>NC_000015.10:78276874-79526874 GCF_000001405.40 Homo sapiens | reverse complement strand
GACCCAGCATTGCTGTGTAGTGCCAAGGGAGGCCAGAAAGACATGACCCTGCCCCAGGACAGGGTCCTTGCTGTGTTAAGAAGGCATAGTGACTCATCTTCCAAACAGAGGGGTCCTGTCCTGAAGTGCCCCCACTGGTGACAAAGAGCCAGATCAAAATCCAATTGCACTCTCAAGTCTGCTGCAGGAGAGAACGGTGTTTGTGTCCTGCGCTGCTCCAGTGGCAATTAGCGTCAGAAGATTAGGTTTATAATGGCCCATTCATTTTCTCCACTCATCACTGGTGTCTGGTGGAGAATTGGAATTTTTAATCCACCATGCTCTAAGTGAATGCATATTGAACTGTTTTGACAGCTTGGAAATTTTGTTGCAGATTCTTGATGACTTCCCATGTCAGGATCAATTTGCAGCCTTGTTTGTTCAGTTGATTAGGTCCCATCCAATTCTCTTGAGCTAAAATTTCAGAGGATCTGACATCATACATCTGTACCATGGAGGGGTGGAAGATAGGAATGGTCCCTGCAAGACTAGGGTTGAGGTCTGACATCCAGAACCACTGAACCTGCTATGAGTCCTCTTATTTTTGCTCAAGGAACAAACAATAAGCTCTCTACTAAAAAAAAAAAAAAAAAAAAAAAAAAAAGCCAATATTAACTGTAATGTGAAATCTCTAAAAATGCAGCCTTTGCCCGGAGATTGTTTGAAAAGTCAGTGAGAACATATATAGAGCTTCTAGCTTGGGCTGCATGTAGGTAAAGGATAAAGGATAAAAGAACTTAGGATGGTCTCGCTGGTTCCTTACAGTTCCCAGCCCTACAGTTCCCCATCTGTAAGATCTTGGGCCAGTTACTTATACTTCCTAAGTTTCCACATGACTAACATGGAAATAATAGTAATAGAAACCTGATAGAGCTGCTGTGAAGATGAAATAAAACATTACATAGAAAAGTTATTTGATCGGCTGGGTGCGGTGGCTCACGCCTGTAATCCCAGCACTTTGGGAGGCCGAGGCAGGCAGATCACGAGGTCAGGAGTTTGAGGCCAGCCTGACCAACATGGCAAAACCCCATCTCGACTAAAAATACAAAAATTACCCGGGCGTGGTGGTGGGTGCCTGCAATCCCAGCTACTCAGGAGGCTGAGCAGGAGAATCGCTTGAACCCAGGAGGCAGAGGTTGCAGTGAGCCAAGACCATGCCATTGTACTCCAGCCTGGGTGACAGAGTGAGACTCCATCTCAAAAAAAAAAAAAAAGAAAGTTATTTGATCAGCGTCTGGAGTGTAGTAAGGATGAAATGAATGTGAGCTTCGTGGCAAAGTTCCTCATGCCAAAAAAAAAAAAATCCTTTTCCTCTTTCACCTTCTTCCTTCATCTCCTTCCTTCATCTTCTATGTTCTCTGACCTCTGTCAGAGAAAGTCTATGGGTACTATCTAATATAAATATAATATGAGTCACATATGGAATTTTAATTTTCTACCAGCTATATTTTAAAAAGTGAAAAGAAGTAGGTAAAGTTAATTTTGGTAATGTGCTTTATGTAAAGAAATATATAGAACCATATGATTGTTTCAACATGTCACTGACATAAACATTATTAATGGAATAGTTACCTTCTATTTTTCCTACTCACTCTTCAAACTCTGGTGTGTATGTTATACTTACAGCACATCTCATTTCAGCCTGGCCACATCTCAGGTGCCCAATTAGCCACATGAGGCTGGTGGCTAGGATGCTGGTTAGCACCACTCTAGATCTCCTGGAGCTTGTAATTTCCCTAGAAATTTCCCACTTGCTGTACCTTGTTCCCCAGCCTCCTACCCAGTCCCTCATATCTGTAGCCCAGGAGGTCCCCACCTGCAGGCTCAGGAACATCCAAGCCAGCCTGAGGTCAGAAGGACATTAGCAATCTCACTAGGGGAAGGGAGGAGAGAGTGGGCACTTGGAATGAAGCCAAACTCTCTAGATCCAGAATCGACTGACAAGGCAGGCTGGGACCAGTGGGCTCCAGCAATGCCTGCCGCCTTCCCCACTGCACCATCTTCCAAATTCCTAAGTGGCTAACCAAGCCCAGGCCTGGTGGCCTCCCTGTGAGTACAGTTCTCAGATGGCCCCTGAGTCTATGATTCACCTTTCGCCCCACAGACAGACTTGATCAGAGCACCTATGTGCCCCAGAAATCTTGCTCAGAGGCCCCTCCACCATCCCTCTGGGGAGAAACTTGCCTTGCCTTCCTGCCTTGACCCAGACCCAGAAGGGGATATCTGGGGGAACACAAGGTCAATGGGCAGGCCCCTGAAGTTATTTTGCATAGCTTTGAAGGTTGCTCACAGACAGACTGTGTTGACTTCCATGGATTATGCTCTGTGTCCCACAGAGGCTCTTGGCCTTCCCGAGTGGACATTGGAGATTATGCTGGCCTACCCACGCCATGGCCTGACTTCTGCTCAGGTTCCAAACTTAGTTAGGGCTTCTATAAGGCAGGCCATTTGCATCTCTCTTTGAGATGATCAGGCAGGTCAACAGGTTAATTCATGGCTACCATTTAGTGGCTACCATCAGTGGCTGGCCTTCTGCCCCAAAGGAGAACCCCTTCAGGGGACAGCCACCTTTCTTCTTGACCAGGACCACCCTCGGATCTGAGAGCCAGGAGTGGGAAGGGAGGAGTGATGGGTGGGCACGCTCTCCTTGTCATATCCATGTTTCTGGGCAGAACTCCAAGAAATCCAGCAACTCCAAATCTGAGCCTGGCTTCCAGGTATATTGGAAGGTGTACTTGTCAAGGTGGAGGCTAAAACATGCTCTGCTTAGCACTTTGTCATCTGAGTTTATAACTTTTAAACATTTAGGCATACAGAGTGTGGCCTCCATTTGTGTTCTTGCTCTGGGATTCATCCAAGTTAGGGGGCTGGGCTGCTCCTGGCTCTTAAGGACAAACTGCCTCGTGTCATGACCCCTGCTCCTCATACACCCACATCCATATGATGGGAACCCACTCTCGTCTGCCATGATCGGGCAGAGCCATGGTGCTCTATGACAGTGCTTGGCCTGGCCAAGTGGACACTGGAGTTTGTGCTGGTCTGCCCACTCCATGGCCCAGCTTCTGTTGAGGTTCCAAACCTAGTTAGGGCTTCTAGAAGGCAGGGCATTTGTATCCCTCTTTGAGATGATCGGGCAGGTCAGTAGGTTAATTCGTGGCTATCACTTAGCTAAAGAGCACCAACATGCTCCCTCTCACCACATCTCAATCTCCTGGACTTCTTGTGCAGAGGTGACAAGGAAACATCATGACTCCCTGGTGTGAATAGAGCAGGGGAATCAGGAGCTTCCCTATGAAGCAGTTGCCAAGGCAGGAAGTGTCGTTCCTGCAACAGGCTCTGCCTCCCACATCTGCTTTTATGTGCTTGGTTACGCAGCTCACTCTGCAATCAGATATGGGGATCGAGATGAGTAAGACACCATCCTGGCTCTTAATGAATTCATAGTCTAGTGGGTGGCATATGTGTAAAATAATTACTGTCCACTGTAATAAGTGCTGTGATAAAGGTTTGTTCAAAATGCAGAGAAAACTTGGGGAAGGGGTGACATACTCAGGATAAAGTTTAAAAATGTAAATTTTACATGTAATAATGAATATTATTTACTATTCTCTTGGTTGCTAGAAATAGAAACCTTGAGCCAGCTTAAGGCAAAGGGTGACCCTATTACACTAAGAATTGAGTGGAATCATGCAAATGGAGGGAATCATACATCCCAGGCGAGGATGCAGTCAACCTTAATGGGCAGACTGGAGCGGCAGGAAGATCCGGCTGCTCTTTCTTACACCTCCTTCTCAGCAGAGCTGCTTCATGCTTTTCTCTCGCTGTAATCCGGCTTTCTTTGTCTTCCAGTTCACATGAAGGGAACTGACCACTGGTGATAGTTCCAGACACAGAGAGCAGCCAGGCTGATATTTAAATGTCTTAATTCAAACTTGAAATTCATTAGAAAGGACTTTGACTCAGTGTGAATCAGATACAGCCTGAGATATGTAGCCATATTGCATAATCATGGGTCCTATTGTATACACATGACTCCTCTTTTGGAAACATTAAAGATGGAGGGCTAGGTGCAGTGGCTCACTCCTGTAGAACCAGTGCTTTGGGAAGCTGAGGCAGGAGGATGGCTTGAAATCAGGAATTTGAGACCAGCCTGGACAACAAAGTGAGAGCTGTCTCTCCAAAACATTTTTTTTTTTTACTGGCTGGGTGTGGTGATATGAACCTGTAGTCCTAGCTGCTCTGGAGGCTAAGTCAGGAGGATCGCTTGAGCCCAGGAGTTCAAGGTTGCAGTGAGCTGTGATCATGCCCCTGTACTCTAGCCCTCTAGCCTGGGTGATAGCGACACCCTGTCTCTAAAAACAACTAAAAAGTTAAAAAAGTAAAAGATGGAGGAGAATAAAATCATGCCATCCTCAGTTGGAGGCCTGCTTCTGGAAAAACAATAGAAGGTGGGTGAATCAAGTAATAGATGTTCACTACCTTCCACACCTTGACCGACCAACTCAAGTGCATGCACGTGCATGTTCACATGTGTGCAGATACACACAGATCCTTTCCTCCCACACACCCAAAGAGGCCTCTGCTCGATTCTATTCACCAAGATCCTTTTCCCCAGTGGGAGAAAACCTAAGGTCACATCTGGCAATGAATTCCAATGTGACGACAGGGAGTCTCTTTTCCAAGTTCACAGTCTTTGGAGATTACCCATTCCTCCACTCTCTTTCTTTTAAAGGTGCTTTGGAAGAATAAGGAGATCAGAGGGAGCTCCCCAGAGTTCTCAGACTTCTTTGACTTGTGATCGCCATAAACCTCCAGTTTTCTGATCAGGACATGACATTTAGCTTTAACTTTCACTTCAGCTTTATAAAGAGGATTCAGTGGCAAATTTGACTCTTGCAGCTTGGTAAGGAATACAGTTATTTAACCCTCAGCTGACTCAGATTTCTGTTGACATCCATAAAAGGCCTTGTTCAACATAACTACATGCATCCTAGGCCTTGCTCAACGAAACTACATGCACCCTGTTCTATTCTCTCTCAATTTTTATGACAGCTATCTTGGACTGGAGCTTCTCTCTCTCATCATGTACTATAAGGGCTGTAAGAAGTAACTAACTGAAACATGCTAAAATCATGGATTATTACTAGTGAGTCAAATCCCAAGAGAAGATAAGCAACAGTTTTACTAATTATGTCACTGTGGCATGGCAAAGATTGCCAACTCTTCAGACAAGGACAGAAAGATGAGCAAATCCTTACTTCTCTCCTCTCCTCATCACAACTCATTTTCTCTGACATTCTTGTAATTGAAAATCTCCACTCCTAGCAGCAACTTCTTTATTTGGTAAGTTTCATTTGGTCAGCAGTAACAGAAATGGGCCATGGATAACTTAAAAATGACATTTACTAATATAAGCAACTGGATAATGACAGGGAGTCCAAGGAAGAACTCAGCAGCCATGCCCTGAGAAAGGCAGGGACCTGGAAAACCCAGGGCTCTTGGCTGAAGGCATTCATGAGTCTTCACCCTAATGGGCTCTAAAATGGCTCAGGCAATGGCATTCTGGTATTGTGTCTGTCAATTCAGGATTCAAATGCTCGGCAGAGATTATCCAGTGAAACAAGCGTTAGGCTTCCCTTCCAGAAACGTACGTAAGTACTAAAAAGACACTATCAAAAACTAAAACTCCAAAGATAAAACAGCTTTCCAAAATACTGCATGCCAAGGAGTCTAGTCTGAAGACTACACCTTTCCCAGTGGCTGTGTGTATAAATGTGTGCATGCATGTCAGGAGAAAGAGAATGGGTGGAAAATTAGCATGGAGGGGTAGCTAGGAGGTGTCAGGAGGGTTTATTGAGAAAAAATGGAAATGAAAGCTGACTTTGGAAATTAGAAAGTATCTCTTGGCAATGCTGAAAGGCTTTGTTGAGTTTGGAGGCCACACATCTGAAATGTTACTAATCTGCATGGTTATGCAATTTTCTCTAGCATTGCTCAGAAGCCAAGGTATCGGATTGGAGGAGGCAGGAAGTTGGGTGGATACAAGTTTGTGTTTTTCTCAGCAGGTATGACGGAGGAAAGAGGATGAGAATTGAATGCATTGTCAGGGAAACAGATCTCATGGCACACCATAGTGTCTAGAGGTCAGGGTGGGAAATGAGAAGAGAGGCTGAAAGTTGAGACAGTCAAGCGTCAAATGCCAGAGGTCCTGGTTAGACTAAAGGTGAGGTTTAGTGGGAGTAAGGGAATCTTATGTAAGGGGTAAAATATTTCAATAGGCCTAGACATGGACAAAAATAAGTAGACTTGTGTTTATTTCTAAAATAGCCCTGAATTTCTGTCTCTGACCCTCTAGCCACCCTCTGGCAGACATCTTCAGGCAGCCATTCTCAGAATATTCAGCCCACTCTTGAGATTGATCAGTGGGTTCAGGATAATTAACTCACTGGAGTCCAGTTCAAAATTCCATCTCAGGCTCTCTTCTCCTTTCCTCTGGTAGATCCCAGCACCTGGGAGGCTTGTTTGGTCAGAGCGGTGGTAGAAGTTGTGATGACTGCCTTCTGTATCAGTTTGGGCTGACATCTGTGACCTTTGCAGCTATGATGACCTTGCCCTTTGCGGTTTTCAGCTCCAGCCTGGCTCCTGGTTGGAGTGGACTGGTAGGAGATAGCGCAGCATCTTCCCTTGGCCTTGCCAGCTGTATGCATCTCCTTCAACACCTCCCAAATAGTGAGACTGTGTCTTGATTCTTTTATTCTAAAGGTAGGGGGCAATTTTAAGACACCAAAGACAGAGTTTTCAAGTGCTGTTTCTATCCCTTTACGCCCCACTCAAGACAATGGCAGAGCAGCATTCAGCAGCCACTGGCCCCATTTTCAGCCCTCTATTAAAGGTGGGATCTTTCCATGCATCTGAGCAGTCCTGGACCCCAGGACTTAGCGTCAGTCTCATGTACAGAGGGACAGAAACAATTGTGTAGATCCCCAGTTTGCAGCCCGATACTGCATTGTGACACAACTGAAGGACTGCTTAAAGCTGCAGCACAGGGCTGTGTTCTGGCCTCTTGTACTGTTCCCCTGGGGCAGAAACAGTAGCTCTTGCTGGTATTCAATCTCAATTCATTTATGTCACTAGAGGCAGGTTTAAGGATTAGGTACAATCCCAGCTTTATTATGTCACTCAAAACATGAAGGATAGATTAATCTCTATCATTAACAAAAACATTAACAGCAGGAAAGCATAATTTGAAGACAAAGAGAGACTTCTCATATTATTTTGACAAACATTTTATATACTCATCTCTTCTTGCAATATCTATAATTTACCTTTTGAGAAGGCACATGGAGCCCTTAGTGTAGCTCATATCCTAGTCTCAGCTCATTTATTCCATCCGTTTCCCCTGGAGAGAAAATGAATGCATGCAAAAGACTTAAGTCATCTTCATTTTCAGCAAGTTCCAAAGCAAGCAAGCATGTACTGTCAGGGTGATGAGGTACAGTTGTCTTTATGAACATCAGTGAGAATTTGGCCCACAAAGGAGATCACGACCTCTCAAAGTAGCACTGCAGCCCTTTCCTGGGGAGCTCCGGTTACTTAGCCAAGAGGCTCCAGGGCAGCACATGCATTCTTTTTCATTTTCTACCTCCACGGCTCTTCACTCAGGGCCCTGGGGAACTTTGGCATCATTTTACAATGTCTTCAACATCATGGAGAAATGAGAGGGGGTGGTGCTGGGTCACCCTTTCTACTTAGGCACACTGTACTCTTGTTTCTCAATGCCCCGACCATGTGGGACACTCCTGCAATCTTCTGTCTTCAGAAGAAATGAGAGAAGGGATACAAGTATGCTGTCTTCCTAAAGACCCACAGACTTTGAGGGAAATTCTCCCGGGTGCCCCCCACACTTCCTCTAGGAAGCACCTGGAAAAGTAGCATGTTTCCCCTGGCGCTCCCTATGCCGATCTTCAACCTTCCTTTCTCCCATCCCAACTTGATTGGATGGGGAGTGAGAAAGGGAGGAAAAAAGTGCGGTCCTCTCATTTGTGTGAATTTTTCAATTCCATACCCTTTAAAGTTAGTATTCTAGTGGACAACCTCAGTGCACAATCTACCCCTTTGCAAATACCCTGCAACAATTGTTCAGAGGATTGTTCTCAGGCTGTGGAACTGCTCCCTGCTTCTGAGCATCCTCAACCCTAAGACTCTAGCTGATGTGTAATGGGTATGGGAGTTTGGAAGCTCAGCTCTCTTACTTTAGTTAGGAGCAAACTCTGAGCCACAATTTACTCTCCAGAATTTACCTTTGGGATCAGGTTGAGGCTACCCTTTTGATACATGCAATTGCAATTCTGCTTGGCTAGGAAGCACATTCCCTGTTCTGCTTTCTCTATCCCCTTATCAGTTTCTTCTGGGAGTAGGGCAACCAACTCATCCCAGTTTGAGTATGATGGTCCCAGTTTTAAAACTGAAAGTTCTAAATCACTGTAACTACCTTCCTGTATCTCTGTCCCAGGTATACCGGAATTGTTAGTTACCCTGCCTGGGAGCACTTTCTTAATAAACTACTTGTGCACAAATCTTTGTCTCAGTGTATGTTTCTAAAGAAGCCAACCTATGGCAGTGATTTAGAGTCCGAGTCTTTGCTCCCAATGGCAAGTGTGTTCTCAGCAATCAAAGTTCTTTCAGTCCAGCTCTCAGATGGGAGAAGGGCCACCATGAGGCCTGAAGAGAGAAAGAACCCACTCAGTGCTTTCTCTGAAGAACTCATACATGAAAATACCTCGACACAGGAATACTCAGAGATGGAGTGCCCCCAGGGATGGCAGAATCAAGGGCATTTCCATTGGAGTGGGTAGGTAAAGTGAAGGTGAAAGTCACTGGAGTTGAAGACAGTAAGGATGATAAGAACTGAGACCCCCCCCCCAAAAAAAAAACCATCAGGATGCCAAATTTTGCCCTTTTTTTCAATAAAGGTGGACATTTCAATAGGAGACTGGTAGTTGACAAGAAGAGGGTCTAAGGTAACATCCAACCCAGAGAAAGCATTCAATAAATATTTGTTGAATGAATGAATGGCATTGTAGAGGGAGATTGTGAGGTCAAGAAAGTCCTAATGAATAAAAAGCTGCATGGAAAGATAGCAGATTTGTCCATTACTTGAATCTACATATTGTCGTGACATATTGTCTTATTTACCTGTCATCCTGAGAATAGGTGTAGTTGAGGAGTGATCTATTGTTTAAATGAATAATTTTGTTAGCAATTTCTTAGACACAATAAAAGTGTTTGCAACTTTACCTTCTTGGGTAAGAAATTTCTGAAATGATAAAGTCATGTTAATGTAAATAATGTCAGTTCTGGGTCATATTAATTTTGTGGTTGCACTCAGGTTGTTCTCAAACTTTGCTCCCACTCTCATTCAATATACGGGTGCTTGTAAGACCAGATGCTTTGGCTAGCCATGCAGCCTCACTGCATTGATAGCCTTGAAACATTCTACCTGAGTTAGATAGTTCTGTCAAATGAACTTGTCCCCAAGAGAACAACAGGTGGAGGGAATAAGCAAGAACTGTATTTACTTATCTAAATAGAAATCTTGGAATTTGAAGGCTTGACCTGGGCAACCAGACCATTAGAAATAGGCCAGATTCTTCAGTGAACTGATGAGTGAATCTTGATCATAATGAGCTCACTAAGGGAATATGAAGACCTCAGGGGACTAGAAACAGAGATTACAAACTCTCATAATAAAGATTTTCTAACTCTGCAATCTGGATGTGGATGATCATTGCATTACATGGGCAAGAAATAGGATAGATTTGAGGGAACCAGAAGGTGAGGTCTGGCGTGGGATGTCACCTGCTGCAATGGCTTGAAGGATGCTGTGTGGCAATAAAATGTCTGAAGATTTTGCTGGCTGGTGGGCTGTCTCTTAAGTTACCTCACTCCAGGACCTTATTACAGGAGGAGTGGATTCTGATTAGTACGGCCTGACCTTCCCTTTCTGCCCTGTAGGGTGGGGAACAAGGAAGTGGGGGAGGTACCATCCACTTGAGAAGATTCCCCTTGGAAAGAGTCAGGTTTCTCAGATAGGAGAAGGGGGCTCACCTTCGAATCATTTAAAAAGGCCATAGAATTCTAAAGGGCACAAGGAAAGCAGTGGGAAACCAGATGAGGGAGAGGCAGCCCAGAGCAATAAGAGGATGAGACTATGGGGGGACAGACCAGTGGGGGAAATACATTAAGGAAGTGATTAAAGATGAGAGACATAGTGAGGAGGCTGGAAAGATAAACTGGGCTACAGAATTTCCAAAGAATCAGTCCCAGTAATTCCCTGGTGTGTGGGATGGAGGAGGAGTGGCCACAAACGTAGTAGAAGGTGGGGCACTCACAGCTCTTCAGGAGATGGAAACCATGGCTGAAATTAAGCCTGTTTCTAAAGAAATCAAATGCCTAAAATAGCTGCAGCTCCAGGTGGGCATCGCCCCAGGCCTCACTGGAAGGAGTCAGCTGCAGCCACGACTGCCTTGCTTACTATAGCCCTGTTGATGGTGCAGCCATGATCACTCCCCTGGATTCTGGCATATGGTTGGTTATTATCCATAATGTCCCTGCTGTTGTGAATTTTCTCCTTTTCATCTTTTTTTTATGAGTAATTTAATGGGAAGTTGTTGGGGGGTGCATCAGGCTGAATTTGAATATGTGTAATTTTAAGGAATATTCCCTTGAGGTGGGAGTTGTGTTGGAAAAAGCAAGAGCTTTCAATATCTCACAGCAGCCCAGTGAATCAGGAGGCATTGCTTCTGGTTTATAGAATTGGAAACTGAGTCGGATGGAGGAAAACACTGGCAGTGGGAATCAAAGTCTGACCAGATGGTGGCACAGAAAGGGCAAATGATTTATTTTTTCAAGGTTGCACCACTAGCAAGAGAGAGAATTGATACTAGAACTGAAGTTTACTATTAATAATTTGCTCACATCCTGTGTCTATATAACCAGGCCAGCTTCACGGGCATTGACCTGTGCAGCAACACAGTTTCCTGCGCACAAAAGGGCCCAACATTTGGTTTAATGATCGTCTGCTGCCATCTTGAAATTCATAATAATTTTTTGGCCAGGGGTCCCAAATTTTCATTTTGCCTGAGGCCCTGCAAATTACGTAGCCAGTCCTATATATACTAGCTGTGTACAAGAAAATGTTTAACTTTAATATTTTATTGATCACTTCTACATGTCTGTATGTACACTCTTATGTAGACACATTTCACAATAGTGTAGATGTGATTACTTTGGGAGATTTCGTTTCTAAGGTCTCCCAAGACCCAGAATGAGCAGAGAAATTCCTTCTGGCAGCTCACAAAGGCTCTGTTGCCATCCAGATGAGTCCTATGGGTTAGTCTAACACAATATTTATATTGAACAAGCAAATAGACTAATTTAAAACGTGTTTTTGCATAAATATTGAGGAACTGTACAATAAAGAATTCACCTCAATTAATCATTGCTTGCTTTCTTCTGTTTCCTTTCCACTCCATGTCCAGATACATAAGCAAATTTTTCATACTTTTAATCAGAACATAGGAACAATGTTATATACTCTTCTAGATTTATTTAGTTTTTTCTTCCCCTGGATCCCTCAGACAGGCCTTCTCCCACACTGCAATATTGCTTTCTTAGTTTTTAATTTTAATAACACCATCGTCTCCCACTGAGATGATCTTACATAATTAATTTTAAAATTATCCTCCTGTGAACATATATTTTCATTTATTACTTTAACAAACTGTAGAGCACTGACTCTATGCCATGCCTTATGGAGACTGTGTTAGGGACACAAAGATAAAATGTGACCCTGATTCTCACAATTCTTTAGGACAAATTAGAGCTCAGTGAGTATCTTGATTTCTACATTCAGTTTAACTCCTAAGGAGAAATTCCTTGAAAAGAGATTGCTGGATAAAGAAAAAAAAAAGAAGGAGGAGAAGAAGGAGAAGAAAAAAGAAAAGAAAAGAAAAAAGCCAAGCACTTTTAAGGCATACTGTCAAATTGCTTTCCAATTCATAGTCCCTCTAGCAATGCGCAAATGTACCTGCTTCACTGAAACCTTGCCAACATTTATCATTTTAAAACCTCCCACTAATTTAATAGGCATAAAATGATACAGAATTGTTTTAATTAGCATGCAGTTCTTTTGAAGCCTCACCCCCAAATCTCAATAATTGCTTATTTTACCCCTGACACTTCACTTTATCTACATAGAGCTCTGACAACCCCAACCCCCTTTTTTTTTCTTCCCATAATGGAATCAGGAGACATATATTTGTTTTATTTCATAGAAAATATAGTGTGGCCTAGTAAACTTCTTACAACACGTAAAACTATTCCCTTAAAGGGGAATTCTTTTGCTTCCCTAAAAATTCTATCTGTCTAAGGCATTAGTTTCTTCTTATCCTATCCTGAAGCAGGCAGGATCATTCTGAACAGAATCTGCTTTAACAAGCATCTTCAAACATTGAAGTTACTGCAATGTGCACTTTGTGACAAGTCCCCACTGCATATTTATAATTGAGGCCAAATGCAAGCAACACTCTGTTCAATTTCTTCCTGTTGAATCACAAATTCCCCCAACAGACACACGGTGCTACTCCACTTTCCGTAGAACGGAGCCCCGCCCACTACTCAGGCACGTGACAGAGCTGAGCCAATCATATCCTCACTCCTTGAACAGATGGGCCAATGGGTGGCATGGGGTTCAAGGTGGGCCAATTGCAGTCTTTCCCTGAGATTGTTCACACTTTACCTGGCAGAATAGAAGCTGCTTTTCTTCTGTAGCTCTGTTAAGATGTGAATATGGAACTTCCAGCTGGTAGGCTCTTGCCCCTTTCCCTGCTCTCCAGCCCACCAGTGGGCAGGAGAGAACGCCAGGCTTGGAGTGGAGCACAAAGTGTGGGGCGAATGGGTCCTGGCAGCACTCCACTGCCAGGTGCAGTGATTTCCAAGGGCGGCTCCCACACACCCTTCCCACACCGTTCCCACATCCTTCCTACATTACAACCACATGAATTTTTTTTAAAAATAAAAGAATTCTGTGTTTGTTTCCTTTGCTTATTCTAGTTAGTTTTCTTCACCTGCAAGTAAGAGTTGATATTTATTCTGAGTCGCGCGGACTTCCCCTACATCGTGTGGTGTTAGTTGCTCTCAGACAGTGTGAATAAATTTCCATAATTATAAAAATTCAAATTGAACGGTTTGGTGTGTAAAGTTATTCATTCAACACATGTTATGTGCCTGCTATAAACAATTCTAAGCACAAGTGCTGGAGAAGGAAACCCCCATCCAGGCCATCGACCAGCTAAATGATTTTTTCTATTCATAAAATGTCAAAGTGGACGTGAATAATTTCATTTCATCCCCTTAGCCTTTCATTTTACCAATAAAGTGAATCTAGCATAATCAGTTAGCAAGGATCTAGGACTAGAACAGCGAGCCCCTTCTGTAGCATTACACTGAAATCAGGCCCTGGAAAATGGAGATGCTAACTGTTAGATGTAAACACCTGGGCCAGCAGCCTGGGAGAAAGATAGATGGGAAATAACTTTATTATCTGTGTAGTTCTTGTATCAGGAACAAGCATTTGGTGCTGGGGATATATTCTTAGCAGAGGCATTGGGTTTCACATAAATAGTACATCTCTTTGTCAAAGGCCTCGTTTTCCTATTCTCTGGAGTCATCTGCTACTGTTTCTACACTCCCGCCTTCACACATTATTCAGAAGTGTAAATAACAGCTGCCAGGTTGGAATAGCTTCTTTCTTCCTCCAAGGCAGTGTGAGGTGGGGGCTTTGCCCACTCACTCTCCAGCCTCCCTTCACAGTTACAGCCAGAGCATGGGGCTGCATCCCCCTGGACAAGCTGGTCCTTTTTATGCTGGAGAGGTAGCATGCATGAGGTGTATGAGCCACCGCACCAGGGCTAAGGTTTGCATATAGCAAAGAAGGAAGGCAGGAAAAGTATTCTTGGAAAGCAAAGCCCCTTAAACCCAGTAATCATTCCCTTCTCTAGGACTGGGCTCCTTCTCTGTTTTTTGAGAAGTCAGGCTCTTCCAGAAGGGCCTTGGGACACTGGGGCAGAGGGTGGCTGACCAGAGGGTGCTCAGACATTATGCCAATTGGATCATTTGTCTCAGTGTGAGGTGGGGGCTTTGCCCACTCACTCTCCAGCCTCCCTTCACAGTTACAGCCAGAGCATGGGGCTGCATCCCCCTGGACAAGCTGGTCCTTTTTATGCTGGAGAGGTAGCATGCATGAGGTGTATGAGCCACCGCACCAGGGCTAAGGTTTGCATATAGCAAAGAAGGAAGGCAGGAAAAGTATTCTTGGAAAGCAAAGCCCCTTAAACCCAGTAATCATTCCCTTCTCTAGGACTGGGCTCCTTCTCTGTTTTTTGAGAAGTCAGGCTCTTCCAGAAGGGCCTTGGGACACTGGGGCAGAGGGTGGCTGACCAGAGGGTGCTCAGACATTATGCCAGTTGGATCATTTGTCTCAGTCCTGATTTATTTCCAGGCCTATTCACTGGAGGAAGGTGTTGGCATCAGAATAAAAGAGGGAGTGTGTGGGCTCCAGGCTCAGGAACCCAGATAACTCAGGCCAACTCAGAGGACTTTGTGAAAATGCTAGGACCTTTGTTTTTCTCCACAAGGTACTCATTGACTGTGCCTTGTTGTTCCTCAATGAAATGTTTGAAATGAGCGGGGCCTAGGGACTGTTTTGGAGGATGGCGGAGAAGAAAGTTTCAGGGAGACCACAATCAACCCAAGAGAGGATCCAACAACAGGGGAATCGTTAAGTAACCAACACCTTATCAACCTATGGCAATAAGGAAAATGCTGGACAGTGCTAAGAAGAAAGGCATGCTGTAATTTGATTGGGATGATATAGAAAGGAATGATAATAAATGGTTAACTTTGAGTAGGAAGATTCTAGTCTATTCATTTCTGTTTGTTTTGTTCTATTTTCTGAACCATCCCTCTTTCTGTTTGCCAGCCTCGACGAGGGGCTTTGCACTAGTTCTTGCTTTCCCAAATGTTCTGTCCCCAGCGGTGGCTGGCTTCTCTCATCCTCAAAAGACACCTGCTCAGAGAGCCTTCCCTGAGCACCAATTGACAATATGTCCCCTGCAGTAACTACAGACACTTCCAGTTTAAAACCAAACAAATAAAAGTCAGAAAAATTGGACTAAAATTAATTTTAAAATAGATGTTTAGGAGGAGATATCCTCACTTTCAGCTGGGATAGCCAGCATATACAAGCATATATCAGCATAAGAATGCAGCTTAAGTAGCAGCATGTCTACTCTGGTTTTTTTTTTTTTTACAAGCAGTGGTAATTGTTAGACCAGGGTGACACAGGGAGAGTAGATGTTATTCTTAGGGATGATTGAAATAAAGTACTGTGATTCTATAACTTAATGTGTGTATTATTACCCAGATGATTTATTTGTTCTCATAATTTCACAACCTGCCACTGGTCTGGACTAACTTATTTACCTATACAGTAATGTGAAATAGGAAACGGATCTTGCCTTCCAGATGGATAAAGCCAAGGTGGTTAGAAATGATGAGTTGTTAATGGTCTGAGGTCCATTCACTCAGTAAATAATTATTGAATGTTTATTCTTGAGTAAACACTATTGATCAGAATGAGAAAATGTTGTACTGGAGAAAAGGAAAGAATCGAGGTTAGTCAATAGCACTGACATTGGTTAAGGTATTAGCGTAAGGAAATAATGTAGAAATGTATGGGATCCTGGAGAGGACACCAACAGAACTGAAGGAAGCTTTCACTCTCTGGACCGTAAGAGTAGGAGTCAACACTGGATGTTTGATCAAGTCAAGTTTAGACTTTGGTAAAGGCTGAAATAGGCATATGTTACTCCTAGTTATTACCTGGCAATGGAGCTCTCTCCTCATGCTTATAGGAAGAACACATGGAAATTAAGTGTAATAAATGGTGCGATAGTAGGTGGCCTATTTAATTTCACCTCAGGGGGGATAATACAGATGAGGAATTTGGGGTACCCGAATAAATCAAGAGCTTCCCCTCCACGTTGCCTTTCCTGTTCTAGTTGTTGCCATCACTGTGTGGAGAGAAAGTTGAATGGAGGGACGGTGGAGTCATTCTAGTGGATAAACATAGTAGCCTGCTGTTTGGATTGCTTTCTCCTTCACTTGCCATTCCCCACAAGGTTTGATTCTTCCCAGAGAATGAGAAAGGGAGTTCAACAGGAAGTCAACAGTTACCATATTCCTAGGGACAGCGATGGGTGCTGGGGAGTTGGTGAATGCAGTCCCTACCTCCAGGGAGCTTACAGTCAAGCAGGAGAGACAGATGAGAAAACAGTCCATTTCAGCAGCGTGAGAAGTGGTTCATGAGAGTGGAAGGGGGGTAATGAGGGATCTCACATGAGTGGCCCATATTGAGCTTTCAGGTGGTGAGGAGAGCTTCTTAATTTTAGCTAGGGGTCATTTTAGCTAGGTCCCGAAGGACAGGTGTGATCTGGTGGGTAGAGGAAAAGAGGATAGTCCAGCGAAAATGATCCACATATGCCAAGGTCCCAAATGAAGAGAAGAGATGTGTGTTTAGGGAACTGGATAGGGGTCAAGTGGTTGGAGCATGATGGGCAAGGAGAGGTATGAGATGACCCAGGATAAGTGGGCAAGGGCCAGACATTGAAGGGATCCCAGCTACATAATTGATGGCAAGGAGTCGGTAGAGAGGCAGAGGCTAAGATTATGAAAGACAGTGGTATTCAGGAGGGGCAGATCCAGAGGATAGGACCTGGAGCAGATGTGCAGGGTTGGACCCACTCAGGGGAGAGAAAGTTCTTCATTGTGACAAGGATGGGCATGGAGGCAGTTGACCTGGAAAGTGGTAGTGCCACGAAGGCTGATGGCACACCTGGCTGGTGACTCCTTCCTCTCAAGTCAGGGGTGATGCATCCTGCTGAAAGTGAAGTTGGAGGAAGACAGGAGGGTCTGAGAGAAACTCAGGGGTGGGTATGGAATTGGAATCAGAGCTCTTAAGGAAGACAAATAAGGATTCCTGGGCAATTTTGAGTCTCAGTTGAGGCTTATGACTACATACTTGCAGGGGCACAATTCCATGTGATTATACAATGTTCTCAAGGAGTAAAGGACAGCAGGGATCCGGGGAACAGATTCAGGGTTGGTGTTTTGATGGCACATGTGACAGAAAGCCAGGGAATGCCAGGTAAAGAAGACATCTTGAACACACACATTTACTTTTGCTCATTTGTGTGTGTGTGTCGGGGTGGGGGGAGTTTAAAAGGACTTTTTAAAAAGCCCAAACCCGCATGCACAAAAGACATCAGTGACAAAATCCTGAGAGCTGAAAAGCCAATGTAAAGGGGCTAACTGACTTAGCCTTTGATTGCTCCAGCAGAAGACTGGAGGTTCATTTTCTGAAGAGAGTAAAAGGAAGGCATTTGGACTGTGGTGAGACTAGCAGAGCTGAGAGTGAGAGGACCAGACTGGAAGTAGCAAGATCAAGTAAGGCAGAAACTCTCAGACTTCAATTCCTGGGCTCACAAATGCTAGCAGCCTGGCCTTTAGCCTCTAGCTGGGAGTTAGAAGACCAGCTGGGAGGAACGGCATAAAGGTGCTGGCAATGGGGCTGTCCAGTGGAGTAAACCAGCTGGACTGTTATAAGGTGAAACTCATCCCAGCAAAGTGCTTAGAGCATCGGTCAGCTTATTGCCCCCACTTTTAAATATGAACAGGCAACCATGAGATACCAGATATATGAGGAAACATGCCAACATAAAATATAGGGACTAAAAGAAACACAGCAGAGGAAGAATGCAAGGAAACTGAAGGAGACAAGATCTGCAAGAGAAAAAAAAACTAACATTATCTAGCATTAAGATCTTCAGAGAAGAAGGGAAGATATTGCAGCCATGAAGTGAGAATAGGAGAGAGGAGGATGCCAAGAGGTAGGAAGGCCTGGTATTCAGGGGCTTGTACTATACGAGAGAAACGAAGGGATTCCTAGGATGCTGGTGAGGTGTGATCCCAGGGCAATAGCTATGCCCCAGGTGAGGAGGACAATCAGCCCAGAGTCCAGATTATCACAGAGATTTTTTTTTCCAAGGAGTTTCAATGGATAGACCTGAAGTATCTAAATGTATTGAAATTTTGAAACATTTAGAATTGCTTTAGTGAGGAATACAGAAAAACAAAGTTAGGGAGAAAAGTTAAGGATGAATTTCAAGCATATTTTGCAGGAAAGACTCAGTCTGAATAGCACTTACATTCTCATAATTATGTAAACACTAAATGTTGAACTAAGCTAAATTACCATAAAACTAAATTAGAGAGTGGAGAGCCAGAAGGAACACTTGCATGGGGCGGGAGATTAGGAGAGAGAATGAAAATGAAAGAGAGTTAAATTCTCATTTTCCGTAGTGGGATGTCCATAGACAAGCCTAAGATGAAAAAATTGAGAGCAAATAAGTGTATTCTATAAAGACACAGGGATAAGTACCGAAAGAATGAGCTAACAGAATGAAAACTGGTTGCTTATCTGAGGAGTGGGGAATTGTGCGGTAAGTGGGCAGAAGACTGCTATTTTCATTACTAGTCAAATAACAATCTGGTTCTTTCAATCTATGTGCATCTTACTAAAGGGAAAAACACAAAAAGACAAGGAAGTGTGGGTATCGGGAAGAGGGATGTCAGAGTGACAGATCATGGAGCCTAGGCAGAATAAAAAAATGAAGAAAGAAGATTGATGGTAAGGAGAAGGGAAGTAGTTCAGAATGAAGAAAAATGGGATTAGGAGAGAGGGCTTGTGAGTGGTTGTCAGACGCAGCCTGGAGGAAAGTCTCAAAGACTTCCTATTTTGCCTAAGTCTATGTTCTTTTTATATTACCATTCTAGGTGATTCCATTACCTTAGAAAGTTTTCCAAACAGTGAAATTTAGGGTTATGATGTTAGTAACCAACCTTAGTAGACCAATCAAATGAATGCTGTCAGAGAGTTGGTCTTCTTGATGAGAAAGTCCAGAAAGACCTCTTCTGATGATGTAAAGACTCTTGGAAGTTTGGTCCTCTATGGTGACGTTGTAAGCTATCAACTTGGTGAGGCTACACTACATTTCCTAGAGTTGGCTTTCTTACATATTACTAGCTGTGGCGGTCACAATGGAGATTCTTGAGAGACTTGGAGGGCACAAAGGAAGCAGCAAGCACTTTGTTATCTGCACACTTGTTGATGAGCTGCAGATTCATGCACAGGTGTGATGTGGCAGCTAGGTGTGCAATTGCTCTGCCTTCCCCTGGACCCTCTTTCAGCTTCTCCAGCTCCTGGGCTAGGTGTGAGTATCTCCATGACCATGGGCCCCAGTTTCTGCAGTAACCCATACCCTCGAGGTAAGAGACCATTCTAGTTTGTCCTGGTGGGTTCCAGCTAATGTTCGTGGACTCCGGCCTCCTCATACCTTCCCTTTCTGACTGCTTACCCTGTGAGCTTCTCACTTGGGCATCAGATGTGGAAAAAACAACCTTAGAGACACTACTTAACTAGCTCCCTGTTATGGACTTCACATATTGAAGCCCTAACCCCCAATGTGGCTATATTTGGAGATAGGGCCTTTAAGAAAGTAAGTAAGGTTATAAGTATGGAGCCCTAGTCTGATAGATTTCCAGTACTTATAAGAAAAGACACCAGAGATTGATTTTCTCTCTCTCTCTCTTTCTCTCTTTCTCTCTCTCTCTCTCTCTCCATGCACACACAGAGGAAAGGCCACGTGAGGACACAGCAATAAGGCAGCCATTTACAAGCCACATGAAGGCCCTCACCAAAACCCAAATTTGCCAGCACCTTGATCAAGGATTTCCAGCCTCCAGAACTGTGAGAAATAAATGTCTGTTATTTAAACCATTCAGTCTGTGGTATTTTGTGATGGCAGCCCAAGCTAATTAATACACTCCCCAGTCATGTAAGCCAATACCCTTTAGCAAATCTATCTATCTATCTATCTATCTATCTATCTATCTATCTATCTATCTATCTAATCTATTACATGCTTTTATTTATTTATTTATTTATTTATTTATTTTTTTTGAGACGGAGTCTCACTCAGTTGCCAGGCTGGAATGTAGTGGTGTGATCTCCATTCACTGCAACCTCTGCCTCCCTAATTCAAGCGATTCTCCTGCCTCAGCCTTCAGAGTAGCTGGGACTACAGGTGCGTGCCACCACGCCCAGCTAATTTTTGTATTTTTGGTAGAGATGGGGTTTCACTATGTTGGCCAGGATGGTCTCAATCTCTTGACATCATGATCCACCCACCGTAGCCTCCCAATGTGCTGGGATTACAGGCTTGAGCCACTGTGCCAGGCCTGAATGATATACTTATATCCTAGTGATTCTGTTACTCTGAACTCTTACTGATACCACCTTCCTGGTGGAAGAATGACCTCCAAAGATATCCAGTTCCTAATCTCTGAGCCTGTGAATGTTAAGGGATTCATAAGATGTGATTAAATTAAGGATTGTGAGCTGTGGAGATTATCCTGGATTAGCTGGTGGGCCCTAAATGTAATCACAAGTGTTCTTACAAGAATGAGGCCGAGGGAGATTTGTCGACCTAGAAGAAGGTGATGTGACCGCTGAAGCCAGAGCCTGTGCTGCTGGCTTTGCAGATGCAGGAAGTGGACAGTAGCGAAGAAATGCAAGGAATGCAGCCCTAGAACCTGGAAGAGAGAAGGGAGCTGGTTCTCCCCTAGAGCCTCCAGAAGGAGGGCATCTTGATTTCAGCTTAATGTAACTGGTTTTGGACTTCTAATCTCCAGAACTGTAAGAGAATAAATGTGTTTCGTTTTAAGCCATCAAGTCTGTGATAATTTGTTACAGCAGACTAATAGAGACAGTAATATATTACAACTCATAATAAGTTATAAAAAAATAAGGAATCCATGAGTTCATTCTAATAGTAGATAAGTAGATAGACAGATGATAGATACATAATAACGGAATGAAAGAATACATGAATGTCAGGTAGGGGAGAGGGAGGGCTCTTCCTTACAGTAAAAGTTGACTAATAAATGTGGAAGAAATGGTGGAAAATCATCATTTTGTAACCAATCCTTAGGCAAGAATCATCAATGAATGCTAAATTTAGGGGGTAATTGTGAGGATCAAGAGAAATCATAACTGCTGTTCAGTTACACCTTTATCAAGTGGTCAGAATTAGTATCACCAACAAGAGCAGATGGACATTGTGGACCTCCAGATGTGACATCCTGAGTAAAACAAATGATCACTTTTGTAGTACCATCTGGGGGTAAAAGACCTGTATCTAATTATGAGAAAACATCAGACAAAACCAGCTAAAGGAATATATTATAAAATAACTGACTTCAGCTTTTCAAAAATGTCAATGGCATGCAATACAACAGAAGGTTATAGAACTGAGATTACAGGAGACTAAAGATAAGTGATAAGTAAATGCAATATATAATTCTGTCCTGGATCCTGCACTGGAGAAGAAGAGTGCTATTATTAGGGATATAAAACATTAAGAATATTATTGGGACAAAGAAATAATTGGAATATGGATGATAGGTGAAATTATAACATCAATGTTAAATATCCTGAATTGAATATCAGTGTTGTGGTTACATAAAAGAATAACCCTATTCTTAGGAAATTCCAAAATTGTAAGGGGAAAGGAGGTATGCCTTCAACCTGTGAGAAAACATTTTCAACAAATACTGGGGGAAAGGTTACTATTCTCAAAAATCAATGAGAAAAAGCAACCTTATAGAAAAATGATTATATAATATGTTTGACAAATAACAGAAAAATATACATGATATATACTCAACTCTCTTGTAAGTAAAGAAATACAAATCAAAACAATGAGATGCCATCTGTTACCCAGAGAGTGGCAAAACTGAAAGAGTTTGGAAATATAAAGTGTTAGCACTGAAATGGAAAGTGGTGGGACTATAAGATCATGTAGCTTCTTTTAGAGAACAACTCACTATGGCCCACATGCAAAAAGAGGCAAGTACAGAAATGTTCTTTGCAGTCATGTTTACAGTTAGAAACTAGAAGCAACATGAACATATGTAGGAATATGGCTAGAAACTCAAGTCCTTCCATTAAGTTAAAAAAAAACTTGTAAAATGATATTACATATGCAATTAAAAAGTTAATAACAGGCCAGGTGCAGTGGCTCATGCCTGTAATCCCAGCACTTCGGGAGGCCAAGGCAGGTGGATCAGGAGGTCAGGAGTTCAAGACCAGCCTGGCCAACATAGTGAAACCCTGTCTCTACTAAAAATAGAAAAATTATCCAAGCGTGGTGGTGGGCACCTATAGTCCCAGCTACTTGAGAGGCTGAGGGAGGAGAATCGCTTGAACCTGGGAGGTGGATGTTGCAGTGAGCCGAGGTCATGCCACTGCACTCCAGCTTGGGCAACAGAGTGAGACTTAGTCTCAAAAAAAAAAAAACAGTCAATAACAATAAATATACTATCAAACAACACAGTATGATTTTATGGCTCTATATATCTGTATCTAAAATTATACAAGAGCAAGGAAGATGACATTAAAGGATATGCATCAAGTAAGAACTCAGGGTGGGATTGTTCAGAGGTGACTTCAGCTTTATCTCTAGTGTTTTTTTTTTTTTGGTAAAGGGAAATTTATTCGTATATTGCTTGCATAATTAAGGATTACATGTGTAATTAAGGATTTCATATATAATTAAACATTAATTTAAAAATGTGGGCAGGAGTCTTTACCTTCCCAAGACCATTTATAAATCAATTTTCTTTTCTGTCTTCTAATAAATCAGCTACTGTAAGCATCGTGAATGAGGGCCACACACTGCATAATGGTTCCCTCTGCCACTCTGGCTTCTATTTTTACTCTTCCTTGGAACCTCCGGGCATTTGATTTCAATCTGTAATGTCGAGATTTGGAAATTAAATTTAGGTGAGTTCAAAAGAAGAGTGTCTCTAAATGTAAGCAGCTTGGGTATTTACCTTTTCCCTGTTCAAACGTATGCACAAGAACCTCTCTTCTGTCTTCACGTCTGTGAGAAAATTAGTGAGAAACAACATCAGGGAATCACTGGTGGAGTCTGCATAATTATATATGTCGGCAGCTCTGTTCTTGGGGGATATTGTGAAATTAGGATATTTCTCTTCCCAAGCCTGATGACTAGAAAATTTGAATCTCACATACAACCACCAAGTCTCTTTAAGAATGTATGTGATGCCCTGTATAATTCTTAATGGACTTAGAATATGCCTAAAAATTCTATTATAGCACTGTGGAGTATGAAAATTTAAAGAGAGCATACTCATTCTCAAGTTCAGTCACTTTGAAGAGTTTGTT
Source organism: Homo sapiens (assembly GCF_000001405.40). Taxonomy (NCBI): domain Eukaryota; kingdom Metazoa; phylum Chordata; class Mammalia; order Primates; family Hominidae; genus Homo; species Homo sapiens. Next base: position 79,503,407 of record NC_000015.10, on the reverse strand, counting down.
GTTGATGTTGTTTTTAATGGAGAAAATGAGGTCCACAGAATGGAAGTGAATTCTCAACATCACAGAACCATTGGGCATGGTTGTGGGCAGATTCCAAGCCTTGATCACCCCCAACAACACAACCATTGTATTCATGTGATATTATATTTGTGCAAATGTAAATTAGATGCTGGAGTGAATGGAGAAGAGGAAACTTCCCATCTTCTGTTACACCTGCCTGCACAAGTCCTAACAGAATGATACGGCCCAGTACAATGTGCATTTCTCCCATGGACGTTGCCTGCTTAGGAGCATATGGTCTAGGAGAGAGTTGAGGTCACCAGTATTGGTGATCTGCATGAGGATGAAGTGATGTTGAGAGACCCTAAAGAGAATGGGCCACATAAGGCATTACCTTCATCGTCAAGAATAAAAATAAAAGTTGTGTTTTTCTGGTCCTCAGTGATAGATACAATTTTGCTCAGTCGTCAAGAAACTCGTTCCTTCCCCTCACCAAGGGGCAGAGGAAACACAAAGGGATGAAGCTAACACTTCTCGGCTCTCACGTGCTAGTGTTTTGCTGCTGTCCTCCTAATTCTGAATGGCAAGTGTCTTAATGCCAAAACTGTAAAAGCTGGTCCAGGTCTGATGTGTTCAATGTCATGATTAAGAAAAAAACAAAAACAAAAACAAAAAACTGAAGTCCTACAGCCAGGTTTGAAAACGTAGCTGAACAGGTGTAGGTGAGGAGAATGCAGCTGAGAGGTAGCACTGTTCACACATTTAACGAGTGGACATTGTGACTGGGCTTCTGAAGACATTCATATGGTGGAACATGCAGTGTAGTGTGTGTGTGGTCTACAAACAGATAGCCCAGTGTTCTGATATTTACTGATGCAGTCTGACATTTACCCACTGTTCACCCCTGATTCTGTGTTCTATAGAATGGTGATAATATAAGGGTCATTGCCAATCCTTGATAGGTTGGAGGAATGTGACTGGAATAGGAACAGAACCAAAACCTATCTTGCAAGATTCCTTTAGGAATCAAGTAGGATGACTTATTTAAAGTACCTAGTATTTTAAAGTGCTCATTATGCAGTTAGCACAAATTACAGTATAAAACCCAGTAGAAGAGCACAGCCTTAAAATCATGACAATTAGATTTCCACTTATGTCATTTCCTGGTTGTGTCACCTGGAGCAAATTCCTGCCCCTCTCTGAGTTTCCACATTGGAAAACAAGGATTAAAGACCAATCTTGAAGTGTTGTTTGAGGTCTTAACTGTGGCTGCATTTAATAAGACATAGTTCAAAACAAGAAAAGAGGTCATCTACCATCCCTGGAAGGATCAGAGAACTTGGAGAAACATCTTCCAGTTTTGATACCACACTCTACAAGGGTCACTGCCAAATCTGGGAGGGTTGAAGGAAAGTGGCCAGGAGGGAGGGAAAAGAACTGTATTGGCCAGCGTTCTCCAGAGAAACAGAATGAATAGGAGAGCTGTATATATATTATAAAGAATTCATTGATGTAGTTATGGAGGCTGAGAAGTCCCAAGATCTGTAGTAAGTAAGATGGAGACTCAAGAGCTTTGATGGTGTAGTTCCAGTCTGAGTCCAGGGCCTGAGAACCAGGACATCTGGTGGTGCAAGTTCTGGTTCAAAAGGTGGCAGGCGGCCGGGTGTGGTGGTTCATGCCTGTAATCCCAGCACTTTGGGAGGCTGAGGCAGGAGGATCACTTGACCCTAGGAATTTGAGACCAGCTGGGACAACATGGCAAAATCCCATCTCAACAAAAATACAAAAAAATTAGCTGAGTGTGGTCTCAGCTACTCAGGATGCTGAGATGGGAGGATCACTCGAGCCCAGGAGGTCAAGGTTGCAGTGAGCTGTGATTATGCCACTGCGCTTCAGCTTGGATGACTGAGGGAGACCCTGTCTCAAAAAAAAAAAAAAAAAAAAAAAGGTGGCAGGCTCCAAACCCGAGAAGAGAATGTGTTTCAGTCTGAGTCTGAAGGCAGGAGAAGGCCAATGTCTGAGTTCGAGGCAGCTGGGCAGGAGGATTCCCTCCTCCTCATGGGAGGATCAGCCTTTTTGTTCCATTCAGGCCCTCAACTGATTGGATGAGGGCCACCCACGTTAGAGGGAGGCATCTGCTTTGCTCAGTCTGCAGATTCCAATGTTAATCTCATCCAGAAACACCCTCACAGACACACCCAGAATAATGTGTGACCAAATGTCAGGGCACCCCATGACCCTGTCAAGCTGACACATAAAATTGACCATCGCAAGACCCCACATCCATTTCCCCGAGGGATAGTTATCTGTCTCATTTGTCAGCTAGGGGACTTGTTCTGGAGAAAATTATGTCCATATTATGGAACACAGATTCTGATTCAATATAAGAAAGAACTTTCTAGCATTCAGGGTGGTTGAGAATGAAATGAGCTTCTGGGGGAATGCATTCTCTCTTATTGGTAATGCACAAACAGAAGGGAAACAAACCCTTGCATAGGAGTCTGTCAAGGAGAATAAAGCAACAGCTGCAGGCCTTAAACAGCATACCGGACCAGAGGTTTCTTCCAAGCACATGAGTCTATGGTTCTGTGATTTTGTGGAAGTGCTCCATAAATGTAGGTGGTGTTATAATTTGAAATCACACAGGACCAGGCACTTAATATATTTTCTCCAGGCAATAGCATCCCAGTCATTCTCTCCCACTACAGTGCTCATGTGATGACACTCTCACTCAACAATCATCAAGTGCTCCCCATCACCTAGTGATGACACTCCAACTCATTGGCCTGACATACAAGCCCTTCTTCTAATAACCCCAAGCCTGTCTTCACAGCCTGATTCTCTACTACTTTTCCATACAGACACCATGCTGCCACCAAGCATGTGCCTTGGATTTTCAAGGCCCTTATGTTCTGTCCCTCAGGAAAGGACATCACTCTGAATCCCTCAATACTGGGTGTATTATTCCATTCTCACCCTGCTATAAAGAAATACCTAAAACTGGATAATTTATAAAGAAAAGAGGTTTAATCAGCTCACGGTCCTGCAGGCTGTAGAGGCGTCTGTTTCTGGGGAGGCCTCAGGAAACTTACAATCATGATGGAAAGGGAAGCAGGCACATATATGCACATGGCCAGAGAAGGAGAGAGAGAAAGGGCAGGTGCTACACACTTTCTAACAACCGGATCTCATGAAAACTCTATCATAAGAACACCAAGGGTGAAGTCCGTCCCCATGATTCAATCACCTCCCACCAGTCCCCTCCTCCAACACTGGGAATTATAATTCGACATGAGATTTGGGTGGGAACACAGAGCCAAACCATATCACTGGGCTAAGTAAGCCTCCTGTGAGTTTCCTAGGCATAATGCTCTGACTCACATGCCCCATATGCTATGCTGCATTGCAATTGTCTGGTCACTTGTGTCTATCACTCAAGTGAACCAAAAGCCCCTCAAGAGGAGAAGCTATGGCATGCTTGCTGTTGTGTCTAAATACCTCAGTGCCTGGCATGTAGTAACTCTCACATAGCATTTACTGACTTGAAGTGTGTCTTCCATGAACTCCTTTCCATTTGCAATCTTTTCCTCTAAATTCCTGCAGTATTCTAATCATATCTCCACAATGTCATTCATCCAATAATGTATTCATCCAGTTGACATTGTTTAAACGTATTTTAGGTGCCAAGCTCTATGCTGAGTTTTGGGGATAGATTGGGGATTAGAATATAATCTTTTCTCTCAGGCGGCTTATATTCTAGCAGGCAATACAGAAAGGAAAGTAGGCAATGATAAGACACTCTCCTGGAGGTATCACAATAATCTCTTTCACTGGATAGAGAGCTCCAGGAGGCATGGATCAGCTAAGTTATTTCATCTCTGTTTCTTCAGTGCCTAACCCAGTAAATAGTATGTAATTGCTGAATGGATACATCATTATAGGTAATCCTGTACTTATGTCAGTAACTTGGTCATGTCTTCCTATCCAGGCAAACCACTGAGATCTTAGGCCATCCCAGAGTTTTAGAGCTGCAAGGAACCTCAAAGATCGAGGAGTCCAGTTCTTTCTCTATGATTTTAATTCCTTCTACAATATCCTGACAATCAATTTTGTGGAAACAAGCATGAGCTCCTAGGCATGGATGGGTCATGCAAAAATAAGATGATGTTGTTTTTGCCGATTTTTAGACGTAGTAGAGATGGACATTTTAAAAACACAGGTTCCAAGTTAGCCCATGTTCTGTCTATAGCCGGCACCTATTGGTGTTGCTCTGGTTCTTCATAAGTACAGAAAATGTGACACCCAGGTCCCATCCTGTAACAGCAAGCACTATGATAACCAGAACTTTTGCCTGATAAACAATTGCTAAGCTCCAGCCCACAGCCAACTAATTCCACACACCAGTCATCCTAGCACACTCACATAAAAGAATTTGGACAGTTTGTTGAAATTCACTGTGATCCTATTTGTCTCGGAATTAAAACAACATTAATTGGGTATGTGCGACAGTTCATTTTGGTTCCTTTGGATTGGATTGCTGTGCAAATGGGTAGTGAATACAAGGGAAATATTTAACCTAATTGAACATGAATATACTCAATTCCTGAGTCTTCTTCAAATCACTTTGGCAACTGTGTTATTGAGGACGAGTAATGAAAGTGCTGAACATAAATTTTCATCAATTTTTTTAAAGCACTTGCTAGCTTCTATAGCACTGATCAATATCGTAAGCCAATAGCAGCAGCATCTTGATAAATTAATTTATGTGATATGGTTGAATTTTTAAAAGTCTTTAACATTTTCTTGCCACCTCCTGTTCAGGAGAATGTGTGAGGCTTTGCAGCATGAGGACTCAGGTGAGCTTGAGGACCTCTGTGAGCTTATGAAGTCTGTGTTTTAAATGACTTGCAAGATAAGATGAGTTGTTATGCTCCCATCCTAAGGACAAAGCCACATGATAGGAATTAAGGTTAGGGGATTTAGAGAACATCAAAGCATTTTTATGCCCTTGAGAACAAGCTTGTAAACATCTGGTAAGGACATGAATTGAATTGATAGGAACCAGGGTTATCATATTAACTAGGATGCAGATGATTCATGTTGAAGCTTTGGAAATATAAACTTAGGTTCACATTGCAACTCTGCTTCTGACAAGCTGTGTCACCTCAGCCTACAAACGTCATCTTTCTTCAGCCCTGTAAGATCACCCATGAAGGATGATTGGGAGAAGATGAGATAATGCATCCAAAGGAATCAGCATAGTGCCCAAAACATACACTTAGAAATGTAATTTTTCTTCCCTTATGGAGCACTTGAGTCCACACATAATGCGTGTGCACAGTCTGTGGAAACAGCAAATTCAAGGATCCAGTCTGGGGGCCCATTAAAAAGGAAGCCTCCACAGAAGAGTTAAGGGAGTGATTGATTAACCACTGCAATTCATTATGAAGGCCAGGAGGGAAGATATCACTGTGACAAATTGCTTGGTTTTCTTTTCTGTTTTTACATTAATGCATTTGTCAGCACAAGAGGTGGGGAGAAAAAACAAAAGACGTTCTAGTGTCAGAGAACCTCTTATTGATTGGGTTCTGCATGACATTCTCATTAAGAATGAGAAGAGATGGTTTCTGTCTAAGTGTGAGGGCAGCCCCACCCCGGGACAGGAGAATGGCCAGGGTGGCTTCAGGGCATTGCCCCTCCAGCCCTCAGATTCTGTACTCTTAGCATTCCCCTCCTACCTTTTCTAAAGCAGGGATGGTAGGAAGAAAAGAGAGAGGAGAGAAGAGTAAATGAAAGCAACATTTTATTCTTTGACAATGGCTTGACTATGTGATAGTGAAGAGCCTCAAGTCTCAGTTTCTATTTCTATAAAATGGGTATAAAACCACCTACTTTTTAAAGATGGAGTATGTATTAAATGAGACAAATGTCACTTATCACTATCTGATACTATGTTATATGTTCATTGTCTCCTTTTTGTATCATGGGTCTCCTCACTAAATTAGGGTAAAAATATTGTGTGCTTTGTTCACTACTGTATTCTCAGCATCTAGAACCCTGCCTAGCACATAGTCGGTGCTTTATAAAAATCAGTCGAATTAATGAATGAATAATGTATATAAGGGGTTTAACACAGTGTCATTACATACTAAGATCTCAAGATTGGTGGCTTTTGGATGAGATCGGGTGTGTTCAGGGTGGCGTGGCCGTAGACTCAATATTGGTGGCTTTCAAAACCTTAGTGAATAGGTGATGGAAAGTTCATCTTGGGATCTGTGAAAGCAAGTTAGACTCAGCTTTGAATCCAGCCACAGAGTGGGTGGATCAGTGCAAGGAGGTGGCATAACACAATTGGAATCCTCAAATCCCAGGGGCATGAATGAGTCAAAGGTCACTGCCTGTGGGCTGGAGTTAGAAGAGGTGAGACTGGGGTCCTGGGTTGGTGTTGGCCTGTTGCCTCATCCTGAGATGGAGGCTCATTGCAGCTCTGCTCCTGAGAGGTAAGGGGGCAGGGGCATCAGGTCTTTTTCCCTGTGGGTATGGCCTCCCAAAGGCAGGGTGTCTTACACGGGCAGGGGCACATTGGAGAGCACAAAGGTGGTTCTCACTCCCAAAAAGTGCTTCTTCTTTGAAAGCCCTTGTCACCTACATCACTGCTCCCCCACCAACCCCCAGGGCTAAGTTAGAGCCTTTTGTTATGAGGTCCAAGCGCACCTCTCCTCTCCTACACACAAATGTGGAGAGGAGAGTGTGTGTGCCTTTCCTGAGCCTCATACCATGAAGCAGGGATGGCTTCTGAATGTTCCCTGCTTTATTCCCAGCATCTAGCATAGTCCCTGGCCCGTTACATGGGTTCAATAAAGTCTGTAGAGTGAATGAATGAATAGATGAATGAGTGAAGTACATCCCTTATATAGGTAAACAAGAAAACTCTTGTTTACACCCCGTGCCTCTCTCTCTCTCTAATTCAACCCCTGCCACTTGTACTTCATTAACCAAAAAAAAAAAAATGAGGTTATAACTCTTTGAGCACCAGGATTTCCTATGCAGACTCAGACATGCAGCAAACAGGTACACTTTGGGCCAGGAGACCCCACTGAAGAGTCCCAACTGTGATTGGCAGGCATCTATGTATTCTATGAGAGTTAGTTCCCACCTAAAGGTGTCCCTTCAGTCCTGCACGGAGATGTCTTTGTGCTCAGGGGGCTGGGGCCATGCTAAGGGGTGACCCTGAGCACCAGGTCATGGGGAGCAGAGCCTGAGAGCCTCTGGAAGCCTGTTAAATGCTCAAGGCCAGCCTGACTCTGTGGCCCATGGTGCAAACAGTTGATTTATTTCAGAGGGATGCATTTGCATTCCAGCTGCTGGCCCAGGGAAGCTTCTCTTTTCCCATTTGCCAAGTGCATGCACTCACACACCCCCTTACATATACTCACACTGTCACACCCACACACACACAACCACCCAGGCACACTCACGGACACTCACAGACACATGTACACTCTCACACATATTCACACACATCTCACATGTATAACACAGTCACACATACACTCACACAGATCCAAAGTCACACACACTTACATGTACTCCCAATCACACACACGTACACACCAATTACATATACTCACACACAACACATAATACATTCTCTCACACATAAAGTAACACACACTGATATATACACTCACACATATTCCCACTTTACATATACTCACACAGTCACACACTTAAACTCACAAACACACACAGAAACACCCTGGCCAAAATAGGAGAAGGGACAAGTGAGACTCCGTAATTCCTAATGGAGGCAATGTCCCGGCTCCTCCCCTGTACCTCTGAGTCTGAGGCCCCCAGTTCCTGGCTGGGGCTCTGAGCCCTTTTGTTAGGCAGAAACTGGGCCCCATGAGCCCCTGGTCAGCTGGGCCTTGGGCACTGCCTGCCCCACCCCCCTCCCTCATGCCCCACCCCGCTCCCTCCAGGGAGCCTGCCCCACCCCGCTCCCTGCTGAGTTCCCCACCCCAGCTATTGAAGACCCTCTCTCTTACCCCCTTCCCTGTCTCTCTCAGCAAATGATGAAATTCCTAGCTTCCCTGTCCCTTCCACCTCCCACATCCTTGGGTCATTCCCCCTCCCCCTGCTTCCCACTTCCCCAGCAGTAAATGGCAGCACGTCAAGGAAGAAATCACACAGGCTTTGGAGTCAACAGGCATGGGTCTGCCTCCTGCCTGGTCACCTTCTGGCTGTGTGGATTTGGGAGGCCAGGCACCTTTTCTGATTCCAAATTTCCTTATCTGTCAAATGAGATCATTTATATTTCAGATAAATAAATAAATGAGATAAAGAATGGAGGAGTGCCAAGACTGGTACTGGGGGCACCAGTCTGTGCTTGGTATGCGTTCACTTCTCTCTCTTTCTTCCTGCCAAGGTTAATTCCTCCATCTGGGCAGCCCCTCATCCGGGCTGAAGTCCCTCGCCCTTCACTGTATCAGTCAACTTCTCCTTCAAACACTGACCTTCTCTCCATGTGGCTTCTGCCCCTTGACCTGCACCCTGACACAATCTTCGCTTCCTAAAGAAAGCCTCGCTTGACAATGCAGTAAATTACTGCAGAATTTACCATATCGATCTTCATTTCCTTCTCCCACTTCCTCCACCCCTGCTCACTGCAATCAGGCTTCTATTCACCCCACCGCCGGTCACTTTAAATTATACTGCTTGCCTCCTTGCTTCCTTGTGGTCCTCAGTGCCCAATTCAGTCACATCCCCTCAACACCTCCACAGTGCAGATGACATCACTCATTCCCTTCAGCAAGGGGTAGAAGGGTGAGTTGGCCAGAAGCACACAGCCTTGCTTCAAATCCTGGCTCAGCCACTCCCCAGCTGTGCAAGCTCAGGCCAGCCACATGCTCTCTGTAAGCCTCAGTTTCATCACCTATAAAACGAGACTACAAGAAGCACCGGCCTTATTGGTTGTTGTGAGGACTACATGAGATAATGCATGTTGTTGAGTGTTGCCCATGTGACAAGTGCTCAATATCATTATTGCTGATTATGACCCTTAGAATCTTCTCCTCCTCAGAAACCTGAGCCTCCAACATCCCCTTGACATCCTTCCCAGGCTTCACACATGGGAGCTCTCCAGGGCTCTGTCTTCAGGCTTCAGGGTCTATCCTATAAAATATTATGCTCTTCCACCACTGCCCCTGTCTTCTCCCATGGCCCCACCTCCATGCCTCTGGTCTCATTGTCTCTCCTGTGTCCCACATCTGGACTGTCGTGGGACTTTTGCACATCTCTTTCTGGAAGAGACTCTCTCTGCCTGGGTTTAGACTGCCATCCTTGGTCTCACAGCAGGGCAGCAGAATGATCAGGTTATTCTTTAGTGAGAGTACTCCAGCAGAAGAAATAGGGGCCTGAAAACAGCAACCCTGATGAGGAGGTAGCTGCCAACAGGGCAAAGGAAAAGGACACTAACTTTGAGCGCTTGTCTCAGATCTCATGTCAGTCCTGCAATGTAAGCACCAATGATCCCATTTCAAAGATGAAGGGATGGAAATGAATCTAACGCCAAATCCCATGCTCCACCCACTCTGTCACACTATATCTGAAACGGTATCTATTTTAAATACACTTTTCCCCAGACACTGTGCCAGTTACTGTACCATTTTAATGCTTCCAGTGACCCTAGAAAGGAGTTACTCCCATTTTACAGATGAGTAAACTGAGGTTCAGTGGCTTTCTCAAGCTGAGGCCAATTTTGAGGTTAGTTCAACTAATGATAAAACTTATTCTATTTGATACCTAATCTCTGTCCTTGACTCTCTACCTGCCACATTTAATATGTATGCACATACATAACTAAGTTCTGAAGAGAGAATCTTCCAGAGGTGCCCTTGCTAGAAGGGCTGATGGAATCTAATCTCAGAGTGCAAGTCTATGTAGAGTTGCCTTTTAACACCAAAACTTGAGGTGAAAAGTCGACTTTTTGACTGCATTACTTTTAGGCCTGTTACAAGAACTCTTCAAACCAAAAGGCAGCTCCATATTTCATACTCTAGTAAGATTTCAAGGTTTAGTGCAATTTTCCACAGATAACAAAAGAAGTTCTAGGAAATTGTTCTTTGCTTATGAATCAGATATTACTTGGCTTTCTCTGGGGAAATAGGCTTTTACTTCCATAAAAACAAGTATAAAGAATGCAATAGCTGATTGAGTGAGCCTAAGTTTAGTTATGAGACATGTGAGTGGCTTTCACTATATGATGCTACACTCAGAAATTTCAGATTTGGGTAAATTCAAAGGAAATGTCTGGGTTTTTTTTTTAAACAACAACAACAACAACAACAAAACACTGTCCCAGAATTGAGAAGCCCAAGGTTAAAATCTCATCTCTTGAATAGTTTAGTTAATATATTCACATAGCACAAACATCACCAAGTATAAAAACATATATACTGAGAACTTTGCTACCCACTCTATTTCCCATCCTCCAATTTCTATCCCTCTGCAAAAGTAATCACTGTTATAATTAGGCTGGCACAAAAGTAATTGCTCTCCACACAGAGCTGTGTGGAGTCTCAACAGAGCAGCTGCTCAGGCACACACAGAGACCCAGGAGCTTTACAAAATCTTTGGATTGATTATTTAATTGCTTCAAAACAATAGTTTAAAGTCACAAAGATATTATCTCTCACTGTTTCTGAGGAAAAGAAACTTAAGAGTATCTTTGCTGGAAGATTCTGGCTTAGGGTCTGTGATGATGTTGAATTCAACTTGTTGGCCAGGGCTGCAGTTATCTGAAGAACTGATAGATGCTAGAGGATCTGCATCAAAACTCTCATATGGCTGTTGACAGGAGGCCTCAGTTCCTCTGAGGATGCTCACAACATGGCAACCAGCTTTACCCAAATCAAGGGATCCAAGAGAGAAAGAAAGGAATCAAGATGGATGCTACTGTGTTTTTCATAACCTAATCATAGAAGTGACATACCTTAACTTATGCCAAATTGTAGTAGTCATCCATACCAAAACTGGTACAGTGTAGAGGGAACTACACAAAGCATGAACATCAGAAGGTGGGGATCACTGGAGATCATCTTAGGTGTTCGTTACCACAACATTGTTAAGGGTCGTTATGGGAAAACTGCTGAAACCCAAAGACAAATAGACCATCTCAAAAGCAGCCAGAGAAGAAGGAATAATACATTCGAAAGTGCAACAATAGGACAGAATCAATGGAAGCCAGAAGGCAATGGAATGATATCAAAATGCTTATAAATTAAAAATGATTAAATTAAAATGATGACAACCTAGAATTCTTAACCTGATAAAAATATCTTTCATAATGAAATTGAAACAAAGAAATTTTAGACAGGCAAAAATTAAGAGAATTCATTAGCAACAGATTTATCTTAAAATAAATACTAAAAGGCATTCTTGAGGCAGAAGGAAATTAATCCCAAATGGAAGTCTGGAGGTACAAGGAAGAATGAAGAGCTATGAGAATGATAAATCTGTAGGCAAACTAAATTACTTACTCTACAAAACAATAATATAATATTTTGCAGTTAAAAATATAAAACAACAGGGGGAGGAGCCAAGATGGCCGAATAGGAACAGCTCCGGTCTACAGCTCCCAGCGTGAGCGACGCAGAACAGGGGTGATTTCTGCATTTCCATCTGAGGTACCGGGTTCATCTCACTAGGGAGTGCCAGACAGTGGGCGCAGGTCAGTGGGTGCGCGCACCGTGCGCGAGCCGAAGCAGGGCGAGGCATTGCTTCACTCGGGAAGCACAAGGGGTCAGGGAGTTCCCTTTCCTAGTCAAAGAAAGGGGTGACAGACGGAACCTGGAAAATCGGGTCACTCCAACCCGAATACTGCGCTTTTCCAACGGGCTTAAAAAAAAAGGCGCACCAGGAGATTACATCCTGCACCTGGCTTGGAGGGTCCTACGCCCACGGAGTCTCGCTGATTGCTAGCACAGCAGTCTGAGATCAAACTGCAAGGCGGCAGCGAGGCTGGGAGAGGGGCGCCCGCCATTGCCCAGGCTTGCTTAGGTAAACAAAGCAGCCAGGAAGCGCGAACTGGGTGGAGCCCACCACAGCTCAAGGAGGCCTGCCTGCCTCTGTAGGCTCCACCTCTGGGGGCAGGGCACAGACAAACAAAAAGACAGCAGTAACCTCTGCAGAGTTAAATGTCCCTGTCTGACAGCTTTGAAGAGAGCAGTGGTTCTCCCAGCACACAGCTGGAGATCTGAGAACGGGAAGACTGCCTCCTCAAGTGGGTCCCTGACCCCTGACCCCCGAGCAGCCTAGCTGGGAGGCACCCCCCAGCAGGGGCAGACTGACACCTCACAGGGCCCAGTACTCCAACAGACCTGCAGCTGAGGGTCCTGTCTGTTAGAAGGAAAACTAACAAACAGAAAGGACATCCACACCAAAAACCCATCTGTACATCACCATCATCAAAGACCAAAAGTAGGTAAAACCACAAAGATGGGGAAAAAACAGAGCAGAAAAACTGGAAACTCTAAAAAGCAGAGCACCTCTCCTCCTCCAAAGGAACGCAGTTCCTCACCAGCAACAGAACAAAGCTGGATGGAGAATGACTTTGATGAGCTGAGAGAAGAAGGCTTCAGACGATCAAATTACTCCAAGCTACAGGAGGACATTCAAACCAAAGGCAAAGAAGTTGAAAACTTTGAAAAAAAATTTAGAAGAATGTATAACTAGAGTAACCAATACAGATAAGTGCTTAAAGGAGCTGATGGAGCTGAAAACCAAGGCTCGAGAACTACGTGAAGAATGCAGAAGCCTCAGGAGCTGGTGCGATCAACTGGAAGAAAGGGTATCAGTGATGGAAGATGAAATGAATGAAATGAAGCGAGAAGGGAAGTTTAGAGAAAAAAGAATAAAAAGAAATGAGCAAAGCCTCCAAGAAATATGGGACTATGTGAAAAGACCAAATCTACATCTGATTGGTGTACCTGAAAGTGACGGGGAGAATGGAACCAAGTTGGAAAACACTCTGCAGGATATTATCCAGGAGAACTTCCCCAATCTAGCAAGGCAGGCCAACATTCAGATTCAGGAAATACAGAGAATGCCACAAAGATACTCCTCGAGAAGAGCAACTCCAAGACACATAATTGTCAGATTCACCAAAGTTGAAATGAAGGAAAAAATGTTAAGGGCAGCCAGAGAGAAAGGTCAGGTTACCCTCAAAGGGAAGCCCATCAGACTAACAGCGGATCTTTCGGAAGAAACTCTACAAGCCAGAAGAGAGTGGGGGCCAATATTCAACATTCTCAAAGAAAAGAATTTTCAACCCAGAATTTCATATCCAGCCAAACTAAGCCTCATAAGTGAAGGAGAAATAAAATACTTTACAGACAAGCAAATGCTGAGAGATTTTGTCACCACCAGGCCTGCCCTAAAACAGCTCCTGAAGGAAGCGCTAGACATGGAAAGGAACAACCGGTACCAGCCACTGCAAAATCATGCCAAAATGTAAAGACCATCGAGACTAGGAAGAAACTGCATCAACTAACGAGCAAAATAACCAGCTAACATCATAATGACAGGATCAAATTCACACATAACAATATTAACTTTAAATGTAAATGGGCTAAATGCTCCAATTAAAAGACACAGACTGGCAAATTGGATAAAGAGTCAAGACCCATCAGTGTGCTGTATTCAGGAAACCCATCTCACATGCAGAGACACACATAGGCTCAAAATAAAAGGATGGAGGAAGATCTACCAAGCAAACGGAAAACAAAAAAAGGCAGGGGTTGCAATCCTAGTCTCTGATAAAACAGACTTTAAACCAACAAAGATCAAAAGAGACAAAGAAGGCCATTACATAATGGTAAAGGGATCAATTCAACAAGAAGAGCTAACTATCCTAAATATATACGCCCCCAATACAGGAGCACCCAGATTCATAAAGCAAGTCCTGAGTGACCTAGAAAGAGACTTAGACTCCCACACATTAATAATGGGAGACTTTAACACCCCACTGTCAACATTAGACAGATCAATGAGACAGAAAGTCAACAAGGATACCCAGGAATTGAACTCAGCTCTGCACCAAGCGGACCTAATAGACATCTACGGAACTCTCCACCCCAAATCAACAGAATATACATTTTTTTCAGCACCGTACCACACCTATTCCAAAATTGACCACATACTTGGAAGTAAAGCTCTCCTCAGCAAATGTAAAAGAACAGAAACTATAACAAACTATCTCTCAGACCACAGTGCAATCAAACTAGAACTCAGGATTAAGAATCTCACTCAAAACCACTCAACTACATGGAAACTGAACAACCTGCTCCTGAATGACTACTGGGTACATAACGAAATGAAGGCAGAAATAAAGATGTTCTTTAAAACCAACGAGAACAAAGACACAACATACCAGAATCTCTGGGACGCATTCAAAGCAGTGTGTAGAGGGAAATTTATAGCACTAAATGCCCACAAGACAAAGCAGGAAAGATCTGAAATTGACACCCTAACATCACAATTAAAAGAACTAGAAAAGCAAGAGCAAACACATTCAAAAGCTAGCAGAAGGCAAGAAATAACTAAAATCAGAGCAGAACTGAAGGAAATAGAGACACAAAAAACCCTTCAAAAAATTAATGAATCCAGGAGCTGGTTTTTTGAAAGGATCAACAAAATTGATAGACTGCTAGCAAGACTAATAAAGAAAAAGAGAGAAGAATCAAATAGACACAATAAAAAATGACAAAGGGGATATCACCACTGATCCCACAGAAATACAAACTACCATCAGAGAATACTACAAACACCTCTACGCAAATAAACTAGAAAATCTGGAGGAAATGGATAAATTCCTCAACACATACACTCTCCCAAGACTAAACCAGGAAGAAGTTGAATCTCTGAATAGAATAATAACAGGATCTGAAATTGTGGCAGTAATCAATAGCTTACCAACCAAAAAGAGTCCAGGACCAGATGGATTCACAGCTGAATTCTACCAGAGGTACAAGGAGGAACTGGTACCATTCCTTCTGAAACTATTCCAATCAATAGAAAAAGAGGGAATCCTCCCTAACTCATTTTATGAGGCCAGCATCATCCTGATACCAAAGCTGGGCAGAGACACAATCAAAAAAGAGAATTTTAGACCAATATCCTTGATGAACATCAATGCAAAAATCCTCAGTAAAATACTGGCAAACCGAATCCAGCAGCACATCAAAAAGCTTATCCACCATGATCAAGTGGGCTTCATCCCTGGGATGCAAGGCTGGTTCAATATATGCAAATCAATAAATGTAATCCAGCATATAAACAGAACCAAAGACAAAAACCACATGATTATCTCAATAGATGCAGAAAAGGCCTTTGACAAAATTCAACAACCCTTCATGCTAAAAACTCTTAATAAATTAGGTATTGATGGGACGTATTTCAAAATAATAAGAGCTATCTATGACAAACCCATAGCCAATATCATACTGAATGGGCAACAACTGGAAGCATTCCCTTTGAAAACTGGCACAAGACAGGGATGCCCTCTCTCACAAATCCTATTCAACATAGTGTTGGAAGTTCTGGCCAGGGCAATTAGGCAGGAGAAGGAAATAAAGGGTGTTCAATTAGGAAAAGAGGAAGTCAAATTGTCCCTGTTTGCAGACGACATGATTGTATATCTAGAAAACCCCATTGTCTCAGCCCAAAATCTCCTTAAGCTGATAAGCAACTTCAGCAAAGTCTCAGGATACACAATCAATGTACAAAAATCACAAGCATTCTTATACACCAACAACAGACAAACAGAGAGCCAAATCATGAGTGAACTCCCATTCACAATTGCTTCAAAGAGAATAAAATACCTAGGAATCCAACTTACAAGGGATGTGAAGGACCTCTTCAAGGAGAACTACAAACCACTGCTCAAGGAAATAAAAGAGTATACAAACAAATGGAAGAATATTCCATGCTCATGGGTAGGAAGAATCAATATCGTGAAAATGGATATACTGCCCAAGGTAATTTACAGATTCAATGCCATCCCCATCAAGCTACCAATGACTTTCTTCACAGAATTGAAAAAAACTACTTTAAAGTTCATATGGAACCAAAAAAGAGCCCGCATCGCCAAGTCAATCCTAAGCCAAAAGAACAAAGCTGGAGGCATCACACTACCTGACTTCAAACTATACTACAAGGCTACAGTAACCAAAACAGCATGGTACTGGTACCAAAACAGAGATATAGATCAATGGAACAGAACAGAGCCCTCAGAAATAATGCTGCATATCTACAACTATCTGATCTTTGTCGAACCTGAGAAAAACAAGCATTGGGGAAAGGATTCCGTATTTAATAAATGGTGCTGGGAAAACGGGCTAGCCATATGTAGAAAGCTGAAACTGGATCCCTTCCTTACACCTTATACAAAAATCAATTCAAGATGGATTAAAGACTTAAACGTTAGACCTAAAACCATAAAAACCCTAGAAGAAAACCTAGGCATTACCATTCAGGACATAGGCGTGGGCAAGGACTTCATGTCTAAAACACCAAAAGCAATGGCAACAAAAGACAAAATTGACAAATGGGATCTAATTAAACTAAAGAGCTTCTGCACAGCAAAAGAAACTACCATCAGAGTGAACAGGCAACCTACAAAACGGGAGAAAATTTTCGCAACCTACTCATCTGACAAAGGGCTAATATCCAGAATCTACAATGAACTCAAACAAATTTACAAGAAAACAACAAACAACCCCATCAAAAAGTGGGTGAAGGACATGAACAGACACTTCTCAAAAGAAGACATTTATGCAGCCAAAAAACACATGAAAAAAATGCTCACCATCACTGGCCATCAGAGAAATGCAAATCAAAACCACAATGAGATACCATCTGACACCAGTTAGAATAGCGATCATTAAAAAGTCAGGAAACAACAGGTGTTGGAGAGGATGTGGAGAAATAGGAACACTTTTACACTGTTGGGGGGACTGTAAACTAGTTCAACCATTGTGGAAGTCAGTGTGGCGATTCCTCAGGGATCTAGAACTAGAAATACCATTTGACCCAGCTATCCCATTACTGGGTATATACCCAAAGGACTATAAATCATGCTGCTATAAAGACACATGCACACGTATGTTTATTGCGGCACTATTCACAATAGCAAAGACTTCGAACCAACCCAGATGTCCAACAATGATAGACTGGATTAAGAAAATGTGGCATATATACACCATGGAATACTATGCAGCTATAAAAAATGATGAGTTCATGTCCTTTATAGGGACATGGATGAAATTGGAAATCATCATTCTCAGTAAACTATCGCAAGAACAAAAAACCAAACACTGCATATTCTCACTCATAGGTGGGAATTGAACAATGAGAACACATGGACACAGGAAGGGGAACATCACACTCTGGGGACTGTTGTGGGGTGGGGGGAGGGGGGAGGGATAGCATTGGGAGATATACCTAATGCTAGATGACGAGTTAGTGGGTGCAGCACACCAGCATGGCACATGTATACATACGTAACTAACCTGCACATTGTGCACATGTACCCTAAAACTTAAAGTATAATAATAATAAATAAAATATATAAAACAACAATAGTGTAAAAGAAGTAGATTAATGGAGTTCAAGCATTTTAAGATCTTTGCATTGTCAGAGAAGTGGTAAATGTGATAATCTATGTTAGACAGTAGTAAGAAAATAGTGCATGTTTCAGGCCAGTTACACATAAATGTTATCACTAAAATAAGGTGTTCTTAAAGAGATAACTATCACCCTAACTGGGATGTTCACATAGCATAATAAAAAAACCCACTTATTCCAAAAAAAGAAAAGAAAGAATAGAAAAAGGATAACATTTAAGTAGAAAAAAAAATAGATAGCAATAATAGATATAAACCAAAATCTATAAGTAATCATATTAAAAGTAAGTAGAATATACCAAATAAAATAGAAAGAATTTCATACTGGATTAAAAATAATCCTTTGGGAGGCCAAGGTGGGCGGATCACTTGAGGTCAGGAGTTAGAGACCAGCCTGGCCAACATAGTGAAACCCCATCTCTACTAAAAATACAAAAATTAGCCAGGCGTGGTGGTGTGCTCCTGTAATCCCAGCTACTCAGGAGGCTGAGGCAGGAGAATCCCTTGAACCCAGGAGGCGGAGGTTGCAGTGAGCCGAGATGGTGCCACTGCACCCTGGGCAACAGAGCAAGACTCCATCTCAAAAAAAAAAAATGAAAAGAAAAGGGTGGGAAAAATATATGTTATGCAAACATTAAATAAAAGAAAACAGATGTAAGTAGACCAACATTAGACCAAGTGGATTTTAAGGAAAGAAGAATGAGTAGAAATTAAGGCAAATATTTCTTAATGAAAAAGGGTCAAACCACCAAAAAGTTATAACAAATATAAATGTTTATGCACTTAATGACATAGGTGCAGAGAATATTAAAAAAATGGACAGAAATAAAATTTTAGAAAAGAAATGAAAAAACACACAATCATAGTAGATTTTAGCATATCTTTTTTTTTATTAATTATTAAAATAAACATACAAGGACAAAATTCAGTAAGGAAGCAAAATATTTGAATAGCCTACTTGTTTTAGTTCTGTCAGTTTTTGCTCCAAGAGTTTTCAAGATCTATAGTTAGATGGACACACATTTAGGATTCCTATGAATTTTTGAAGCATTTGTTCTTTTATTATTATGGACTACCCTTTTTATTTCTAGTAATATTCTTTGCTCAGAAGTCTTTGATATTAACATAGACATTTCAGCTCCCTTATGACTAGCATTTACAGGGATATCTTTTTCATCTTTTTGCTTGTTATTAACCTGTATCTTTAGATTTAAAGTGTGTTTCTTGTAGACATGACAGAGATGAGTCTTAGTCTTACTTTTTCATTCATTAGACAATCTCTGCCTTTTTTTTTCTCTATTTTTTTTTGAAATGGAGTTTCGCTCTTGTCCCCCAGGCTGGAGTGCGATGGCGTGATCTCAGCTCACTGCAACCTCCACCTTCCGGGTTCAAGCAATTCTCCTGTCTCAGCCTCCCGAGTAGCTGGGACTATAGGCATGCACCACCATGCCCAGCTAATTTTTGTATTTTTAGTAGAGACAGGGTTTCTCTGTATTGGTCAGGCTGGTCTTGAACTCCTGACCTCAGGTGATCTGCCTGCCTCGACCTCCCAAAGTGCTGGGATTACAGGCGTGAGCCACCATGCCTGGCCATCTCTATCTTTTAATTGGAGTGTTTACACTATTTACTATGTCATTATTAATATGTTGGGCTTAAGTCTATCCTTTTTGTTATTTTTTCTTTGTTCCATCTTTTTTTGTGTTTTTTTCCCCCACTTTTCTTACCTTCTTAACTGAGCATTTTCATATTCCATATTATGTCCTTTACTAGATTATTAGCTATACTTCTTTGTTTTACTTTATATTGATTTTTCTATTTCAGGAAACATCTTTAACACATTATCATACATCTTCCAGTAGTCTAATCCCACTTCGTATATAATGTAAAAGCCTTGCAGATACATACTTACATTACTTTCCACCAGAACTTTGTGCTACTTTTGTCAAACAATTTACTTGTACATTTTATAAATCCCAAATATATTGTTGTTAATTTTTTGCTTAAAAAGTGAATAGTGTAAGGACTTCTGCTTCTGACCAAAATGGAGTAATAACAAACAGATTGTTCTCCCACATGAAACAACTCAAAAACAAGCAGACAGAATAGATAAAATTGTAGTTTTCAATACACAGGAATCAGGCAAAAAAGGACAGTAATCCTTGAGAGACAGGAAACAAACAAGGTGAGCCATGTGATTGCACCAGTGGAGTAATGAAGAGAAGAGAGTTGCACAGAGAAAGAACTCAGATGTATTCAGAGTCTCCCTTGAGCAGCAACACTAGGAAAGAACAATCCAAAATAATTAGAGGGATCAGTATTCAGTTCTCAGCGGGGCCGGGAATAGTGTTAGTTCCCTTAAGGAATGTTGGAATTTATTTGGAAACAAAAGCCTTTTCTAAATAACTTGTGGGTCAAAAAAAAAAAAAAAAAAATCAAAAGGTAAATTTAAAAGTACTAGGAACTGAACAAAAGTGAAAACAGTGTATCAAAATTTGCAGGGTGCTATGAAAGCAGTACTTAGAGGGAAATTCATAGCACTAGACACCTATCTTAGAAAAGAAGACAAATCTCAAATAAATGACCTTAGCTTCCACCTTAAGAAGCAAGCAAAATGAAGAGTAAATAAACTTAAAGTAAGTAGAAGAAAGAAAACAATGAAAATCAGAATGGAAAAAAAATAAAAAGCTGAGAAACAATAGAGAAAATTAAAAAAAACAAAAACAGAAAGCTGGTTTGTAAAGAAGATAAATAAAATAGGAAAATCTCTAGCCAGACTGATCAGGAAAAAGAGAGAACACATTACTAATATTAGCAATGAGAGTGGCAATGCCACTACAGAATATAGATATTAGAAGCATAATGAAAAAATATAATGAACAACTTTAAATCCTCTTTAAATCATTGAGCATATTTATAATACCTGATTAAAAGTATTTGTGCCTGCTGTTTCCATAATCTCAGTCATTTCAGGTTTATATATATTGGATTTTTTAAATTATGGGTTTAATTTTCTTGCTCACATTTTCCTGCTTCTTTACACATCTATCAAGTTTTTGTGTGTTTGACATTGTAAATGTTACATTATTCAGTATCTAGACTGTGTTGATGTACTTTAAAGAGTGCTGGCTGGGCGCCCCGGTGGCTCACGACTGTAATCCCAGCATGTTGGAAGGCTGGGGCAGGTGGATCACCTGAGGTCAGGAGTTCGAGACCAACCTGGCCAAAGTGGTGAAACCTCATCTTTACTAAAAATACAAAAAATTAGCTGGGCATGATGGCAGGCACCTGTAATCCCAGGTACTGGGGAGGCTGAGACAGGAGAATCGCTTGAACGCAGGTGGAGGTTGCAGTGAGCTGAGATCACGCCACTGCACTCCAACCTGGGCAACAGAGCAAGACTCCATCTCAAAAAAAAAAAAAATGTGCTGAAGTGTGCCTTGTCAGGTAGCTAAGGTACTGTGGAGCAGCGTGGCTTTCTGGAGACTTGTTCAGGACAATTCTAGAGCAGTCTTTCTCTAGGTTTACCTTAGCCCTATTGCTAAAGCATGACCTTGACATTGTCTCTTCTGAATGTACTGGGAGTTCGGTTATTTCATCCCATTATGGCTGGTCAGAATTCAAATGTTTCCCGTGTCTCTGTGAGCTCTGAGAATTGTGCAGTTTACAGTTACCCAGTAGTAGTTCTTTGTCCAGCCTCGTGGAGTATCACTGAAGCATGCGCTATTTAGTATTCGACTGAAGACTCAAGAGGGTGCATATGCAGATTTATGGAGCTTCTCTTATTGAATAGCTCCCTCCCCTCCAGTACCTGGGTCTGATGTCCAGCTGTATAGGTCTCCACAAACTACGATCTCTGTTTCTCAACTCAGCAAGATCACTGTGCTCTGCTGGTCTCCCCGCATCATGGTCCAGAAAGTGCCCTAGACAGATAGCCAGGGGACCTGAGTGATGGCCTTGTTTGTTATTCAGATATCACAGTCCTGTGCTGCCTATTGTATCATGCGTGAAGACAATTATTTCATTCATTTTATATATTCAGTTTTCTAAATTTTTACTGTGGGAGAACAAGTCCAGTGTCAGTTTCTCTGTCACGGCCAGAAGCAGAAGTTGACTCATTTACGTATGCGGGTGTATTTATCAAAGCTTTCTGTACAATTTCCTTGGTGTCATGCATAGAAAAAGTCTTTATATTAACTTATATTTTCTGCCAGTACCTTAATGGCTTTATATTTATTAATATTAAATTCTTTAGGCCATGTAGAATTTATTTTGGTGAGAGATGTAAGGCATTAGTCTAGCTTTTCACAAATGGTTAGCCAATTGTGCTAACCCAATTTTCTAAATAATCTATCCTTTCCTTAGAGGTATAAAATGCCTCCTTTATATACTGAATTTACATGTAATTGCATCTATATCTTGACTCTTTTTTTTTCAGATAAATTTTCCATTGCTGAAGTAGTATAGGAAAATTACTCTGAGTTCCGAAATACTGACTTACAAACTAATTGTTAAAGCACACTCCACAGAAAGAAAATGTGCTGAAATGCAAATAATATGGGATGTAGAGGCAAAGAATATTGACTCGACTCTCTGTTCTACTACATATTCTCTGTGTAACGCTCAACCCACGAGCATCAGTTTCTTCAGTAGTAAGATGGGAAAATTGACATTCCATTATTTCCACTTCACTTAAAAGCTCTGTATTCCAGCAGGACAGAACTTCTCCGTATTCCTAAGATACCTTCCTTTTATACGTCTCCATGTCCTGGCCCACATTGTTATCTCTATTTGAAACAGCTTTCTTATTTTCTTTTTTTGGTGGTGAACTCTTATTCACCTTGCAATAAATAGATATGCCATCTCGTCTCTGGTGCTAGATTCTCCAGCTACTTAACCCTCTTACTCCCAACAGCCTGCACCCACATCTCATTGTGCTATAATTATTTATTTACACATCTGTCTCTTGTGGCTGACTTCAAACTCCCTGGCAATAGAAGTTGTATTTTTCTTAACATTCTCTGATCATCAGAATTAACAAGAGGTGCTCAGTGGGCAATGGCTGAATGAACTGGTGAATGAATGGATACACAGCTGCAGGGCTGAGTGAGTGGCTCATCAGATTGGCTGTTCCATTCTGCCCTTGGTAAGCACACTCCGGACAAGGTGTTTGCCTTTGTGGCGCAGTTCTCTACAGTCTTTTCTGCTTCCAGATGACAGAACATGATGTCAGAGCTCTTCTCCCTCTTGTGGGACTCCTGAACCCTTGTGCCAAATCCCTGGAAGCCTATGTAGAGTTCCTCCAGCCAATGTTCACCTCTTTCCCAGCAGTCCCTTTGCTCCCTGTTTTCTCTGTGGGCTCTGGGCTCCTAATTCAGGGTTTTTGTAACCTCAGGACATTCACATTAAACCCTCAGGTGAGCCACTGAGCAGTCCCAACTGGCCTGCCAGCCTTTGGAACTGTGGCTACCTGGTGGTTGTGACCACTGGCTTCCAACCTGGCCCTTACTTC
Organism: Homo sapiens; assembly: GCF_000001405.40. Lineage (NCBI taxonomy): Eukaryota > Metazoa > Chordata > Mammalia > Primates > Hominidae > Homo > Homo sapiens. The sequence goes on along the minus strand of NC_000015.10, from coordinate 79,480,214 downwards.
CCACCTGTCTGTCCTCCTGGGCTGACCAACTGCCTGGCACAGCCCCTTGAATTAGAGGAAGGCAACTAACATTTACTGAGTGATTATCATGAGCTGGGTGCTTTGTATATGGATTTACATTTAATCCTCTCGAAAACTTGTGAGCTTAAGGTTATTGTTTCCATTTACAGAAACCCAGAGAGGCTGAAGCTTGCTCAAGCTTAGAAAGTGGCTGATTCAGTAATCAAGCCCGTGTCTGTCTGATTCTAAAGACTGTGTCCCTTCCACATCTTCTTGTGAACTGTCTGATTTCAGTTTCCTGGGTATTCGTTGTCACATGGTCATCTCTGAGCTGGGATGTGCTGGTTTGGGCCAATTTATTTAGACTTCTGGTGTAAACCCATGGGAGTGGTTCTGTCTAGGCTCATGGAGCAGTAGGTCCTCCTCCAGTGCAAACTCCAAGCCAAACACCACTTGGGATTTTGAGGTACAGCACCTGGCCTCACTCAAATCTGAGTCCAAGTCCCAGCTGTGTTGCTTACAGGTTAGAAGATCTGGTGCAAGACTCATGTCTTTGGTTTCTTTGGCCTGAAATAATAATCCCCACTTACCAGGCTAAAGTGGGGAGCTAATGAATAACCCACAGGGAAATGTCTAACAGAAACAAGCACAGATGAATGTGGTCCACGCATCGCACCCCCTCCCAGACACCGGCATACCCACCCCCAGGGCAAAAATGGTTGCAAAGGGCAGGATCAACTCTGGAATCGATTGCCTGGCTTTGTATTAACCATGTCTTTTATTTTCTGTGTTCTGATGCTTTGATATCTGGGGCCTTCTGACCCTGGATGGACTGCCTCTTCCAGAGTTAGCTAGTTCTTAGTGATAGTGAACAACTCACCTGTGACTGCACTTTTTAAATGCAAACCAACCAATCCAGAGGCCACACTCCAGTCACCCTTTGTATCAGGCTCTTACACTCTGGGCCACTGTTGGCTTGGCCACAACTAGCGACAGCCCATATGAAATTGTTTGAACTGGTCAGTCTTAAGTCTGCTTACACTACCTTGCCCCTTCCACCCTCAAAAACCACAACAAAGGCTCCTACCCACAACTCCCTCTCTCTCTCTGCCTCCTGACCCACTCCAGTACTTCCTATGTGGACCTCGTGGCATGGTCTGCCCCCTTCTCTTGGAAACTATATTTTTAATGGCAATCACCTTCCTAGCTATTGGCCTTATATCTTACATTTTCTATTAATATACTATACTTTAAAACAGGCTTTGAATCCAAGATTCAAGACACCAGCTGTGTAATCTCAGGCATTCCTCTCTGAGCCTCCATTTTCTCAACTATAAAATAGGGGCAGTCACTGTTTCTCCTCCTCCTCCTCCTTTTTTTTCTTTCTTCTTTTTTTTGAAACAGAGTCTCGCTCCGTCGCCCATGCTGGAGTGCAGTGGCGCGATCTCAGCTCACTGTAACCTCCGCTTCCCAGGTTCAAGTGATTCTCCTGCCTCAGCCTCTCAAGTAGCTGGGATACAGGCATGCACCACCATGCCCGGCCAATTTTGGTAATTTTGTTTTCAGTAGAGACAAGGTTTCACCATGTTGGCCAGGCTGGTCTCAAACTCCTGACCTCAGGTGACCTGCCCACCTTGGCCTTCCAAAGTGCTGGGATTACAGGCGTGAGCCACCACGCCTGGCCCACCATTTCTATTTCTTAAGATGGTTATGAGGATTAACTAATGGATCACCTGACACATGCTAAGTGCTCAACCAGGGTTAATGCCGTTAGTGTGATGATCACTGCTGTGCATTCTGTACTCACCAAACACCCACCATGGTGCAATGCACAGTCTGGGGTGGACACAGTGCAGCCCTGATTTGGACGAGGACGAGCAGTTAAGACCCCTTCTCTGTGTATTTCCTGACCATCCAAATACAAATTGGGGCCCCTAGTATTCTGAAGAATTATACATCTGTTCAGGAGAGGCCGGGAGTGGAACCTGGCCAGTCTTAGGACCTGAAGGAACAGTTATTCTGACTGGTGAGCAGCAGACCTGCATTGGCCACAGAGCGTTGCTTGCCACGTGGATGGCAGGAGGCTGGATGGACAAGCGGATGGCACTGCTAACTTGGTGTCAGAGTAGAGGTCAAGTGAGAACACGGTGAGCCAGGTTGATGGCTAGGAGTCAGGAGAAGGTGATTGGTCAAAGCTAAATTATAGGAGCATCAACCTGTATGCAGAGACCGTGTTACCAGGACCATTCTTTTTTTTTGTTTTTGTTTTTTTGTTTTTGAGACGGAGTCTCGCTCTGTCGCCCAGGCTGGAATGCAGTGGCATGATCTCAGCTCACTGCAAGCTCTGCCTCCCAGGTTCATGCCATTCTCCCGCCTCAGCCTCCTGAGTAACTGGGACTACAGGCACCTGCCACCAAGCCTGGCTAAGTTTTTTTGTTTTTGTATTTTTAGTAGAGATGGGGTTTCACAGGACCATTCTTTACCTGGGTGTGCTGCGGCAACTGGACCGGTCTAGCAGGTGGAGCAATGGCTGGGGTGAGGATATATAGACAGAGGATAGTGACTTCTAGGAACCCAGATACCACTTGATCCTCCCCAAAAGAGAGGTCCCAAGCGCATATGGACTGCACCCCTAGAGCTGAGCTAGGTTGGCAAATGTAACCTGCAAGGCTCTGCATAATTGTTCCGGTGCATCAAACTATAGCATAATGTAGTAACAACGGTGATAGGATGTGAATGTTAGGGAAATGCTGTTGACCTAGTTGGTGGAGGAAGAGGGTCACAGCAGGTATGTGAGATCAGTGATTCTCAAATTTGAGCATGACTTAGAATCACCTACAGGGCTGTATAAATCACAAAGTACTGGGCCTCCAGCCCCAATCTCCTGCAAGTTTCTGATTCAGGTCTAGGGTGGGGCCTGAGAATTTGCATACCTAACATGCTCCTACACTAGCCAGCACTATGCTAGTTAATATTTTTCAAAAATAACTGCTTCCCTTCCATACCAGGCACCATGTTCTTAGGACCTTCCTTGAGCAAGGAGTCTATTTTCGTACCTGAAGACATCGGGCTTGGTTTTATGACATGGCTTGGCAATGAAATGTGAATGCAGGGATTGTGTGCCAAGAACTATTGTGGACTTTTGCCGTGTCTCTTTTCGTCTCTGTCAGGAGACCCGCATGTCCCAGATGTAGGGCTGCTCATTCAGCCTGGGTCTTATAATTAAGAAGACATGAAATCCAGCTGCACCTGACCCATGATGAACATGTGACATGGGAAATAAGCAAACCGTTGTCATAAGTAACTGAGATTTGGGGAACTGCTTGTTAGGGAAGCATACCATGGCTTAAAGTGACTGATATAGAAGACTTCCTAGAGAAAATGATGCCGAACAGAGTCTTAAAGGTGAATTATCTAGACAGAGAAGAAGAGGCAAGGCTATGTCAAACTTCATCCTGTAGGGACCTGATAAACCTCAAATGTGACATGTCTAAAACAAAGGCTTAGATGCCATTTCCCATCCCCAAATTGTTCCTTCCAAAGTCTTCTCCAAGACATTAAATAGCACCATCACCTACCCTGTTTCTAAAGGCAAAAAATCAGGAAGCCCTCCTTAATCAACTTGTCTAATTCCCCCACTGCCCTCATCAGCAAGTCCAGCTGGCTGCACCTACAGATACAAGGTCAACTCCAGGGTCTCATCCTAGTTTAAGCCGCCACCATCTCTCCCCTGTGTTGTTTGCAATTACCCACTTGCTGGTCTGCCTGTTTCCACCCTTGCTTCTCTTTACTCCATTCTCCACACTGTAGCCAGAGCAATGTGATAAAAATATAAATCAGAGTACAGATTAGCTCATTTCAGTCCTTGCAGTCTCCAAAGGCTTCCAATTATATTTAAAATAAAACCTCACCTCCTTATTGTGGCCTGCAAAGCCCTACATAATCTAGTCCCTGTCTACTTCACTAATCTCTCCTCACACCATGTTCCCTAGTCCACTTCAGTAAGTTCAAGACACATTGGGCTTCTTTCTAATCTTCATTCCCACCTCAGGACCTTTTCACTGCAAGTTGCCTCTTCCTCAGTTGCTCACATGCCACCTCCTCCTGAAAGCCTGCCTTGGCTACCCTAACTCAAGAAGTTCCTCTGTTGCTCTCCAAGTTGATCTCTCCCAATGTTTCCTTTCCTTTCCGTCATTGCCCTCATTGCTGATTACAGTTATTTATTTGCCTATTTGATTGTTATCTGCACACTCATTAGAATGGACGTTCCAAGACAGATAGAAGATCAAAGATTTTCATTCATTCATGCATTCACTCCTTCATTCAACAAATATTTATTAAGCATCTAGTATGTACAAGACATTGTCAGTTGTTCTGGGGACACAGCAGGCAATACTACTTCAGCAATAAACCACTGCCTTACACATTACAGTTGCTCAATAAATATTAGTTGACTAAATAAATAAATGAGTAAACCAAAAGGTAGGAAAAAGGTTGAATCAGAAAGGATATTGATCACAAGTACATTGCTAACAGTAAAACTAAACTTTAATAACAAAGCAACAAAACTGCTAAATTAGACTGGCTGGGACATCCAGATCAAACAACATTGGTCCAGAGAAAATGAGCTAGGAAAGGCTGCCTCATTGGGATTTCTGAAATTATGCAAGAATCATTAAAATGTAGAACATGACTATGAGTAACCAGCATGAAAATACCAAGTGCATTTCTTCTATTCACAGAATGACTACCCAGTAACTTATGTGGTATAATTTATTGAGGGCTTTCCTTGACAAATGAAAGGAAACCGTATTTGCGAAGGAAACTGCAAATACGGTTTCATTTTCAAACTTGTGCTGCCAATTTCTATGAATAATTTTGTGTCCAGGATTTAATGAATCTTTCAGGAATTTTTATAAACTGCTACAAGTCAAAGTCAAGAGACAGTGTTTGCAAGAAGCAGTGTTTCAAAGGTTTAAATGCTATACCTGGTTCTGGCCAGAAACTCTGAAGTTCTCTTCTTCTTTTCAGATATTGGAATATTCTTCATGTAATGCAGTATCACTTCTGTATGAAGCCACGTGTAACTTGTCCCCCTCCTTTCCATCATGAGAACTACTGAAGATGTAAACCAAATCCAGGTACAGAAAAGTCTCAATAATTCAGGCTTTGGAGAAAGCCAGTGGGAGCCATTGCGAAGCCTGAATTCTAGAGCACTAGGGTATGGTGTATGTGTTTTTTAAAAAAGTACATTCAATAATATAAAGTAAGTCAACCAAGTATTGACTTTTGCTCATAGTTGGTGGGGAGGAAGCTAAATTAATGATATATTAAAATGCCTTACAGTCGCATATTGCATATTGATTTGTCCTCATAAGGAAGATAAACAATTTTTCCTATAAGATTACTTATACATTATTTTCTTAATTCACTTTTTCAGAGCACTTTCAATTGAATTTCAGGCAAAATGCAATCTAGGCCTAGTCCAGCTAAATGCAAACTTTGGATTTGTGGGTCTAAATTTTTTTATTGTAAAACTTAAAAGCATTCTTATATCCACCATTGTAGAGTTACTCTAACATTCTTCAAAATTTTATCAGAGACTTCTTGCTGTTTTTAGGTGTCAAGATATTTATTAATTGCTTTTTACAATGTGCTGTGACTCATGCTTAAAGTAATCACTTTTCTTTAATGACTCAAGCAGGGAAACCAGTGACATTTGTGAATAGTAGACGGGATAAAAGGAGCTGGACACACTCTTTCTTCAACATCTGCCATGATATGATTTCACAAGCAAGAAATGTGCCAAGGCTTCTACCCAAGTAAGCTATTATTCATTTATTTCATTGTTGAGGAATGCCTTAATATGACTAGGATAGAAAAATTATGTTGATGTGCTTATACAAGAAAAAAAATGAACAGACCAAAGGAGGAGAATAAAAAGCCCAGGAAACCACAAAGACTTTAAGCAGCTTTATGCCAAAGGGGAAAAAATGATCTTTGTAATGAATGGTGCTGATCAGTGGATATCCAAACAGGAAAATAAACATGCCTTCACCCCCTACTTCACATAAGCTACAACTATCAATTCTAGAAGTACAGGTTTAACTATGAAAAATAATAAAGTTTCTAGAAGAAACGTAGAGCATCTTCATGACGTTGTAGTATGTAAAGATTTCTTAAATAGATCCCAAATTCCCAATCATATTGGGAAAAATAATAAATTTCTATATTAAATTAAGAACTTCCATTCATTAGCCAGATGCAGTGGCTCACAGTAGCCTCTCAACGTGCTGTAATCCCAGCACGTTGAGAGGCCAAGGTGGGTGGATCCCTTGAACTCAGGAATTCAAGACCAGCCTGGGCAACATAGTGAGACCTTGTCTCTACAAAAAATACAAAACAAACAAACAAAATTAGGCGCACATGGTAGCCCACACTTGTACTCCCAGCTACTTAGGAGGCTGAGGCGGGAGTATGGCTTGAGCCTGGGAGGCAGAAGTTGCAGTGGGCCAAGATCACACCACTGCACTCCAGCCTGAGTGACCAAGTGAGACCCTGTCTCAAAAAACAAACTAAACTAACTAACTAAATAAATAACTTTCATTCATCAAAAAGACACCAACATCAAGAAAGCAAAAACTACAGCTCACAGAATGGAAAGTAGTATTTCCAATGTTTATCTAACAGAGAACACATTTCCATAATAAATAAAGAATGTCCACAAATCAGTAAGAAAAAGACACAAATCCAATAGGAAACTGCGCAAAAACATAAACAAGTACTTCACAAAATAGAATATCCAAATGGCCAATAAACATACTAAAAGACAGCAAATCTCACTAGTCATCAGGGAAATACAAATCAAAAACACAATGAGATAATACCATACACACAGTGAGTGGAATGGCTAAAATGAAAGACAGATGATGCCAATTATTGAGTAGGATGTAAAGAAGCTGGAACCCCCATAAATGCTTCTGTTGAGCGTGTATATTGGTAGCACCATATTTAAAAAGTTGCTGGCAGTATCTACTAAAGCAGTGTGTAGGCATATCTCATGACCCAGCAGTTTTACTCCTAGGGATACACATTACAGAAATGCATGCATATGTTCCCTAAAAGACATATACAAGAGGCTGGGTATGGTGGCTCATGCCTGTAATCCCAGCACTTTGGGAGGCCGAGGCAGGCGGATCACGAGGTCAAGAGATCGAGACCATCTTGGCCAACATGGTGAAACCCTGTCTCTACTAAAAATACAAAAATTAGCTGGGCATGGTGGCACGCACTTGTAGTCCCAGCTGCTCGGGAGGCTGAGGCAGGAGAATCACTTGAACCCGGGAGGTGGGGGTTGCAGTGAGCCAAGATCACACCACTGCACTCCAGCCAGGGGACAGAGCGAGACTCTGTCTCAAACAAAAAAAAAAGATAGATATATACAAGAATATTCATAGCCCAAAGTGGAAGCTACCTGTCCATTCAATGGTAGAATGGAAAAATAAACTGTGGTACATTCACAATGAGTTAGTGAAATAAGAATGAGAAAACTGCAACCACACATAACATGAACATCTCTCACAAACATCCTGCTGAAAGAGTGCAGACAGACACAAAAGAGTAGATACTGCACAATTACTCTTACATAAAGCTCAAAAACAGGCACAACTAATCTGGGGCCTCAGAAGTCAGGATGGTGGTTTGTCTTTTCAGCGTTTTAACTGGAAGGGGCACGAGGGAGGCTTCTGGGATGTTTAAATGTTCTGAGACATTTTTGCTCTAAGTGCTGATTACATGTTCAATTTGTGAAATTGTTCAATTTGTGAGAAGTCATCAAGCTGGACACATGATCCTTGCATAAAACTGAACACTTATAATTTATGCATAAAATCAACTCTCACTGCAAGACATTTTATATTTTTTTCGGTTTATTTCTGATTATATTTGGAGAGGCCAATTTTACATGATAGCTTCAAACCAACCATTGTACATTAACCAAATTTTACACAAGCCATTTGAAAAAAGATCTAAAAATGTGCTTAGTTATTGGTATTATATAACATAACATTTATCAAGCACCAAGAGTGTGCTGAGAGCTGTACAGAACAAACATAGAAAAGACAGTCCCTGCCTTCAAGAATACCCATTCCTTCAGGATCTTGCACATAAAATTTCACCTTACATTCCACACTCTTTTATTCATAAGGCATAAATAAGGAAGTTTGTTGCATTTCTCATTGTTACTTAATAAATATTGAATACCCTTTTCCCCAATTATACCAACAATTACTTGTATCTTTGCCTTTAAATACAAATTTTCATAGTACAGTATACAGTATATACTGATTTGGTATTCACACAATTGACCACAATATTCTTGCAGGTTGGTTATAATATGAAGCATGTTGAATTTCAACATTCACAAATTTTTATACCACTTAACAAAATCTTTTATTGTTGGCAGAGCTTCTTCTGTTTTTTTCTATTTCAAAAAAAAAAACAACAACAACAAATGTGATGCCACTGCTCTTATCTTGATAACTTGTAAACAGAAACAGCACTGCCTTGATTCCAATAAGGGTATCAGAACTATGGCACAGATATTCAGAACAGTGATATTTAGCACGTCTATTAAACTAGCCTTACAGATGTCAATCACATAGTTGCATACCTTAAAATACTAACAATTTATGATCAGCTAGTAATGGATGATGTAAGTTATGATTTAGTTTACTGTAATGAAGGGGATACTGGTATAAAATGTCGGCAAAATTTGAGCGGGGAAATATTTTTTGCTTTTCTGCAAGGCTGTGTTCAAAACAAATTCAGATTAGAAGATGAAATGATTATGAAAGAAGATGAAATGATTATGAATTTAATCATTGGTTAAGGATATTTAATTTCAAAATAATCTCAAATAATATTTTATTACTTTTAAAATGCAGGAAAAACGAAGTGAATTTTGATAACGTTGTAATTTTAGACTCAGGTACAAGAAATTATCCTTTACATAAAAATGCCAGAGTATGGTGGGAGATGGCACCCAGTACAGTAGAGAGGCCAGTCCGTATGTCACCTGCGGGAACTCATTGCAACAGGAGGTGATGGGCAAAGATTAGAGAGATGGATAGATGTTTCCCTCCTAGCCAGACTCTATCTTGCTCATTCTGCAAACTGAGGGAATAGGGGAGATAGATAGGGTGAGTCTCAGGGTCAGGGAAGGAAGGCTGGGGTGAGCTTGGGGTCAATGGCAAGAAAAGCTCCAACTGTGAACCTCACCTTCTATCTATCCCAAGACCCCAAGCATCCAATAGCTCCAAGCCATGGTAATGATTCATAACCTCAGCGTCAGACTTGGTATTATCAGACTGAGGATGACCCCTTTCCAGAGAAACCCACCTTACTTTTGGCCTCCATTTTGCAATTTCCTGGATTATTACCAGGTCTAGATGTTTCCGTTACGTGACAACAATGTTGAGTTGAATTTTAAAGCTACTGTGGACTCAGAGCAAGACTGAATTTCTGACTACCTCTCCAGCTATGGAAAGTATAGAATATTCTATAGAATCCTTTCATTTCCAAGCCTGAGGTGTGACTTATAGTCATGCCTTCCCAAGGTAGCTAGGCACATGCCCAAATGGGGTCCACTAGGAATAGATTCACCAAGGGCAGTGGAAAAAGTGGTTTGGTCCAGCCTCGATGGTCCTACCTGTTAAATGGAAGATTTGGGGTGGATTTGACTAGATTTTTCTTATCCTGGGTAAGTACATCTCCCCCTCTTCTGCAAATCCAGAGCAAGAGGTTGGGAGCTACCTATCTCTGATGCTCTGGCACTTCATCTGTGATAAAGAGGAGAATAGTGGGGCTACAATATGGTGTAGAGTCTTACTGGTTGAGGGGTTAGGTGGAAAGGCAATGCCCAGAGTGGTAACCTAGTAGTCTCTTTGGGGTGAAAGAAACAACCTTATGTAATATGCCCCATTGAAAACAGAGCACCAAAGACTATAATTCTGATGATAGAGAGTAACATATTTTTTTCATTTTCAATTATAAATCCTCAGTTTTTCATACTAAGGCTTAAGTTTTCGGTTACTGAAATTGAAAATCCATACATAAACATGATAATACAAATAGATAACATGAAGACTTCTAAAAATAAAGGTTCACCACAGATGAAAACATTCATCCCTCACTTGTTAACATAATAAAATTAACTGTCTACCCCTTAATGGTGAACAACAGAATCAGACACAGCAAGCTAAGCATTATTTGCGATTTTTCAGAATGGATGCTAGACTCCTATTGCTTTAAAAATTGAGATGCTCTCAAATCTTTTAGAAATTTATTATATCATACGGAGTGATTACACTTGCTACCAAAATCTATTTATATCCCACCTTATTATCAAAAAATATATATAAGGTAGCTAGTTTCTGTCAATCCTTTTTTCTTTGACCTGTAACAAGACATTGGAATCAGATGCTGATAAGGATTCTTTCTGTTCCATTATTGTCAGAGCACCATTCAGCAGGTGGAAACAGATCAAATTTGGATGAAATTACAACAGCTTCTTTTACACGAAAGAAACCTTGCTCTCAAGTTATTTAACAGAGAAGACAATAAATAAAAATCAAGTATTTAGATAGATAGATAGACATATAGATAGATAGATAGACATATAGATAAGTGGTTAAACAGATAATATTTTTTGCACTGCTGACAAGTATTCAAAACTCTGGAGTAGGTGTTGGGGTAACTGAGAAGACCTCAGTGCCTTTATTATTATTATATTATTGAACATTATTGAGCAAGCTTTCAAAATCTTTTTAAAGCCATTGAAAATGGCAGATATTAGTGGTGCGTGAAAACCATGGTTTACAGATAGAATGTCAACGTTTAGCCATTGTCTCTACTCTTCAAGGCACAAGGACAAGTTCCAAACTCTTCAACTCATGTATGAGAGGCAGAGCATCTGGTACCACCAGGAGATAGAAAATCAAGGAATGGAGCCACACACCAAAGCAAGAACAGGAGATCCTTTGGAGTGGCCATGATTTTCAAATACTGACCTTACATCGTTAGCAGGCAGCTCCCCTACACTTTGGATTGAGGACGAGGTCTCCTGGCCTGAATACCTTGGCCCATCATGCAGTCTGAGCATACTTCATTCCACGCCTGACTTGGTAGTCCAGCTCCTTCTCACTCCAAGTGCAAGGAAGAAGGTCCAGAATGTTTCCATGAAGATCTGCAGTGATGCAGACACTCTGTCGTGTTGATGACAAAAGGGCAAGAATGAAACGTCAGTAGCCCTTGATAAAAGTCGACAGAGAAGTAATACCCTTTAGGGACACACACCCTGTTACTTCACCAGCAATGGTCTAAGAACATTATGGAAAAGAGAAGCCACCTCTTTTCTTCTTATGTTGCTATTTCCCTTAGTTTCTTCTAAAGAGGCGTGTATTAAATATCTTCTGTATAACTTATTCCCCACCATGAAACATCATCAAAATGGAAAGAACCCAATTAATCTTCCTTTTTTGGCTTGGAATATTCAATTTGTATTTATTGATAGTCCATGATGTTCTTTTGGTAGGAAAAGATATTGCACTTCTAAAAATGCGTCAGAGTGTAATTGAGTCAAAGCTAATAGGTAGGTAGATTTCTCACTAGAATGTATACTTTCTGAAAACCACCTTCATTCAACATTTGTAGAAATGCCTCCATGATTTCATCTCCATTTCAACAAATTGTTGCCTCACTGCTGCAAGATTCTAAGATACAGACGACGACATTGGTAGTCATAAGCTGTACGTAAGGTTGCATTCTTAGCTCATGATTTCATTGTGCAGATGGGCACGACAATAACGAGGATGACGGTGCATGCCGCAGCAGCGATCAGAGCAGCTATCTTGCAGACCTTGGCTCGTCTGAATTCGGCTTCTTTACGTTTTAGTAATGAATCGTATCCTGGAGTATAAATGTCTTCCATCCAGTACTCTAAATTATTTGGGTTTAAAGATTCTTGCGTCTAAAAGCGAAGAGAAGATGTTAGAAATACAGTGAATACTTGAAATCAGGTCAAAGACGTCCCGACAGTCATCACTCCTGAAGCACTTAAGTTGTCTGCAGCTGGGAGTTAGAGACTGTATTGCATAACACTGCCCCACCAGCCCCATGCCTGAGGCAGGCTACTACAGGCTCATCCCACATATCACAGATTGCATAGGCCCCTCCCTCACTAAAAATATCATGTTGGTTTTGACACAGAGAAACCCAAGGGTCTTTTATCTGTAAGCAAGCAAAATGGGGCTGAGACGAGCAAGACTCCAAACTTCAAGGGCATGCAACCAAGGAGGGGCTGGCCTCACTGCAAAGGAAACAAGGAAAGTCACTGAAAAATGCTTTCTTCCAACAGGCTCTAAGAACAGATCTGCTTGAAACAAGACCATCATAGCACTCTGAGTCAGTTCTTCTTTCTCAGAAAAGCTTCTACTGAAAAATCAAAGGAACCTCCAAGATGAGCAGTTTAAACAAAACATAGACTATTTCAAATTCAGCCATTTATCTGAGCAGGTCATGCCACTGCTCAAAGTCAAGGTCTACCAACCCCATGGCAGACTGTTCCCACCCTAGACCTGCCTTGGCAATAGTTTCAGACTCGGTGCAGCTTCCCCAAAGAGAGAGCCCCCACTGACATTTGTCTGCTGATCTCCCTGAGGTTAATCAACTGTCATCAGGAGAAATACCATATTTAACTTGTATTTTCCGTGAATCCTATTCCACGTTGACAGTTATAATCTATTTCCATGAAGAAAGGCAGTGTTCTCATTTTATGGCAAGCATTTAATAATATGAGTGTCACATAAAAGCAACAGCACATTGCAATTCGAAGTGAGGTCATTTAAGTCTTTGAAATGCAAACAAAATATCCATTTTTAAGATTTTCTTAGATTGTTTAATGCTCATAAACATGGGCACATTAAAAATTATTCATACACATATACAAACACAGGCTCAAAAAACAAACCTTTCAAAGTTTTAAAAAACTCAGTTGTACCATTTATTGATGGAACAGTGATGATTCTAATGCATGCTAGTAATTCTCTGCCTGACCTTCTAGATTCATTCTCTTTTTTCATCTTGCTCTGTGCCCCTAGGAATATAACGTACATGGACACGTCATGGGGGCTCCCCTGCCCTCAAGCTCCCATGGGGGTTCAGCCAATGAAGACAAGAAGAAAGAGAGATTGAGGTATTTATTCCCCCAGCTCCCTCCTGGCTGGGCTGTAGTTTGGCAGTGGCCCAGCTCCTATTGGACACCTGCTCTCAGAGCTGTGGGTCTCAGTGGGTTTCAGAAACAGCCCCTTTCCCTTGGCCCTTCAGATCCAAGGGTGGCAACAGCTTCCTACTGGTGCTGGTCTCTGGGTGCTTCACCAGCTATTGTAAAGAGTCCCCTCCTTAGCTACCCCTTTGAGAATGTCACCTGCCTGCTGCCAGGACACTGACAACCCGCAGGCCCTGCACCCCTCAGGCTTTATTATCTACCTGTTGCTCATAGTTGTCTAGCACAGGGGTAGACACACTATGGCCTGCAGGCCGTATCTGACCTGCCACCTGTCTTTGTACAACCCTTGAACTACGAGTGATTTTTAGTGATTTTTTTCCATTTTTAAATGGTTGAAAAAAAATCAAAAGAATATTTTATGACATATGAAAATTATATGAAATGCAAATCTCAGTGTCCAAAAATAAAGATTTATGGGAACACAGCCACTCCTATTTGTTTCCAAATTGTCTATAGCTGCTTTCACACTACAATGGCAGATTGTACAATGGGAGATTATAAGGCCCACAAGGCCTAAAGGATTTACTATCTGGTCCTTTACAGAGAAAGTTTGCCAGCCCCCGTTCTAGAACATGCTATGCGACACTACAATGGAAAGAGAAGGGGATCTAGGCATCACAGAAAATCTTCCTGGTCCCTTCCCTCGCCGAGGCATAATGTTTAGAGACTGCTGTTTAATTTCTCAAGTTACATGGAAGGGTGGGAGGTGGTCCTGGACACTCAGGGCACCCAAAATAGAAACCAAGACACTCTCAATGTGGGGAAAAGTCCCTATTGTGCAGAGTGCTCTGTCCAACCCTTCAGCCTTTGCAAGAAACTCCTGCATCCTCTGCTAGAGCCCCAGAAGCCTCTTCCCTGAGCTTCCCAGAGCAGTTCCACTGCTGCTGAACCCTGACTGTTGGACCGCCTCTTCCTCCTGCTTGAGCCACCAAAGCTCTGCTTGCCACAGGCCCTTGGGGCCAGTCTGCTCTCCTTGGCATGAAAACATGAACACCCTTCAGCAGTTTAATAGGCACTAAAGGGCATATTTTGCTGGAAGACTGGTCTGCAGAAGTGGCTGAGGCACCCCTAAAGGCTGGGTGCTGGTGGGGGTCAGACCAGCAGCCCTCCCTACCCTGGCACCTGGAAGTCAGGCTCAGCACACTATGGGTAGAACAACCTGCTCTTCTTCTCAGTCATCCTAGGGCTGGCCCAGAAGCCAAACAGTGTCTAAATGACACATCAGATTTTGTACTTTATTCCCTCCGGCTCAGACAGAAGGAAATTGGCTTTCTTTCATAGCTATATACACTATTACGGGCTGGGATTCAGTGTGTGAAATAAACTATTTTTAATTAGTTTTTTCAATAACTGTAAGCTGTAATCGCACCAAGTAGAAAAGAGGTAATACTGAGGTTTCAAGGGACACAGGTGAGTGTATGCAGTTATTAATTAGCCCTGGCAAACACTGGAAAGAAGAACGGGGTCTGCACCTTTGCCTACGCCCTCAAGTGGGCACCACTGATGGTGAATGTATATCTCAACACAAAGGAACTCCGGGAAGATTGTCCAGACACCAACACTGCCCTAAGACTGTACTCGAGTCTGCAAAGAGATGAAAAGAAAAAAGGTTGTGCTTACTGCCTTCACCAAGCTCTCAAGGTTGGCTCTTTTTTGCTGTAAACACCCTCACACGGCTATTGAACTCTCTACTTCCTCATATTTTATGCAACTGGATACTCTCTCCTTTGGATTTTTAAGTAATGTCACCTAAAGCTCTGTAACCCCAATATCTATTTTTAATTTTTATAATTTTATCTTTATGCTTATAAACACTGGTGCAGTAAAAGCTCACATATCTGTAGGGGGTAAATCTTCCAGCTCCCTCCCTGCAAACTTTGCAAAGATGTTTCTCAGCCTATGGCTCACTTAATTAATCTAACTCTTTCAAGGTCATCCAGTGATACTGATGAAATATTCCACCGGAGGGAGAATCATGAAATATTCCACCGGAGGGAGAATCAAATCCCTGTCTAGCCTCCTTGCCCGCAGGAAGTTGACAGAAGAGGGATTGACCTGAAGGATCAAGGGGTATGCAGTCCAAGTGGGAATGTAACATGCATGAGGTAAGGGGGTGAGGAAGGGCTTAGGGTTGCTACTGATGCCCCCACAACCCTCACTGTCAGGGTCTGGACAGAGCTGCCCCTTCCCATAATTGCTGTCATTTAAGGCCCAAGATAAAGAAATGTCATTGCAATCATTTTCTTTTGTAACATAAAACTCCACTAAACCCTTAACAAGAGAAAAATGAAATGGCAAGAAAATTGCAGAAGAGAAAGACCATGAGACTTATTGCCAGATGGTCCAGTATGAATTTAGACTTGTCTGACCTGGGGCAAATTATCGAGCTTCCTGGGGCCTCGATTTCCTCATTTGTAAACTGAAGATGGTCATAGCAATTCCGGCCTCACAGGCCACTGTGCCTGGAACTGAGAGACTGTAAAAAGCACCATGCAAAGTTGATTGATTTCAGCATCATTGACCAGCCCCCAAGGGCCTTCTTTTTCAGTGCCTACTTGATGCCAGGTACTTTAAATATATTAATTCTTACAATGACTCACAAGCTTGATATTATTATGTCCATTTAACAGGTGGAGGGACTGAACCTCAATCAGATGGAGTGAATGCTTCAGGTCACACAGCGAAAGAGTCCTGGATGAAAACCCAGTGCTACCAGAAGGCAGTCTCTTCTCTCCACCACACTGTACCTCCCACAGCCCTCTTTTAGAGCAAGGCCATTTCAGGGAAGCCTTGCCATACCCGATCTCCACAGGCAGCTCTCACCAACTGTGCTTCAAGTGCATGGTCATTCCAGAGCCTGGACGGAACGGGCACTCCTGGTGCTATGGCCTCACTGCCTACAAAGCTAAGTGCACAGGTAGGGGGACAGGGTGCTTCCTTTGCTCCTGTGGTGATCTGGAGACACAGATCAACCCAGTGTGAATGGAACCAGGCAGAGCTGCCCACCAAAATAAAAGTGTGGCCAAAACCCAGCCCTGCTTGTGGGTGAACAAAAAACATGCCCTCCAGCCACAACTGCATTCACAGAGCTTCCGGGGATGGCTCTTACCTGGGGCTGCTCCGTATGGAAACATAATCCATAGCTTGGCTCCCACAAATATGCTTATCCCACGTGCTACATATGGAAGGAGAAATCAGCTTGTATTTCATTAAACAGTTTGGCTCAGGTCTTGTGAGCAAATATTAGAATCTGCACTTGGTACAGAGTCGTAAATGCATTGTTAGCAAATCAGATGGCCGATAAAAAATACATAAATCAATCAAGCATTCCTACTGCTAAATGTTTACAAATAAGCAAAACAACGATCCCCTTGTTAAAAGTCTCTTCTGCTCTATGATTTATTAAAGTTCTGAATTCCATGTTGGGGGCCCAGGGAGTTGAAGGGTGTGGAAGTGGGCTGGCCGGTCTAAGCCGTCCGTGATCCATTCCAGGGCATTTGCCAGGGCACAGCTGGGCTTCCCCCACCCAGGGACAGTGAGAGGCTCACCTGCAGGTCCAGGGCTGTCAGCTTGCCCTTGTCGCCCGCATTCCGTGCATACTCCTCAATGGTCCAAGAAGGTTGGCCCCGCTTCACCTCGGCCAACTCGGTCAGCCGCATGTCTGTGTACAGGGGGTTGCTCTTCATGTGGGCCTTGAGGGAGGCAGGGTAGGGGTGAGGGCTGAACACCTGCTCCACCAGGAAGCCATCTTTGGGCTGCTTGGGCAGTCGGTGCTGTGGGGGAATGTCGTACTGCCTGTCTGCCTGCAGAGGGGCACAAAGAAGTCCAGACAAGTGGCACAGTTGCCCTTGGATTTCACAGTGCAATTGAGCAGCCAGCAGCTTTCCTGTAGACATTCAGGTAGCAAAGTGCAGTTACTTCCAGCCAAATCAAAAGTATGAAAGCATAACCATATTGAGGGAAATTCTCTAGGAAAAGCTTATGATCATAATGTTACTAATATAAACTAACATTTCTGTGCCAGAAAAAGGTTATTTAATGTAATCTTTAGGCCATCACTACCATTGTGAATCCCCATTGTACAGGTAGGAAAATGGAGCCCAGACTCAGTAACTTGCCCCGAGGCACACAGCTAGTAAGGGGTGGAGCTAGGATTTAAACCTGATCATCTGGCTTTAGAGTCGTTGTTTAACTACTGATATTAATGCCCCCTCTTTCTTTCACCATTTTGCACGGGGTACAGATGAGTAAAAGATACGGGTCCTTTCCTCAAGGAACTCGCTGAAAACCCTGATGCTACACTGCTTCTTTGGAGGGAAGAAGCTGAGTCAGAAAGCACATGTTGGGAGCCTCTAGTGATTTTCCCAGGCAGCAGATGGGCCCCTGGTCAGAGGGGATATGGCCTTCAGGATAAGAAAGAAGTCTGGGCAGCAGTGTGGAGGTAGGAAGGTGCCTAAAACAGGTGGCAATAATTAATATTCTCAGTCCTTGAAATGCAAGCCAAGGGTTTCTGCTCTCAGTATACCTGTTATAAGACTGGGTTAGTGCTCATTATGTGACCTCTTAGAACTGTGTTCAGACCCTTCAGCCAGCATTTGCGCCTTTGAACTATAACTGCCTGTTTGCCCATCTGGCTCCTCTGCTAAACTATGAGTTCCTTAAAGGCAAGGGATCATTTTGTTCACCTTTTAATCCCCTTCTCCAGCAACGTAATACCACCAAGTAGAAGACACTCCATGAATATTCATCAGAGGGTTAGAGGCGATATGAAGTCATGTGTATGGAACAGAGAGCAAAGAAGTTGTGTATCTCAGTAATAGCAAGAGAAAAAGGAAAAAAGAAGAATGTGAGTCAAAGTGTGTGTACAGAAGGAAGAGAAGGAGAATGTTTAGGTGTGATGCAATGAGAGTTGATGTGCAAGAACGTGGGCACACGTGTATGTGTGTGACCTATACACTTGCATAGGGGCTGGAAGCACACCTGGAGTGTGTGTGAGTGTGTGGATCATATGCTTGCATAGGGGCTGGAAGCACACTTGTATGTGTGTACGTGGATCAGATGCTTGCATAGGGGTTGGAAGCACACGTGGTGTATGTGTGTACATGTGTGAGTGTGTGGGTCCTACACCTGCATGGGGACTGGAAACACATCTCCACCTACCAGCAAACCCAACCCATTGGCTCTTACCCAAATAGAGCATAACATTTGGCTATTCTAGACCATCAAGACTGCTGACACTGACACAGAGAACACAGGATAAACCCACACAAGAAAATGAGGTTCCCTCTTATTTTCTAACTCATCAAAGCCAAGTATCTTCTAAGAGACTTCACCAGTTTTTGCTCATCACCACCGCCCAACACTCAGAGAGCTCCTATTGCATGCAGAGTCTGCACCAAGCTGGGAGGAAGGGGAGATGGTGATAATAACTACGACGGTAGCCACTGCAGGCATAATTGCAATTAACCAAGGGCTATGTGTCCACCACTCTGCTCAGTGCTAAACATGCATTGTCTTCATTTCATCTTCTCATTAAAATTCTGAGGTTGTAGCTATTATCCCTAGTATGGATGTGGAAACTCAGGTTAAGAGACTGACCCAATGTCAGACAGCTGGTAAGTGGCAGAGCCAGGATTTGAAACTGTTTTCACTTCTAAGATGGAAAGTTTCATTGCTGCCCATGCCTGTTCGTATCACTGAGTTTGTGTTCTCACTGGGCAGTCAATATATATACATAATACGTATTTTCAATAAAAGTTTCCATCCACTATGTCTGAACAAACGGGATTAAGGGCTGGAGACCAGCAATAAGCCCTAGGAAAGCTTACAGAGACTTATGAAGTAAGGGGCCTTGACGGGAGCATAGGACTTAGATCAGTACAGGGGAGGTGGACCAGAGAGTCTTGGTGGAGGATTCACATAAAGAAAAGTTTGACAGTGAAATAGGGCCTGGCCGTCATAGGTGCTCAATTAGTGTTTACTGAATGGGTGACCAAATGAATGAGCATGGCTATTTTGAGGCAAAACAGGAAGACTCATCAAGGTAGAGCAGGGTCCAGTCAAGGTATAACAGAGCCTTCTAGTTGAGGAAAGGTACATTCACAGGGTTGTGAAGGCCTGGCTAAGACGTTTGCAACTCTTTGCAGAGGCAAAGGAGAGTCAGAGAAGAGTGGGGAATAGGGGGCCCTGCGCAACCACAGAGAGTGGCATTTTAGGAAAGCGAATGCAGCAGTGGCCCATGAGATGAGATGGAAGGTGAGAATGTGCCCAAGGATCCCCGGTAGGGAAAGAGCCTTGACTCAACGTAGAGGTGTAAATGGAAAAGAAGGCAGAGTTGCAAAAGACACGACAGAAGGCAAATCCATAGGGTCTGGTAGCTACGCTGGACAAAGTGAGCCCAAGAGGAGGGACCAGAGGGGCTTCTTCAGTTTGGAGGATTGCTAGAATGCTGACTCCATCCTCACCCCTCCCAGAATGGAAATAGTGAGAGGGAACACTGTTTTTAAAGGAACAGAAAAGCCTGCTTTGGGAACTGTAGATTTTGACATGTAGGCAAGACATTTAGGGGAAACTGGCCTTCAGCAGTTTGACATATGCAACCAAAGCTCCAAAGGTGGGCCGGGTCTGGTCACTACCATGGGAATCACCATCCCCAAGGTGGTGAGAGTCACAAGCCAGGAAGGAGAAATGAGGTTGCAGAAGGGGACAAAATAAAGAGAATGCATCCCCAGTGTTAGCAACTTTGTGTTAGACCTATCGAGCGGATCTGACTGAAGCTTGTGTCTGCTCATTCCTGCTGGCTTTGTGAAGCTTTGACATTTGATAGGTGGGAGGCATGGCTGGTTCAGTTTAACCTAATATTTCTACAGAAGCACCTAACCATTTGAGTTCTCTAAATGGCCACTGTTCAATGATATCTGAAACCCAAAGCACCAGAAACCTGGCCAGACCCTGGCAGCTAAGAGATAGTGACAATAGAACCCAAGGGGAGGACTGGATCTGGGCATCTTGTGCCCAGCATGGCAGCATATATCAAACTCTGGATCCTCTCCAACACCACATGCAGTAAGCCGCTCCAGAAGCACACAGCAGTAACCAGCAGACACTAGAGGTTTATTTAAAATCAGGGGGATTTTAAATACTCCCTCCCCTCTTTGGACCCTGAAAATTTCCTTAAAACCCAGTTTTACAAGCTTTTCCTTCTCAGCACCATTTGAGGAGCTCGGCCTCCTCCCTGGCTTTGAATGTCTGTAGCCCACACCACTGTCACTCTCTGACAACTCAGACCTTGGAGACCTCAGGAGTAGGGCCTTCTCTGTCCACTGACCTTTTAGAAGCAGGACATGGAATGGAGACAAGCAACAAACTGAAGTTGCATCACCTTGGCCAGAAAGGGGTCACTGTAACCCAGTTAGAATGAACAGGATGGGCCACAGGTCCCATAGAAACAAACCACCCTTACTGCAGGGGGTGAGAGAAAGAAAGGATTCAAGTGTATGTGTGCACAATGATTCTAGGACTGAGGAAGTGAAGTCTGCTATAAACATGCAAAAGCACAGAGCTTACGTGAAAGAGCCTCCAACGAACAACAGTGTAGAGAAAAAAACTAAAAAGGAAAGGAAAGACACCAGATTAAGAGTTGCCGTCTTTGTGTGGTGGAACTATGAATGACTTTCTTATCTTTTTTTTTCTTGAGACAGTCTTGCTCTGTTACCCAGGCTGGAGTGCAGTGCATGATCTCAGCTCACTGCAACCTCTGCCTCCTGGGTTCAAGCAATTCTCCTGCCTCAGCCTCCCAAGTAGCTGGGACTACAGGCTTGTGTTACCACACCTGGCTAATTTTTTTTACATTTTTAGTAGAGATGGGGTTTCAACATATTGGCCAGGCTGGTCTCAAACTCCTGACCTCATGATCCTATTTATCTTCTTTACTTCCTAATCATCAATTTATTTTATAATGAAAAAAACCTCATACTTAAAAAGGAACATCACACATACAATGAAGTCCATGAAAAAGATGTATCAGCCAGCACCTTTTCAGTATTTTCCCTCGTGTACCTGGCCTGCATCCTATTTCAGAAAGGACAGGAAGATATCCTTGGTGATGCTTGCCTGCTCTGATACGTTCCCCATTCTATGAAAATCTGTTCTCACACCACCTGTCTAATGAATCCCAACCCTACGTTCTGCTGTCAGCAATATCGCAGCATGTGCTCCTCCTAGCTGATGGACAACCTGGTGGAACACACGACCTGCCTATGTTGTCCTCTCTATTCCAATGTGAAAACCCTGCCAAACCTGGAAGGATGACTGGCACACAGAGGCCAGGCCTCTTGCCTGTTTAACGCCATGTTCAAGGCTTTGAAATACACCAGGGCTATGATGAAGCTGGTGCCCGATTATGTGAACTTAAATTTAAATTACCTCTTTAGATTTCCGATGCCAGTCTTTATTATCTCCTGGGCCTGTGTCTTTTATCTCCTCCTCATTGAGGCCCACACGGTTGGTATAAGTGATGGTGCGCCAGTCTCTGGGCGAGTTGGAGATGCTGGCAATTTTGGACTCTGTGGCACTGTTCTCCTCTGTTAGGGACCTAGAGGATGGCCTGGTGAAGAGGCTTTTTTTTAAGGCCTTGACCCGCAGGCTTTCACTGTTGCTCCCGCTAGCATCAGAGCAGCACCAGTCAGGGTTGTTCTCTAGTTTGGGTCCGTGGGAGCCACTGTGTGCGTGGAACATCCGGGGAGAGGCACTGTCATCAGACGGACCCTCGCTTGTCAAGGAGTTCAGATCTATCTGCACACTCACCTTCTCAGGCTGTTGCATTTTCTGGTCCAATTTATTTAGTTTGCCCAAGACCTGGGAGATTTCATCACGGACACCCGACAGGGATTCCAGCTTCCGTTCAATTTCGCCAATCCTGAGCACCAGTTTGCACACACTGGTCTTCAGCTCTTCTTCCGAGTGGTGGGTGTTTTCAGGCCGGTTGCCCTTGTCTCCCTTGCTGTTGGGGACCCCATTGGCAATTTTGGTTAAGTTGTGCTCAGGGGAACTGTCGCAGTCTGACTTATGGAGCTGAGACAAGGATCCTGTGCTGTTGTAGCAGGACGACTGTATCACTCCCGTGGAGCCACTGATGCTCATGTCATCAAGAAATCGGAAAATGTCACTGATGTCGTCGCTGACAATTTCTGAGTCATCGTCTGAGTGCTTCATGGTGTGCCTGTCACTGTACTTGCCCTGACCAGAGGTGCACAGGTCTCTGCATTTCTTGGGCTCCAGCACGTGCTCAGTCTGGGTGCCCACGCTACTGGTGTCTGAGCTGAGCTGCCCACTGGTGCAGTTAATGCTCTTGTCTTTAAACTTTTTGACTGGTTCATGCTTCTCCAGGTCAACAGGGGATGAGATCTCTTTAGATTTGAGCCCATTTTGTTTTGCCGCATAAGCAATGGGGAGAATTGGCTGTTGATCCTTTGGCACAAGGTAAGTTGGGCGCCTTTCTGGGGCTGGGAAATTGGGGGTCTGGCTACTGGCATTTGGATAGTGTAGCTTCTCCTCGGAGGGATTTCTATTGAAAAAGGACCGTTCAAAGTCAGGAACTTCCTCTGTGTTTAGGCTCCAGCTTTTGGCTGGCCAGGGAGTCTGCTTGTTGGGCTTCCCTAGACAGCGCCTGGCTTCTTGGGTTCCCATCACGGGAGTGGGCCCAAAATATGTAGAGGCTTGAAGGTCATCTAAGCTTTCGTGCTTTGCTCGCCTTTTGTCAGGAACCGGGGAATACACTGGATTCAGGTACTGGCTGTTATAGGGCATTTCAAAGCTGTGGTTGAAGAAGGGTGGCTTGTGGGGTTCCTTTCGACTCTGGGGTTCCCTGTGCTCATTCTCTGCTTTGCTGATGGGGCCAACCAAACTGGGGGACACTGCCATCAAATTGTGAAAATCCTCTTTGAAGATATTCCTTTTCTGGACACAGGACTGGACCACAAATGGCTCCTCATTGGAAATGAAGGTCTCCTTGATGCTCTGATTGATGGGCAGGGAGTCCTGGTCTGAAATGGACTCGTTTTCGATGTTCATGGGGAAGTAGGTCCTCTGCATCTCACAGGGCTGAGGGCTGGTCACAGAGTACGGAGCCAGGGCCTGCAACCTGTCCAGGGAAGCGGCGCGGTTTTTCACCTCTTTGCTAACTCCCAACAGGAAGTTAGGCTCAGAGGCAGGGACAAACTGTGGGCAGTCCTTGCAGTCCATCTTCCGGCACTTGGACGACTGCCTGATGGGGTAGCCCCGGCTGAAAGACCTCTCACTCAGCTCACAGTTCAGGGGCTCACACTCAGCTGCATTGCAGATCTCTGTGTCCGACCTACATGATTCAAAGGATGCCTCCTTCTTGCGTACCTTCTGGCGGCCCGTGGGCAGCTTCTCCTTGGCAGCCCCGCCATTCATTTGGATCAGGTTGAATATCGTCACAATATCTGCTGCCACCATGATTTTCTTTGATTGCTGGTTATTCACAGTGCATTTCATCTTGTCTTTGAATAGCGTGGCTGGAAAATTGGGATCGAGACAAGCTGTGTAGAAGAGCACACTTCTCAGTTTGGCAAGCTGCGACAGGTCGAACCGGGCACAGAGAGATTTGCACAGGTCCTGATAAGAAACGGTATTTTGCTTGCTGTCCAGTTCCTCCAAGATCTTCACCAAGAAGAGGGAAGTTTCCTGACTGGTCTCCATGATTTATTACTTGAAGAGCTCTCTGACTACACTGAAACTTCAGGTCAGTTCTGTGGTGGCAATATTGAGAAAGAGAGGAGGAAAAGAGGATTATAAACACCAGTGGAGTTTGAAGTCAAGCTCCTTATAAACCATATAAAGAAATACAGAGAAAAACATTTTAATGATTAAAAATGTAATAAGGACAGTAAAAATATTCATAACATTCGATTTAGTAATTCCCTTCCTGGGAATCTACCTTAATGATTGATAACAATTATGCTTAAAGGTGTTCACTATGATGGCACTTGTAATAATGAAAAAGCAAAACATCTTAAATATCCAAATAGGAGAATACATAAACATGTTATGATATAACATGAATTTTTACAAACATTGAAACTACATTAATGTACATTCTTACAATGGACTACTACGCATCAGCAAAAAAGAACAAACCACTAGTACATGCAAGGACGTGGATGAATCTCGAATGTATCGTGTGTGGGTGGAAGAAGCCAGAGTCAGAAGGTACATCCTCCACTGCATGATTCCATCTTAATGACATTCTGGAAGACAGATCAGTGGTTGCCAAGACCTGGATGTGAGGAGGAGGGTTGACCTCAAAGGGGCACAGAGAAGTTTTCCTAAATGATATCATTGTTCTACATCCTGGTTGTGGTGGTGGTTACATGACTGTAGGCATTTGTCAAAACTCACAGGACTCTAAACTAGAAAGTGTAAGTTTTACTGTACATAAATAATACCTCAATTTAGAAATTACATAATGAAGACTTTTCATAACAAAACTATGATATAATATTGAGTGAAAAAAATATGAAAATAAATCTGTATAAGATCATAATGGTATAAAATTATGCATTCTTGAAAACAAAAATGAAAGAAAATAATGTGCACTAAGATGCTAATAGTGGTAAGTTCGGATTGTAAATATGGATTTTTTTCTGAATTAGTAATCTCTCTTCCCTAATACTTTATTATGTAAGTTTTCAAATATACAGCAAAGTTGAAAGAATTTTATAATGAACACTAATATACCCAAGATCTGGATTCTCCATTAATATTTTACTTTATTTGCTTTATTACATATCTATCCATATATTCATCATCAAGCTTTCTTATTTTTTTGATTCACTTCAGAGTAAATTGCAGACATCTGTACACTTCTTCCAAATACTTCATCATACATATCATTAACCCAATTCAAAAACTGTTCACAGATTTTAATGTAAAATGTACGTACAATGAAGTTCACAAATCTTAAGGGTGCACTGGCTGATGTTTCAACAATTATGTATGCCTGTGTAGAAACCGAAGACCCTATAAAGAACTAGAATGTTCCCATTGCCCCAGAAAGTTTCCTCATGCCCTTTTCTGTTCAACCACTGTTATTTTTATAGGTTTTTTTTTATTTCCCATCTTTTCTAAAATTCTTACAATGAGCATTTGTTATTTTGTAAGCACCAAACAATAATAAACTTTACCTTGAAATTGAACAAAAACACTACATTAACAGATCTTGGATGGTAAAATTAAAAATACCAAACCAAACATTTAACAAAACTTCATTAGAGAAGGTGAAGCCCTTTGTTGATAAACATAGATGCGGGTTCTAAGACTTACAGACACACATCAAATTACACAATGTGTTCATTTCCCTGGTCGCATACTGCTTAGAAAATTAGTATTTTGATAACTGATTTGTTGATTTTAAAGTTAACACAGTTCACATGTACCCAACCCATTTTCTAAGGGAATAGTATATTTTCTTTGGATTAAATTTTAGCAGCTCGAGGTAATGAGCTTTCTCTCCATCCTGAAGGCAGCCACTCCCAATAGGCTTCTATAAACATTAGCCTGGTTTCTCCCATGAATGTCTGGAGGGATATGCAGAGACCAGTGGTTTGCATTTTCTTGCAAGGAAAAGGAAACAAACCCTTGAGAGGTTCTGTTCCTGCCCAGAACAAGTCACCAGGAAACCCATTTCTTCCCACCCCGCCCCAGCCTTCCAATCCGTCTGATGGAAGCATTCTGTGTCCAAATGTTCTGGCTTGTTAAAGGTGGGGACAGCCTGTCACAAGGGGTCTCAAGTAAATGAATGGGTGTAGATATCAGAGCACAGGACCAGTGAATGTAATTTTGGGAACAGCAACTACAACTCATGCATATATTTTATCGTTTGGGTGAGACAAAGCCCTTTCAGGACTTCCAAGCTAATCCCATGTGTGTCCTACCATGCACCTCCCAGGAAAACCCAACACTTTGCTTCTCTGGGAAGATTTCTCAACTTTCTATCCTACTTTGCATGGCAAAGGAAATCCCAGGTCAAAAACCCTATTTGGAAAACCAAGGCCCAGTGTCTCCTGAAGTGAATAAAAGAAGTACAAACAAATATGGTAAGCCTGAGTTATGTTTTATCAAAACTGAAAGTAGGAGGTCTGTGGATAGAAACAGGTGCATGGACACACGTGCAGCACAGGTGCATGTAATGATCAGTTATCATAGAGAAACTGCACCCAGATTTCCTACAATGCACCAACGAGAACCAGAGAGGAAGAAGAGCAAGAGCAGAGATGGATTGAAAAATCTGTTTCCGGGCTCTGTAGCAGTGGAACAGGATCCAGCCTCCAGCATGAAGCCCTCAGCAGTCTACCTTATTTGACCACACAAACAACTGTGTAGGGCAGGAAGAGTACCCCCATGTTACAGATAAGGAAACTGAGGAACTCAGAGAGGAAGTAACTATATAATCCAGAGAGGTGACATGAGTTGCTGGGGGTCCTGTATGGGGTTAGGGGCCCAAGTGGACTCCAACCCAGGTCTTCTGACGCTGTTGAAGGGGCACTAGGCTCAATCGCATGCCAGGAGGACAAGCATCCACCGCCTACTGACAGAAGTGAATGAGGGGTGGAAGAGCCACTGTGGACTGACCACCTACTATGTGCTGAGGCCTTACATGATTTTAAGCAACAGCTCAGAGAGGGGGGCACGGACATTCCCCAGCTATTCAAGAGAAATGAGGAAAAGGAGGCTAGAGAAACTCCACTCAGAGCATAATGCATCACAGTCTGAAGCCGGATCTGGTCAGAGCAAGGCAGAAATAGCCGCCTGGAATCTCTGGGGGCTGAGCAAACTGCCCTGGGACATATGTGCATGCACATATGTCCCAGGGCAGCTTCACATTCACACAGACTCACCCATACACTCACACGCAGACACATTCACATAGCTTCACTCAGATTCACCCAGACACACCTACACACACTCACACAGCTTCACACTCACACAGACTCACCCATACACTCACATGCAGACACACTGACAGCTTCACACCCACAGAGCTTCACACTTAGACTCACCTAGACACAGACACGCACACAGCTTCACTCACCCACACACCCCCCCCACACACCCACACAGACTCACCCACACCCACACACTCATCCAGACACCCACACACACACACCCAGACTCATACCCACACCCACACTCACCCAGACACACACCCACACACACACAGACTCATCCAGACACCCAGACTAACCCAGACTCACACCTACACAGACTCACCCATACACTCACACACACAGACTCACCCACACACACCCACACACTCACCCAGTCATACCCATACATTCATATAGCTTCACACTCAGACTCAAATCCACACACAGCTTCACACCCAGACTCACACCCACACACACTCACACAGACTCACCCACACACTCATACAGCTTCACACTTGCACAGCTTCAGTCATGCAGACTCAGGGACATACATATACCCAGACACACTCACACAGCTTCAGTCACACTCATCCAGACACACACATCCAGACACTTGCACAGCTTCCCAGCTTCACACTCACACAGACCTAAACACACAGACTCACGCTCATGCACATACACACAACACATTCATACACACTCTCAAGCACACACACATTCACCTACACACACTCACACAGACCTACACTCATACACAGCTGCACACACATACGCTGTCGCACTTCCACACACCCATGTGTACACACAATTCACACAAGTACTCAAGCTCCCACACATCCACAAACACATTCACACCTCTGCACACACACACATTCACAAACACGTATACACCACATACACAGGCTCACTCACAATCTCCACACTCTTTCTCTCCTAGGTGTCTCTTAGCTCTGTTCTCTCCTAAGTGTCTCTTAGCTCTGTCCTCAGGGTTTAAACTTTCTTAACATCCCAGCACATCTCCATGCATATTTTGGGGGCTAAGCAGCCAACAAATCCACCCCTCTCTGGCGTTTGGGAAGCTGACCCCATGATGCCGCACATTGCCTGCCAACAAGACCTGCAAACACAGCCACTGCAGCACCCTGTCACCCCCACCCCCATGTGGAAAAGCTCCGCAAAGACTCTGAGAGGCCAATCACAGGACTTCCATCCCACCTGGCTTCAGAGCTCCTTGCTGAGGAACAGCCATGCCCAGCGCGGCAGGGAAGCTGGCAGGAGGAGGAGCCGGTGAGCAGCAGAGATCCGAAAATCATGAGGCCAGACTGGGGATTGCCTGCAGCACATCAGGCCCCCATCGGGCCCAACTGACTGCCCAAGCCAACACCGTAGCCCAGGCCTCCCCTCCCCTGTGTCTCCCGCAGACCCGTCTGCTTGGAGGCCTGCTGCCTCGGCTGCCCACATCCTCCCGCAGTCCTGCTCACCCACGCCGGCTCCTGGAACAGCCCTTCTGCCCCAGTCCCTCGCCAGGTCCCAGAGTCTCCTCTGTTCCCTCCGTGGTGCTCAACAGCCCTCCGCCTGTGCCTTGGCTAAAGCGCTTATCACGCAGGAGTTTTCAACCAGGTAAGATTCACCTGGGATGGTTTTAAAACATTGAGACCTGGCCTCCCCTACCCTAGACCAGTTAAATCAGAATTCCTAGGAGGGGTCCAGGTCTTTAGGAGTTTTAAAAGCCACCCCAAATTTCTGAACCATGGGCCTCCAGATTTTGGGACCAAGAAGCCCCATTTAATAAGTCGGAGGGATGAGGTTTGTGAAAGGCATTGAAGCCTAATGGTAGAGAGGAGCGACAGGGGCCCACAGACCTGGGCTCAGACTCCAGTCCTGCCCACTATGTGACGTTGGATAGGTTACTTACAGCTCCCACACCCTGCCTCAGTTTTTTCATCTGTAACAATGGGTTTAATTAACAAGCATATGTAAAGCACTTAATAATAAAGAGCTTCCCATGTGACAGGCATTCAACAAATAACAGCTGTCACTCATGGAACAGCTGTAGCAATGGGAATTCTAGCAGTCTCAGTGGCTTCATGCCTCACAGCACCCTCTGCAGGTTATAAAAAAGGAGTATTTTTGAAAAATGACTCTATTCTGTACAAAGAGCAAGAGACGCCTGCCTAAAGCGGGATTCTGGCCTCTCAAGTTTTACATTTTCAACTTATTTAAAGACTTTTAGTTTCTCATTATAAAAAGCTTCATCCTCAACCACATGCTCCCATGGACCTTCAGTAGACTAATGATTTACTGCCTCTCTCTAGGCTGCACATGACCTCAGAGGGGAATAACAAATTGGCTGTGGGGTTCATTATTCAGCTTTTTTTTTTTTTTAATAGGAAGACAGTTCAGAAAACTGATTCCATGAAAAGTTCTGAAAGCCAGAGGTTGAAATTGCTCACTCAGAATTAATGGGGGTGCTCTCGTCGCCCGCCAATCCAAACTACAGCACACCCTCCTCACTATGTGACTCTTACTTTGTGCGTCTGCCTTATGTGTCCTTGAAGATTCTGTAGGTGTCCAGCCCCCACTAAAACTTGTTTCTGAGCACCCAGAAGGTGCATGAGACTGGGCTAGGCACAGCTGAGAAAGGTAAAGGGAAGAAAACACTCTTTAGAGCGGGCTGGATGGGACCACAGTGAACTCCAGCCTAACCCTTCATTTTATGGTCAAGAAAACTGGGGTCCAGAGAGTAACATGACTTTTCAAAGGCACATGTAGAGCTAGTGGCAGAACTGTCCCCAACACCCAGGGTTCCTGACCCCTAGGCTGTTTTCATAAATGTCTGCAAGAATGCCAGTTCTGACTGTCAAGTGCCAGAGGAGCATAAACATGGAGCTGGGAACCCGATTAAGGGGGAGATGAATTCCAGCCATGGGGAAAAGGTAAAGCTGGCTTCACAGAGAAGGTGCCATCTGCAGTGGCCGCAAAGACTAAAGAGGAGGGGAGTGTTTGATGGTCTGGAGAAAAGGGACAGGGTAGGTACTCTAGGCAGAGGGCAGAAGGCATGACGGTACAGGGCAGCAGAGAAGAGTCTGTATGTCTGGTAGGGATGGAGAGAAGGAGGTGGAGCTGGACAAACAATTTAGATAGGGAGTGCTATGGTTTGATTGTGTCCCTTCAAGATTCAGGTGTTGCCAGTGTGATAGTTTTAAGAAGTAGGACCTTTAAGACCCCTTCCCAGGAATTCTGATTTAACTGGTCTAGGGTAGGGGAGGCCAGGTCTCAATAGGTTTTAAAAACCATCCCAGGTGATTGTGATTAGGCCATAAGGGCTCCTCCCTAATGAATGGGTTTCATGCCCTTATAAAATGAGGCTTTGTGCAGCATTCTGCTAGCTTGCCCTTTTGCCCTTTTGTTATGTGAAGATGCAGCAAAAATGCCCCCACCAGATACATCAGAAACTGGCACCTTGATCTTGGACTTCCCGGCCTCCAGAGCTATGAGAAGTAAATTTCTGTTCCTTATAAATTACCTAGTCTCATGTATTCTGTTATAGCAACACAAACATACTAAGATAGGGCGTACACTAAACTCTGGGCTGGGAGTCTGAACTCAATTCTGTAGTAAATGAGAGCTGGGAACTGACAAAGTGGGTGTTAGAGCAGAGCAAGCCTGAGGTTAAGATGAGCACTGCAACCTACAGGATACGCTGATGGGGATCCATATTGTCTTAGCCCCTTTCAAAACCTCCTACCCGTATACAGCGAAGGGAAGAACTCCAGGCTCCTCTAATTCCTAACCCATAGGTATTTCCACTAGGTAATAGTCTGTAGTTTGGGAAAGGCCAGAACCAGATGCCTGATTTTTTTTCCCATTACCCTGTGGCACCTTGTTCATTTCTCATGCCACATTCTGGGCATGATAAATGTTGTTGCTGTCCAGTCTACAGAGCTAAAATGAATACCCACCCTTTCACAATCTTACGCATATTCAACTGCTCACACTCTTGGCATCTAATGTTAATCAAAGCAGAGCAAAAAGAGAGAGAGATGATTTAGGGATATAGTTTGTAGTATTGCTGCTTGAATCTTTGGACAAAAGACAAGCTCTCTGAATTTCATTTCCAACAACTCCATTAGAAATCTAATCTTCCCTTCTGCTACCAACAGCCCCAAAATGAATGACATATACCTTGAACTGGATTAGCAAAACTCAGTTATAAAGTATTCTTATCAAACCTTTCCAATACGCCAAAATATATTGATCTTTCAAAAACTGAAATAAAGTGCAGAGATATAACAGCCACAATGTTCTCATTTCACGCTCACGAAAGCACACTGCAAGAGAATTCATCTGCAGTATTCATGTAATTCCTGCGTCGGTGTTGGCCTGCTTGTTTTGAATTTTGTCTTGCTTCTGGTTTTAGGATGGTGGTTGCTACTGTGATTTGGTGAAACTATAAAAGGAAGCTATCAATTTAGGAATATAAAATTTGTGATTAAGAATTTCTACATTGTTTGTGTCACCTCTAATAAAATTTCAAACTTAAGGGGGAACACTTTCTCTCCCAGAGATAGCCATCTTCCACAAAAAAATTGCTAAAGAGGGCAGCAAGGAGTTGGGAAGGGGTTACACTTCTGTTTCTCAAGACGTATACCTGCAGAGCTCAACCCTAGTGCAAAGCCCTTGGTTAAGAAGTCAAGTGATTATGAAGCAATTTCCAGATCTGGCAAGAAAGTAAGCTTAGAGAATGTGAAAAACTCTGATTATGAACACCTCAAAATGCTGGATAAGATGCAAATTTTTTTCTTAACGGGCATAACTAAACTTGCGAGAGCAAGCTAAATGCCCAGATTCCAGAAATAGAGAAGAGATTGAAAAATCACAGAGGTAGACAGGAGAGCTGGCACTGTGGCTGCCCTAAGAGTAAAGGGGATGGTCCTTCTAAGGTAGATTAGGATAGGCCTTCCATGAGATGGAGAGTAGAAACACAGATGTCTGCATAAAGCTGGGACCCTTGAAGGACTATTCTCTAGCTTTATGTGAAAGGATGAAAAAAATCTGGTGCACAGTAAACAAGGACACTTGTCAGCCTCTGCCTGGGCTCTGGGTTAAATAAAGTAAAAAATTACCCCTTAGAAATGGAAAACAAGGCCAATGTCTTAAATATTTTGGGGCCCAAATTTATGTTGTCACGGTGTGCAAGAACTCTTGAGCTAAGAAATTAATGTAAAAAATCAGTTCCATGCTGCTAATGTCCATGGCTGCAAGCAGAAACAAGAGCAAAAGTACTCAAGACAATCAAAGGTGCATAGGAGCACCACAGAGAAAAGAATCCACCTTAAGGTTGAATTATATTTTTAAAAATTACAACACACAAGAGAAAATACTACTCAATGAGTAAGAATCAGCAGACACAAAATCACCAGCAGGATTAGAACTTCAAGAACCTAAAATAAATGAATCCACAATCTTAAAGAAGATACAAATATACTTAAAATAAGTAAAGGCATAAAATTAATAGAAAATCCAAATAAAAGAAGACACTATGAAAAAAGTACATACAGATCTGGAAAAGAAGTATACTAATAGAAAAAGAATCATTAAAATACAAAACACAGTGGCATTAAATAGCATATTAGATCTAAATAAAGAGAAAGTCTATGAACTGGAAGATAGGTCTAAGGGAATTTAGCTGAATGCAGCACAAAGAGATACAAAGATAAAAGACATGAAACTGGCCGGGGGCAGTGGCTCACACCTGTAATCCCAGAGCTTTGGGAGGCTGAGGTGGGTGGATCATTTGAGGTCAGGAGTTCAAGACCAGCCTGGCCAACATGGTGAAACCCTGTCTCTACTAAAAATACAAAAAGTTAGCTGGGCATGGTGGCATGCACCTGTAATCCCAGCTACTCGGGAGGCTGAGGCATGAGAAGCTTTTGGACCCAGGAGGCAAAGGTTGTAGTGAGTTGAGACTGCATCACAGCACTCTAGCCTGAGTGACAGAGTGAGACTCTGTCTCAAAAAACAAAACAGCAACAATGACAACAACAAAAACCATTAAATCAAGCTTAAGAGACATGAGCATAGAAGGATAAGTTTCAGCAAATATCTATTTGGAATTCTAGGAGAGAGAAAAGAGAATGGCAGAAAGATGATAAAAGTGATAATATATAAGAATGTTCCAGAATTGAAAGCATGAATCTTCTAACTCAAGGAGTGATATAAATACTAAATAAGACATATAAATAATGAACTCACCCTTAGATACCTAAACACATCATATTGAAACTAAAGAATACCAGAAATGAAAAGAAAAACTTGCCTAAAAAATTGAATTACCTAAAATAGAATAAACTTAAAAGCAGATTTTTAAGAACACAATTATAGACTAAAAAATAGAAATAAAATCATTAAAATACTGAAAAAAATAATATACAGATAATTTTATTACCATGTAAACTATTATTCAGAAGTAAAGATAAAGAAATAGTTTCAGAGTTTATAACTCATATTCCTTATTGTAAAAACTATAAAGAAGCTCCTTCAGAGGGAAAGAAAGTGAATCCAGAGGAAATAAGGTGATAAATATATAGTTAATTCTAATCATGTATCAACTCTATAAAACTGTTAATGAATAATTTAATGGGAGAGGAAGTGATCAGAATTAAAACTTTTAAATTACTATGTTATCTGGAAGAGGAAAGAGATGTTAAATAAATTTAAATTTTAAGTCAAATATGCATATTAGAAAAAAGTTATGAGTAATTATTAAAAGAGCAGGAAGAATCTGTACAACTTAATGCAGGACTTCTAAACCAGTGTAGAAAAAACAAGGGAACAAATAAAACCCAGTCAATTAAGAGAAGGTAGAAAATAAGAGAAATAAAGAAGCAAAGTATAACTAATTAATATCACAAATAAAATGACAGAAATATTTCAAAATACATCATATTACAATAAATGTAAATAGCTTAAACTTACCAGTTACAAGACTATGACTCTCAAGCCGGATTTTTAAAAATTAAAATAAAATGCAAAGACTACCTACAGGAGATATACCTAAAAATACTATCACAGGCTGGGCACGGTGGCTCACGCCTGTAATCCCAGCACTTTGGGAGGCCAAGGCGGGTGGATCACCTGAGGTTGGTAGTTCAAGACCAGCCTGACCAACATGGAGAAACCCCATCTCTACTAAAAATACAAAATTAGCCAGGGGTGGTGGTACATGCCTGTAATCCCAGCTACTTGGGAGGCTGAGGCAGGAGAACCACTTGAACCTGGGAGGTGGAGGTTGCGGTGAGCCAAGATCATGCCACTGCACTCCAGCCTGGGCAACAAGAGCAAAACTCCGTCTCAAAAAAAAAAAAAAATAACTGTCACAGAAAGATTTAAAGTATAAGGATGAAATAAGATTTATCAATCAAAACTAAATCAGAGTATTGTTAGTGTTTGTTACAGGCAAAATGGCATCACAGTTAAAGATTCTAAACTCTGGAGCCAAATTGCCCAAATTTAAATACAAGCTGTTCTACTTATAAGCCATGTGATTTATTAGTTATTAGTTGGAGCACTTATTAGTTATTACCCTGGGGCACATTATAGTCTCTCTGTACTTTAGTTTCCTTATCTGCAAAATGGGGATGATAATAGTATCTACTTTATATGATTTGTTTTATGTAATAGTCCCTTGCATACAATAAGCACTCTAATAAGTGTGAGCTATAACATTATTATTATATTAACATAAATAATAAAGATATTAAGGTTAAAAATCATTAGGGATACAAATAATTATTGCAAAAATGATAAATAAAAACAACTCACCAGGAAAATAATCCTGAACATATCGACACTCAATAATATAGCCTTAAAAATACATGAAGCAAAAATTAACAAAATTTCTAGGAAATATATGAAATTCACAATAATGCATAGAGATTTTAACATATCTTTCTCAAGAAACTGAGTGATCAAAGAAAATAATACATTTGATATCAAAATACTAAAACAACACAATTAACACACTTGATCTATACATATAGAGAACCTGGACCCAAGAATACACATTCTTTTCAAGTAATGCTGGCCACATATTATGATACAAATTTTTAAAAAAATGAATTTATATCCTGCAGTGATTTTTTTTTTTACAATAAGGTAATAAAATTAACAAATGTATACCCAAAGATATCACCTGAACACACGGAAATTTAAACATACAGGTCTCAATAAGCCATAGGTCAAAAAACTAATCATAGTAAAAATTAGAATATGGTTATAATTAAATGTAATGAAAATACTACATATCAAAACTATAAACTATAGTTAAAGCTATCATTAGAGGAAAGTTTATAGTAATAAATACAAATAGTGGAATAAAAGGTTGAAAATCAATGAGCTAAGCATCCCACTCTAGAAGTGGGAAAAAAATCAGTATAGTAAATACAAAGGAAAATGGAAGAAGCAACTAATGTTACGAGAAAAATTAGTGAAGTAGAAAACAAATAAACATTACCATCAATGAAACCTAAATGATTTCTTTGAAATAACAAAATTGGAAATCTCTGGCAAGAATGATAAAGAAAAAAAGAAAAGAGACATGAATAAATAATGGAACAACATTAACATAGGTAACATTTATGGAGAACTTTACTATGTGCCAGAAAGGTTTTAAACACTTTATAATGATTAACTTATTTAATCCTCAAAATCACCTTACAAAATAGGAACTAATATGATACTAATTTTATGGCTGAATTTTCTCCAGCACAGAGCAGGTCCGTAACTTGTCAAAGGCCACACAGCCTAAGGCATGTGTGAACCCGGGCCTTAACTATACACTCTAAGTCTAGAGCTCACGTTACACATCACATTATACAGCACTTCACAAAATTAGGGATGAAAACAGGGATAGAGCCACAAATTCAATAGACAACTTTTTGGAAGTTTTATTTAATATAACACCAAGGATTGCTGAATATGCAGGCCAACAGTTTTTATATGCTACTGGTGGGGATGAATATTGGCAGAATCACTTTAGAGGGCAATTTGGTAATACAGTTGAAGCTCAAGATAATCAAAACCTATTGCCACCCCAGATCTACCTTGAGGTACCCTAGATAAGCATGCACATAGGTTCATAAGGAGACAAAACTGTTATCAAACACTTTTGAATAGTAAAATAATGTGGGGGAATAAATGAGTTTATCCACATAGTTTATATTATACAACAGCTAATATGAATGAATTTACTTACAATAAATTTGAAGATAAACCTCAAAAACTTAAGAATGCATGGAAAAAGTTGTGAATGGATCTATCATATCATTGATGTAATTGGAAAAAAAACCTCAAATAGATTATTTAGGGATGTATACATAAAAAGGAGAATGCAAAAATCTATATGGAAATGAAATATACCAGGTTTGGGATAGCGGTTTCTGGGAGGGGCAGGAAAGATGTGGTATAAGGCCTACATTTAAGGCCCAATATGATGTGCTGCCCTGACACCTGGTGAAACCAGGAGGACCTTGAATGGCCAAACTGCAAGTTTCTCTACTCCTGCAGGTAAGGTACCCTAGTCAAACCACTCTTCTTATCAAGGGACCAGGCACAGATTCTACTTACCCCAAGTGGCAGCTTCTGGTTCCCTGCCAGCCCTCAGAAATATTCAAACAAGCCAATCACATCCTCTTGTGGGAATCAGGGGTCACCTCACCATTTTGATACAGCAAAGCCTGCCTCCCACAGCCCGTTTGTTCCCTCTGTTTCTAAGTGCAGCTCCCGTGTGGCCCTGTGTGGCCTGTGGTGTCCTCCGCCTGCCCTCCTGTGAGTACAGGCAATTAATAAATCACTGTCCATCTCATCTGCTCAGTGTTGGTGTCAAGTGTTCAGTCATCTCGGTAACCTTAGAGTGGAAATCCTCTCTCACCAATGCAGGGAGTAGCAGGTGATTAAAACAAAACAAGTGGCAGGTGGGACTTGAACTATATCATATTCTTTTCTTTAAAAACAAACAAAAAACAAACACTGAAGCAAAAATGACAAAACTTTAACATCCGTTTAATTTCACTGGTATATGGATGTCTACTGGGTTATTTTATGTACTTTTCTTAATTTTTTAAAATAAGTACTAATTTTAAATAAGGTAAAAACACTAGATAAACAAGTTCCAATTTATCTGCTTTTACCGAGACCTGCCAAAAAGAGAGCTAAAAGAAAATTTATATAAGTAAGGCTCTAAATGGGCAGTAACCATAAAGAAAATTCACCAGGCAGATTTTTTGCTATTGTTTATGTTTTGTTGGAAGTTTTTTTTTTTTTTTTTTCATTTTTATGGGGCAAGGCCATGCATGTTAAAGGTAACACTAAGTAATTATTTGCTTTAAGTTAATTATCTAAGAATTCTGGTCAAAATAAAAATCTATTTGGATAGCCAAATATGAAAACTTAATACAAAGTTCCTATTATAATTTGACAGATAAATCAATGGAACAGAATAGAAAGTAGCAGACCCAAATATAGATAAACAGTCAATATATTTTAAAGGTGGCCTTTCAACTCAATGAGAAAATAATGGTTTATTCAATAAACATAAATGTGTTACTTTGTTAGTTAAAATACTACTGGAATAATTGGTTAATCAACTGGTAAAAGGTTAGCCCCACTTCTTGCCATTGACAAAAGTAAATTACAGATGAAATATAAAGCAGAAAATTCGAGTCAAGATTTAGATAATTTGAGGTAGTGAAAGGGTTTTCCACACAAGATCCCAAAATTGAAATAATTAAGATGAAAACTGATAGGTTTGGATAGATAAAAATTGCTTACCATGTCAGTAAACATAAAAAAAAAACAGTAAAAAAAAAAAGTAAAAAAACCTTGAAAAAACAGAATGCAGAAAATTCTTGCATTTCATTGAAAGCTCTTAAAAATGTATATGAAATAATGAACAATTCAAAGAAACAAATGGTTAATTTACAAAGAAAGGAAGGCAAAGAAAAATGTGCAACATCATAAATAAAGCAAAGTAGAACAGCAATTTGTTTGATTACTTATTTATAAATCTAAAGAAAATAAAAATGTTTTCTTTCTAAGTGGAAAAGTACTAAAGACTAAGGGTTCTGACTATTATTAAGGGTTTTTGATATTATTTATAACCAGCATATAGTATATTTGTTATGGTATCTATAATCAGTATACTCATACCACTGTTGGGGAGAATGAGGGAAAATAGGCACTCCCATGTATTCCTGGAGAAGTATGTGACTTACAGGAAGTAATCAACAATAAAACTTGAAAAATACGCATACCCTTGAAATGAAGCAAATCCACACTTCTAAGTATTTATCTGAAGAAAATAATCAGATATATGTAAACAAAGTTTATGAATATATTCTCTTTAATGTTGCTTAAAATAAGAAAAAATTAGCAATAATCTTTGTAGCCAACACTGGGTTCTATAAATTGCAGTGCATCCGTATGATAGAATACCATGTAGCCATTAATAAGTCATGGTGCAGAAATACATTTATTGGCATGTTTAATTTTTAATGATGTATTCTTAAGTGAAAAAGTATACCACTAAATGGTTGGTTGTATTATGACATAAAATTTTATACAGACACTCACTCTTTGTATATATTAATACTAAAATGTTAATAATAATTGTCTCTGGGTGGTTTTCTCTTCCTTTCATTTCAGGGCTGTTTTATTTAAATGTTCTAAATATGTGATTTTATAATAAAAAATAAAGAAGAAAGGATTTGCAAGCAAATCCTGGCAAGGGGAATTTGAGAAAGTAAATTATCATCTCTAATCTTTGATTTTCTTATCTATAAAAGGAAGATATCAATTCCTCTTCCTGAGGTTACTAACAAGGTCAAATGAGACATCCATATTATTCATTCAAAAATGTTTCTTTTGTAACTGGCATGCATCAGGCACTGTCTTAGCTGGTGGCAATACAGCAGGGTGTAAGGCAGACAATGAACAAAACAAAAACCCTGCCCTCATGAGCTTATAATCTAGTGGGGGAGACAGATAATAAGCGAAATAGAAAAGTAAAATTTAGAGTGTATTAGATGGTAGAAAGTGCTATGGAGAAAAGCAGAAAAAGGGGTTAGAAAGAACAAGGGGAGGTATTACAACTGTAAACAAGATGGTCAGAGGAGGCGCAGGGGAAAGATACCTTTGAATGTGGTCCTGAAGGAGGCAATGGAGCAAACCACGTGCCTGCCTGGGTGGTGGGGAGGAGCGGGGGAAGGGGAAGGCAAAGCCCAGGCAGAGGGAACCGGAAGAGCAGATTTTATGAAGTACTTTTATGACCAACCAAACATGCCAGTCCTGCTTCCAGCCCAGGGCCTTTGCTCTTGCCTGCCTGGGCATGATGGCTTCTAAGACAGGGAACACTCACAATTTCCCAAAGGCAGCCTCTTCCACAATTGCACCCACTGGTCCTCATCCTGCCCCAGGGACATGCAGAAGCCAAATCCACTTTCGAAGGGCAGTTCTTCGAGTATTTAAGGATGGGTCTTACATCCCATTTCTCCCATTTGCTTCAGGACCTGGCTGCAGCTCCCTGCATCTTTTGGGTTGATGGAGAGAAGGCTACCAGGTGCAGTCTCTTGACTCAAAAACTCAAGCCAAACCCCAGATCTTCTCCTTATGCGGGAAACTCACAACAGCCTTGTAAAATATGGGGGATAAAGCAAGTCTCTGGCCTCACCCCAGAGATTCTGACTCAGCAGATGAGGCCTGGAAATATGCATTTATAAGGTCCCCTGGAGGTTCTGGTATAGTGGATGCAGTGACGGCTAACTGGGAAATTCTGGACTAGACACACCTTGGGGCTAATGATCCATGGTTCTTTAAATAATTTCCAATTGGCTCATGCATTTCTCACATTGTGTCTCCTTCCCCTGAAGTGCAGAAAAGAACAGGAGTTCCATTCCTCATTCTAGACACCATAATTTCAGCTAAGGATCTTTTTGGTGGCCATAGTATACTGTTGGCTCAGGCTGAGGTTATGGAAAACTAAATAACCAAATACTTTTTCCTTCCTGCTGTGACTACAGAGTCAGGCTTCTCCCGTACCTGCTGAGCGTCTTCAGAATCACCGTGTTCTTTCCGTCTTTCACCCAATAGCTCTAGGGAACACCCAACCTGAGCCAGACACTGTGCTCCTCACCAGGACAAAACTATAAATGAGACCCTGGCCATGCCTGCAGGGGCAACAGGCTAGAGGAAGGGGAGCAGCAGTAAACCATCTGTCATAGCACAGGGCAGTCAGCGCTCCGA
Organism: Homo sapiens; assembly: GCF_000001405.40. NCBI lineage: Eukaryota > Metazoa > Chordata > Mammalia > Primates > Hominidae > Homo > Homo sapiens. Next base: position 79,439,621 of record NC_000015.10, on the reverse strand, counting down.
TGTCATTGGCACAAACAGTGGGAGCCCACAGCCAACCACCCAGCCCACAGACTACCTACCTTAACCCACATCCGACACTATCTACCCACGTCTCAGTCCCACACAACACAGAGAACATTCCCTGACTGACTGCCACCATATCCCACATACTCATGGCCTACTCCACCCACATCTCATCACTACCCACACACACTGCCTACCCCACCCACATCTCATCACTACCCACACACACCCACACACACACTGCCTACCCCACCCACATCTCATTACCCACACACACACTGCCTACCCCACCCACATCTCATCACTACCCACCCCACCCACGCCCACCCACTCACTATCCACCCCACACCCCACACACTACCCACCCCACCCACACCCCACAACCTACACACACCCACACCCCACACACTCACTACCCACCCCACACTCCACACACTCACTACCCACCCCACACACACCCCACACACTCACTACCCACCCCATCCACACCCCACACACTCACTACCCACCCCACCCATACCCGACACACTACCCACCCCATCAACACCCCACACACTCACTACCCACCCCATCCACACCCCATACACTACTCTCCCACACCCACACCCCACACACTCACTACCCACCCCACCCATACCCGACACACTCACTACCCACCCCATCCACACCCCACACACTCACTACCCACCCCATCCACACCCCACACACTCACTACCCACCCCACCCATACCCGACACACTCACTACCCACCCCATCCACACCCCACACACTCACTACCCACCCCATCCACACCCCACACACTCACTACCCACCCCACCCATACCCGACACACTCACTACCCACCCCATCCACAACCCACACACTCACTACCCACCCCATCCACACCCCACACACTCACCACCCACCCCATCCACAACCCACTCACTACCCACCCCATCCACACCCCACACACTATGCTCCCACACCCACACCCTCACTACCCACCCCATCCACACCCCACTCACTACCCACCCCACCCACACCCCACACACTCACTACCCACCCCATCCACACCCCACACACTCACTACCCACCCACACCCACACCCCACACACTACCCACCCACCCCACACCCCACACACTACCCACCCACCCCACACCCCACACACTACCCACCCACACCCACACTCCACACACTCACTACCCACCCCACACTCCACACACTCACTACCCACCCCATCCACACCCCACACACTACCCACTCACACCCACACCCCACACACTACACACCCACACCCCACACTCACTACCCACCCCACACTCCACACACTACCAGCCCCACACCCCACACACTCACTACCCACCCCATCCACACCCCACACACTCACTACCCACCCCATCCACACCCCACACACTCACTACCCACCCCATCCACACCCCACACACTACACACCCACACCCCACACTCACTACCCACCCCACACTCCACACACTACCAGCCCCACACCCCACACACTCACTACCCACCCCACCCACACCCGACACACTCACTACCCACCCCATCCACACCCCACACACTCACTACCCACCCCATCCACACCCCACACACTACCCTCCCACACCCACACCCCACACACTCACTACCCACCCCATCCACACCCCACTCACTACCCACCCCACCCACACCCCACACACTCACTACCACCCCATCCACACCCCACACACTCACTACCCACCCCACACTCCACACTCACTACCCACCCCATCCACACCCCACACACTACCCACCCACACCCCACACACTCCCTACACACACCCACGCCCCACACACTCACTGCCAACCCCACACCCCACACACTACCCACCCCACTCACACCCCACACACTACCTACACACACCCACACCCCACACACTCACTACCCACCCACACCCACACCCCACACACTCACTACCCACGCCACCCACACCCCACACACTACCTACACACACCCACACCCTCACTACCCACTCACACCTACACTCACTCATTACCTCTCCACATTCACATGCACTCACTACCCATCCACACCCACACCCACTCACTAACCACCCCACCCACATTCACTCATTACCTATCCACACCTCTACCCACTCACAACCTATCCCACTCACACCTACTCACTACCCACCCACACCCACTCAGCAACCACTTATACCCACACTCACTCACTACCCACCCACTCACTATCCACCCACACCCACACCCAATCACTGCCCACCACATCCACTCACTACCTATCCCACCCACACTCAATCACTACTCACTCACACCCAATCACTACCCACCCATACCCACACCTACTCACTCCTCCCCATTCTGCACTCACGTAGCCAAAAGACTTTCATCTTCTTCAACTTCCATGGCTGAGACAGGCCTCCTTTTGTTGTTTCCCAAATTTTGCCTCCTTACCACTGTTCAGTCTTTTAGGCTGCCAGGATATGCTAAAGCTTTCAGTTCCTAGTGACTGGTTGATCTTTGTTTGTTTGTTTTCTTAGTTAGTTACTTGAAGCCTCCTCTAGTAACCCTAAAACTTGCATGTTTAGCTTCCTGAATAAAACTTCTCTCCTCAAGATCCCAGTGTTATTGAAGAGGGATCAATGGGGTAATCACATGAGCCACTGAAGGTCAAAATTGTTCACTAGGACACAAAGTAAATGGCAGGAAGAAAGGGTGCAGGGAATTGGACACATATTGAGTAAGACACTGAAGTTGGGGACAGTGGAGGGCTCACTGGCTGAGAGTTTTTGCAGTATGAAGTTCTCACAGGCCACGTCAGTAGAAAACTGTCATGTGAGCTCCCATTGGCTAAGGGCATGGAACAATGCTCAGAGCATCAGAAAAATCATACAGTTGTGTTCGATAAATCATGCTTTAAGGATAATATTAAATGACATGCATGCGTATGCATGGAGTCTATTGAGCAGGTAGTTCTCTAACTTGGACAATGAAGGATACATTGGCATGTCACAGTCCTATGACACAGTCATTCAATTCATTCCACCAACTCCCCTGGCTTTCATTCTTGGCTCACAAAGCACCTTCTGTTTATTATCCGGCTTTTAATGGACAATTCTGTCCAATCACTGAACACATTTATCAGCTTCACTTGCTTCTCTCTAAACTATGAAATCAGCATATTATAGCCAGTGCATCAGACTTTCGGTTTTCATGTTCCTTCTCTAAAAGACTAACCTGAGTATATTACCAAATAAGCTCTCCAACCAGGCAAAATGACAGCCGCATGCCACGATGTGGTGCTCATACACAGGTCCTGATCCCCATGAAGCCCTGTCTCAGCAAGGACTGGCCTTCCTGGATAACACTGCTATCCTGATCAGCAGCCAGTATGATCCTAAGTTCTTTACATGTTGCATCAGTCACGTATGCTAGGTTACACTGCAGCAACAAATAATCCCCAGATTTCAGTTTGTTTATTATCAATGCTACATGTCCATTATGCGTCAGCAAGAAGCTCTGCTCCACATCATCCTCAATCCCAGACCCAGGCTGAGGGAGGAGCAGCCACTTTCTGGAGACTTAACTACCACTGAAACAGAGGAAAAGGGAGAACATGGTGAGGCACCTGCTGACTCTTAAAGGTTCATGTACTTTCTGGCCAAACAAGTCACATGGCCATACCTGATTTCAAATTAACAGGAAAATGCAATCTTACCATGTGCCCAGAAGCAGAGACAGCCAGAATCTTTAAGAACAAAATTAATAGCCACCATATATATGCTTCTATCCCCTCTTGGGGCAATCCATTCCCAGTATTAACTTTAATTATTTTAAAGGACTTCCTACAATAAGCCAAAATCTGTCTGTGCCAGGCACTAGAGATATAGCAACAAATAAATCAAAGTCCCTGCTCTCCTAAGATTTCCACCATAGTGTATCATCCACCAGTCTTTGGTCTGCCAGAATAACTTTACTCCCTCTTCATTTCTTAATCCATTCAATAAGCATTCACTAAGCACCTACTTACATGCCAGGCACTGTGTGAGACTCAGAAGGTCCAGGGCTGAAAAAGTTATGGTCCTCCCAGAGCTGACATTGTAGGGGTTTAGCTAGCCATCCAGGAGGATCAGTTACAGGTACATGACTATTTATAACACTGAGCTAGGTGACCACAACATTTCATTGGAAACATTCAGAGAGGGAATATGCCATATTGCAGAGAGAAGCTTCCAGTGATTCTCAAACTGAATTCTGAAAAGCCTGTAGGGGTTCCAAAGGGTTCTTCAGACACCACACTGAGAGTGAACTGGCTGCTATGTCCCTCCCTTGCTCTTAATCTGTTTTGCGTATTTTTTTTTTTTTTTTGAGACGGATTTTTGTTCTTGTTGCCCAGGCTGGAGTGCAATGGCATGATCTCGGCTCACCGCAACCTCTGCCTCCCAGGTTCAAGCGATTCTCCTACCTCAGCCTCCCGAGTAGCTGGGATTACAGGCATGCACCGCCATGCCTGGCTAATTTTTTGTATTTTTAGTAAAGACAGGGTTTCTCCATGTTGGTCAGGCTGGTCTTGAACTCCCGACCTCAGGTGATCCACCCGCTTCGGCCTCCTAAAGTGCTGGGATTACAGGCATGGGCCACAGCTCCCGGCCACTTACCTTTTATAAAAGATTTAATTTAAAGGGTTCTACTCTTCGAGAGAGAAGGGGAAAAAGAGGGGAAACAAATCCATGATCTAGTCTGATACTCTCTCATTTTACACATGTGAAAACAAGCATGCATTAAAGTTACATAATTTACCAAGGTCATATAGTGAGTTTGAAGCATGCCTAGGTAGGAAGCCAACTGTCTCTGCCTGTCTTAAGCTTCATAGCCTTCTTTTCTTTTTTTGAAATTTACACCAAGTCTGCAGAGGAAGCTCCAAAAACAAAGATTTGAATGTCTGTCAGTGGGAAAAGCTAATCAGTGGGATTCAGCAATAGATTCACTGAGGAATCTAGAACCTTTTCCTAGCTAGTTTGAGAATGCATATTACCACCTGGCTGGAGCAGAGAGCAGGGCCTTCCCCTGCCTTCTCCTGGCCTTTAAATCCCTGCCCAGCAGGCACAGAGCCATAACTGCAACAATGGCTTCTGCTGCACGTTTGTCAAGATTTGAGAAAGGGCTCATTTTGGGAATCCTGAGTGAGAAAATTCCCAGATCAGTTCTGTGCGTCTGCTGTGAATAGAGGCAGGAGAGATATTTCAACCTCACAGGAGCACGACTGTTTCAGACAGAGTATCAGAGAGTTCATAAATATGATGGGTTTTAGAAAGTGGAAAGACATCAATTTTGCCTGGAGCATTGGCCAGAAAAAAAATCGCATTATGTATCTAAAATTCAAAAGGAACATAACACCAACAACAAAACCTTTTGTCTGCCTTCCAAATGTTAAGTGCTATACACTTCCTCACCAAACTCATCAGAAATTCAAATAAACTGTTTGATCTATTCTTTCTCTGGCAACTGACATTTATTTTCACATACTCCCTGATCTATGCAAGTCTCTCAGACACACACAATAAAAATCAGACTTTATTTATCAGACATTTAAGGTTTTTCCCTCCAGGCTCCAGTAGCCTGAGAAAATCTCTAAGTTTGCCCTCTCTGCAGACTCACCACCGTCTCCTGCTCTACCCTCCTCTGATACACAAGAGGAAAACCCATTAAAGGGTATTGTACAACTCCAGGCATCCTACTCTCTCTAATCCACTTCTCTTATTTCAACAATACCCAAAATATTGCCGCCGGGCTCTCAATGAGGGTCAATTCAAAAGACATCCTGTGGCCACAGCAGTGAGCTAGCTTCCACCTGCAGGGCGGGCCCAGTAATGCTGGTGTCTGAGAAATGACAAGGAAGGGCCATTTACCGTCCCTCTCCATCAGAGAGAGGTAGCAGTGGCAGCTCGTTTGCTGGAATAAAGGATGCATAACTGGCCACATAAGCTGCTTCCACACTCCTCCTAGCAACTCTTCATGCCATGCATAATATCACAGAGCATAAAATTGCAGAGCCCAGCAATGAGGCCTCCAACCACAGCCTCAGGGATGGCGGCATGGTTCTACCACCTCCCAACCACATGGCTCCATCCACAAGAGAAATGGGTGAGAAGCCTTTAAGATAGATGTACATTGTTTATAGCAGAAACTCTGGATTTTTCCTCTCCTTAGATCTTCACCAAACATAACTTAATTCCCGCTGAATTAAGCGCACCTGAACACAACCTTATCTTCCCTGCTGCTTAACACAGGCTACCAGCCGCTTACCACAGTAACAATCTTCCAGCAAAACAATGCTGGAGTGCGCGCTGTGAGAGTTAGGCTACTCAAATGTTACGCTCCCCGCACCGCCGGCGAGGGGACAAATGACTACTCTGATGGATTCGGTAGCCCAAGGAAATTATCGCTTTCGGAGGGATGGCGGCAGAGCAGGTCGGGCATGCTGCATTTGCCTGAGTTGGACCGCGTGTGAGCGAGCTTACGCTCCCCGCGGGCCAGGCCCAGCTCCCGTGCTTTCTGACAGGTGAAGTTGAGCATCCTTATCAAACCCTCGGGAAGAACAACGATCCCATTCCACATCAACGTGACTGGAAATCTCAATTTAAGAATTGGATGCACCGGTCGGTCCACCTGGGGCTTGTCCAGCTTTCCATCTTACTTCGCGCCTCTGATGTGTCAGGCTTTTTGCACAGATAGCTCACATATTTAACCCTCAAAACACCGTTTCCTGAAGCGATGCTCAACCAGGAAAACTTGCCCCAAACTGCATGATCATCTTCCGTGGCTTCTCTTCCCGAATCCCTGCTCTGTCCACCAGGTGCGGCCCCGCCCCGCATCCGCACACACCTTTTCCGCCGCTGCCCTGAGCGCAGCGACAAGGGCCCCCACACCTCCGCGGCCCGCAATGCTCCGGGGCCAAGCCGAGGCAGGGAGGCGCTCCCGCAGCTCCTGACTTTACAACCCGCGCGCGTGTGCACCGAGCCGCGGGCACACCGCGAACACACACACACACACACACACTCGTGCGCTCCCGCCCTCCGCCCGGCCCGGGCTCTCCGAACTTACCTCCGAGGCGCCCCGGGCGCAGGGCCCGCCCTTCTCTGCGGGTCTCCAGCGGCTGTTCGGCAGTGGTCCGCACGGCCTCCGATGCCGCGCCTCCGGTAGGCTCCAGAGTCAGCTGGTCACTGTCACCCGGCAGCCCGGATTCCGCGCCCAGGGTTGCACCCCGCGGATGGAGCGACTTTCGCCTCCGCCGCCCGAGTCCAGGTCTGCGCTCACACGCGCGGCGCTCACACGCGCGGCGCCCACCTGGCTGCAGTCCCGGCCAGGGCCAGCGCGCCGCGGCTGAAGGGGGCGCTCGGACTCCTCTGGGGCGGCGCGCAGCCGGGACAGTCTCGCATGACGCCCGCGCTCCAGCGGCCCCGGGACGCGGCCTCACCCTCAACCCCTGGCGGTCTCAGCCTCGGTCTTTGTGTCTCGGTCGGCGTCGCCACGTCATGGGCTTGCAGGCTGGGAGCAGCGCGGGCCGGGAACGCGGCTGGGGAGAGCTGGGCTGGGCTTCTCCACCGCCGCCCGCCCGGGGCGCTCAAGCTGGCGGGGCGCACGGGCAGCAACTGAGCGCACCCTGGGGGACCGAGGGGGCGGTCCCGGGGAGGGGCGCGGCGTCGCGCCAAGGGGGTGCCCTGCCAGAGGCTGCGGCGGAGGAAAGTGGGAGTCAGAGCGCCGCCGGAGCCCCGGGAAGGCGGTGTCCGTTCGGTCCCAGGTCGCGGCTGCAGCGCCGAGGGGAAAGCGAGCGGAAGCTGCGCGCTGGAGGGAGCCCACCACCCGGAGCCACCCGCGGGGTTCGCGTCTCCCCACTCCCCTATGCTGAAGGTGACTGCGGCCCCCAGTGGCAAGCAGGGGCGAAGAGTGTCCTCGGCTCTCCTCTTCCCAGGGAGCACTCGGGGCTTCGGACTCTGCAGTGGTTTGCAAGGCCAGGGCCAAGTGGTCACTTCACTCACTGATTTCTTCTTTTGGCTGGTGTCGGCTTAATTGGGATCCAGATTGGAAAGACTGTCACGTGACCACCCCTCCCTGTTTCTCTCCCCCCCCACACACACACACATACTCACTCATTCACACACCCCCAAACCCCACGAAACTGGGATGGGTTTCCAAAAGCTTACTGGATACATGGATCAGAAATGGAGGCCTTCCGTGTCACCCTGTGTGCTGGAGTGGAGCCGAAACACAGCAGCTGCCTCTGGTGGCCCCATCTAGACAGATCCTGTCCCTGTGGCTGGGGAAGCTCACGTTAACAGCACTTTGCATCCCCAAGACAAGAACAACACAAACAAAAAGGGTGAGGGAGGGAATCATAGTTTCGGGGCCATGGAATCTCATTTCAAAAGGAAAGCAACACCCCCACCCCCACCACCCCACCTCCTTCCCTGCCACCGAGTTACCGAACAGAGCTGCTAAGGAGCATACCTCCCCAGGGACAGAGCCCTCTCGGGGGCTGTGGCGGCTTTTCCCTGGCCAGCTTCTCCCTGACATTTGCTACCTGTGATCGGAGCAAAGGCCCTGGGGGGACGCAGATCTCAGTCTCAGCCTCCCTCAGCTGTCTGGATGTGGGTGGCAACAACGCTTTAAAAGTGAACTTGCAGCTAGTCCCAAGATTCATTATCTGATTCTATTTTTTGGTGCATGTTCAAATTTTACCTAATAAAAAGTTTTTTAAAAACAAAACAAGCAAACAAAAGTGAACTTGCTAATAAATGGATACTTTAAATAACGCCCTATCAGGGTGATACGTGTTGACAACTAGATTTTCCCAGAGCTCCTCTCTGCCCAAGTTTTTAAAATCCATTTGCCTTTATTACCTTATTGTGAGGCAAGTTCAAACCTATTCTAGTAAGGGCAAACGGATTTGAAAATGTAAAGTAGGAGTGAAGTTTGTTTGATTCACTGTACCTTGCCTAGTGATTTTAAATTTGTAAGTAGTGCTGGCTCTGTCTTTGGGTCCCAATATTGTTTGTGGCAAAAGGGAGCATAAGCTTAAGGAGTAAAGGGGGTCCCCAGGGTAAGAAGCCTGTTTGGTAATAGCTAAAGACTGTTTGGGGGCCTCATTGTCCTTTGAGTTCAGGGGCAGATTATTTGAGACCTGAACAAGTATATATTTCTCCCAAAACCGAGAACAGTTGAATCCACATGGAACAATTAGGACAGGAAGCTGCGTGGGATCTGCCTTTTCTTTTGCTTTGAGTTCTTCTTTCCTGTTTTTTCTCCTGTTTCTTCATGAAATACTACCACAGAGACCACATTCTAGAAGGAAAAACCATAGCTTCCTGAAACTCAGATTCAGTAAAAATCTGCTTTTCCCTCCCTTAGTTCAGCTGAGGTCGGCTAGAGGTTTATTTAATTTCTTTCTGAAATAACCCTTTTGGAAAACAACTTTTAAAATTTGAAACAGCATAAAAGGAAAATGCAGATTAGAGCTTTCTGATCCTACAGTTACTCAGTTCCAGCCAGAGTTGGCTAGTGGTGTTTACAGACACAAAGGATTCAAGTGGTTGCCCTTTTCCCCTCCTGGCTACTGATTTCTGTAAGCCTGCCCCAGAAGCCCTCATTCAAGCCTTGGGAGGTATTCCTCTCACTTGTGGCCACTCACCCCTCCCCAAGTGGACACAGATACAGTAACACCTCAGCCAGGTGCTGTCTCCTCCTATGCCCCCCTCTCTGGGAAGAGGCTGGAACTTGGACTCCCTCTCCCGTTGCACACACGCACAGTGGACATCTTTGTGCACAGCCCATCTTCCCCACCTGGGGAAAAGTGAAGGTTATTTGTCTGCACTACTCACTGCACCAGAGTGATACTAAATTATATTCACCATTTATCTATGGACCCAAGGCATTCAGTTTGCAGGGGCTGGGGGATGACGCGAATTCATGGCACCACCCTCCCAGGATAAGTAGTTTAAAAAAATGTTTTGGTCTGGGCAATAGAAAGAGACTGACGATGAGATGGGAGACTGTGCACCAGATCACGAAGACAAGAATAGAATAAGCATCCAGAAACTATCCAGCCTCCACATTTTCCTCTGTTTCTAGTGGTGTCCCACTCAGATCCGAAATTTCACTTCATAATATCATTGGCAATGGTGTGAAAACCCAATGTGGTGTAAAAGAAACAGCCTTGAGTTTGGAATGTGAAGACATGGTTTTAGACATTTGATAAGTGATATAAACCACCTATGTGAACTTGGACAAATCACTTGACCTGGTTTTGGTCCTCTAGCATTTAAATGGAGGGTTCTACTTAAATTTAATATTTGAACCCAGAAACATGGACGGTTTCCATCTTACAGGATCGGAGGTTGATTATGAAACCTAATAAATTGATGAGGTCCATGTGATCCAGTCTCAATAAGTGTCCTATTCAATGAAACATAGTCCAGCAGCCAAGAGAAATGTATCATTAATCAAATCCTTCATTTGAACTTCTTAGAGACTAACATCCTCCTCTCTCTCTAAGCCCTTCTTATCTCAGCTGCTTTAAAGCTCCTCTTTCTCCAGTGCCCCCCAAATTCTCTCTAAATACATAACACACATCTTTCTTCATCTCTCCTTTCCTACCTCCTCTCTACTTTTCTGCATTGTGTAGAGCTATGCATTTTCTCTCTCCTGTCTTTAGGGGAGGGAAGGGGAAAGGAAAACTGTGGGCAAAATCAGAATTCTCTTTAGTGATAGAGGTAGGGGAGAAGACTGTGACCACTGACACATTAATACTTTTTAATCCATCATAATCAGATCTCCTGTGGTACATTTTAGATGTATTGAACTATTAGAAAAGGGCACTGGATATAGCATCATTATATAAAGATTTTGTCTCCAGCTCACCTACTATCTAGGTAAACTTGAGATAGTTTCTTAACCTCTCTTGAGCTTCAGTTTTATCATCTATAAAAGTGTAATAAGAGATTTCATAGAGTTTTTGGGAAGATGAGATAAATGGAAAGTGGAAGCCTCATAACAGGTATTCCGCAAAAGTTTGTGACTGAAAATGGCAGGCTGAAAGAAAAAACAAAAGGAAGGAAGAAAAGGGAGGGAAGGAGGGAAGGAGGAAGGAGGGAGGGAGGGGGAAGAAAGGAGGGAAAGAGGGAGGGAAGGAGGGAGGGAGGAAAGGGGAAGAAAGGAAGGAAAGAATGAAGGAAGGAGGGAGGGAGGGAGAGAGGGAGAGGAGGGAGGGAAGGGGAAGAAAGAAGAAAAGGAGGCAAGGAGGGATGGGGGAGGTAGAGGAGGGAGGGAGGAAGGAAGGGAGAGAAGAAGGAAGGAGGGAGGGAGGGAGAGAGGGAGAAGAAAGGAAGGAGGGAAGGAGGGAGGGAGAGGAGGGAGGGAGGGGGAATAAAGGAAGGAAAGAAGGGAAGAAGAGAGGGAGGGGAGGGAGGGAGGAAGGAAGGAGGGAGAGAAGGAAGGAAGGAAGGAAGGACTTTCATCTTGGCATCTAGGCATAAGCTTGAATGTACCAGTGAACAAGGAATTGGGCACGGGAAAACTGTTTCCTCCTCTGGGCTGAAAGGCTGAGCTGTAATCTCCTTTTGGATCCTGAGAGAAGATGTTGCTTTGCTGGCCGACAAAACGGCAAGCAGTACACATTTTTACAATCATGTCATTGGCATGGGTACCCCGTGATTAGTGCTTAGCAGCTCCCTCTCTGATTCTCCTCTGAGCTGCCCAAGAATCCTGTATCTGTATTTCTCCTGGGTACTCCAGGGTTGTCACCTGCCAGGACAGCACTTAGTGACTTCACCCTGAACCCAGAGTTTTTTAGATCTCATTCTATTAAGCCTCAGTTGTCCTGTATCTTATATAAGCACTTAAAAGGATATATGTCATGCACAAATAAATCTCAGAGATCATTTAAGATATAATTTTCAGGCAGTAGAACAGTAGCTTCTAACCTCTACTTCACTTCCTAGGGAAACACTTTTTGATATAATATCTGTTCCCAGAGGAATTCCACGAGTGGCAGGACTTTAGCTACAACAATAGGTTTATGAGACACAAATTTGGAGTGAAGTGGAATATAGAGCCACTCCCCAGCTCTTAACACTTTGTTGTGAGTTAAATGGGTAGAGATTGATAGTAGCAGATTGCCAATCATAAAAATGAGATCCAGAAGGAATGGTAAACTTCTGATTTTTTAACTTTTATTTTAGGTTCAGGGGTACATATGCAGGTTTGTTATATAGGTAAACTCGTGTCATGAGGGTTTGTTGTACAGATTATTTTGTCATCCAGGTATTAGGCCTAGTACTCATTATTTTTCCTGATCCTCTACCTCCTCCCATCCTCCACCCTCCAGTAGGCCCCAGCCTCCATTGTTCCCTTCTTCGTGTCCATGAGTTCTCATCATTTAGCTCCCATTTATAAGTGAGAACATGCATTATTTGGTTTTCTGTTCCCACATTAGTTTGCTAAGGATAATGGCCTTCAGCTCCATCCATGTCCCTGCAAAGGACATGATCTTGTTTTTTCATGGCTGCATAGTATTCCATGGTGCATATGTACCACATTTTTTTATCCAGTCTACTATTGATGGGCATTTAGGTTGATTTCATGTCTTTGCTATTGTGAATAGTGCTGCAATGAACATACGTGTGCATGTGTCTTTATGGTAGAACTATTTATTTGCCTTTGGGTCTATACCCAATAATGGATTGCTGGGACAAATGGTAGGAATTATAAACTTCTAAGTGATGCTGTGAATTATAAATGAATCTGAAACTAGAACTGAGTTCTTCTGAATGCAGCCCAGTGCTCACAAAGGGTTACTTCCTAAATTTCCTAAAATACGGCCTGGAGTTCAGAGCATCTCTATGCTGTCTAGGAGCTTCCTTGAGTCAGGCTGGAGACTAGGGGCCTCTCTAGACGAAGGTGAGTATAGCAGTACCCATGGTCCCCTTCAGAAGGCTGGTCCCAGGGAGCCAGGCTGAGCATACTACAGCTTGAGTTAATCCATGCTCCACTGAATTCTACTCTCCTGCTTTGCAAATGGCCTTTCCAAGCAGAGGCTGCTGTGGTGGCCTGTTTGGCAGATGCAGAGGATATTCGTTTTTTGTTATTTGGCTGCCCAGATTCCAAATTCTCTCCCTATTTCAATGGAAGCTGCCATAGTGAAATTTCAAGAGCCTCTCTTCTCCTGAACCTTGACAGCATGGGCACGGGCAAGTGGCCCGAGCTTGGCCAACCCAATGCTTTTGCCTGAGGCTGTGAATCTGAAGCCAGGGACGATGTGAAAGAATCTGGTGACAGTCTGAAAATCGTCCCACCCCTAGTGGTAGTGGCATCCAGGGTACAATGGTCTGAGTCCAGTAGTGGGAGCAACAGAGCCTAAACAGCCTCTTCCTGTGGCACGACCTTGGCAGTGATTCCAGCCCCCCAACTCCCCCAGTTTCCTTCAGTTCCTGCATGCATATTTTCCGATACTGATTCTCTGGCCCCACCACTGATTCTGTCAGCTCCTGATATCCGTTCAGTAGATTCCTTCACTCTCCAAGCACGCCAGAGTCAGTGTCTGATGTTGGCAACCCAGAGTCCTGACTGGTGCATGAGAGATTGGCTTTTGACTCTTGGAAATGATCATGCCCTGGAAGTCCCAGACAGGACAGCTGCGTTGAGATCCAGCTCCGAGTGTCCAGCCATGATGAAACAGAACTCACCAGGCCACAAGAGCTTCCTGATGCTTCCCTCTCCTCTGCAGGATACAGGGCCTATTGTACAACACAGGGGCTAAAGTGTGGTGTACTGACCAAGGAGGCAGGAGGCTTGGGTTCCAGGCCCGGCTCTCTCGTGTCTGGCTCTGGTACCTTGGCCAAGGCACTGCAGTCTCTGGACTTCTGTTTCCTCAGCTGTCGAATGAAGAGGCTACACCATATGTTTCCTAGAGACCTTTGCCACTCCAATGCTCAAGGATTCCTGGATGTCTGGGGAAGAGTCCCCAGTCATCCTGGCTGCCAATTTTTACCTCCAAACGAGTGAGGCTTGTTGGTTGAGCTGCCATGAATGAGAGATAAAGGAGGAAACAGTGGAGAGGGGAAAGGAGCTTTGTCCATGGTTTGAGATTCTAATTTCATCATGTGAGGTGAGGGAGGAATGAGACATGCTGTCCTGGTACAGGGGTAAGTGGGGAAATCAATATATTTTGGGCATTACCATTTAACTTACAGTCACCTATTAACTTGCAGTGTTCAAATGGGATGACAGTTATATACATTGTTAAAGAAGAACCATGGGCCTGGCACGGTGGCTCAGGCCTGTAATCCCAGCACCTTGACAGGTGGGCAGATCACCTGAAGTCAGGAGTTCAAGACCAGCCTGGCCAACATGGTGAAACCCCATCTCTAATAAAAATACAAAAATTAGTCGGGCGTGTTGGCGCATGACTATAGTCCCAGCTACTTGGGGGACGGAGGTAGGGGAATAGCTTGAACCTGAGAGGCAGAGGCTGCAGTGAGCCAAGATGGTGCCCCTGCACTCTAACCTGGACGATAGAGTGAGACTCTGTCTCAAAAAAATAAAAAAAAAAACACAAACAAACAAAAGAAGAACCATGACTCCTCCTTTTTACGACAATAATTGCACACTAATGCTTATATAATTTATAGATGTCATTGTTTTTGTTGAAACATGAGTGTTGAAACTTGCATCCTGGGAAGAAGTATCTAGGCCTTCCTTCTATTTCTTCTCCACAGCACCCAAGCATCCAATAACATCCAAGTGACTTGGAAAGCAAAAGAATGAATTTTTGTGGATTTGGGTCGCTGATATATCCCAAGCACTAAAACAGTGCCTGAAATACAGTAGGGGCTCAGTAAATATTTGCCAAGTGAGTTCGATGTTCTTGTAAAAATTACCGAGCATGAATCTCTTTCATTTTCAAGTCCCCACAACTAAATGCAAGACCCAGCACATAATAGGTGCTCAGCACATGTTTATAGAATCATCTCTGTACTTTCATGCAATTTTATCTGGGCACTTCCCAGCCCAAGCTTAACATTAACCTTATAATATCCTCACGCTGCAGCAGGGATTTGGTTTATTTGTTATTTTATCATGACTTGACAGATGGGAGAAGAAAGCCACAGTGCTGTGAATGAAATGACTTCACCACGTCGTTCAGAGAGTGGGAGTTCTCTAATGCTGTTCTAACATTTTCTCCACTAGACTGAACTTCAAAAAGAATTAGATCTCAATTCAGCATACCTAAATAATATTGCCTGAAAAGGAAAGTTCAACGAAAGGAAACTCAATCGAAAAGGGTACTTAAGGGATTGCTGGTGCTTCAGGTGCTATTTTGTGATCAGATAAAGCCTGGTCTCTCTATCTGAATGTCTGGTAACTAAGCCTCATTCTGAGAGTCCCATTATTTCCATGGAGTTATCTGGATCACTGAGATAAACAAAAATATTTTTAGGGTCGGCATTGATGGGCATGCCTCCAGGTTTCCACTGAAATAACCACCTCCTTCATGATGTCAGGGATGTTAGGTTGGTAGACAGCTTGAATCATCCAAAATTATCTACCAGCTAAGCAGAAGAAAGATAGCTCTGTTAGCACCAGATCACAGGGTGGCATGCATTTTATTCATTCTGTGAAAACACCAGTGCTACCAATATGTCAGGCCCTCTGTTAGCTGCATCTGAATGCAGAGATGTCAACAGAAGCTAACAATTATCTAGAATTTGTTACATGCCAGGTATGTGTTCTGAGACTTATCTTACTTAATCCTTACAAAAATCCTATAAGGCAGGTCATGCCATTATTCCCACTTTATGGATGAAAAATTGAGGCAATGAAAGGTTTAGTTATTTCCCTAAGGTTACAAAGATAAGAAGAGCTGGAGCAGGGATTTCAGCCCAGGCAGCCTAATTCTAGAACCTACGTGTTGAATGTTTATACCATTCTGAGATGAGTGACACATAGTCCCTGCCCTCAAAAGTCTCACTGTCCACTGGGAAAGGCAGATGCCAAGAAAGTCCTTATAACTCAGGGTGACCAGGGAGTGCAGGATGGTGTGGGGACACTGAAGAGGGTGGGCCATAGAGGAGCCATAGGAGTGTCGGTTATTGTTAAATAAATTGTTTAATTTATTGTTTTGAATAGGTAATAATACAATGGTATAAAATGTTACAACACTCAAAAGAAACCAGCTAGTTTCCTTGTCCAGAGACAACTGCTTTACCAGTTTCTTATATGTCCCTCCAGAGATAGACTAAGGAAATAAAAGAAGGTCAGCATAGTCTGTTATTTTTTTATACAATGCTAACATTCTATACACATTATCTTACATGTTAATTTGTTTCACCATCAACATAATATTTTAGAGATTACTCTAACAGTATTTATAAGGCTGCCTTATTATTTTTTAATTAAGCTTTTTATTTTGAGATACATATAGAGTCACATGCAGTTATCTTATGTTTTATGGTTGCATAATACTCCATTGTAGAGATAACCATAATTTATTTAATGAGTCTCTATAAGGGAATATATAGGTCATTTCAAAAGTTTTGCTGTTATAAATGTCAATACAATTAACAGACTTGAACATATTATTTCACACATTTGCAAGGAAATGCCTGTAGGATAAATCCTTAAAAGTGGAACTGCTGAATCAAAGGGCATATGAAATTTTAATTTGTCAATATTGAAATTTTACCTTCCCTTGAGGTTACACCAATATACACTCTCCTCCAACTGAGACTTCAGTTCTGCAATGGTTTTATTTCCTCTTGTTCTACCTGCCCATGTTTTACCTTCTTCTGTGGTCTGGCCAAACTTCCCTCACCTTCTCTCTTATCTGCCCTTTAAGCTTTAGTTATATACAAGTGGCAGCTTCATTACACTTTTTGAACTGTGGCATCTACTTGGCACAATTTTGTGGCAACATTTTTCCAGTGAATGTTCTTCATTTGCCATTTGTTTTTTTTTCTTTTCCATTCCTCTCTTTCTGATCTTGTTATTCATTTCTGAGTGATATTGTCTCTGCATATCTGAAACCCTTTTTTTTTTTTTTGGAGACAGAGTTTCACTCTCGTTGCCCAGGCTAGAGTGCAGTGGCTTAATCTTGACTCACTGCAACCTCCACCTCCCGGGTTCAAGTGATTCTCCTGCCTCAACCTCCCTAGTAGCTGGGATTACAGGTGCCCATCACCACGCCTAATTTTTTGTATTTTTAGTAGAGACGGGGTTTCACCACGTTGGCCAGGTTGGTCTCGAACTCCCAACTCAGGTGATCCACCTACCTCGGCCTCCCAAAGTGCTGGGATTACAGGCGTGAGCCACCACGCCTGGCCTGCATATCTGAAGCCTTTAACTCAGAAGGGATGTTTTACAGTGGTGCCTCCTGACTGTGAACAAATAAGAACTTACTCCTTGAGAAAAGTTATTCACTGAAGGTTTGGGGATGAGGGCTGGGGCCTCACTGGAGGTTGGCAGACCCCCTCTCTGTTCACAAGGTCATATGAGGTGAGACACTGGGGATGGGGGCTGTTTCAGCATTCACTTAGTTCCTTTCCTTTGCAGAGGCCAGCTCCTGCCGGCTGCTCATAGTGCAGTCTCTCTCCTTACCCCACCTTGACAACAGGCTGCTGACTGCATATACAATGTGTCTCCATCCACTCAAACTCCCACTATTTCTCTCCACGTCAAACTAGCTTCAGGCAAGTTCCCACCACCAGGCGACCCACCCTTTTCCCTTTCCTCTAAACAAGGCATTTCCGGGTTTTGGCCTGAGGATATGTTGCCTTCCCTGGAGAAGTGCTCGCTTTGCCTGGGATTTGTACAGGCAGGTGGGCAGGTGTCCCCTCTGGTGTCTTCCTTTACCCCTAGCATTCATATGGCTTTCACTGCCTTTGGAAGCCCCTCCCTCATTCACTTACTCCATGTTTCATCAAAGATGGATTCTGAACTGCTTTTGCCCCTTTGGAGACCATTTCTAAGAGTAGGGGGAGGTGGCATGACCTCTTCATCCCTTTACCCTAGAACTTCATTCAAATCCAAGAGGTGTTCAATTGGAGCTTGACTGCTGTGTCTAGAGAGATCTACTGCCCACCTCAGGGACACCTTCCTGCTGTGGCTGAAGGGAGAGAGACAGGTTTCAGGTAGGTGCAGTGGCAAAGATGCAGGAGGATCAAAAACCTCCTGGACCTGGAGGGAGAAGACCTGAGATCAAGTCCTTCCTTTGCTGCTCACTCTGGATAGATCTTCAGGCAGGTCACTGTGCCCTCCATAAGGAGGTCACTATCATCATCCTAGGCTGGTGCTGACCCACAAACTGCTACCTGCCCACAATAGCAGAAATTCACAAATCAGGGTAAGTATTCAGAAACTTTCATAGCACTTTGACAGAGTAATTTTATGTATGTTGAATTTAATAATAAACAATGCTGGCTTATATTTTTGTGTGTCTATTTTGTTACTGTAATTTTTTTACTGCATTACTTTTTTCCAATATTTTATTCAAGTTTTATTTTAACTGATGTTATTTACAGCATTTGAAGAGGAGGATTTAATTCCACACAAAATGGAAGACCCTGAAGTGTACCTATTAAACTGCTAAAAGATAAACTGAGTGATGAGAATACAACAGAAGTCCAATGTAGATTCTGAGTATCGTCACCATGTGATTACAATCATACAGACTCTTTCAAGCTTAGAGCTGGAGCTCCTGGAAGCTATTTCGTACTCTAGTGCAAGAGCAAAAAACCACAACATGAAAGGAATTAAGTCCTGAATTATTGGCTTCATTACATCCACCATTTCCACCCCAAAATGACCCAAAAGAAACAGTGACCACACCCTGTAGGCCTTTTGGTGTAAAAGAGGTGATGAACTGGGGCAAGAACAGGTCATGAAGATTTGTCTATAAAAGTCCTTTTCAGGTGAGTTTGTACACCACCATAGAGCAATTCGCCTCATATCAATTAGGGTTAGGAAACCAAGTTTCAATTCTCAGGAAGTCACAATTTCATTCATTTACTCAATATGAATTTACAAAGTGCCCACATATTACCAGCTTCCACTTGCAGTCATTTCTAGATAAAAAAGAAGCCTGGTATCTCTAGAGGGACCACCAAGTTTCCCCCAAGCCTACAGCTGAATTACTTTTGCGATAATTTGTAATTCCTGTAATTATTTTTCCAAAAATTTATTCTTATTTTACTGTATAAAAGTATTGATTTGAGTAAATTGGACATTTTTTAAAATACTGGTATTTCACATCAGTTAGTCTGAGAATCACTGCTCGATAAAACACCCACATTGCCTAATGATGTAGGCAAATTACCTGAGTCCTTATTAAAAATGTGTATATTAAGTTCTCCCTGTAGAATGATAATCTAATGGATATAACATTCAAGCATCAAAAGTTTTCTTCTTCCCTCCCTCAGCATCTTAAAGATTTTTCCTCATTGTCTTCTTCCACCTAGTGTTACTGAGACAAATTTGATTTTCATTCATACATAATAGTCTATCTTTATTCTCTGGAATTTTAAAGAATTTTCTTTGTCTTTGATGTTTTAAAATTTCACTACAATTTGTTCAGGTGTTGTTTGTTGGTTTGTTTTTTAATTCACCCTAGTTGGTAAACAGTAGGCCTGTTCAATCTTTTCTATGGTTGTAGACAATTAAGCTTTTTTTTCTCAGATCTTGTATTCTTCTCACCACCATTCTTTCTATTCTCTTCTTCTAAAATTGTTATTAAGTAGATTTGGGGGCCTTTGGATTCATCCTGCATGTCTCCGAACATTCCCTTTATGCTATGTATTTTTTCTCTCTTAAACCATGATTTGAGAGAATGCCTCAGTTCAGTCATATATTTTATTAATTTACTCTTTGATTCTAGTCATTCTATTCAGCTCGTTTATTGAACATTTTATTTTAGCATTCATGTTTTCATTTCCAAGATCTTCTTAGTTATAAAATATCTTTCTTCTGTCCTAACTATGTGCTGTCTGGGGGAGGGAGAGAGGACATGAAGCTGTTGCACATAGACAGCAAAGTCCCCTCTTCATAAAGGGTTACATGTTACCAGCTTCCACTTGCAGTCATTTCTAGATAGAAAAAGAAACCTGGTATCTCTAGAGGGCATGCTGGGGGACACCCACGCAGCTGGCCAGTGGACAGTCACAGGCAGCAACTGCAAAGTCCAAGCCCATTCAGATCCCACTTGAAGTCTGGCACCATCTGACACTGGTGGTGGTCCACTTCAGTTTAAATATCAGTGGAGACTATCTTGAGTCATGAGGCTTCTGAGAGTTCCAGGACACCAGAAACTATTCCAGGGCTCCCCTGATTAGTTAGTTCCCACCTTATCAGCTCAGTCTGAGAATAATCCCGGGGCAGGAAATACTCTGCCTCCCAGCTTCCCTGCTATCCCTTTTCCTGCGAGGTCTTGCCCTCTCACCATGCCACCGCTCCCCATCCCCACAATAGCTAAGAAGGGTAGCCTATGGCCGAGGCATGAACCAACACCCATCACATTATATCTGAAGTCCCAGTAGGGTCGATGTGTTCCTTTAGAATTAAACTCTTCCTTTGTTTGGATGAATTGACTCATTTACATGGGGTTTGCTCTCTGCAAATGTTTGCTGCCTTTAATTGCAGGCTCGTTTTCTTAGCCAAGACTCAGTTAGTGGATCTCCTGCTGGGCTGGGAGAAGATGAAGGAATCACCCCTGCAGAATGCACTGCGCTCATGGAGTGAGGCCAGCTGGCTGGGCTCCTAGGGCAGCTGTCCATCTGGGCATTAGTGTCCCCTTTTCTCCCAGGGCCCTGCCTGTCCTTTCCAGTCCAAGCATCTATACCCACTCTTCCGGCTGGAGGAAAACAGCATTCCTGCTGCTAATCTCGGGCTCCCTCCTGCCCCCAGCTTTTGCCACCTTTTGACAAAGAGCATCCTCAATGTTATCCCCATTTCTCTGTCCCAAATTGTTCACTTATGGTGTCCCCAGCTGTCCTTCCCTCTGCTATCTTAGGGCTTTCCTTGGTGGCTTTCTGCTGTCATCTTTCAAGGACCCATCACAGATTCAACACTGAGAGTACCCAATGTGGTTTCCAAGGGTGAATAGCTTACAAAACATTATTTTATATCATTTCTATGGAGTTTGTGGATAGGCAGAGTGGGTGCAGGGGACTGCGAAACCATGCTAATGCCACTAAATCAATCTTCACAGCGGTGTTTTTAAAAGACAGTTTACACCTAAACATCTTACTTAAATAACTTCTATTTTTAGCTCTTAATAGCTTTGCTCTGTGACTTTGAACAAACATTTCACCTCTCTGATTTCATTTTTTTACCTATAAATGGAAGATCTGGGCAAGATGATCTTTAAATTTCTCTCTAGTCTGCAATTCCACATTTCTGCCTTAAATGCAGCTGTGTGTGATCAAAGGAGTGGGGCTTTCTGCTGGGATTCCCATAAACAACTGACAGCCTTCCCATCCTTTATCTCCAAGGAGAATCACGTGATTAATTCTACCTTTTCCCAGTCCTTGCATTTGCACTCCGCATTACAGTTTTACTTGTCATTAACTTGGATGACACTCATTTAGAATGTATGATAATTCCGTAACTGGACCAAAGTTTATCTTCGCTTCGTAAAATCGTGGCTTCATGGAAAGTGCAGATAAACAGTGTCAACAGCACGGCCAAGCCCGTGTTCAAAATCCTTAAGAAGCAGCTATTTTTCAAGTCTCTGCAGGCATTTCCAACATGTGCTTTTGTATCTACCAGGAACCAACTTTTAATCCACAGCATTAAACCAAATAGCCTGATGGTCAGGCCTCTTGATGGCTCTAAGCCTGGCTGCTTTCCCTTTGGCCCTGCTGTGTGCGTTTGCTCCATACTTTTAAAGATGGAAGAGCGAAGAGCCCACACTGCAGAGGGGATCAAACAGTAAAACAGAGAAACTCTGGTTCTGCAGCAGCAAACAGATGATTTCTAACCACAGCTGCTGCAGCCTCATAAAAAGGATGCAGGGAAGCTGATGGAAGACACAGGAGATGGCCAGGGAGGAGATCTCCAATTAATGAAGGAGGAAGCCCTTTCAGGTACCATTTACCACACAAAGTCAGACACTAACAAGCCATTTCAGCAGGAAGACCTGCAGCTTTGGAGGAGAAGCCCGTCTTCGGGATCCACATATTTTACAAGTGCCATAGATGATTTCTAAGCCCACCGCTAGTGGAGAAATACTGTGCTGATTAGAAAGGATTATTAACCTTGGTTAATAAGACTCATCCTGCAGTGATGCCTGGAACTATCTGCAATTTAATAGACAGATGCTTACATTAACAGCTTCCTAAACTGTGTATTCTACATTCTTGTGATTGTTAAGGAGGTGTAATTGAACTATGTGAACCTGGCAATATTTGCAACTCAAATCCCTATGTCTGAGTGGGCAGAGAAGATGAAAGCAGCCTCCTGCCAAGAAGTGAACTTGGACAGAGTACCTGCTTGTGTTGGAGCCTGCTGGCCCTCTCTGTGGGTGGACAAAGTCAGGTGAGCTCACGGTACCTGTGTTGCACATGTGACGCCTGGCAGCTGTCTGCCTAAAAGAAAACTTCACAAATCCCTGGGAAGGTAGAGATTTTCCAGAGCCCTGAGGAAAGGGCTCATTGTCAGCTGGTGTCAAGGCCTCCCCTGTGTCCAAATGGATGTAGTGAGGATGCTGAGAGGAGGAGCAGAGGTCACAATGGACACTAATGGCCTCTTTTACCATATGCTGATTGGGAGTCAATGGTCCTAGAGACTGGGTATTCTTGCAAGCTAAGAAGGTAGAACCACGGTGTTCCTCAGCCAGCCACCATGATCTCGGCCTGCCTCGCTGACTGCTGTGAATTTGTGGCACTCAGATTCAGGGGTCGATTGTTAGATTTAGTCTCACTTTTCCCGTTTGCTATTCTAACGCCCTTCAATAGCTCAGATTATTTGCATAATGAGTTTCCCCCTCAGCCCTGTATTTGCCTTGAAGAGATCAAACTCCACAAGATGTTTGAAGATCTCTACACTACCATGAAGCTGAAGAAAATGGCCCCATCAGACTGGATTGCCATTATTAATGAAGTGGTTCTGTCCTGGTAAGATGAGACTTACGACCCCTGGAAAGAGATCACATTGCTGGCAAGCTAGGAATTTCTCATAATGGGCAGTGGATCCTGGCTGGCCAATATTTTTGGCCAAGAAATCTGTTCGATCACAAACAAGCCCCTCCTTTCCAGATGTGCCAGGCAAGAAATTTCCATACCAGCTGCCAATTCAGGGCTGAACTGATAACTTTAAGACTGATTTATAAAAAGGCAGAATAGGAAGCCAAGAGAGACATTTTCTGAAAGCTGTCCATAGTGGTGTCTGTGGCAGCTTTGGCTATGATAGAAACAAGTTTCCGGTGTTAAGAAAAGAATTTTGAAAAGTATGCTATATTCACTAAGATGATGTGTTCCTCGACCACTAAAATGAAATTAATATCTGAAAGAGAAACAAATTTAAGATACGCTATGTGAACAAAAACTTCAAAGGAATCATATACTGTGTATTACCATTGCAACAAAGAAAATATCTACCTTGGCATATGAACAAGAATTGGAAGGTATGGAGCAGAAGGGAAAGTAATAGTTGATGATTTTTTCTATAATTTTTTAAAAGTATTGCCTTACTAAACACACACAAATAAGTTTTCCTGCCACACCATGGGAATTTTGTTTGTTAAACCCCTGAGCTATCTCCAGGTCTCTATGTTCTCAGCATACAGGCCTGTAATTAAAATTTCTGTTTCATGCTTCTTGACCTTTTCTGGGAGTGCTGCTTTTGTTATGGCTTTGACACACTCAGACGTGAGCCCCTAGAGTGATGTAGAGGGAAAGATCCAGCCAGCCCTAAGGAACCTGGCCTGAATGCACCCTCTGTAAGTTGCCTCTGTTCACAATCCAATCAAGTAGAGCCCTCATCCAAATTCATCACGTAATTTCCCAAAACTAGGTCCACAGTGCAAAGGTTTTACCGCAACTACTACCGATTTTGGTCTGCAACTTCAAAAGAATTCAGCCACCCTTGGCAGAAAAATAATAATACCCTCCTGATATCAGATTAACAGATACGATCAAGAAATTGCAAATAAGATTAAAAGGCCCAAGTTGGGTAATCTGTAGCTCCTTCGTGCTTTGGAGGATATTGAGAAGGCACATTTATTGACTTATTAGAAATGACATATGGTCTCATCCAGCCACTGACCTGTGGCTCCCTGTGGCTGACATTGTTAAATGCAGGACCCCTCAGCCCTGGAGTCACGACCTTTCAGTAGGTGCCTATCAGTCTCTGGGTGTGCCTGTCCCTATTCCAGACTAACAGCAACTCTTGGTTCCCCATGAGCACCCTGTGCTTTCCCACTCTGTCCTACTTGGCAGGGCCCCTCACCCTGGAGGCCTGTAGGGCTTTCCCCCATGTGAAACTTATCCTGACACCTCACTGGGTTTCCCACATCTGCATGAGGAACCCAACACAGCATCACTGTTTATTCCTTATCTTGACATGGACAACCTCAAAGATTCAACCTATGGTCGCTGAACACAGGCCCATTGTTAAAATTTGTGACTGTCTTTTCTTAACCTTGCTGGAAAGCTCTGCATTTTATCACAGATTAGACATGCTCAAGATCCAAACCCCTTGAGGACCTAAGGGTGCTGGTTTGTACCCGTCTTGGAGTGCTCACTGCATTATGCCTTGAGCTATAATTATCTGCATGCTCCAGGTTAATTCCCCCATCCCACCCCAATTTGATCGGGTCTTACTCATCTCTGAACCCAAGTGCCCCTCTAGGCACATTACAAGCACACAATACCTTCTCAATAATTATTTATGAAATTCAGGTGACTGTTCCAAGGAGGTCACCTACATCTCCAACCACGCTAAAACTGCCTTCTTTTTAGCTATACCATCCTCATTCTTATCTCCATACCTCAACCTCCCTGTCCATCCATTCAAACCATATTTAGCCATCAAAACTCAGCTCCAGCTACACTTCCACCTTAGCTTCTCCCCCGGTTTGCCTCTTACCTACAGCTTTCTGTCCTCTTCATAGTTTCAACCATGACTACATCACATATCCTGACACATCACTACTTTTCTGTACTTGTGGTTTACTCATTCATTTGTTCCACAAAAATCATTGAGAATTTTTTGTGTGCCATGTTCATGGGAATAGAAAGATTGAAAACATGCATGTAAGTAGAAGGTTGCTTGGTAGGAGGAATTCAGTGCACAGGGATCTTAACCTATATATTAGGGCTCTTTGTGTGCACTCACAGAATCTGAAACTGGCTATCTTGAATTGAAAGAGAAGTTATAGGAAGGATGTAGTGTTGCTTCCAGGAGAGAAAGAAAGGCAGGAAACCCCAGCACAGCACATAACAAATATCTGACAGCAACAAATGCAGGCATCCCACATTTTCAGTCCCTTTGCTTCTTTCCATATCATTAACATTCAGGGAATGGGTGTATCAGTAGCCTAGTGTGTCCTATTTCACAACTAGACAAAGGCAAGATCTAATTAAATACATACCCCACCTCCCCCTAGACAGTATCCCATAGAAGAGAAGTAAAAGCTGGCTGCCATTTTCAGTAGAAGGTGGAATAGGTGCTAGACAGCCATAAACAATTAATATCCATCATAGTGCACAGTGATATGTTCAAATATTTAATAGCATAAAGTTAAAACTGTCTGATGTATCCAGTTCTATAACCAAATCAGACCTGCCACTTAGCACAGTCATGACGAGGTTGGTATGAAGGCATCCTTACCCCTAGATAGTGCTGGGATACACACTGTCCAACCAGGACTCACAGATAATTCTTTATTCTAACTAGATTGTAAAGTTCCTGCTTGAACAAGAGCTATGTAAAGTTTATTCCCATGCTCATTCCTGTATCCTCCCAGTACCTAGCACATGATCTATGTTCAAATGAACACACCTTCAGCACTACTAAATTGGGACAAGGCCAAGGTTTCTTACCTGGATGGCAATTTCCCCTCTTCAAACCTCACCATGTGTGTATTTTAAGAAGGTGATTATTTCAGTCAAGAATTTCACTGAAGGAGTCAATACAGGCTCTTTGATCAAAGCTTCTTGTTGTTTCCATGGAGGAGCAACCCCTCTGTTGGGTTCTGCAGAGCATCTGGCATGTGGCACACTCCTTGATGAGCCAATAATTGGGTGGATCACAGAGCTCTACATACAGCTGTCTGCGTTGCAAACGATTGACCTGCCAGTGCTTTGAAGGGAGCTTGGGTCCACAGCTACAGTCCTTCTCTGAATCTCTTTTTTAAAAATCTTTTAAGTTTAGGGGTACATGTGCGGGTTCAGAACCCTGGCTGGAGAGCTAGTGTGGTCATTTGGAGAAAGAAGGTACTCTAGTTTTTTGTGTTTTCAGAGTTCTTGCTCTGGGTCTTTCTCATGTTTGCAGACTGATGTTCCTTCAGTCTTTGAAGTTGCTGTCCTTGGGATGGTTTTTTTTTCTCTTGTATCCTATTTGATGACCTTGAGGGTTTGCTTGTGTTATAAGATGAGTTCAAATGACTGGCTTCATTTCTGGAAAATTTCAGGGAGCCAAAGCTAGGCTTCCAACTCCTAGACTGCATACCCTAACCCTAGGGGATTGGTATCAGGCCCAACTTCGTTCTCTGGCTCCTCAAGGTTAGGAACCCACTGTGCTGGGTGCAGCCAAGGTGCTCCCTGACTGCTGGTCACAACACTCCAATGGGTGGTGCCAGCCAAAGCATTTTGTAGGGCAGTGGCAGTGGAATCTGTCCTCATTCACATGTGCCAGTGGTAGTGGCAGTGGCAGCGCAGCAGGGTGCATGCTCATTGGCTATGGCAGGGTGCTAGGGGGTGCCCAGGTGCCAGCCTCCATGTGGGCATTGGCAGCAGCAGTGGAGGCAGCATGACATGGGAAGGTGGGCCCCTCACGCCCAATGGCAACTTCGCATGCTGTCCCGCTGGTAGTGGTGTTAGCATGGGAGCGGGAGACTGGCAGGTGCTGGTCTGCGTGCACCCTCTGTCTGAGTTTTTGCAGGCAAGGGTGGCTGCTCAGGGTGTGGTAAGTCCACTGTTCTCCCTGCCTAGTTTCACTCCAGCAGCAGTGTTAGTGCAGGGGCAAGGCACTGGTGAAGGTGAGGCTGGTGGACTCTGTGCCTGCCAAGGCTTTGACTGCAATGATGGCATGGTGTGGGGAGGAGGAGGCTGAGTTCACTCATGCCAGCAGCAGTGGCAGGGCAGGGCACATGCACACATGCACACTGGCAGGGCAGAGAAGGCAAGATCTGCCTGCTCACATGTGCACCAGCAGTGATTGGGGGGGATGGCCATGGGCCCAGCGGAAACTGCAGTAGAGGAAGGAAGTGGCTGGGCTGGTGCATGTCCATAGGGGCTGCTGTGCTGGAGCTTTCTGCTTTGGGTAGCCCTGGGGGCCCGCATCACAGCTACTGCACTGGCAAACATGGTGTGGTTTGCCAGCACAGGAGCTGTGATGCGGGCCCCCAGGGCTACCCAAGGCTGCACTGCAAGCAGGCACGGCCAGTCTGGGGCTCCAGGAGAGACCAGAAAACCAAGGGGTGCTCAGGTTATTGAACTGGCCTCATCTGACAGGCAAGACCACCCTGAAGAATTTAGTTTCAACAGTCCCCCTAGGGTTAAAGTCTGCCATGGGAGCAAGTCGAGCCTAGAGGGATGGCTGTCCCTGGCTATGCTTTATTGCAAATGCTCCCACACCAAACCCTCTGGGCTCCACCCAGGCTGAAGTGCTGCCCCTACCACTTCTCCAAGCAACTCTCCCTGCCAGCTCAAGTGTCTGTGGTGGTCAAGGAGTCTCCTCCTGCCGGGATTCCAGAGGCCTGTGGTGAGAGCAGGTTGTTCCTTGCCAGTTTAACTCACCTGTTCCCCTGGAGTCACTGGGGACCAGGAGCTAGTCCCAGTGCATGGTAGCTCTGTGCAGCAGCTTCCTCCCACTTCAGCGTAGCTTCTGTGTCTTCCCTCCATCCACTCTCAGTGCCTCCCCGCTGAAAATCTGTTAGGAGGGTGCCAGTCGTCCCAGTCCCTCGGTGGCAGGTGTTCCGCCTGGCTGCATATAGTCGACCATCTTGTCCACCTCCTTCCAATAAGCTCCTCTGAATCTCTTCATTGTTCAAAAAGATAAAAAGATTTAAAGGATGAAATGTGGAACCATGAACTGCCCAGGATAAAGCCCTCCATTTGCATTCTCTAGTTCTGTTGATTGCCTAGCCCCTTTGTGGAAGAATTTACCTTTATTGCTGGCTCTAATTATCCTCCCCTAGCCAGAAAGTTTACACATTCACCTGCCAGAAATGGGGAGCTCTTGGGAACCACAAGATAAATTGAACAGGCTCTAGTTCCTGTTTTTCCCCTGGATGCCTGTGTGACCCCGGGTGAGTTACCTAATATCTCTGCAACTATTTCTTCCCGCATACCTTAAGTGATTAAATAAAATGATCAGTTCTGGAATTCTGAAAATTTCTTTGCTATTGCTAATTATGAGCAACCAGCATGTTTCTTGTTCTCGGGTTACAAATCAGTAAGACAAATATAAAGAGAATGCTTTGACATCAGGGGTCAAAAGACACATAAAACACTATCGTATAGATGTGACATTCCTGTCAATATATTTTCATTAAAAAGGCAGGACATGTTTCTGGAAATGTATTGTGATAGACTTGGGAAATTATAATTTAGATTGAAGCACTTGCAAATCATTGCTTCTGAGAGGTTGCTGCCAACTTTCATAATTTTATTTTTCCTTTATCCTGGGCTGTTATTCATATACATGCATCTACGAGAATGTATATATATATATATATACACACACACATATACACATATATATATTTCACATGTATCTTATTTTTTTCCACAATTTAAAGCTTAAACACCTATGGGAAATCTTCAAGGAATATTTTGTAGGTCCCCAATAGCAGTCATTTCCTGTTAAATTAAGCTGGTGATGGAATTTACTGTATTACCTAAACCAATTTTCATCCAGTTGCAGTGAACATCCTGTCTGGCATGCTGGCTGCCTTTGTGATAGTTGTGCTCTTTTGCTGGCCACATCACAGCTGCCCCTCCAAGTGCTCTCCCCAATTAGGAAGATGCAATTAGATGACAGCGTCACCCTCTCCTATACTGTCAGTAATAAGGAACAGATGCTTCATTCCGATGGGAAAAATTGGGTCTTTTCACAATTATTAATATCCTGAATTAGAATGGGTTGCTTTGTCATTTTACCTAGTTTTCTATGAATCTATAATATTTAATGTCTTGTTTATTTAACCATGAGGCTGATAAAGAAAGGGAACACTATAAACCATTCTAAGCATATAGAATTATGGGCTATGTTTCTGGAAGGAAATATATAAACCTCCCAGGCCTATGAACTTATTTTTCATTTTAAACAATTATTTACTTAATGAATAGGTGGCATATGTGTGCGGCGTAAAATTCATCGGGTATGAAAGGAGCATAGGGTGTAGTGAAAAGTACCAATCCAATCTAGTATACCTCTTATCTAAACTCAGCACAAAATTTCCTAAAATGGATCTTCGGGTATTAGTTTACCCCTCTACAGGGGCAACTAAGGTTACCAATTTCTTCTGTATCCTCTAGCTTATTTTACAGTTCAGGAAAATTGGGCTCAGAACAGCAAAATGATTAATCTACAGTCACATGGCAAGTTGTTTGCTGCAGCCAAACTAGAACCTTGGCCTCTTCACTATTAACAAAATTTCACCCATAATACATAGCTGTCACTCGGCTCCAGGCAAACCAAAGGCATTCTTTTCTTACAATACGAACCAAAACTTTCTAATAAGAGCAGAAGGCTGAGGAAAACATTCAGACAAAGTGCTTTTATTTGGTTGAATGGTCAATAAAGAACACAGAATATTCTTTTTAAAAGAGATGTATAAGAAATCTATTCCAACGACCTTATTTTACACATGAAGAAATTAAGGCTCACACTGGGAAACAATTGTCCAGCAAATTAATGTTAGCGGGCCCATTTGCATGAACTCTGAGCAGTGTTTGTGACTTTGCAAATGGAATACGGGTCCTCCCTTGCCCCACCTCCAATCATTACCTCTTGGTTCCCCTGCCTATATCTGGGGCATTGTGGCTGTGTTATACTGGAAAATGCAGGAGCGCATTGATTTCCTATAATGGTTTTATCTATAGAAATTTGTGAGGACATCCTTTGGTTGGAAGATTGGCACTGAATATCTGAAAGTGCCAAATTGAACTGAGAAGGAGTGTTCCAAAGTAGTGCCTCAAATGAACCTTTGCTCATCAAGAAAAGTCTCTCTCTGCACTTGCAGACTGTAACTCCTCGACCTGTCCTTATAGGATGCATCCTGCAGTTGGAAATGTGTTGCCAGGCATTAAAGACTTCTTGTTGCCCTCTTAGTAATGCAGGTTATAGGCTTCAGGAATATAAGCTTCAGGTTTTAGGCTTCAGAAAAGCAATCATGGAATCAAGCTTTTGAGAGAAGCTCTGTACTTAAATTAACAAAGAAATCTATATTGAGTCAAGTTTTCTTGTATCTTTCTAATTTAAGTTGTATTAGGACAATGTAATTACAGAGACCAAAAGAGAGATTCACAGTGAGATAAAAATGTGAATACAGAGAAGCCGTGGGCCCTTCTTCTCTGCCCTGGGAAAGATGCTATACCTTTAAAATACTTCATGTGGTACTTCTATGCCCTTCCTCTTTTGAATCGCACAAGGCTGGGAGGCAGGAATTCTCACCACTTGCATTTTAAAGGTGAGAAAAATGAAACCCTAGAGAGGTCAAGTGATTTATGCAAAGCCACACAGCACAGAATTGACCATCCCAGATCTGGACCCTGGGTTTCTGGCTTCCAGGGGCCATTCTCTCTGAGTTCTCCCCACACCTCTCTTCCCACTCCTTCTCTGTCTCCGTGGCTCAATTCTTTCCTCCTCTCACTCACATTTAGGCATCCCTGAAGTTTCTCTCTGGGGCTGACTTCTCTTTTCTCCTTCAAATGATGTCATTAAAATACCTCTTACAGCTTTAAATATCACTTCCTTGCAGATGCCCTATGGCTCCGACCACCTCGGGAGTCAGTGTCTTAAGCTCAAAACTGCAACTCAGCACTCAGATCATAGATGCTATAGGTCTCTGAAAAGCCTATGGGTGACTCATACGTCCGATGGGAGGAACTGCGACTGGCAGAAGCAGAAGGTGCAACCTAGCCTGGCAAAGGGAACTGGGTGTTCCAGCCCTCTAAGCAGGGCCTGCAAACCAAACCTGCATAAGGAAGATCTCTGTAGAGTGATGTGAGCAGAGAGGGATTTCACACACAAACATTCTTACATTCTTACAGATGAAGAATGTTTTCCTTGCTGTGGGTTGGAAGGTCAGGATATTGAGGACTGAACAATTATACCTCCCATTTTTATAGCACATTACAGTTTGCCAGGTGGTTTTATGTCCATTGTCTTATTTGATCTTTCCAACGACTTTGTAAAGCAGGAAGGGTAGGAACTAGTACTCTGAATGACTTGCGCAAAATCTCACAGTTAGTAAATGGCTGCGCTGCAAGGCTGAACAAAAACCAATCTGGTTCTCTACCAGAGCATGCCCCACTTCCTTGCCCACCGAATTCCTCTCTTCTTTGTAAGTTTTCTTAGACAGATAGCATAAATCCTCAATGGACCACTACCCATTGGCTCTCGGGCAAAGCAGGCGTGAGCAAACGTTTCCTGTCAGGGGTCAGGTAAAAAATGTTTTAGACTTTGCAGACCATACAGCCCCTATCACAACTTGTCAGCTTTGTTGTTTTAGTCTGAAAGCAGCTCTAGGCAATACATAAACAAATGAGCATGGAAGTGTTCCAATAAAACTTTATTTAGAAAAACAGGTGGTGGGCCAGATTTGGTCCTTGGGCTGTATAGTTGGCCAACCCTTGACACAAAACTTTGCAGGATGATTCTTGTCCTCTCCAAGATCTGCCCCCGTCTTCCCTCATTGCCTCCAGATCAACAACCAGGGTCTGGCTTCAGTTTGAACAGAACAGGGATATAGAGTCCTTACTTTGGGAAGAAATAGTCCACATAACTCAAAGAATTTCAAGAACAGGCTAATATGTACCTATAGAAACTAGGGAGCAAATGCCCCAGTATCTCAAAGGTTTGGGGCAGGGAAAGGTGACAAGGAGAATATAAAGCTGTGTTGGGAGAGTTTAATTGATGTAGAGGCACTCTCCCCTGACTCGGGGTTTAATATCCTGCTAAACTCAGGTAGAGCCAGTTGTACTTACTGCTGGAATGGCTCCTCCAAGCTTTCACTCAACGATAGCCTTCAGCAAATGAAGTTGAGACACTGGGTCTGCCTTGGCAGCATATAGAGGAAGAGTCAGGAGAGCCAGGAAGGTGGAAATGTAAGAAGGACTCACTGAGACCAGAGAGCCCACCACGTGTGTGACAGCATCCCTGGAAACACGTGAAAGAGGCTTCTTTACTAAGGCAATAAAAATCCACTGATGACAGAGGCATTAGCACTTTTAAGAAGCTCAGTGGCCACTGTCTTCCATTGGCCTGGACTGACACTAGAAAATGCTGCATAGAACTAGGCTCTCTAGTAAATTGATGTGACAGGATTCCCACAAAGCAAGAATCCCTTTGGTCAGAGACGAGAAAGATGTGTTAACATAACAGGCACACATGGCTTCAGAGATTGACGGTAATGCCCATTAGGCCATAGTATTCCTGCGGGGGGTAAGATAAATGGGTAGCTGGCTAGGGTGTAATCTGACTTCAAAACAGAAAAAGTGGAGTTCTGATGAGCAAAGGTCAATGTTAACTGCTGCAACAGAAAATCACTGTTCCTCCTACAGTTTCCAGAGTTAAGTCAGTTCACAGACCCAGGACCTATTGCTTCCTTGAGAGAAATCAATATTCTTCCAGTCCTTTCCCAAAGGGATCTGTGGCTACTTCCCAGAATAATTGTATGTGTGCACTCTTAGATATGAGTTCTAGGCTAAAACTGATGATAAGGGACCCAGCATGCCACTGTGGCCCCCACCCTCCCAGTTAGAGTGGGGATGGGGAAGGTCATGTGATGCCCTGGCCCAAATTCTCTCACAGTGGGTCCATTGTATCCACAGACCTACCCTCTAGTTATTCTGTCAGTTGTCAAGTATATAATTATTTCTAGCAGCTGACAGGACGTCTCATTCATTTCCGGGTCTATGGAGAAAGGGCTATTAAAGCACAAAGGGTGAGTGGAAGTCCAAGAAACAGCCCCTCACCCCGGTGAAGACAGCAAATTAGAATCCATTCTGCCTCCTGGGTGAAATGGCAAATACTAGTGGCTTCCTCAAAGATGGAAAGAGTGCAAGTGTGATGGTCCTCATCACATCTCTGTATTCAATTCATCTACATGGCTTCCGCAAAAACGAAATAGATATAGTAGATGATGGTGAACTACCTTAAACTAAGCCAAATGATAGCCTCAGTTGCAACCGCTATGCCAGATATAGTATCTTTACTGAAAGAAATAAACACAGCCTCAGGCTCTAGGACTGTGGCTATTGAGCTGGCAAATAAGTTCTTTTCAAACCCCCATCAGTAAGGAGAATAAAAAGCAGCTCACCTTTCTGTGGGAAGGACAGGAGTACACATCGACTGCCTTGCTCTAGGGCAATGTTAATGCTTTTGCTCTCTGTCTTAGTAGAGTATGCAGGGATCTGATTGTCTTGACATTTACAAAGCATCATGATGGCCCACTATATGAATGACATCATGCTAACTGGATTGATGAGCCAGAAGCGGAAAGTATTTCAGATACCCAAGGAAAATACATACTGCCAGAATATTGGAGAAAAAAGCCATGAAAATTCAGGGGCTGGTCACATTGGTGATGCTTCCAGGCATTCAGTGGTCGGAGACTTGCCAGGTTATTCCCTGTAAGATTGGTTGCTGCACCCTGCAATCTCTACCACTAAGGTTTGGTAGGGTTCTTGGGATTTTGAAAGCAGCGTGTATAGTCCTTAGGAATATTACTCCAATTCATTTATCAGACATGCTGGAAGGCTTCCAGTTTTGAGCAGGACACGAGTGAGAGAGGATTCTCTAATAGGTCCAAGCTGGCATTCACACCAATTTATATTGAGCTCCCACCACTCAGGCCATGTGACTGGGAGATCTGATATAGCTAGAAGAATCTGAAGGGAGTGAGGATGCTCTGTGGATTCTCTGGCAATCACCACAGGGGAGTTTCAGCTCAGACCCCCAGAGTTCTAGATCAAAGCT
Organism: Homo sapiens; assembly: GCF_000001405.40. Classification (NCBI taxonomy): domain Eukaryota; kingdom Metazoa; phylum Chordata; class Mammalia; order Primates; family Hominidae; genus Homo; species Homo sapiens. The sequence goes on along the minus strand of NC_000015.10, from coordinate 79,405,231 downwards.
ATACCATCTGCAGCAGGGAATAGCTTGCCATTTGAGAGTATCTTCTGTCATGCTGCTGGGTGTGCCTGAGTTCCTGACCACAGAATCGCAAGTGACTATGAGATTGGAGCTGAGTATTATGAACTGATATTTTTCAGATGCACTAAGTCATGCTGAACATTGTATATTCAGAATTGGGTCCAAGAAGATTCAGAGGTGGCCTCCATGGGAAGCCCAAACCTGCAAGACTGCTACCTTTGACACACCAGTGCCACCTCCTCAACTTATACCCGTGGCCTATGGCAGAATACAGAGGGGTCCCTATGATTAACAGATAGAGGAGGAAAAACTGAGGCTTACTTCATAGATGGATGGGCTCACTTATGTTGATGCTAAACAAAGCAGGAATGCTGCTGCCCACATCCCCACTCAGGGGTGGTCATGAGGGACATGTGGGAAGGTAAATCCTCCCAGTGAGCAGAGCTCATCACCCTAAATGGTCAAGTTTGAGTGGAAGGAGAAGTGGGATGAAGTAAAACCACACATAAACTTCTGGGTAGCGGCAAATGTTTTGGCTGATTGGTAAAGAGGCCTAAAGGAGTAAGATTGGGAGATCAGAGGTCAGAAGGACAAAGGAAAGGCCTGAGGAAGGACTGATGGGAGGAGGAAAAAGTGTGCAGAACTTTGTATTTCACATGAATGCCCACAAAGAATATGCACGGCAAAGGAAGCATTCACCTGCCATGTTTTAGTTTGAGGCAGCCAGCTTCTCTCTAGATATTTCGGTGCTTGGGCAATGGACCCATGAATGGAGAGGCTACAGAAACAAGGGAGGATGCTACAAATGGGCCCCATGGCATGGGGTCCCTCTCATCAGTGTGAATCTGACTACTGATGCAGCTAAATGTTTGTCCTGTCACCAGCAGAGGCTGATGCTGAGTCTTTGATATGGTACCAGCCCTTAAGAAGACCAACCAGCCATGTGGTGGCAGGATGATTACAATAGGCCCCTCCACCTAACAGGGAATTGTCACCTAATTCATATAGGGGTTTGACTAACCTGCCCATTGTGCTTCCTCCAGCTCTCCATGCAAAGTCTTAAAGAATACCAGGTTTAATGGCATAGAATCTTGAACAATATTGATTCAGACCAAGGAATACATTTTATGACAAAGAAGGTGTGTGAATATGTAACTACCATATACCACATCACCTGGAAGATACCAACATACAGAACAATGAAATCATTTTTAAAGACTTAGAGTAAGTGCCAGATTGGGGACAACACCTGCAGAACTGGGGCTCTTTCCTCCAGAATGCAATATATACAATGAACCAAGGGTCATGCCGGGTATAGTGTCCCCAATATCTAGAATGTACATATTCAGGAACCAAGAGACAGAAGTAGCAGTGGTCTCGCTCACCATTATTCTCCATGACTTTCTCGCAAAATATGTGCTTCCTGCCTCCATTACTCTAAATTCCGTTGGATCATAGGTTGTGATTCCCAACAAGGGAGAGGTTCTAGCAAGATTACAGTAAGTTTCCACTGAACTGCAGCTATGACTACCACCTGGTCATTTTGAGTTTCTCATGCCAGCAGGACTAGTAGGCAAGGAAAAATGTAAACAGATTGGCAGACATAATTGTCCCTATCATAGAAACTGGGATTGCTGCTATATAATGAGGTCTGAAAGGAGTATATACAAAATGCAGGGGACACTCTGGGCGGCTCTTAGTGCTTTTTCACCAAGAGATAATGGTAAAAGGGAAAAAGTAGCAACTACCACCACACAATGGTAAGAAAAGTTAGAGTTCCTTAGGGAAGGAGGGGTCCCTAAGGTCTGGGTTACCCCACCAGCCAAGCAACCTAGACTAGATAAATCACTGGTAGGGAATTCTGGAAGGGGAGATAAAAGAGAACATCAATTTTTGCCTCAGGCCCAGTTATAGCAGCAAGGACTGTAGCTTGTTCTGCTGACCCTCCTGTATCAAATCAAGTCTTTTTTTTTTTTTTTTTTTTTTTTTTTTTGAGACAGAGTCCCGCTGTCACCCAGGCTGGAGCGCAGTGATGTGATCTCAGCTCACTGCAATCTCTGTTTCCTGGGCTCAAATGATTCTTGTGCCTCAGCCTTCCCAAGTAGCTGGGATTACAGGCATGCACCACCACACCTGGCTGACTTTTTTTTTCTTTTGAATAGAGACAGGGTTTCTCTGTGTTGGCCGCGCTGGTCTCCAACTCCTAGCCTCAAGTTATCCACACGCCTCAGCCTCCCAAAGTGCTAGGATTACAGGCATGAGCCACTGCACCTGGCCCTGTAACAAGTCTTGATGAGACTCCTTCACAAGGCTCTCTGGCCCAAGCAGTGTGAGGACTGGGCTCAGTCATCTGAGTGTCAGACATCTCTTATGCTTTACCTCCTATTCCTTGGCCCCCCTTTTTATTTTTTTATTTTTATTTTTATTTGAGACAGAGACTTGCCCTGTTGCCCAGGCTGGAGTGCAGTGGCACGATCTCGGCTCACTGCAACTTCCACCTCCTGGGTTCAAGCAATTCCCTGCCTCAGCCTCCCAAGTAGCTGGGATAACGGGCACCTGCCACCATGCCCAGCTAATTTTTTCTTTTTTTGTAGTTTTAGTAAAGACGGGGTTTCACCATCTTGGCCAGTTTGGTCTTGAACCCCTGACCTCGTGATCCACCCGCCTCAGCCTCCCAAAATGTTGGGGTTACAGGTGTGAGCCCCTGTGCCCATCCTCCTTGGCCCACCTTTTACCCTACCAAGTGCTAGGACAATCAGCTTTGTGCAGGTATAACTTGGCAGTGCCAAGCCTTGGCTCTATTATGAATCTCTCACTTTTTGCTTCTGGGCTTCTCTAAAGCCTCAGCATGAGCCACATGTGGGAACCCACCCAGCATTCACTCACACGTGTATAACCTGGGGACTGGACAAAGTTAATGACCATAAGATAACTGGACCCATGGGGCACAGGAGCCTGCAGATAAATGCTCCACTCTTTGGTATATGGGTGGACATCTATGGGGCACATTCTCTTCTGCTCCTGAGGTCTCATTAGAATTGAGCCTTAGCCATCCTCAGCAGCGACCACCTCCAGAATGTATTCTTGATCAGCTTTTCCTTCTTCACCCTGCACGCTCCCTTTCCCTTCCTCCTGATCCCTGAGGTCTCAAAATAAACCATCTTCCCAAAAGCCTTTGTCACAGGTTTTTCTTTCTGAGGGACTCAGGCCAAGACAATGACCTCCTTTCCCTGCCCTCGCCTCCATCACTGCTCCTTTGCCAACCAAGAGAGGCCACTGAGGATACTCTTCATGAAGAATGCCTCCTCCAAAGTGACTTTCTAACTGCCTAAAAACCTATTGATGGGATTTCAATCGCTAACCACATCTATTTGAAAATGGTATTAAACATCCCCACCCAACATACCCCATTGCAAAAGTGATTTGACAGGAAAATCTTCTTTTCTGATTCTTCCACCCTCGTTTCTCTTTTCCATTTGTCCTTTTTGCAGTTACTGGCACTCAGAGGCAGAAAGGTGAAGTAACTCTTTCGCACTACCCCATGTCACTGTTCTTCGTTTTTCCTCACCAGGTGAGGACAGGTTTTCTCAATCTTGGCACTATTGACATTTGGGAACAGATAATTCATAGTTGGGGGAGCTGTGCTGTTCATTGCAGGATGTTTAGCAACATCCCTGCCCTCTACCCACCAGATGCTAGTAGCAACTCCAATGTGGCAACCAAGAATGTCTCCAGACATTGCCAAATGTCCCCTGGGGGCAAAGCCACTCCTGGTTGAGAATCACTGGTCTAGGAAATCTTTCTCGTCCTCCTATGCACTCTCTGTCATCTATCTCACACTCCTGTAAAGAAAATACTTATCTTTCCTTCTTTTCTAAATAAGAATACAAATTATTAAATATTTGTCAAGCAGCTGCTACATGCCAGAGTACGTCCTGGGCATTATGCCATTAAGAAATGACACATTAATACTAGCACTTAAGTCTTTGATTTCATTCATTCAATCATACATGCAGTCCTTCAACTAGTATTTATTGAGTGCCTATTCTGTGTCAGGAAATATTCTAGGCACTGAAAATCTATTATTGAAGAAAGGAAATAAAAATCCTAAGGCGCATAGTAGTCACTCCCCATGGTATGGTAAAATATATGGGGTCTGGGAATAGTACAGACCTGAGTTTAAGTCCTATTTTTGTTATCTTCAGGATGTTTGGTCCTAGGATGGTACTTAGTTTCTCTGAGACCCAGTTCCTGGTCTAGAAAATAGGGTGCTGTAATGCCTACCTTAGCAGGCCAGCTTAAAGAGTGAAGGCAATGTATGCCGCATTCTCATGATAATAGCTGTCACCACAGGAGAATTATTATTCATTCTGACAGTTTGTTACGTTGTTGTGGAAGATCAGACGTGGAAAGGTCCCTTGACATTAAGTGATCCAACCCCCTCATTTTTCAGAAGAAAATACCAGTACTTACAATGATGACAAAGTTAGGAAAATAACATGGGTCTCTTGTTCATTTCTCATTAAATGAGATAATTGTTATATACACAAAATTGTACTAAAATGATGGCATTGTAATTATCACTTACTCTCCTACTTTCCTGTCTCTTAGGTAGGTGTAATAGTGAACATTCTAACAGTAATGATAACGAGAAGGCTCTAATCAACTCTAGACCCTAGGTATCATTTTCGCATTGTTCATTTAATCAGCAAATGTTTACCAAAATGTCTATTGTGTGCTAAGCCGTCAATGTTCGAGGCATTGGGGAAGTGAAGGTGAACAAGACAGCTGATATCCCTGCCTCTATGGTGCCTATATTTTAGTAAGGGAGATGGACAAGAGATAATTAAATACATTAGTAGATTAAGTGATTACAGATCACCGAAGAAGCCAGGAAGAAAATAAACAGGTGCTATGACAAAGAATAACAGAAGTGACTGATTTGGATAAGGGATAAGGGAGGGCTTGTTTGTGGAAGTGACATTGAAGCTGAGAACTAAAACATTAGGAGGGACCAGTGCTGTGAGGAGTGACAGCAGAATGGTGCAGGCAAAGGAAAGAGCAGATGCAAAGGCCCTGAGGTTGGGAGGAGCATGACAAGTTCGACGGGTCTTTTAGCTAGACCTCAGTGAGAAAGGCTGGAGAGAAAGGCAGAAGCTATGCAGTGTTTAGACTTTATCCCCGGTACAATAGAAAGCCATTGATGTTGAGGACAGGGGTTGTGGACAGCAATTTCCTGACCTGGGATACCTTGTAAATTACCCTACTTGCAAAGTAGAGAGGGTCATTGGCTGTCAGTGGACCTCACGGAGAGGAAGAGGCCCTGCCTCCGTGGAGACTGAAGCATGTACCAGTCTAGCTGGCTTAGATCCACGCCCCCTGATTTCAGCTGTCACTGCAGATAAGAGCAGGATTACACTTGACAATTCTCACAGATGCAATTTTTATTTAGCCTTTCCAGAGCCCATTTAGGTTGGCATTTGAGTAATGAATCAGAGGAATGTTCTGCCCAGTATGGGAAGGCAGGTCAGAAACCTTTCTAAAATGCAAATCTGATTGTGTCTCTCCCTTGCTTAAAACCTTTCATTACAGGCCGGATAAAGGACACATTTCCTGGCATGGAATTCAAGTTGCTTCCACACATGGCTCCTGACCACCATTCTAGCTCACATCTGTTGCTACACACCATCCTACTTCTCCAGACCCAAAACTCCCAATTCTCCTGGACACATTATGTGTCTCCATGCCTCAGTTTCTCCTTTCTTTCCTCTTTTTTGCGTTTTTGGACTCACACAAACAATGATCAACTCGTCCCAGGATGTCCCCAGCTTTAGCACTAGAAGTTGCAGTTTGGGAAACCCTTCAGTCCTGGGCACACCAAGACAGTTGAGGTGATGGTTAATTATACATGTCCACTTGAGTGGGCCTTGGGGAGCTCAGATATTTGGTCAAACGTTATTTTGGGCGTTTCTGTGAGGCTGCTTTTGAATGAGATTAAGATTTTGCTGGGTGTGGTGGCTCATGCCTGTAATTCCAGCACTTTGGGAGGCCGAGGCAGGTGGATCAGTTGAGGCCAGGAGTTTGAGACCAGCCTGGCCAACATGGTGAAACCCCATCTCTACTAAAACTACAAAAATTAGTTGGGCGTGGTGGCATGCACCTGTAATTCCAGCTACTCGGGAGGCTGAGGCATGAGAATCGCTTGAACCCTGGAGGCGGAGGTTGCAGTGAGCTGAGATCATGCTACTGCACTCCGGCCTGGGCAACAGAGCAAGACTCTGTCTCAAAAAACAAACAAACAAACAAACAAAAAACATTTAAATTGGTAGACTGAGTAAAACAGATGGCCCTAGCCTTCCCTATTGTGGGTGGGCCTAATTCCATCAGCTTGTGATGGGTAATTTTATGTGGAAACTTGCCTGGGCCATGGGATGCTCAGACATCTGGATAAACACAATTTCTGGATGTGTCTGTGAGGGCATTTCTGGAAGAGACTGGCATTTGAATTGGTGGACTGAGTAAAGCAGATGGCCTTCCCCACTGTGGGTGGGCCTCATCCAATCCCTTGAGGTCCTGAACAGAAAAAAAGGGTGGAGTAAGGGGACTAACTCTGCATGACTGATCAAGCTGGGACATCGATCTTCTTCTATTCTCACAGCTTCCCGTTCTCAGGCCTTTAGCCTTGAATTGAAATCTACACCACGGTCTCTCTGGCTCTAAGGCCGTCAAACTACACCACTGGCTTTCCTGAGTCTCCAACTTGTAGGCAGCAGATTGTAGGACTTCTCCAAGGGAGGCTGGGGCAGGCAGATCACTTGAGTCCAGGAGTTCAAGGCTACAGTGAGCTATGATTATGCCACTGCCTGGGCAACAAAGCAAGATCCTGTCTCTAAAATAAATACAATAAAATAAATGACATGAAGGAATCTTGAATGCATATTACTAAGTGAAAAAGCCAAGCTGAAAAGGCTACGTACTGTGTAATTCCAACTACATGGCATTCTGGAAAAAGAAAGCAATGGAGACAGTAAAGAAATCAGTGGTTGCCAGGGGTTGGATGGAGGAGGAGGGATGAATAGGTAGAGCGCAGAGGTTTTTAGGGCAGTGAAACTACTCTGTATGATACTATAATGACGGATACATGTCATTATGCATTTGTCCAAAACCAAAGGATGTACAACACCAAGAGTGAACTCTAACGTAAACTATGGACTTTAGGTGATAATGATGTATTAATGTACATTCATCAGTTATAACAAATATACCACTCTGGTGCAGGATGATGATAGTCAGAGAGGTTGGGTATGGGGCTAGTGGGGAGGGAGCATATGGAAACTGTATTTTTCATTCAATTTTGCCATGAACCTAAAACTGCTCTAAAAAATTGGCTCTATTAAAAACTATACCCTGAATTCTGGTACAAAATGTCATCTGGATAGAACTCTTAATGCTGCCTCTCCTGACGTCTTATTCAAATACAGGCAAATGCAAAAATGCATATGTATATTGACTGTAGTAATGTAATAATCTGATGCAAGAGTCTGGGAGAAGAGAAGCTGAAGCAAATTGCAAAGCAGATTAACTAAATAGGGAAAAATGTATCCAGAGTCAACTCCTGGTGTACCTTGTTTACCTACCCTTCATGAAACAGACAACAATCATCAAAGATTGGCTTGCACTTTGAATCTGTCTGTTTTCATCTGTTCCAGCCTTGAGTCCTAGGGCTGACCAGAAAATGGTAGCCAGTTCTTTATTCTGTGCTGCTGCTCCATGAGGAGGGAAAGAGGCTCTTCAGATCTGTTTGTCGTCTTTCCATGTCCAGGCAGAGAGCGCAAAACTCAAAACAACTAAGCAGATGAAAGAAAGGTGAGCAGACTGCTATGTACACAATACTTTCTGAAAGGCATGGTTCTCAGAAGAAAACTCTTTCTTCCTTCTCAAAAAATTACTGAAGAGATAGCCTCTGTGAACCAGGAACGAAGTTCTAGGGAGAGAGCAGATTTAGATGAAAAGATAAAAGGATGAAGCAAACAGACAAGAAAAGGAAATAGGAAGATGAATGTAAAAAAGAAATGAGTGAGTTGAGAGGTGCTAAGCAGCAAATGAGAAACAGTGTCATGGTTTTAAAACCTGACCACAAATTCTTTGACACTCCTGCTTTCAAGAAGTGCAGTCTGCATTCCCGCCTCTTACATCTGAACGGGTGCTTTGGCCGGCACTGTCCAACACAAACATAATGCAAGCCACGTGTGTCATTTTAAATTTTCTAGTGGCTGCATAGAAAGAGTAAAAAGAAACAGGTGAAATTAATGTTAATATATTTTATTTAACCGAACATATCCAAAATATTATTTCAACATGTAATAAATTTAAAAGTTAAGAATAAAATATTTTACATTCTTTCTTGAATATTAAGTCCTTGAAACTCAGAATGTGTCTTGCATTTACTTCAGTTGCCTGAAGTCTCACTTCAGGCTAACTACATTTCCAGTGACCACAGCCACATGTGACCAGTGCCAATCATTCTGTGCAGTGCACGTTTTGACCAACAGAGTATGATGGAAGAGGTGCTATGTGACTTCCAAAGCTAGATCATAAATCGCCGTGCAGCGTCCACCTTGCATTAGGAACACTTACACTGGAGCCCAGAGGGAAGATGGAAAAAGTCCAACTACCCTGAGATTACCATGCGTTGAGGAAACTCAAGCCACATGGACAGGCTACAAACAGGTGTTCTGATTGATGTTTCTACTTAGGATGGCCACTGAGCCATCCTTGCCAGGTACTGGACAGGTGAATGAAGATTCTAGCCCCCAGCCATTTAAACCAGGCTTAGCCATTCAAGATGAGGCCCCAGACATAGTGGAGTCATGACAAGTTACTCTCCGTGTGCCCTTTATAAATTCCTGACTCACAGAATCTGCAAGCATAATTAAATGGTCATTGCTTTATACCACCAAATGTTGGCACGATTTGTTAGACAGTTATAACATAAAAATAAAAGTTACCACCTCACTAGAAGGAGTTAAAGAGTAGAACTGATGGAACCAGAAAGAAGATAATTGTTACGGAGGGCAAACTTTAGCATTTGTTCTGGAATTCAGAGGCAAAGAAAAATGAGATGAAGCAATAAAAAAGATGTTAAACATGGAAGTCAGAAGATGGAGAGACAATTTACTTTTGTCTCCTTCAGGAGTTGCCTGAATTGAAGCATTATCAAAGGAACACTAGAAAAAATATTTCCCAGATTGTCATTTAGACTGACCATGACTTATCAGCAACAACTGATCCAAATGAAAACTGAGTGATATAGTCAAAGTATCCATCCAAAATGTTATTATTTGCCATAGTATCAATTAGGAGAAAGAACAAAATAAGAACGTTTAAAATGTTCAAACCCTGAGTCTATTACACACAGACTTTCATTAAAAGGCCTATAAAAGGGTGTATTTAAACATAAGTGTGAGATATGAAATAGACGAAACAATAATGAAACACACAGGAATTCATAAAATATGTTGGTAAATTTAATTAAACATCTCCCTTTAAAATCTGATATTTTCGTGTTAAAGGGCAAACTAAAATTCTAAATAATAATAACAAAAAATAGCATAAGTATCTCAATGCCTAAAGTCCTTATCCATGGTTGGGGGAAGAAGAAAAATGTCTTTTTTTTTAAAGTGTAGTTAAATATTTTTAAATTAAGTATGGCCACTTAAAAACCAGAAACATTGGCCAGGCGCGGTGGCTCAAGCGTGTAATCCCAACACTTTGGGAGGCCCATGCGGGTGGATCACCTGAGGTCAGGAGTTTGAGACCAGCCTGGCCAATATGATGAAACCCTGTCTCTACTAAAAATACAAAAAATTAGCCAGGCGTGGTGGTGAGCACCTGTAATCCCAGCTACTCGGGAGGCTGAGGCACTAGAATTGCTTGAATCCAGGAGGCGGAGGTTTCAGTGGGCCGAGATCGTGCCACTGCACTCCAGCCTGGGCAACAAGAGTGGAACTCCATCTCAAACAAACAAACAAAACAAAAAAACCAGGGACATCATCTACAGTTTCCAAATCAGGAGAGTTGAGTAAAAAAACGAAAACAGGAAATATTATCAGGCCAACAGAAGGCAGAGAAGAAGAAAAGAGAGTAGAAAAGAATGAAAAGATAGAGAGAAATAAGTCCAACTATATCAGTAACATTTTTCCACTTACATAGCTTGATAGCCTATAACACAGTGCTTTATAATATTTATGGATACATAAATAACATGTATCAAAAGTATAAAACAACATGCATGGAAATGATGCTCTAATTCATGACAGTACTTACCTTTGGGGAAGAAGAGAGGGTACTAGTGTTAGGTACTATTACACAGGGGGTCTCAATTTCTCTGGAATATTTAATTTCTTTAAACAAAGTTCAATAAAATAGGATACTGTGTTAAAACTGGATAAAACTGGAGTAGTCAGAACATAGGTATGATATTATTCTCTATTCTTAGTTGTGTGTTTGAAATAGTCTCTCAAAAATAAACGTAGCAGGAGAAAGAATGCAAGAACCTCTTCTCCATTTGTAGCTGCTTCTTTGAGCCCAGAGAAGGCTGAATCTATGGGACCTATAAATAGTGGGGAAAACCCATTTCATGGGCATTTCACAGCAAGAATGAAAACTCAGACTGGAATGCCAGCCTATGGATCTAAGAACTGCTGCTCCAGTAACAATTAGACTTCAAAATGCAAAATCTGTTTGCAAACTTCCCTCCCCATGTGTATTTTTTAGGAAACCTTGGGTTGCCAACAGAAGGATGAGTCAGTCTCTCAGCCTTCCTAGCCAGAGACACAACCAGAGCCAAAAGAAACTTGTCGCAGTAAACACATGGGAATGGTGGGCGTTCTGCAAAGTTAACATTCTATAAAGATCGGCAAGGCTGATTTTCTGACAGTCTATGGGGAAAATAAACCCTTTTAAAGTATGCCTTTTCGAATGAGCTTTTTAGAGACTTGGGACACCTTCATTAATTTATTATGTAAACGCCATTTGGTCCTAAATGTGCACTAGTCCACCCACCCCCCTACTCCCCAACTATGCAGACCCTCTTCAGCTCTCAGCATTTTAACAGCACAGTCATATACATTTTGGTGTGAATTCTCCCTCAGAATGAGGCCTACATCCATGACTTAAAAATTAGAGGTAGAAAGGAGAATATGAAATGTCTAAATGGGCCGGGCACTGTGTCTCATGCATGTAATCCCAACATTTGGGGAGGTAGAGATGGGAGGATCGCTTGAGCTCAGGAGTTTGAGACCATCCTGGGCAACATGGTGAAACCCTGTCTCTACAAAAAATTTAAAAAATTAGTTGGGCAAGGTGGCATGCACCTGCGGTCCCAGATACTCAGGAGGCTGAGGTGGGAGTATGGCTTGAGCCCGGGAGGCAGAGGTTGCAGTGAGCTGAGATCACACCACTGCACTCCAGCCTGGGCAACATAGTAAGACCCTGTCATAAAAAACAAAATTTTAAAAATGCTTAGATGAACCAAATGGGACTCCTCTGTATTTCTTCTAGGCATTTATCATTTGCTGACTATTGCCTTTTCTGTTTCTCCAATCTATAATATACCTATCATAACTACCCTTCAAAAATCTGGTTTAAAGAACACTTCCACTTGAAGTTTTCCCAAGTGTCACCAGGCAGAAGTGAGCTTCCACAGAACTCTGTTCACATATATCTTTTATAACATCTTGCTTTTATAGGCAGCATAGTGCTCATGTGTCTACAATGTCTTTCAAACCAAGTCCCGAGTGCCTTGAGGAGAGGTACTCTGGTTGATTCATTTCTGTATCCTCTCCTGGCATTTAGCAGAGGTACTTACAGATAGTAGCTACTCAGTTTTTATTGTCTTATTAACAAAACTCGGCTCTAGTTCCTGCAAGCCTATCACCAGTTATGCTGTTTTATTTCCTGGAATCTAGGCCTAGAAATACTAATAGCTTCCAGTTCCAATAATTGCAGACTAGATGTTTTTGACCTTACCCTCCAAAAATTTTGGATAAAACTTCCCAAAAAGTTGTTCAAAATCCAAATAGCTTCTCTTTAAAGGATCAAAGAATAAAGAAGAAATGGAAAATAACTGAACTAAAACCTTGGGTGAAAATGAAAAGCCAGAGAGCTAAGTCTAGCTCTTTTGCTAGTGATAAGAGAGAAGGGAGAAAATTGCTTCAAAACTGAGTTTCACTTCTGGGGATCCCTGAAGCCAGAAGGATAAAGATTCCAATTTAAGTTGGGATGCCAAAGGTCTGCAACCTCAGAGAAGGATGAATCAGAAGTGAACCAACTCTTGTACAGCCTTTAGCTTTGTGTCACTGGAAGGCTCAAGCTTTGCAGCCAGATAAGGGTGGTACTGAATGTGTAGTGTCATGTACCTTTTAGAAGAAAAGAAAATGTTACCTGAAGGCCTCAAATTACTTCTCCAAATAATTTTTCAAATATGAAGTCCAGAACAAAAATTAACTAAGCACATTATCAGACAAGACCACACGAACAAAAAATCAGCTAAAATAATAAACAGTAGAAAGAGTTGCACAATTATTTGAAATTTTGGAATTAACACTAGCCTACTGTATTCAAAAAGTAGAAGCCTGGGCACATCGTCATCAGGTTATCTAAAATTAAGATGAAGGAAAGGATCTTAAGAGCTGTGAGACAAAAGCACCAGGTAACCTACAAGGGAAAACCTATAACAGCAGATTTCTCAGCAGAAACCCTACAAGCTAGAAGGATTTGGGGCCCTATCCTCAGCCTCTTGAAACAAAAAAATTATCTGCCAAGAATTTTGTATCCAACAAAACTAAGCATCATATATGAAGGAAAGATACAGTCTTTTTCAGATGAACAAATGCTGAGAGAATTCGCCACTCCCAGGCTACCACTACAAGAACTGCCAAAAGGAGCTCTAGGTCTTGAAACAAATCCTGGAAACACATCAAAACAGAACCTCTTTAAAGCATAAATCTCACAGGACCTATAAAACAAAAATACAATTTAAAAAGCAAAAACAAAACAAAAAAAACAAGGTACACAGGGAACAAATAGCATGATGAGTGGAATGGTACCTCACATCTCAATACTAACATTGCATGTAAATTGCCTAAATGCTCCACTTAAAATATACAGAACTGCGGAATGGATAAGAACTCACCAACAAACTATCTTCTGCCTTCAAGAGACACACCTAACACATAAGGACAAACATAAACTTAAACTGAAAGGGTGGAAAAAGGCATTTCATGCAAATGGACACCAAAAGTAAGCAGGGGTAGCAATTCTTACAACAGACAAAACAAACCTTAAAGCAACAGCAGTTAAAAAGGACAACAAGGGACATTATATAATGGTAAAAAGCCTTGTCCAACAGGAAAATATCACAATTCTAAACATATATGCACCAAACACTGGCGCTCCGAAATTTATAAAACAATTACTAATAGACCTAAGAAATGAGATAGGCAGCAACACAATAATAGTGGGGGCTTCAATACTCCACTGACAGCACTAGATGTCATCAAGACAGGTCATCGAGACAGAAAGTCAACAAAGAAACAATGGATTTAAATTATACCCTTGAACAAATGGGCTTGACAAATATATGCAGAACATTTCATCCAACAATCACAGAATACACATTCTATTCAATAGCGCATGGAACTTTCTCCAAGATAGACCATATGATAGGCCACAAAACGAGCCTCAATAAATTTAAGAAAATTGAAATTATATCAAGCATGCTCTCAGACCACAGTGGAATAAAACTGGAAATCAACTCCAAAAGGAACCTTCAAAATTATGAAAATACACATAAATCAGATAACCTGCTCCTGAGTGATCACTGGGTCAAAAACAAAATCAAGATGGAAATTGAAAAATTCTTCAAACTGAACAACAATAATGACAAAACCTATCAAAGGTGTGGCTAAGAAGAAAGTCTGTGGCCCTAAACACCTACATCAAAAAGACTGAAAGAGCACAAACTGACATTCTAACTGACATCCACACCTGAAGAAACTAGAGAAACAAGAACAAACCAAACTCAAACCCAGCAGAAGAAAGGAAATAACCAGGATCAGAGCAGAACTAAATGAAATTGAAATGAAAAAAAAAATACAAAAGATAAATGAAACAAAAAGCTGGTTCTTTGAAAAGATGAATAGAATTGATAGACCATTAGCAAGATTAACCAAGAAAAGAGGAGAGAAAATCCAAATAACCTCAATAATAAATGAAATGGGAGACATTAGAACTGACACCACAGAAATATAAAAGATGGTTCAAGGCTACTATGAACACCTTTATGTACATAAACTAGAAAACCTAGAAGAGATGGATAAATTCCTGGAAAAATACAACCCTCCTAATTTAAATTAGGAAGAAATAGATACCCTGAACAGACCAATAACAAGCAGTGAGATTGAAATGGTAACTTAAAAATTAAAAAAAAAGTCCAAAACCACATGGATTCACCGCAGAATTCTACCAGACATTCAAAGAAGAATTGGTACCAATCCTTTTGACACTCTTCCACAACACAGAGAAACAGGGAACCCTCCCTAATTCATTCTATGGAGCCGTATCACCCTAATGCCAAACCAGGAAAGGACTTAACCAAAAAAGGTAGCTACAGACTGATATCCCTGATGAACATAGATGCTAAAATCCTTAACAAAATACTAGCTAACGAATCCAACAACATATCAAAAAGATAATCCACCATGATCAAGTGGGTTTCATACTGGGGATGCAGGGATGGTTTAACATACGCAAGTCAATAAATGTGATACGCCAGATAAACAGAATTAAAAACAAAAATCACATGATCATCTCAACAGATGGAGAAAAAAGCATTTGACAAAATCCATCATTGCTTCATGATTATAACTCTCAGCAAAATCAGCATACAAGTGACATAGCTCAATGTAATAAAAGCCGTCCATGACAAATCCACAGCCAACATAATACTGAATAGGGAAAAGTTGAAAGCATTCCCTCTGAGAACTGGAACAAGATAGGGAAGCCCACTCTCACCATTCTTCCCTAACGTAGTACTGGAAGTCCTAGCCAGAGCAATCAGACAAGAGAAAGAAATAAAGGGCACCCAAATCAGTAAAGAGGAAGTCAAACTGTCACTGTTTGCTGATTATATGATTGTTTACCTAGAAAACCCTAAAGACTCCTCCAGAAAGTTCCTAGAATGGATAAAGGAATTCAACAAAGGTTCTGGATACAAGATTAATGTACACAGATCAGTAGCTCTTCTATACACCAACAGCAACCAAGTGGAGAATCGAATCAAGAACTCAACCCCTTTTATGACAGTTGCAAAAACAAAACAAAACTTAGGAATATACCCAACTAAGGAGGCAAAAGACCTCTACAAGAAAAACTAAACACTGCTGAAAGACACCACAGATGACATCAAAAAATGGAAACACATCCCATGCTCATGGATGGGTGGAATCAATATTGTGAAAACGACCATACTGCCAAAAACAATATACAAATTCAACACAATCCCCATTAAAATACCACCATCATTCTTCACAGAATTAGAGAACACAATTCTAAAATTCATATGGAACCAAACAAGAGCCCACATAGCCAACACAAGACTTAGCAAAAAGAAAAAGTCTGGAGGCATCACACTACCTGATTTCAAACTATACTATAAGCCCATAATCACCAAAAATAACATGGTACTGGTATAAAAACAGGCACATAGGCCAATGGAACAGAATAGAGAACCCGGAAATAAACCCAAATACTTACAGACAACTGATCTTCGACAAAGCAAACAAAAACTTAAAGTGGGGAAAGGACACCCTTTTCAACAAATGGTGCTGGAATAATTGGCTAGCCACATGTAGGAGAATGAAACTGGATCCTCACTTCTCACCATATACAAAAATCGACTCCAGATGGATTAAGGACTTAAATCTAAGACCTGAAACTATAAAAATTCTAGAAGACAACATTGGAAAAGCCCGTCTAGACATTGGCTTAGGCAAGGATTTTATGACCAAGAACCCAAAGGCAAATGCAATAAAAACAAAGATAAATAGCTGGGACTTAATTAAACTAAATAGCTTTTGCACAGCAAAAGGAACAGTCAGCAGAGTAAATAGACGACCCACAGAGTGGGAGAAATTCTTCACAATCTATACATCTAACGAAGGACTAATATCCAGAATCTACAACAAACTCAAACAAATCAGTAAGAAAAAAAACAATCTCATCAAAAAGTGGGCTAAGGACATGAATAGATAATTCTCAAAAGAAGATATACAAATGGCTTGCAAACATAGAAAAAATACTTAACATCACTAATGATCAGGGAAATGCAAATCGAAACCCAATGTGATACCACCTTACTCCTGCAAGAATGGCCATAATCTAAACACCAAAAAACAGTATATGTTGGTGGGGATGTGGTGATCAGGGAACACTTTTACACTGCTGGTAGGAACTAGTACAGCCACTATAGAAAACAGAGTGAAGATTACTTCATGAACTAAAACTAGAATTACATTTGATCCAGCAATCCTACTACTGAGTATCTACCCAGAGGAAAAGAAGTCATTATACAAAAAAGATACTTGCACATGCATATTAATAGCAGAACAATTTGCAATTGCAAAATCATGAAACCAACCCAAATGCCCATCAATCAACGAGTGGATAAAGAAACTGTGGTATATGTATATACAAAATTGAATACTACTCAGCCCGTCTTAAAAAAAAAAACATAATTCTCCTTGTCAACAGATTAAGGGAGAAAAATAACATGATAATATGATCATCTCAAAAAATAGAATAAAACATTTATAAAATTCATCATTCATTAATGGTTAAAGATAAGCTCTTAGTATACTTGGAATAAAAGCAGACTTCCCTTTTATTACTTCCCTATTGTCTAAAGAGATAGACCAAAAAGAAAGAAAAGGCTACCGAAAACATCATAATTAATGGTAAAATACTGAAGGTTTTTCCTTCTGAGATTGGGAAAAAGACAAAAATATTCACTCACTATCACCAGTCCTATTCATCACTTTACTGGGCATCATGCCAGTTTAAAATGGTAAGATAAGAAATAAAATATATAAAGATTGGAATGGAAAAAAATCCTATATTTTCAGATATTATGATTGTGCTCACAGACTGCCCAGAAGTACCGTAGGTGAATCATTAAAAGTTAATTTTAATATTTTTAATAATTAAGAAAGATTAGCAAAATTGTCAGAAAACAAAATCAATTTTACTTCTATATGCCAGCAACAAACAGAAAATGAAAATTTAAAAAATTCTACTTATAATAGCATCAAGAAGTATCAGGTATGTAGGAATCCAGACAAGAAGAGATGTATAAACTCACATGAACAGAAATATAAAACTTTATTGAGAGAAACTGAAAGAAGACTCAGGTAAATGGAAAGGAATGGATTGGAAAACTGTCTTGCAAAGATGTCATTTCTCCCCCAATCAACCTATGGATTCAATGTAATCCCAGGGAAAATCTGAACAGGGTTATAATACTTGTGTGTGTGTATGTGTGTGTGTGTGTGTGTGTGTGTGCAGGTGCATGTGTGTGTGTATTTTAATTTCATTAGATGTTTCTAACATTTTCACGGAAATGCAAACAGCTAAGAATAGCCAAGACACCCATGAAAGTGACAAAGTGAGAGGACTTGTCCCACAAAATGTCAACACTTATAAAGGTTCAATTATCACGTCACTGTAGTATTTGCACAGGGATTGACAAATAGGCTAATGAATGGAAATAAAGAGTCTAGAAACAGATTGACACATATGTAGATATTTGATTCATGACAAATATAAGACTGCAAAGCAGAGGGGGACATATAATCTTTTCAATAAGAAACTGAAATAATTGGGTAGTCATATGGAAAAATCAAATAAAATTGGACCCTTACTTTCTAAAACACTAAAAACAATCCAGGGGGATTATAGACTTAAATATAAAAGGCAAAATTCTAAAGCTTTTAGTGGAAATGCAAGAGACTCTCTTCCTAATTTGGGGGCAGAGAATGTTTGGCATTTTGTAGAAGCCATAATTAGCCAGGCATGGTGGCATGCAACTGTCATCTCAGCTACTCAGGGGGCTGTGGCATGAGAATCGCTTGAGCCCAGGATTCAAGGCTGCAGTGAGCCTGGGTGCCACTGTGCTCCAGCCTGGGTGACAGAACGAGACATTGTCTCAAAAAAAAAAAAAAAGATTAAAAGATTAAAAAGAAAGAAAGAAAAGAAAAGTGTTAGCCATAAACAAAAAAGATTGATAAATTATATTACATTAAAATTTAAAGTCCAGGCACAGTGGCTCACGGCTGTAATCCCAGCACTTTGGGAGGCTGAGACGGGTGGATCATGAGGTCAGGAGATCAAGACCAGTCTGGCCAACATGGTGAAACCCCGTCTCTACTAAAAATACAAAAAAAAAAAAAAAATAGCCAGGCATGGTGGCCCACACCTGTAATCCCAGCTACTCGGGAGGCTGAGGCAGAGAATTGCTTGAACCTGGGAGGCGGAGGTTGCAATGAGCTGAGATCGCACCACTGCACTCCAGCCTGGGCAACAGTGAGACTCCATCTTGAAAATAAAAAAATTTAAAAACTGTTATTCATCAAAATACCCCTTTTAGAGAATGAAAAGCCAAACCTCCAAGCAGGAGGACATATAGTCAAAGAAGCAGCAGCATATACTCAATGAGGAACAATGTAGCATATAATAACATAAAATGATCAGACAAACTTTTTGCTGCAAAGCCCTAGTGAGGTAGAGATGAGGAGAGTGCTCTGAAAAGTGGCCCCTCACCTGCAGAGAGTGAATACAAGTTATTTTGTTTTGTTTATTATGGTCAAAAGCACATAACATTAAATTTACCCTCATAACCATTTTTAAGTGTACAGTTCAGTGGTATTAAATGTATTCACATTGTTAGACAATAGATCTTCAGAACTTTTTCATCTTGCAAAACTGAAACTCCGTACCCATTAAAATCTAATTGCTCCTCCCTCCAGCCCCCAGCCCTTGGAAAATACAGGTTATCTGTAATTCATTCAGTCCTTTAAGCCTGTTTTCTCTGTCTACTTTCTCTGATTCCCAGCCTCCATTATTCATACTACTTTCTGTGCAAATTTCTCCCCTGGTCTAGTGTTGTAGAACATGGGGGTTAAATGAAGACTGTGGATTCTGGTGGACCTGGGCTGAAATCCAACAGTTGTTTTATCATTTGTAAAATCAAGATAATAAATAGTACCTAATGATGGCAGAGGCTGCTGCTATCACACTGGCTGCGGCTGGCACTGCACACTCCATGAAGCCAGTGGGAGCTCTGCCCCTTCTAAGTTGGGGGTTCAGCTCCCCAGGTGCCACTGTAGCTACCCAAAGTGTGGCTGCAGACCCAGGCCTCCCGCTCTAGGGAGCAGAATGGACCCCTGCCCAAACTGTGGCTGTGGATCTGAGCCTACCTGTGCTCTTCGAGGTTGCCAGGAACAGGCAGGATCTGCCCTCTTGGGTGCAGCTGCAGGCACCCAACCAGTGACTGCAGACCTGGGCCTTCCACTCCAGGGAGCAGGCAGGAGCCAGAGACAAGCAGGAGTCCTGCTCCTTCCAGCAGGGTGGGATGGGAACTCCCCAGGTGCAGCTGCAGCCACCTTCCCAGGTGCAGCACCTCACAAAGTAAGATCCACTGGCTTGACATTCCAGCCAGCCACCGGCAACTGGGTGGAGCCTGCTTGAGATGGGATGGAGCCCCAAGAATTTGTGAGGTGCTGTGGAAGTGGGACCCACAGAATCAGCTCCCTGGATTCTGCCCCCCTTCCTAGGGGTAGGTGCGGACCTCTCACCTTGCCTGAGTTAGACACATCTGATGGGGATCCCAGGGCCAGAGTATATAAAGCTGCTGGGTCTCTGTGCATGCCTGAGCAGTTACTCTGCCAAGACTCCACACAGTTCTGTGTGTCAGCCCCAGGGCCTGGTGGTGTGGGCTCACAAGGGCATCTCTTGATCCACAGGTTGCAAAGATCCGTGGGAGAAGCATGTTTTTCCAGGGTCACACAATCACTCACCACTTCCCTTAGCTCTGTGTCACTCCCAGGTGGGCCATCACCCAACCTTGCTCTTCTTCATTCTCCATGGTTAAGTTGTTTCCCTAATCAGTCCCAATGTGAGAACCTGGATATTTCAGTTGAAGGTGCTGTATTCACTCACGCCTTTCATTCCTCTCCGTGAATGCCACGGACTGCAGCTGCTTCTAATTGGCCATCTTCGCCCCTCTGCTGTTCATTTCTTATACAGATGAGGTCTCACTATGTTACCCAGGTTGGTCTCAAACTCCTGGGCTCGAGCGATTCTCCCACCTCGGCCACCCAAAGTGCTGGGATTACAAGCATGAGCCACCACACCCAGACTGGGTTTTTAAAAATATGTTTTATAAGGTAAAGGTCAAATTTTATTTGATTTTTCTATATGGCTACCCAATTATCTGCTATTATATCCTACCTTCTTCCTACAATCTCATCACCTACTTGAGTATACACATGGTAGACAAGAGGGGAACTTTTTGAGTTTGATTTCTCTTTGTCCCACCAGCTATACTGCCAGGGAATCACAGCATAGTCTGTGCCTCTTGGCATCGCATATGAAGCCCTTCCCTATCTAGCCCTTGCACCATTTCCAGCCTCATGTCTGACCAATAGACTCCCCCAGCTGCATAAGGCCCCTCATCATTCCCAGATGTGCCACACTCTTTCCTATTCCGACAATGATGTATATATCTTTGCCTTTACTTGTGGCATTTACACGTCTACTCATTTTTCAAGATCCTACTCAAATATTACCTCTTCCAAGAAAACTATACGAATATCCCACACTACTATTTATTTCTACCCTGTTCAGAATCCCTCCTATCCTTCAAGTCCTTTGTTTAGTATTAATCACTGCCTCGAGAGAGTTCTGGAGGTTTTGGACTGTTGAAGGAAAGGGAAGATGTACCTTATTGGGTACCTGTGACCTTGCCAATGTTTGAGAAGAAGCTTTTAGAACCTCTGAGCCAGCTCAGGTCACACCACCATCTCCATAGGAACACTGAATTTCCTCCCACAGTTTTGCTTGATGGAACATCCAGGAGCTCTTTGATGATGGGAGGTAGGTTTCTCCGATCTCTTCTCTGGGCTGAATCATGCCCCAGAAATAGGGCCATGAATTATTGGGGTCTTAGAGCTTATGCAGTAAAGGATTAACCCAAAGAAAGTTTTGGCTCTTTACCCCCAGTTTCTGGAAGGTAACATTTAAGCCCTTGGAATGTCCTGGCTTTCAAAAGTGTCTTTATAAACCTAGGACCTTGGGCCATGCCAGATAGTCTGTACTAACCATAAGATTTATGGTGAGGTCCTTGGACAACACAACATCAGCTTTATCTCTGGAGGGGCTAGAGATCAAAGTCAGTCGTATGGTGGCTAGCCATATCTATGTGACTGATTCCTCAATAAAATCTCTGGACACTGAGACTCAAGTGAACTTCCCTAGTTGGCAATACCCTAGGCATATTGTCACACATCGTTGCGGGGAGAGATAAGTGCAGTCTGTATGACTTCACTGGGGAGCGACAAGTGGGAAGCTCCATTCCTGGTCTCTCCTAGACTTTACCTTTTGTACCTTTTCTTATTGTTGATTTTCAAATGTATTCTTCTGCTCTAACAAACTGTAACCATGGGTAAATTGGCTTGCTGAGTTCTGTGACTTCATCTAGTGAAACTCTGAACCTGAGGATGGTGTGAGGGACCTTCCAAACTTTCAGAGCTTCTACTCAATACATTTCTTTTCTCCATCTAAGGGCACAAAGGATCAAATAGATATAATCTTCAACAGCCTTAAGACATTTTCCAAAACAAGATAGCAAAGGCAGCCACATTGGAAATCGGGTAGCTGGATGGTCCCTGAAGATCAATGACTATACTGATTACCACGTAAGCAATAACTGGTGCAGGTGAGAGTGGACAAGGCAGGAAGTGAAGTGCACCATGGCAGTAAAGCTGTGGGTACCTGGCGATCTACAGGCAAAGAGCCATGTCCCGTGGAGCATGCACAGGAGGTAAACAAGCAGTTGGAACAGGTAGATCCCAGATGGTGATCACACTGGAACCCTTAGTGGTGGCGTTGGTGTTGGTGAAGCACTGGGACCCTTGGAAAAGAAATAAATCGTGTTTATGCCCTTGTAATTGACTTTGTCAATGGGAATAAAGACTATATTGTGTTGGTAAGAACAATAGTATGAGATACCCATGAAAGATAATATAAAAGAAGCTTCCCTGCACCTATATCTGAAAACACTACTTCACAAGTAGATGATCTGATTGAAATTCAGGATGAGGAGTGGCAGGAAGGATAGGTGGCTGAAAAAGCCATTAGCCATACTGGTAGAAGTTCAGAGTGAAGTGGAGGACATAGAGAAAGGGATTAAGGTTTCCAGCCAGGAGTTTAGAGGGTAGAGGTAGTGAACTTCTGAGCCAAAGGAGCTGAGCACCCAGAAGAATTGTGAAGGGCAGACACAGCTTCTGGTAGCCTGGGGAAGGCCAGAGGGCCACTGTGGGATAGGTGCTGCCAGTGCAGGCCAGGCATCACTGGAAGAATGACCTCTCCCTTTGCAACAGAACTTTAGCTATGCATTCTGGCATTGGGCTCATGTGGGTATCAGCAAGTAGCAGCTCCAAGCAGGTACTACTGTCAGCCAAGAGAAGGTAGGGCTAGTCACAACTATTTTGTTTTTCAGTGAGGCAGAACACAGAGCAGAGTCTGGGGGTCCAGCCAGCTTATAGCCTCCCTAGAAAGTTCCTTCCAGGAATAATGCCTGCTAAGCTGTTCATTCCAGTTCAGTTCCTCAGTAAAGAGTCAAAACTCAACAGTACCATGAACCCATGACCTGCGCATGGCTTGCATTGTGGCCTTGATGTCTATCTCTTCCTAGGACAGGCCTGCCATTCATGTTGCTGAGGACTGCCGAGAGGATGGGGTGATCTTCATGTCCATAGCTGCAGAGCACAAAACCCAGAAGGGCAGAGACTTCTTCCTGCAAAGTCCAGAAAAATCTAAGCCCTGTTGAATAATGAAGCTCCGCTCAAGCAGCTACTTTGTACACAATGCACATGATTTTACTAATGGGGAAACTGGGGCCCCAAAAGCTTAAATTGCTTCTTCATTAGTGATAGAGCTGGTCACCTCTAGGCTGTGATGCAATATTTTTAAGTCCATATGGATACTTCTGACAGCATTAAGACCCCAGTGAGCTCTGGAAGGAAGAAGGAAGGTGCTTTGAGGACAGGAAGGGCAGCTCTGACATTGTTAAGTCAACAGTCTGAGTTGACTTTGCAATCACAGGACACACAGCCTTTTAAACCAGTGAAAGAATCAGGCAAATGCAACTGTTTATCACCCCAGGGGAGAGCAGGTAGCTCTAATAAGACCAAGCCAGGTGAGAGTGGCTCCAATATGATTTGTCTTCTTTTGTCCCTGTTCTGATGAGATACCAGGTTAAACCTGCCCTCTCAGCCTGGGCACCACTGGGCAGGGGAACAAACCTCTGTGACATTTAGCACTTGTTCTAGACAAAAGTTGCCCAAAAGTGCTAATGGTTCAGAGGAACAATTAGGAGTTTGACTACAGATCACCTGCTACCTCCTTACCGCTCCAGAGGACCTTTTAACCTTCATCCTGTTTTGCTAAGTGTGCATCTCTCAAGCTGTTCATGCTGAAGTGAGCAGAAAATGAGACTAAGAGACATTCACCTTAGCTTCTGTCTGTTGTGGGTTTGTCTCCTTTGGTTCATGGGGTCTGTGTGCACTCTGCCTTGGCTCAGGTTCATTTGTTCAAGGCTGTTAAGGTTACAGACTTAACTGGGTTTCTTTCCTGCCTTAGAGCCCACCAACAACTAGAGGATGCTGCCACCTGGTGGTAGCAATCGCCTTGCATGGGACTCTATACCAGTGAGCATCAAATTGCACTAAAAAGCTAAGATTTTGCAAGAATACCCCTTGCACAGAGACTTGGAAGGGAATCAATTTCCAGGTGCCTCGACTGTCATTCTTAAAATCTGCCTGAAAACAGATTGGAATGATCAGATACAGTCTCCTTGCCCATCTTCTCTTTAAAATGGCATTTTTGGACAAAAAAGAAAGACACATCCTTATCCATCCTGAATCTTACTATTGTGCATTGCCCTGAGCTGTAAAAAAACTGCAGGATGTCAAAGGGACAATTTAAAATACTGTCTTCAAGGACAACTCCATTAGTGATTAATCAAAGCATCATAGGCTTGTCTAGGATTTGTCTGTGTCTGCAGGTCTGGGAGATATTTCTGTGAGGCTAAGTGAGACATCGGAGCCTATGTTGGCCTGTGCTAGAGTGTTCTGAATTTGGATATATTGTAGAGTACCGCAGTGAAGGGTTTCACCTCTTCCATCCCCCAAATATTGCCAAGTAGAGCAGCACTCTTGAGGGAGAGTCCTCTGAAAACATAAAAATGAGCCCCAGAAAATATACCCTCTCTCTCTCTATATATATATATATATATAAAACTATATATATGTAACTACATATATACAACTATATATATAACTACATATATATAACTATATATAACTATATATATAACTATATATAACTATAACTATATATAACTATATATAACCATATATAACATATATAACTATATATAACTATATATATAACTATATATAACTATATATATATTTGAGACTCTCTTTATATATATATGTGTATAACTCTCTCTATATATATATAGTTGAGACAGAGTCTCGCTCTGTCGCCCAGGCTGGAGTACAATGGCACAATCTAGGCTCACTGCAATCTCCACCTCCAGGTTCAAGCGATTCTCCTGCCTCAGCCTCCCGAGTAGCTGGGATTACAGGTGTGTGTCACCACGCCCAGCTAATTTTTGTATTTTTAGTACAGACAGGTTTTCACCATGTTGGTCAGGCTGGTCTCGAACTCCTGACCTCGTGATCCGGCCCCTCCCTCAATATTTAAGTGATTGCTTTTAGACATATATATACCAAGGACCTGCACATCTTAGTGATGCTGATACTTTTAAGCATGATAAGAATGTTTTCTGAGCTACCAGAATTCTCCAGTGTACACTGACTCATTCCTGCAGATAAAAACCTTTTGTGATCTTTCAGATTTGGTGTGTTTCATTCAATAATATAGTTAAAACCTATCACATAACACATCATATTATGAAATATTTATTCCAATTATTCTGCCATTACCTTATTTCAGCTTATAAAATGTTTAATATTTTTCTCTCTTTTTAAGAAAAAACAAAATTATATGCTAGCTGTCAGACTGATTCATTTATACACTTTCATTAAATACATAAGGAAAGTTTGATCAGTATATCTAATGTGATTAATAATTTCTGACTTTATACATGGTTCTTATTTGTTAATTATTTCAAAAAGCTAGCCACCACTGTTTAATACACAAATACATACACATTTTTCAAATAAATGCCTCATATACCTAGCTTCTTAAAGAACAAATTTTAGCCACACTTTACATCGCAGTAATATTAGAGTAATTATTAGATATATATCACTTCATTATTGATTGCTCGTAGTAATATATCTTACAAGATGTGCTTTTAAGTTATTCCTTAATTGTTCTTTGGAAAATACTATTTTTTGAAACACATATTGAAAAATAAAGTCAATCCTTTCTAGTTTTATTAAATAAAGAAAGTAAACCTAATGTGACTGAATACTTTGCCAACAAGAAATTGGCTTTGCTCATTAGGTTATATAGAAGATATTTTCCATCAACTGAATAAGCTAAATCTGCAGTTCTAAGATTTCAATAATGATAAAAATTATTTACAAAGCAGGCAAGACAATTAAGACATTTGATAATATTGGACTGACAAAGGCATACTGAAAGTAAAATTTTAATTTTCCCCACTCTTATTGATTAAATATGGTGCCTGTGAGTAAAGGGGCAACAGTATAATTAATAGTCACTTAATACATGTTGGTAAAGTTTTTTGGTTATATGTTCCAGGAATATAAATAAGAAATCACTTTATGAATGGGAAACATCATTTGAAAATAAGGTGTTTTCCAACTATTTGATTTCAACAACATTGCAGAAAGACCTAATTACGTCATCAACTGATAATGATAGATAAGTATATCACTTTTGCCATATTACTTAGAATTCCAAGAATTGAGTCACAATTCTAAAACATAATTTCTATTCCCACCTCCATATTTCTGAGAACAAGGTTTCTCAGTATTTGTATCTATAAAAATGAAAAAATAGAATAGATACTAAATCATATTACATTTTGGCCATAAGTAAAATTAATCAATGGAATATGATAATGTTTTTGCAAGCATTCATCTCATTAAAAGAATGTATTTACAACAACCTTCCCCTTTTATGTTGTAGTTGGCTGCCTGCCCACCTGTGAGCTCCCATGCCTCATCCTATAGTAGAAAGTCCTCCCTAGAAAGCAGCTGCTCACCCAGTGACCTTAGGCATGTCATATGGTCATGTGACTACTTCTCACCCATAGAAAGGAAGCAGTCACAGTGGGTGGAACTTCCAGGCCAAGGCTCTTAAGAAGGTCTTCCCTATACAATCCTCTTCCTTCTCCAGCTGGATTCTGCTAAGATGACAAGGCGCTCAAGGATGGAGAAGCCATAAAATCAAAAGAGGCTTGAGTCTCCGAATCACTGGACAGAGAGCCACATACCAACTAGAACATCCACCTAAGACTGGAAAATGGGCCAGAGATAAACTTCCATTGTGTTAGGCCACTGGAATTGGGGATTTGTTTAAACAGCCATCCCTACCGTAAATAACACAATACTCAATAATGACTTATCAATATTTATAATACATCTCTGTTGCTTTTAATAAATATATGCTAGTAATGAATTGTATTAATAATTCAATCCGGAAGAATTTTTAACACTTAGAGCCTTATGGTCATAGGAAATTGTTTAGATGTTTAATTTCAATTTCCATTCGTAATTTTGATACAGGGAATTTTGATGGCATGACCAATAAATATTAAAATGTATTATAGCATAAGCTAAAATTATGTATTGGAAGGGATGTGGCAAAATAAATTCAAGCAAATAAAAGGATGATATAAAACTTTTTAACATTATAGAACAGTTTGTTCAGCCGGGCGCGGTGGCTCACGCCTGTAATCCCAGCACTTTGGGAGGCCAAGGCGGGCGGATCATGAGGTCAGGAGATCGAGACCATCCTGGCTAACACGGTGAAACCCCGTCTCTACTAAAAGTACAAAAAATTGGCCCGGCGCGGTGGCGGGCGCCTGTAGTCCCAGCTACTCGGGAGGCTGAGGCAGGCGAATGGGTGAACCCGGGAGGCGGAGCTTGCAGCGAGCCGAGATTGCGCCACTGCAGTCTGGCCTGGGCGAAAGAGCGAGACTCCGTCTCAAAAAAAAAAAAAAAAAAAAAGAACGGTTTGTTCATATGCAATTTTTAAAGATGATCGTTTGCCTTAAGTTGCTACCAGAGTCCTTCACTACTTCTTTAAAAATATTTAAGACTAAAAATCTATGCACTATGGTAGATATTTTAAAAAGTTATTAAAGCATGAATTGGCAAGTGACAGATCTGTATCTGAAGTTAGAGACATCTTTATAATCATTCACTACATGTGCATTTATTGAATACTCTCCATACTTCAGACACTGTATTAGAGACTGTAAAAGTACAAAAATAAGACACACCTACACTCAAAACTCCCTCCCCACACCTGCACTTGAAAATCCCTCCCCACATTCTCTCTCTCTCTCTCTCTCACACACACACACACACACACACACACATGCACACACTCTCCACTTAGGGTTTGCTATTTTGAATACCTAGGATGACATATCCACCTCACCCTAGAAAGTAGGCCCACTGTAGAAAAGAAAATAGGCCCACGTGAGCAAGAAAATGGCTCAACCTAAAATTGCAAATAAAAGAGTGATCTTGTTCATTTAGATATTCTGTACTTTTTTATGACACCTGTAATACCTGTAATCTCTGCTCCCTGGTATCCCTCTAGTTCTTCCCAAAGTGGCAATGCCAACAGCTAATTCCAGGTTTTCTCAGCTTCATGAAGACCTACCAGTAAGTAGTCACAGTCTTGACCCCACCTCCCACTGACTGAAGGAGCCACTGAGCACATCACGTACCTGAACTGGCCTTGTTACCTGAGGCTATTTGAATGGAAGTCTTGGAGGTCTGCAAAAACTACCAAACTGACCCAAATCTAGACCAGCTAGATGATTCCAGGAAGGGGGAACAAACTCTGAGCACCAACTAAAAAACAATAAAACAAACGCCAACAATAAAAATGCTAAACAAAAGATATTTTGAGGTTATGATGGATAGTAACCCAATGTTAACAATTCAGTGAGACTGCCAAAAGGTTAATGCTATTTTAGAGACATTAATGAAAGCCTAGGTTCCAGAACAAAGGAGGGGTTGTTTTTCATCTATCTGAGCTAGTCAAATAACAATTGCAACAGTGTGTTCTGCTCTGGGTAACACACTCTGCAAGCAGCCCTGACAAATTAACACTTCCCCGTAAATTCTCTCCACCACCTCCACACAAAGAAATGAGTAGTTATGGGATTAAAGTGCGAAATAAGTGGGGTGGGACTGGGGTTGTTTTTGTAATTCTGGGGTTTGCAAAATCTTCTGACATTGCATAACTCTCCTAAAATACAATATGCAAAATGACCAATAATATCTATCTCTAATGGCCTCTGCCTCTACTCTTATTTAAGTTACCCAAGAATGCCAAAAGCTATCAAACAGGGTTCTGATCTTCATAGCATGGTTTATACAAATTACAGAGTGTTATACTTTAACTTAAAGAAATCTTTCTCTTGCGTGAACCCGGGAGGCGGAGCTTGCAGTGAGCCGAGATCGCGCCACTGCACTCCAGCCTGGGCGACAGAGCGAGACTTCGTCTCAAAAAAAAAAAAAAAAAAAAAAAAAAAAAAAAAAACCTTTCTCTAGAATAGATGAAGTAAGTTTTGATACGGTATGTCACCTGACTTGGAAGTGATAAGCAAAGGAGGCATAGTAGAAGAGTAAATCGCTAGGTTAAATAATCCCAACTCTAACCCTATGTAGCATAGGGCTGCCATATTTTTGCCCTTCACCTTGGATGCAGAGGATGACAGGACAACAGGTCTGACCATCACCACTCACCTTCCTTCTCTGAAAGGCTTCTGATGTCACATAAAATCATGCACCCTGAATAGTTCAGATGTGTGTCCCTGCCCAAGTCTCATGCTGAAATGTAATCCCCAGTGGTGGAGTGGAGGTGGGGCCTGGTGGGAGGTGACTGGCTCATGCGGATGGAGTTCTTATGAATGATTTAGCACCATCCTCTTGGTGCTGTCCTTACGATAGTAAGTGAGTTCTTGCAAGATCTGGTCATTTAAAAGTATGTGGCACCTCCTCCCTCTCTCTCTTGCTTCTGCTTTCGCCATGTGACATGCTTGCTCCCACTTTGCCTTCCACCATGAATGGTAACTTCCTGAGGCCTCCCCAGAAGTGGATACTCTATAGCCTGCAGAACCGTGAGCCAATTAAACCTATTTTCTTATACATTACTCAGACTCAGGTATTTCTTTATAGCAATGTGAGAATGGATTAATGTAAACTCTAACCTCTCCAGATGACAGTGGAATTTGGCCCCACACAATACTCTCATTTCCCAACCATCACAGAGGAAGTCCCTGGGAGTAACCAAGAAAGAGATAGGTAAACACAAGGAATGTTAGTTGTTATCCAGACAGAAGGAGACCAAGCAGAGGTGGGACATTGTGCTAATTGGTGGCCTGAGGAGCATGGGACAGACCAGACCCTCTCCTCCTTCCTGGTCAAGGCCCAGCATCAGAGAACTGGGAAGTTGCACCTGGCATGACAAGGATTAAAGGGCCAGAGGGATGCTGCTGATAAGGGCCCTTTATATGAGCCTTTTGAGGCTTTGGGGATGAGACATTTTTTCAGGACTTTATGGAATTCTGAAGGTTATGAGAAGCTACGAGTGTATCTAGCATTGTGAAGACATAAGATTAGCAATTTAAGGATGGCTTTGTTGTGAAGTCTTTAGGGAGGAGAAAGACCTTCATGTATCTGCTCAGCAACCCAGGATAGGGAATCAGAGAAAAAGCTTGCTCTAGGAATGAAGTACACTAGTCTATTTGAAGCATCTCCTAGACTGTGTTTCTTGGGGTCCAGAATCCAAGGGACAACTTGAAAAAGGAGTTATGGCCCAAAGCAGAGTTAATGTGATCCACCTGTTTGCCCTGGTCCATTTGCAAATTAGCTTGAACAAGAAGGCCTTTATAATTAACCATGCTTCATCCAGAAATATCCCTAACCCCCCAAGTCCTTGTTAATCAGGTAGACAATTTGGCAGGCATTTGGCAGAGAGACATTGGGGATGGGAGAGAATGTACTTGCATTTCGTCAGTTTCCATCTTGACTTTATGCATTTTTTTCATGTGGGAATTTTTAACTGAATCCACCTAAAGTTTAAGCAATTTCCTGCCCAACAGATCCTAAAAAATAATCTTGCCTCAGGCAGAAAAGGTCTCAAACATAAACCAAAAAATAAAATTCTAAGCCCCCCAACTGACTGAATGGACTCCTCTTGGCCAAGGGCATTCCAAAGTAAACCTAAAAAATTAGTTCAGGTCATGATAAGAAGAGGGGACATCCAATATGCCTCATTATACTTTCCTTCCTTTGGAATTCAGGCACAACTTACTAGCATTAAAATTAAAACAGAGATCCTAAGACTGACAAAACAGTCTCTTTGTAGCAATAAGATACCAAATTCCAACCTGACTCTAGCATAGCATCACATGGCAGATAGCAGTCCCCGGAAGAAACTGAAGTATTTTACCCTAAAATATATTTATTTGACATATTTTGAAATAGCCCTGCAACGTTACAGGGCCACTGGGGAAAATTTACATTCTGAAGAGAGTCCCCTTCTTTTTCCAGGTCTTTCCCCTTGATCCAGGAGAGATTTAACTAAGAGATTTAACCTTTAAGAGTCTGATAAGAGACATTTACTGAACCTTGCTGCCTGGAGGCTTCATCTACATAACAAGAACCTTGGCTTCCACAACCTCCCTTAACTTAACTACAAACATCTATTCCTGCTGATTTCAACTCTTCAGGCAGACCTTAATCCTTTCAACCAACTGCCAATCGGGACATCTTTGAATCCACCTATGACCTGTAAGCCCCTGCTTCGAGTTGTCCTGTCTTTCCAGACCAAACCAATGTGTACCTTACATGTATTGATTGATGTATTATGTTTCCCCTGTATAAAACCAAGCTGTAACCCAACTACCTGGCGTGCATGTTCTCAGGACCTCTTAAGACTGTGCCTCAGGCCTTGGTCACTCATATTTGGCACAGAATAAATCCCTTCAAATAGCTTACAGGGTTTGACTCTTTTGCATCAACACAAACCAACTATATAGACCATGAAACCCAAAGCCGCAGCATCTCAGAGAGGCTGTCTGTCTTGAGGCTGTCTCTTGCTTTGTATGCTGAGTCTGTCCTCATACCAGTACTTAATCTTCTGTTCATTTGCAGGAATGAAAGGGATAGATGATAAACTACTGTTGGGAGGCGAGGGAAATTCACTGAAGGATGGGCTTGCTCACATTAAACCATATTTATAACCTTTTGCAGTTGAAGACAATTGAACAGCCAAAGAAAATAGCCCAAGAGGGAAACCAAAAAGATTTAAGATGCCTTGATGGAAGATTCTTGACAAAGTTCCCAGACTAGCATAATCCTGTTGAAAATGCAGCCCTTTCTATCCATTACCAAGAAGTTTCTATGAATAAAAGAGATAACAGCCTATGACTGGTCTTATCTGCATGATTAGTGGTGTTTATAAAACACCAATTCATTGCATGGCAAGAGAATAACTATTGCAGACTTGTTTGCAGGTATAAAAATAAAACAGAATCTGCTAAAACCAGAAACACAAGGGCTCCATTCTCTTCTATCTCTACTTATTTGATCAGTCTAGGCTACCAGTGAGCTAGGCTCTGGAGAATCCCATACAGATAAATCAAAAAATTGTGGATCCGTTATTTAAAGCTGATCAGACAAACAAGGAGAAAGCTCATTTTTCAGACATTGCCTGAAATTTGACTTGAAAAGACAGGAACACATTACGGGTATAGAAGGGGCACTGATAAGAAAGGAGAATTCTAAAGGATTCTGTTCAATTCTAACTACCTAGCTGGGAACTGAACGGTAGAGTCAGGGTTGGGGAGTGATATGGTTTGGCTGTGTCCTCACTGAAATCCCATCAGGAATTGTAGCTCCCATAATCCCCATGTGTCATGGGAGGAACCCAGTGGGAGGTAATTGAATCATGGGGGCTAGTTTTCCCATGCTGTTCTGCTGATAGTGAATGAGTCTCACAAGATCTGGTGGTTTTATAAAAGGAAGTTCCCCTGTGCATGTTCTCCTGCCTGCCACCACATAAGATGTGCCTTTGTTCTTCCTTTGCCTCCGGCCATGATTTTGAGGACTCCCCAGCCATGCTGAACTGTGAGTCAATTAAACCTCTTTTCTTTGTAAATTACCCAGCCTCAGATATGTCTTTATTAGCAGTGTGAGAACAGACTAATACAGGGAGGGAGAGGAGAGGAGAAGTCTCAGATATGGAAGATTACAGAAAATTCTGCAGAGAAGGTGAGGACCTTAGAACAATAAAAGTTAATTTCATTCAATTCAACATACCTGTACTTCAACCTCTTTACCTGCATCATCCCACATTACAAATTCTCCACCCTGGCAAAGACATCCACCCCTGCCTATCTCCACCATTTCCTTTGGACCAATAAGCCTTCTACTTACTTTACAACTTCCCTACCTATCTTGGTGAAACTGCCACTGCAGAATTATAAGTAATGAGAGAAACCTAACGTGACTGACTCCATCTTGCTTTTAACCCACAGGCTAAGGTTTTTCTGTTTGTTTGTTTGTTTGTTTTTGCTTATTCTAGCATGGAGGCCAAGAAAACTATGAGAAGAATTTAGTTGATAGTTAAACTTTGAGACAAGGAAAACTGATACCCCTTCTTGTTCAGAGATTGACGCCACATTCACAAGAAAAGGTAGAATTATGGTAGAGGCTTGAACTTTGCTAAAGAATAGGCATAAACAATGACCTGCCACTGCCTATCTTGTTTTTCTGTAAGTTGCTTACTGTCCCCAGAGGTGCATAACCAGAGGTTGCAAAATTTATAACTTCCCCAACTACTCCTATAGATAACATCACTATTGTAAAACCTAAAGAACTGGTCTTGGAAATATTTTTCAGAGTTGGCATTTCAGCAGACCAAGAGATGCCTCTAGTCCTAAGACCCCCCTCCCAGGAACTAACTCAGTTGCATGAAGACAGTTTAGATACCCCTGTGGTTTCATCCCTGGCCCTTTGATGGTTTCAGTTCCCTAACCCCCTGCCCACCAAAGTATCCTTAAAAACTCTAGCCTCTGAATTCTTGGAGAGTCAGATTTGAGAAATTTCTCCCATTCTCCTCACTTGGCTAGAGAGCAATTATTAAACTCTTTCTTTGCTGCAACATCTACTGTTTTCAGTGAATTGGTTTTTTTTCAGGGCAGCAGGCAATAAGAACCTGTTGGGCTGTGACACTGGGGCCCAGGAAGCTGCAGTTCTATCACGTCTCACTGTCACTCAAAAAGTCACCAGCCCCAACCCTCATCAACAAAAGACATTTTATATGGATTTTCTTAACATAGCCACATCTTTAGAGATTTAGATATAAAACTCATTGGTATACATCATGTCATCTAAACCTACTTAGGGACCTCAATTTTAAAATATGCATCCTAATCAATTCCTTTAAGAATACACATCTTTGTGTATTTGGTTTTCTTGAAGTAGGGCCTACTTGGCACACTATTTGGTAAACTAAAAGATACATTCTTGAGTATGTTAGAGTTCAAAACTTAAGGCAGTTTCAAGCATGGGCAGATGACTATTCTTTCAGTTTGATCACTGTCAGATTAGTAACAGTTCATCTGCCTCTCTGGAGAAGTTGGCTGGGAAGACTTTACAGATGCCTTTCACACAAACTGTGACTGAGATAAGCTCAGTGCAGAGCTGTTTGTGTATTCAGGCAATGAAAGTCAACCACAAAGGAGAAATGCCAGACATGACAAGTGAAGCAATATGAGCAGAAGATCCTCAGCGAATGACTGTTTCATTCACACAACCATCAGAAGCCAAAGGACTACAACAACATTCCCTCCCATTTAAGAGCTCACAGACTCAAAACTATATCCACAGGTTCCAGCAGTATATCATTGGATTTCAAGGTCTCCATGTAAAAACTACCCCATTAATAACCGAATTCTGTCACTTAGGAGGTCATAAAATCAGACACAGACATGTGACACTGAATGGCAGAACTAGTTATGAAGAGACATTATCAATCAGTGCCCAGTTAGGAAAACAGAAACCACTCTAGGTGTTTCAGAGTGTTAGCAGTGATGGAAGAGCAAAAGGGGATGGTTGAGGTGAAACCCATGTGACCGGGGAAGCAAAAGGAAAATTGATATTCCCCGGAGCCCATCGCTGGGGCTGATGGAACCCCTACTCCTGCCTGCCCCAATCTATGGGATGCCAGGAGTCTGCACTCCTGTGGAAGCTGCAGGAGCTCTGGACCTACAGTCATCAGGGGCTGCTCCTGCTGGAGCCAGAGTCCAAGCTTTGAGCTGCTGCTGCTATTGCAAAAAAATACAAAAAAAAAAAAAAAAAAAAAAAAATTAGCTGGGCATGGTGGCCCATGCCTGTAATCCCAGCTACTTGAGAGCTGAGGCAGGAGAATCACTTGAATCTGGGAGGTGGAGGTTGCAGTGAGCCGAGATCACGCCACTACACTCCAGCCTGGGCAACAGAGTGAGACTCTGTCTCAAAAAAAAAATGCACATATAGCCTTTTACCTCTTCTTCACCAGACATTCCCTACAGGGCAAGTTCGTCTAACTGTGTTCTCCAAGACAGAACTCTCCTTGAGAATTAACAGTGGATTTATAAACCAAAGCATGCCCACTAGGAAACTCTCAACTTCTGCCCTGCTTGAGCAGAATCCAGGAAGCTGCCCTAGCAGGGACCTGCTATTGCCACTTGCTGGAGGTGACTTCAGATGCAGAAGGGGAAAAAAAGGATCGCCCTTCCTTCTGAGAAACAGCAAAGAGGCCCCTGACAGCCAGGAGCTGGCCTGGCACAGCAGGGCCTTGGTGTTCTGTTAGACATAAACCACTTCACAGAACATCAATACCCAACAGGGCTACTCAGGGCCAATGATGGACCAAGACAAAAACAAGACTACTCCATAATTATGTGTGAACACAGACGAAACATGAGCACTGTTCAAATCATAAAAATGACCTAACATTCCCCCATTCTGGCTAATATTGTAACTGAAATGCGGGTTAGTTGCTTACCGCTTGCAGAGTCCAATTAACAAGAGCGAGGTCTGGTATAAAGGGACTTATTTCCAAAGCCAGCTTAGGGGAAGAAGCACAGGCATCCCACCTTTAAATGTACCACTTTGCTTTGGGAACAGAAAGTGGGCACTTTTAAAAAGCAGGGGAGGAAGCCAGCAAGGTGGCAGTCTGCATGTTAGCTTGGTGCCTTACTTACCAGGCGGTCAAGCTAGTGATAGCTGGCATCTTCATGGGCAGGACTAAGCTGAAAACTACCCAGGTAGGAGAGAGTAGCAGGCATGTTTTTCAACTATTATCTCTCGAGGCAACCCCCTGGTGGGTGAGTTTCCTAGTGGGCATGCTTTTGTTTATAAATCCACTGTTAATTCTCAAAGAAAGTTCTGTCTTGGAGAACATAGTTAGACGAACTTGCCCTGTAGGGAATGTCTGGTGAAGAAGAGGTAAAAGGCTATATTTGCATTTCTTTTTTTTTTTTTTTTTAAGACAGAGTCTCACTCTGCCACCCAGGCTGGAGTACAGTGGTGCGATCTCGGCTCACTGCAACCTGACCTCCGAGGTTCAAGTGATTCTCCTGCCTCAGCCTCTCGAGTAGCGGGGATTACAGCCGTGTGCCACCATGCCCAGCTAATTTTTTTTGCGTGTGTTTTTAGTAGAGATGGGGTTTCACCAAGTTGGCCAAGCTGGCCTTAAACTCCTGACCTCATGTGATCTGCCCACCTTGGCCTCCCAAAGTGCTGGGATTGCAGATGTGAGCCACTGTGCCCAGCCTTATATTTGCATTTCTAAAGGGTTAAGTAGGAAGTGGAAAATCAGGGGAACAAGAAGAGAAAATAATAAAATGATTAAAAATAATTAAACTAACTCTTAAAAAAATGGAGGTGCTCAGTTACAATATGACTGACTACTGCTTCTTTACCAATTACAGTTTTGGCCTCACCTAGTTTTCTCTCCTTCTAGATTAGATTTATTAAGATACCCAAACATAGAATTAACCCCCAATTCCTGGCATCATCTAACATCTCTTCCTTAATTAAACTTTCCCCAAAAACACTGAATACAAGCCCAAGTCCTATCATAGGTCCTTTCTAACACTATCTTACAGAGGTACCCCATAATTCCCACAGTGTGCAAGCTCCCTCACAGCAAGAAGCAAACCCCACCTTTTTCACTAAAGGAGTTCTCAGTGGTCTTTGGCTGGAGCATTAACACTTCCAACTTCCAATCTGCTGCCAGCAAAGTATGTTGGATTCTGACCATCCATTGGGAATTATGATCAAAAAAGCATGAAAGCTTGAAAATAAGCTCTAAGCATGAAAGTAAAGGAAAATCTTGAGTTCCTTCAAGGGAAATTCCAGGCACCTAGCTGGCCCTCAGAAAGAAATAAGGAACTTGATAAGCAAGAAGGTAATAGTAACTTAAAATAATAGCTAAAGAAGCCAGAATCACATGTTTGGTTCTCCTATAGAAACTAAAAACAACATCCTAACATACGTCCCTGAGTTGTTTTTCAGAAACCTGGGTCCCCACCAAATGGATCCACTGGCACTGAGACCCCAGGCAATGGGGAGCTGAGGACTGAGCTCTGACCACTATTCTTTCTTCTAAATTACTTCCTGAGGGGCCTGGATAAAGGTATACTCACAAACAGAGCTAATTCTTTTCTACTGACCTCAAATTTTTCAACAAAGCTTCTCTTCCTTAACAAATTGCAAATCGGAAAATCTTTGAATCTACCTTTGATCTGTAAGACCCTGTTTCAAGACATTTAACCCTTTAGGGCAAAACCAATGTGCAATTTCCACGTATTGATTTATTACTTTACATGTAACTTCTACTTTTCTGAAATTTACCCCTGCCTTTAAAAATCCTGTACCTGCAACCCATCGGGTTGTCCAACAGCCTTTGCTGGCAGCATATTCGGAGATGTAAGTGTCAACACCTCAGCCAAAGACCATCCAGAACACCTGTGGTGGAACAGGTGGGGTTTACTTCTTGCTCTGAGGGAGCTTGCACGCTCTGGGAACTGTGGGGTACCTCTGCAAGAGAGTGTTAGAAAAGACCTATGATAGGACTTGGGCTTGCATTAGGTGTTTTAGGGGAGAGTTTAAGGAAGAGGTGTTAGATGCTGCCAGGATTTGGGTGTCAGGACTGAAGCATTAGCTTCCCAATCTTCCTTGCTTTGTGCCCTACAAATAAAAACCTCCCTTTCTCCCACTGCAAACCCAGTGTGGATCGCTGGTCCTACTGCACCAGGTGAGAAGACTTCAAGTTTGATTTGATAACACCACCTGAGTGCTGGAGTGATTTCCACTTCACTAATCCAATTTTCTATAGTATCCAGTAACCTGCTGACCAACTCTGTTTTAGTTCTGCATCATATTGGACTTTGTTAGGCACCATATGAGATGCATTTGGTTAAAGATGCCTTTAGGTCTCCACCTAAATCCTTCACCCGGAAAGAAGAATAAAAAGCTAATTCAGGACCCAGCAGCTGGGGTCAGGAGAAAATGAAACTTGGTTTATAATCAGCTCCACTTGAGGTAAATATGAATTGAGATTGTGCTGTGCTTTTTGAAAACAATGACCTAGCCATCATTATTCTCTGCAACTGACTTGGAAGTTTCCATCTGATGAGTCAAAACCAGTCACTTGTATATTAATGAAAGAAAAAAAAATGCACCTTAAAGTGCAGCACATTAAATACACAAAGGGCTGCTGGAATGCTGAAAAGTGAAAAAGAGTCCAACTCCTTCCTCAAAGTCACACAGCTAATAAGACATTCACCGTCACCTTGGAGCTTTAGATTTGTGAAGCCATCCCCAGGCTCTGTGCCTAACATTCAAGTAGCTGCCACCACGAGCTTAGCTTTAGGATCTAAATGGCCAGCTTTTCCAAAGATGTGGATAATGGTGAGATGGAGCAGGGACCCCTCTTAGGAGCCTGCTGGGCACTATCCCCGAACCAAGCATGGAAATAAAGGAAAATCTTTAGTTCCTTCAAGGGAAATTCCAGGCACCTAGCTCGCCCTGAGAAGTAAGGGAGCAATTTGATTAGCAAGAAGGTAATAGCTTATAACAACAGCCATGGAAGTTAATCATGAGATGTTTGGTTCTCTATAGAAACTAAATGTTGCGGATGAGCGGTGACTATCTGGGCCAGTGGCTGAGGGGTATAAGAATTTACCAAGGCAGTTGTGGATAAAGAAAGGCAGATTCATTAGGAACATATAAAAATAATGTTGCAAGAGAGCAATGGGCAGAATCAGCAAGAGAGCAGCTGACTGCAAAGAAACAAAGGCTTCCCGGAGATTTTATAGGATAGTTCTTGGGCTGCAGAGTGCTGTGTACAGTACTGATAACGCCAAGGTAGCAGGAAGGTAACTTGCATTCTTCCATCAACCTAGGTGTTTGATGATATTGTGAGCTATATACATTACCTACACAGGAGGGCCCTATGTGCTGGGTCATAAAGAAAGGCAGACCTA
Source organism: Homo sapiens (assembly GCF_000001405.40). Classification (NCBI taxonomy): domain Eukaryota; kingdom Metazoa; phylum Chordata; class Mammalia; order Primates; family Hominidae; genus Homo; species Homo sapiens. Next base: position 79,366,089 of record NC_000015.10, on the reverse strand, counting down.
TAGCTTATCTCACCCTCTTTTTGTTTATATGTCCTGAACCACGAAGAAAGGCAGACCTATAGCTTGTCTGCTTTATCTCTTTGCTTTCCTCTGGTCCTGCCAGCCTGACTCCTTTTCCCTAATTAGGACTCCACACAAGATAACATCTTAACATATGTCTCTGACTTGTTCTTCAGAAACTCGGACCCCACCAAATGGATCTGCTGGCACACAGACCTCAGATATGGAGGGACCGAGAGGACTGGATTCTTGCTGCTGTGAAAGGAAAATAAAAACTTGGAACCCCAAATCTCTGTGCCAAAAGGAAAAAATTAAGCTGAAAGCTGAGTCATGCAAGAAGCTGCCTTTTCTTTTGCTCCTAAGCAGAGAGCTACAGATAAAAGGTTAAATATCTCCACAGATAGCTACTCTACGTTCACCTTATCTTACGTAAAGTGCTGATTTACTGAGCACCAGACAGACACATAATTGACTGTTCCCCTACCTGCTCCTTTTCTCTTGCAACACGTGGATTCAGTAATGTGACCATACCCTCCTTCTTTCCCCTCCAGTCTGCTTTTCCCCTTTTAAATATTGAAGCCCTCAAAATCACCTTTGGAGAAAGGCACAGACTTGTCTCCTGGGTACATCCTTAACCTTGGCAAAATAAACTTTTGAATTAATTGAGACCTGTCTCGGATACTTTTTGGTTTGCACTGCCGTTCTTTGTTCTAAATTTCTTCCTGAGGGGCCTGGAGGAGGTGATGTCCACAAGCCAGACCTAACATTCTTTTCTGCTGACCCCAAGTCTTTAGACAAAGCTTCTCGTCTTTAATCAGTTACAAATCAGAAAATCTCTGAATTCACCTATGACCTGTGGGCCCCTGCTTTGAGCTGTCCTGTCTTTTTAGTTCAAACCAATGTGTAATCCCCATGTATTTGAAAGCAAAACAGGAGAGTTCCCTGATCCCCCTCTCAGGACATTCAGCAGGGGTGTGAATCGCCTGTTCCCTCGTCTCCGCTGCTCAAACCCCTGAGGGGAGAGGGAGCATGCAGAGGGACAGATGCAGGAGACCAAGTGGGTATGCATTACAGTGTGCCCTTTTAGCCCTGCCATCCGCAGACAGCTTAAGTGTTAATCAGTTCAATGGACCCTCTGCCTTTTTGCAAGGGCAGAGGGCCGGTGTGACACCTTTCTGTATCCCAAGCTCTTTCCCAGTGTCCTGGAAGAATCAAGTCACACATGGGCTTGAAGGATGAATGTGGGGTTTTACTGGGTGGTGGAGGTGGCTCTCAGAGGGATGGATGGGGAGCTGGGAGGATGCAGTGAGAGGATGATCTGCCCCTAGAGTTTGGCCATCCAGTGGCCAAACTCCTCTCTGACAGCCCCCAGCTGAACTCCTCTCGGTGTTCAGACATTCCTCCTCTTCTCTCTTTCTCTGCTGTGTCGTTCCACCATTCATCTGCGTGTTTCATCTCCTCATCTGCTTGTCTGCTCCTGGAACCTGGGGTTCAGGGTTTATATGGGTGCAGGATCGGGGCATGGCAGGCCAAAAGACAACTTTTTGGGAATGAAAACAGAAATGCCTGTTCCCACTTAGGGCCATGGGGCTCCAGGCTCGAGGGGTGGGGCCTTTGCTGGGGAACCGACCTCTTCTACCCAGTATTTCTCTGTCTCCTATCCGTATCAAAAGGAGTTAGCCAGCTTGCTTTAGGCAGACAGTAAAGAAAGAGCCCCCGGAGAACCTCCGACCTGGCCCACAAGTGCTTACACCAGATATTTTATGCATATAAGGGAACTTGCACAGGGGGCTTGCTTAAACATGCCCGCAGGGGACTAAGAGCCCACATGCACACTGGGGGAATGGGGGTGGAGCCACCAGGAATTCGTGCCTTATACAAATAGGGAACCCAGTCCCATCAGCTTCTATATAAAAAGCCTTTGTATTCAACTGTGAAGGGCCAACCGGCAACCTGCTTTTCAGGACCCCTCTCTTTGCTGAGAGCTTTCCTTTTGCTTAAAAAATACTACTCCACTCACTCTATGGTGTCCGCATGCCTAATTTTTCCTGGTTGTGAGACAAGAACCTGGACCTAGCTGAGCTAAAGGAGCAAAAATCCTGCATTATATTGATTTATGCCTTTGGCTGTAATCTCTGCCTCTCCGACTTAAAAAACCCTTACCTGTAAGACATCGGAGAGTTTGGATCTTAAGCATGAGCCTCCCGATTCTCCTTGCTTGGCACCCTGTAGTAAAGGCCGTACTTTGTCTTGCTGCGATCCCGGTGTCAGTGTTGAGCTTTGCTGCACCAGGTGGGTGGACCCAAGTTCGGTTTGGTAACAATGGAAAGGAGTTTAGAGTACAAAAATAATCAAATCTGCCTTTGCTTTACGTTAAAACTGGAGAAAATTAACAATTTCCTTTTAAAAGTATTGTTTTGCTGCTCAGTTGTAAACTGTAATTGTTTTAGTAAAAATATTATATATCATCAAATAGGGTGAAGTCACTTTCATATACTCATCAGCCATTTGTGTTTCCTTTGTGAATGACTTGTTTCTCTCTTTGGCTGTCATTTTTCACTTGGAGATTTTTTTTTTTTTTTTTTTGAGTCATTGTAGTTCTTTGTCACTTGGAGTTTTAAAAAGCAAATTATAAGCATTCCTTAAATATAAAGTCACTGGCCATTTCTTTGTGATACAGTATGCAAGGATTTTTCCTGGTTTGCTGTTTGTCATTTTTTATATTTGATATACAGAAGTTTTACAAGTTTTTAGTCTGGTCTATTAATCTGTTCTTATAATTTCTACCTTTGTTGTATGATTAGAAAGTTCTTTCTGAAATAAAGGATGTGTAAATAACAATTACCTATATTTTCTGTTGTGTGCAGTTTTTTAAACATTCAAATCCACCTGGAATTTGTGTTCATATATGATACAAGACATAAAACTATTTTTTCAAATAGTTACCTAATTATTCCTAATCTATTTATTCACTAGTCCATTGTTTCCCTCTGACATAAACTTTTCTCATCTAATGAATTACTGTGTATACCTGCATCTGATTCTGGACTGCTGTGTTTTGTCAGTCAGTCTACCCCTAATCAAACAATTTTCATACTGTAACTTGGAAATGCTACATTATCTGATAGCACACATTATCTTATCCCTCTTTTTTGTTTTTAGAATGTTTGCAATTATTCTTGTATTAGTCTGTTCTCATGCTGCTAATAAAGATATACCTGAGACTGGGTAATTTAAAAAGAAAAGAGATTTAATGGACTCACAGTTCCACATGGCTGGGGAGGCCTCACAATCATGGCAGAAGACAGAGGAAGAGCAAAGTCACATCTTACATGGCAGCAGGCAGAGATAAGAGTGCATGTGCAGGGAACTCCCATTTATAAAACCATCAGATCTCATGAGACTTAATCACTATCATGAGGACAGCACAGGAAAAACCTGCCCCCATGATTCAATTACCTCCAACCAGGTCCCTCCCATGACACTTGGGGATTATTACAATTCAAGCTGAGATTTGGGTGAGGACACAGAGCCAAACCATATCAATTCTTATACATAAATAAATATTTTATATTAACTTTTAATTTTTATTTAAACTTTTTTTAGAGACAGAGTCCCACTCTGTCACCCAGGCTGGAGTGCAGTGGCATGATGAAGGCTCATACAGCCTCAACCTCCCAGGCTCAAGAAATCCTACCACCTCAGCCTCCTGAGTAGCTGGAACTCAGGAAGACTGAGTAGCTGGACAGGCATGCCACCACCTGGCTAATTTTTTTTTTTTTTTTTTATAGAGGCAAGATCACACTATATGCCCCAGGCTGTTCTCAAACTCCTTGATTCAAGCAATCCTCCCTCCTTGGCCTCCCAAAGTGCTGGAATTGTAGACATCAGCCACTGCACCCAACTATATTAACTTATACATAGTTTGGTTAAGTACCCCCGCAAAAAATCCCAGTGGGATTTTCATTAGCATTATATTAAATGTATTAACTGACTCTGATAAACTGACTGGTTTACAACATTGAGTTTGTTATCCAGGAACTAAAATGTCTTTCAAGTCATAGTTCATGACCTTAGCAAAGCTTTGTATTCTTCTTATAGACCCTAAAAAGTTTTGGGAATTCCTGTGATATTTTATTTTTCAATAATAAATTAGATCTTTTATTTTACTGTTCAAGTGATTAATACTTTTTTTAAAAAAGGAAAATAATTTTCTACATTTATTTTATAAATGGACACATTCCGAAATCTCTTGTTAATTCTAAGTTGCTTACTTGATTCTCTTGACATAATTTCAGGTCATTAATTTAGTAATTATTTGGGCAAAATATGTATTGGTCATAATATTGAATGTTTAAATATTTTTTTTTTTTTAATTTTTTTATTTCCATAAGTTATTGGGGAACAGGTGGTGTTTGATTACATGAGTAAGTTCTTTAGTGGTGACTTGTGAGATTTTGATGCACCTCTCACCTGAGCACTGCACCCAATTTGTAATCTTTTATTCCTCATCCCCTTCTCACCATTTCCTCCTGAGTTCCAAAAGTCCACTGTGTCATTCTATGCCTTTGCGTCCTCATAGCTTAGCTCCCACTTATAAGTGAGAACATATGACGTTCGGTTTTCCATTCCTGAGTTACCCGGGTTGCTGTGAATGCCATTAATTCATCCCTTTTTATGGCTGAGTAGTGTTCCATCGTATATATTGAATGTTTAAATAGTTTTAAAATGTAAAATAAAATTCTTTTACCTGAGTTACCTCACTTAATCCTCACAAAAATCATATGAGATAAGTTTTATCATTCTTATTTTACAAACGAAGAAACTTAGGCTACCGAAACCTAAGTCTTCTGTAATCCACACCACCAGCAAATGGCAGAATTGGAACTTCAACACTTGGAATTGGTTAAAAATATCAGTGACATATGGGCAGGCCCAGTGGCTCACACCTGTAATCCCAGTACTTTGGGAGGCCAAGGTGTGAGGATGGCTTGAGGCCAGAAGTACAAGACCAGCCTGGGCAATATAGCAAGACTCTCTCTCTACAAAAAATAAAAATAAAAATAAAACACAATTAGCCAGGCTGAGCAGTGTGCACTTGTAGTTGTAACTGCTTGGGAGGCTGAGGCAGGCAGATCATTTGAACCCAAGAGTTCAAGGCTGCAGTAGTTATGATCACAATAGTGCACTCCAGCCTGGGTGACACCGTGAGACTCTGTCTCTAAAAATATAAAAATTAAAAAAATAAATTACATGGAATATTATGTATTCGTTTTAAGTGATTCTGTAGCATACTGTCTAAATCAATGTTCCACTATTGTTTTTCGTTTTATGGCACACACAGAAAATGATAGTATCAGCATTGTCACGACACGTAGAGTGGACAGCCAGCCTGGGACTCTGATCACTTTTGGACACCTGCATCGCTGGACATATATAATCCACTTAAGGCACTGCTGTTGGGATGTCGCGGTCTAACGATATGTAAAGATGTCTGTTTTACAGTGACACACTACAGTGTACTGTTGTAAGGAATACATGAGTAAATTTGTAACAATGCCTGCAATAGCAAAAGTCCTCAGTTAGTAGCTATTATTGCCCTTTCTCTTCTGCCCTTGGGTCTACACAAAACAAGTCTTTCTTATGCGTCAGGAATGTCCTTTTGATAGAAGACAGTAGCTATGTGACCCCTGAAGAGTGCTTCCCCACCTAAACACCCCTGGTTCCTCGATGGCATGACCAAGTCTATCCCACAGAAACCTGGGCCCTCTACTTTAATATCCATGTAAGATGGCTCAAGATTCCATCCCACATTCTGTGTGGAGCCCACCCCACACCCAGCTCAACCCTCAACAGTTGTGTGAATTTCTAGGTGGATTCAACATCTTGGGGGTCCTCCTGCACCTGCTGCACTCTGTGGCATGCTCCTGGCTATTGTTCTCGGATCCCATGGCTACCTGCCCTCTCACTGACCCGCTGTGCCTGTCCATGGCCCCAGATCCTAACTTTTTCTTCCCGCAGTCTCACTAACAATTGAGATTGGATTTACTACAGTTTTGCTAAAGGTTTTGGGTAACAGTGGAAGAGTATAACATAGTAAAGTACAGGCAAGACACTATATTCATCATTAGACTTTAATGTCCTAAAAATTTATCAGACATTCCTCCCAAGGGCATTCTTGAAGCATAAGAGCAAGACCTGTTCTGTGTAGACCCACGGGCAGAAGAAGAAGGGAGATAATAGCTACTACCTAGGGCTTTCGCTATTCCAGGCATGTATAATAATAAGGGCTTTACTTGTATTTACTCACTTATTCCTTTTGCTTGGTGTGATCAGCTGATTGTTAACTTTTTGATACTATACGTGCTTTCTCTCCATTTTCTGAGACCTTGATCTCTCAATCTCTTCAGCTGTCAGAAACAACTCCCAAATTCTATACCATTTATTTGTGGAGCTGTTTATTCCTCTTTTTTTCCCCTTACCCTTAAAAAGGTCATGCCCTGGACAGGGAGACTCACCTCTCAGCTGATTTTTCTATATAAGGAGCCTTCCCCTTCAAATTGGCCGGGTATAGTGGCTCATGCCTGTAATCCCAGCACTTTGGGAGGCTGAGGTGGGCAGATCACTTGAGGTCAGGAGTTCGAGACTTGGTCAAAATGGTGAAACCCTGTCTCTACTAAAAATACAAAAATTTGCCAGGCATGGTGTGGGTGCCTGTAATCCCAGCTACTTGGGAGGCTGAGGCAGGAGAATGGCTTGAACCTGGGAGGCGGAGGTTGCAGTGAGCTGAGATTGCGCCACTGCACTCCAGCCTGGGCAATAGAGCAAGACTCCGTCTCAAAAAAAAAAAAAAAAAAAACTGAGCCTTCTCCTTCAAATAAACTGTACCTCTCCTCTGGTATGCAAATAAGCACACAGTCCACTTTTGTTTTGAGTTGCAATTTTGTTCCTTCCAGCTACATAAGCCTCCTCACTTCCCTTGTCTTCCCCCGTGGGCAGAATCCAATTTGTCTGAGTGCCTCTCCTGGGATGGCCAGAGCTGTACTCCTGATAGATGAGGTGCTGCTGCACTCTCTCTTGTTCCAGCCACTGCACTCCCAGTAGATGCAGGTTTGGCATGCAAAAAGCCCCTTCCCATCCCCACTCCCTTTCTTAGTTATCCTCAGACTGATCCAGACTGGAGGAATCAGGAACCCTGTCCAGGCCACGGCTCTCCTGTCCCTGCTATCCACCACCCACTTATCTGAGAAGTTCACAGCAAACTTTTCCTTCAAGGAGCAAATAGGCCCAGCCATTTCACCCCAGGGAAAGCTGCATGGAAGCTGCCTGCTTTCTATGAAATTTCGTTTTAAGCATCAGGCAAATAAGAAAATGTTGGGGTCTTAGAAAGTATTTTTTCTTTGCTGAATATCCACTGATGGAAATACTGTTAACTGGAAGGCAGTGGTCAGAGGTCCTAGGGTGGACCCGTGATCTCCTTCGGGATGGGCCTGAGGGATGCTTCTGTTAACCTCCTAATCTTGAAGTTGGATCCTACAGATGGCTGTCACAAGAGACAGACTCCACCCCCACCATCCCCAGCTTCCATCCCAGCCAGGTACCAGTCACTCTCAACCTGCTCAGTCTAGACTGCAATCCACAGCCAAACATAATTTTCTTCTGTCAGCAGCATCCCTGAACCATTTGCCTAGACACACACAGTAGGGTTGTTGTCTGAAACCTCAGAAATAAAAAGTGAGCCATTTAAAGTTTTATGCTTTGAAGTGGCAAAATGATGTCACACTTGAAGGTGCTGGCCTCAAGTCCTGACCTTGCAGCTGTCTGCTTCTCCTGGCTGTTCACAGGGTTGTGAGACAGCAGGCCCCCAGAAAATTCCTCGGACACAGCCTCCTCCCAGCCTGGCTCTGCTCACTGCGCTATCCAGTGCCTTGGGCCTCTGATGGAAGACAACGAGTAGGACTGACCTCCATACTCTGGTCTTCCCCTCATGACATAAACAGGCATGCTTCAGTGGCCCATCCCGTTAGGGTCAACTTGCTGATTGCTGATTTATCTGATAAATGAACGTATGCTCACAGAGAAGCCGAGACGGGTACATTAATAGTGTGTTACATCTCCCAAGAAGGATGTTGATACAGAATTTTCAAACAGAGCAATTGGAGACTTAGACTCACAAGACCAAAGAATCCTAGGGTATGATGGCATGCAGGGACTTAAACAATGGTATAAACCAATGCATTAACTTCCCAGATGGGAAAGCTGAGGCTCAGAAAAGGGAAGTGAGTTTTTCAGTCCTTTGCAACTACTAAGAAGTACAGCCATGCTTCCTGATTTCCCAGCCAGTGTTCTTCCAACTGCCTTTGCAATCAACTGAAATCAGAGTGGACTCAATACACAGAGCGGAGGGCCGCCAGCTCCCTCTACAGTGGCCCAGACTCCAAATGCCCCCAGCACGGCAGTCCTCCCAGTAGGAGATGAGCCTACATTCACAGACAATAGGACCCCAAGGAGAAGGAGGTATAACACTAGTTCAAGAAGACGTGTTCTGCTTTAAAAAAAAAAAAAGTTTAAATTCTAAAATTAATAATGTAATAATGTGCTTGCTTTTTTTTTTTTTTTTTTTTTGAGGCAGGGTGGAGTGCAGTGGCACAATCACAGTTCACTGCAGCCTCAACCTCCCAGGCTTAAGCAATCCTACTGCCTCAGCGTCTCAAGTAGCTAGGACCACAGGCATGCACTGCCATGCTTGGCAATTTTTTTTTTTTCTGTAGAAATGGGAGTCTCACTATGTGGCCCAGGCTGGTCTTGAATTCCTGGGATCAAGCGATCCTCCCACCTCAGTTTCCCAAAATGCCAGGATTATACACACGAGCCACCATGCCCAGCCGTGTGCTTGTTTTTTTAAAATATGAAAGAGTATAACATAGAAAATGGATCCTCTTCTCCAGAAGTATTAGCTATTAAGCTGGTGTATCTTTTCAAATGCTCATACACATATAAACATATGCATATTTGTATATGTTTATATGTTTGTTCATAACTGTGTTTATGTGTATATTCTTTTTATTTTAAATGGGTTCATACTACACATTCTGTTTTTCAGTTTGCTTTCCCTTGTTTCCCGGAATAGATCAAGCACACTTGTCTATGTCTGCACATGTAAATGTCCCTCTTATTTTAATGCCTACATAATATTCCACAGTGTTGCATATCTTACCTTATTTAACTTACTGATGAATATTTGGATTGTTTTCAGTTTGGGGAGGTTATAAATAATGCTGCAGTGAATATCTCTACACAGATCTTAGAGCACTGCTGAGATGTGTGGGATAAATTCCTGAAAAGAAAAATGCAAGTTAAAGGGGATGAATGCTTTCAACTGAATTTTTTAGAGTGAGCTGCTCTGACCCCCTTGCGTAGACCTCCCCCATCCCCTGACACTCTCCATCCTTTTGCCCTGCTCTTTGGATCTCCATCACAGCACTGCACTCATCACCATCTGAGAGAGTGCATATGAATGTATGTGTTTGTTGTTCATTTTCTTCTTCTGGAAATTTCATGACAGCAGGGGCTTTGGCTGTCTTTTCACTACTGGAGCTGTTCACTGCTGCCATCCAGGTCCTAGGACAGTGTCTAGCATGTGGTAGGTGCCAAAGGAACATTCTTAAATTCATTTATTCTTCCATTCATTCACCAAATATATATTGAGCACCTTTTATGTGCCAACATTGTTCTAAACTCTGAGGATACAGCACTAAAGAAAACAGACACAAACCCCACCCTGTCGCTAAATGAATGAAAGGGGTTGTTCTAATGGGGGGACATTTGGGACTGGGGAACACTTTAAACTCTTCAAAGCACACAGCTTTTCCTCGCCAATCTAACAAAATCCTGTTGAACCACTTCATCCCTGCAGAAAGTGTCACGTGGACACATATTGATGCTGGGTCCAGAGGCAGTCTCTTCCATGTACTTTGCCACCCAGGACATGTGCTGGGAGCTGGGCAAACAGACAATCAGAATGTCCCATTAAGCTCAGTTCCCCCAACTAATGAGGACAAGCTGGACCAGAAGACTGTTATGTTGCTGACATCTCTGACATTTAGTTTATAATAATGATGTTTACTTGGGCTGAAACATCTAAAATTAAACCTCCCACTTAAAACTTAAACGGTAAATTACATTTTCTCGAACTTTCAGTCAATTCATCCATAAAAACTAGCTGTAATGTGGGCAGTAGATGCCACCCAGGAAACCACAAATGGAAAAGGCAATGGATGCGCTCAGAGAAAGGGAGGACAAGCCATTCAGTGGAGGGTCAGGCCGGCTCCTTGGAGCTTGGTTTCCTGATGGCTCACACCTGCTGGCGTGCTCACCCCAGATCCCGAGACTAGTCTGATCCAAGGGGTGAGGACTGGAGCCCCTTTTCCCACCCTCAAATCTGTCCTTTTGCTGAGGGTTGCAGTGTATTTGCCAAGCCAAGGATGGATGCTTAAAATTGTGAAGCCATGTCGGACAACTGGTTATTGTGGATGTCTGGCTTGAAATTGCAGCACCCCAGGACTGGAGCCCTGCTTTTGATAGCAAGCTGGTTTTCTGAGACTCTGGAAGTCTTCTTTCTGGCTGAGTCACTCCTTTGGGTGAGCTGGTGTGGCTTTCTTTCACATACAGTTCCTTCCCTCCAATCAGCCCAGCCACCTAACCTACGGGCTGGATCCACTGTTGCAAATGACCCTCCTGTGCTGGGCACTCCCACCACCTCCAGGTTTAGAAGTGAGTCTATAGGGCCCCTTCTGGCAGCTGTGATCATACAAGTGAGCTATGTTGTTTTTGGATACACACTGAATAACTCTACAGAGTGGGCTTTTTGGATGTCACAGCTGACTTCCTGGTCTAGTACACAGTGTTTTGGAGTTACTTAATTGGTGAATTGGTGTAATATCCTAGCTCATTTCAGAAGCATCTGGGGTTCTCAATAATGGGATATTAAGAGGAATAAAGGGCTTACTTCCTGTATTACTGGTACCAAGTGGGTATGTAAACCCAGTGGCAGGGATTGGCAAGGGTAGGCAAGACCTCTGATACTCAACTGATCCCCTCTCCTGATTCGTCCTGGCCTTTGCTGCTTAAATAAGAGAAATAACTCATAGAGGGCATTATGGGGCTAAGGTCATGCCTGATGATGCTTCTCCACCCCAACATCTTCACCCCAGAGAAAGATCAGAATCAAGCTAAAAACGGAATGGGGGGGCAGAGCTTGAAGGGGAACAGTTGAAATTTAGAGCTTGGGCCCCCACAGGGAATGACCCTATGTGGCTTCGGCCTCCTGGGATTGGCAGTATCTTTGCTCTGCTTCTATCTTGCTCCATGTGATGGGAGGGGTAAGATGGGCCTGAGGCTTCCTGCAAAGAGTCCCCTTTTTTCCTTAGTGAACCTTTCCTTGAATTTTTCTTTTTTTTTTTTTTTGCCTCTTCTATTCATTGGAGTGTTTTCACAGGGAGTCTGAACTTAGGCACAAGAGACCAAGAGTCCAAATTGTTTGCTCTTAGCAAAGGCTAAGAACCTGTTATCAGCAGACAGAATCCATAGAAGAAGACTACATGATCTGCACCACACAAGCCCAATGGCTGAGGGTTCTGGCTGCGGCAAAGCCTTGGGTGGTAAAGAAAGGAGAATTTCCTGAGCTTGTTCTCTGTGCAGAAAACTTCCCCCAGGATCTGTCTAGCTGAGGCTCACTGTACTTAAGGAAACTGTTGGTCAAGGACTTGGATGTTCTAGATTATGGCTCCTGGACATTTCTGTCTCCTCCTCTGCCCTCCATACTCCCCTCCTCACCCCACAGAGAACAGCCAAGCCTATAACTTTCATTTTCTGGAAAGAAATTAGTGACAAGAATACTGGGAACTTTGCATCAGGCAAAATGAAGTTTTACACATCCCTAGTTAATCTCAGAAACTACACACCTCAATTCTTCTTAAAATTTCAAAGAATACATCCCAACTACTCATGCAAAGTCCTTTTCCTGCAACTATGTTCTTTTCTTTAGGCTTGTGTGAGGGCAATGAAGGGTTCAGTCCACAATCTGTTGCATTTCAGTCCTGACTTTGTGATCCCAAACACAAGCTTCCAAATGTGGCTCATAATTGTCTAGACAAGGATTCTAGGGGAAGCTGGGGTCACTTGGTTCTCCCTGAGAGATCAACAGCTACACAATGGGAAGAAGCATATGACAAAGTGTGAATCTGGGAACAGGCAAAAATGAAGGAGTGGCATCCTTAGGCTTTGCTACAGAGATGTGTTACTTCTTTCTTTTTAAGGTTTTTTTTAATAACACAATAATGTCTTCATTTTTTAAAACAGTGGAAAAATACAGAAAAGCAAAATACAACACAAAACCTACCAATTACACTTGCTCTGCCATCGAGAAAAAAATCATGGTGATATTTTGATGATTATCTTTTAGAATTGTTATCTAGGTAATTGTGTGTGTGTGTGTGTGTGTGTGTGTGTGTGTATTTTTAACCCCCAGTGGTTAAAATCTGCACATTTAAAAAAGCTTTTTCCCTCTAGTGGGAAAATATATAAAATTTTGTTGCCATAGTCATTGGGACCTTTTTTCCCCCATTAAATTTTCTAACTAGCTATTGTTGGTTTGTAAGAAAATATTGATTTTTATATATATATATTTTTTGAAAGACACAAAATTTTATATATATTATATATATTTTATATATAACATATATTTTATATACATAATATATATTATATATATTATATATATAATATATATAATATACATATAATATATATTATATATATTATATATAATATATATTATATATAGTATATATATTTTATATATTATGTATAATATATATAATATATATTTTATATATTATATATATTTTATATATTATGTATATATATTTATATATATTTTATATATTTTTTATATATTTTATATATATTATATATATATTTTATATTTTATATACATTTATATTTTATATATAATATATATTTTTATATATACATTTTTTATATATATAATATATATAAAATATATATATTTTATATAATATATATTTTATATAACATAATATATAATTTATATATATTTTATATATTATATATTACATATATTATATATGTATATATATTATATATATTTTATATATATTATATGTATATTTTATATATATTATATGTATATTTTATATATGTATATTTTATATGTATATTTTATATATATATATATAAAATTTTGAAAGATACAAAATTATCTTTATTTGTGGCTAAGATTTCTCAAAGCGGAAAACCCAAGATCATTAACTAAAAATCTATTAGAACTAGCAAGAGTACCATAAAAGGTTGGGTGAAATATATATATATATTCAGTTACATATATATATATATTTTTTTTTTCTTAGTTAATGACCTTGTGTTTTCCGCTTTGAGAAATCTTAGTCACAAAGAAAGATAATTTTGTGTCTTTCAAAATTAAGACTTCTATTTTATTTTATTTTAGGGGCTTAAGTGCAGGAAGAAAACACAGTTTCTAAGAGGCATGTGTCACATTAGTAAATCCTCTTAGCTCTCCCCAGCTTTGATGCATCTGAAATCCTGTTGACATCCTTGTTTGGGATTGAGCACATGACGCCTGACATTCTGGTGCTGGGCAGTTTGTCTTCTGAAAAATGGCCATGGACTCATGACATGAGCTCAGAGGCTTGAATGTTCACCAGGGACCAGAGCATGATTCAAATGCTGACCTTTCATGGGTGCCTTCTGGGGATGAAGCCAGGTCAAGGGAAGTTCAGAAACAATGGTCTATGCCAAATAATTGTGTGGCAAAGAGGTGGGTGTTTCTTTTCAATAGCTTTTTGGGGAACAGGTGGTGTTTGGTTACATGAATAAGTTCTTTAGTGGTGATTTCTGATATTTTGGTGCACCCATCACCCGTGCAGTGTACACCGTCCCCAATAGGTAGGTTTTTACCCCTCACCCCCCTCCTACTCTTTCCCCCCGAGTCCCCAAAGCCCATTGTATCATTCTTATGCCTTTGAGTCCTCATAGCTTAGCTCCCACTTATGAATAAGAACATATAATGTTTGATTTTCCATTCCTGAGCTACTTCACTTTGAATAATGGTCTCCAATTCAGTCCACGTTACTGCAAATGCCATTATTTTGTTCCTTTTATGGCTGAGTAGAATTCCATCATATACGTATATCACATTATCCACTTGTTGATTGAGAGGCACTTGGGCTGGTTCTAAATTTTTGCAATTGTGAATTGTGCTGCTATAAACATGTTTGTGCAAGTATCTTTTTCATATAATGACTTCTTTTCCTATGGGTAGATGCCCCAGAGTAGGATTACTGGATCAAATGGTAGTGCTACTTATAGTTCTTTAAGGAATTTCCACACTGCTTTCCATAGTGGTTGCACTAGTTTACGTTTCCACCAATAGTGTAAAAGTGTTCCCTTTTGACCACATCCACGCCAACATCTATTATTTTTGTATTTTTGTATTATGGCCATAAAAAGGTGGGTTTTTAAAAATCAGTTTTCCCGTTTTATTTTACAAAGTATTTTATTGTGAAAGAAGAGGAAAAGAACTGACTTGGATGTGCTGGTAATTAAAGGTTTTTTCATCTTTTCAACAAGCAGAAACAGTACTGCCAACTAATTATAAAACTGATCATGTAATGGATTTGTGTATAAACTGAGAATGTACTTATCTGGGCAAAAGTAACTTGAGAAGCCTCAGAATATCAGAGCCGTAGACTCTTGGAAATCATTCAGTTCTGGTTCAACATCCTCATAGCACAGCCTAGTAAACTGAAGCCCAGAATAGACAAGTGGCTTGCCCATGGTCACCTGACCAGTTAGTAGTCATTATGTCAAGTTATTTTGACTTAAAAATAATATTGAGCCTCCTATCATGATGGCAACTATTAAAGAATGATAGGACTTTTTAAATACTAGACAATAAATACAGTAACATTGAGGTCACTTAGCCATGACTCCTCATTTTATTGAGGAATAAACGTGGCTTACAGCACACTTGTCACACAGCAAGTTAGCAGCCAGAGTGGACAAAAGAGACCATAACCCATATCTCTTCTAATTTGACCAGGTGCCTGCTGTGCCATCAAACATTTCTAAACACAGCTTCTGCTTTTCTGGTGAGAGGTGGTGGCAAAGGGAGCTGATGTACAGCAAAACCTGAGATCAGTGAAGTCTGACTTTGACTCCCCAGACTTCTTGCTTTTTGGCCAGCCATGCTCTCCCTCAGCAGTGTCCTCCATTCTCCCATTCATTGTGATGGTTAATATTGAGTGTCAACTTGACTGGATTGAAGGGTGCAAAGTATTGTTCCTGGGTGTGTCTGTGAGGGTGTTGCCAAAGGAGATTAACATTTGAGTCTGTGAACTGGGACAGGCAGACCCACCCTCAACCTGGGTAGGCACCATTTAATCAGCTCCCAGCACAGCTAGAATAAAGCAGACAGAAGAAGGTGGACAGAGAGCAGACTTGCTGAGCCTTCATTTTTCTCCCATGCTGGATGCTTCCTGCCCTCAAACATTAAACCCCAAGTTCTTCAGCTTTTGGACTCTTGAACTTACACCAGTGATTTGCCAGAGGCTCTTGGGCCTTCAGACATAGACTGAAGGCTGCACTGTTGGCTTCCCTACTTTTGAGGTTTTGGGACTCGGACTGGCTTCCTTGTTCCTCAGCTTGCAGACGGCTTATCATGAGACTTCACCTTGTGATTATGTGAGTCAATTCTCCTAATAAACTCGCTTTCATATATACATATATCCTGTTACTTCTGTTCCTTTGGAGAACCCTAACACATTCATAATCCATCTAACCGTCCAGCTATTCATCCATTTATCTATCCAACTATCCATCCGCACAGCCATCTATCCATCTATTCATCCTTCAACCCAGCCCTTCAACAAATATTCACTGAGCCTTCTCTGTGCTGGCCACTCCTCTAGGCACTGGGATACAGCCACAAACACAATAGCCAAGCTACTTATCCTGATGCAGTTTATGTTCTACTGGAAGGAAACAGAAAACAAACAGGAAGAAAATAGAGAGGGATACATGTAAAACAGAGAATTAAAATGGATCCTGGATACAGAGTAAGTGAGTGGCATCTATGGATGAGTGGTCAGAGAAGCTTTCTGAAAGGTGAGTTTCAAACAGGGATTAATGTCCTCCAATAGGAGGATGTTGAAAGATGGAGCCACTGAAAAATCAGATAGAGCCTTCTAGGCGGAAGAACAGCTGTTGCCCTGGCCCTGAGGGAAGGATGAGTGCGGCTTGTTCTAGGAGCAGAAAGAAGCCAGGCGGCTGGAGCAGGGAGGCAGCTGGGGAGCTGGGAGGAGACAATGAGGCAGAAAAGGATCAGAACATGTGATACATGCATGTCCTTTTGTGTGCCCAGAAGAAGCATTCTGAATATGACAGAGGCCTAGGGAGGGTTGCAGTTATGGCAGTAGTGGTAGGTTTTTAGGGAGAGACGAATAGGATAATTAAATTAAATTTTATTTGTTTTTTTACTGCATAATGTAACACACAGGTGGTTCAAAATTCACAAGAAAAAGAGGGACATGAATGAGATGTAAATCTCCACCCACAGCCTGTCTCCCAACTACCCAGTTTCTCTTCCCAGATGCAATCTCCATTACCAGAGATGATAAAAAAGTATCTTATACTTTAAAAAAAAATTAAGTTGACAGATAACATTCTACATTTTTATCATGCACCATATGATGTTTTGAAGTATATAAGCATTGTGGAATAATTAAATCTAACTAATTAACAAATGTATTATCTCACAGTTATCATTTTTGTCGTGAGGACACATAAATCAAAAGTATAATGAGGTATCACTTCACTCCAGTTAGAATGGCTATCATCAAAAAGACAAATGAAGCCAGACACAGTGGCTCACACCTGTAACCCCAGCACTTTGGAAGGCAGAGGTGGGTGGATCACTTGAGCCCAGGAGTTCGAGACCACCCTGGGCAATATAGGGAGACCCTGTCTCTACAAAAAATCAAAAAACTAGTGGGCATGGTGGTGTGCACCTGTAGTGCCATCTACTGGGGGTGGGGGAGGGCCCGAGGTGGGAGGATCACCCACCTGGGAGTTCTAGGCTTCAATAAGCCATGATAGCACCACTGTACTCCAGCTGGGCTGACAGAGTGAGAACCTGTCTCAAAACAAAACAAAAACACAAGTCACAACAAGTATTGTGAGGATATGGAGAAAAAGGAACCCTTACACCCTGTTGTTGGGAATGTAAATTACTGCAGCCATTATAGAAAAGAGGTTCCATTTTAAAGGTTCCTCAAAAAATTAAAAACAGAACTACTGTATGATTCAGCAATCACACTACTGGGTACATGTATACTTTCTACCCAAAAGGGAGAATTCCATACATTATGGTATGCACCTCTTGTTTTTCACCTAACAGTGTATTTTGGAGATTGATTTCTTCCATTACACAGAGCACTATCTAATTTTTAGTAATAGCTGCTTAAAATTTCATTGTTGAAATATACCATTGTTTGCTAATGAGGTTTCTATTGATTTGTCTCCCTATATGAGCATTTCCATCAGCATTCTTATGTGTAAATTCACTTTCGGTTTTTTACTATTGCAAACAACAGGGTAGTGACTATATTTATATACATATATTTGACAAGCATGAACATGTAGCAATAAGAAAAATTCCTAGAATTGCTGGCTTAAAAAGTATATATGTTTTCACATTGATAAGTGTCACCATTTTGCCCTTTGAAGGGTGCTGCAGGCCACTATCTGTGTGACAAGTGACCTGTCATCTGTGTTAGGCAAGTGACTTAACCGGCAAGTTTCTTCAGAGGGCACTGTGCCCTCTTCAGGGGTTAGAGTGAGGGTTAATGATTTAATGCATGTAACTTATTGAAAATATTGCCTGGCAACAGGGTAAGTGCTTAATAATTGTTAGGTCTCATTTTTATTATAGAGCTCTTATCATCTTAATTTCCCACAAGCAATCTATGACTGGGCATCATTCTCCACACTTTGGACAATCTAGTGTTTTTTCAAACATTTTGATCTGGGTAAAATCAGCTATTTTTGTTAACTTTCAAAATGATATGCTTTTTTGGGTATAAGAGTTTTTTCCCTTTTTCTGTGTCATCTCTGATTTCTTTGAGCAGTGTTTTGTAGTTATCCTTGTAGAGATCTTTTACCTCCCTGGCTAGCTGTATTCCTAGGTATTTATTCTTTTTGTGGCAACTGTGAATGAGATTGCATTCCTGGATTTGCCTCTCAGCTTGACTGTTGTTGGCGTATAAGAATGTTAGTAATTTTTGCACATTGATTTTGTATGCTGAGACTACGCTGAAGTTCTTTATTAGTATAAGGGGCTTTTGAGGTGAGACTATGGGGATGTTTAGATATAGTATCATGTCATCTGCAAACAAGGATAGTTTGACTTCCTCCCTTCTTATTTGGATGCACTTTATTTCTTTCCCTTGCCTGATTGCCCTGGCCGTGACTTCCAATACAATGTTGAATAGGAGTGGTGACAGAGGGCAGCCTCGTCTTGTGCCAGTTTTCACAAAGAATCCTTCCATCTTCTGCCCATTAAGTATAATGTTGGCTGTGGGTTTGTCATAGATGGCTCTTATTATTTTGAGGTATTTTCCTTCAATACCTAGTTTACTAAGAGTTTTTAACATGAAGCAGTGTTGAATTTTATTGAAAGCCTTTTCTGCATCTCTTGAGATAATCATGTGGGTTTTTTGTCTTTAGTTCTGTTTATGTAATGAATCATGTTTATTGATTTGCATATGTTGAACAAACCTTGCATCCTAGGGGTAAAGCCTACTTGATCATGGTGGGTAAGCTTTTTGATGTGCTGCTGGATTCAGTTTGCCAGTATTTTGTTGAGGATTTTTGCACTGATGTTCATCTAGGAAATTGACCTGAAGTTTTCTTTATCTGTTGTGTCTCTGCCGTGTTTTGGTATCAGGATGATGTTGGCCTCAGAATGAATTAGGAAGGAGTCCCTCCTCCTTAAATTTTTGGAGTAGTTTTAGCAGAAATGCTACCAGATCGTCTTTGTACATCTGGTAGAATTCAGCTGTGGAATACTTCTGGTCCTGGGCTTTTTTGGTTAGTAGGCTATTTATTACTGGCTCAATTTCAGAGCTCATTATTGATGATGTTTCAAGTAAGGCCACACACATACAACTATCAGGTCTTCTACAAACCTGATAAAAACAAGCAATGAGGAAAGGATTCCCCATTCAATAAATGGTGCTGGGAGAATTCGCTAGCCATAGGCAGGAGATTGAAACTGGACCCCTTCCTTACACCATATACAAAAATCAATTCAAGATGGAATAAAGACTTAAATGGAAAACCCAAAACTATAAAAACCTGATTAGTTTGTTCTCATGCTGCTAATAAGGATGTACTCAAGACTGGGTAATTTATAAAGAAAAAGAGGTTTAATGAACTCACAGTTCCCATGGCTCAGGAGGCCTCACAATCATGGTGGAAGGTGAAAGAGGAGCAAAGGCACATATATATGGTGGCAGGTAAGAGAGCATGTGCAGGGGTACTGCCCTTTATAAAACCATCAGATCTTGTGAGACTTATTCACTATCATGAGAACAGGATGGTGGGAATAGCCCCCATGATTCAATTATGTCCACCTGGTCCCTCCCACGACACATGGGAATTATGGGATCTACAATTTAAAATGAGATTTGGGTGGGGACACAAAGTCTAACCATATCAAAACCCTATAAGACAACCTAGGCAATACCATTCTGGACATAGGAACAGGCAAAACTTCATGACAAAGACACCAAAAGCAATTGTAACAAAAGCAAAAACTGACAAATGGGATCTAATTAAACTAAAGAGCTTCTGCACAGCAGAGGAAACTATCAACAGAGTGAAGAGCCAACCTACAGAATGGGAGAAAATTTTTGCAAACTATGCATCTGACAAAGGTCTAACTCCAGCATCTATAAAGAACTTAAACAAATTTACAAGAAAAAATACAAACAACTCCATTAAGAAGCGGGAAAATGACATAAACAGATACTTTTCAAAAGAAGGCATACACGTGGCCAACAATCTTATAAAAAAGAGCTCAACATCACTGATGATTACAGAAATGCAAATCAAAACCATGAGAAGATGTCATCTTACACCAGTCAGAATGGCTATTAGTAAAAGGGAAAAAATAACAGATGCTAGTGAGGTTGTGGAGAAAAAGGAATGCTTATACACTGGTGGTGGGAATGTAAATTAGTTCAACCATTGTGGAAGACAGTGTGATGATTCCTCAAAGACCTATAAGCAGAAATATTATTTGACCCAGCAATCCCACTACTGGGCATATACCCAAAGGAATATAAATTGTTTCGTTATAAAGACACATGTATGTGTATATTCATTGCAGCACTACTCACAATAGCAAAGACATGGAATCAACAACCTAAATGCCCACCAATAATAGACTGGATAAAGAAAATGTGGTACATATAAACCATGGAATACTATGCAGCCAGAAAAAGAACAAGATCATGTCATTTGCAGGAACACGGATGGAGCTGGAGGTCATTATCCTTAGCAAACTAATGCAGAAACAGAAAACCAAATACTGCATGTTCTCACTTATAAGTGAGAGCTAAATGATGAGAACACATGGACACATAAAGGGGAACAACACACTATGGCCTATCAGAGGGTGAAGGGTGGGAAGGGAGAGGATCAGGAAAAATAACTAATGGGTACTAGGCTTAATATCTGGGTGATGAAATAATCTGTACAACAAACCCCCATGACACCAGTGTACCTATGTAACAAACCTGCACATGTACCCCTGAACTTAAAAGTTAATAAAAAATAAAGTAAATAAATTTTTAAAAAGAGCTTTCTATTTTTCTTCCCTGTCTGGATCTTTGGCCCAGTCTTTCTATTGAGTTGGTGGTCCTCTTCTTCCTGATTGGTAGCTCTCTATATTTATATGTCTTTCATTGTCCCCCTGTTTTCTCTCTTTCTGTGAGCATTTCCATTAAATTCCCATATGCTGCTCTGTCTCTCAAATTATAAAACAAAAACAGTCTCTTCCACATCTCCTTCCGGCTACTGCTCAAACACAGCAAAGCTTTAAAGTTAAACTCCTATAAAACATTGTCTCCCTTTCACACTGCCTCATCTCACTGGGCTCACTACAGTGAAGTCTTTGCCTCCAATGTTTCGTACAAATTACTCTTGTTAAGTCACCAACGATCTCGACCTTGCCAGATCCAAAGTTCAGTTACCAGTTCTCTTCTTGCTGGCCCTCTGGGTTGAATGAGGTTCCCCCAAATTCATGTCTTCCTGGAACCTGGGAATGTGACCTTAAAAGAAAAAGGGTTTTCTGCAGATGTAATTAAAGTAAGGATCTCAAAATAATGTCATCCTGCATTAGAGGACCCTAAATCCAATGACAAATCCTTATAAGAGAAAAGAGAGAGAGACCAAGAAACCACCATGTGAAATGGAGTTGGGGGTTTGGTGGTGTGTCATGGAACCTAGTCATGTATCCTAGCCTGGGGCCACCAGAATCCTGGAGAGAGACATGGAATGAGCTCTTCCCCAGAGCATCTGGAAGGAGCCAACCCTGCCAATACCTTGACTTTAGAATTATGGTTTCCAAAGCTGTGAGAGGAAAAAATTATGTTGTTTTAAGCTTCCCAGTTTGTGGTCATTTGTTACAGCAATCCTAGGACGCCAACACCAGCTCTCAGCAGCAGCATTTGACACCGAGGCTCACTCCTCACTCCTGAAAAGGCATCTTCTGGTGCCTTGTGGGCCACCACACTCTGGGGGGTTCCTTCTGTCTTTCCAGCTGCTCCCTCTCACTTTCTATTTGACCTTCTCTTCTTCTCAACTTCTATAAGTTGGAGGCCCATGGGATCTAGACCTGCTTTTCTGTCTTTATTTACTTGGTGAACTACGTAGGCCGAGTGTTTTTATTTCACCTTCTATCTACATATTTATGGAATCTCAAAGTTTTCTCTCCAGCCCAACCTACACTCTGAATTCCAGACTCATATGGCTGTTGAATTGCTATCTCTGCAGGACCTCTAATAGCGATCTCCAACTTAACATGGCCAAAACAGAGTGCTAGATCTGCCTCCACCAAAACTCCATCCCCAAACTCTCCTTCCCACAGTCAGGCTCATCTCAGTAAATGAGACTACCTTTCACCTGGTAGTTCAAATTCACAAAGTTGTCATTGACTCCTTTCTTTCTTTTGTGCCTCATATTCAACCCAAGAGCCTGTCCCACATCCTTCACCTCTCCAGTTGGTTGAATCCATTGTCATGTCTGCCTGGACTATGGCAGTAGCTCCTCACTCCCTGCATCCACTCTTACCCCTGCAGTCTACTACCCACAAAGCAGCCATAGTGACCCTTTGAAATATAAATCAACACAAATTTGAAGATTCATAGAAGCCCGATTTGTAATAGTGAAAATCAGAAACAACCCAAATATCTTTCAGTGTATGGATGTCTAAATAAAATGTGATACATCCATAGCATAAAATACTACTCAGAAATAAAATGAAAGAGCATATATTATGCTGAGCGAAGACAGATGATCTCAACAGGCCACATGTTGCATGATTCCATCTACGTGACATCTTCAAAGTGACAAAGGTACGCAGATGGAGAACAGATTAGTTGTTAACAGGCACCAAGGGTGGTAGAAGGGAGGGCAGTGTGTATGAGTATAAAGGACTGGCATGGAAGAGATCTCTGTAGTGATGGACAGAGTGTCTTGGTGATGGAGGTTGTATGCACCGTCCCATCATGGCCTGAAAGCTTTCTGTGAGCTGGCTCCTGGGTACCTTGAACTTCACTTTTTAACCACTATACCCCTTTCTCACTGCCACACCAATTCTTATCTCCATGCTGTTCCTCAAACAAACCCTTATATTTCCATCTCCAGACCTTTGCAATTGCTCTTTCTCCTAGCTGAAATGTCCCCTGCTCAAACAAAATCTCATCGATGAGACCTTCCTTACTACCCAATCTCAGTAATACCTATTCTCACTCCATCTCACTCTTTATACCCACACCTAACTTTGTCTTTATAGCACTTATCAGTACCTAATATTACATACATTTACTACTTTATCTGTTTATTGTCTGGCTGTTCCATGAGATGTAAGTTTCACAAAGGCAGGAACTTTGTGTTTTATGTTATTATCTCCCCAGTGCTAAGCAGGGCCCAGTGTAACACAGACACTTAACAAATGGTTATTAACTACTTAATTAATTAAGATGACTAATCTTTTGTGATATGAGTTGTAATATGAGTTTTTCCTCAGTTTGCCTTTTGTCTTTTGGTTTTGTTTATACAGTGTATATGTGTGTGTTTGTGTGCATGCTTTACCATGCAACAATTTTAGATTCTAGGTAGTTAGATTTATCAACTTCTTTTATGATATTGTACTTCAAAGGACTCCCTTAAGGTAAATAATATTATTTTCAAAGATTTTCCTCTAGCATTTAAATTTTTTTCTTTGTAATGTTTACAATTTTTATCTACCTGGAAGTTATTTTAGCATAAAGTATGAAGCAGAGATTAACCTTTTTTGATATAAAAGTTGTGACACTGCTTTATTTTTCTTTCTGTTCACATAGTATATCTTTGCCAACCCTTCTTCAAATTTGCTGGACAACTTGGTCTTAATTGTGTTTCTTGTATACAACATCTTGTTTATGTTGCATACAACATAAAATTGGGTTTTGCTTTGTGATCCAACATTTTCTCTTCTGATAGATGAGTATCATTTTCCTTATCTATATGTCAGATATGGTTGATGTAAGATCTTTTATCCTATCTTTATTGCTTATATCTCTGCTTCAAACTCTTGTTTTGTAACGACAATTACTTATTTCTTAAACTGATAATGACATATTTAGTCATAATTTTCATCTGCCCCCATCCACGTTTTTTAGTTTTTCTCATCTTTAATGTGTTTTTATGTGTCATTTTTATTTTGTCACATTTTTGTACCAACCAAGGTTTCTCAGCCTAGCACTGATGACACTCTGGGTCGTATACTTCTTCATCAGTGGAGGGCTGTCCTGTGCCTTGCAGGATGTTCAGCAGCATCCCTGGACTCTACCCAGTAAGCGCCTCCTCCTCCCCAGTTGTGACAGCTAAAAATATCTCCAGACATTGTCAAATGTCTCCTCAGGGGCAAAATCACTGGTAGTTGAAACCGCCGAAAGAGATCATGCGGTCCTTCCTTTTGATCCCTCATCTCTGCAAGAAGTGAATTCTTCCTGCTTGGGGATGAGCCCACACTCCAGTGAAGTAGGAATTTTTCTTATGGCACAGGGAAGGGGAATAAACGAATTCCTGTAAACTTTTCTGTTCCGCAGCCTACTGGGCTTGGCAGCTGTTCAGCAACTCGCAGAGCAGTCTCTCTTCTCCATCTGCCTCGCTAACAGCAGCCACAGTGATCTAAAAACCTACGCCTGGCCATGGGCTCGCCTACCTAAAACCTGTCAAAGGATGAAGCTCAAGCTCCCTCTTATGGGATTTGTAGTATATTATGGCAATCTTTATATTATGGTAAGGCTCCTTTGCTGGCCCTTGCATCCTCTCCATCTTTACATATACCTATTCCCATCTTACCTTCTCTTCCTATGGTCCAGCCCAGCCAAAGTCCTTGCCTCCCCTGAGTACTCAAGACCACATGAAACTCTGTGCCTCTGCTCATGCTTCCTTCCATCATCTGCTGTCTTTCTTCCCCTGCTGGCTTTCTTTCTTCACCTTTTTTTTTTTTTTTTTTTTTTTGAGACAGGGTCTTGCTGCTGTGTCACTCAGGCTGAATGCAGTGGCATGATCGCAGCTCACTGAAGCCCCTGTCTCCCAGGCTGAAGCAATCCTCCCACCTCACCCTCCCAAGTAGCTGTGACTACAGGTACACAGCACCACACCCAGCTAATTTTCTATTATTTTGTAGAGATGGGGCCTCAGTATGTTGCCCAGACTGGTCTCAAATGCCTGCATGCAAGTGATCCTCCTGCCTTGGCCTCCCAAAGTGCTGGGATTGCAGGCATGAATCACTATGCCCAGCAAATTACCTTTTATCTGACCCCTCTCACTCAATTGGCCACACTCTACCTTAAGCTAGTACCTCTGTCACAATTCATACTTGATAAGTGAATGGATGTATGAATTAGTGAATGGATACATGAAGGAATGATGTATTTTTCTTATTGATGTCATTCTGGGCAGTAGTTTGGCTTATTGGAAAATTAATGAATGAATGCATCCATGATACCACTTCCAAGTTACATCATAATTGACATAATGAGAAAATGCCGGAAAAATAACCTCCTTGCATTTAATAGTCCTGAATAACAATTATGGCTAACATTCATTAACTGTTGACTACACGCCAGGTGTATTAGTGATCTTTTGCTGCATAACGAATTATCTCAAAATTTTTTGGCACTTCACGACTGCAAACACTGCTTATCACCATCTCAATGGATCAGGAATTTAAGAGAGATTTAGCGGGGTGATTCTGGCTCAGGGTGTCTCAAGAAATTGCAGTCCAGATAGATGCTGGCTGGGGCTGAGGAGGTTGAACTAGATGGTTTTCAACAGCTCAAAGTCCATGACACTCTGTGATATGTTGACTGGCCCCGAAATTCCCACAACCTGATCTCTTGCAGAGACCCACACTTCTCCCTGCTGAGGAGCAGCTTCTTGAGTGGAGACCATGGCTTGTGCCTGCCCAATCCTTGAGGTAAAGTTGAACTTTATTGATGTTTCTCTACTGTCCTCTTGTGGTCATTTCTCATATTGCTGCAGTTCTTCAAAAAGATGAAATTCAAGTATTTCTAGTAAAAGCTAATTACCGTGCTCAATACAGTACTTTAAACAGTATTTACTAGGAGCAATGGGAGATACACATTCATGTAATTTGGCTTTGGAGGGTTTAGTCTTACTAGCAGTGAGACACACAGCCCTAGAAGTGTATGATATTATGCAGTAGTGTGTGTGTGGTGTGGCTCAGAGCTAGATCAGAGGTCTAACACTGCTCTCTACACACATCATCTCCACCACCATCACCATCCTAATCACCACCATCACCACCATCACCACTACCATCATCACCACCATCATCCTAATCACCACCATCATCACCACCATCACCACTACCATCACATTCACACCATCACCACCACCACTGCCATCACCACCATCAACACCACCATAATCACCACTATCACCATCATGTCATCACCACCACCATAACACCATTGCCACCACCATTACTACCATCACCACCATCATCACCATCACTACCACTCCTCTGTCATCACCACCCGCTAGCAGCTGCACTGCCGCCACCATCACTGCCACCCTCATCATGACCACTACCATGATCACTGCCAACACCACCCCAAATTTGGAGCTATCCGACACTGTGGACTTTTGCAATGGAAGTTAATAGAATCAACAGCAAATGAAACAGATTAGCTTAAAATTTAATATTTGTACAGTGTAGGGACCAGCCCCACAGGGTCGGTGGGTCTCTCCCCGTGTGCGGAGATGAGAGAGTGTAGAAATAAAGACACAAGACAAAGACATAAAAGAAAAGACACCTGGGCCCGGGGGACCACTACCACTAAGTTGCAGAGACCGGTAGAGGCCCCGAATGCCAGGCTGCACTGATATTTATTGGATACAAGACAAAGGGGCAGGATAAGGAGAGTGAGCCATCTCCAATGATAGGTAAGGCCATGTGGGTCACGTGTCCACTGGACAGGGGGCCCTTCCCTGCCTGGCAGCTGAGGCAGAGAGAGAGAGAGGAGACAAAGAGAGAAACAACTTACACCATTATTAGAGACTTTTAGTACTTTCACTAATTTGTTACTGCTATCTAGAAGGCAGAGCCAGGAGTACAGGATGGAACATGAAGGCAGACTAGGAGCATGACCACTGAAGCACAGCATCACAGGGAGACAGGCCCCTGGATAACTGCGGGTGAGCCTGACTAATGTCAGGCCCTCTACAAGAGGTGGAGGAGTACAGTCTTCTCTAAATTCCCCGGGGAAAGGGAGACTCCCTTTCCCGGTCTGCTTAGTAGTGGGTGTTTTTCCTTGACACTTACGCTACCGCTAGACCACGGTCCGCCTGGCAACGGGTGTCTTCCCAGATGCTGGCATTACCGTTAGACCAAGGAGCCCTCTGGTGGCCCTGTCTGGGCATAACAGAAGGCTCGCACTCTGTCTTCTGGTCACTCCTCACTATGTCCCCTCAGCTCTTATCTCTGTATGGCCTGGTTTTTCCTAGGTTATGATTATAGAGCAAGGATTATTATAATATTGGAATAAAGAGTAATTGCTACCAACTAATGATTAATGATATTCATATATAATCATATCTAAGATCTATATCTGGTATAACTATTCTTATTTTATATTTTACTATACAGGAACAGCTCGTGTCCTCGGTCTCTTGCCTCGGCACCTGGGTGGCTTGCCGCCCACAGTACAGAGCTTTTAATTTTACAAGGAACTTTCACAAATATTTTATTATTGAAACCTTGCAATAGCCCTAAGAGGTGAAGCCAGGGCAATTACCATCCTTCTATTTACTTTGCCTTTGAGATGTTTAATGCAGAAAATACTAATGGTAACATAACAAACACCCACATATCTGCCACTCAGGACTAACAAATGCTAATATTTTGTTATACATTCTTCAGATTTTTTAAAGAAAAAAATACTGCACAGATAAAATGGAAATCTCCTTTGTACCCCATCCCAATTTCTATCTTCAATTCCCAGAGGTAAACTTTTCTTTACAATCTGTGTTTTTATAATTTTACTATATATTATACATGAACACATTTATTTTTCCCATGAGCTATACAGAATAGTGTTTAATGTGTGTTTTTACTGATATATAAGTGATACCACATTGGATGGTTTTCCTTTTTCACTGTACACTCTGGTGTGTCTTCAATATTATTTCATGTTGCTTTATTGGGAGCTATTTTATTCATTTCCAACTGTTATAAAGTATCCCCATATACAAGCATGCAACGTTTTGTTTATTCATTCCCATCCATGTGCATTTGAGTTATATTGTAATGTTTTATCACCAAACACAATGCTGCAGTGAATATCATTGTACATTTCCCTTAATACCACATTTTGTTACAAACGAGGAAACTGAGGGTCAGAGGGGAGAGACCATGTGGTCTGCTCATCCTCACACAGCTCCCAGGAGCAGAGTCAGGATTTGATCACTACCGAACTGTTCCATACTCCAGGAATCTTCTGTGCACGTTCCTGCTGATGCGAGTGTGTGATCGATATCTTATAAAAGAGATCAGGAAAAAGGGAAGTAATTCAAGCTACGAAATGCACCTAGTCTTGACAAAATAGTGGTTCTAGTAGAATATAATTTAATTTTTTAAAAGCAGCATAGGTTGAAAGACTTGGATGGAATTTATCTAACACTGTCTGTTATTGGCTGAACTGTGTCCTCCCCTTTCTCCCAAATTATTCTATTTTTGTTTTTTGTTTTTCCCCCAAATTCTTATGTTGAATTCTGAACCCACAGTGTCTCAGAATGTTACTATATTTGGAGATAAGGCTTAAAGAAGTAATTAAATTAACTACAGTGAGCCCTAACCCAACATAACTGTTGTCCTTATATAAAGGGGAAATTAGGACACAGACATGCACAGGGAAGGGACCGTGTGAGGACACAGAAGACAGCCATCTGCAAGCCAAGGAGAGAGGTCTCAGGAGAAACCAACCCTGTTGACACCTTGATCTCTGACTTCCTGCCTCCAGAACGGTGAGAAAATTAATTTCTGTTCTAAGCCACCCAGACTGTTGGACACTTTGTTATGGCAGCCCCAGCGGACTATGACACTTTGCAACTGATAGCAGCTAAAGCAGATAGATCCAATAGATTCTGGTCAGTTCACATACAGGCTTGGTAGTAGTGAGGCCTGTTCCACCAGGGTCCACCACAGCCCAGAGCTTTCAAGCCCCTTGCTCTGGTGACAGATGCACAAAGCATTTGTTGTCTGTTATTATTATAACTACTTTGACACTTGGAAGTTGTGACATGGTAAGTGTCCTGAGTGTTTCATGTACTGGAAATATCTATGTCCCTCTATTTTATAAGTCAATCGATCAACTCTAGTGGGTGTAGTGGGTGGAGTTTGCTGGGTTGGATCCACCTAGAGTAAAAATATTAGCTAGGGTGCTAATGTGTTTTTTTCTTTGTTTGTTTTTTGTGTTTGTTTGTTTGTTTGTTTGTTTTGAGACAGAGTCTTGCTCTGTCTCCCAGGCTGGAGTACAGTGGTGTGATCTTGGCTCACTGCAACCTCTGCTCACTGCAACCTCTGCTCACTGCAACCTCCATCTCCTGGGTTCAAGTCATTCTCCGGCCTCAGCCTCCCAAGTAGCTGGGACTACAAGCACCTGCCACCACACCTGGCTGATTTTTGTATTTTTAGTAGAGGCAGGGTTTCACCATGTTGGCCAGGCTGGTCTCGAACTGCTGACCTCAAATGATCCACCCACCTCGGCCTCCCAAAGTGCTGGGATTACAGGCATGAGCCACTGTGCCCAGCCCTAATGTAGTTTGTTTTTGGCTCTATCAAGACACCCCCAGATCCAGCTCCACTAGCCAGCCAGTGGGGGCCTAGCTTTTTGATGTTTTAATATCTGCCTGCCAGAGCCACAGAGGTTCAGAGAGGGGAAGATTTACAACCTCATGTATAAGAAATGCCCCACCTCCGTGGCACCAGAATAAGAAAGGAGTGAATCTGTAGCTCCAGACTCCACAGCCACACTTCAGCTGCCACCCTTATCCCTGACCAATTATTCCTTTATCAAAATTTTTCATCAGGAATGGCTTGTATTGATCTTACAAACTTAGTTTTCAGGGCCTCTTGAGATGACCAAATGGCTTTCCTTATTTTCCTTACTAGCTGCATAGCCTTGGGAAAAGATTAAATTCTCTGTGTCTCAGTTTCCTCATCTGTAAGATGGGAGTATTAATGGTTCCTATGCTGCTGAGCTGTTGTGAGAGATTAATGAAATGCCACACAAAAAAGCACTAAGAACTGTGGTTGGTGCCTAGCAAGAACTCAATGTAATTTCTTTTGTAGTCATTAATGTTCTATCAGGAAAAGTTAGAAAGCTAGCGTTTACATTTTCTCTTACCTTCCCTCACCTCCTAATTCTCAATTTCAATTTGCTGTATTGCAATTTTTAAATAATTAGACTTCATAACATTTATAGTCCCTAGATTGTTCATAGTTGTCTAGCCTCAGCTGTATATTTTAATGGATGAAATGCTTGAAAACCTGCCCTTTTTGTGATGGCCCCTTTCCTTTCCTTACTCAGTAGAGTTTTTCCTGGGGTAGCTGATTCAAGAGTGGTTCAAAGGTGCTCTGTGCCCTGAATTCCTTCTAGTTTTAGAAAGGCCACCTGTGGCCTTTGTAACTGAATGACAAATTAGCAGTGTATCATTTCCCTGGGTCCACACTGTCTCTCCCAGAGTTCCCTGAGGACAGTATTCCAGGGTCTTATCCCAGTAAATGTCAAGAAATAGTTTGGGGTCACATGATTTCTCCCTCTGACAGGTTACTTGCTTTTTTGTCTTTGTTGTTTGTTTGTTTGATGAAACTTCAATGTTGTTTGTTTATTTTTCCCAGAAGCCCAGGAATATCACCAGAATCTGTCTGTGTTAATCATTTTGCTTTATTTTTTCCTGAAACGCAAGGTACCTTTTTAAACTGAGGATTTAGGTCTTCCTTGACTTTTATTAAGGCTTTCTTTTTTTACGTCTTTGAAATTGTTCTGTTTTCTTCTTCAGGAACACCAATTACCTGCATGATGGATATCCTTGTTGTACAAAGCTGTCTGGCTCTCCCTAATAACTTTCAGCTTTTTGTTCTTTTTGTTTTCCATTTGTTTTTCAGACAGTCTTCTCAAGCCTTTCTTTAGTGTCCCTCCCTTGATTTCAGCAGTGCAGTGCCTGTTCTCATTTTGGCATCTTAAAGTTAACTATCATTTCTGAAATGATGTTTCCTCTTCCACATATTCCCTGAGACTGGACAGCTCCTTTTCATCTCTTTTGTTGTATTATAACCCCTTCTACAATTTCTTGTAACCTTCTCTGAAGTCTTGTTGCCTTTTTTAATTTTTTTCCTTTTTCTAAGACTATGAGGGAAAAAATGTGTGCACTGTTTGACTTCCTGGAGTAATTCTTCCGAAATACATTTCCTGCGTGCCTTCTATTTGTTACTTTGCCGTGATCCTGGTCTTGAATTGTCACTTTTCCTTTTGTGATCCAGGTCACTGATTTGCTGAAGAGTCACACTGTGTGGGGAGAAGTTGAGGCAGAAGCAAGCTGCGAGTCAGAGGTGCCTTCTCCACATCCTTTCTCATCAGTTCTCCTGAGATTTGGGGCTATAAAGCTCCCCCCGACCCTTCCTTCACCTGCCACATCTCCTGCACACCTGCCTGAAAAGCTTCTCCTCTGACCCCACCTGCCCTGCCACTCTGAAATGAGGAAAAGAGAAGGGGTCACCCCTGCTGCTCACACATGGCCCCTAGATGCTGCCATTCCAAGCTCCACCATTTGGCCATTCAGGACCAAAACCTTCTTCTTTTAGGAAAGTCTTAACCCTCTAGGACTGTTCTAGTCCTCTCCTTCCCTTTAGTTCAAATATCACTGCATTTGACAGCCACTCTTCATAGCTAGTGATTTTTGACTATGGCTCTTTCCTGGTTTCAGTAATTTAAATTCTATTTTACTCTTATTTGCTTGGGTTGATTTTAAGGAACTGGATGTCGGGGGAAGACAGGGATCTTCCTTTTTACTTCAGAAGCCCAAGATAATTAGTTTAGAACAGTTACTCTTAAGCTATTAGTTCTATTAATTTGCTATTAGCTAATAGCAAATTAAGTTCTACTAATTTGCTATGGTCTGTGAGGCTACTCTGGATTTGTGATAATCTTATCAAACCACAAATGCTTAGGAGGATATGTTTTCCCCAATTTCTTAGAGCTGAGGTGAGTGCATATATATTAATAAAGTTGGTTTTGATTCAAACCATGTTTGAAGGAGAATCTACCTGAGTACAGCCCTGTTTTACTTAGTTTGAAATATTATATTGTCATTTGAGGACTCTTTCCTACTAATTCTAATTCTCACAGTAGCTTTAAACAAAGGGTGTGGGGGCCTCAGCCACCAGGAGTCTATATTGAAAAAAGGTAGCCAAGCCATTACTGTTTCCTGTGCACTACTGAAAGCTGAAAATAGCCCAACAAAACATGTGAAAGTCTTATCAAGTTCTTGAACGATTTCTCCAGGATGTGATCAAAAGTGTAAAAGTAGTTACTGGTGCAGAAGCCATATCTGAAGACTATTTCTTCCTATGGTCAAATATTGAACTGAAAAACACAAACCTGCAGAAGGAAAATAGCCTTAAACTATGTTAGCATCTCCAGAATTATAATGGCTCAGTAGTTTTGAGGGCATACAAACGCTTATGTCTAGCGTTATATTAGGAAAAAGACAGTTGCTTTCTACATAACCTAAAAGTTCCAGTTTGCAGTTTGGTGGTGAGCAGGGAGGAGTTAACAACATTCTAGTCTGTCACTGCCACCAGAGCTGGAAAAACAGGTTCTCCCCAAACTTGCTCCATATCCTGTCATTCAACTGTGTTAGATTTTGCTTGCCTATGAGTTTGACCAAGAATGTTCTATCAGCATTCTTACAATTTTGCTTAAATAAATGTCACAGGGGAATGGTCTCCCCAGTAGACCTGTACCAGGTAAAGTCCTAGCACAGATGCACTCCGACTTTTGGTTCTTTGGAGATGAATGTCCTAGAATACACAGAGTTTAAAGACTGTCCCACTGCAAGCAGGCAGTCAGAATGGAGTGCAAGAGAAGGATTTATGCAAATGTCAAAGCACAGAGGAAGCAAACCAGGCGAGATGGAACACTGGGCAGTCAGGGGCCATTCATTCCTGCACAGACTGGGAATAAAGTGGCCACAGGCTTCACCTCAGCTATGTTTTTCCCTAAGGCTGGAGAGGAGGTGAGCCTGAAAGTTTGGAAATGACGAAGTTAAATTGCTAGACTCCATGTCCCACATCATACAATATGGAAGCCCAGAATACATCATAAACACTAGATCAGATGACTTTTGTTCAGAATGTCACCCAGCTGTGCTCCAGGAGGGAGATATTAATCCATGGGAAATCACAACCAGGTAGGTCCGTGGGCCTGGAAGGAGGCCACCATGAGACACTTACAGCTGAATGATAAGCGAGAATGGGCCTGCCGGTTTTACCTTGTCTGGAAAGCAGCCCGCCTTGCCCCAGCATACTGGCCAAGCCTCTCAGAAGGCAACATCTTCCTGATGGCAATAAACTATGGGACTATTGCTGGAGGGTTGCCCTTAAGAGAAAAACCAAGTCTTTAACATGTCTTAGTGGGAGGAAGATTCTGGTAAAATAATAGCTTGAATGTGCCCCAATTGCCCTCTACTCCCACTTTTAACTCATCCACCTCACCAGGCTGAAGAGTTTCGCATTGGCCAGATGGCCTGTGTGAGCGAGGCATCACCACATCTGAGAGTTTTGAAGCAGCTGTACAGGATTGTCTCCCTTGGAGCCTGATGGGCAATCCTGTCTGCTGCTCTCAATTAATACAGTTATTAATTCTATCCATTGATGATGGCGGTATCTACCTGCTCTATCATTCCCTCCATTGGTTCCTTTAACATCAGTATGTAATCTTCCTGTTCAGTACGATAGTTTGCCTTGAATTCTATTTTGTCAGATGCTACGGCTATTGCCTCACTTTTCATTTGGTTATTTCCCTGGAAAGTCTTTTTCATCCTTTTCTTTCTTATTTATGTATTTATTTATTTTTGAGACAAGGTCTTGCTTTCTTACCCAGGCTGGAGTGCAGTGGTACAATCATAGCACACAGCAGCCTCCGTCTCCCAGGTTCAAGCAATCCTCCCACCTCAGCTTCCACAGTGTATAAGAGTTCCCTTTTCTCTGCATCCTCACCAGTATTTGTTATTTTTTGTCTTTTTCAAAATAGCCATCCTAACTGGGGTGAGATGATACCTTGTTGTGGTTTTGATTTGCATTTCTCTGATAATTAGTGATGTTGAGCATATTTTCATATATTTTGTCGGCCATTTATATGTCTTCTTTTGAGAAATATTCATTCAGATTGTTTGTCCATTGTTTAATTGGATTTATTTTTTATCTTTGATATGTTTGAGTTCCTTGTACAGTCTGGATATTAATCCTTTATCTGATGAATACTTCGAAAATATTTTCTCCTGTTCTTCAGATTGTCTCTTCACTCTGTGTCTTTTGCTGTGTAGACTTTTTAGTTTGATATTATCCTTTTTTTTTTTTTTTTTTTGCTTCTTTTGCCTGTTCTTTTGAGGTCTTATTTATAAAATCATTTCCCAGACCAATGTCCTGAAGTGTTTTTCCTTTGTTTTCTTCTAATAGTTTTAACATTTGGGGTCTTACATTTAGGTCTTTGATCATTTTGAGTGGATTTTTGTGTTGGGTGAAAGATAAGGGTCTACTTTCATTCTTCTGCATGTGGATTTTCAGTTTTTTCAGCACCATTTATTGAAAAGACTGTCCTCCCAATGAAGGTTCTCAGCATTTTTGTCAAAAATCAGTTCACTGTGTTATGGTTTGGGTTTATGTCCCCACCAAATCTCATGTCAAACTGTAATCCCCAATGTTGGAGGTGGGGCCTGCTGGGAAGTGATTAGATCATGGGGGCAGATTTATCATGAATGGTTTAGCACCTCTTGGTGCTGTCCTCACAATCTGGTTGTTTAAAAGTGTGTGGCACCTCCCCTCTTGGTCTCATACTCCTGCTTTCACCATGTGAAGTGTTGGCTTCATGAGTAAAAGCTCCCTTAGGCCTCCCCAGAAACAGATGCTACTATGCTTCCTGTACAGCCTGCAGAACTGTGAGCCAATTAAACCTTTTTTCTTATGAATTACCAAGTATTGGGTATTTATTTGTATCAATGTGAGAATGTACTAATATAGCTATAGATATGTAGATTAATTTCTGGGCTTTCTATTCTGTTCTCTTGATCTATGTGTCTGTTTTTATGCCAGTACCATGCTGTTTTGGTTACTACAGCTTTGCAGTATACTTTGAGGTCTGGAAGTGTGATACCTCCAGGCTTTGTTCCTTTTGCTCAGGATTGTGTTGGCTATTTGGGGTCTTTTATGGTTCCATATAAATTTTAGGATTTTAAAAATATTTCTGAGAAAAATATAATGAGTATTTTGATGGGGATTGCCTTTAATCCACAGATTGCTTTGGGTAGTATGGTCCTTTTAACAATATTAATTTTTTGATCCATGAGCATGGGAATTTTTTCCAATTACTGTATCGTCTTCAATTTCTTTCATCAGTGATTTGCAGTTTTCCTTGTAGAGATTTTTCACATCCTTGGTTAAATTTATACCTAGGTATTTTATTTATTTTATAGATATTATAAATGGGATTGCCTTCTTGACTTCTTTTTCAGCTAGGTTGTAGTTTGTATATATAAATGTTACTGTGTTTTGTATGTTGATTTTGCATCCCGCAACTTTACTGAATTTGTCAATTTTAATAGTTTTCTGGTGGAGTCTTTAGGTTTTGCTAGGAATAAGACCATGTCATTTACAAACAAGGACAATTTGAATTGCTCCTTGAATGACCTTTATTTCTTTATCTTACCTAATTGCTCTGGCTAGGACTTCCAGTACTATGTTGAATAAGAGTGGTTAAGAGTGGGCATCCTTGTCCTGTTCCAGTTCTTAGAGAAAAAGCGTTCAGCTTTTCACTGTTCAATATGATGTTAGTTAAACCTTAGCTGTTTAGTCATTGCCTTTCTTGGGGTGTGGTGAGGCGAGGAGGTGGGGAATGACCACCGGGCATCTCTAAATAGCCATCCTGTTGCTGTCATTTTTAACATTCTACTTTTATATTTTTCATATATAGCATTTCTACTTGGTTCTTTTTATGACTTCTTGTTACAGCAAAATATTATTAAAATATTCTCTTGTAGAGTATATTTATCATGCTGCTTAAAAAAATTGTGGTCCACATGTGTCACACCAAGTGTCAGGTTCCAGCCCATGCTGAGGTCCAAGGGGAGTGGGTGGATGGGTGGCGGACAGCAGGAAGAACATTCGGGGGCTGTAGACAGGTGAAATATGGTTTTATTCAGCAGCTCTCTCATGCTGTCTGCTTTTATCTCCGCTACCTGCTCCGGCTCTGAGGCTCCTGCGGCTCCTGTGGCTCCCACACTTACAGCTGCATTCCCTGGCCTGCCAGGCCACCTCTGCCTTACAGGGTCAACAGCTTCACACTCTCTCCCTCTCTGGGCACAAGCTGTATGTGCAATGTCAGCAGGGCAGTTATACCTTTTACAAACAATAGTGGCTCTGAGCCAAGTACAAGCTTACACAAACAGGCTATTTAACAAGTGGAGTTATGCGCCTGTGTGCTAAACTTGCTGAGTCACTCTGGCCAGGATGTCTGCCTCTGCCTATTCCTGACCAAAGCACATCCATTTACCTTACAACATGTTCCAGTGATTCTGGTATAACGATATTTTGTATCCATTTGTTGTATCCCCTGCAGTCTAGCTGTTTGGGGCTGTGAGTCATGCTCCCATGAGGTCTGGTGATGTGTATTGAGAAGGGCTAAAGGCCAGGCCCTGGTTGTTGTCTCTTTAGAGAGTTTAAGGGAAGGAAGGGAACCCCTGGACAGAGAAAATCACAGAAGAAAATCCCCATTTGCTAATACTTGACAACTTCATTCAAAGTTCACTTTAAACTCTCAGAAACAACCACTTTGGAATAAAATGGTGGCCTTAGTTTTTAATCCACCACCCCTAGGTATTAAAAAGGGGAGGACAAGGAGGACTGGATTCCACCCAGACAGGGGCTTTGATCTACCTGCTATTGTCCCATAGGGCCAACAGCAACCTGGGCTGTGCCACTGAATTCATGGCAAAGGGGTCGGCTGTGGGTGCCTTAAGGCAACACATGGGAGAGGCAGGCACAGAATGGAAATGTTTTTCCTCCAACTTTGCTTCTCAGTGCTCTCCAGGGGCCTCTGCCCCCAGGCTACAGTGTCCTCCCACCCCTCTCCACAGACCCCTCTTCCAGTTTCTCACAGCTGTGTGTGTGAGAGAGTTCCTCAGATGCAGGCTTCTCTCTTGCTTCTGTGGTTTCTCCAGGCTTGATGTGGAGGATGGTCACCTTGCCAGGTCACTACCTGAAGGTGACATGGGGTCTTTGTAACTTATCCTTGCCCCCAACCCCATCCAACACATACACTTACTCCACTGTTCTGCAGCTTCCAGATGTCTGTCCACCAGGTGCAATGCAAACCCAGCCCATTTTGGGGGGCTGGCTGTGAGCATGGCTAAACCAAAGGTCGCGTCCCAGGTGCAGCCCACACAGGCTTTAGACCTGCTTAAGGCCCAGTTTTTTTGCATAGAAGTCAGGGGAATAGATAAATTTTAGTTAATATTTTAATTGCCTGAAAGATTACTTTATAAATTAAAGGAAAATGGGGTTTTTAATTTTTTTTTACAATTAAAAATGCAACTCAAATATATTTTCTTTTCGAAGGCAAGTGATACGAGAAGCCAGATTATCATCAAAAGACTGCTTGGTGATCCTAAGAGGATCAGCCGTGACTTTTTCTTCCTCCTATATCATACAACCCACTGGCTCCCTTGTGCTTCTTTCCTTTTGCGATGAATACAGTTACCAAGAAAGGTGACTTTTTTAAACCACTGTTGAATCAAAGTCCAAGAGAAAGTAACGTGCTTTGGCATTCACTAGAGAGCTTGAGCAGAAGCAGCTTCATTTTCTATGAAGAGCAGAACAGTCTCCAACACTTATATGTCATTTAGGAGTTGATAACTATATTATATTTACTTTTGTAGCTCTTAGAATTCTTACACAAGCCCCCAAACACATAGAAAAAGATATGGCCATTGGCTGAGTGCTGCCACCCTAACTAACCCCAAGGAAGCAACTATTTTCTATTTTATTTTAGAAGGCTTGTGATCAGATAAAATGAACCATCCCTCAAATGACTATAGCACATAACACTGAAACTCCAGGGAGAAGCAAATAAAAGCTGTCGAATTGCCAGTTCCAACAAGAAGTAGCAAGAATGTCTGACAATACTTTCTCATAGATAGATCTAGATGGTCAGACTCTCCCAGATACCATCACATCAAGTTTATTTAGTAGTGTTTTTTTGGGTGCGTGTGAGTAGAAAGAAGGAAATTAGTATTTGTCTCAGACCAGTATTGTGCTAGGCACATTCGCATACAGGATCAAACAGCAGGGCTGGAAGAAATATACTGAATACACAGGTCTCTGTGCTCGAACATTTGTACATTTAAAAGAACATCCAGCCTTTTCCCAGAATTTTCCAACCCAGGGGTGATTATATGTGTATTTGCAGTTTTGTTCTAATCATCCCTGTTTTCTAGAGTTTTAGTTCATTTAGGCTACTATGACAGAATACCACAGATTGGGTGACATATAAATAACAGAAATTTATTTCTCACAGTTCTGGAGACTGGGATGTCCAAGATTAAGGCATTGGCAGATTTAGTGTTTGGTGAGATCCCATTTCTGGTTCATAAATGGCTGTCTTCTCACTGCATCCTCACGTGGCAGAAGGGGCTAGGGACCCACTATAGTTTGGATGTTTGTCCTGCCAACCTCATATTAAAATTTGATACCAGTGTTGGAGATGGGGCCTAGTGGAAGGTGTTTGGGCCATGGGGGCAGATCCCTCATGGATGGCTTGATGCTGTCCTTGCTGTAGTGAGTGAGCTCTTACTCTATTAGTTCCCACAAGAGCTGGTTGCTAAACAAGGCCTGGCACCTCACCGCTCTCTCTTGCTACCTGTCTCACCCTGTGATCTCTGTACACTGGCTTCCCTTTGCCTTCTGCCATGAGTGGAAGCACCCTGAGGCCCTCACCAGATGCCCCCACCTGCAAAACAGTGAGCCAAATAAACCATTTTTTCTTTATAAGTTACTCAGACTTGGGTATTCCTTTATCGCAACACTAAGCAGACTAAAGAGGCCTTCCCTCAGGCCTCTTTTATAAGAGCACTAATCTCATTCAGGAGGGCTCCACCCACAGGACTCTGTCACTTCCCAAATGTCCCACCTCCTAATACCATCACCTTGTGGGGAAGAATTTCAACATATTAACTGGGGAGAAACAGAATATTCTGTCTATAGCACCTAGAATCTGCAACAAGTGATTGTTCCTTCCTTCTTCCCGCCCTCCTCCCTATTTTAAGTTGAGGAGAGTTTAAAGGAGGAAATATTTACAAAGGTTGGGCAGGGTTAAGGTAAAGCCCCAAGACTAGCAATAGCTAAAAGTTGTTCCCATCCCAGACATAAAGAGGCCAAGGGATGAGTCCTTATAGAACCAGAGAGAACATGGAACAGGTGGTCTTGCTATTAATTAAACTAGAAATCAGTGCCGCTCCCCAGGGGCTGTGACAGCTCAGGAGCCCCTTTTGAAGTTATAGGAAAAAATGGTTTTAATAAAATAAACTACGCATTTCTGGACACCCCTCCGGGCTATTTGATTCTAAGTTTCCTCTTTGAGCTATTTTTGCAACTTTGTGTTTTCTCCACATAGCATATCCTTTTGGATTACTGATTCTAGCCTGGTTCAGTGTCTTCGAGCTGTTTTACAACTCTGTATAAATGTGTCTGTTCTTTGAATTATCTTTTGAATCATTATGATGTTTGTCTGGTTCCTTCATTGATTAGTACATAAAATAAAACCTCTAACGTGCTATGATGGTTAATATGAGGTGTCAACTTGATTGGATTGAAAGATGCCTAGATAGCTAGTATTGTTTCTGGGTGTGTCTGTGAAGGTGCTGCTAGAGGAGATTAACATTTGACTCAATGGACTGGGAGAGGATGACCCACCTACCCTCAATGTGGGTGGGCACCATTCAATCGGCTGCCAGCAGCGCTAGAACAAAGCAAGTGGAAGAAGGTGGGATAAGATGGCTTGCTGAGTCTTCCGGCTTTCATCTTTCTCCCGTGCTGGATGTTTCCTGCCCTTGGACATCAGACTGCAGGTTCTTTGGCCTTTGGATTCTTGGACTTATACCAGTGGTCTGCTGGGGGCTCTTGGGCTTCTGGCCACAGACTGAAGGCTGCACTGTTGGCCTCCCTACATTTGAGGTTTTTGGACTCGGACTGAGCCTCTACTGGCTTCCTTGCTCCTCAGCTGGCAGAGGACCTATCGTGGGACTTCACCTTGTGATCGTGTGAGTCAATTCTCCTTAATAAACTCCCTTTCATATATACATATATCCTATTAGTTCTGTCCCTCTGGAGAACCCTAATACACGTGTTCATTTTATATAACACTTAATGATTTTATCCTTTTTTGGAAAATTATCTTTCAACAAAGAAAACATCACCTCCCCACTAAAGTCATCCTGTAGAGAATGCCCTGCAGTAAAGTTGTCTAGGCCTCGAGGATTAAAGCTTTCTTACCATACAAAGCCATTTTACTACCAGACAGTTGCATCGCAAGGGTTCAGAATCAGCACCACAAACCAACTCTTGGTCTTTGGAGCCAAGACCAGCTTGCCAGTGCAGATCCATAATTATTTTATGGGGGAATCTCATCGCAGAAGCTCTACTGTCTCTTAAAATCTATGGTATGGAGCAAGCCAACACCATTAGACCATTTCTGAAAATCTCTCATAATAATCCAGAACCTCAGTTAGAGTCAGAGGTCCTATGTCTTTTCCCTGGGAGATTCTGTTTCCTATGTGAGCTAGCAGATGTGCCTTCAAACTCCACCTGTCAGTTCCACCCAGGCCTCAAATTTAAAGGGATTTTACTGAAAACAGGGTGAATCCTAATTCTGTTTACCAATGCATAAGCCTGAAGTTCCTGGCCAGTAAAAATACTCCCTTCTGCTCATTTTACAGATGAGGAAATGAAGGTTCAGAGAGGTTCAGTACCTTACCCAAGATGGCACAAGTAGCACATAGCAGACCTGGATTCAAATCCAGAAAGGTCAGCCCCAACCCAGTCCTCTTTCTACTAAAATGCCAATGCTGACACCCTTTTCCACCATGCTGCCCAGATGTCAACGAGTCTCTCCAGAAAATCCAGATGCAAATAGCCTCTCCTATTTCTTTTGCTTAAATATCCCCTAAAAGAACTTGAGAAACTCTAAAGCCTCATACATTTTTAAAGCTGACATCTAAAATATTTCATCATGAATTTAAATAGTTACAAGGGAGATAATTTCTACCATATATTAAATATTACTTTTTAAAAAATTACATCACTATTTTAATTATATTCAGTGGATTCTAATTACTAAGACGATTTGATACCCATCATCATCCATAAATAAATGCTCAGAAATTTTCCATCTTTCCCCTTCCTTCTTAGAGTCATACTTCCATTTCATCTTTCTTATGGAACTGTATTACTCTGTTTGAAATTATATAGAGTACCCTATTGTATTTCTCTATAACAAAAAATCTTCAATTTCAAAATGTTTCATATGCTGTTTAACTGTAAAGCTTAAGTGTTAAAAATATTTCTTCTGGGGCCGGGTGCAGTGGCTCACGCCTGTAATCCCAGCACTTTGGGAGGCCGAGGCGGGCGGATCACGAGGTCAGGAGATCGAGACCATCCTGGCTAACACGGTGAAACCCCGTCTCTACTAAAAATACAAAAAAATTAGCCGGGCGTGGTGGCGGGTGCCTGTAGTCCCAGCTACTTGGGAGGCTGAAGCAGGAGAATGGTGTAAACCCAGGAGGGGGAGGTTGCTGTGAGCCGAGACTGCACCACTGCACTCCAGCCTGGGCGACAGAGTGAGACTCTGTCTCAAAAGAAAAAAAAATTTCTTCTGGATTGGGAAGTTATTTCAACTGTTATTAGTACCTAATTGATCAAAACATAAACACTGCATAAGCAGTACATTTTATTGCCAACATTATTTCCTAAATCAGCCAGTGGGGCAGGGTTTTTGCCCCCTCAATGAATCTACATATTTATGGATAAATGATTACAAGGTTATATAAATAAAACAGGTATCACCAGCAATCCTATTTTTTTTAAGGTTGAAAGAACCTAGTTTCCATAAAAAAGTGGAAGACAACGTGAGTTTTAGTAAAGCTGTGTCCTTCAATTCTTTAAACTCCTTTCTCAGTGCTTGATAAGCATTACATTCAGGCTGGTGGTTCCCTCAGAGGGTGAAGGAGAAGGGCAGGTAGAGAACATTCCAGAAGCAATGGGTCATGTTGCAGTGCTTAATCTAGGTAGCAGGAGCATAGGATTTTTGTATTGTTTTTCACTTTAGACATATTTCACCTTAGACATATTTCATAAGTAACCTTTTATATATACCCAGTACTTAATTCTAAAATAAGAGAAAAGAAATAGCAAAAACATATGAAAGATAAGCAACATTTATCCTTCAATCAAGCTAAATAAGTGAGGCTTATGGGGTATCCTTTTAAAGAGATTATTTTGCTTCCTTTCCTACAATGCATTAACGCCTGTCAGACGGT
The DNA here is from genome assembly GCF_000001405.40 of Homo sapiens. Taxonomy (NCBI): domain Eukaryota; kingdom Metazoa; phylum Chordata; class Mammalia; order Primates; family Hominidae; genus Homo; species Homo sapiens. The sequence goes on along the minus strand of NC_000015.10, from coordinate 79,323,324 downwards.
GCAGGATTTCAGATTTGATAGGTTTCCTTCAGCGGAGACACTGTATCTTCCCTCCAGACCTACTGCACAGACATCTGATTGGTATGCATTCATTTCTTACTAATGGGCAAGGAGGACTAAGGGCAAGTGAGACAGTACCATCTTGAAGAGTGGTTGGGAGGGACTTCACTGATAATGTGCCTTTGGGTCAGAAGGAAATGATGGAGCAGGGCATGCAGATATCCGGGAGAAGGTATTATCAGAGGAAACAGCATTTGCAAAGTTCCGTTGTACAACATGGTGTGAGCATGCGAGGAGACTTCCTATTTTGTTTTCAGTCACCTGGGAGGAGTCATTTCTTGCCCACTCTATACATCTCTGCACAGCACCCCATGCACCTCTCTAGGTACTCTATGTCACATTCTAATTATTTATGCACACACCCATGCTCTGCAGTAAGCTCTGGAGTCCTTTAGGGCAAAGAAATAAAGGCACAAGTCTCCAGGACGCTCACACTTAGTTTTTATTAGCCACAGTTTCCCACAGTTTTCTACCTCCTAGGAAATACACAGCTCACCAAGGGCACCCAGTCACCATTCTGTCCTGCTTGCATGGCTGACACTGTTGCTCACCGAGGGTGAGCAGATCTGCAAAGTCACCCAGGGCCTGGTTTCCTCAGGTACAGAGAACCCCAAAGAAAGAAGAGCCAGAACTTAGAGCCCCTTTCTTCTCCATATGGGATAGGACACCCAAGACAAATGACCCATGCATCATGAAACAGAGGCAGGGCCCTAAGCTGCCCAAGAGGCCTGGGCACTTGGAGTTCCTGCCAACAGCCAGGCCACTGAACCATTGCCTGTCCACCCTCCCACAGTGGCTAATCCCTGGCCTAGTTGTAAATGTCTTTTCAGCGCTGCACACTTAATGCAGTCGGATGCCTTCTGATTACTGGTCTCTGAGACCTTCAGCTGCTGAGGTGCAAGAATCAAGCATGGGCATGAAAGGCAAAGGGCTACCACAGCAGCATCGTTCTGCCTCCACCCTGGGCTACGCGACCCAGCCCAGCAGGCTGTGACCTAGGAGAGCTGCTCCAGCCTGGGGCATGAGGGGCCCTAGAGCAGGATGCCGGGGCTAGGAGTGGACTGCCCTGCTGATGGGTCGTTTTTCTGTGAAGAAGCTTTTCAACAGTAGCACCTGACTGAAGCTGACCACGAACAGGGCAATCGTCTCGCCAACAGACCAGTAAGAGACTCGGCTATTAAGGTCTTCTGCTCGGGCCCGGTCCTGGGCCTCCCGCAGCCGGTAATGCGTCTGGGAGTCAATCACCGTTTTCAGAGCCTCATGGATGGTCACGCAGGCGGACTCCATCTGGGCAGGAAGAGAAAAGCAGTCACACTGCTAACCCATAGACAAATGTGGGATCCAGCAAACAGCAAATGCTGTTGTCAACATCCTAGGTGATATCCACTGAATGCTAACTAAGAGTCTGTGCTAAGGGTTTTACGTGGTTTTATTTAATCCTCACAACAAGCCTAATTGAAGCTCAGAGAGGTTAAGTAACTTGCCCAGAGTCACACAGTTAGTATGTGGCTGAGTTAGAGTCTGAGTCCTGAGCCTATGCTTTCAAGCACTGCCCTATACTCTCTTATTCAATCCTTACAATACTCCTGATAGGCACGGATCATTACCCTCACTGTTAACGAGGGCTTATCCCACACACAGATGAGGAAACTGAGGCTCCAAGAGGCTACACGAATTGCCCAAAGTCATACAACTAATAAACAGCAAAGTGTGAACTAGACCACAGTTGTGTTTGGACTCTGAATCCACTGCTCATGCTCATTCTATTATGTAATTGCTGCCTATAGTTTTATGTATAAACACAAACACATGAAGACACACGCTTCATGTATGTAAGCACATGCACACACATGCAAAGACACATATATATAAACAGGCACTACATAGACACATACGCTCATGTGTAACACATACTACATCATAACTTTCTTTACCTGCAAAAATATTCAGTGTGGTAGGCAGAAGTCTGAAAATGTCCTTCCCACCACCACCAAGGTCCCCCGCCCTAATTCCAGAAAGCTGTGAATATGATGAGCTGTCACCTCTGTGACTGCATCACGTTAATATGACACAGCTGACCTGAAGATGGGGAGGTTATTCAGGCCTGATCCCATCACAGGAGCCCTCAGACGCCAGGAGCTTTCTCCAGCTAGTTGCAGAAGAAGTCAAGACAGTTCTGAAGCATGAGAAAAATTCAATGTGCCACACTGGCTTTGAAGGTGGAGGTGACCACTTGCCAGGACCAGAAAAAGGCCTCCAGGCGTTGAGGGTACAACAGTCAGCAAGGAAATGGGGACCTCAGTCCTACAACCACAAAGAACTGAACTCCACCAACAACCTGAATGAGCATGAAAGCAGATCCTTCCCCAGAGCTTCCAGGTAGGAGCCCAACCTGCCACCACCTCGACATCAGGCTTGGGAGACCCCAAAGAATCTGGCCAACCTGCCCAGGCTCACAGCATACAGAGCTGTGCGGTAATAAGTGAGTATTGCATTAAGACACTATGTTTGTAGTAATTAGTTACTCAGCAATAGACAACACATTATGCCTGTGGGAAAACGTTGAGTTCTTATTCAGAGGCAGCCTCTAAACCACCATGTATCCAAGACCTAGAAAATTCTATCCTATCAGTGAGTTCTCAGGCTAGAGGAATTCACAAAGCATGCACCAGACACTCACTTCAGTTCCCAAACTCCAAAGGCAAACTATTTGTAAAGTACAGTACAATAAACTAGAAAAGACCAAGTCACTCTGTGACCTCCCTTCCTGTGGGCGGCAAGCCACCCAGGTGCCGAGGCAAGAGACCGAGGGCACGAGCTGTTCCAGTATAATAAAATATATAAAATAAGAATAGTGATACTAGATATAGATCATAGATAGGATTATATATGAATATCATTAATCATTAGTTTGTGGCAATTACTCTTTATTCCAATATTATAATAATCCTTGCTCTACAATCATAACCTAGGAAAAACCAGGCCACACAGAGATAGGAGCTGAGGGGACATAGTGAGAAGTGACCAGAAGACAAGAGTGCGAGCCTTCTGTTATGCCTGGACAGGGCCGCCAGAGGGCTCCTTGGTCTAGCGGTAATGCCAGTGTCTGGGAAGACGCCCATTGCCAAGTGGACTGTGGTCTAGCGGTAGCGTCAGTGTCAAGGAAAAACACCCGCTACTTAGCAGACTGGGAAAGGGGGACTCCCTTTTCCCAGTGGAGTTCAGAGAAGACTCTACTCCTCCACCTCTTGTGGAGGGCCTGACATCAGTCAGGCCCACCCGCAGTTATCCGGGGACCTAACTGTCTCCCTGTGATGCTGTGCTTCAGTGGTCACACTCCTAGTCTTCTTTCATGTTCCATCCTGTGTACCTGGGCTTTTAGATAGCAGTAGCAAATTAGTGAAAGTACTAAAAGTCTCTGATATGCAGAAATAATGGCATAAGCTGTCTCTCTCTCTTCTCTCTCTCTCTCTGCCTTGGCTGCCAGGCAGGGAAGGGCCCCCTGTCCAGTGGACACGTGACCTTACCAATCATTGGAGATGGCTCACACTCCTTAGCCTGCCCCTTTGTCTTGTATCCAATAAGTATCAGCGCAGCCTGGCATTCGGGGCCACTACCAGTCTCTGCGTCTTGGTGGTAGTGGTCCCCTGGGCCCAGCTGTCTTCTTTTTAATCTCTTTGTCTTATGTCTTTATTTCTACAATCTCTCGTCTCCACACATAGGGAGAAAACCCATCCACCCTGTGGGGCTGGACCCTACACCTCCCCAAAACCCTTGTTTCTCTCTCACATTAAACCACTTCCAGAAGACAAACAGGAAACCACTGCCAAACAATGGTGTTACCCTTACTTGCCTCATTGGGTATCCTTAATTCTGGGCCATTCTAGGAGCTGAACTAGACTATGTAAGGAAGAACAAAAGCTTCCCTTCTGCCTCTGCATTACAGGGCAGCAGCTTCCCTCTTTCTGGCAACAGGTCTACCTCCCAAGGCTATGGGACTCTCCTGCACACAGTGGCTGGCCCTCTCATCCAGGTCCATGTGTAAGAAGTGGTGAAATGTCACACGTAGAAAGGTGGCATGATCACTGTGTATCAGATGGAACTGATAGAGTTAGACTGGGTACACCAGCTCAAGGAGCAATAGCAAGTGAAGAACAAGCCTATTTGTCCCCCATGAGTACCTCTGTCCTGTTTTCTCAGTGACATCCTCTATCCTCTATTATTTTGGGCTACATATCATCTTTCACAACTGGAGTGTAGTCAGCATTGGACTTCTTCACTTCCCTGCATTTGGTAGGTGGGCTATACCTGCAGACATTTGATATTGAAAAAGGAACAAATGATCCTAAGAAGGGTTCCAGACATCAGGAAGTTGACTCCAAAGGGAACTTCCAAAGCCAACTGGCTTCAAAGGCCAACCACCAGAAAAGAAAGCTCAGGTGTAGGCCTCTGCACTGGGGACAATGGTCGCATTTGTGGTTGCTCCTCCTAGCTCTCCGGGGAATGCTTCCAAAGCTCACTAAAGCATGTCAGCTGTCACAGATGGAACAGGACACTAAACTGGGAAGGAAGCAGGAAAGAGGTCAATGTGGAGTCGGGCTTAACCTATGTGAACCTGTGTCAAAGCTAACTCAAGATATGCCATTTCTAGAAGCCTCCCTAGTGCTCCCTGCCAGGCACTACCTATACAGGCAGACTTGGTAACACAAATCCGTTCTGTATTTACATCACCCTGGTGATCCCTGGAAAATCACAAAGGATTGAAGGTGGGGCTGGGGGACTCAGGATAGACACTTGTAGGATGAGGTTACAAGGATTTCAAATCATGGCTGAGTTTGAATAGCTCACACTTCCACTAATTCCTTCATTCAAACATTTACTCAATGCTTACTTTCCTTCCAGGCACTGTGCTAGGCCCAGGGAATTAAGAATCAGAGCCAGACACAGTCCTGGGTCTCAGAAAGTTCCCAATTTAAAGAAAAAATTACTCAACTAGAATGCAGTATAAACAGCCAACAACAGAAGGGTATGCAGAGCGGCAGGAACACCCCAGGAGAAAGATGCTGAGCCTGCCAGAGAAGATGGAGTACTTGACATGGGACACGACAAGCTGAGCCCTGATGGATGGGCAGGACGTCACCAGGCTGAGAACACATCCCAAGCAGCAGAAGCACAGGCAAAGAACTGTACAGGGCCTGGTCTGGGATCAGGGACTGACATGGTGATGGGGATGCGTGGAGAAGCAGCTGTGGGGAGGTGGAAGCTCACAGTAAAGGGCCTCGAGGTCCAAGACTTTATCGTGTGGCTCTGTGAGCAGAAGATTGGCAAGATCGGAATCCCACTTTACGAGAATCTGCCTCTGGCAGCTATGATGCAGAAAGGGATGTATGCGAACCAGTTTAGAGGCAGGGAAACCACTTAGGTGGCTGCAATTCTACTGGGAAGAGAAGATGCAGGCCTCGGTTAAGAAGGTCGCCATGTCAGGGAAGAGTGGACTGGAGGGAAATTGATGGCACTGAAATCACAGGACTTCATAACAAAGTGGATCATTCTTGAAATCAGTGGGAGGGATGGAGACACACACATAAGTGTATACATGTATGTATCATGGTCATAGGTAGTATATGTGTATATGTATGTGTGGCACACACACATATGTATTCATATGTACACATATGCATACATGTTTGTATGTACAAATCCGCAGAGAACACTGTGGAAGGGCTCATTTGATTTTCCAGGCTATAATTCCATTCTCCAAGTTTATGTGTCACAAACTCATTCAGAAACAAAGTGTACAACTAGACTCACTTGACTGGGGACTCCTTGGACCGTAGGCCCTGGCCTGGGAATTCAGCAGTACTGGTCAGCATCTCCAGCCTTCTCCCAGGACCCAGAGTCACTGGAGAGGAAGGAGGAAGGGAAAAAGAAGAGGGAGGACACAGAAATCACAGGTGTAGACACCAAGACAGAGGATGAGTCAGATATTTATGTGAAGCATCACTTTAAAGGCCTAGATCCAGCGACACAGGCCAGAAACCGGCACGGAGACTGCATGAAGAGGCCTCGTGGCCTTTAAAGGAACAATCTCAGATCAGATCAGTGATAGCAAAGGGACCAGTTCCAAGAGGGTAACGGAGCAACAGGTGATACTCTACAGCTTTCTTGGCAACTAACACCTGCAGACGCCTTCAGGACCTTGCACAGACGCTGCAAGAGACCCCAGAGCAATACATCCCCGAGAATCATCCCCAAGAATCACAGCTACCTGGATGCTCACCCTCACCACAAAAACATGCTACTTCCCCATCCGCTGAGATCTTCAGTTAGTGCTCATCTAAAGCAAACTTGTTCAGCCTGTTACCACAAAATTTCAGTTAGGCAGTCCCTCAGCCAGCTTCCCACCCAGCAGAAAACCAACAGAACCCCTCTGTTTTCAGGGTCCTGTTTTTCCAGGCCACGAGTCCCCAGGTCTCCTCGTGTGTGACCTTCCGCCCTGCTAAGACCACCAGTCCTGGCTGGCTTCCAGTGTCCTGGAGCCTCACAGGGATTATAGTTGCCACTTCATGGTGACTGTCGGTCTCTAGGACACCCTGACCCATCCCACCTCTGGCACCATCCCTTTCCTCCATCTCCACGCTGACATCCCATCCTGTCCCAGCCACCAGCGGATGCCGAGGTCTTCAGTCTGTAACCACTGACAAATTCCTGCAGCCCTCACCTCATCAGGCCTCCCCTGACCCAAGTATCTGCTTCTTCAAATTCTTCAAGAACTCAAAGACAGGGAAGTAGAAGCTGGCATCAGAGCACTTAAGAAAACCTTTAATCCTTCCTAGATCACCAGGGAGGTAGCTCTTGGCCTTTGACCTCTGTCAGAAACCTTCAGCTCTGACCAGGATCTTCCCAGATTCTCAGGAAGCCTGGAAGCCCCTCGAGCTTGGCTTTCCTGAAGTCGCATTCTCCTGGCCCAGGTCCTCTCCTAGGAGCCTGGTTTTCCTGAACTCCGGCCTGAAACAAGTCCTTTGGACCTGAATCCCTGGCCTGGGCCCTGGTCACTATGGAACCTGTTCTTTCACCTAATACTTACTTTCTTGCCAGAAACCATGGCCTCTGGCTCACCACTGTGCTGCAAGAAGTCTGGGGAGAGGCGAGACAGCAGCTGCTGGGTAAAGGGGGACCCATGCCAAGCAAGATAAAAAGCGCTGGCGAGAAGAATGAAAGTTACACTCCATAAATCTCACCTGTTCTCTTCACCTAGAAGGCCAAGCTTCTACATTTTCAAGTGAAGCCTTCCTGACTCCTGGAAGAATTCATCAGTGCCTCCTCAAGACTCCTGGCGCTTCAATTACAGCTCTGACCACAGTGCCCCATAGCCAACTGGCTTGCAGGGCTGCGCTCCTTGCAGGGTGCCCAGTACCAGGCACAGAGCCATCCACGGCTGGCACAATGTGTAGACTGAGTGAATTCTGGCATAAAAGCAAGTACTCTCAAAGGCAGGCACAGATGGTTCAAGGTGGCGGGGTAAGAGAAGTGGAAGGAAACGGCTCTTTTGAGGCTAAGCAGGAGCAAAGAAGAGGTTCTAAGATATAAGAAAAGGGAAGCATAAATCACTCTTTCCTGCAACAAAATCAAACTACTGCTCAGGCTCCAGGAAAGAATGTCTCTGTTGACCTAATTCTTTAAGGCTTTTCCTACCAATTTGTTTTCTACTGGTTAAGGGGGAAGTTCTTCAGCTCAGCTTTTGGAGACTTACAGAATCTTCCCAATAGAGGCTGTCTCAACAGTGGCCAACAGAACTCTCATGAGTATCGGTTGCAAAAGATCTTACACACAATACACACCCTCGGCTGGATCTTCTAACAGAAGTCATGTTGCCAAAAGCCCAAAGATCAAACCCAGTTTTGGACAATGGAACTTTCTATGCATGGCCACTAGCCACCTGTGACTATTGAGTACCTGGAGTATTGCTATGGTGCAGATGAGGAAGTGAATTTTTAATTTAATTTTAATTAATTTAAATAGCCAAATTTAGACACTGGCTACTGTACTGAACAGTGCAGCTCTAGCCTCCAACTGCTTAGGGAAGGTGGAAGACTGGGCAAATGAATCCACAGGCACTCGTGAGTGTGCCCAGAGCCACAGAGGAAGGATGCCACCTTGGAAGGCGGCCCAGAAGATCATCTGGCCTCCTTGAAAGTTCAAGACGCTGTGGCTTTGGTTCTGGCACACGTGCTGCTATCGATGGTTATTCCTGTCTTACAGGTTTCCCTGGGCCCTGACAGTCATTTCACAAGTATTTGGTGAGCTCCTTCCTGTGCCCTACCTTATGCACTGAAGCACTGAGGATACAAAAGTAAATCATTCAGGGTCCTAGCCCTCAGGAAGCCCCCAGCCTGCATATGAAAGGGAAGGAGGGGCTTAAATAGCAGAAGGGAAGACAGACGAAGGAGGATGGGATCAGAGAATAATGAACCTTGACAGCCATGGGCGACAGACATGACTATCCCCCCAAAATGTCACCGTTTCTCCTCCATAGTGTGGAGCTGTTGCTAAGGCTCTACTTGCCAGCCTTCCTTTCATCCAGCTTTGCCACATGACTAAGTTCTCACCCATGGGACATGAGCAGGTGATACGTATTCCCACTGGGCCTGGGCTTTTAAGAAGTAGATGGGCTTTTCTCATTCTCTCTTCCTTTGGCAGCTACAGGCAGAAGACCCTGAAGCCCTAAGGGAAGACAGAAAGATGACAAGAAAGAATGAGCCTGGATTCCTGAGTCACACCATGGAGGAAAGCTCCCCACCAACCTTTTCTAGATTATGCATGAGAATAAACTTCTATTCTGTTAAGCCATTGATGTTTGGTGTTTATTTTGTTACAGCACCTTGTGTTACCTTAACTAATACACCACACAAAGTAGGACTTTGGTCTTTATGATACAGGCACATCATATAAGCAGAGACACATGACACAGGTACTTCGAAAGTGGTACTGTGCAAAAGACTGAGTGGGAATGAAAGAGTAGAGACAGGAATGTCAGAGGAAAGTACTGCAGGGACCTGGTTAGAGAGTGGAAAGGAAGATCGAAAGAAGAGCATGGCATCCTTTAGGACTAGGTATGAAGAAAGAGACAAAACCAACCCTGAGACTTCCAGACTGGGAGCTGGATGGATGATGACTCCCACCACCAGCCTAGACAGAGGCCAATGAAGAGGAACACGCTAGGGGGTTCAGCAGCCCCGAACTGCTAATGTTCACTCACCTGGGTGAGAGCTGTGACCCTGTTCCCCATGTCTGGGAGAATGGGAGGCTCATCGCCCACTTGAAAGTCAAAGTAGACGGTCTTGTGAGAGAAGGTGGAAAACTCATTACTGAAGCAAAACTGATAAACGCCCTTGACTTCAGCCCGGTACGTGAAGCTGTCGTACTGCTTCTTCGTTTCTCTGTAGATGGTGTTCCCCTGGGGGTCCTCTACATAGCAGTCAACATCGTAGTGGCCTCCAGTGATGACCTGACAACCATAAAAAAATTGCTGTTATCAAAGGAGCAACCACCACTTACCAAATGCCAACCAGACACTGTGATCAGACTCTACAAACATTTCTGTCACTTCATCTTCAAAACTTTCTAAGGCAGGTGCTACGCCACTTCTCATTTTACTAAGGCTGAGCAAGGTTAAATAAATTGGCTGTGGTCACACTGCTTGAAAGTGAAAGGGCTAAGATTTGAATCTATGCCTGCCTGACTCCCAAGTTTGCTCTGCAGGGTTTCAATGAGCCTAATCCTTTCCATTTTACAGAAGAAGAAACTGAGGTTCCAAGGTTAAGTAAATTCCCTAAGGTTACACAAGAGAAAGTGGTGAGATGAGATCTGCCTTGAGAGCTTTTGGTTCCAGTGCCTAAACATTTACCTATTGCACTATTCTGAAGCATGAATGAACATACCCCAGGATAACTGCTCTTCCTGAGATGGTGCTGATAAAGCTTCCCGAAATCAAGAGCAAGATGAGGAGGGATGTCCAAGAAACTATTCCAATGCAACTAGATGCCACCGATTCTTTATCTTTGTTCAATACTTAACACAAGACACACAGCAAATCACTGATTTAGGGCACTGCCACTCATTAGCCATGTGACCCTAGACAAGTTACTTTATTCTCTGAGGATATGTCTTTATCCATGAAGTGAGGAGTCAATAAGTTATCACACCTAAAGTGTTTAGCACGGTGTCCAACATAAATTTAGCAAGGGCCCCAAAAGTGCCAGCCAATTACTGGACAATCGTCAGACTGCAAACTAACCCCCTGGGGTTGCAGTGGAGATGTGGGATCTGATTTGGGGGCCACCCTAGAGCATGCATGCTGCACCTCCTGCTTCTCCGTTCCAATAACAGACAGGTGTTCCCCCTCCCCCCACCAGCAAGGGTCATTCTTGGCTTGCTGAATGGGTCAAGTAGCTATTAACAATATATTATTAATGACTGAATGCAAGGAGAAGAAAAATATTGATCGAAGTATTCATGGAATTTCTGAGTGTCAGCGGTGGAAGAGTCTTTGGGAATCATTTAGTTCAAACTCTCCTTGTAACATAAGAAAAATAAGACCCACATAAAGCAAAATCTCACAGGTAGGCAATGGCTATAACCAAGATCCATCAAAGGACACGGTCAATGGCCTCCATCTGCTTCCAAATTTAAATGGCCTCTTTGTCCGGACAAAAGTTACTAGTCCTGCTCAGCAAGCTTTGCAAAAAGCAGTGAGTATCCTGTTGCTAAGTGTGTTTAAACCCAGGCTGGACACACTTTGACAAGGGATTTCCGCCCTGGCAGTGACCAGATGACATCTGAGGTCCCTGCAACCACAGAATTATCATTCTTTTTGTCATTGCACCTAGGTTGCCCATGTTAACCCAGTCACAATTTGCATGTTGTCCACAAAGACCTGAAAGTGGACAAATCAGTGACTGAGACTACCACATAGAAGTTGTCTCCAAGCGCAAGCTTCCTTCAGTGCCTCTAACCACAGAGGAACTGGTCAAATAGCTTGCCCCCATTCCTGCTGCCCGTGGCCCCTCATTTCTGAAGTGCCTATCAGCATGCGTCCACAAGCAGATAGCTGTCTGAGTATGATGCCCACTTGGCCCCCAACCCTAGACCTGCTCACTAAATATCGGGGCAGACTACTCACTCAAGACCTGCTCCTGTCACCTGTGGGCCACGGGATCTCTCAAAGGAGACAGGAATACAGGAACTGAGCTTTTCTAAGCCATATGGCAAGAGCCAAGTCTTGCAGCCACACCGCTCCTTGTAAACACCGCCAGGCCTCAATGGCTGCACTGATCCCTCCTTTCCAAAGTGCCCATTCTCACTTCTGCTGCCCTCACCTCACTCCAACTTTAAACGCTGGAGAGGGGAGGAATAAACTAAAACTATGAGCCCACTTCCTCTTGCTGCCATTTTTCAGTACTCGAAGGCACAAGGTGGTCTAAGAGACTGGGGTTAGAGAGCCTGTGTCCAGCCGATCAGAACTGCCGTTGGTTAGTGTCTCGGGGGCCTGCGGATATCTCTTTGGCCAGCTCCCCAGGCTGCGGGATCCGCCCTGGCGTCCCCATCCCGGGCTCGCACCTGCGGCGCTGACTACCTCCTCGCTGGCCAGGCTCGTCTCGGGTGGGCCCTGATGACCCAAACCTTCCTCCTCACGGGGAAGTCAACTGGTCTCCGGGGACTCCCACCCCATGCAGCCTCCCTGTAGCCTGTGGCTAATTCGAGCGCCTCCAGTCAGGGGCTAGCCAGTGTCCAGGTGAGACCTGGGAGTGGAGGGAGAAGGGAGCGCTGCCGGGCGCCCGGCCTCACCTGGTAATCCAGGGAGAACTTCACGCCCTGCTCCACCTCCTCGTGGAAGCACTGCTTGGCGTTGTCCGGCAGCTCGAAGGTGAGCTCGGCCCCGCAGGGCTGCTCGGCCCGGCGCAGGAGCAGCAGCAGAAGCAGCACGGAGGCGGAGCGCGGGACAGTGCTGCCCATGATGCTCTCGGTCCCGTCTCGAGGGCCGCGGCTCGGGCGCTGCGCCCCCGGCGGGCTGGGGCGACGACTACCGACCGGGTCCTAGGAGGATGTAAGGGGATAGACGTGGCACCAGCGGAGCTCTGCGCTTCCGGGAGGGCCGGCGGCTCAGTGCGCAGCCGCGCGCTCAAAGTGGGCCCGGGCACCTTCCGCCCGCTGCGCGTGCGCGCTGGCCGCGCTGCGCCAGGGGACACGCCCCCCCCACCCCCCCGCAACGCCTCTCCCGGCTCGGAGGGTGGGTCTCCGCGGAGGGGAGGTGGGGCTCCACCTAGCGCGCCCCTACCCAGAAGAGGGAGAAGCCCTCCCCGCTGTTCTGCGCGCTCCCGGACCCGCAGGGCTGAGCATCCCCCCAGGTCGACCCAGGTCCACCCTCCAGCTGCTGCAGCACGAAGCACGTGGGATTTTACTCCCTCTATAAGGCTCCGCTTTTGACAGGCTCTGTAACTTCAGTCTCACACTTCCCTCGAGAACCAGTCTCCTTGTCTTGAAATGGGTGTGCCCAAACCTAACATCCACAGTAGTTAGGGAGCTAGGTGAAAGATAAGGGAACGCTGGGAACCCGATTAACACTCCTTTCTTCATTCCCATACCCTTCCCAAGGTGAAAGAGTGTGCGAAGGGGGTGGGGAGTGGGGAGAGTAAGTAAAGACCCATCATTACACCTGCTCTGGGAAAAACACGAGCGTGCTCACACACAAACGATCTCATGAAAATCCAAGTAAAGTCTCGCAGCGACTTCAGGTATATTTTGGCTGTCAGGCTCGTTGAAAATTCTTTTTGCACAAAACTGTCATTTTTGCACTTTGACTTCTTAAAAGCTCTGAAAGCAGATAAATTGGTTTACTGTCTTACCCATGACCACTGACTTAAGATTCTTTTGTATAATCGTAACTATAGGTATAGTTTTATATTCACTGTGATCCAATAAACAAAGAGAAAAGACGTAGATTGTGATGTCGATACTCAATAAATAACTTATTCAGGAGAGCATTACTAGACGTGGTATATCTTGACTTCAGGAAAGAATGTTACTGCCCATATAGATTTCCGCTGGCCACATTCACTATGGATGAACACGCTAATGTGTGAAAGCAATCTGTAGGCTTGGAAATAACATGCATGCATAACATAGTTAATAATATTGACTGGCTCAGTGACAGGCATGGAAGAGGTGTTTAGTAGTGTCCCTTAAGCTTCCTTCCCTGGCACGGTCCTATTTCACGTTTTTTTTTTTTTTAGGAACTGATAGAAAACATGGAAGTAATAATCATCTGATCTAGATGAACTAAGTGGAGAAATAAATGACAGATATAAAACCACAATTGGCCGGGAGTGGTGGCTCACGCCTGTAATCCCAGCACTTTGGGAGGCTGAGGCGGGTGGATCACGAGGTCAAGAGATCGAGATCATCCTGGCCAATGTGGTGAAACCCCTTCTCGACTAAAAATACAAAAATTAGCTGGGGGTGGTGGTGCGTGCCTGTAGTCCCAGCTACTCGGGAGGCTGAGGCAGGGAGGCAGGGGTATTGCTTGAACCTGGGAGGTGGAGTTTGCAACCTGGCGACAGAGCAAGACTGCGTCTCAAAAAAACAAAACAAACAAACAAAAAAAAAACACGATTGCCCTGGCACAGGTGGAGTGCTCTGCTAAGACTAACAAAAAGAAATTTCGGGCTGGGCACCATAGCTCATGCCTGTATCCCAGTATTTGGGGAGGCTGAGGCAGGAGGATTGTTTGAAGCCAGGAGTTCGAATCTAGCCTGGGCAACATAGTGAAACCTCGTTTCTACAAAAACAAACAAACAAAAATTAACCAGGCATGGTGGTGTGGGTCTGTAGTCCCAGCTACTTGGGATGCTGAGGTGGGAGGATTGCTTGACACCAGGTGTCTGAGGCTACAGTGAACTGTGATTGCACTACTGCACTCCAGCATGGATGACAAAGGGAGACCCCATCTCTAAAAATCAAAATAAATTCCTCCGGATTAAATGTTAAGTCTTACATTTAAGTTCCAAGAAAACACCTGCATAAGTTCAGGGGAGGAGCTGACATTGAAGAAGCTCTAGTCAGAGCATGCAGGCTGTTGGCTGGGACACCTCGGTTCTCCTCCAAGCATCCTCTTACATCTAATAGGCTAGATTACTTCCTTATATGGCAGGTTCAGGGCAGCATCCCAAGAGGAACTAGGCAGAAGGAGCAAGGCCCCTGAGACCTAAGCTTCAGACCTTTTCCAGTATGACTTTCTCCACATTCTGTTGACCAAAGCAAGTTCAAAGGCCAGCCCAGATTCAAGGAGGTGGAAAAATGGAATCTACCTCTGGATTTGAGGAGTTGCAAAGTCACATTGCAAAGGAGGGTCATACTGGGATGGAAGGAATTATGGCTGTTAAGCCATCTTCTATAGTATCCAGACTCACTCAGCTTGTCAATGGCTAAGCCAGAAAGTGAACCCAGATCTGCTTAATTCTGAAGACTACCAGCTTCCCACTAAACACACTGCCTCTACCCATACCTCAGGGAACACTTGTCCTACATGTTCCATAGGGCAAACCTTGGACCAAAGCATGAATCTGACACTGAGGCACATTTCAGCTCACACAATAAATGATTTTCTGGAACCAGAGATTTCCAAAAATAGAATGGACAAGGATAGTACATTTTTCATACCCGAAAATATTCGAACAGATGCAGGTGAACAACCAACCACTTAGCAACAACAGAGATGATTCATGAGCCTGGGTGACAGATAATAGTGGTGTATGACCTCTACGGTTCCTTCCAACCTTGATATTGCATGATATATGGCAAATATTGCGTGATATATGGTACTAAAGGTAGGATAACTTGAAAGAAAAACCAAAAATGTTTTCTATCCACTTTAGTCCTGGGGTGACTTCTGTAAAGTCCTTTTAAAACAGTAAATAAAAGAAACACACACATAAAAATAGTAAATAATAAATATTAAAACAGTAAATAAAAATGAGGATCTTAACAGATGCAGGAAAAAAAGCATGTGACAAATTCAACATCCATTCATGATAAAAACTCTTAGCAAAACAGAAATAATAGACAACTTCCTTAATGTCATAAAATGTAACAAATTTAGAGCAGACATCATGATTAATGATAAACATGTCTTTTCCTTCAAATTTGGGAATAAGACATAAATGCCTGCTATCACAACTGCTATTTAACATTGTCCCAGAAATTCTAGCAGGAAAGGTTAGGCAAGAAAAAGAAATAAAAGGACAAGAATTGGATATATAAACATCCAAATAGTGCTTATATCTAAGGGGAAGGAAAATGCAGAAGTCCAGAAGGGGCACCCAAGAGAGACTCATGAATGTTCACATTCTGACTTTCATTAACTGAACACTTAGGTTTTACTTCTCTAAGTATGTACAGATGCTCCTCGGCTTACAATGGGGTTATGTCTGAATAAACCTATCATGAATTGAAAACATCGTAAGTTACGTGTGTTATGATGAGATGGGCAGTATAAGGTGGACCCATCTGTGCCCTAAAGCAGAACTTTATCATTGCTTCATGCAACAGGAGCACTCCCTAGCATGCTATTAGTATGTTGAAACAAAATCAAAGTTTATCCATGCCTCATGCAGGTAATTGATGGTGAAGGAAAAAAGCAACACAATCGCTGTGTGGATTGACTAAAGCAAATGGAAACTTTGCAAACCGCTTAACGTTGCCATGGAGCTATAACCAATACCAGCTTTTCCCTGAACAAACCAGTCAGAGACAGGTGACACACACTGCCCTCCTGAGACTCACAAACTTCCCCAGAACAACTGTTTCTGTGGCTGTCAAGCATTTAACTATCCTTCCTATGGGTAAATCCCAAACTAGGTGAGAAACCAGCCTCCCTCTCATCACAGAGCAAAAGAGGGGCAGATAGTCCCTCTCCCTCTGCTCCCGGGTCCCAAGGTATGTGGGCATGGGATCCAGGCTCTGCCAACTGGGTGCCCTTGTATCTGACTCGGGGGGGCGGGTGTCTAGAGAGGTAGAAGCAGAGAGTATAATGGTGGTTACCAGGGGCTAGGGGGTGGGGGGCTTGGGGAAATGGCCAATGATTACAAAATTTCAGTTAGATAAGAGGAATAAATTCAAGAGATCTATTGTACAACATGGCATCTATGGTTAATAATGTAGTCTATACTTGAAAATCACTGAGAGTACCTTTTAAGTGTTCTTGCCACAAAAAAAATGATATATGCAGTAATATATATGTTAATTACCTCAATGTAGCCTTTCTACAATGTATGCATATTTTAAAACATTATGTTGTATACTTCAAATATACATAATTTTTATGTGAATTAAACAAACAAATTTAAATTTGAAAAAGAAGAAGAATGCTTCAATCTTTAAGCTTTGGACAGGAAAATATTGTGACTAAATGACTACAGAATGATCTTTAAAAATTGAAAAGCTTTTTGCAATTCACACATTATGTTGGATTCATGGAAATGACTCATATTCTCCCTTGAGTGTGAGGTAAAGAAACATTAATATCTTAAATATAGGAAGAGAATAATCCATGTGCCCACTCACCATGCATGAATTATATTTTCCTAGTGCTAAAAATTCAAACTTCTTCTTACCCCATTGGGTCTTTGTTTCTATATAAATAAGTATAATTTATTCTGCTTTTAAAAAGAGAAAAAGAAAAAAACATCATATAACTTATTATCTTTGCTGTAACATGGTGGAATGGAAAGATAATGAAATTCAAGACCCAAAACCCTGGCATTAATGTTTTGACATTCTGTCCTTGTCTGGGAGTCCACGTCTGAAACTTTAAAATAGAGGTTGAGGTTGGGGATTGGGTGAGTTGATGCCAAAGGTTTTCTTCTTCCAATTATCAAGACTTTTAATAATTTCAAACAGTGAGCTTGGGCTTCTTTTCTTCAATTTAAAAGAAAAACATAAAGAAAATAAGAAAAATTAAGGGAGGAAGGGAAGAAGGGAGGGAGAAAGAATGGAAGGGAGGAAGGGAAGGCAAGGAAAGGAAGAGTAGCCTCATACAGTCTATGTATTAGTGAGGATAAGATATTCTGCAGTAAAAATCAACCCCCAGATTAAAGAGAGAGCTGTTTTCCTTTCTCTTTCTTTCTTTTTCTTTTCCCTATTAAACCTCCACTCCTAAACTCCTAAACTCCTAAAAAAAAAAAAATCAACCCCCAAATATCAGGACTCAGCAAAAGTTTATTTCTTATCCCTTCTATGTTTTTCACAGGTTCAAAGGCAGAGATCTCTTCCATGTAGTCCTTCAGGGAACCTGACTGACAGAGATCCCCATAATCTTGAAATTGTTTCACCTGAAACACACTTCTCCTCCGCCACAGCAACAGGGGAAGAGAATGTGAGAAGATCTCTTATCAGCAATTACATGCATCAGCTTAGAAGAGACACACACATTGCTTTCACTCGTAACCTATCATCTTGAATTGATCTCATGGCCCTACTAAATCCCAAGGTGAATGAGATTTGTCTTCCATGTGTCCAGAAGGAGAGGAAAACTGAATGGTGGTGAATACTGGTTCTGTTTGCCACATCACGGTAAAACGAGTAATAATAAAGACATAAAAAAGACTTGCAGTTTCTGGTAAAGACAAGTTAGATTATTTGAACATAAATTTCCCCTAAAAACAACTAAAAATACAACTTTAAAAATGTTTTCTGGGAGGCATCAAAAAGCTGGCAAGAGAGTAAAGAATTACCCCGCCAAAATTGAAGGGAAAACAATAATCTAGAAAGAGAAGCATTCTCAAAAGTTACTTTTCCCATGAGGGCATTGGCCAATCCTGAACATTTTTGAATTTTCATTTTTTACAGTCTCACAGGGAGAGTGGACAAAAACCAGAGCCTTAAGGAAGTTGAGGGCTCATCATTTCACTTTCCTGCTCAGAAACTGTTACCGTCACTTGCTACATTAAATTCAAACTCCTGCCTTCACAGAAACAGCACATCCTCTCTCATCCTGACCATTTCAACTCATCCCAACCATCATCTCTATTCTACAAGGTCCAGTCTCCATTTGGGCCCCACATGCTATGGCAACCATGGTCATCTCCAACTCCGTGGCTGTGCTTGTGTTATTTATATGTCCAGAAGGATCTGCCAGATCCATTTGGGAACCCCATCCCACTCACACTCTCTACAAAACCTCTCTCTCCTAGAGCCTATGATGCCCTCCCCTCTACCTTTATATAATCATTCTTTGATTCTTCCTACTGTTTCAGGGGAATTCCTTATGGTACTTTGGTAAAAATTGAGGCTTGACATACAATACCTTGCATATATTTAAAGTGTACAATTACGTAAGTTTTCACATACACCTGTGCAGCCATCATCTCAAGCATGAAATAAACAAATCTATTTCCCACTAAGGCTTTCTCGTTCTTTTGTAATTCCTTCTTCTGTTGCTCCGCATCCTTGTCCTCTGTTCCTGAAACCATTGATCAGCTTTCTATCACTATACAATAGTTAGCATGTTCTAGAATTCTGCATAAATGGAATCATAAAATAGCACTTTTTTAGTATGACTCTTTAATCTTTGCCTAGTTATTTTAAGATTCATCCATGTTGTAGCAGATGCCAAAATTCATTCCTTTTTATTGCTGAGTAAAATTCCATTGTCCATATATGTATGAGTTTACTTCTGGTCTCTCTAATCTATCCATTGATCTGTTTGTCTATCTTTATGTCAATACCATACTGTCTTGATTACTGTAGCTTTATAATAAATGTTGAAATCATGTAGAGCTAGTCCTCCAACTTCATTCTTTTTTAAAGCTGTAGTGGCTATTGTAGGTCCTTTGCATTTCCAAGTGAATTTTATAATCAATTTTTTAATTTATAGAAAAATACCTGCATAAATAAAACAAACATATATATGTACAACCGGTTTTTCATAAAGGCACAAAAGACAACTCATTCAACAAATAGTGCCAGCAAAATTAGATATACATATGCAAAAAAGATGAACTTGGACCAATATCTCACACCACATACAAAAATCAATCCAAATGGATCGTAGACCTAAATGTAAAACCAAAAGATATAAAGCTTTTAGAAGAAAAATTGACAAAATATTTATGACCTTGAATTAGGCAAATATTTCTTAGATAAGACACCAAAAACACAATCTGTGTAAAAGAAAAAATTGATAAATTAGATTTTTAAAAATTCAAAATTTTTGCTTTTTAAAAGATTATGTTAAGAGAATAAAAGGACAAACCACAAACTGGAACAAAATCTTTGCAAAGCATACACTGTTAAAGGATGATCCAAAAGATATAATGAACGCCCAAAACTCAACAATAGGAAAACAAATAGCATAATTGTTTAAATGAGCAAAAGATTTGAACAGACACTTCCTCAAAGATATATGGATATCAAGAAGCACATGAAAAGATGCTCAACATTATTAGTCATTAAAGAAATCAAAATTAAAATCATAATGAGATACTACTACACACCTAGAAGAATAGTTCAAATTAAAATGACTATAGCAAGTGCTGGTAAAGATATGAAGGAACTGGAACTCTCATACACTGCTGGTAGGAATGTAAAATGATACAATCATTTTGGAAAACAATTTTATAGTTTCTTAAAAATTAAATATCTATCTACCATTTGATTCAACCATCCCACTCCTAAGTGTTTACAAAATAAAAAAAAAGGAAGCATATATCTGTTCAGAAACTTGTATATGAATTGTAGCAGCTTTATTTGTAAAATCCCCAAACTGGAAACAACCCAACTGATCATCAGAAAGTGAGTGGATAAACAAATTGTATTACAATGTAATACTGCTCAGCAATAAAAAGGAATGAACTAGGGATACAAGAAACCACATGGGTGAATCTCTAAATGATTATGTTAAGTGAAAGGGCCAGATGCAACAGAGTACATGCTATAGATTTTCACTTATATAAGACTCTAGAAAATGCAAGTTAATATGAAGTGACAAGAAGCAAATCAGTAGGTGCTGGGGATAAGATTCAAAGGGGATGTGCAGACTTTTGGTGGCAATGAAAATGTTCATTATCAGTGAGAACACATGGACGCAGAGAAGGGAACAACACACACCAGGGTCTGTTGGGGGGTAGGGGATGAGGGGAGTGAATTTAGAGGATGGGTCAATAGGCGCAGCAAACCACACTGGCACATGTATACCTATGTAACAAACCTCCATGTTCTGCACATGTATCCCAAAACTTAAAGTAAAATAAATTCGAAAGAAAAAGAAAAATATGAAAATGTTCATTATCTTAATTGTGATGATGGTTCACAGTGTATACATATGTCAAAAGGATCAAATTGTACATTATATTCACATTATTGTATGTCAATTATACCTCAACAATGCTGCTCAAAATAATATGTAAATAATTTTATTCCAAAACACGTATTAATTTAGAAACAATGGATAATTTCTTAGAATAATGTATCCCTCCAAATCTGACTCAAGAAGAAATATAACACCCGAATAGCTAGGAGTGGTAGATGCTGTTTGGGTGCCCTGTACAGATTCCCTTTACCAGATAGCTCACTCATCCCCAGCTGCTCTGTTAACTGCTAAGTTTTTACAGCTTCCCCCTTCTCCCAAGAATTACCCTAAATCTGGGTCAGAAAAAAATAGCATCTTCTCCTCAGCCCACAGTCTATGACTGACTAAAGCAAGAATAAAAATGGGAGCCCCCTTGCACTAAAGAAGGACAATTCTGCAGCAAGATGCATTCTCTCTACACTCCTCCTCTGGGAATCCAGCCAAAGCTAGACCTTACCTGAGATCACCTCTTTCTGGGCCTTTCCCTCTTCTCAATCCTGCTTCCCTACCTTCCTTAGAGGTTTTCCCTGAAGATCACTCCCTCAATACAACACAGCAGCCCAAATCACTGTCCCAGGTGTTGGTTTACCAAACCCAACTTAACCCCTACAACCATTAAGTAAATACAATTAGTATTTAAAATCGGAAGCTCAGGTACGTGATAAAAGAGAGGGCTCTGGACATAGATTGCCAGACTGGGGAGTTCCAGTCCCAAACTATCACTTCCCAGCTGTGTGACCTTGGGCGGGTCACCTAATCTCTCTAAGCCTTGGTTTCCTCATTTGTGAATGAAGACAATAATCATACCTACACACTATGAACATGTATGTATGAATGTGTATGGATGAATGCACACACACACACACACACACACACACACACACACTCCCCCACCTGGTCCAGATGGTTTTACCAGCAAGATCTACTTACAAGAAAAACCTGTGCGTACGCAATCAAGAAACATTTCATTCCAAACTTAAACTTTTTGAGAGAATATAAAATGAGGGATCACCCCCCAGTTCATTTTATGAGGCTGGTATAAACCTGATATCAAGTCAGACAATGAATATGAAATGGCAAAACTCTAGGCTAATCTCATTTATAAGCACAAATCCAAAAAATCATAATCAAAAGATTAGTTTTGCTTTATTCATTTTGGTTTTGTGTGTATGCTATAAGGACCCAATTTCATTTTTGTTTCATATGGAAAACAAATTGTCTCATCACCATTTATTGACCTGCAGTGCCACCTCTATCATATCTAAATTTTCCACCTATTCAAGGTCGTGTTCTAGGCCCTCTGTTCTGTTTTTGTGGGTCAGTTTATCTATTCCTGCGTCTTATCACAGTATTTTAATTACTGTAACTTTTTAAATCTTGTCATCTAGTACCATCATCTTCCAAATATCATTACTATTCTTCAAAATTGTCTCAGCTATTTTCAGTTCTTTGCTCTTCTCTATGAATTATAGAATCATTTGTCATTTTTAATGAAAAATCTCATGGATATTTTCACTGTAATCACATTAGGGGAAACCAAGTTATGCTATCCCAGCAATATCTGATGGTGTGGGGAAAAGTATCATATTCACAATAATGCTTGCTACCTAGTAATAGGATGAAAAAGAAATGTATATGATCTCTATGAAGAAAACTAAACACTTTAATGAGGGATTAAAAAATGAAGATGAACTTTTTAGAGTAACAATTTCTGTTTCTGGATTGGAAGATTTGATCTTTTAAAAATGTTAATTAGTACCAAATAACTAAATGATATCATAGAATCCCAATCATAATCCCAGTACAATTTTAATACTTAATAAAATGATTTTAAGAAATAATTTGTCCAGTGAAGAGAATTGAGAGTCGACTTGACCCACAATTTGTGAAAGCAAATTGAAACTCTACAATAATTTAAATGATGTGCTGTGATGCTGGTACAGAAAGAAAAATACATCAATGGAATGTCACAGAATGAAACAGAATGGGATGGGTGAGTTCAAAAATTTTAAAATAAAGAATTTAGCATATGATATCATATTATAAAGATGGCATTTCAAATCAGTGAGTGATATAAGGATGCTTTTGGCTTTAAGTAAACTAAAAACCAACTACAGCTATATTAAATGATACAAGAATATATTATCTCACATAACAGGAAGCTCAGAGGTGGTGTGGGCTCCAGGCATTACATCATCAGGATCCCTTTCGCTGCTCTCCTCTTGGCTCTGCTTTCTTTTTCTTTATCCTTAGACTCTATTCTCCTATTGTTACAAGAAGATTGTCAAACCAAACTGCTGAACAAACAAGCAAATAAACAAATAACGTGTCTGTTTGGTCATGTCCAGTAAAAGGATGTCCTTCAGTCATGGGATGAATGTCCTTTTGTTCCCTCAATTGGCCTGACTTAGATCCTGTACCCATCTCTGGATCCAAGGCATTGATAAGGGGAAAGCCATGTGCTAACTGGCTTATACTGGAGCCCTTAACCAATCACTGGTAAGGAGAATGGAATTGCCATGACTAATTTAGAACAATCATGTCTTCTCTTTGAGCTGAGGATGGGATCGGCTTCCCTTGAGTCAAAAAGGCTGCAAAGATAGAGGGTGGCTACATGAACAAAGTCAGGATCTGATAGGAAGGAGAAGGAGGAATCAAACTGGGGAGGCAACCAATGGTGCCTACTGCAGCAAAAACAGGATTAACTACTATTAAATTGTAATAGAGTAAGAAAAATTAACTTAGACCCTTAACTTTCAGGCATCCTTTGTGTCTAAGACCAGGAGTGTCTGTGATGCTGCCAGAGGAGACAGATGGCTCTAGAAGGGAGATCCAGGTGGTCTTATTTCATCAGGCTGATATTTGGATAGGTTCACATTGTCAGGACTTCGACCTCTCCTATCTTTTAATCACCTCTTTCCCTTCTCTTCCACTTTCCTCCAATTCTCATGCATAAGGATTATATTTTCCTTCATTGAGGACCACTAGATTTTTGTACTATGATTTCAAAAGGTACCCTTGCACAATCTCTGCTAGAATGGACCACAGAATCGCTTTTAGTTTAGAAGTCTGGGTGAGAATTGTCAGACTATTTTCCTGTGTTGCAGTAATCAGATATTGTTATAGCTATAAAACACTGGCCTCTTTTGATTTCCTGAGGCCCATTCCCTATTTTTAGCATTCATTGCCAGGCAAATTATGTGAGGCAGATCCTGTCCTTCCCACTATGCGCATGCCATTTTGTAACTCAGACTAGAAGACACGGAATGCTATGAATTTCGCTGTATATTACCTTTGGATGTAGAAATACCCAACTTTTTTAGTTTTCCTTAGTAAAAGTAAAATTGATCCTAGGTTCATCTCCTTCTAACAAAGATGACAAGAAAGTCATCTCAGTCATCGTGGACCTCTCCCCGCTCTGTTCTGTGGAAGTCTTCAACAGTTCATAGCATTCAATTTCAGGGAGCCCGTTGATCTTCATGCTCATTAATAACCATGCTGATGTGTTCATTATCCAAGCAGCAGGGTTTCTTCAAGGCAGGTGACTCAGATGCCTTCCTGCCATGCTTAACACAGCCCTGCCTAGGAAGATGCACCATATGCCACTCCTCTCTAAGGTTTTCCTCTGAAAAGGAGCAAGTTCCACTCAAAAAACCCCAAACTTCTAAGCCTTTAGACAGACAACTCCAAGTTTGTTTTGTTTGATCATCAATACTTTTGTTTGGAATATTCAGATAAATTTCTAGCAATTGTAATTATAGAAATGGTATAATATGTAGAGCTTATGTGACAGAACTGTTTACTTTACAAATGAGTTTAGAGATCAATATTTATAAAAATAACTGGGGATCTCAAGGAGATACTTGAGAAAGAATGAGTGACAAGGTCAAAGTGGCTGACCTTGGAGGAGGGAGTGCATTCAATCTTGGGCATAATCTGAATTAGACTGTTCAGTGCCTCATAATCTCTCCTCAAAGGATCTAGAAACAATATGGGTCTCTTGCCTAAAGTTAGAAGTAGGGGAACAAACATCCTAAAACTAGTCCCTTTTTTTACTTAACTTAGTTTATTTCAGTAGTCTAGGAGCTAACCTAAGGGTAATCTCCAGAGTACCTGTTCTGGATTGGAACAGTCCAGAGAATCAGCGAGTCTGAATAAAATTTGAAGTACAGAGTACAAGAATTTAAGAGACCACAGAGACTGTTGAGCTAATTCACTTTATACTCGCTGTCCTGCCCTTGAATAAGAGCTCATGGAAATCAGCTTACATTAACACTTATGAACATTAGAAATAGGGCCCAAGGAGGGATATCCACTGACGATAAGTCCTTGCCATTAGCAGATGGCAGGTGCAGCCCTGGGGCGGTTGAGCAGCAGGGGCCAAGTAAAGAAACTCACCCCTCAGAGTGGCAATGCACCTTCTCATTCATTGGGCTGTGCTCTTTTTTTAACCAGGAAAGATACCATAATACTTGTGTGATTAAAATCTAATTTTGTAAATTATGTGTTCCTAAAATATTGGGTGTGTGGTTGATGTTACTAGGCAGTCACGTCAATTCATCTTAAGGAAAAGGTAATACTTATAATTGAGATTTCACTGAGAAAAAGTGGAAAATACTACTGAAGGATTGCAATATATCATTTATTGACATATTAGAAACATCTAAAAGGTGTCATTACATGGATTTTGATACATCTTTGAGCACATCATCAGCTTGA
Source organism: Homo sapiens (assembly GCF_000001405.40). NCBI lineage: Eukaryota > Metazoa > Chordata > Mammalia > Primates > Hominidae > Homo > Homo sapiens. Next base: position 79,298,141 of record NC_000015.10, on the reverse strand, counting down.
GACTAGGAAGGAACACTGTAGAGAATCAGTTCAAGCAGCACATGATACATCTGAGGCACCAACACACAAAAAGAAAGAAGGTCAGACACAACCTACATTTGCAAGGTACCATTTACTTGATGAAGTTCTAAGAGAGTTGACAATGGGCTTTTTAAAAAGAAAAAAAAAAGCTTTGGAAAGTCTAGAAATTAAACCAAAGGTCCAGACTTTAAACTTTAGTCTCACATTCTGTAATATATTTTGATAAACAGTCCAGAAATGCTTAAGCAGTTGAATTACCGAAACTACAGTTTGCAGCTAACTTATAAGTGACTCCAGGATTTCAAAAAGACAAGTTAACCTCTGATCTAGAAAGCATGTTTGAATCTAAAATATACTTTTAAAAAGCATTCTTGTTAGGTTCATTGACATGGACAAAATTGCGTATTTATGCATAATCTATGAGAAAGTATTTTGGTTGTTGTACTGGTATAGAACAGTCTAATTCGGCGAACTCATCGTCAAGTAGTGATGAGATAAGATACTAGCCTGATGACTGTCTATTGAAAGGCTGATGCAAAGGTCATGACTGACTGATGCAGGCAATGAGTGGCATGAGAGTACCTGATATTACACATTTGTGCAATGGACCGGCTATCCTGAATGAGCAACTCATCATGTTTGGTGTGTCACCTAAGCTAATTACTATAAATAGACCACATTCACTACTTAGGAAATATTGGGTTTCCAAATCTTAGCTAAAGGTTTAGAAAAAAAATGCTCCTATGCAGTGTCTTGCTATACTCACAACTGAATACTACCAGCAGAGATCAGTTTTAAGTGACACTAACAACAGCTGGAAAACTATGTAAAATGTGTTCTCTCTCTCTCTTTGCGTGTGTGTATTTGCATTTAATGAGCTGCTGAGAATGATGGTTGTCCGTATGATTCTCTCTTGAATGCATTGGAAAGTTGTTTCTTTGCCTGGGATCACTTCTACTTGGTAAGAACTATTAATGATTAAATAGTTCTGAAAAGAACAGGGTTGTCCACACTAAACCAAGTTCATGAGCTATAGATTTTTGCTAGTTTATGTGCTTTCCTTATTTTCTTCCCTTCCTACAAAGTATGAGACCATTAGCACACATGTTGGAGTGTGTTTGCCAAGAATCCTGAAGGCCCAACACTAGTATTGATTAGTCCTCTTACTAAAGCACAATTTGAATTGTCTTAAGTTAACAGGAGGGCATAGCTGTCCAGTCAGCACTCACATTTCCATACAGCTTTGTTGTTCTTGACATATACGATAGGTCTAGCAGTAGAGATCAACGAAGGTGATGCACCCAGGAGACATCTGGCCACGTCTAGAGACATTTTTGGTTGTCACAACTGGGGAGAGGGTGTTACTGCCATCTAGTGAGTGGAGGCCAGAGATGCTGCTAAACATCCTACAACACACAGGACAGACAGCCCTCCAAACAACACCGAGTTTTTTTGTTTAACCATCATTAACACTTTTGTTTGGAATATTCAGATAAATTTCTAGCAAAGGTAGTTATAGAAAAATTATATAATATGTAGAGTTTATATGGCAGAATTTTTTACTTTACACATGAGTTTAGAGATCGGTACTTATAAAAATAACTGGGGATCTCATAGAGATACTTGAACTTTTCCAGAGAAACTTTATTCCATTTTGTGTAGCGTATGTATTATTTGAGATATTGCTTCAGCAGTCTCAAGAAATACATTAAAATTAGCTACTTCTTATCCAGTGACTTCTACCTGTGCCAGGCACAATGGCAGCACTTTCATACATTGTGTCATTTAATTCTCATCACAACCTTGTAAGGTGCAGCACTACTAATCCTATTTTACAGATGAGGGAACAGAGACTAAGAGAAGTTAAGCTGCCTCCTCAAGGTCACGCAGCTGGTAAATGATAAGACTGGTATGCAAACCCAAATATGTCAGACTCAAAGCCCTCTTTCCTCTATATGATGCTGTCCTCAGGAACTATTGAACTTTTTAACCATAGAGCAAATAGATCTCAGCAGCACGAGAGGAAACATAAATGGAAATAACCAAAAATATATTCATCTAAGATGTGGCTACATTATACCAAATGTGCTAAGTCTCTGCTTTCCTTCTTGGATTTGCTCAAAGCAGCCTAAAAGGGTTGTGCAGGTTATTTCTACAAATCTCTTCTCACCTAGATAGATCAGGAAGAGAAGAAACCAGATTTTTCTTCAATTATTTACATAACTGAAGGGGAAATGACAGTTTGCATCCCCTAAAATTTTTAGGCTGCAAAATGAATGGTCCTCACTGCTTCTCACCTGAGAACCACCCACTTTACCATTTAATCTATGCACATCTCATCCTCAGTTGTCATTCTGGTTTGGGAAGATCTCATCAACTTTTAAGAATAATCTGGAAATGCTTCTGATATTTTTAATCTATAATTGTATCACATTCAACTCCAAGTTAGTTAACCTTGACTGTTTTTCACAAGATTTCAATACAAGAGCCTGTGTCAGGGGACGGGTCTGGGGAAAGTTTCATTTCTGGAGCAAGATTTATCTCTAAGGCATCAGCTACTATGACATATCATAATTCAGGGGCCACATAGATGGGATATTTGGGTACTCAGAGCACATACAAATTAGTATGTGAACAAAATATATTACTGGATTACTGAACGAGTTCAACCACACCATGATTTACAGTGCCCTGACAGAGTCAGAGCCAGGACCCACAGGCCAGAGCCTCTTCCATGGGGGGAATTCTGCTTCTACTCCATCAGATAGAACCCAGACACCCAGATTTAGTCACTGAGGGTTTGGTTTGGGGCTTTTGTACATTCTAACAAATGTTAAAGCCTCGTTTTCTATGTAGGCACTTTATAGATTTATTACAAATGACATACTCCAAATACTACCTCCTGATTTAAATTCTTTTCTGTTTGTCTGATAGAAAACTACTGATGTCCCCAGCTTACATCATTGTACTTGCTGTGTTACCTTCAAATTCCAAAGGCTTTCTTCCTTTGCAGAATTTTTAAAAATTTATCTTCAAAACCCAATTATCCTGAGCTCTTTTCAAGTAGGCCTATAAAAACCCAGGGATTATTCTCAGAAGTGAAGCAGCATCCTGCTTTTATATCTTCTGAAGTGGCCACAGTTCAACATTAAGGAATGATCAGGAAGCAGTCTCATCCATAGTCCCTTCCATAAACTATATTGACTATTTTAAGCCTTTCTAAAGCTTCTAGGTCATGATTTCTTCAAAATCAGACAGCTGTTTCATTTGTTCAATTTGCATAGAATGCCTTCTGAGGAGCTTCTTTTTACTTCTTAAGTCAACTCTCTTTGGTGAACTTGGAGCAACAGGAACCATAGATTTTAAGCCACTAGCAAGAGAGCAAGAAGGTTTGCTGCTAGATCTAATATCTGGAATAGGCGGGTTCAGATTCACATTTAAAGGCGGCAGGAAGCCAGGCCTAGTGTGAGAAATGCGATCAAGGAGCAGAGTTCCAGAACCTCGTCGTTCTAGAAGATGTGGCGGCCTGCGGCGTGCTGAGCTGGGGGATGTGCTAGGTACAGTGTCCAGGGACTCCCGAGAGCCATGGAAAAGAGACAAGTGAGAGCTGTTGAGCTTCTTTCTATCTAAAGGTCCTTTGCCGGATTCAAGGGAAATGGAGTTGGGAGGGTCAGGCCCTGGCTGTATATCTAAGTCATAGAGGTCATTTTCCAGCCATTTGAGGGATGCAGGCTCTTTGAGAGCAGAGGGTCCTGATGGACCCATACCACATTTCTCTTGGTCAACAGGGAGAGTTCCTCTCCTGGCCAGACGTGGGTGGGGAGCCTGACCTTTCTCATAGGCTGCTTTCCAGGATGCCGGTGCTGAAGAGACTGGAATCTTCAGAACCTGCTCTGTGACTGTGTGAAAGAGGGTGGGGTCTTTGCTATCGATACTGTTGGTTCTGGAGAGGGGCCCCCTTTTAGGGAAGGATATATCACTGATGCTCTTGATGACCTCGTTGTCTGTGCTGGCACCATGGGTCTCATCCTGACGCGTCGAGGCTGCCAGCACCGAGGGCGCTATCAGGCCCCAAGGTTCAGACTGGAGCCTCTTCAGTTGAGGCAAACGGGCCCTTTTGAGATTACTGACTTTCCTGGTGGGTGACCCAGGCTCATTAACAGCCTTGGAGGTGTTACAACTGCTTGGATGCCCTGCTTGGAGGCTGAAGAAGTCATCTTCCTTCTCAGTGAGTGGAGAGTCCAGGCCTAGAGCCTTCAGCTCTATGTCAGAGGGAGACGCACACAGTGGAGGTGAATGCCTGTCTTCTACTTTGGGTGAAGGAGGGACATTAAGATACTGTTTGGTGGTTTTGGTGCCTGAAGACGATTTATCTGTTGTTATAATAATCACCTCCTTCCCTTTGGCTTTGCAGGCATCAAGGAGATGCTTCAATGCATCCTTGTCATCTGCATTTATTGCATAAACCAGAGCTGAAGCCCCAGTGCGATCTTCAAGGCTGGGGTCTGCTCCATTCTCCAGTAATAAGGAGACCACTTCTCCCCCAGCTCTTCTGATACAGGCATGGATGAGGGCAGTCTTGCCAGACTTATCTTGGATATTGGGGTCTGCCCTGTTGTCCAGCAGGTACTTCACCATCTTGGACTTGCTGATGCTTTGCTGGTCCACATGTTTGGTGATGCACGCCACCATGAGAGCTGTTTCGCCTTTGTCATTGCTTTCATTGATATAAGCTCCCCCTTCCAAGAGCAGCCTGGTCAACCTGAGCCTCCCCAGCCACACAGCCTTTAACAAAGAGTTTCCATCAGTCCTTAATTCAGTGTCATCATCCATCATATTGGCTACAGTTTAGAGGACCTGAGCCACAGTAGCAATCAAACCTAGCAAAGGAAGAAGAGGGAACAAATGTTATATGTTTTATAACAGATCTGTGCAGCATGGTTATTACGGGGTCTGGGTACAGTCATATCCCAACCTGATCCCAACTTACATTGACTTGGCCAACTTATCTAACATTGCTGAGTTAGTTTCTGCATCTGTAATAGTGTGTCATGACGCAGGGGGGGTGATAGTAGTAACCTACCTCATAGGGTCATTGTAAAGACTGCATAAGAGAGTGTGTATAAAACATCCACATGAAAAGCAGTTAACATAAAGCCTAACATAGAGTAAATATTTGTTTAAATGCAAGATGTTATTGTGTTGACTGCGCAGCACTTATCACAAATGTAGAACTCTACATTCCTTAGAAAAAGGTTTGCGATTATTTTCTTCACTGCTGTATCTTCAGCATTTGGCAATGATTCACATGTAGTGAATAGGTGGCCTCATAAATAATTGTTTAATGTGTTGTTGTTGGTGCACATCAAAAAGACTATTAGGAAACACACCAAAATGTCAATCCTTATTCTGGGCAGTGGGATTATGAGTGGTTCCGTATTCTTCTTTTTGCAGTTTTCCCAAAATAAATATGTATGATTATTGTAATGGGGGTTGATGAGGGAGGGACAGTGAAAACAACTGTAAAACCAAATCAATCTAGTTATCCCTTTCCAGGTTGTAGTCTTCACTTTTCCAGCAGATGTCAGAATTCATATTCTCCGTATTCAGAATAAAGCCATGCTATTCCCTTCCCTCTGGTTGAACTGATAGGAGGCAGAGAATGGAGAAGAGGATTGCATTTTTGTTCACAAATGTTAGGAAATAAAGCTCAGACCAAAGCTTTCTCAGCTGAGATTTGTCAAACCTGAGTTTTCTGTTTTGATTCTTTTGTAAGTTCCCTAATTCCCGGACTCAAAATCTTCAACGTATGTGTTGCTTGAGAGGCCCTTCACAAATAAGAAGAGATGGGTGTCCCAGTCTTGATGCCCTGCCAGCCCACGGGTACCACATTGGCCATGTCTCTGCCAGCACAGCACCTTCACACAGGCTTTTTGTGCCTCCAGGTTCCTAATGAGCAGATGGCTCATGTGGCCTACCTGCCACAATGCCTGAGTTTCCTCCTCATCTGATTCACATCATTCTTTCTCTTACGCTATTTGCCTGAGCAGTTATTTATTTATTTATATTACTCTATTTAGTTGGAAGGCAAAAGCTTTTCTTGGTTGAAATTGAGAAATGGCTATATATATCCCTTTGAAAAAACTAATACATGAATAGATACTTGTTATTTAAAACAAAAACCAAACTACATGTAAGTATATAAAGAGGAAGAGGTCTCCTTTATTCATCCCCCACTCCTCCTTGAAAACACTGTCCTCTTCAGAAGTAACCATGGTTAAGAGTCTAGTGTGTATCTTTCTGCTTCCTCAAATGCATTGTTCTGATAACTACATGAGTCTGATGTTGTTGTGTTTATGTGTTCTGCTAGATTTCCAGGAAAACTACCACCATTCAAGGGCACTGTGTGTTTATTAAATACATTGACAACAAGTCTCCGTTTCTGTCTCTCCATCCCCTTCCTCTTTTCTCCTTAATTCTCCTACTGATCTCTCTCTCTCTCTCTCTCTCTCTCTCTCTGTGTGTGTGTGTGTGTGTGTGTGTGTGTGTGTGTGTGTGTGTGAATGGTCTTTCTCTCCTCTCTTTCTGTCAATTTTAATTATTTTTATTCCTCTGTGGTCCTACACAGCATTGTTGTGTTAAAGCCCTATGCATCAATAAGCTTTTCAGTCTCTGAACTCTGGAGATTTGAAGCAGAATTTCCAAAGACTAGATGAATGAGTGGAATGTCTGGAGAAAACATGCTTCTTTCCATTTCATCGAAGGGGTCCTTCTTCTCCTGGCCTCAGCCTACCTCTCTAGAATCATTCCCTGCCACTCCAGTCTTCTTCACATTCTATCTTCAAATCTCATTTCTCAAATGCACGATTCTTCATGTGTTTTTCCTCTTGGCACTGTTCATGTTTCTAACTATAAGGCGTCCTTGCTCTTCTTTAATTATTCATCATCCCCCAAACTTCAGTTCAAATGTTACTTCCTTTGTACTCAAGAGGAAAATCACTCAAGATCAAAGAGGGAGGGTTGAGTGAAATTACAGTGACTCATCATCAGACTATATAAAGAACTCCTACAAATCACTTCCTCCAAAAGAGGATACACAAATGACCAATAAGCACATAAAAAGATACCCAGCCTTATTAGTACTCAAGGAAAATCAAATTAAAGCAAAACAAAATACCATTTTAGCATGGCTAAAATTAGACAGACTGACAATACCAAGAGGCGTGCAGACAGGAAGCAACAGGAACCTGTTGGTAGTATAAATAAATTGAACTAGACTGAACCAAAGCCCACACTCTGACACAGTAATTCCATGCCTAGGTTTATACCTGTGGTAGTTTGCAAATGATGGCCTTGAGGTCCTCCCGTCCTCGTATGTACACTAGGAGTCAGCCTTGTGTCTCGCTTTCAGCCATAAAATGTAACTGTGTGACTTCCAAGGCAAAGCCTAAGTAGTTCTTGCAGCTTCCAAGTTTGCTGTCTTAGAACCCAGCTGCTGTGTAAAGAAGTCTGGAATACCTACCAGGAAGGGCACATGAAGTTTTAGCTGGTAGCCCCAACTAACTGCAACAATGTGAGTGAGACAATCTCAGCCCAGCCAGCCCCAGCCAGCCCCAGCCAGCCCCTAGAGGATTGCAATTGCATTAGAGAACCCAGGTGAGACTAGTGGAAGAAACACCCAGGGCCTGGGCCAAGTGTAGCAATATTAGAGAATAAACTAATATGTGTACCAAAAGACATCGGCAGCACTATTCATTAAAGACAAAAACTGGAAACAACCCATCAAGAAGAAAATAGGCTGGGCATGATGGCTCACAACTGCAATCCCAGCAATTTGGGAAGCCAAGGAGGATCACTTGAGACCAGGAGTTTGAGACCAGCCAAGGCAAAATAGTGAGACTCTGCCTCTACCAAAAAAAAAAAAAAAAAAAAGCTGGGTGTCATGGCTTGCACATATAGGCCTAGCTTCTGAGGAGGCTGAGGCAGGTGGATCACTTGAGCCCAGGAGTTCAAGGCTGCAGTGAGCTATGATCACACCACTGCACTCCAGCCTGGGTGAGAGAGTGAGACTCCGTCTCTTAAAAAAGAAAAAGAAGAAGAAGAAGGAAATAGATAAAGAAAATGCAGTATCTTCATACTCTGGAATACCATACATCATATTTGTATATTCTCTATCTTTTTCTTTTGCACACGTGCATGCACACACACACATACAAAAACACACACATACATATACAAAACTAGATGCCACATCCCCTGTGTTACTTAATACTTTGCAACTTTCTTTGAGTATCAGTCTCGTTAATCACCTGGGTCAGACCCCTCCACAGAGCCCTGCACCCCTCAAGCTAGAAATACTGTCTTTGCTCCCTTCTCAGCTGTGTGATAATTAGAAAGTAGGATAAAGGAAAAGATGGAGGAAAGAGAAAAAGGAGAAGGAAAAGAAGGTGGGAAGGAGGGTGGATGGATAATCGGGTTACCTTTTATGTTGTGTGCAGTGCAAATCACGTACCTCTAGTCTAGCTCAAAGTCAAGAGAGGGAGGAAGAGAGGCAGGAAAGGAGGCAAAGAAGAAAGAAATGGAGGAAAGATGGCGTATGTAGGAGAATCCTTCTCTCCTTTCAGTTGGAATCAGCGGCCTCCTCCTCCCCTATGCTCAGGTCTTGTCCCCATTTTAACTCTTCCCCTTCAGCACCTAAGGAGGCAGCAGGTTGCAGATAAGGCATACAGGTTCTTTTCTGTGGTCTGGAATATTTATATCTAGCCCACCAATAGGCATAACATTCTGTGTGGTCAGTTCTTTTGCAAGTTGTCTATAGCCATTTTTTTACTGTGGGCCTCCCATCTGAAGTTCCTTAAGTGATGAAATGCAACAGTTTTGTCTGAGGACAGAATCAGGTGCTTACCTCACTCTTGTAGCCCAGATAAAATGTGCCAGGCTAACATTAACTGTTAGCATGCTGCAATAATCGTACACTTTTCATTTTAAGAATACGGGGCTTGTCCAGGCACGGTGGCTCACGCCTGTAATCCCAGCACTTTGGGAGGCCAAGGCGGGTGGATCACCTGAGGTCAGGAGTTCGAGACCAGCTGGCCAACATGGTGAAACCCCATCTCTACTAAAAATACAAAAATTAGCCAGGCGTGGTGGCACACGCTTGCAGTCCCAGCTACTCGGAAGACTGAGGCAGGAGAATCACTTGAACCCAGGAGGCAGAGGTTGCAGTTAGCCGAGATCGTACCATTGTACTCCAGCCTGGGCAACAAGAGCAAAACTCCAACTCAAAAAAAAAAAAAAAAAAAAAAAAAGAATACTGGGCTTAAAAGACTGCTGTTTACATGGTCGCAGTTGACAATAGCCTTACAAATTACCACAGACTAAATTCATGCACCATCCCAGATATGCATAGCCACCATGCCTACTTTCCCTGTCTCTGGGTGTTACACACTCACCTTGCTTTCTTGCCTGAGTGGTCTTAACAAAGTTCAAACCTTTCCCACAGACTTAGTGTCAGGTCACTACTGCTGTTGTCTGCTACAAATGGTGAACCCCCACACCTGGTTTCTGCTGACTAGAAGAAACTGACCCTGGCCTGACTTTCTCCAGGTTACTCAACCAAGAAGTATGAGGGAGTTAACCCTTTGTAGAACAGATGTTGACCAATAGAAAATAGAGGATGGGAAAGAGATATTACATAAATGCTTCTCCCTCTCCTCACCCAATTTCCTGTTCCAAGATGCAATAGATTATACAATTTCCATATGACAGAATAATCAGTGCATTTGCCATGAAGCTGTGGCTAGCTCAATAACGTATCCCCTATATTTGCTCTTCCTCCTCCCTTGCGTCACTTTTCATTTTCCTTCATTCCTACTCCCCAGGGATTATAGCCCAACAAACTGTTAATATGTATGTTTTTGCTCCAGACTGATGATAACTGCCTCCCATGAACCATGAAATGCCCTTTCAGGAAGGTTTTTCTACCATTTCACAGATGAGGGAACTGAAGCCAAAAGTGAAGAAGTGGCTTGCCCATGGTCATTTAGGGATCAATGAGTGACTCTGACTCTCACAAGCTACAGTGAGTCTTTCTTTCTGATATTATTCCTGCCTTCCCCTGCACACAGAGTGAGGCTGATGGTTTATATTATTTGACCGGCCCCATGTGCAGGGCTGACTCAACCTTGGGTGGATTTTGAAATTGAGGCTGAGAAACACCAGTTATGCTGGGCTGTTTGTAGAGAACTCTGGATGTAAGAGCTGCGTTCATGGATTAGCCATAAGTGCACAGAAGCAGAAAAGGTGACGTGCAGAGGAAGAAGAATGAAGTAAACACACTGAGAAGCTGAGATGAGAGGCAGGGAGAGAGTACTTTTCCTCCTTCCTCTGAAGTTTCAACTGACTTTGGAGTCCATGAACGACTTAGAAGCCTTCCAATAAGTCAGCATGTTTTTGTTTATGGTGGCTTGAATTAACTTCTGTTACTTATAAGCAAGTAAACCTTGACTAAACACTGGCATTACTTGCTCATTCATTCATGATCAAACATATATTAACTATCTACTTGCTCATTCATTCATGATCAAACATATATTGATTATCTACTCCAGGCTAGGTGTTAAGGATAAAGAGATGTATAAAATTCAGGAATGGCTGCTAAGTATTTACAATTTAGAAAGAAGGTGGATGTATATTTTAATGATAGTAATAAACATTTATGGTATGCTTGCCATGTGCCAAGCAATGTGCTGAACACTTTATATGCATTGTGTCATTTAATCTTTATAGTAATACTATGAGGTGGGTACTATTATTATCCCCATTTTATCAAAAATGAAACTGAGTCTCAGGAAGGTAAAGTCACTTACCTCAAATCACCCAGGCAATATGCTGTGGAGCTGGAATTCAGATCCAGGCAGTCTGACCCCAAAGTCCACATTCTTAGCCTCTACATGACATAACTGTAGTGCAAAGTAATTAATAAGTCCCAGAATGGAAGACAAATATAAAACAAGGAGACATGAGTGCCAGGAGGGACTCGGGGTGCAGATTAGGAAAGGGCTCACAAAGAGAATAAAATTGAGCTAGTACTTGAAAAACATGAGTGGAAAGTTGTTGAACCAAAAGGAGGAAGTCATTACACTTAGGAGTAAGTACAAGTTCAAAGGCAAAAGGTAGCAGAACATGGACATTTCAAGAACTTGATGGTTAGTGCATGGTGGTGGTGGGAAGTGCACTGACGGAGCAAGCAAATAAGGGGAGGTCTACAGAGATCAGATTCAAAGTTCCTTGTAGCCTTGTCCTGAAGTTTGATGTTTGCTGTGTGGACATAGGGAACCAGTAAAGAATTTTAAGGAAGAGAGTGACATGATCATTGGCCACAGTGTGGGAGATGGATTGGGAGGCTTGGGGGTCATCTCGGAGCCCCTGAGAGATGAAGAGGATCAGAAACAGCACAGCAGGGAGATAGAGAAAGACTCAAGCTGGAGAGATGTTTGAAAGTTAGAACTGAATAGTGGTCCATTTGATGAAAGTGTCAACCAAAATCTAATTTACCTTCATTTGAAAATTTATCTCCTATTGTGCATCACAGTGAATAAATATTAAGAACACCTAATACTGGAAATATTAAATGATTTACAAGATCTCTAAGCTCGTTGGAGAGAAAAGAAACAATCTGGATTGAAAAAAGCTGAAGCATTCCTAGAATGTTGAGATCCCATCCACTTTGGCTGCTCTGGCCAGAATATTTTTGTCTTTAAAAATTAGCAACCATAAAGTGGGTTTTTTTCATGTGTTTCATAAGAAGAGTAAACTGAGAAGAGAGCAAAGTTTGCCTGGTTCCTCCCTTGCTGTACTCCCTGTCTCTACCCGCCAACCCCCCACCCCCACTCCACCCCCACCATCACTTTCACCTCTCTGGTCTGTTTTCTGTTGGACTCATTTCCACTATAATGGTGGCCACTATATCTTCCAATGGCACAGGGGCTGGAGAGGAAATACTGAAGATTAAAATATCACCAGTGTCAGAAAATTAAAATGATGCCTTCTTTCATGGAGGCAATAAGTAGATGCAAGTGTTTGCTATTATTGTCCTGATGTCCTTTGATTATTTTATTGTCCCCAAAAGTAAAGATGTCTTATATTTTTTAAGCTGAGAGGAGCCATCTTGTTCAATCTTCCATGTTTAGAAACAGGAAACTTAAATACAGGAATTGAAACTTTTCTCTCTCTGAATCCAGGGTCTTTCACTCCCATGCCTTCTCAGATCCTTGGCCTGAGTAGTTTAGACCAAGATTACATATTAAAGGTCTGACAGCCGATGTAGCCCACAGTCATGTCTTGCTTGGCTGGCACTGTGCTTTAAATTTTCTTTGAATGTTTTAAGATGGATTATTCACTCTTCAGTTTGAAAAGGCCCTGTCATTCTCCGTAGTCTTACAATTGGCCCGATTCACACATTCAGGTTACTTAACTGGCCTGTATAGGGATGCGGGTTTGTGTATGAAAGTAAAATACATAATATATAAAATCGCGATGCTAGGATTTTGTCCTTCCTGTCATTTTGTAGCTGCTTATCTCTTCAGAGTTGTTAGAAGGCCTAAATAAGCTAACGGATGTAAACCTTTATATAAACTTTAAAGTATGGTTTGCTCATGTGAACCATTATAAATTATGTAACTAACACTTAATTACCTGAGTGCAGATACAATGTCATACACTTTATTTCCCCTTCTTCAAGTCACACTGACATTGGATTTCCAGTTAAACATCCCTTGTTTGGCACAGTGAAGATCTCACAGAGGGCAAGGGATGGAATTATACAAAAGAGAAGAGTCTACGGACTTTTGCAAACATTTTCAAAGTTCCTAGACCTCCAAGAAAGTGCTTGGTTATACACTTTCTAGTACTTAGAGACCAGAGCAAGTTTCTAGGACTTTATAATATACATACTTTGTATTCATTTTATCTGTGGCTATAGCCTTAATCTTGTTTCACCTCTGTTTTCTCGACTACTTCGAATACGTGCAAACCTGACATCTTGTGGAGCCTTCTAAATTGCTTTAAATTCTTTGTGGAACAAAATAGAATATAATCAATAAACATTTATGAGATTAATCCATATGAAACTGCTGTTTCAAAATGGTTTTAAAAACCATTAATGTCACATATTTATAGTACTTGTCTAAATACACTTTAGTGCTTAACTGCCCCATAATTCAAGCTCCTGAGGATGTGCCAGTCCATGTGGAAGGATTATAAGCTAGAGAGGCGGGAGATCTGGATTCTAATCCCAGCTCTGCTACTAAGTACCTGAGTAATTTTGGGCAAGCATCATTTTGCCAAACAAGTAGAATAACCCCAGTCCTGCCTACTTAACAACATTGTTATAAGGATCAAATGGTAGGCAATATGTCCACACTCTCTATAAAGTCCTGTTAAAAAATCTAAGAGGCTATTACACACTGAACTAAGCTCATCCAGAATTCCTCCCACTGAGCCCCGCTCTGTGCCCAGTCCCTTTGGAGTGTGCTGAGGGAAGTGTTCACCACCAATTCTCCTTCTCTTCTAATTACCTGCTCCTTCCTTTCAGCCCCTAACACCCAACCACAATTCCCAGTTTGCCAGTCTTTCCACACATATGATCTCCTTGGCCACCCTCCCCTGACACTTTTGCAAGGAAAGCATTATCAAGTATTTACAGATAGTTAAAATCTGAAGTTCAGACACATTTAGTAATTTTGTCTAAGGGCACACGTTTTTAAGTGCTACAGCTTTGATTTAAACTCTGTTCCTCTGATCCCAAGTTCAGAGCTATTTCACGCAGGGAATTCCACTCAAGCACATCCTCCCACCACTGCAATCTGGCAGCGTTTAAGAGCGCAGCCATACCATTTGCTAGTTCCATAAACCTGGACAAGTTACTCGGCCTCTCTTGCTTCAGTTTTCTCATCTGTAAAATGGGGATACTCATAGGACACAAATTTGTGGTGCACTGGCTTAGCACGGGGCCTTGGCACATGGTAAGCGCTTAATAAATGCTAGATTTTTAAAGAAGTTTGGGTACACCTTCCGAAATCCGGGGAGGCCACACAGTTTGCCTGTAGTTTTCGCGGAAGCTTGGGAGATATCTTTACACTCCGCCTCTTCCTTCTGCAGTCACGGGAAGCAGTTAGAAGCAGATCAGAAATCGAACACGTTTGCTTTTGCGATTCGAGAGCCCTTTCTGGCGCGGAGCTAGGGGCGGTGTTACGTAGCTGCCCTGAACTGAGAGCAGCGTTGGCCGGGGGCTAGGGAGCCGGGCTGTTCCACGCTCACTGTGCGCCTCGGGCGGCGGGGCTCGGGCTCTGTCCGAGGTGCTGAACTCCGGGGCTCCGGCCGCGCCGGCAGAGTGTGCCAGCGTCCATTATTGCCAGTGTCTGTGGGCATCTTCCAGAAGGCCGAGCATGGGGGTCAGGTGAAACCAGGGCGGTAAGTGCTTCTCCCATCATTTCTCAGAAATGCTTAGGTGCCTACTTTTTACAATTTCGTGCACATTTTCAGGATCATAACCTCTCACCGCCAGTTCCTCACAGGTTTCTGCAAAAACTGACGACCTTTCTTCCCCTTCAGTCCCTGCAAAAATCCAGACACCTATCACCCAGCCCCGCTCCGCAACCATTTCCTACAAGAATCCAGGCCCCTACGCATCTCATCCCCACGCGTCAATGCAAAAATAAAAAATGTTAAATCCGCCTTCCATTCCCGTCTCCCACAATTTCCTGTGATAAAAGCAAGCTGTCTCCTACCAGTTCCCCACTCCTGCCTGTGGCTAAACAGCATGGACCGACTTCTCGGGAGCTCGAGGTCCCCACCCGGGTGACCAATGCAGACCCCTGGGGGTGCGCTTACCTGGTGGGGACAATCGCCGAGCGAGGCCACCTGGGTCCAGGCTATAGGTAGTGTCATTATTATTCCCAAAACAAAATCAGGGGGCGTCCAGCACCCCTACCTGCAGCTGCGGGTTGGCTGCCAGAGGGCACTGCCAGACTGAACCAGCGCCGGGAGCTGGGGCTACCCCGGGCCCCGCGGGTCCTGTTGAGTCACTTGCCCAGAACTTCTTCAAGGTTCGTGAATAAAACCTCTGCGTCAGTTCCTTCAAATCGGTCCACCGCTCCTCCAAGTTGCGGTGGGAGCAGGGGAGTTTTGGGTTTGGTTTGGTTTGGTTTGGTTTTAAGAAAAAGAAAGAAGCATGAAAGAAAGATAGGAATCGCCCCCGGTTCCGCGCTGCGGGTGTGCAGGTCTCTGCGCAGCCCCAGACCTCCGGCTTGGTCTTCGGCCGGCTGTGCTGGCTGACGACGCGCTGCTGCCCGCTGGCGCCGAGAGCAGCTCTCCAGCCGCGACGGGCGAGGGTTGTGTGGGTGTGCGAGCTGCGAGGAAGGAGGAAGGAGGGGGCCGCGGGGGTGGGGAAGTGCCTACCTGCAGCCTCGGCAGAGGCGCCTGCTGCCCCACCCCCTCGACCCTAGCTCTTGGGGCTCCGACTCGCTCAGCAACTTAGCAGGGGGCTCCTAGACTCCCCGAGGGTGAGCGCGGAGCAGGCGCGGCCACTCCTGGGGTCCGGAGAAGTGAGGGGACGCTCCCAAAGTCTGACGTTGCAGGTCTCAGACCCTGGCAGGAATTTGAACTCGTGTCCCCTTTGTTCTCTCTGCGGCCCTGCCCTCCTCGGCTTTCCTTCACACACGCCCTGGAATCTCAGGCTGTCTGTCCAAGGTGTAGGAAAGAGAGGGAGAGAGGAGGGTGCAGTGCGATCCTCAAAACTGGGAATAATTTGATGATCAGGGCTGGTTCCACGGCCGTTGGATTTCATTCCAAATCAATGTTTTAGCCCACCCGCTACCTATTCCCAGGGCCTCCTGTGGAGTCGTTCGCGGACAATCTTCGTTTCCTTTTTACAAAGTAGTTAATAGTTGCTGCATATGATTGAAAGCATAAGGCATTGTATTTAGGAAGTAAGTGGCTCATGCTTGTAATCCTAGCGCTTTGGGAGGCCAAGGTAGGAGGACCGCTTGAGGCCAGGAGTTCAAAACCAGCCTAGGCAACATAGTGAGACTTACCAAAAAAAAAAAAAAAAAAAAAAAAAAAAAAAAGTCTCTACAAAAAAAAAAAAAACTAAAATGCTTTCCAAAAAAAATAGAAAGTGAGTGCCCCCTCCTCCCCTACCCTGCAGTGTCCTTCCCCCACTAATCAGTTCCCCAGAGGTAACCAGCATTTTCGTCTAGATACATGTATATGCACACAGGGGTTCTATTTGCCCTATGTTTTTTAAATCCCTACTTCTTCAGTCATTTTTAGTAATTTATATTTTCCTAGGATATTGTCCATCTCATTTACATTTTCAAATTTTCTGGCACAAAGTTACAAATAGTGTCACCTTATATTTATTTTCATCTCTAAAACTGTTCTGGGCCTCCTTATTGCTGATATTATTTATTTGTGTTTTCTACTGCTCCATTCCCAATTTTTTAAATCAAGCTTGCTGGAGGATTATCAATTTTATCTTTTAAGGGCAAAAATATTATTCCATAAGTTGCCTTTATCACTTAGTGTGTCTATAGTATCACTTAGAGAAATGTACCCTCCTAGTACCCAATATTTATAATGACTGCCTACTGTTTGTGGAGTTTTTCTCTCTAAAGCAGTTTCAAGGTTTATGTAGTCAAACACATGTCTTATCTTGCATGGTTTCTAGATTTCCCATCTTGCCTAGGGAGGCTTCGTACCCCAGAATCACCATACAGTTCCCTAAATGTTCTAGTAATGTATAGCTCTGTTGTTTAGATTACCATTTCATCTGGAAACTGTATTTGTGCACAGGGTAAGGTAAGGAACTGACAAAGATGAGAACCCAATTGTCCCAACACCAATTCAAAAAGTCCATTCTTCGCTCACTGATGTGAATGCCACCTTTATAACACTTTATATTTCTCAAAACAAACTCTACTTGGTTAATGTATGTTATTTTATACAAATACACTGCTAGATTGCAATAATTTACTTATGTTAATATAAGGTTTATTCCGTCTATATTAATAAGTAAAAATTGTGTTCTTTTTCCTTTTTAGGGGATGAGGGTTCTCATTCAACTTTGGTGCAAGGTTATGGTAACCTTATAGAATGATTTTGGACGCATTCTGTTTTTTCCTACACTCTGGAATATTTAAATTATCAAGTTAACTATCAGTTCATTGAGGGTTTAATAGAACATACCCATGAAACTGTCTGGACTTGATGGATTTTAGAAGGATAGATCTTTGATTATCTTTTCAAATTCATTGATGCTTGTTGGCATATTCATCATCTGACCCATCTTGAGTCAATTTTGGGTAATTTATATTTACCTGGAAAAAAGTTCATTTCATCTACCTTTTTTAATGTATTGGCATAATGTTACATATTATGCTCCTTTATAATTTTTCATCTCCTTTAAATCTATTCCTATATCCCCTTTTTATTCCTGATGTTGTGTTCTCCCCCACTATTTTTCATTAATATTATTTTGCTGTAGTTGAATTATATGATTTACATCATTTCCGTGTTGTGGTCTATTTATATGACAAATAAAAAATACTCCACAAGCATTTTCCCTCACACTTAATGTAGAAAAAAAATGTACATTCTGTGTTTTGGGGCACAAACAATACAAGTACACCTGTAAAGTTAATTGTACATTAGTACCTGTATTAGTCCTCTCTCACACTGCTAATAAAGACATACGTGAGACTGGGTAATTCATAGAGGAAAGAAGTTTAATGGATTCACAGTTCCACATGGCTGGGGAGGCCTCACAATAATGATGGAAGTCAAAGGAGAAGGAAAGTCACATCTTACATGGTGGCAGGCAAGAGAGCTTGTGCAGGGGAACTCCCGTTTACAAAACTGTCAGATCTCATGAGACTTATTCACTACCATGAGAACAGTATGGGGGAAACCGCCTTTGTGATTCAATTATCTCCACCTGGCTCTGCCCTTGACATGTGGGGGTTATGGGAGCTACAATTCATGAGATTTGGGTGGGACCACAGCTAAACCATATCAGCAACCTTTACATCTTTACTTTGGACTACAGGCAGTATAGTGTATTGATTAAGAGCACAGACTCAGGGGTCAGACTGCCTGTATTTAAATCCCAATTCCAGCACTCACCAGCTGCATAGTCTCTGATGAGACACCAAATGCCTTTGTGTCTCCGATGAGACACCAAATGCCTTTGTGTCCATAAAATTGGGTTAATATTAGTATCTACTTTCTACAACTGGGATGAGAGGCAGCTAAGGTAAAATATGTAAAATGTTTAGCACAGTGTCTGATAGGGAGTAAGCACCCTGTATGTGTTAACTACGCTTATCTGCCTGATCTATCAGTATTTAAATTAAACTGTTAAGGTCTCCTAGGAGGCTTGAATTCATTTTGGTTTTCAGCCAAAATCTACTATTGAGTCTGTGCTATGTGACCTGATCTGCCTTCTTTTGGAGTGCTGTAGATTTAGAATAAGACAGGCACGTTCTCTGCCTTTGCAAAGGAGCATTCTAAAGACTTGTCAGCATCTCTTTGGAGATGTGTGTGTATGTATGTGTGTAAGTGAATCAACTCACACTGTTCCATGAAGCAAAAGGACTTTTGCAACCTATTCCAAGTCTGCTTTCTTATGGATATCTCAGCTACTTCCTCAGAGATGCACCTTACATGCTAGGCCTACTTGATTAAAAACAACAACAGCAATAGTACTTTTTTTTTAAAAAAATTGCTAATAATAGTAATAAAAGCTTTGAATATCTACTACTATCAATGCCCTCCAGCTTAAGACCACCAGGGACTCAAGTATAGTTGAACAAATTGGCTGTATCACTTGTTGCAGTGAGGGAGGACACATACCATGGGTAATCGTGGGGTGTCTCACTTAAGAGGGTGCTAGAAAGAATGTGTGATGGAATTTGGGCTGTGGTTGAGAGATTTGGGGGAGGGTTGACCCACTCTTACACAGGCAGTTGGATCAGAAGAGAATCACATCAAATGTTATTTTACCACCTACAAGAAAATGATGATGTGATCCCAGGTGCCATGGTTCCCTGTGCACTCTGTTTTAAGTCAGTGAAAGTAAAGTCTTTATTGACCTCTTGAGCAGTTTCCCTCTCCAGAGTATATTACCAGTCAGTCATTATCCATAGGGAAGAGAAAGTCAGATTCAGAGGTGAGCACTGAGCTCCTTAGAGCTGTCAGCAAGAGTCATCTGATTCACTGAATTCACAGAGATTGGGAGGTTAAGTTCCAGGAGGAGGAGGTGTGTCCCTAGAATCACATGGCAAATTCAATACAAGGCCTGCCTGGTCTCTTGAGACCAGCATTGTGTGATTAGATGTGTGCCAGAATATTGTAAATTTTAACATAACTTTTACTAGATTTTTATCACAATGTATTACAGGTATGTTCTAGAAAACACACATAAAATATGGACTTCTTTTTACCATCCTTCTATTCCACTTTTTAATTTTAAAAATTAGTTCCAAATATTTGTATTGCACATTTAAACTGGCTCACAATTGATGCAAATAACATAAAGCCACATCTTAAACAAAGAGGTGTTTCTTTTCTTTTCTTTTTTTAATTGTAGTAAAAACACTGACCCTGAGATCTACCCTCTTAACAAATTAAGTGTACAATACAGTATTGTTAACTACAGACACAATGTTATGTAACAGATCTCTAGAGGGCTTGTTTTCTCTGCATAACTAAAAGTCTGAAGGTAGGCAGTTGGAGATGATGGTTCAGAGGCTTAGAACTTTAAGGCCAGCAGTGCTGCTCATGGCCTTTCCCCTTGAGATTGCTAGAAGGCTGCTGATAGCTCCAAGTGTAGCATCCACTTTCCAGATAGGAAGAATGGAAGGGGCGGACACAGTCACAGCAGTCCCTTTTATCAGAAGAGCAAAACTTTCCCAGCAGTACATCTCCCAGTTGACTTCTTCTTGAATCTTTTGATTAGAAATGGGTCATTAACCCTTAATAGTTTAAGGTAAAAAAAAAAGAAAAAGAAAAGAAAAGAAAGAAAGAAAGAAAGAAAAAGAAAGAAAGAAAGAAGGAAAGAAAGAAAGAAGGAAAGAAAGAAAGGAAGGAAGGAAGGAAGGGAGGAAGGAAGGAAGGGAGGGGTCAGATGCAAGAGATGTTGGGAAAATGGAGAGCAAGCTTGTTATGATTGACTGAGACCAAGAAATGATTCCTATCTTTGGTCTGGTCTAATGCCATCTCAGATAAAACAGAGTTCTGTCAGAAAGACAACAAATGGGAAATGGATAATGTGACCATCACAGTGCTTTTTATGAAAAATTTGGAAAACACTGATGAGCAAGAAAAAGAGACTATATATATATACATATATAACATACAATAAACATTAATTTACTCAAATAGAATTAAATAATGCAGCACATTATATTCATTTTATTCATTTGTATCTCCCTTTTCTTCCTTAAAAATAAGCTATAAAGCTATCAATTTAGATTATAATTTTTTACTCTACTATCTTTCCAGTCATTACGTGCTATTCTTCTACTTTATTGTTTTTTGTTTGTTTGATTGTTTGTTTGAGATGGAGTCTCGCTCTGTCACCCAGGCTGGAGTGCAATGGTGCGATCTCAGCTCACTGCAATCTCTCTCTCCCGAGTTCAAGTGATTCTCCTGCCTCAGCCTCCTGAGCAGCTGGGACTGCAGGCACGTGCCACCACGCACATCAAATTGTTGTATTTTTAGTAGAGACGGGGTTTCACCATTTTGGCATGGCTGGTCTTGAACTCCTGACTTCAGGTGATCCGCCCCCCCCGTCAGCCTCCCAAAGTGCTAGGATTACTGGCTTGGGCCACTGAGCCCAGTCGCTTCTACTTTATTGTTAATGGCTACATTATATTTTAGTGTATGCATGAATCATAATTTCTTTAACAAATTATCTGTTTAATGTTAGGGTTTCACATAGTTTCTATTTTAAATAACATGGCAATGAATAAATCTCAGTTAATCTTTTTCAAAATTCTGAGTTATTTCCTTAGAGCAAAACATTTGAAGTTTTAGACACAAAGTCTTAATACTTTTGATATAGATTGAAAAATTACTCTCCAGAAAGATTGTACCAATTTTCATTAATTTTTTATCATATTTGGAAATGCATCCTCAGCCACACTTGATCTAATCATTAAAGAAAGTTGGCAATTTGATAGATAAAAATAAAAGTATCAGGTCATTGTTTTATTTATTACTAGTCAGATTCAATTTTTAAAATGTTTACTGGCTCTCTTTCTGTAAATTGCCTATTCTTATCTTCTACTTATTTTTCTGCTTGTATTTGTGATTAATAGTTTATTATAAAATGTAAAGTAAATAATAATGTTCATAATTTCCCTATCCAGAGAGATGATAATCACTATTACTCATCTATAATTCATGCAAATTCCCTCCCTCTCACCCACTATCTCTCTCTCTCTTTTTCTCTCCTCCCCTGCTCCCCTATCTATATCTATCTATCTGTCTATCTATCTATCTGTCTATCTATCTATCTATCTATCTATCTATCTATCTATCTATCTATCTTATAATTATTTCCTTTGGCTAGATTTCCAAAACAGGTAACAAAATGTTTAGGCTTTGGTTAAGAATGGTCAAATTGCTCTCTGAAATGTACCATGATACACTCTCATGAGCACTACGGTAATACTATGTTTTAAAATATTTGCTAATTTGAGAGGCAAATTGGAAAGTCTTCTTGTCTGTGATTATGTCCTCATTTTGCTATTCCTAATGTTGGCTATTTGGGGTCTCTTTTCTCTTAATAAGACTTGGTCAGGGCTTATCTATTTTGTTATTTTCTTTCCAAGACAGACCTTTCATGCTTGATAATTATAATATTTTTCTTTTTTTTTTATTATACTTTAAGTTTTAGGGTACATGTGCACATTGTGCCGGTTAGTTACATATGTATACATGTGCCATGCTGGTGCGCTGCACCCACTAACTCGTCATCTAGCATTAGGTATATCTCCCAATGCTATCCCTCCCCCCTCCCCCCACCCCACAACAGTCCCCAGAGTGTGATGTTCCCCTTCCTGTGTCCATGTGACCTCATTGTTCAATTCCCACCTATGAGTGAGAATATGCGGTGTTTGGTTTTTTGTTCTTGAGATAGTTTACTGAGAATGATGATTTCCAATTTCATCCATGTCCCTACAAAGGACATGAACTCATCATTTTTTATGGCTGCATAGTATTCCATGGTGTATATGTGCCACATTTTCTTAATCCAGTCTATCATTGTTGGACATTTGGGTTGGTTCGAAGTCTTTGCTATTGTGAATAATGCCGCAATAAACATACGTGTGCATGTGTCTTTATAGCAGCATGATTCATAGTCCTTTGGGTATATACCCAGTAATGGGATGGCTGGGTCAAATGGTATTTCCAGTTCTAGATCCCTGAGGAATCGCCACACTGACTTCCACAATGGTGGAACTAGTTTACAGTCCCACCAACAGTGTAAAAGTGTTCCTATTTCTCCACATCCTCTCCAGCACCTGTTGTTTCCTGACTTTTTAATGATTGCCATTCTAACTGGTGTGAGATGGTATCTCATTGTGGTTTTGATTTGCCTTTCTCTGATGGCCTGTGATGATGAGCATTTTTTCATGTGTCTTTTGGCTGCATAAATGTCTTCTTTTGAGAAGTGTCTGTTCATGTCCTTTGCCCACTTTTTGATGGGGTTGTTTTTTTCTTGTAAATTTGTTTGAGTTCATTGTAGATTCTGGATATTAGCCCTTTGTCAGATGAGTAGGTTGCGAAAATTTTCTCCCATTTTGTAGGTTGCCTGTTCACTCTGATGGTAGTTTCTTTTGCTGTGCAGAAGCTCTTTAGTTTAATTAGATCCCATTTGTCAATTTTGTCTTTTGTTGCCATTGCTTTTGGTGTTTTAGACATGAAGTCCTTGCCCATGCCTATGTCCTGAATGGTAATGCCTAGGTTTTCTTCTAGGGTTTTTATGGTTTTAGGTCTAACGTTTAAGTCTTTAATCCATCTTGAATTGATTTTTGTATAAGGTGTAAGGAAGGGATCCAGTTTCAGCTTTCTACATATGGCTAGCCAGTTTTCCCAGCACCATTTATTAAATAGGGAATCCTTTCCCTATTGCTTGTTTTTCTCAGGTTTGTCAAAGATCAGATAGTTGTAGATATGCGGCATTATTTCTGAGGGCTCTGTTCTGTTCCTTTGATCTATATCTCTGTTTTGGTACCAGTACCATGCTGTTTTGGTTACTGTAGCCTTGTAGTATAGTTTGAAGTCAGGTAGTGTGATGCCTCCAGCTTTGTTCTTTTGGCTTAGGATTGACTTGGCAATGCGGGCTCTTTTTTGGTTCCATATGAACTTTAAAGTAGTTTTTTCCAGTTCTGTGAAGAAAGTCATTGGTAGTTTGATGGGGATGGCATTGAATCTGTAAATTACCTTGGGCAGTATGGCCATTTTCATGATATTGATTATTCCTACCCATGAGCATGGAGTGTTCTTCCATTTGTTTGTATCCTCTTTTATTTCCTTGAGCAGTGGTTTGTAGTTCTCCTTGAAGAGGTCCTTCACATCCCTTGCAAGTTGGATTCCTAGGTATTTTATTCTCTTTGAAGCAATTGTGAATGGGAGTTCACTCATGATTTGGCTCTCTGTTTGTCTGTGGTTGGTGTATAAGAATGCTTGTGATTTTTGTACATTGATTTTGTATCCTGAGACTTTGCTGAAGTTGCTTATCAGCTTAAGGAGATTTTGGGCTGAGACAATGGGGTTTTCTAGATATACAATCATGTCATCTGCAAACAGGGACAATTTGACTTCCTCTTTTCCTAATTGAATACCCTTTATTTCCTTCTCCTGCCTAATTGCCCTGGCCAGAACTTCCAACACTATGTTGAATAGGAGTGGTGAGAGAGGGCATCCCTGTCTTGTGCCCGTTTTCAAAGGGAATGCTTCCAGTTTGTGCCCATTCAGTATGATATTGGCTGTGGGTTTGTCATAGATAGCTCTTATTATTTTGAAATACGTCCCATCAATACCTAATTTATTGAGAGTTTTTAGCATGAAGGGTTGTTGAATTTTGTCAAAGGCTTTTTCTGCATCTATTGAGATAATCATGTGGTTTTTGTCTTTGGCTCTGTTTATATGCTGGATTACATTTATTGATTTGCGTATATTGAACCAGCCTTGCATCCCAGGGATGAAGCCCACTTGATCATGGTGGATAAGCTTTTTGATGTGCTGCTGGATTCGTTTTGCCAGTATTTTATTGAGGATTTTTGCATCAATGTTCATCAAGGATATTGGTCTAAAATTCTCTTTTTTTGTTGTGTCTCTGCCTGGCTTTGGTATCAGAATGATGCTGGCCTCATAAAATGAGTTAGGGAGGATTTCCTCTTTTTCTATTGATTGGAATAGTTTCAGAAGGAATGGTACCGGTTCCTCCTTTTACCTCTGGTAGAATTCGGCTGTGAATCCATCTGGTCCTGGACTCTTTTTGGTTGGTAAGCTATTGATTATTGCCACAATTTCAGCTCCTGTTATTGGTCTATTCAGAGATTCAACTTCTTCCTGGTTTAGTCTTGGGAGAGTGTATGTGTCGAGGAATTTATCCATTTCTTCTAGATTTTCTAGTTTATTTGCGTAGAGGTGTTTGTAGTATTCTCTGATGGTAGTTTGTATTTCTGTGGGATCGGTGGTGATATCCCCTTTATCATTTTTTATTGCGTCTATTTGATTCTTCTCTCTTTTTTTCGTTATTAGTCTTGCTAGCGGTCTATCAATTTTGTTGATCCTTTCAAAAAACCAGCTCCTGGATTCATTAATTTTTTGAAGGGTTTTTTGTGTCTCTATTTCCTTCAGTTCTGCTCTGATTTTAGTTATTTCTTGCCTTCTGCTAGCTTTTGAATGTGTTTGCTCTTGCTTTTCTAGTTCTTTTAATTGTGATGTTAGGGTGTCAATTTTGGATCTTTCCTGCTTTCTCTTGTGGGCATTTAGTACTATAAATTTCTCTCTACACACTGCTTTGAATGCGTCCCAGAGATTCTGGTATGTTGTGTCTTTGTTCTCGTGGGTTTCAAAAAACATATTTATTTCTGCCTTCATTTTGTTATGTACCCAGTAGTCATTCAGGAGCAGGTTGTTCAGTTTCCATGTAGTTGAGCGGTTTTGAGTGAGATTCTTAATCCTGAGTTCTAGTTTGATTGCACTGTGGTCTGAGAGACAGTTTATTATAATTTCTGTTCTTTTACATTTGCTGAGGAGAGCTTTACTTCCAACTATGTGGTCAATTTTGGAATAGGTGTGGTGTGGTGCTGAAAAAAATGTATATTCTGTTGATTTGGGGTGGAGAGTTCTGTAGATATCTATTAGGTCCGCTTGGTGCAGAGCTGAGTTCAATTCCTGGGTATCCTTTTTCTATTTATAATTCATTTTGTATTACTTTTATCTCTATTAATTTCATATTCCCATTTTCCTTCCTTGGCTGTTTCTTTCCTAGCTTTCTGAGTTGAATACACACTTAATTCAGTTTTACTCTTCCTTGTATACAGTTGAATTCTTTTAAGGATTCAAATCATCCCCAAGGTACAGCTTTGCCAAATCCATCCCTCCCCGCTGTTTTTCCCCAACAAAAGATAACTTTTTGTAAAAAAAAAACAAAATGGTACTCTATCATAAGAAAAATTTCAAACAAGTCAAAGAAATATAAAGATAAAGGAAAATCACCTGACAGTCTATAATTCAGAGCTGACTACTATTGTCATTTTGGGGATCATCTTTCCAGAAATTTCTATTTTATAAATGTACCTAAAAATTATGTGAAAATGGTGTCATACTATACTTTTAACAATATTCTGTGTACTGAAAACCTTTTCCTGCCAGTGAACATAGTATACATAATAGTTTTTAATGGCTAAGTTATAGTCTATTGTATAAATGTATTATAGTTTATTTAACAATCCACAAGAGACGTACATTTTGGCTGTTTCCAATTTTTCACGATTTTAAACAAGAATTATATCTTGTATTTGTCCAACTATGCTCTTAGAGTAAATACCTACAAAAGAAATGGCTAAGTAAATATAGAAACAATATTTAACTTTTTTTTTTTTTGAGATGAAGTCTCTCTCTGTCACCCAGGCTGAAGTGCAGTGGCACGATCTCAGCTCACTGCAACCTCCGCCTCCCAGATTCAAGTGATTCTCCTGCCTCAGCCTCCCGAGTAGCTGGGATTACAGGTGCACGCCACCACGCCTGGCTAATTTTTGTATTTTAATAGATGGGATTTCACCATGCTGGCCAGGCTGATCTCAAACTCCTGACCTCAAATGATCCACTGGCCTTGGCCTCCCAAAGTGCTGGGATTACAGGCGTGAGCCACTGTGTCTGGCCACAATATTTAACATTTTAATAAATATTTTTACCCCATCCTCCTGAATGGTTATAAAAATTTACACTCCACCAACAAAAGATGGTACTAAACATATTCATATACCCTCAGCAATTCTGGACGTTATCAAGCTTTTTAATCCCTAACAATCTGATAAGGGGGAAAAAGGATCTTATTTTTACTTTCATTTCTTCAAAAATGAATATATTGATGAAATCTGTATCTATTTACAGATTGTTTGTATTGTGTGTGTATGTATATGTGTGGATTGGTTGTCCATATCCTTTCCGATTTTTATTTCTCTTATTAACTTTTAAAGCTTTCTCCATATTTTACATTTTATCCTTAATCTGTCATATATATTTAAAATATTTTCCCAGTTTTTATTTGTATTTTAGTTTTATTATCTTGTCTTTTGCCATAAATAAGTTTTAGAAATTTTTAACCTAAAGATTATGAGAAAATTCCAACCTTCTTTTGACTTTCTTATAATTTGATATTTTACAGATAGTATTTTGCTCCATCTGGTATTTATTTTGTGCAATTAACTACATATGCACTGAGATCAGTTGTGTTCCAACAGACAAGTAATTTCCCCAATACAATTTTTTCCCAATATAATTTTTTAGGAAAATATTTTCCTACTGTTTTTGAATGTTACTCTTATCACACAATAAATTGCCAGAAAAACTGGAATTTATTTGTGAACATTCCTTCCTATTCTATTGATCTATTTTTCTCTCTATTTGTGTCACCTCATTCTGATTAGTATAAGTTTATGATACACTTCATATGTAGTGGGAGAGTTTCTCCTTAAACTCCCTCTCCAAACAATCTGAATTTTATCACAGATTTATTCTTTCAGATTAACTTTAGAATCATCAAGTAAAGTTATAAAAAGACAACATTGGGATTTTACTGGGATTATGTTGAATTTTTTATTTGATGAAATATCAGTTCACCCTTAATAAAGCCATCTTGCTTAATAACGTTATCTTTTTTCATATTAGAACTTTATATTTCTTGCTAAATGGATTCTGCTGTGATATTTTAAATTTTCTCCCAAATGTAAATGACTTTTCTTCTATTCTATTTTCTAACTTAATACAATTGAAACATAAGACAGTTATTGATTTTTATATACTCATTTTGTAATTTGCCAATTTACTGGGCTCCCTAAATGTTTCAATTGGCCCCCTTTGTTTTCTAGGTATACAATCTTGTAATACGCAAATAATTATTTTTCCTGTCTTTACAATGAGTATATTTTCATACTTCATTTCTTATCTAATAGCATTGCTTAGCACTTCAGAAATTATATTAAATAAAGGAGATGATAGTCCAAATCTATTCTCCATTTCTGACTTTACTGAGAAAATTGGTTACGTAGATGTTCTAACATTGCCATCTTGGACTGGAAGACACCCCTAGAATTTACTGGTGATGTTCATGATCCTTTAAGGGTGTTCTGCAAGATTAATATGTGATGTGACAACTTTATGCATGAAGCCAGATGTTCTCAAAACAGATATAAGATTCATATCAGGAGTAAAAATCTGATAACACACACCATCTGTCACTATCCTAAAGTAAAAGATTACAGTTTTGATCTAATAGTGTTTTCCTTTCTAATCATCATGATACTGTTCAGTAATCTTCTTACTGTTGAGGATCAATTTGAGGTCTATATTTCCAGTGAAAAATCTTACATTGTTTTAAAGAATTATCAGCTCCAGGCTGGCATAAAACCTCAGTCTTTCTCAAGGTGATTGGTGACTACAGACTGTAGATTTCCACAGAAAAGCCTATGTCTCCCTGACCACAAGTCTCCAAGGCTCAATCTACAAACACTTGACAGTAAGGCTTCTGAGCTCAATCATCTGAGTCAATTCATAGACGACTCTCTCCCCATGATGTGTACTTAGTCTATTTATTTGGATGAGGTCCCCAGGAGTACAAGAAATATTTTCTGACAATAACTACTAGCCTCCTTTTATCTCTTTGAGTCTATGTTATAAGATGGAAACATTTAGCAAGATTGGTTGGATTACCTATGCTGTTTCACTCAGCCAGTAATGGGAGTAAGTTACCCAATGAACATTACATTTTGAAGCAACCAACATGAGTAGCATCATGGAACATGGTTTTCTAAGCAGTGAGAACTTCCTGAAACCACTCAATACCTTGGGCATCAGCCTATGTAAAGTGATGACATTGATTTAAGATAGTTCTCATAGAAGCATATGTCAAACAATAATAAATATTGTGAGCAGAGAGTAAGAATTTGCCAACAAGGAAATTATGTTTTTTTTAGGTTTAGACAGAACAGGTCAGAGTGGCCAGAACCCAAAATTCCTTTTCATCTGTGCATCTCCCTAACCAGCTACTTGCTGGTTACTCATGAGTAGCAAGTTACTCATGAATAGAACTCCCCAAAGCCTTGGCATTATGAAGCTACT
The DNA here is from genome assembly GCF_000001405.40 of Homo sapiens. NCBI lineage: Eukaryota > Metazoa > Chordata > Mammalia > Primates > Hominidae > Homo > Homo sapiens. The sequence goes on along the minus strand of NC_000015.10, from coordinate 79,269,200 downwards.
CAGTGAGAGTGTGTTGAATGGATGTGCAAATACTGCAGACGCCACAGCTTAGATGACAGATGAAGGATATAACATCAGAGACCTTCAGGCCTGATGTGCAGCCCATTTTCAAGAACACTGGAAGGGAAGATATGTAGAATTTCTTTCCAGAAGGGTATTTAAAATCAACTCTGTCTTTCTGCCTTTGATTTCTACAAATGATTGGGCAATGTTTCTCAATCCCAGACTCAGGAGCAGTTTCCTCTGGAAAGACATTTTGTATTTGGGCCCCCAAGTCTCTGGAGCCTGGTGCTGTCACCTATCACCTGGCTCAATGTAAAGGCTCTGGCATCAACCCTAGTCACCACAGTGTGAATTTGGGAACAGACTACCATGTGCAGGGATTTTTGCCTCTGAAAATGTATCTTGAATTGTCTGTTCAAACATATCGTTACCTGGGAAGCAATTTGAAAAGATACTTTAGAAAATTGGAATGTTCACATCTAGTGGTATGCTGGTAAATGCAACTGGTTCTCTGGTGGGAAAAATGGATGTATATGTGTATACATATATGTGTATGTGTATCTGTCTATCTATCTATCAACTATCTATCTATCTATCTATCTATCTATCTATCTATCTATCTATGTTTGTGTGTCTACATATAGACACCCATATATTTAAGTTTAAACTTTACTAATATAAAGGATTATAGTACATTATTTATAAATAATAAGAACATATGCAATTGTCTTTTTCATAAATTCTCTATAATCAATTGATTATCACGGAATGGTTTCATTGAATGTTGACAAACTCTTGTATCTCTGGTCAACCTATGAAGCAATTCAACCATAATTTGACAAATGGAGTTACATCCCAATCCACTAACTCTTTTGCTAGTAAATCTACTGTCATCACAGTCGATATATGACCTGGTGTTAAACTATTTCTCACTCTCATGCAAATTATACTCATTAACTAAATCCTGTTTCAGCTTTAGCATTAATTTTAAGCTTAATCTGCATTATTAACATTTTTCTCCATTGCTTACTTTCTTAAGGATAGGCTGATTCCCTAGCGTAGATTCGTCTGTCATGGATGATTACAAGCTACCAATGGAATATTAGTAAATGCAGAGTTGGAAAGAGTTGCAAACCATTATACAGTATTTCCACCATATGAACAAAACACACCTAAAGAGCTTCAAGAACATATACAATCGTAAAATGTACTCAATGATGTGGAAGGAGTGAATTTTGAGTACTTATTACTGTGTTTTTAATAAAATGTATTTAGTTGTAAGTTTGCATCAACTGTAAATAATGGCTGTGTTTTACAACAGGCAGGCAAAATTCCAGGAAACTTAACAATCAGTTCTCACAAGCTGTTACAAGCCAGGTCCAACATACAGCTGTCCAAAATCCCCCAAATCTCAGAAAGGCCAAGCTTGAAGTGCCATTAGCAATGACTGGGTCCAATTTATTTATTTATTTATGTATTTGAGACAGGGTCTCACTCTGTTGCACAAGCTGGAGTGCAGTGGTGCAATCAAATCTCACTACAGCCTCGCCCTCCCAGGCTCAAGCAATCCTCCCACTTCAGCCTCCTGGGTAGCTGGGACTGCACATACACCCCACCACACCTGGCCTTTTTTTCCCTTTTTTTCTTTTTTTAGAGATACGGATCACTTTGTTGCTCAGGCTAGTCTCGAATTCCTGGCCTCAAGCGACCTTCCTGCCTCAGCTACTCAAAATGCTGGGATTATAGGTGTGGGCCACTGCACCCAGCCCCAATTTATATTTTGCATAGATGCAGTAACTGCAGCCATAGGCCTACCTAAGATTGCAGTTACAGTTATTGACAATGAAAGGATCCCTCAGGTTCCTAGCAACTAGTCAGTATGCTCTACTCTACATCTTGCTACTCAAAGTGTGAGCTTGTCAGAAACATAAAATCTTATGTCCTACCCCAGACCTGTGGAATCAGGATAACATAATCTCCAGATAATTCATATGCACATTAAAGTTTGAAGGGCTCTGAATATCAAAGCAGTGATTCTGATACAGGTTGCCCATTGGAATTACTTAGGATATTTTTTAAAATATCCATACCTGGGCCCCACCCTCAGAAACTGTTTAATTGAATGGGGTGGAGCCCAAGCACGGATGGTTGTTAAAAGATCCCCAGACGACTTTCATGTGGCGACTGGAATAAAGATCTTGGCTGTACCGCATTTCCTCCCTAATGCTAGAAGCTGCTGAGGCCGACTTTTCCAGAGGAGCAGGATGAAAGTGTCCACACCCAGAGGTGGTACAGGGACAATGGTCTGGGTGGCTGGAAACCATCTTGGGCAAGCTGCCTGAAAACCAGATTGCAAGATCTGAATGCATTCACAGCTCCCAAAAGCCTCTTTTCCTCCCAAACAGAATGGGGCATGACCCCCTTGGAACTTCTTTACCATCACCCCTTCCAGTTGAGGAAATGAAAGCTATGGGAAACCAGCAGAGGCAGAGAGCTGACAATATTCTCTTTATGCCAAATGTGTGCTGCCATCTCCACTTGGGCTCTTTATCTCTTCACTCTAAAGAGACTGTATCGAAGGTGTCATTGCAACATAAACGCAACAATATTATGACTGCCCTCTTCTTCCCACCCTCTGCTAAAGGCTCCTACAGAAATTGCTTTTGTCTTTTCAGAATTAAATTTCTTTATAAAAATAGTCAGCAAATATTTCAGCAAAAATAAATGTCCCTAAATAGCCACTCTATCCAGTATAAGTCATCATCACCAGTGCTCCTCCAAAATGCCTAAAATAGAGTCCATGCTCGCAGTTCCCTCCAAGGAACGTCCTTGTTTAGCTAACCTAGTTAGAAGCTGTGAGCTTGTGCTTTTGGGTCCTGTGAGAGCCTTGTGTTTTTAAAATAATCTTGTCTAAAAACCCTCTCTTCTCCCAAAGGAGGTTCAGGATATGCAAATTTCCAAGAACTGGGAGCACAGAGTGGCCCTGTTTGTGTAGATACAGGCCTTGTTTGCAGGCCCCAGTGGGAGTGCTGTGTGAGCTTATAGCAGGGGCAGTGTCTGAACAGAGGCCCCTCTGAAGCCCCTCCAGGATGCTTCCTTTGGGCTATGAGTCTCTGCTGGCGGCATGGGCAGGATGGGGTCAGCTGTACCAGTGTACTCCAAGGACCCTTGTCCCTGCCCTGCATTCTTGTCACTCCCTTTAGAGCAAGAGCTGTGGAAGACAGTTCCTGCACTTTAGGCTGATTTCTGCCATGATCCAGGAAAGAAACGGGCATGTCTTTCACCTGTTGTGGAAAGCGCACCCTTGCAACAGAGGGAGGAGAGTGTCCTTCTTGCGGCTGAACTCAGCAGATGACTAAAACTCCTGGAGCGACAGCAGTGATCCACTCACCCCGATTTGCTGGGCACTTTCACAGTTTTAGCACCAAAAAGCACCATTCCCCAAGAACCCTCCCAGTCCTGAGTAAACACAAAAATCGGTCACCTGAGGTGACAGCCCAGAGCTACCTCTCCTGAGGCCTGGAAGAGTAGCCTCAGCTGAGGTATCATGATGAAATTTTATAAAATTAAAATTAAAAACAAAACAAAGATTTCATGTGCATGAATCAGATGGATACAGTTATTAACCAAACCCCATTAGGGGATGGGAGTAGATCCAGCTGCTGTTTCAAGACCAAAGGGCCAGAGCTAGGGCGAGGGACCCTACACAAGGTAGCCAGCTATTGAGAGCACTGGGGAGTTGAAGCAGGCACAGAACAGAGCCAGCCTGAGTGAGAGTGGAGGTGAAAGGGAAAGGAGCCTTGCCATGGTCATGAGCTGGGTGTGACTGCAACCTTGCGGCTTACCTTCCTGGCCCAGCTGGCTGCGCATGGATGAGTCAGGCCCCTACCTACCGACTGCTGTGCAGAGGCTCCTTAAACAACTAAAGGGAATGAAAACTGTTAAAGCATGTTCTCCTTTATTTTAAAAGTAATACATTCATAATGAAAAAAATGGGAAAAGTATAGGAAAAAAATAGAAGAAAATTAAAATATCACATAAAACCACTGCTCTGAACAAACCATTTTAAATATTGCTATATATTTATTTCTCCCCTAAAAAAGACAGGAATCCCTGTGGTCCAGTCCGGGAACAGTTTAGAAAAAAAAAAAATCTGTCTCCAAAAGTGATCAAAAGCAATTGAGCTCTTCACTGGAGATTCTCAAAGAAAATCCAAGGGAATACAATTTATAATCTATAGAAACACTTACAGATTTTTTTTGCCCGTTCTCATTCTCTTGCCACCTCCCATTCCCTGCAGCTTCCCCAAAGTGCTCATAACACTTCACTCTCAACTACCACCAAAAACCATCCTAAATCCTGCCACCTTGGTGTTTCTCTCTTTTCCCCCCTCCTTTCCTTTTTTCAAGCTTCTCTTCTTCCTCTAAGAGACTCTGTTCTCATTCCCAATACTAAATTATTTTAACTTCTTTCACTCCTTGCAATTCATCTTTTCTTTCTACCTATTTTCTCAATTTTGCTTGGAAGAGTCTGAACTTGGGGATCTATTCCTTCCCCTGGAAATTGTAGGAGAAGAGGCCATGCAATTAATGACAGAATATTCTTTCATGGGTGAGGGAAGGAAAAAATATTACCAAGTGCTCATAATGTAACATGTTTTATAAAAAACAATCTATAAATACTTTATGTGCATTTTTTACAAAACTAATACTGTAGATGCTATTTTATGTTGTGGTCTATAAACTTTATATTCCTTCATTTATTCATTCATTAATTCACTTAGAAAACGTTTATTGTGGGCTTATTATGTGCCAGACACTCTCACTGGGAAAACAACAATGGAAAAAAAATAAAAATCAATGCCCTCATGAAGCTTGGTTAAGTGGAAAGAGACAGACAATATAAAAGGAAGGAAATTAGATATTATGCTAAAAGGTAATGAATACCCTGTAATTTTTTTTAAGTAAAGTGAAAATGGGTCAGAAGCGCTGGGTAGAGGGCTGGTTAGTTCTCAGCAAGGTGAAATATGGACAGAGACTTGGACAAGAAGAGGGAGAAGCATGCAGATTCGGGGGAAGGGCCTTCTTGGCAGGACAGCACAGGCAGTACAAAGCAATAAGACCAGAATGTGCTTGGCATTTCCCAGGAATAACAAGAAAGCCAGTGTGGCCAGAGTTGGATGCACTGGGTGAAGGACAGAAGTTAAGGATAACTCCAAGTGTTTTGGCCTGAACAGTTACAAGAACGGAGTTGCCGTTAACTGATATGAGAAAAATGGCAGATGGAACAGATTCTTGGGGAAGTATCTGGAGTTTAGTTTTAGACAGGTTAAGTTTTAGATGCCTCTTAGTCATCCAAGTGGAGAAGTAGGAAATATAGTTGAGAAAAATATTTCTGCATGTCATTAAATATTATTTGAAAAATCTAACTTTTAGACAGGTAACGCTTTTCTTATAAATTCAAAAAGTATGAAAGGGTATATAATGAAAATTAAGCTTATTTCCCTTTCCCTATCCAACCACCCATTTCTCCTCCCCAGATGCATTCTCTCTTACAAGTTTCTCATATATCCTTCCAGAAACAGTCTACACATTTCATAGGTATACATCCTATTTTTCTCCCCCATAAAATTTTTAGCATAATATGCACGCAATTTTCCACCATGCTTTTTTCACTTAGTCAAATATTTTGCAGTATTTCTGTATCAATAAGGATAAAGCATTGACATCTATACAGTTGTATAATTTTTAGATTTTCATTGTATAATATATACAATATTTTAACAAGGCCCTGTTGATAGACTTTCAAGTTTTGTTGCCAATCTTTTGCTATTATAAGCAATATTGAAATATACAATGACCTTGTCTATATTTCATTTAAATGTGCAACTACATTTCTAAAATAAGTATTTAAAAGTGAATTTTTGTTGAGTCCAAGAATATGTGAATTTTTATTTAGTTAGATATTGCAAATTTCAATTTGGCAATATATAAGATGATGTTTTCTCACACCCTCCTTGTGGGGAGGAGGTGCAATCACATTTTTGATAATTTTCTATCTGATATAGTAAGATTGAAAAACTTAAAAATGCATGTTATCCTATAGTCATATTGTTTATGACTTCTATATCATACTTTAAAGGGCTTTCCAATCTCTGAGCTTATTGTTTAACTCCTCTATCTTTTAAAGTAAGTTATAGTTTTATTTTTTCATTTAAATCTTTGATAAGGAATTAATTTGGAGAAAGGTGTGAGGTAGGGATTCATTTTTCTTTTCAAATAGCTACCCAGGTGTCCTAACACTGTTTATTCAATAATAAATATATCTTTATCCCTGATGAGAAGTGCTACCTATAAGACATAATAAATTACCACATGGTTTGGGATTTATTGCTGAACTTTCTATTCTTTTCCATTTTTCTAACAAGACACATGTTCTACATTAATTACTCTGACTTTATATTTTAATATTTGGTAGGATTAATCAGCCCTCATTTTTTTCAGAAGTTTTCTGGCTATTCCTGCTTAAAAATATAATTTTAATGGTATATATTATTCCATCATATGGTATCATAATTCTGTCATTTCGTTATAATTCACAAGCCATTTCCCTCTTGTTGGACACTTAAGTTGTTTAGAATTTTTTGCCATAATAAATCCAGAACTCTTTCTGTAGCTCAATTATTATATAACGACAGGTTCTAGGAAATTGGGGTGATTGGCTTTGAATGATTGGAAAAGTCTTGGCATATCAACAATTTTCTAATCAAGTGACGGGGGTGCTAATTTACTTTCCAACTGGTACTGTAATAATGTGCCTATATTGCTACACTTCTGTAAGTACTAAATATTTTACGGTTTTAAAAAATTTTCATTTTGTATTTGAAAAGTGATGAATATTTAATTTTTCATATGTTCATGGAACTCTGGTATTCCTACTGTGAATCATCAAGCCAGGACTTTTGCCCATTGTCATATTATATGCCCATCTTTTTCTTAAGTTTTTAAAAGATGATCACATAGCAAGGCTACAAAAGGAAACTTAGAAAGAAAAATACTCTCATTTATTCATAATACTTTCACTTTAAAGTAGGGATTGGCAAACTGGCCCAAGGGCCAAATCCAGCCTGCAACCTGTTTTTGTAAATAAAGTTTTATTAAAACACATTCATTAATGTACTCTTTATGGTTGCTTCCACACTACAGCAGCAGAATTGACTGGTTGTTAACAAAGACCATCTGCTCTGCAAAGCCTAAAATATTTACTCTCTGCCCTTTTACAGAAAAGTTTGCCAAGCTTCACTTTAAAGTGTTATCTAAAATTGTATTCAAATGTGTGTGTATTATAGCCCTGTAATAAGCGTTGAGAATCTATTTCAAATTTTCTCTTTTCATTTGGTCATATAGCATTTCCGATTTTACCCCCTAGTCGTTGTTCTTATTATTTGAATGTCTGATTAATAACCTATCAAGAGGTGATCTCATAAGTGGCTTGACCATTAATTATTTGCCTCCACGCTGCCTTATTCCTAAAAGTGTTAAATCAGTGTATCTTTCTATTGTATAATTGTTTATAAATAACACTGCAATTATAAATAATGTCTTCACACATAAAGTTTTGTCACGTTTTGAGAGACATCCATTGGAAAAAATATCCAGAAATAGTATTTGAAAACGAATTAACAATAAATATGAAAGATCATCAACGTGACCATATCCTTTGACCCAGTTATCCTGCTTCTGGAAGTGTTTTCCAATTCAACAGAGCATAAAAAGGCTTTATTCTAGGAATAAACATGCATTAATACATGCAAAGTACCTAAAGAGAGGGTAAGAGAAAGGATCTAGTACTGCTAGGGGCATATTCCATGCCTGGTAATTTATCAGCAATTTATATATTTCCTCCTACTTAATCCTTACAAAATCTTTTAGAATAGGTATTGCTATGCCCAATTCTCATATAAGAGACCGAAAGATAAGAGAGCTTGGGAAATTTGCCCATGATTACACAGCCAGCAAGTAGCAGATCCACGATTCAAACTTAACCTACCTGTCTCCAAAAACAAGTACTCTTTTCAGTACGGTTTTTAAAGATGTACATGGAAGTGTCTAAAATAGCGTCAAGTGGACCGTTAACAGCTGAGAAGACAACAGATACAGACAGAGATGACAGTGTGCTCCGTCGAGGGCCTCAGCACAGCCCCAGCCTCTCCCTAGTCCTCCCTTTCTCACTCTCCTCCCCTGAGCTAGCTGAGCATCAGTTTGGCTCCTTTTTCTCTCCCTGCCCTCATCCCTCCCAGGTTCCTGGCATGTCTTGGACCTGAGGTCCCTTCTCACTGCTCTCTCACGCAGCTCCCAAGCACCTTGCCCAGTAGAGCCCCCTTGCACCCTGCTTGGTTGGTCAGCACCCCATGGACATGCAGCCTTGACCTTGGCATGGGAAGCCTCCACTGTGTCAAGCCCAACATCCAGGCCTCTGAAGACAGTCATTCAGGTAGGATGAAGGGAGAATGGGGCCAGAGAAGGCAGGAGAACATTGGGTGGCCCTGGGGTGCTTGTCATTTAATAAATGGGATAGACAGTGTGTGCATGTGTATGTATATGTGCATGTTTTAATGATTGTGAGTTGTGGTGGGGTGTGTGGCTGTGTATGTATGTGTGGTTTAGTAAATATGAGTATCAGCATGTATGCACGTGTGGGCAACATGTACACTCATCTGCATGTGTGTGTTTACATGTATATTGGGGATGCCTTTTATGAATGCAAATGTTATTTTGTGTAAGCATATCTGTATATGCTATCATGTAGGCAGGGATGATTAAGCTAGATGTAATGTCTTTTGCTTCTGAGAATGAGAGGATACCAGCAAATATATACTTTGTTTTACTAAGTCTAGAAGCTGAGATTCTTGAGTATGACTGTTCCCCGGGGCAAGGGTATCTCAACTTTGGCACTACTGACATCTCCACGTAGGTAACTCTTTGTTGTTGGGGCTATTCTGTATGTTTAGCAGCATCCTTGGCTTCTCCCCACTAGATGCCTGTAGCAGCCACCACCGCCTCTTCCCCAACCATTGTGATAACTAAAAACATCTCCAGATTTTGCCAAGCATCCCTTGGGCTACAAAATCATTCCCTGAGAACCACTGTCCTAAACCATCCTTTTCATCTCCCGCTGCATATTAAAATCATCGCTCGGGCTCAAAAAGATCAGTGGTTTCAGGCAATAGTGGGGAGGGAGGGATGACTAGGCATACATAGCACAGAGGATTTTCAGGGCGGAAAACCACTCTATATGATACAATAACAGCAGATGCATGTCACTCTACATTTGTCTAAACCCACAGAATGCACAAAACCAAGAGTGAACTCTAATGTAAACTGTGGTCTTGGGTGATAATGATTTGTCACTACAGCTTTATCATTTATACACTTTATTTTTAAAAATATCATTTTAAATTTACCCTCTGGGCAGGGGGTATTGATAATGGGGAGGCTGTACACTTGTAAGGATGGGAGTATACAGGATATCTCTGTACCGTCTGCTTAATTTTGCAGTGAACCTAAAACTTCTCTAAAAACTAGAGTCCATAAAATAAATACATAAACAAATAAAACACACATATGCAAAAAAATGCCTAGGCTCCACTGGATCAATTAAACCAGAATTTCTTGAGCATTGCCAATTTTTAAAAGGTCCTAGGGACTTTTCTAACAATATTCTCTTTTTTCTTTTTTTTTTTTTTCTAACAATATTCTCATGGGCAGACTGGGTTGAGAACCCTTGCCTTAATCCAGTGGTTCTCACACTTGAATGTGCGTCGGAATCCCCTGGAGGCTTCTCAAAACTCAGAATACTGGGCCTCAAACCCAGAGTTGTTAACTCAGGAGGTTGATGAGGCCTAACAATTTCCATTTCTAACAAGTTCCCAGGTGATGCTGATGCAGGGACCACACTTTGAGAACCACTGCCTTAAAAAAAAGCGATTTGCAAACTTAATGCCCACAAGAATAACCTGGATAGCTTACTGAAAATGTACATTTCTGTGTCTAAATATTCTGATTCTGTGTATCCTGGGTAGGGTCCAGGAATTAACTTTTTAACCTTAACAAGTCATATCCCAGATTATTTTGAAATAACAGAAAAACCAAATCTATGCAGGGTTTCTAGAAAACCCCTTTTGGGAAATGCTGCAACATGTCAGACAGAAGATCAACAACAGTGTGATGGATGAGGCCCTTTTTCTGGAAACAGGCTCAGTTGGGGGTGCTGCTGAGGCTGGGGCACTAGGAGAGCCATCTCTGCAGCAGGAGCCTAGGGCCCAAGAACTTCTCTCACAGATTTAGTGAAGGCGGGGGACGTTCACAGGACCAGGTCGAGCATGGAGGCACCAAAGCCAAACTCTCTAAAATTAAAGAAGCTCTTGGAACACTAAATGAAGAGGACCTGATGGCCAGTCCCCATTGCCTCCTGCTTTGCTCCCTGGACACTGCCTAACTGATAACTGACCTTCATTTCCCAAGGCCTTTACTCACACTTTCTTTCATTTACAGTAGTGTCAAGGCAGGCACAAAAATGGCCCATGTGTAGTCATGATGTCTCAGCCAGGCGTGGCCAGGCACACATACAAGAGAGAAACCCTCACCTTTCACATTATCAGGTTCTTACCCACCTCACGTATACCTGTTTACCCACTGGTCACATCCATTCTTTCTTGTTTACAAGCCCTCTGGTCTCCATCCTTGCTGTTTACTTTCCTGTTTCCATCCTTACTTGGGTTTCTTAGATTTGACACAGCAGTCTCCTGGCTTCACATATGGCTTCACTGAACAGTAATAGAGACTGATGTAGCCTTGGGCCAGCCTGGGTGTGGCCCTCCCCGTGGGATCCAAACACAAGACCCACTGCTTCTGAACCATTGCCTACAGTGGTCCCCATGACCTGACAGATGACAGTGCATGCATAAGACACCGAAGTTACTTGCCTTCAAGATGCTGTAATCTGGATCTGAAAACTAAGATGGAATGAGCAAGGCAAGAAAAAGGAAAGACATGAATATTAAAATGTTAGAGATTATGAATATTTGCAGATAATGTTATTACCCACCTTGAAAACCCAACACACTCCATGGAAAAGCAACTAAAAGATATATCAATAATTTTACACAATAAATGCACAAAAATGAGTACTTATTCCATATGCCACTGAAGTGGCATCATTGTCTGGGGTAAATACCTGGAGTTCGTCATCTCATGCCGAGAAGATTAACGAGACGACACAGAAACACACACATGGAGTGGGTTAAAGAGCAGAAAGTTTAATAGGCAAAAGAAAAGAGAGAGGAGAGCAGCTATATCTCGTGCGAGAGAGAGAGAGACTTCTGAAAGGGGGAAAAGCGGCAGACTGCAGCAGATTTTATAGGCAGGCTTGAGAAGGCGGTGTCTGATTTACATAGGGCCCACAGATTGGTTTGACCAGGTGTGACGTTTACATGGTGTGTGGGTAAGGCTGGTCGCCCCCACAATCTTATTATGCAAATGGACTTTCTACTTAGTCAACTGCCATCTTGTCTGCTCCTTGCTGTACACGTGGTTGGCAAGGAAAAGAGAAGATGGAGCCGCCATTTTGATCATCATGCCTATTCCCAGGTAGTTTCTTCCTATTGGCACAACTGTGGGCATTCACCTGTGCAAGCTTCTAGCTTGCTTGTCTATGTCTGCAGCTTGATTTTACAGGCTGTTCTTTCTTAAAAAGAAAATGATTTGGGGGCTGCTTTTCATTAAAAGGAAAACCTTACCGAGGACTCCCATACCCTCACTATCTTCCTAATTTCTTTTTAATTCCTATATCACCACCAGTAAGAATTAGCATGAGAAAAGGAGCCTATTCACAATAGCAATGGTTAGAAAAAAACTTTAAAAGGAATAGACAGGTTTTTGTGGGTTTTTTCCCCTCCTGACACCAACCAGTTCCAGCACCAATTGGGTGTCTAACATGGAATTCAGTTCTGACACTAACTACCCAGAGTTAGTACCAGACTCCACAGGTTTAAAGGCTCAGTCCCACAAGACCGTTCTCACTTCAGATGCCAGCCACAAGTATCAGGTCCCCAGAGTCCCCACACTTCTGTCTGACTTGGCTACAAGGTCAAGGAGTCCCACTTCCCTATGCCCCCACTCCAGGTTCAGTAATTTGCTAGGATGTCTCACAAAACTTGGAAAAACACGTGATATGGTTTGGCTATGTCCCCACCCAAATTTCATCTTGAATTGTAGCTTCCATAATCCCTATGTGTCATGGGAGGGATGCAGTGAGAGCTAATTGAATCATGCGGGTGGGTTTTTACCATGCTGTTCTTGTGATAGTGAATAAGTCTCATGAGATCTGATGGTTTTATAAAGAACGGTTCCCTTGCACATGCTCTCTTGCCTGCCGCCATGTAAGATGTGCCTTTGCTCCTCCTTCACCTTCCACCATGATTGTGAAGCCTCCCCAGCCATGTGGAACTGTGAGTCCACTAAATCTCTTTGTCTTTATAAATTACCGAGTTTCAGGTATATCTTTTTTAGCAGTGTGAGAACAGACTTATACAACACATAAGTTACAGGTGCCATTTCTGGAAGAGTTACACAGGGCAAGGTGTGGGTGGGGTTGGGGAGGAGCTTCCCTGACCTCTCTGAGTGCACCACCCTCTCAGTACTTTGATGTATTCACCAACCCAAAGCTCTCCGAACTACATTGTTTAGAAGTTTTTATGGAGGTTTCATGACATAGGCATGTTGATTAAATCATTAGCCATTGAGGAGTTGCTTATTCTCCTCCTCGGAGGTTGGGGAGGAGCATTGAAAGTTCCAAGCTTCTAATCAAGTCTAGTTCTTTATGGAGATCAGCCCTAACCTAAAGGTATCTGGAAGCCCACCAGGAGTCACCTCATTAGAACAAAAGATGCTTCTATCACCCTTATCATTCAGGAAATTCCAAAGATTTTAGAAGCTCTATGACAGGAACTAAGGACAAAGACCAAATATTACTCTACTATCCCACAACAAATCACAAATCACTATTTGAAGTGCATTAAAAAGACTTCAATAAATAAAAGAACACATTGTGTACTTGGATTAAAAGCCTTAATCTATGAACACATCAATACTCTAAGAATTAATCTAGAAATTTAACACAATTACAAAATCTCAAAAATAAATTTTTTGAAACTTGACACCAAGCTTTGTTAAGAAAAATACGTAAAATATTGAAAAAGAAGATAATGTAAAAGAAAGAGGTCCAGTATTTTTGTTGTACTAGAAATTTGCTACATAGATAATTAGAAGTAATATCTTACTGGCAAAGAAGTAGACTCATGAATAATAAAACTAAGTATATATAGAAAGTCAATGCATGATGAATATGTAATCATAAACTATTGGTGATAGAATGGATATTCAAGACATGCATAAGTCACTTCGGGGAATGAATTAATTCTTCATTTCTGACACCAAATGCTAGATGGTTTAAAGTTTACACTGTAAAATAAAATCATAAATGTGTTACCAAAAAAATTAGAAAAAATTTTGTAATCTTGCTAGCAGGAAGAACTTTTAAAGCATAAAATAAAAGTTAGATGCTATAAAAGACATGATTGATAGATCTTCAACTAAAGACACCATAAATAAAATGAAATGACAGATGATGTACTGGGGGAAATATTCCCAACTTATATGACAAATGGTTGAATTAAAAAAAGATGAACACTCTAGTAGGAAAATAAACAAAGGACATAAGTAGACAAGTCACAAAAGAAGAAATAAAGATGGACAATAAATGTATAACTAAATGCTTAATTCTATTAGTAATCAGAGAAATGAGTGTCAAATCAACAAAGGAACATTTTTACCCAAGGGATAAGCAAAATATAAAATTCAATGATTCAGTTGACCTGAAGGCTATTTGTGACCTATGTTGTCCAGATTTAAGGGATGAGGAGGGGGATGAGGGAAAGATGAAGGCCTTGGGACTTTAGTTGGCAACAAGACGAGAGCAGGGGCCTCTGTTAGGGTTGAGCAGGAGCAGTAACAACCAGCATCCACCTTGATGGAGCAGAGCACCCTACTAAGCTCTTCAACAGGCATTTGCTTTTTAATCCTCACAGAAACCCTATGGAATGGGAGCTGTTATTATTTCCATTTCAAGGATGAGGAAACTAAAGTATTGTATTCATTACCCATTGCTGCTTGATATGGTTTGGCTCTGTGTCCCCACCCAAATCTCATGTTCAATTGTAATCCCCAGCGTTGGAGGTGGGGCCTGGTGGGAGGTGATTGTATCATGGGGGTGGTTTCTGATGGCTTACATATCCCTAGTGCTGTCTTGTGATGGAGATCTAGTTGTTTAAAAGTGTGTGGCACTTCCCCGCTTCTCTTCCTCCTTTCCAGCCATGTAAGACATTCCTGCTTCCACTATGCCTTCCACCATGACTGTAAGTTTCCTGAGACCTCCCCAGCCATGCTTCCTGTTCAGTCTGTGGAACTGTGAGGGAATTAAGCCTCTTTTCTTTATAAAATACCCAGTGTTAGGTATTTCTTTATAGCAGTGCAAGAACAGACTAACACACTGCTATAACAAATCATCACAAATTTAGTGGCTTAAAACAACACAGATTTATTATCTTAGAATTCTAGAGGTCAGAAGTCAGCAATGGGCCTCACTGGGCTAAAATCAACAGTACAGCAGGGCCATATTCTTCTGGAGGCCCCATGGGAGAAGCCCTTTCCTGGCCTTTTCCAGCGCCCACAGGCCACCCACATTCTTTGGCTCCTGGCTACTCACTCAGACCTCTGCATCTCTAACTCCGACTCTCTTGCTGCTGTCTTATAAGGATGCTGTGAATTACATCAGCCCCTGTCCTATTCCCCAATAACCCGAGATAATTTCTCCAGCTCAAGATCCTTAACCACATCTCCAAAGTCCCTTTTGCCATGTAAAGTCACATCTTCATAGGTTTCAGGGATTAGGATGTGGACATCTTTGGGGGCCCATGATACACCTATGGAGAGGAGAAGTAAAGTGCCTAAGATCACAAGCCACCAGGTCCCAGGAACTGTGTAAACACAGAAAATAGGACAAGAAGAGGCTTGTTCCAAAGAGGCCCTCGCTACTTCACAGTCCCACCAGGAGGGCAGTGCTCTGTGCCCAGGGGCAGGCTGAGCTGCTCTCCCTGCGGGGCTGCCAGCTACCCTGACTCGTCTTCCCAGGCCCTGTGCATCCTTCCCTGACCCCTCATCAACCTGAGGAAAGCTCTGGAATGCCTTCTCCTAGGCTCTCACTGTAGTATGAGGGCATTTTTCTTACTGTGTGGCTTAATTCCATGTCTTTCTCCCGCACTGGACCGTGAACAGAGACCACATCTGCTCCTCTCTGTTCCCAGGACCCAGTACAGGAGTGCCAGCTTGTGCCTTCTGCTCTGTGTGACCTATCAGAACCCACACACTTTCTCTGGTCATCTTAACAAAGACTCTTTCTACGTCTTACCCAGGAGCACCCTAACCCTTTGTCTAGAGCCCGGGCTCAGTAAATAAATGAATGGATGTCATCCACTGATCTACCCCATCACCCTCTTTCAGTTCTCATCATAGTGCTTACCACCATGTGAACACGTTCTAACTTAGCAAGTGTATTATTTGTCTTTCCTTACCGAAACATAAGGTCCAACATGGCAGGAATGCGTCCTGCCTTGTTGAGAGCTGGTACTGAACCTGGCACTTATGACAATAGTAATAGCAATAAGAGTAACTTATGGGGTGCTGCCTCTTGGTGGTATGGGATGGATGAATGAATGAGTGAAAAAAGTATAAATCAGAAAAGAAAGCATTTCTAATTAGAAAGTCATGAGATGACATTTCTTACCTATTCATGAAAATATAAAAGTTGCGTGATAGATGCTGATGCCAAGACTGTGGAAAACCACTTTCATAGATTTCTGGTGGAGATACAGAATGACGTTACCCCTATGGAGAGAATTTGGCAATATCTAGCTAAACTGTGTATGTGATTACCATTTGACCCACCAAACCCATTTCTAAGAATCTGTCAAACTGATACTCTGAAAAAAGGAATAAATTACATATGCATAAGTTATCCATTGCAGCACTATTTGTAATAGCCTAAAGGAAAAGTGAAACAGTATGCAACAGAGTTCTACGCAGTGGTAAAATGAATGAGGGTGACCAGAAATTCCATTTCTAAGAATCCATCCAATAGAAATAAAAATACGTGTTCATACAAAGGCATATAGGTCAGGCACAGTGGCTCATGCCTGTAATCCCAGCACTTTGGGAGGCTGAGGTGGGATGATTGCTTGAGCCCAAGAGTTTGAGACCAGCCTGGGCAACATGGTGAGACCTCATCTCTATAAAAACTTAAAAAATAAAAGGCCAGGCATGATAGCATGCACCTGTAGTCCCAGCTACTTGAGAGGATGAGGTGGGAGGATCACTTGAGCCCAGGAGTTGGAAATTATAGTAAGCCATGATCACAC
This sequence comes from Homo sapiens, assembly GCF_000001405.40. Classification (NCBI taxonomy): domain Eukaryota; kingdom Metazoa; phylum Chordata; class Mammalia; order Primates; family Hominidae; genus Homo; species Homo sapiens. Next base: position 79,252,666 of record NC_000015.10, on the reverse strand, counting down.
TGCTGTACTCCAGCCTGAGTGACAGAGCGAAACTGTCAAAAAAAAAAAAATGACATATGTATGGATGTTGATAGGAGCATTATTCATAATAATCAAAGACTGGAAGTAATCCAAATAGCCATCAACTGGTTAACAAATAACAGATAAACAAAATGTGGTATTGTCATACAATGGATTACAATTAGGCAATTAAAATTGACAAAGTACGAATACATGCGACAACATGAATGAAGCTTAACGAACGTGGTAAGTGAGAGAAACCAGCCACAAAATACCATATGACTGCCTGAAATGTTTAGAAAAAGCAAATGTCTAGAGACAGAAAGCAGATCAGTGGTTGCCTGGGGCTGATTTGGGAGTGGGGATTGACTGCAAATGGACACAAGGGGACTTTTTGGAGTGATGGAAATGTTCTGAAACCAGACGGTGGTGGTGATTGCATAACTCTATACACCTACTAAAATCATTGAATTATACACTTGCAATGGGTAAATTTTATGATATATAAATTATGCCTCAGTGAAGCTATTAAGCAAAAATGATTGAGGAAGACTTCTGTAGAAGTTCAGCTATGGAGTCATCTGCAGGCTATAATATCAAGTTTAAAAAAATTAAACAAGGCATAGAACAGTGTACTGAGTGAGCAAACAATTGAAGTATAAACCAAAAAATAATAAAAATTATTTATCTATAGGGAGAGAGAAGAAACAGAATGGAAGAAACATGGAAGGAAGCAAGATTCCTCTGAATTCTAAAAGCTAGACTTCTCTTGGTTTTAGTTTTGAATTTGGAAACAAGAAAATGTTTCATGTAATTAAAAATACAAAATAAAGCAAATTTCCAATTTCCTAAACTGGAAACAAACTGAAACAAACTATATATCAAGTTTGTTATACACCTATAAGAGGAGTATTTCAACTGACTTTGAAACTCACTATTTGGAGTATGCATGTCCAGTGAAATAGATGCTAAAACACCCATGCATAGCAGAAGAAGCAGTACAGCAAGCCTGACATGGGAGTTGAGGCTAAACACGGTGAGGAGGGTGTTTGGGGGTGGAGGGGGATGGTGGCAGTGGTAGCTACTCAGTGCAGGGTGTCAGGCAATGGCTGTTCATAGCAGATACACACTATGGTCCTTGTGCATAGCAGATACACGCTAAAGTATGGAGGAATGAAAGGGCATCATGTCAGCAACTCACTCTAAGATGGTTCAGCGGGGAAAAGCTTTTTGAACTATTCCTATAGTTTTTCTGTAAGTCTGAAATTATTTCAAAGTAGAAAGAAAAAATAATGGAAGAATGAACGGGGCACAAACTTATTTTTCTGAGAATTAGTAAATAAAGAAAAAGAACCAAGTACTTATCCTACTTTGTTCTGATTTCAAAGTAATCAAGTAGTTGATCAGGGAAAGTTATTCTTTAGAGAAGTAGACCAGCTAATTAAGACAGAAGCAAATTATTTAAATAGAAAAAAAAATCACCACTTTGCAACCCCTAATGATATAACGGATCCAGGCTACAATCATCAATGGATGCTAAAACTTTCAGAAGGGTTGTAAGAGATCTTTAAAGTTGATGGGTTCATTTGACAACACTTGAACTCAGGGATCAATTTTAACATATGAAAGTTGGGGCAATCAGACATCAGGTCAATGTCATAAGAAATACTCAGCACAACCTATGACTTGTTCCTGCCAAAATGAAAGCTGAGCCAGAATCTAATGGAGTTTCTAGAGCAGTGGTTCTCAACCAACTGGGGGTGATTTTGCCTCCCAGACATTTGGCAATGCCTGGTGACATTTTAGGCTGTTAGAACTCGCAGCCAGGAATGTGCTACTGACATCCAGTGTCTGGAGGCCAGGCGTGCTGCTAAACATCCCTCTGTGCACAGGGCAGCCCCCACGACAAGCAATTATCCCCAAAGTATCAACAGTGTGGCGTTGAGAAGCCCTCCTCCAGATCTAACTCCCATATATATGGGAGACCAAAAAACATGTTAAATAACACCACAAGGATGAAATCAGCCAAACCTAAAATACTGGAAATGGTATAGCACAAATGATCCACTTTCTCCAACAAATACAGTAAATGGAATGAAAATGGGGAGAAGAGGGGGCACTGAAATAGATTTCTTAGAGACATAAAAAAATGCAATGTGTGGACATAATTTGGATTCTAATTCAAACAAAGCCACCGTAAAAAAAAATTCTGAGGCAGTATGGGGAAACACAGGCTGTGTTATTAGATGATGTAAAGAACATGTTATTAATTGTGTTCAAAGTGATATTAGTAGAGTGGTCACGTTTTGTAAGCCCTTGTTAGAGAGGCATATTAATTATTTATAGGTGAGTGATGTGATGGCTGGGATTTGCTTAAAAACAGCACTTTTCAAAGTGCAGGCCATAGATATCTGAGGGAATCCCCAAGATTACTTCAGGGATCTTCAGAATCTAAACTATTTTAATTACGATATTACAATGTCCCTTACCTTTTTGACTGCCTTGACATTTGCACTGATGATGCAAAAGCGATAATGAATAAAACTGCCGATGCTCCAGCAGGAATCAAGGCAGTGGTATAGAACAGTTCTAGCAGTCACTGTATTCTTTTTTTTTTTTTTTTTTTTTTTTTTTGAGACAGAGTCTTGCTCTGTCGCCCAGGCTAGATGCAGTGACACAATCTTGGCTCGCTGCAACCTCTGCCTCCTGGGTTCAAGTGATTCTCCTGCCTTAGCCTCCCGAGTAGCTGAGATTACAGGTGCCCACCACCACGCCTGCTAATTTTTGTATTTTTTTGGTAGAGATGGGGTTTCACCATCTTGGCCATGCTGGTCTCGAACTCTTGACCTCATGATCCACCAGCCTCTGCCTCCCGAAGTGCTGGGATTACAGGCCCGAGCCACCGCACCTGGCCTCAGTCACTGTATTCTTTATAGCTACCTATTCAAGGAAAAAAAAGATAAAAATTAAAAAGGTTAATTTAACTTAAGAAGGTACTGGGCCAGGAGCAGTGGCTCATGCCTGTAATCCTAGCACTTTGGGAGGCCAAGGCGGGTGGATCACCTGAGGTCAGGAGTTGGAGACCAGCCTGGCCAACATAGTGAAACCCCGTCTCTACTAAAAATACAAAAAATTAGCTGGGTGTGGTGGCTCAGGCCTGTAATCCCAGCTACTTGGGAGGCTGAGGGAGGAGAATCGCTTGAACCTGGGAGGTGGAGGTTGCAGTGAGCCGAGATCATGCCACTGCACTCCAGCCTCGGCAACAAGAGCAAAACTTTGTCTCAAAAAAATAAAAAAGGTACTACATGAAGCAATAGAAATTATTAATTTTGTTAAATCTTGACCTTTCAGAATACATCTGTTAAGTATTTCATGTGACAAAATGGGAAGTACTCATCAAGCACTATTAAAAGGTGCCTTCATTTTCCATCTATGGCTGTATGTGGGGCCAAATTTTCTTCACACATTTCAATCAAACAACAATTGTAACCGATTGAATGTAGAAGCAGACACAAGAATCCAGCTTCTGGCCAGGCGCGGTGGCTCATGCCTGTAATCCCACCACTTTGGGAGGCAGAGGTGGGTGGATCACTTCAGGTCAGGAGTTTGAGACCAGCCTGGCCAACATGGCAAAACCCTATCTCTTCAAAAAATACAAAAAGTAGCTGGGCGTGTGGTGGTGGGCGTCTGTAATCCCAGTTACTTGGGAGGCTGAGGCAGGAGAATCGATTGAACCTGAAAGGCAGAGGTTGCAGTGAGCCCAGATCGCACCACTGTACTCTGTCCTTGGGGACAGAGAAAGTCTCTGTCTCAAAAAAAAAAAAAAAAAAAAAAAAGATTTTCTCTATAGAGAATCCAGTTATCTTCCATTAAGCCAGACATAAAAGAGATTTGTAAAAATGTAAAATAATGCCACTCTTCTTTCTAGTTATTGTTTGTTTTGCAAAATATAATTTTTTCACTTAAAATATGTCATTTATATTAACATGTAATAAGTATTACTATTATTTTTAAATGAATTAATAAGTAAACATTTTAAAGTTTCTTTGTTTTAATATCTAATGTAAATATAAAAAATTTGACTGACAAAAGCTGTTTGGGGTCCTCAATATTTTTTAAAAGTGTAAAGGAGTTTTGAGACCAAAGAATCTGACAGATATTGCTTTAAAATTATCTAGAAATGAAATGAAACAAAACCAAACAAAAAATGTGGTGGAGAGAATGGGACAGATTTGATGGGATTGAATGGAATTTGAGTAATGAATGCATGGGATTCCTTGCACTCTTCTCTCCCTTCTTGGTATGTTTTGAATTTTCTGTAATAAATAACTTTTCCAGAGAGAGCATCTCCTTCATAGGATGTTAATAACTACATCCGCATGTGACTTCAGGGCCTGGGAACCCAGTCAGAGTTAAGAAAATTCTCTGCAAAAAATACGGAACCCCACTCTTTTCTAAGGACATCTAAGGTGGGGGACATGGGTGGTGAAAAGAAAGCAATGTCAGGTCAAAGCCCCCACCTGGGCCCATGCCTCTCAGGTAATGGCAGGGATGGCCCTGATGTCCACATCTAGGGCCCCAGGAAAAATGACACTGTTTGGGAAGTGGGGAGGTCTGGGGTCTTTTCTCTGCACCACGAGAAATGTGCTAAGAAGCACAAACCCTTATGTGGGCCACAGTTGGACTAGATGATCTTTGAGAGCCCTTCCAGCTAAAGCATTTTGTGCAAAGCAATTATTCTTGGCCTCATGAGTTTTCATTCATTTAGTAATTTTAAGTGTTTGTTGTCTGTCAAGCACAGGGTCTGCCTTGTTCAGGAGAAGAATATGAAGCAGAGCAGCATCTGTGACTTCTGTGATATTAGGAAGGCCCAGCTGCCCCTCCACACCCCTGCCCCATCTTCTTATTCCAAAAATTCAACCGTTAACGTAACTACTGCCTTGATTCCTTTTGACAGAGTCATCACTGACACCTTAATAAAGATGTGATTCTGACCCTTTCCAAAGATAGAGACCAAAAAGAGGGGTGGGTCTGTATGGAAGGCACTGAACTCAGTTTGAGACACACTGATTTGATGGCTCTGCAGGTTGTCTTAATGGAGGTGTCCAGTTGGGTGTATCAGTCTGGAGCTCAGAAGAGTGGTCCCAGTGAAAGACGGAGACCTGGGGACTGTCCACATTGACAAGGCAATGGAGATATGGATGTGGGTGACTTCAGCTAGGGTCTCAGCAAACAGAAGGAACCAGGAGACAAGACTGAGAAAAAGCACTCTCAGGGAAAGAAATGTATGAAAGAGATAAGGAAGGAATGGAAAGAGTAGGGAGAGGGATACCAGGAAGAAGGAGAGTGTGTGCTCAGGGAAGGAGGGAGTAGACGTTAGTGCCAACTGCAAGCGGTCAGGTGAGAATGAAAACTAATAGGCACCTAGTGGAGTTGGCAACAGGGAGCCATTGGTAACCTTGTCCCAAGCAGTTTCAAATGGGGAGCAACCAGCCTAAGGTTGAGAAGGGCAGATGAGGAAGTGTAAATGATAGGTATAGACTACTGTTGGAAAGTTTAACAAAGAGAGGAGCTCCCCACATTCAGCAAGGAGTTTTGCTTAATTTTTTAAATAGGAGACATCTGAGTAGGTTTAAAACCAACATTGTAATCAGTCTTATTGATTGGTAGAAGGAAGCCAATACATACAGAGAAGTTGATGAGACAACAAAGATGGTGAATTATCAAAGGATGGAGAGGTAGAAGAAGCAGATTACAAGAAACACAAATGACCAATAAAGAACTGCAAATTCAGGCAACAATGAGATACTATTTTGCACCAGCCAATTTGGCTATTTATGGATAAGGAAACTGAGGCACAGATAGGTTAAAGATCAAGACCACGTCAGCAGCAAATAACAGAGCCAGGATTAGAGCTCAGGCAGTCTGGATCCTGAGCCTGAGTTCTCAACCAGGATACTATGCCTTTTCTCTAAAAGTAGTCATTGCTTAATCATGCATTTCTATAAATACGTGTAAATAAGTACATGTAGACATACATATATGTGCATGTGTAATACACATTAATGTTCATGGAGAAAAGACTAGATGCCAAATTATGAAGAGTGGTTATTTCTGGGTAATTGGATTATAGCTGGTTTTCACTTTCTTTGCACTTTTCTATATTTCTGTATTTCCTATAAAGGGTAAATTACTGTTGTAGAAGAAAAAGAGAAGTTATTTTTAAAAACAAGCCTGGGGAGGAGACTAGGATGAAGGCAGGACCAGACCCCTTTGTTCAAGTCTGTTCTTTTGTGAAAGCTTGCAGGGAAGGGAGGTCAAAGTCTGAAGGGATGAGCCAGTGTCTTTCAGCAGCACAGACAGGACCAACAGGATGTCTCTTTGGTTTTCCTGCAAGTTGGCCCTACTGCTTAGCATCTGCAAAAGCCTGGAGCATTTTCCCTGAGGATTGCTGTCTCCCATCTCCAGCAAAACTCCTCTGGTCTGAGGGGACCATCACACAGGATCTTAGCCTCTCCAGTAAGACTGGTCCCCATGCCCTCCCCAGGAAGAAATCATTAAGCTGCATTCCCTCTGAACCTGCTCCTTCCCTTGGTTGAAGGTATGCTTTCCTGGCTCTCTGAAGAACCAAGACCAGGTCAAAGGCCTCCCCAGGCCCCTCTGCAAGGCTCAGGCCCCATGGTCAGGCTTCCAGGTGAACAGGTTCTCCATGACACCCATGCAAGCAGCCATTCCACTGACTCCATCTCAGGAGACCCCATTCCCTCCCCTTGGCAGCAGCTTTTCCTCAGGAAGACATCACTACCTACTAAGACAGGTACAACTTCTCCCTGGTGGCAGACACCCTGCCGTACTTCCTCCTCTGTCTGCTGCATTCTCTTTGAACCACCGTGGGAGAGAGTCCATGTCCAGGCAGTGCTTCCTCCATTTCCCATCTATCACCTCAGCGGCCATTATTTTTTTTAGCTGTGAAGTTTGGTATGAGCTACTTACAGCTACTGAATTCTGTAAGCTTCTGCTTGTGCTCAAATACTTTTTTTCTTAATGAAAGCATCTAAGAGAATAATTCCACACCAAAAAAAAAATTGAAAACAAGAAAATTTTGCTTGTCTTCTGAGAGTAGAAGAAACCAATCCACACAGACACGTGCACCACAGGATGGGGACCGTGACCCAAAGGAGGTGGGTTGAGTTCCAGGTCTGAAGGAAAGAAAGTTTAGTGTGAAGGGTGAGGGAGATGGGAAAAGCAAAAACCGGAGGCACAGGGCAGGGATGTCCTGAACACAGGGTGGCTGTGTGGATGGACGCGAGAGCCAGGGCACGTTCACGTCGCTCCTTTCTATCCCTTGTTCTGCTCTGGCCTCTAGTAGGTTTCCCATGAGGTCCCGCCCACACAGTGAGGGAGCATCCCTAGGCCCAAGGATTCTTTAAAGAATCTGGCAGATGTTGTAATGTGGTACATCTCTCCCCTTGGAAGATTCAAATCCCTGCACGCACACCCACGATTTTGCACCCATGCCAGGGGTTTCCAGGCCAACTTGTGGTACTGTGAGCAGGGAGGGTTCCTGCCCTCAAGGCTATATTCACCAGGCCACTTCTTTCAATGGAAACACACCCCAGACTCTGTTCCTCTTCCCAGAGGGCCTAGCAGAGAGGAAAGAACCAATGCTTCCGAGCCAGCCCTCAAGGCATGTGCATCTCATCCCAGCCACTCACCAACCAGCTGCTGTAGGGCCCCTCGCTCATCCACTCTGTGCCTCAGCATCCTCTTCCATGAAGCAGGGACAACGAATGTGAGGATTAAATCGGAGGTGCTCTAGAAGCATCACTGCCTTTTCCAGCCACCCATGCCTTGACTCAAGACCATCCTCACTCATGAAGCCTCACTCTTTCCAACCCTCTGAGATAGCCTCATTGGCTTACACTTGCCATTGGCCTTGTATTCATTCCTCCTTCATTCAACAAATATTAACTAAGTGTCTATCTATCCTCAGGACCCAGTACCAGATGCTGGGGTACAAAGGTGAAAAGACACACAGCCCCCACCCTAAAGGATGTAAAGGCAAGGCAGGGATGCAGGACATAACAGCCATGTGGTAAGAAATCTGAGAGAGCTCCTGTACATGTGTCAGCACCCACCTCCTAGGGGCAGCCAGTGCTAGTGCTTGGGGGTTCCTGGAAACATAGGCACATGCGGGTAATACCATCAAGAACATCAGCAATCTGTAAAAAAGTAAATGATATTGTCTATGTCTTCAGACTTTGTAGACATCCAAGGAATGCTAATAGGAAACAAACTGGAGGTGGAGAAGGGCAGAGGTGGGGTGTGGGATTGATGTTGCCGTGTGAGCTAAGACATTGATAACAGAAACTAACGTTGGGACATGCAGAATACTTTCCTGTTCCTTAATAACTTAGTTTGGACCCCCACAGCAGACTCACAAAGGGAGTTGTTTTTGTGTTTTCTGTGTGTGTGTGTGTGTGTGTGTGTGTGTGTGTGTGTGTGTGTGTGTTTTAATTAAAAGCCCTACTTTCCTACTTTGCAGATGAGAAAGCACATAGAGAAGTCCTAACTCCGTCTCTGTCAATAGAAGGTGGGGATTTCATACAGATTATTTTGGCCCTGGTGCAGATAAGTGAGATAAGTGGGCAGCCAGCATCTTGAATGCTGTCAGAAAGGCCACATCTTTCCCAGTGGTTCTCACGCTGCCATGGCGACAGTCAGTTAAAAATAGTTCAGTCACAAGATGAGGAGTCAATGTGCACTGACACTCGGCGGTCTGGAATGATGAGCGGCAGGCCGCATTCCATCCCAGGGTAGATAGAGTCCTCCTTACAGGGCGGGTGGGTGCAGATTGCAGATTTCCTTTTTTTCTTTTTTTTCTGAGATGGAGTCTTGCTATTTTGCCCAGGCTGGAGTGCAGCTACGCGATCTCGGCTCACTGCAGCCTCCACTTCCTGGGTCCAAGTGATTCTCCTGCCTCAGCCTCCCGACCCTAGCTGGTATTACAGGTGCCCGCCACCATGCCCAGCTACCTTTTGTATTTTTAGTAGAGACGGGGTTTCATCCTGTTGGCCAGGCTGGTCTCAAACTCCTGACCTCAAGCGATTTGCCTGCCTCAGCCTCCCAAATAGCTGGGATTATAGATTTTCTTATGGAAGTAGAGATGGGCTAGGCCCAGCCTGCAGGAAGGTTGTGAGCAAGTTTAGGGAGCCAGGACTAGTGCAGCTGCCTCCTCGCTGGCTTCCCTCTCCCTTGGCCTCTCTCACACCTGTAGCTGCTGCTTCAGTGGGTTCCTCCCACTGGACTCTTAAGAGGGACCAATGTTTGCTCCCCAGTGCTCTACCCATAGCCAGCAGCATGTCTGATCTTTAGTGAGTATTCCATACTTATTTATTGAGTGAATAAATAAGATGGTAAAATTACCATTTTAACTCCCTGTTTTGAAATACATTTTAATATTTCTGCTTCATGCACTGGCTAGCCATGATCTGTTTTTGTTGACTAGAATCACATACTCAGCATGTCTGAACTGGGTCTTGATGGCTCAGCTAGCTCAACTCCCTCATTTTACAGGAATTCAAAGGGAGCTTGGTCCTAAGTCTCCCGAGTCCCAGTGATATTGCTCTTCTTACCAGCTTTTTCTATCTGGATATAGAAATTGACCTTGATTGAACACCCTCACACCCAGAATGGTTTTAAGACAATTCTGATCATTAAGATCATTGCTTTAAAGAGATGCTCACATACAAGCTTTCATATACCTGCAGGAAGACAAGGGCTATGAGTTGGCAGCTGCAGACAATTCCAGAATACTGGGAGAGGACAGGAATGTGGGAATGATCTGCCTGCCCTGTCTGTGCCACAGAACAGGTTATTTGCATAATAAGCCCTGTGCATTCACAATCCTGAGAAGTCAATGGGTATTATTAGTGTCATATTATCTAGGTCATGCAAGAAAGGACAGAGTTTCCAGATGGTTCAGGAGGATTGGACGTTGCACATGTACCTTGAAGACACTAGCAAAAGCCACTAACCTAGTCAGGCCAGTTCAACCGTCAACCCTCCCCTCACTCCTTGAGCTGAAGCCTCTTAACATTTTCATTCCTATCCTCCATTTGTTGCTTGTCCATTTCAATTGCCTTGGACTTGGAAGGTGGATGACACCCAAATATTTATCTCCAGCCCATGTTTCTCTCCTAAGTTCCAGACATTTAAATCTGCAGTGGTCCCAGGGCCCAAACAACACATCCAAAATCAATTGCAGCATCTCCCTCTGAAGCTGTTTTCCTGATTAAATTCCTGTCTTGGTGGTTGAAAATGCCTCACCACCCAGAGCCCAAGTGAGTCACCTCCTCAACCAATGAACCAATCACCAAATCCTGTCTATTTTCGCCTACTAAAGGTACCTTTCTCTCCATATCTATAGAACTGTACCTGCATGATACAGCGGCCCTCATAATGGTTCCCTGCCTCTGATCTTGGCCTCTACACCCCCTACCCTAATCAGTTCTCCAAAATTGCATCCACATGGAATTTCTGGTCCCACCACGACATTTTTCTGCATGACATCTTTTTTGGCTTCCTGAAGCTATGAGATGGAATCATTGGCCTGGTCCATGGGGCCCTGTGACCACTGCCCACCCCTTCAGGGTCCCCTCCACAACCCTTCCCGCAAAAAGGCATGTCCCCTGGGCCTTGATATTCCCACTATTTGCAGGCCCCCAAATACACCCTGCCATCTCTCACCTCATCCTCTGCCCATAGCCAGAGCCTCTCAAAGACTGAAGCATTCAGTACTTTTAAAATATAAAGAAATCCTCATACAAGTTTTCAAAAATGGTAGCAGGGGCCAGGCACAGTGGCTCATGCCTGTAATCCCAGCACTTTGGGAGGCCAAGGTGAGTGGATCACTTGAAGCCAGGAGATCAAGACCAGCCTGACCAACATGGTGAAATCCTGTCTCTACTAAAAATACAAAAATTAGCCAGGCGTGGTGGTGCACAACTATAGTCCCAGCTACCTGGGAGGCTGAGGCACAAGAATCACTTGAACTTGGGAGGTGGAGGTTGCAGTGAGCTGAGATCATGCCCCTGCACTCCAGCCTGGGTGACAGAGAGAGATTCTGTCTCAAAAAAAAAAAAGGCTGGGCGGTGGGGGGCCAAAATTTTAAATGTTTGCAACTAACCCACTAATGCCATTGGCACAAAAATATTATGATACAATTTATGCTGGTCTGAAGACAATTAAAGGATTTATAGCATATAATAATTTATACTACCATTCCAGACTTAGGTCTAAGTGACCATCCACCCTGATCTGCTTGGGATTGAAGGGACTTTGGTGCTAAAATCAGAAAAGTTCTGAGTGAATGAGGCCAAGCTGGTCACCCTAAGTATGGAACAGTAGTTTATAGTCATATGATGATGACCTTCTTTCAAAACTGTCCATGTATCTCTGTGGCTGTCTAACAGTTGGAGATGAAAGGCCACCTTTGAGGCACTTGGTGAATGGGAAGCCTGAGCTCTCCAGCCTGCTCCCTGCTGCTACTGGTTCGTATGCCATGTTGATGAGCTACTCCTGCCCCTCCTTCCAGGCTCAGCTTTTCTGGGCCCAGCTCACCCTAGCACTGGTCTGCTGATTGTTTGTTCCTATGTTCCTGCAGCATTCTCTATAGGCCTCCTTTCTAGCGAGGTTGCACTGTATTTTGATTTTCTGCTTGCATGTCAGTTTCCTCCTTTAGGTGGTGAGCAACTTAAAGTCCAGGTTGACCCATGGATACTCAGTGGGCAATGAGCAAATGGGGCCATTTTCACAACCCACCCCTTCAGTTCCATGTTGAAATGTTGGGAGATGGACAAGATGTTGGGCCCAGACAATTGTGTAGGCTTTCTTGAAACCTCCTCTGTGCTAAGTGGGAGGAGTAAAGAGATGGCTGGAGCAAAGCCCCAGCCTCAAGGAGTTCTGAACTGCTTGAGAAGATAAGGCAGGTGTCAAGAGAGGGAAGGAAAAAGTTAGCAACACTTGTTTCATGTCACTAGATGATGAAACACCACCTAATTACTATGGCACAGGGGACCAGAGAGGGACCAAGTGCCTGGGGAGGGCTGCCTGGATATGTGGAGGTGGCACAGACAGCACCTACACCAGACATAAGTAGCAAGGAGGCAGATTTCTAATCTAAAGAAATGTTTTAGAAGAACCAGAAATACGAAGTCCCAGGAGTGGTTGCTCCAAGAAAGCCAACTCCAGATAGCCCCTTCTCTGGATGGAGAGTTGAGCATCACGGCCTCTAAGGCTCTTGCCAGGTTCTCCAATTTAACCCTCAGCATTGCCAGCAGAAGGGTGCCACAGATGTTGGAATTGAGTGGGGCATTCAGGGTGTTGTGCAAGAGCGGACTAGGCAGGTCAGAGCATGGGGGAGAGGAGCCTAGAGAGGTAGGTTGGGGCCTCAATCCAGGTGTGCCAGGTGCCCTGGGATCTATAAACATTGAGGGCTTGGAGAGCAGGGGAGCAAGTAGCAAAGTATCTCAGGAGTGTCCATCCTGTTGAGAAACAACATCTCAGTAGTTTCTGGGACAGCAGAAACAACTACATCGTGAAGGCATGCTGGTATGCCCCCTCTGGTTACTTCTCTCCTCACCCATATTCCCCACATTAGCATTTCAGGGCAACCACTGAGATGGAAATCAATCCATCCTCTTTCCCCAATGGGCTCCAAGCAATATGACAAAGCAGTCACCAAAGAGTCTTCCTCATAGCAGGTAAAGCTAAACTGGCAAAGGCACCTTGGATCTGCAGCTGCAATCGGGTTCCCCAATACATTTCCCTGAATTGGGTTTACCCACCCAAAACTACAGGCTTCTCCCTAACAGGGCACAGCATCAGAGAGGGAGAGGACAGGAGGAAAACTTGTGCTCACATGCATGAAGGCCAAAGGGGAAAGCACTTGGGAGGGGCTGATGGGTCCAACTTCAGGCTCTTTTTTCAATCTCGTCAATTTTATCAGACCCTCCCTTCCCCCAGGGAGGAAGAGAAAGGAGTGAGCCAGGTAAGTGTGGCAGCCTTTAGGGAAGAAGAAGACCATAATCCCCGGCTCCAGAGGCAGCAGGTGCTGAGTCTTATGCAGAGTCCCCAGGTGATCTTTACAGCTACTGGTGCTCCAGACTCCAGCCTGGTTCCCCCTGTCAGGCCTCTCCTCCTGCACATGCACAGGGTCAGGGAGGAAGGCCCTGTTCCATCTGCACAGACACTCTGTGGGAATCCAATAGTTGAGTATAATTCAATTACTGGATCCAAACAGAGCATTGTGCTTAATTCCTACCTTCCCAGTAGCAGTAGTGATCAAAGTCTGTGACTGAGCTCTCCCCAGGAAGAGGACACTAGAGTTAGCCTTGTTACAGGAGTCCCTTAGTCCCCTTGATGAGAAAAGTATGGGATCATAGTACACAGACCTGGATTTGAACGGTTGGACCACTGCCAGCTTTGAGATGCTGTGTAAGATGTCACTCTCCAATCTTCCGTTCCATCATCAATACAAAGGGAATAATAGTAATAGTATCGCAAGATGCCATGGGGATTATGGATAATGCAGGGGCAGCACATAGGAGGCACTGAATAAATAGTAGGGTTTTTGTTTGTTTGTTTTTTGTTTTTCCTAAGTAACCAGTTTATATTCTAGTCATGGGTTACTTACTAAAAGTTTGTGTAACATGAGATCACATCAGATCAGAAAACATCAAGTGGGTAGTATTATTAACCGATTAACATACAAAAGAAAGTGCCTTGATATCATGTATCTGGGCTCCAAGGGTAGTCCATAGTTCAGCCTCTTCTTTCTATTCTGCTTTTTTCACCTGTTATATAAAATGATCTATAAAATCCTTATAAATAAGACATGAGTTTTGCCTGTAACGCGGTAGGATGAAAAAATACCAGTGCTGCATGCTATGAAACAATAGAAACTTTATAGGGGAATCCAAGGTTTGTGTGCACAAAAATTATAAATGCCATTTTCTGCTGTGCTGGAAAAACTGAAGCATAAAACACAAATGAACTAGGCCTTTCAAGGATGAGGTATCACAACACTGGTAGCTATTTAATGTATTCATCTTAAGAAGACTGGATGCTAAAAATGCAATCACTGCAATTAATAAAGTTGAGAGAAAACACAAAGATTAGCTAATATGAGTAAAAGATTATTTAGGGTAAAATAAATGTGTAACATTCTCTATGTTCTCAATCACCTGGGAAGGCAGACTATGGAATATCAGGAAATAAGAATTTTCTTGTTTTCAGTAACATTGAGGTAACACTTCAGAATTCAGAAGGTAACTGTGGCTATAAATAGTAATTAAAAAGACAAAATAGAAGAAAGCAGGGGTTCCATTTTCCAGCTGTTGCAATTTTCCTGAAATCTTAATGTTTTTGAGCCTCTCCTATTTAAAGACAAAACAATTTAGCACACAACAAAAACTTCAAAAAGGGTGCCAGCTGGACCACAAAGCACTGATGAAAAGGCAGAGAGGCTATACTTCCCAAACTTTCATTAGGATGTAAAAGCCATTTTGAAAAACAATCTCCACTCTCTGTCAAGTTATTTGACTCCTCAATGCAACATGCATCTCAATGAAATAGAATTTGAGTAGTGTTATGTTGGTATGCATAATGATTATGACTTCAAGAAAAATATATCTAGTACGTTCTGGGGGTTTTGTGGAGGACTCTGTAAAACAAAGAGTTTGAAGTAAACAATAATAAAATACAAAAATTTAAAAAACAGGGTTTTTTTTTCCTCCAAATTCCTGGTTTAATAAGGACCTGTTTATTTTGAGGAAAAAAAGTTCCCAAACATCAAGCTGTTCACAAAAATAACACACAGTATCAACTTTAGAAAACAAATCTTAAGACTATAACACTCATTATTTTTCTAGAGGATGCATTTGACATGCCAACTCTCATTCACAAAAATACATTGTTACATTTGTGTTGAACTGCCCCACACAGCACACTAATGTGGGGGTGTAACACACATACTTCTAATCAAAGCTGCTTTCAGGAGCTACTCAACTAAATAAGCTTGCCTTTGCAGTCAGGGAAGCAACTACTGAACTTATGTATGAATGAAAAGAACTGTCCTCCCTGCATAACAAGAGATTATTTTGGAGACAGTTGATAAAAACCATACATCCTTTTTATTAAGTCATAAAGAGGTATCAAAATTAAAAGCAAATATTACAAGGTAAGACTTAACAAAACTACTAAGAGTGCCAAAGGAAGTGAAAATGGGACTAGGCGCAGGGCAATATGAATTAATAAACATGGGAAGGACAAGGATGGGAAGGACAGTGAGCATGTGCCAAAGATACTAGGTGAGAGGCTCTGGTGAAAAATTTGATCTTAGACAAGTGCCTAGGTAAAGAAATAATGGAATAAGATTTCTAAACCCCACTATGTGCTTAAGAGTCATCCATGCCATTGGTGCTGTCTCTGTCATCCTCTCCTTCCTCAGCCTCTTTTTCATCATCCTTGATCAACTCCAGCTGGTCATCCCCCCATCCTCATTATCATCATCATCCAGTAGGTCCCCCTTCTCAGCACAGTCATCTGCACGCCCCTCAGACTCCATCTTCACATTAGTCTCATCTTTTTCACGGAGCTGCTGCTCTGCTCCTCTTCTGACTTATCATTCCTCATCTCTACTGCGTGTTTGCTCTGTTCCTTTTCAATTTTTTCCAGGTTTTCCAGGAGAGAATCCACTTTTTGTTTTATCTGGGTCAACTCCTTCATAATGGCCTGAAGGTCATCTCCTCTCAACTTTCCAGACTTGGAAGATCCCTGCTGTCCACTCTTAGAATTGAGGCCACTTTTGCCCCTTCATGAGGTGTTTCCTGATACACGCTGACGTTTTGAGAGCACTACAGCCCAAGCAATAGGAGGAGGAGGAGGCACACGTGCTGAGTAACTGTACATCGTGTCATCATAATCACCTTGATAGTCATAGCCCAAGTGAAAAGAGGAGCTATACATCTCCACTGCAGATCGTTTCACGCCTGCTTTTCCACGGTTCACTTTTGGCTCTGCAGCCAGGTTAATATCTAAAACCTGGCCAGCAATCATTCTATCATCCTCTCCTGCTCCAGCAGCCCGGGCATTTCTCTCACTAAAATATTGAACAAAGGCAAAGCCCTTATGAACAGCACAGCCCATTTTGCCATACTTCGAAAAGATTGCCTCCACATCAGATTTCTTGACCACAAGAGTGTTGAGATTCCCAATGAACACATGGGAGTTCATGGAGCAAGGATTTGTCTTGTTGGTAACGTTGCTGGCCATTGTGTTTGCTGATAAGGTTTCTCACAAAGCTGAAAACAGGAGGGGGAGGGAGAAGAGATTCGATTCTGAGTCTCCTACTCCCGGGTTCTACATGGAGAAGCCAACTGCTGCTCAAGGTCACCAACACGGCCACAACCACTCAGTCTTCGTCTCTTCACAAAAAAATCAATAGTAGGTTTTTTTCCTCACCTGTGTAACATCTTGTCACTCCAGATAAACACCACCATCCCTGAGCTGGACTTGACCCAAGTTCCCTGGTCACATCTCCATGGCTTCCAAGTAGATGACAGCATCCTGGCTGGGCTATCAGGTCCCAGGATGCAATGATATTACAGAAATAGTTCCTGTGGCCCCATAAGTCTACAGGATTGAGGCTGCTTCTCACCTCTGTCTCCTTCCAAATTGGCTCTGGAACAGGGATAGGCTGTAATATATAGATGGGACCCTCAGAACCTCTACCTGAGGGGTTCAGGGGAGCCAGAGGCAGGTAACACCAGGCAGGATCCTCCTTGAATTCATCCTTTATGCCTTTAACAAAGTAACCAAGCACATGCTCTAGCGATAATCAATTTAGGCACATCCCACAGATTCCAGCTTCTCTGCCACCAACCACCAGGCATGATCTAAGCAAGCTCTTTCACCTCTTGGAGCCTTAATTTTCTCATCTACAAAATGGAATAACGCGATCATCCTTGAAGGTGAGTTACATGTGATCATGGGTGTGAGCAGCTCTTTGTAAGCAATGAAGGCCCAAGCAATTGGAAGGGGTGGTGATCATGGAACTGTCAAAGGTACATTTGTTGCTGTGAAAAACTGAAGGTACTGGACCATTTTCTCATCTTTCTACAGGTTGCTGGAATCACAACTTATAATTAATGCACAGTGATATGGCTTGACCCAGTTTCCTAAATTGGAATGTTTCAGCTAAAACTGATGAAAAATTCTTGTCTTCCAAGCAGAACTAGCTAGATGAACCCCCTCCAGAGCTAGTGAGTAAATATATACAGTGAAATATATATATATAAATACATTCACTTATTCAACAAATATTGATTGAATGTCTACTCTGCACCATTTATTAAGCTTGGTGTTTTTCCTGACTTGTCTCATGTAATCTCCACATGAATTCTGTGAGGTAGACATTGTTATCCTGATGTACAACTGAGGAAACTAACAGGGATTCGATTATTGGATCAAAGCCATACACCTAGAAAGTGGCAGACAGACAGTGAAACCCATTTCCTTGACCCAGTGAACCTGCTCTTCTGTGACACCACATGACTTCGGCAGGCCCCTCATAAAAGGGGTGCCAGGGTTATGTCTGGGCAGATGGGATTGTATATTAGTTCACTCTCCCGCTGCTATAAGGACATACCCGAGACTGGGTAATTTATAAAGGAAAGAGATTTAATTGACTCACAGTTCCACAGGGCTGGGGAGGCCTCAGGAAACTTGCAATCACGGTGGAAGGTGAAGAAAACACATTCTTCTTCACATGGTGGCAGCAAGAAGAAGTGCTGGGCAAAAGGGGGGGAAAAAACCCTTATAAAACCATCAGATCTATGAGAACTAACTCACTATCACGAGAACAGGATGGGGGAAAACTGTCCCCATGATTCAATTATTTCCACCTGGTCCCTCCCACAACACATGGGGATTATGGGAATTACAATTCAAGATGAGATTTGGGTAGGGACACAGTTAAACCATATGAGATTGGATGTTTAAGGAGCAAGTCAGGTGGATGACAAATTCTGGCTCATATGTGTCCCCCAGTTCTCCATCAAATATCCAGCCTTCCCTGGGACCCAGCAGCTCATCCTCCCTCTGCTTCAGCCAGCTCCCTGGGTGCCCCCATGGCCCCTGGAATGTATTTACTGCCTTTCACCCTTGCTAGGCTCACCAAGTTCATACCACTGGGTTGCTGCATCGCCCTCAACCTTGGTTCTATCTTGTTCCTCTTCCCACCATCCCAGGCCCCTCTAGGACTGGACTGGCACTGGGGCTTCATCTTCTGAACTGGGCAGCCACGCCTCCCCTGCACCCTGACTCGTTGGCAGTCATTGGGCAGCCCAGGATGAGAGTCAGACAGATTGAGGCTCTTCTGATTGCTCCCTATTTGAATTTGAGAAAATAACTTGATTTTTCAAGCCACAGTTTCCATATCTGAGAGTAGAGAGTAATGGCTGTCTCACAGGGCTGCTGTAGGGATGAAATGAGAAAGATACTAACGTTTTTGACGTCTGGGAGTCACTCCCCAAGCGCTCTCTTTCACTTCTCCTACACTTCCAAAGAAGTATGGCAAATGGTAAATTGTGTACTATGTAACCTTTTTTCCCTATGATTTATCATCTTTATTTATCTTTAATTTCGGTGAGCAGAATTAGATTCGGTGAATCTAATTCCTTTTTCAAATTCAATCCTCAGTATTTCAACATGATTTATTAAATTTTCCTTCCATATTGCTTACTGACGTTCAGCTCTTCACACGTTATAGCCACCTTTCATATAATTTGATCTAATTCTGTGTCCTTTTTGTATGATTTATATACAGTTTTCTCTTTATGACTGCACTTCAGCTGTTTTTATCACTATTGCTTTAAAACAGGTTTTTGTGAAAGGCAGATAAATCTTCCCTACCTCTCCTCCCCTAACCCCTGTCAGAATTGTTTCTTATTCTTGGCCATTTATTCTCCCGGGCATACTATTCTGTCAAGTTTCAAGAGAGGTATTGGAGATTTAGATTAGGATTTACTGGGCTACATAGAGGATATAAAGGCTAGCACTTAGTTTCAGGAATTTGTGTCTAAATCCCATGAGCCTTGAAATCTCAAGTGCTTGGCCACACACACACATACACACACACACACACACACACACACACACGCACAGCCGCCTCTGCTGCCTTCTTGCTTTCCCAATACTTCCCCACTGACAAAGTATAGAAAGAAGGCAGTAAAAAATGACAGTCACCTGCCAGGCCTGGCTCCTATTGAAAGTTACTGCGATTAAGCTGGAAATTTGTCTAGATTTAGAGGGGATCCCAAGAGCCTCGGAGTCCAGACTGCTCTGCCCATTCCGCATTACACTGACATTTGACTAATCCCGTGGTTCTCTAACTCGAGTTTGCCAACCAGCAGCATTAACAGCACCTGGGAACTTGTTAGAACTACAACTTATTGGGTACCACTCAGGCCTACTGAATCAGAAATTCTGGGTATACGGCTCAGTAATCTGAGTTTTAACAAGCCTCCAGGTGATTCTGGTGCATGCTCAAATTTGAGAACCACTGGATTAAACAAGCAGAGATTTACTCAAAGGCTACCTCCACCTGGAATTACCGGACCTGGTAGTCTGGTCAGCTGCATAGAAGCAACTTGGAACCGTGCTGCAAATGTACAACAGTGCTGCAAAACCAGACACACGGCAATAGGACCACACGTGACCTATAAATGGATGTGAGGAGAATCAGTATCTTAACACTATTGTTCCCCCTTGCCAGGAGACTGCAATTCTCTATTTATTTTGGTCTCCTTTAGGAATCAAAAGTAGTACGGCTTTCTCTACCTGGGTCACAAACATCCTGCACTGGGTTTATTCCAAAGTAGTTAATACACTTTGTTACTGTGAATGCAATCTCTTTAGCTGTAAATTTCCTAATTGATTATGCCTGGTATTCATCCTGTATCCTGGACATTTGTGGGCAATTAGTCATTTTTCTAACCTCTTTATTTCTTGTCTTTTTTTTTTTTTGAGACAGAGTCTCGCTCTGTTGCCCAGGATGGACTGCAGTGACGTGATCTCAGCTCACTGTCAGCTCCACCTCCCAGGTTCACGCCATTCTCCTGCCTCAGACTCCCGAGTAGCTGGGACTACAGGCACCCACCACCACACCTGGCTATTTTTTTGTATTTTTAGTAGAGACGGGGTTTCACTGTGTTGTACTGTGTTAGCCAGGATGGTCTTGATCTCCTGACCTCGTGATCCGCCCGCCTCGGCCTCCCAAAGTACTGGGATTACAGGCATGAGCCACTGTGCCTGGCCTCTTGTCATTTTTAACAGCCGATTTGTCTGTCTTTTCAGGTTGTCTTTTAGCAGTATTAGTACTTGCTAACTATTTGTGCCTACTATTTACTACATGCATGTCTGCTTCAGGTAATAGCTGGGAAAGCGGATCTTGCTTAACAAAGGATGATGGGGAAGGGCATTTTAGGGGCCAGCTTGTGCTGGAACACATTCCCACCTGTCTACCTACCTGGCCTCAACTCAGCCTTCATGATTCACCTGGCAGGCCTTCTTTCGGCCCACAGTCCCCTGGGAGGATATGTCTCCTAGTGTTTTTTATCATACTCTTAAGGCTGTAAAAATTCACCTTTGTTCTTATCCAAGTTTTAAAATTTGTTTGCAGAGTTATGCGAACTACTCTGTAATCATTCTTTTAATTTAGCTTTAATGGTTTCATTTTTATATTTAACTCTTGGATCCATATGGAATTTATTTGCACATGAAGAATGAGGTAAGAAATCCAATTTTTCCCCCTTCAAATAACTAACCAGTTTTCTCAACACCGTTTATGGAATAACCCATCCTTGCTGATAAATTTAACGATGCCATTTTAATCAAATACTCAATTCCCATATGTGCTTGAATTCATTTTTGGACTCTCTATTTTCTTACACTGGTCTCTTAGTTTATTTCTGCCCTAAAATTATATTGTATTAAATATCTGTAGCTTTAAACAATGTTTTTGTTTTGTCTTTGTTTTTGTATTTTATTGTGTGGGTTATGACAATGTTTTGATACCTGATAGTATCATAGTCATGTTCATTATTCTTATTTTTTAATTTTTTTTCTGATTCCAATTATGTGTTCATTCTACCAGATAAAATTTAGTTTAACTTACCAAATTTCAAACAAAATTCTCTTGGTAATTGGATTGGAAACACACTGAATTTAGAGATTACATTCAGAAATTGAAACTGCTCTATTGAGTACTCTTCTAAAGAAAATCAAGGGAGGTTTTCACTGACTGAATTATTTTTTCTGGCTTTTAATAGGAATTTAAAGTTTTTAGCATAGGGCCCTAACATTGATTATTAGATTTGTCCCTAAATATTTAGTTTGTTTCTATTGTAAAAGGCATCTTTTCTTCTGATATGGTTTGTGTGTTTGTCCCCTCCGAATCTCATGTTGAAATGTAATACCTAAGTGTTGGAGGAGGGTCCTGGTGAGAGGTAATTGTATTATGGGGGCAGATCCTCACGAATGGCTTAGCACCCACCATCCCCTTGGCGATGAGTGAGTGAGTTCTTCCTCTGAGTTCATGCGAGATCCAGCTGTTTAGAAGTGTGTGGCCCCTCCCCTCTCTCTCTCTCTTGCTTCTGCTCTCACCATGTGACACCACTGGCTCCCCTTCACCATCAGCCATGATGTAAGCTCCCTGAGGCCTGCCCAAAAGACAAGCAGATGCTGGTGCCAGGCTTCTTGTACAGCCTGCAGAACTGTGAGACAATTAAACCTCTTTTCTTTATAACTTCCCAGCTTCCGGTATTTCTTTATAGTAATGCAAGAATGGACTAACACATCTTTTGTTAAATTTTCTAACTGGTTACTAATAATGAAGGTTTGATTTTTGATATAAATTTATAACCAGGTGCTTTTTCCTTTCTAAATTTTTTACCTCTTATGTCTTTCTCATGTATGATAATAGGAGTTCTTATTTCTGACTTTAATGGGAATGCTTTTGGCTTTTTACATTAAGTTGTGATTGTTTGGGGTGGAGGATTATAAATTTTTGTAATGCTAAGGAAGTATCTATTTTATTAATTTTTTTAAAAACCTAAAATGAAGATTGAGCAATGGCAAATGAGTTCTTTGGCATCAGATTTTCTAGTATTGAGCCATGCTTACATTCTTGGGCTTTATTTATCTTTGTGTATCTTTCTTTTAGTGTCTTATGCTTTCTCTCTGCTGATATTTTATTTAGGATTTTTGCATTGGTTGTCATAATTGAGATTAATCTGTAAATTCTTCTTTTTTCCCTTCTTTTTTCTATCTTTCATTTGTATCAGAGTTTGGTATAGTGTGGTGTAAGATTCTCCCATCTCTGGCAACAGTTTAAGAAGCACCATAGAGCTTGGTACTGTGGCTCATGCCTGTGATCCCAGTACTTTGGGAGGCTTGATGGGGGTGGATCACTTGAGGTCAGGAGTTCAAGACCAGCCTGGCCAACATGGAGAAAGCCTGTCCCTACTAAAAATACAAAAATTAGCAGGCTGTAAATATGGAGGCTGTGACGTTTAAGATCAAGAAGCTGGCATTGGTTTCTGGTGAGGGCTGCTGTCTGTTTCCAAGATGGCGCCTGTTGCTGTGTCCTCATATGGCAGAAGGCAGAAAGGCAAGGGGATGTTCCCTTCAACCTCAAGCCCTTTTATAAGGGTCCTAATCTCATTCATGAGGACAAAGCCCTCATGACTCAATCACTTCCCAAAGGCCACAGGTCTTAATATTATTGGTATTGGGAATTCAGTTTCTGTATGACTTTTAGAGGGCTCAAACCATAACAGGACACAAGAATTATGAAGAATCGGGGAATCATGACACATCCAGAAAGCCCTACTAAAGCTGCAACAATGGACCCCAAAGAAATGGAGATCTATAAAATGACTGAAAAATAATTCAGAATAACCCTCTTAAAGAAGGTCAGGGAACTAAAAGAATATATACAGAGAAAATTAAATGAAATTTGGAAAAGAATACACAGACAAAATGAGAAATTTAACAGAGAAATTGAAACAATAAAAAATAGAAATTATAGAGATAAAAAATATAATAACTGAACTGAAAATTTTAATAGAAAGCTTCAACAGAAATTTTGATTAAATAGAAGAAAGAACCAGTGAGCTTGAAGATAGGACATTTGAAATTATCCAGTCAAATAATAAAAAAAGAATGAAGAAAGCCTCCAGGAATTATGGGATACCATCAAGAGACCCAACATTCACATAATAAAAGTTGCTGAAGGAGAAAAGAGAGAAAAAGAGCCAGAAAGCATGTTTTAAAAAATAACAGCTGAAAACTTTCCAAATATAGGAAAAGACGCCAACATCCAGGTACAGGAAGCACAGAGATCTCCAATTAAATCCAACCCAGAAAGGAGTTCACCGAGATATATAATAACCAAACTATCAAAAATCAAAGACAAAGAAAAATTTCCAATAGCTGGGTTTTGACTCAGTTGGTATATAGTGTTTAAATAGCCAGTTAAACATAGAGTAAATAGTCATAGAAAAACAAAATGGTTCCTCCTCTCCTAGTAAATACAGTTTATCTGCAGAATGAAGATAAGGGCTTCTACATCTAAGGCAGGATCTTTACCTTGACACTATTGACATTTGGGACTGAATAATTCTTTGTTGTGGAGCACTGTCTGTCCTGTGCATTGCAGGATGTCTAGCAGCATCCCTGTCCTCTATCCACCAGATGCCAGTAGCACCCTCCATACCTCCAGTTGTGACAACCAAGAATGTCTCCAGACATTGCCAAATGTCTTCCCTTGTTGAGAAGCATTGACCTAGGAGAAACACTCCACACCTTTCTCCTAGGCTTCCCACTCACCTATTCCCATCAGTTGCCTTCAAATAGAAGTTTCAGAGTGAGATGTGTGGCAGAAGTGCTGCTTTGTAACAGTGGAGAAAGCCTCTGCTTTGACTTCTAGAAGCTTCTATCTCTGATGATACCTTTCAAATTTATGGTAAAAGCTTGTAATCCTTTATTTAGTTGAATGCTACCAATTTATTCCTTGCTGGCGTGTCTTCTATTTCAATTTTTTTATTAATTTTATGGAGAGGGAATTTACGTGTTCCTCTATACTCCACCACCTTTCCACACCTGTCTCCTCTCTCGGTCCCAGCTCCGAGTTCTTTTCACTGCATGTCTGACAGAGAAATGTCAGGTTACAGTAAAATTATAATTAGATCTATAGTCAGCTCTTATCAGATGGCATTAAACAGAGGAACCTGGAATAAAGTACAATGTTCTCTAAATGGAGAAATATTTTTACATGAATATTTTGGTATTTGTTAATGTACTGGAGTTAATAGAGAGGTGTAGGAGGTGCTGAATAGACATCCAATTTGTAGTGATGATTGCCAAATTAAGATTAGCACAGAAACCTGTCTGGAGTGGGAGGTAAAGTCTGCTGTTCCAAAGAAGAGGTTTTAAAGGTGTAGGTGGGAAGAGTGAGAAAAACGGAACATAAATGCTCTTGGGACAGGAATGAGAAAAGAACCTGCAGGTCCCCTGAGAGCCAGGAGTATTAATTTAGAAGTAGGTGTGACAGCCAGCCCAGAGATGACCAGCAATGGCCATTCCTTAATCCTGACCTTGTTGACATCCTTTAAAAGCATCGGATAACTTACAGCTTGCAAAGAAATTTCATATATTTAGCATTTTAAGTAAAATGGGTAAATGCATGTGATGGCCTAATAAAAGGATTTGTAATGGGATCCCTAAATAGACAAGGGCATAATTATGATTAGCCAAGGACAATCACTGGGAAGAGGGACTTAGCTGAAAGCTGCTAACATTCAACATTCCCTGTAGCCAGAAGACTTAAGTGCTTCAGTCTCAAAGGTGGAAGAAATCTGGGTGGCAAATGACAGCATCCACTACAGTCTACCCGTTGTGCCACTCAGATCCACTTGTTTTGTAAAAGTCTTGAGAGCAGCTCCTTCAGGATTCTGGTGGGCCTCTTTTCCTGGGGGAAAGGCACAAAAATAAAGTAATTGGCTGGACTGTAGCGTTGCCATTGCCACTGGCCTCAAGATCATGACATGACTGGTCCTTATTATCTTCTTTCTCTATTATGCATCTGAGAGTCCCCTTACTCTTGGTGAGCACTTCTGATCTAGGCATTTTGCCTTTTGTGGGTTACCTGTGGTCTAAACCCCAAGTCATTATGTCTTTCTCAAGCTGTGGCAGCAATACTTGACCATTTCCCATGAAGATTGGACAGGGGAGTACTGACAGAAGCCCCAGTGGATCACTTTGGTCTCAAACACATTTTTCTCTGCTCCCCTTTGGATGACAGCAGCCTTAGTTTTGCCTAATCGAAGTCAATTACCACAGCTAGAATGGTGACTCCTTTCTTTTTCTGTCAGCACAAATTGCCCACAGTGACCATGCAGCAGCCATAATATGAAATTTAATGGGACTTGTATAGCCGTTGATGGAATCATTTCCCCAACCTGAGGTCAAGACCTCCAGACTCACAGACTCCAAACTTGTGGGAACAGGATGCAGACATTCACTAACTGGGAGTAATGTAAGTAGGACCACTTCTCCCTCCACCTCTTAGTTCCCAGACCCACGTAACAAAGAACCACTGAAGTCCTCTGAGTAGAGAAATGGCGATTGCACTGCAGTAATGTTGAGGATAGGCCATAAGGAATGTATCTGAAGCAGGAAGACCAGTGAGGAAGCTGTTAGAATTGTCCAGGCAGGAAATTATGTGGGCCTAATAATGGAATATTATTAGAGCCTGACATTTTCTTCAGCAGGAAAGCAAGCTCTTGGCATCCAATTAGTGGTTCTGGGTACATCAGGAGGCATACTGTAGGTTAGGAAAGACATTTTTTAAGCTTTCCCTGCACTCATATAAGCAAAACTATTACAGGACCATTCCAAAAATAACTGAGCCAAACTGGTGAGCTGCAGCTTGGCTGTACGTCAGCTTGATCAGCAGAGACGCAGAAATACTGTCACTCCAAAAAAAAAAAAAAAAAAAAGATAGACAGGTAGACTCTCTGTATCAGCCCCACCCAGAGTGGGGCCAGGGATTCTGCCCCCAGCCCTTGCTCTCTGTTTATTCCTCTGTCCCAGAACGTTTATTACCATCCACCTGGAATTCAAGATATTTACCTGTGTAGTTATCACCTGCTCTAGACCCTGTGATCCCATAGAGCAAGAAGCTTGTCCTATACTATTCTCCACCCTGACCATGGCTATTACAGTCCCTGGCCCAGAGATCAAGTTCATTAACTGTTAAATGGAATTTTAAAATCTTGCAAGTGAGATCATGAAACTACTATCAGTAACCAGTAATAACAACAATAATCATCATAATAGGTAACATTTACTAGGCCCTTCCTATGGGCCAGGCACACTGCTAAGGGATTTTGATGGATTCTCTTAGTTAGTTCTTCCAAAAACGCTATGAAGTAGGTGTTATGACCATCTCCATTTTACACAGAAAGAAACTTTAGCAAAGCCACCCTGCTACTAAGTGGTCGTCCCATTTGTCAAAAAAAAAAAGACTTAGGAGGGTGCTACCACTATGGCCCTGCAAATGTGATACCCATTTCAGCAAGATTCCAGACCTATCTGTGAGATTAATAGCTACTAGGCACTTTTGGTGATTACTAGGAACCAGTGCATGTTCGTCAGGAACAAGCCATGCTAGCTTAACCTCGTTTCTCTTCCCGTTATTCATTCCACCCCAGCATCCCTGAAAACACCCTTCATCAATGGCCATGTATTCCAAATCCTGCCCCACGCCCCCAACCCTGCTGCACAACCTCCAGCCATATGCTCCTTTGAGAGTTTCACACATGCCTTTTACGTAGGCATTTATTTTCAAGGAATCAAAGGTGTCATTGCAGTTTCTCTGTCATTCCTCCTCCACAGCTGCTGCCCTGTCCCTGCACAGCTTCCAATAGTTCAGCCTTGGGTAGACTGCACTTGGAAAGAGGAAACCCAGCTGTCTGGGATCACGTGCACAGCAATATCGACTGGAGCCCTAGGACCAGAACAGCCTCACCCCACCCTCCTCACCCTGTGCCCAGCCTCTAGGTTTCTCGGCTTGCCCATTAGAAGGACAAGTTTGCTCACAATGGCCTGGGCTTTAATAAGAAGGAGGTGGAACTCCACCCCTACTGCTGGCCATGCGATTTGGCCATCACCTCAATCTCTCACTTCCCTCAGGAGTGAAAAGGTTGCTTCAGGGAGGTAGCAGTAAAGTACAAACATGGATATAAGGAACTCCTACAGCTCAACAGCCAAAAACCAAATAACCTGATTTAAAAAATGGGCAGAGGACTTGAATAGACATTTCTCCAAAGAAGACATACAAATGACCAACAGGTATATGAACTCACCTAATTATCACTAAGCATCAGGAAAATGCAAATCAACACCACAGTAAGACATCATCTCACACCCATTAGGACAGTCATTATCAAATAATTAGTGATCAAATAATGAATAATTAGAAAATAATGAGTGTTGTTGAGAATGTAGAGAAATTTGAGTCCCTGTGCACTGTTGGTGGGAATGTAAATTGGTACAGCCGTGGTGGTAAACAGTATGGAGGTCCCTCAAAGAGTTGAAAATAGAACTACCATATGATCCAGCAATACTACTTCCGAGTATTTATTTAAAGAATTGAAAACAGGATCTTGAAAGAGCTATTTGCACTCCCATGTTCACTGCAGCATTATTCACTATAACCAAGAGGTGGAAACTACCTAAATGTTCATCAAGGGATAAATAGATAAACAAAATGTGGTATATACATACAATGGAATGTTATTCAGTCTTAAAAGAAGGAAATCCTGCCACATGCGACAACATGGATGAACCTGGAGGAATTATGCTAAATGAATCAAGTCAGTTACAGAAAGATAATACTGGAGGATTCCACTTACATGAGGTCTCTAAAGTAGGCAAACACATAGAAGCAGAAAGTAGAGTCGTGACTGCCAAAGGGGAAGCAGAATGGGAGTTGTTGCTCAGTGAGTGCAGAGTTTAGTTATGCAAGAAAAAAAAGTTCTAGAGGCCAGGCATGGTGGCTCATGCCTGTAATCCCAACACTTTGGGAGTCTGAGGCGGGAGGATTGCTTGAGCCCAGGAGTTTGAGACCAGCCTGGGCAATATAGTGAGAGCTTGTCTCTAAAAAACAAAACAGGCCAGACATGATGGTTCATGCCTGTAATCCCAGCACTTTGGGAGGCTGAGGTGGGTGGATCATTTGAGGTCAGGAGGTCGAGACCAGCCTGGCCAACATGGTGAAACCCCGCCTCTACTAAAAATACAAAAATTAGCTGGGCGTGGTGGCGCATGCCTGTAATCACAGCTACTTGAGAAGCTGAGGCACGAGAATCACTTGAACCCGGGAGGTGGAGTTTGCAGTGAGCCGAGATTGGGCCATTGCACTCCAGCCTGGGCGACAGAGCAAGACTCTGTCTCAAAAAAAATAACAATTATTTTAAAAAAGACAAAGTTCTAGAGATCTGCTATATAACATTGGGCTTATAGTTAACTACACTGTACACTTAAAAATCTGAGGGTAGATTTCATGTTATGTCTTTACCACATTTTTTACAGGAAAAAATGTGAAACGAATCCAGAATAAGCATCGTCTGTTCCTAACCACATCATTTTTAGACTTAATTGAAAGGCAGGGGGAAGGACAGCATATAATCTAGAGCCATTTCACTCTGTCCCTCAAAATTTATCTTGACCTGGGCGGCAGCTATATGGGCACGTGTGTGTGTAAGAATTGGGGTTTATACAAAGAACAAATTCATAAGCTGTGTACAGCTTATAACATTTATATATTAGTGCAATTTCTGTGTAATGGTATACTAAAATAAAAATGGAAACTAAAGGGTAAAAAAACAACTCAGTGCTTGAAGAAACTTGATTGACAAGATGAGGAGTTTAGACTGTCTCATGATCAGTGAACGTCATGGAATATTCTAAGCAGGGGAGGGTCCCACTAGGAGCTATGCTTTTTCTGGAAGCTTCTTGAAGTTTTTGGCCTTCTGTGCAGGCCATGGAGTCATGCCCTCACTCTCCCACTGCCCTAAGCCCCTTGAGGGCGGGATTCCTGCCTGCTTTATTGCAGCCCCGCTTCAGTGCCTGGTGTAGTCACTGGCATCTAGCTGGCTGACTAATTAAGGGTGGGGACGCCCTAATCGCTTCTGGGAAATCAATGGAGAAGGCGGGCTAGTGCTCAAGGCCAGCCCACTCAAGTCAACCAGCATCAATAGGGCACCTGCTGTATGCAGAGTCATGAAATGTTGCCTAGAGAAGCTGCTTCGACAACAGAAATGTTCCCAAATTTCCCTCCCCCAAAATAAGGGCCCTCTGTCTAGGTGGATTTTCTTAGAAGCTCTGGCTGACGGTTTTCAATTTTGAGTCCCACCCAAAGAGACTCTTTGATGTTATAGGACTTGCCTAAAGATGCAGCTTGCAGACTCCAGCTCAAGCAGTTTCCAAATGAAGCTTAATGAAGACAATTTTGGGGTTAAAACAATCTCTTGTTGCCATGGCAACACTGCAGGTCATTAAAGAGAAGGCATTTAGGGCTGGCTGGGCTCCTGCAGGTCCTAGGGCTGGTGGGAATCACAGTCCGTGGGGCAGGGGGAAGGGGGACCAGAGAGAAGACTAGTCAGAGAGGCAGAGGTTGCCAAAGTGCCCCATCCTCCTGCTAGGATGCAGAATGGAAAGGACTAAATATACGTGGCACACTCACACAGAATAATCCACCTCTCAGGACTGGTGATGTTTGCAGAGGGGTTGAGAAAAACACTCCTTACTCAGGGCTGATTCGGGAGGCTCCCTTAGCAGGCTCCCCGCATCTGGACGCTGCGGGATATCTGAAACTGCAACCAAAGAACAGGGAATGGGAAGCTGGAATATACACTCTCCTGGGTAGGTACCCCATCCTAGAGAGAGCTGAGGAAAGAGGGGAAAAAAGTGATAGAAAGAGGAAAGGATGATGGGAGGTCTTAAGACAATGAACACAGCCCTCTCTGCCTGGAGCCCCCAGGTAAATGCAGGAGAATCACAGGCCAGTGTGGCTCCGTAAGACTTTGTTGACCTCAAAACGGTCGCCAGCATTATGAGCAGAGTCAAAGAGAAATTTTGAACCCAGCTCAGAGGCAAAAGCTTTCCCAAGACATTTCAGCATCCATTCATCACCCCTGCCCAATTCAGGGCCTTTCCTGTCACCCTAACAACCTACATCTCAATAATCAGCAGGACTCTTTATCAGGAGGGATGAACAAAGTCAGCCTGCAAAGGTAATTTACCCCCAGTTCAGAAGGATTTGTCGTCTGGGTTCTTCTAGAAAATCAGACATGCTGCTGAGAGTCCCAGCTCCAGGCAATCAGAACCAAAGGCTCCCGAACTTGGTACAAGGGACTCTGCTAGAGGGCAGGTGCCCATTGAGCAGGCACATCAATAGATAAGGAAAACTCCAATGCTCTATAGCCCTTAATAACACAAATGAGGAGGCTGAAGAATTTCAGCTCTAACTGCAGTTAATCACAAAGGGAACTACAGGATATTCTGCAATGAGAGGTTCTACAGGATGTCATCAAGAATGTGAGCTATCACAGAATGGTAAATGTACAATCCCAAGACACAGAAGGGCACGGGAATGCAGGCCAAGCTGCTGGACCGGTTTGAAAGAGCCACTGCATGTGTTAGCCTCAAGCTGAGCACCCAATACAGCTCCCTGCAATGCTGTGAGTGGCCCTGCCCCATCATGGGCTTCTGCAGGAAAATAGACCTGCTTCAGGGCTAGAGGTTAGGGCCACAGATAGTGGCCTGGAGGTTGGATGGCCACAAAACTCCAGAGGTCACCAGCTAAAGGTGTCCCAGAGTCAGGCTTGGACATGGAGCACATGAAGAGGAAGAAGGGGCTGATCTGCTAAGCCTGGTCTTAGAGGGCATCTAAGTAACTCTAGGCAGAATGTCTGGGGGGTGAGGGTACCACAGACAGGGGGGACACCAGGCCACAGGTGCACTCAATGCAGCTGGTTCTGGAGGTAAATGGGGGCCGAAGCAGCCCCCAGGGGAGAGAGGACCGAGGTCTGGGGCAGGGTCCGGGGCCCAGACGTGGAGGCTGTAGTTAAGGGCAGGGAAACCAAGAGAGAGGCCCAGAGTTTGAGGGCCTCAGGGCTTTGGCTGTAAGTTTTCAGGAATCACCCAGCTGTTTTTTAGATGGGGAAGCAGAGACCCTGAGATCACACAAAGAGCCCCTTCTAGCCCCAGATCAAGTCCAAAGTCCAAGGTTCCAATGGACAGGAGCCTTCAGAACGTCCAAGAGGCCCCTGCAAAGTGTGGGGCTGGGGTGCCTTGCCATCTTGTAATAAACAGCAGAACTCAAGCATACCCCACTTTTACCCCAGGCTGTCAGGAACCTGGGAGTGTTCCAACAGCAGGAGATTGCCCTCCAAGGACAAGGTGCATTTTGCTAGTGAGGCTTATGCAGATTTAAAGCATGAAATACAAGAGAGATGAGGCTGTGCCACAGACCATCCTTCTTCTCTGCCCTTCCTTGTCAAAACACAGCCTCTCCTCTAAGTAACTTTGAGAAAAGTAGCGAAGACTAGTGTTTTAAAGGGGCCCAAATTGTTAGCATAATGGTAATGACCACATGCCCAGTCCAGCCCTGCTCACACACCTTGTTCCTGCAGCACCACAGTGGTTGAGTTACAAACATCCCAGAGAGATGGTTGGCGTGGAGCAAGAGCACCGTGCCTTGACTCGGGAGGCCTGGGATGATGTCCTGGCTTCTTCATAAATGGCCCCTGAGGACCCCTTTACAAAAGGATGTTCCAGTGTAATAGGGTGCCTGGTTGGAGTTTTCTTGTCGCTCTGAAATGTCAACTAAAAGAGACATTTGGGAACAAATGGTGGCACCTACCCCACTTTGGAAGTCCAGAGCACCACCAGCAATGGGGTCAGCCACTGGGTAAGAGGGTCAATTTAGAGATGCCATTTTGGAGACTAAGCCCTATAATTCCCCCTACCTTGCCCCCTGGACAGAGAGGAGGACAGGACATGGGGACAGGCACTATTCAGGAAACACTATATTTGTGAGAAGAGAGACTTTCATCCTCCTCTTCCCTGTGGGGGTGGGAAACAGGGTGTCTCTCCCAAGAAAACATTTAAATCTGGGGGAGTGCTTTCAAAATGCAAAGATTAGATTTGGTTCCCTGGTTAGGTATCTGCTTGGTCTCCAGACTTTCATCTACCCCTGTATGACCAGAGCTGGGAGGAACTCTCTGGAAAAAGGGATGCCATGGGGACTACAGCCAGGAAGACAGAAGGTCAAGGTCACCACCTCCAACCACCAATCTCTAAGAGGGTAGAAAATGGATCCTACCTGGCTGTAGCTGGTGGCTTGGCAGTGCTGGCCAGGAAAGAATCAACTGCAATCAGGATGTGAAGAAAACCTGTCCTCCTCTCTCTCCTCCTGCATCTACTCCAGAGAAAGAGTGCCAGGATGGGGAGAGGAGGGGGCAGTAAGAGCAAACCATGCCCCTGCCCTTCACCCCAATCCAGCTGCCAGACTCCAACCCAAACAATGAGTGCTCCCAATCTGACCTGCTCCGAGGAGAAAAGCTTTAAATAGATATGAGATCAACATTTAAAAATGACCAGGGCTGAGTACTTCAGAATTGCAAGTGACTGGACTTTCTGGAAGTAGGCTGTACCATTATTAGGGCAGCTGCCACCCAGAGAAACAGCATAACAAACAGTCAGGGCAGTTGTGGGGAATGGGGCAGGGGACAGAACAACTCATTTCATGTTCATATCCTAATAAGTTGCAACTGCTTAATAAACCACTTATGCTAACAGCAACTTGTTGGCTCAGTTTTCTAAAACCTGGAGGCAGGAAGGTGAGGCTCACGCTCAGGGACCCCAGATGTGACCAGAGATGAGGCTGCAGAGCAGAGCAGGGAGAGTTCCTGCTGCTAAGGCCAGCTGGAGTCACACTGGGGAGGGACAGGAATGCCAGGCGGAGGGCCTAGATTTGAGTCCAGGCAATGGAGAGGGAGGGAGAGGAACCGGGTGCCTACAGATTGAAGGGGCATTCTCACTGTGGAATTTCATTCCCAAGGGTTGCCTGACCACCTGCATGTGCCCCAGGGATTGGGTCCCACTGTGTAGGATTCAGGCAGAACGATCTGGAGACGGTGGGCCATCCACACATCATAACACCTTTGGTGCAGCCACCAGCCCTTGGCCAGTGCCCTCCTCTGAGTTCACACAATCCCAGAGTTTCTGTCTTCCCACAGTGGGCATCACACTCTATGGTGCTTGCTGTTATACTTATGAGACATCTCTTATCCCAAACTGTGAAAGTCTCAGTGACAGGGAGGGTTCTTATCATTTTTCTCTCCTAGCACCAGCAAGGACCCTGATTATAGTAGCTGTTCAGTGAATGTTTCTTGAATGAATGTCTGGATAGGTAATAGAATGACTGAACAAACAGATGAATGAATGAATGAGTGGATGGATGAATTAACCCTTTAGAATATAAAAAGTATTTTACTCTATCACATTCCTACCATACAAATGTGTCCAGGCTCTCAACTGAGGCCTCGAAGAATAGGAGACATCTTTGTATGAAGTATCTGTGATCTTTAGTATATGACTGAGCTAATGACAGGCCTGGCTAAAGTAAACTGTGCCCTCCAGAATATCACAAAATCAAAGTTTCAAGTGTCCACCCTCTAGTGTCCAATTGCTAGACTGCACCACTGCTTTTTAACTTTTATAAGCACAGCTGTTTTCCAGAAAGATGACGCAGGGCTTTTGGGACACAAGGGATTTGCTTGGAGTCGTTCCACTTTTCTGTCCCTGGAGGAAAAGACATTGATTTGCACGTCCTATGTCCCCAGCAAGGGGCTTGTGTGGCATTCCCGCTATCTTCAGGGTGACTGTTCTACCAAGGTATACACATGTGCAAAGTAGAGGCTTACGATTATTTTCTAAAACTTGATAAAGAAAAGTTGACTGGATTCAAAAGTCATTCACAATATCCAAAGAAATATCAACGTTGCAAGTGCCAAAGAAAGAAAAGAAAGGGCCATCTGATTCCCCAAGCATAATTTCCAATGATGAACATTGTTCTTAATTTTTTATCATTTACTGGGGTGGGAAAATTTCTAGTCAGTATGTATTGAATTTAAAAATCATAATCAGGGATTGCATAGAGACATTTCAGGTATAAAATCTAATTTTTTTAAAAAAGGTAGATGCAAACTCAAGTTTCTCATTAAGAAATTTGATAATTTTTATTTATAAGTTTCATATAAATTCAATATTTAGTATTTTTGTGATATTTTCTATTATTTCACTCATCCTAATTATATATTATAGAGAAAATATAACGAATTTATTCACCTAGCCCCTTAAATGTTCCAAAATTCCCTCCAGTTTACCTTTATGTGCAAGGCAAATGTTTTCTGTGTGTGCCATGATAGGAAAGAATGTTGGAAAGCACTTGGATGGAGGTTGCCTATTTTAACTTAGAACTGCTAAAATTCTTTAAAATCCTTGTTAAAAGTATAAAATTCTGGCATAGGCTTAGATTTTAATAACTCAAAGCTCATTTAACTGAAAAAAATAAGAGGTCAGCCTCTTTAGAAGCTGTAAAACTTGGCTGCCACGATTAATGTATGGCAGATTATGTTTTCCAAGGATGACTGCAACAACATCTCCCCTCCCACATGGTCTTCTTACTCTGTGATTTTGGCATCCCTCCCATAATAAAATGGGGTCTGTGTTTTCTTTCTCTTAAATCTGGATTTGTGACAAAAATGGAAGATGCGCTGTTTGACTTCCAAACCTACATGATAGAAAGTAATACATATTCTTGCTGGTACTCCCGGTACACTGGTTTTTTGGAACTCAGCCACCATGCTGTGAGGAAGCCCAAGTAGCCCCATGAGGAAGTCATGTTAAATGTTCCAGCCAACAGTCCCAGCTGAATTTCCAGCTGATGGCCAGCACCAACTTGTCAACCATGTGAATGAGACATCTTGAAAATTCATCCTTTAGTCCCAGGTTGAGCCACCCCAGCTGACACTGCACAGAGTAGAGACAAGCTATTCCCAAGCCCTGCCGAAATTTCAGCTTTGTGAACAAAATAAATGAGTATTGGCATTTAAGCCACTAAATTTTACAACAGTTAGTTACACAGAAACAGCGAGAACAATGAAGAAACAAAACTCAGCTAAAATAGGTCAGAGAAGGATAAATTAGCAATACTTATGAAAAGCTCTCAAAGATATACATGCCCTTATACCCAACTATTCCACTTTTGGGAATTGAATCCTAAAGAATAAATTAAAGATATGCATCCAAGATTTCCCTACAAAAGTATACTTCAAAACAGCAAAAAGCTGAAAAACAACCTAAATGTTCAATAGAGAATTGAGTAATTTAATTATGGTACACCTAATTCTGTTGGTCTAAAACCTGACCATCAGAATCACTTGAGGATCTTTCTAAAGAAAAGGAAAATGAATAGTCCCTCCTCGAGTTACTTTATTGATGAATATTAAGACTGTTTCCAGTTTGGGGCTATTACAGTCTTGTAATGTATTATACTTCTATTCTTAAGTACTGTTGCTTTTATTCTCATTCCTAGAAGTGGGCTAGCTGCATCAAAGGTAGGCACAACTTCAATTGTAATAATTTTCCACTAAATCTATAGCAATTTATATTCAATTCATATGACTTCCCATTTCTCCACACCCTCGCCAACCCTGGGTGTGACTGACTTCTTAGATTTTATCAATGAGATGTACAAACAATGGCTTTGTCTTAATCTGCACTTCCCTGATTACTGGTAGAGTTGAGCAGAAGTTTATTTTTCACTTACATTTCCTCTTCTAGAAGTTGCCTCATTATGTCCTTTATCCATTTTTTTTCTTTCTGGGCTGTTTGTCTTTTTCTTACCAATTTGGAGGAGTTTGATCATTAGGGATATTGCCCTTTGTCAGTCATATGGGTTTTAGGTATTTCCTCTCAGGCCTGTGTTGGCCAATATGGCAGCCACCAACCACCTGTGGCTATACACATCTAAACTAACTTAAATTAAATGAAATCTAAAATTCTTTTCCTCCGTCACACTAGCTTCACTGCAAGGATCCAGTAGCTACATATGGCTAATGGCTACTGTATTGGACAGTGCAGAATAGAAAAGTTATACTCCAACTACCATTCATCTTTCTTCTATGTTTATGTTACCTTTGGCCATACCTAATTTGAAATTTTTAAATAATTAAATCGACAATCTTTTCTGTATGGCTACTAGGTATGTCTTTCTGCATTAAGAAGGCCAATCCTGGCTGGGTGCAGAGACTTGCACCTGTAATCACAACATTTTGGGAAGACGAAGCAGGAGGATTTCTTGAGTCCAGGAGTTTGAGATCAGCCTGGGCAACATAGGGAGATCCCTATCTCTACAAAAAAAAAAAAATAATAATTAGCCAAATGTAGTGGCACACACCTGTAGTCCCAGCTACTCTGAAGGCTGAGGCAGGAAAATCAGTTGAGCCCAGGAATTTGAGGCTGCAGTGAGCTATGATCGCACCACTGAACTCCAGCCTGGGCAACAGAGCAAGACTCTATTTCTAAAGAAAAAAAAAAAAAAACCCAAACTATCCCAAGATTATTTCTTAAGGCTTCTAGTTTTTACTTCTAATATTTTTACAGTACTTTTTTATTTAGATCTTTAATCCAGAAAGAATTAATATTTGCATATGGTAAGGCTATACATCTAGCTTTATTTTCTTCCAGATGTATAGCATGTGTATTTGTTAAATAACTCATTCTTTTAGTTATGTAGTTTGTATTTAATGTTCAGATGGGTAATGTCTGTGTAATCAAACTGGTTTTTTTAGTGAATTGTGCTTTGCTCTTATGCTTAGACAGTTCTGCCCCACTGTTGGTCAGGTGAGCACTCAGTTACATTTTCATCCAGGTACTGAGTGCCAACGTTCCTTCTGCAATTAAAGATGGGGAAACCGAAGCCAGAAGTTGAAGAGCAGCCTGGGTAACATAGCAAGATCTCATCTCTAAAACAAACAAAAATGATGGGGAAACTGAGTCCTGGGACTGGTAAGATGACAAGAACAAAGGGACAAGGCTATGGTAACGAGATGCATTTTGAGGGCAGCCAACTTCCAGGCTGGAGGATCTCTCAGTATCCACAGCACTATATCCATTTCCTGTACATCTGCTGTGTAGCTCTTGTACCTGGCTCAGTACCTGGATCAGCTACAGAAGCACACAGGTGGTTTCGTCTTAAACTTGAAGCCCCAGTTTCCTCACCAGCATCCCTTCTCACAGGCAAAGCCTCCACCCTAGTGCTATTCCTAGTGCCCAGGCATTCTCCATGGCCATCCTCTGGGCTCAGCCTCTGCAAATACAGCCAGCCTGGATACAAAACAAATATGTGGTTAGCATAAGGAAACCACGAAGCTGATTCAGATGAAAGATCCAGTGAAGAGGCCTCCCTGAGAGGGAGGATAGGCTACATAATTGGTGCAAAATGAAAATGCAGGTCCCCTTGTTAAAAATTATTACATGTTTCAAGATGGTAACAGCAGAGAGTTTAGCCAAGCCCAGGGCCTTCCTATACATGAGGCCATGAAGCCATCCCTGCTTCTGGAGGTACCAGACCCAGGGAACTGGGACCCCGCCAAAGCTCCTTCAGTATTCAAATTGAGGCAACTTCATCCTCCTGGCAAAAGAGCCTCAGAGCCTGGACTGCAGGGTTCAGTGATAACCCAGCCTCCCACCACTCCCACTGTGCCCCTGAATTAGGGCTCTGCCTTAACTCTCCTAATTCAGAAACTTCAGCTCCACAAAGACCTCAGGCCCCACCCCATCTTCACCCTAGCACATCTGAGCCTCAGCCAAGGGGTGTGATCTGGAGTGGTGGACACAGCCCGGGACTACTGCGAAACAAGCAAGAAGTATGCTCAAGGCCGTAGGAAGGAAAGATTCTGTACTCTGGAATCATACAGACTTGGGTTTAAATTCCACTCTACTACTCACCACCTATGTGACTGTCACTTAGAGATGCTAATATGAGACCATCATGAGGATTAATTGAAGTGAGTCCCACTGCCTGGCACGGAACAGTCACTTTTAAGGAGAGCAGTGTAGCCGAGTGGTAACAGCATACACTGCCTGAAAAATCCCAGCTCTGGCACTTAGCAGTATTCAGCCTAAGTCATACTCCTGAATGTCTGCCTGCCTCAGTTTCCAAGGAAGTGACACGGGGATGATGCTAGTTGTACATTCTTCATTGTGTCATTTTAAAGATTAGACAGGTTAATGTTTGCAACTCAGTTTGGAACACTGTCTGGCACATAATGAGCTATATGAGTATGTGTTTTATTGATTAGGAATGCTTTATGAATGTTATGTGAGCATTTGGGATTTGGAGTTAGACGGGTTGGGTTTGAGGTTTTTCTCCACCTTGTGGACCTTGAAAAAGAGGCTTGAGCAAGGCTTGTAGCTTATGTGAGCTTCAGTCTTCTGGTCCACTTAGTGGAAATAAAAGTCGGCACCTTTGGTTGTTGCAAAATATGCCCCTGGTGCCAAAGTGCTGATAAGCAAGATGCAAATGTTGGCTGTGGTTGTTGTGATTGTCATTGTGATTATCTGTCTGGTCATCAGAATTCCTGGTCTTGTGGGGCCGTGGAAAGAGCACAGGATCCATTCATTTTTTCTGTGATGTTTACTGTTAACCTGCTCTGGGCCCTACATTATGCTGAGAGCTAAGTCTATGGAGATGAGTAAATTGGAGCCCCTGCCCTCCAGAAGCTCACATCCTCCTACTCATGGCAGACAAATAAACGTGAATTACACTGCAGGGAGGTAAGTGTGGCAGCAGATGTAGTATGCAGTGCAGAGGTGGCCATGGTTGCGAGGGCAAGGAGGGCTTCCTAGCATGGGCGTTATTTGACCAGAGGTCTGGCGGTGGCTTTTGCTAGCAGTGTGATTGTGATCTGAGCCAGGGACAGATACCTCTGTGAGCCTTGGTTTCCTCATCTGTAAAGTGGTTAAAGACTGAATAAAGCAAAATATGTGCAAACAGTCTGTGAATGGGGAAGTAACAGATGTTGCTTTCTATTATGTTCTCTCCTAGCCATGAATATCAATTATTACAGAAATGAAAAGGGATCCTGCACCCAAATTCAAATCAAGCAAGTTCACCTAGAGGTTGCCGTGGGGTGGAGGGCCCAGATCTGGGCTGTTTGGATCTCTCTGCAGGATGAAAGGGATTTCCTGGACCTGGCTTTGCTGTCCCTTGCTCCTTTTGTAAGCATCTGACTCTTCCTCTATCCATAAAGATGAAGACATTCTTTCGCAGGGATTTAATATTGGGGCTGCATGCCTGGCCCCTGAGAAAGCCCAAGCTTCCTCCTCCTTTTGAATCGAACCCAGTGCAGCTTTATGCGCTCCAGACGAGCCTGCATTCCCCCTAATGCCCCTGGAATTGCTTACTCACACCAAAATCCGCTGCCTCAGGCGTTTCCAGCCAGAGGTAAGCCTTCTTTTCATGGGCAATCAGGCAGTAGCCTGGAGCACAGAGGGGAAGGGGGGCACCTGCATGCCCGGCTGGGTCTCTGTAGACAGTGGATCATGCGAGGCCTCCCCTCTCCTTGACCCTGTGTGATGAGCCCTGGGAGGAGGCACCCAGGCCAGGGGAGGAGCTGCGTAGTGACAGAAAGGGCATCTACATCTCTACCACGTAAGTGGGGAAACTGAGGCTGGGCCTAGCACCAGATCACTCATGTTGAAACCTAGGTTTGAACTGGGTCTCTGAATCCCCATCCAGAGCTCACTGCCTTAAGGCTGAGGTGCCTGTGAGTGTCTGAGGACCCTTACTATGAGACAGTGTTATCGCTGACTTACAGTCTGGGTAAAGAAGGTGAATGCAGTCAGAGGAGTAGATTCAGGTGTCAGACATTTGCATAAAATACCAATTGCTCCTCATGTTGGGGAGGTAATTCACAAGCTTGAATCTCTAAAAGGCTGCATCTGGTGGAGGGCGGGGCTATGTGTCTGTGCACGTCTGGTCTTTGGAGTTCTTATTCAGCAAATATTGATTGCAAGCCCACCATGTGCCAGGCATCATGCCTGGGGCTTGGGATCCAGAGATGAAGAGACAGTCAACCAAGTCCATCAGGCTCTGCCAACCCCTGTAGTGTGAGTGGTGGTTGGAGCACGTGTTATACCCCCAAAAGGTGGGCTTGGCCAAGCCCTTCCACTTACCAGCCATGTGTCCTTCTGGATGGCAGTTTCCTCATCTGCAAAATGTGTGTAGCCCTAAGACCTGTCACCCAGGACCATTTGGGAGGTCAGCTGTTGTTTTGCAGGTGAAAAGATCCATCTGGTCTCTGGGCCTGGCACTCTATCTATAAAATGAGGCTCTACTCCAGCATGTACCCACGGTGTGCTCTGGGTAGTAAACTGTGGTGGTTTAGCACTTTGCCTTTGGGTCTGACAGTCCTGGATTCAAATCCAGACTCTGCCCTCTACTGTGTAACCTGGTGCATGTCACTTAACCTCTGTGGAACCCAGTATTCTCAACTATTAAATGAGGATGATAATAGTAGTAATCATAGTAGTACCTAGCTCAGACTGTTGGTGTAAAAATTAAATGAGCTAATTAAAATTAAAAAGTAAAGTGTTTTGCACAGAGACACTCCTAGTAAGCCCTGAAGAAATGAGAGCTATGCTTTTGATTATTAATATTCTTATAATCCAAAGGATGATGCAGGATTTTTTAAATCTTTCCACATGTATGTTTTTGGACCAGTCCAAAAAAGAATTGGAAACACACTTATGCCGCATAAAGACAGAGTTATGAGGAACTATAAAAACAAAATAAAACCTTTGGAGAATCAACTGCAAAGACATGTATTCTGTTTTTATTATAGTTCTGAGCCCAACAGTGTCTCACCAGGTGACTACCTGAGATATCCAACATCATATGTCCACCAGAGGGTGGGGAACACTCAGCCCCTTTTTATCAACACCTTCACTGTCCAGCCAGCCCCTAACTGGCCCCTTTCTGTCTGAAGGAGGTGGCTGAGTCTCTGGGCCGGACTCTCCGCTCCTCCCAGCCGCCTCTGCCTATCCATCCCATGGCCACCTGAGCCGCTCTCCACACTCTTGAACCCAGAGCCAAGACACACAAGTGCTGAGTCTCATCAGTAACTGCAATCTCATGAAAGCACTCTTGGGCCTCAGTCACCTTGAAGAGCAGGAAAGGCTCTGAGGGGACATTCATTCCACCCATCATCTCAGGTTCCAGTTTGCTTTAAAGGAAACTGAGGCATCGTAAAAGTTAAAGACATGTGGAGGATCATACCAGAAGTTGAGAGCCCAGCCAATCTAAGTGCTGGGACTTTCACAGTTGTCAGGGGGCATTACAGCTGTATATTCAAAGCCTCAACTGTATCTTGCAATCACCTGGCACAGCTACAGTGCCCAGGCCACACCCTGGACCAATTAAATCAGAATCTCTGGGAATGAGATCCAGGCATCAGTATCAGATAGCCAAGCTTATATACTCCTGCATTAAAGTGAGAAGGCCCCCATGTGAACACTAAATGCCTTAATTCACATTATTTTTGCACGGTTCTCAAACCTACTCTTGCCCAGCCACATCCTGAAGATTCTGATGTAATTTGCCATGCATCAGGACCCTTCAAAACTCCCAGGTGACTCCAACAAGCAGCTAAGGCTGAGAACCACTGTGTTCATCTACCACCTTCATTTAACTTTAAAACTGTATTTACTCTTTAAGTAAAATCATAATATTTAATTGCAGAAAAGAAAAGAAAAAAGTACCTGTTCAGCTGAGATGCAATCCATTGCATGTTAATCTGTATTCACATTCCAGGAAATAGAAGCATTTGTAGTTACAGGAATTTTTATCTGTGGTTTTACATCTTTACACACAGGTGTATAGACTTGCTTATGTGTCAGTCCGTTACTGCAATGTGCCAATTAAGACATTTATTGAGTTTGATTTGGTATAAGTAATTATGAGTTATAAAAGATCATTCTGAATCAACAACGTAATAAATAACCATCTTTAATGTAATAGAATATAAGTTTAGTTAGAGTCATGAAACCTTCTGTCTCAGCACATGGTTCCTATAAACCGAAAAAGACAAAAGCATTTGGTGAGTAGCTGTCAGCTGAAGAAAATGTCTGGAAAGGGACTTTCCCTCAAATCAGACGGAAATTCCTGCTCTCCCTTTTTTTTTTTTTAAGCAAGAGTACCTAAAATTCCAAAAAGTCCTATACCCCTTTATTCACCTTATAAAGAAGTCTGTGGAATAAGCCCCCTTCCCTCACCAACCACCCAACCGCTTTTCTCAAGGGGAGACCCTAAACCCAGTCGCAGAGAGCACATTTTGAATAAGCAAAGTGGAGATCTCACTGACAAAACACAAAGGCTACCCCAGCATCCTCAGGCAGGGGGCGCATACCTGGGCCCCCTATGCCCAAGGTCTCCTCCTGGAATCCCCTGCTGTCCTCGGGCACCCAGAGCGGGAACGCCAGGTTTTCCCCATCACGCAAGTGCAGGCGGCGCGGGGGTTCCGGAGGCTGTGAGTGTCAATCACCTACCCTTATCAGTTCTCCGTCCAACACTTACAGTCACAAAGCTGGGCTGGAAAAGTGATAAGGGGACGTGACTGGCCGGCAAAGAAGTTTTGATGAAGCTTTGCAGGACAAGATGTAAATGGACGTTTGATTTCCCGGCGAGCCCTCCCCGCCCCCTCTCTGCAGTTCCTCCTCTGCCTCAAATTCAAAGCCCCTCTGTGCCCTTCTACTTTGCTCTGGCCTCTCGCCCCAGTCTCTCCCTCTGACACCTGGAGAGTCACTTATGTTTCTGCACACAGAAATTCAGACATGCAGCTCTGGACAGCTATGGAAAGTAATAGGTTCTTTGCATTAAAAAAAATCAATTAAAAATAGAAATTAATTTAAATTTTAAAATTAATAAATAAGCCGAAGTTAGTGAAGTCTTTACCCAGTGGCTCTTGCAGGTCTGAGGCCCCAGCCCAGCAGGTCCTGCTCCTCCCCAGGGCTCTGGGCTAAGCCCACACCCACATGCCATTCATAAAGTCCCTACAGCAAGTCTCCTCCTCCAACCAGGATTGGTCCTCCAGAGAGGCTGGCCCCAGGCCAGGACCCATCAGCCACAAATCTGCGAGCTGGATGTGTCCACTGTGCTGCGTGGCCTTGATGGGATTAGGCCAGGGTGGAGTTTGGTTCCAAAGGTAAGCGCGTTCTCATGTATCCAAGCTCTCTGCCCCATCATGTCAGATTCTTCCGTCTTAACTGTTTGACCTTCCACGCTGATTCATACAGAGTCTTTGAAAACCAAAAACTATTGACATGGCTTCAAATGTGGAGGTCTTAACATGATTCTGTGTATCGGAATGAAACCAAAGAAAACCCGTCCAGATTTCAGAAATGGATTTCTGTATAGTATTACACTGTGGGACGACCACCAACTTTGGATCCCATCTGCTTGCCACTTCCTGGTTGTGTAACCCTGAGAAAATTACTGAATCTCTCTGAGCCTTGATTTCCTGATATACTAAACAGAGATAGTACCTCCTTAACTCCCAGGATTGCTGTGGGAAGTAAGCGAGAAAACGGATGGAAAGAGCTTATGCTCACCCCTAGGTTTAAATCCCAGGTCAGCCACCTCCTGGTTACATAGCTTCAGCAGGTCTTATAAACTCTCCAAATCTCAGTGATTTATTCGGCAAAATGTGGGTTATAAAAGCTACCTCAAAGGGTTGTTTTGAGGATTAAAATATTCAATATAAGGTTAAGGGCTTGGTCTTTATAGTAAAACTGGTCTGGATTTAAATCCTGAATTTGTCATTTGCTGGTTCATTGACAGAGAATCACTCAGCCTCTCAGATCCGTTTCCAGATCTGCAAAATGGCTGTGATCACCCAAATTTACAGGGTTGTGGTAAAAGTTCAATTAGATGAGCTATAAAAAGCCCTTAGCATGGAGAATTTAAAAGATGTGTAGCTGATATCATTAACAAGAAAATACCACCATGGACAGTGACATTGACCCAGAAGATGCCACCAGGTGGCAGTTATTTCAGCAAATATTCTAAAAGGTGCATTACTTGGGTGGGCCACGTGGATGGATCCCCGAGGGTCAGGTCAGTCAAGTCTTGTGAGTGAGCTCCAACTCCATCTGCATCCTGTACAGAAGGCACTGATTACTCACAGGGTAGGCACTAATTACTTTGGAAATCAGCTCCTCAATCAGGACCAAGAGCTTATGCAGCTCCTGCCCTCTGTTTCTTGAAAGTGGAGTGTCAAGGGACCAAGTGTCCAGGGCCCAGGAGGACAAATGGAATCAGGAACTCTGGCCCATGGAGCG
This sequence comes from Homo sapiens, assembly GCF_000001405.40. Classification (NCBI taxonomy): domain Eukaryota; kingdom Metazoa; phylum Chordata; class Mammalia; order Primates; family Hominidae; genus Homo; species Homo sapiens. The sequence goes on along the minus strand of NC_000015.10, from coordinate 79,208,068 downwards.
GTCAAGCCAATCGCAGATCATGAGGAAGTGAGTGCTTTGATGTTCAAAGAGTCCAGCTGTGTGGGAGAAGGGAAGACCCTGGTCTGTAGTCTGTGGTCTGAACTCCTCAGAGTCCTAAGGATGACCTCTTGGGGAAGCTGGAGCTGTACAGTGACAGTACATTTAGCCCAGCCCCCTTGTTTTACTGAAGGGAAATCAGAGCCCTGGTAGAAACTCAGCCAAGGTCCCAAGGAGGCAGCTCTCTGTCTCTGACCCTAGACCAGAGCACGTTTATAATACAGATCAAAAAGTCAGGTGTTTTCAGGAGGACATGGGAGGCCTCTGAACAGTGGGACAAGGAGAAACTGGTGCCTGGCTAACTGCTGGACTGCCAGGCCCAGGGGCCCAAATTACGCCAGAGAGAAAATGCAGTGGTTCATATCTTCTTCCATGAAAGCAACTGTACTGTCTATCTCAGGGCTCCTATAGTCCTCATCTTTACAACATGGGCCTCACTCTCTGTAAATACATACAGGAGCTTGGAAGTGGGAAAAGTACTCTGAGATGTTCAAACCTACAGAGTGTCTGTCCTCCACGTCCAATCTAAAAGCAAATGCTTTGGCAGGCAGAAGGAGCTCAATTTCAAAGGCTGCTTTCCTGTCGTCTTGCTTCCCTAGCCCAAATGATGTTCATATTTAGGTTTTTAAATATGGTCAGTTGCTTAATCTGTATATTTCTTATAACGATTCCATTGAATTCGTTTGCATGGGGCTTTTAAAAACTTGATTCAATTCAGTCAACAGGCATTGAAGAGACCATTTATTGCCAGGGACTGCTGTAGACATTGAGGGGAGAGGGCTGAATTCAGTCTCCACACTCAAGGAAATGAGCAGCTCCTGGCTGATACTGACCCACATGCCCTGGAGTGGAGAGGAGGGAAGGAACCCTAAGGCAGAGGGAGGAGCTTATGCAAAGGTGTGGAGCTGGGAAAGAGGCCTGACCAGGGAGCAGCAAACAGCCCAGGGTGAGTGACGCTGTGAAATGAGGCTGGAGACATAAGGTCAGGGCCAAGCACCACACCATGGACATCAGGTTAATTTGGGTCTTACCTGGCAGGCAAGAGGAAGCTCTGGGGTTCTGAGAAAAATCACATCTATTTTGAGCTGCTAAGACACGGGAAGGTTTGGAAAAAGATGGGCAGTGGAGGAACTGCTGCTCAAGGCAGGTAGGAGGTGGTAAGAGTTGGAATTAATGCTGTGGCAATGGGGACAGTGATCTTTAATTTAATTTTAAATTCAATATATTCTGGAAATAATGAAAGAATGCAAGTAATGATACTTCTATTTGAGTAGCATCTTCATGCCCCATGCTGGGCTCAGCTCGTCTCTCTATAGTATTTCATTTAATACTCTCAGGAACCCTGAGCAGTGTGTATTTGGGGTGGTCTTGACCCTTCTTAGGAGCAGCAGGTGTCATGGAAACAATCAAAGCAAAAGGAAGGATTTCAACTCGTAACGCTTCTCCAAGAGAATGAGCTCCATCATTCCGCATTCCAACATATCATCCAGATGGCAGTCAATCAAATGGCGACCTTTGGGGCATTTGCACAGCATGTGCCACACCCAGTACACCCACGGGCTGCAAGCTCAGGCTAGCCCTCTGATTGACCACCTAAGCGTTTACCCCATTTACTTTGTCCCCAACATTCCCTCCAAAACTCACTCCAACCCCTCTTTCATGGCTGGGTCATAAGACAATGTGCTGATCCACCTTAATTCAGGCTATTCATGGGCACCTGGCTTTTGTTTCTAAAATGTCATCAACACAAGGGGGGGGGCCCATGGCCAGGGCAGTCTGGAGGGGCTGCCCACATAGTTTCATCCTAGCTGGACCCTCTGCCCTCTGTGGTCAAGCACCAGATTTTCCCTTAGCTCACTCACTCTGTGGTCCCAGAGCTGTGACAATCTCCAGTGTCCCTCTCCTCCTTTTGTTATGTCTTCATGGATTTTTACTAAAGGATGTTCTAACACGACTCACGTATATATCATTGAAGCTTAAAAACCCTCTAAAATAAACCTTTATATGTTACATTATTTGACCTGAATTTTCCCACATCCAGCACAATATTTTTTTTAGGGACCAGTTCTACTCAGCGTGTCACCATCCTCTTCTTTTTACAGAATAGAAAACAGATTCAGAGATGTTCAGCAACTTTGTCCAAGGCTTTACAGCTCATCTGAATTAGAACCCATCTGATTTCTCTTGCATTATCTTCTCTCTCTCTCTCTCTAAATGCACAAGCAAATGAATGAGCATAACATTCAACATCTCTCACTAAGATTCCAAGTCATGCATGCCTTTTAAAATAATTTACTATTCATTAGCTCCAAAACCAAAGGACAGTCAAAGGAGGCAGGCTTGAAGGTGAAGCAAAATAATTGCTAAGCCACACCCTGTCCATCTTTCATGGGCACCTCGTCCAAAGAGTTACCATGAGGATCATCCCCTGTGCTTTCCCTAACTCCTTTGGCCTTGATTGACTCTGCGTGGGTTATGAAATCCCACCCTTCCAGTTCTCCGGCTGGGTGGTCTGTCACATTAGCTTTGCATCTCACATAATCCTTTCCTGCCGACTGACTGGTTCCACCACAGCCTGTCTGCCTGCCCGCTGGTAAGTTCCTTCTGGGCAGCGCTGAGGGTGACCTCAACCCTCCAAATCCCCGTCCCCCAAAGCTGGTGCAGTCCTGCTTCCCCATGGTTGGGGGATATAACGGGCTGTGGAAAGGACTGACTCAGGACAGGGAGAGGGAGGGAAGAGGACCGAGTGCTGAGCCCCTTTCCAGAGTAGACGCTGCTGCCTGGCCCCAGCTGTGTTCAGGGGCTATGACCGTCTGTCTCCTCCCTGGTCTCCATCCGGCTGGGCTCACTTCGCCCAGTTTAATGAGCTCAGGAATGTGCTCAGTTGAGACACTCAGTGTTTGATTTGGCCCTTTTGAGCTGAAACGTGCCCCAGGCTCTGCTCATCCACCTGCAGGATTGCACAGTTCAGTCATCAGAGAGCCAGTGGCAAGAGGCGAGCTATGCCAGGAACGGAGCTCAGAGCCTGCATTTAATATATTCTTAAGTATAATAAACATCTACCAGGCCTGGCCTGCAGAGATGCCACAGACCCACATTGGAAGCCAGGGAAGGCACATTTCTTTGAAGTTGGTTCCAGCTCAGCTATCAGCCTTCCCTACTGTCTTCACTGCAGAGCTGGAGGCAACAGCTCAAGAACCGCCACTCCCCTCTCTGGATATTGCTTGGTTCCAAGGGTCGTGGGCAGATCTGCCTCCACATGAAGCCCACATGCCAGTCTGACACTTGTCTAGAAAGCACTTTCTGAGTACCAGCATGTGCTGAGCTCTGAGCTATGTCCCTGCAGACACAGAGCTGGACCAAAGCTCTCGAGCTCAAGGGAGGTGGGCACATTCACTACACAGTCCCCACTAAAAGTGATAGGACAAACAGTAGAGGCACGGAAATGTGAACATAATTTCTAAGACAAACTCGGGATCTGGTTATGATTTTTGCCTAACTTGAGGCTTAAGTATATAAGAGAAGAAAAAAAAATTTATATTGGGATGGTTCCAGAAAATCTGGGTTGTAAAGCATAAAGTGGAAGAAGAGATCAGAGCTTGGGAAGATAACTATGCCCCCACCTGGACCTAGTTATCATCTCTGGCTCTGATCTCTTGTTCTACTTTATACTTACATTTGAAGTGGAGGCTGGGCAGAAGTGGCTGGAGAGGTGGATGGGCACCGATTTGGAAGGGTCTTGAAGGCCAGGCACAGGAAAAGGTTTCCTCTCCTAGAAGCCATGAGCCTGGAAGGATGAAGGATGTGAGACAGCATCTCCTGCACCTCCTTGTCCTTTGTTTATTCTCTGTGTCTTCCACTAGAACACAAACTCTGGGAGGGCGGGAAACTTGTCCGCCTGTTCATTCCTGCTTTCAAAGTGCCTAGAGCAAAGACTGCAGATAGTAGATGCTCAACAAATATTTGGTAAGTGAGTGAATAAGCAGGGAAATCATTTCCTTGCTGGGTCAAGAAGTGAAGGAGGCTGCTTGGGAATTTAAGTTTTTGTTAATACTGGCCCTGGTGCCAATAAATACACTTAAATTTAAAAAAAAAAAACCCTCAAAATCCAGTTTCCTATCCTTTTCTTCCAAAGCGTGCCAGCAAGTAGGTCTCCCCACAGGAGCCAGTCATCCTGGAGAAACCTGATTCTGTCCTCTGTCTCAGACAGTCCACAGTTCTTGGGATTTCAATTCTCAGATTAATCCTTAGCCGGCCCACTCTGCAAACCCAGAGTGGGCTGGCTTGTGAGATGGAAGTGGGTATGGAAATTAGACAGAAGCAATCCAGAAAGGTAGACTCTCCCACCAGGAAAAATAGACCCCATAAGATGGAGGCAGGTGGTTACTGAGGGGTTAGAAGACCAATGTTCAAGTCCCAGGTCTGTGCCTTATTCTCCAGAAGAAAGAAAACCAAAGGTAGAGATTTCTTTTCAGAAACCTCCATGCACAAGAAACCACCTCACTTCCACCATACCAGACACTCTGCTTCTACACTGGGTGCTTCTGAGTCATGGGTAACTCTCATAGCCTTGTTCTTTAAAGGCCCACCCCTCCATGCCTTGCTCTGGACACCTCAGCGGCTCCCATTGCCCCCACAGCCCCCTCCTGTCTCCTCTTTCCAACCCAGGGCTCTATACAGCCTGGCCCCTCCTCCTTTTTCCATATGTTGTCCATGATATCCTTGCATGAAGCTGAGGCCTCAGTCACATCAGACCATCCAGTGAAACCCAGATACACCCTCAACTTTCCCTTCTCCATACCTTTGACTATTCCAGTTCTATTCATATAAAGGTGCCTGCTCCATTCAAATTCAAAGCACTGCTCAGTTGCCATGCCCTCTAAGACACCTGCCTGGATCTTGACAGTCAGAAAGAAGGCCCTCTACTCTGTTCTGCCTAGCAGTGCATTCATACCTCTCTCCTGATCCTTATTCCTCTGCCTCTCACTGTAATTATATTTCACTCTGTCTTCCCTTAAAGGACAGGGCTGTCCCACTTTAAACAAAAAAACAAAACAGGATCTTGCTGTGTTGCCCAGGCTGGAGTGCAGTAATGTGATCACAGTTCACTGCAGCCTTGAACTCCTGGGCTCAAGCGATCCTCCCGCCTCAGCCTCCTGAGAAGCTGGGACTAGTGCCTCACTCTGAGTACCCCGAATGTTGAGTGTCCTGTCTGCCATAGTAGATGCTCACAAACACTAATCAAAGTGGGTGGTGTTGGTTCCTCTTCCTTGCACCCTTTTAAGATTTCCTTCCCCACAACAACGGTGCAGGCAGAATGGAGGAGAAAAGGTGAACCAATGGATCCTTGGCTAATTTACTCTGGCTAGCAGCATGTCAGTGGGAAAAGCATCAGGCCGTCCTCATTTACACAATGTCTACATGATGCTCCTGGCATCTAAGTTCCATGCATGCCCTGATTTCCACACCTGAACCCCTTCCTTATAGGATTTCCATCATTGTTCTCACCACAAACTCTGTAAGTTTATTCAATGTCATATGATTTCAACATAGACCTTTATATATCCTTCCCATGTCTCCAGCCTCTTGCTGAATGAGATATTTCCTTCTAATTCAATACAGTCTCTGTTTACCTGACAAAATGGGACATCAAAAGACTCCTAAACTTGTTAAACCCATGCAGAATCTCATGCAAAGTATATTTCTTATGCACTTTAATACAGTGAGCAACCAGGAAAATCGGAACAACGTGCCACATGGCATTAGCAGTAGCAGACGTTGTCAAAGCCCCACCCATATCCTCTGCACATGCTGTGCATGCCCACTGCAAACATCAGCAATGCTCCACCCAAGAGCTTTTCCTTGGCTTGTGCAAGGCGGGGCCGGGGGGTGGTTAGCACCCCTTGGGGGATAGATACGCCAGCGATCTCATCCTCAGGTGGACAACTCTGAGGTGTTTTTCCAGAAGCCTTCAGCAGGATTGCAGCCCAGCTGCCCACAGTGATGGCCTGCTCACCAGCACTCTCTGTGTTAGCCTCCTTCTCTGCCCCATCTCACTCCCCACCTCAATCTCCTGAATAAACCACTTCAAGTCCTTGTCTACAGATCTGCTTCTGGGAGATCCCAGCTTAAGACAATCTCTCTGTCATTTTAAATTCCTCCTATGGTCTGAATGTTTGTGCTCCTGCCTGCCTCCATTTCATATGTTGAAATTCTAACTTCCAAGATGATGGTATTAGGAGATGGGTAGGACCTTTAGGAGGTGACTAGGTCGTGAAGGCAAAGTCCACATGATTGGGATTCGTGTCCTTATAAAAAAAGATCCCAGAAAGCTATTTTGTCCCTTCTACCATGGGAGGATGCAGCAAGAAGGCACTGTCTGTGAGGAAGTGGGCTCTCACCAGACAGCAAATCTGCTTGCATCTTGATCTTGGGCTTCCCAGCCTCCAAAACTCTGAAAAATAAACTTCTGTTGTTTATAAACCACCCAGTTTATAGTATTTTGTTATAACAGACAAGACAACCCCTTTTGCCAAGAATATAGTACGTGCTTCTCCTCCAGGCCCTAACCCTTGTGTTTATCTGGAGCTGGCCAGAGGAAGATGGAAGGAATTCTAAAAGGATTCTCGGAGTAAAGACACTCAGAGCTGGCTTTCACAAATTATCAAATTTTAGACTTGTGATGACTGTAGGAGTTGGCCAAGTTCAAGTCCATACTTCTCAAGTGGGGCATCTGAAGATATGAAGGAAGTGATTTGTCCAAAGTCACCCACCAGGTTAATGACAGAGCTGGAGCTAAGACGCTAGTCTTGTGACTCTCAAGTTCAGGGCTGGGCTCTCTCTGCCATGTTGCTGTGAAAGGATTTAACCAAGTGACAAGTCCCTCCTAAGGTTACTGGCTAAATTTACTTTAAACAAACAAACAAACAAACAAAAACAAAGTTCTAACATTCCAACTCTCTCCCATAAACCCAGCAAAAACTTAAAATAGAAAGTACCTAGCATGTGTCATTTGACTTCAAAGCCATAGACAGTAAAGAGAAGCCAATTCTAGAAGCAATTATCTAGATCCCTCCCCAGAGGAGGTTTGCCCTAATAATAATCATTGAAATGGTAGTCATAGCTCCAGATCTCTTCTTAGTCTTCGTCAAGGAGACACAGGGCTTATGAGCAGAGAGCAGCCCAACCTCCAGTTGAGGAGCCCTGGAGGGAAGAAAAAGATATGGCTTGAGAAGATCTTATTCAAATGCTTGCATAGAGCACACTACACAAAATAATGCAACTTCTGGGCTCATCCAGAAGATCAAGGAAGAAAGCTTTAGAGGAAATGTGGGCTTATATTTCTAAAAGGCTGAGGAACATTACTCAGAGTGAGTGTGGGCCTGTAACTCCACTAACTGCCTACAGATCAGGGTCCCTCCATGTCCCCTCTGCTTTGTCCTGTCCCCAGTTGGACACATCAGAATTTCACAAAAAGATAACCTTCCCCTGCAGCACACAGGAGCTGTTTTTAGGTTTTGAACCTATCTGTGTTCAAGCAAAAGCATTTTTATTATGCATTGTGAAGGCGAAAAGTAAGCAAGCAAAAATCACATTCAGTCCAGGCCCCAAAATACGCACACAGCCCATGTACACACACAGCCAAGGTGTGGAAAGTGTGATTCAGCCTGGGAGGCTTCTCACCATATCTTCAAAGATGCTTGAAAACTGAAGACTGGATTAAAACGTTCCTACCCTTTGATCCTGCAATCTCCCTTCTTGGAAGCCCCATGCAAATAGCAGAAGATAGAAAAGAAAAAACTATGCACAGAGATGTTCCCTTCACCATTATGTATAATGGCCAAAACACTGGAATAACGAAAATGGCTGCTTTTAGAAATCAGGTGAAATAGGCCAGGCGTGGTGGCTCATGCTGTAATCCCAGCACTTTGGAAGGCTGAGGCAGGCGGATCACCTGAGGTCGGGAGTTTGAGACCAGCCTGACCAACATGGAGAAATCCCGTCTCTACTAAAAAATAAAAATAAAAATAAATAAATAAATAATACAAAAGAAATTAGCTGGGTGTGGTGGTGCAAATAAATAAATAAATACAAAAGAAATTAGCTGGGCATGGTAGTGCACGCCTGTAATCCCAGCTAGTCGGGAGGCTGAGGCAGGAGAATTGCTTGAACCCGGGGGGGTTGGGAGGTTGCTGTGAGCCAAGATATTTTTATTGCACTCCAGCCTGGGCAACAAGAGTGAAACTCTATCAAAAAAGAAAGAGAGAAAGAGAGAAAGAAAGAGAGAGACAGAGAGAAAGGAAGAAAGAAAGAAAGAAAGAAAGAAAGAAAGAAAGAAAGAAAGAAAGAAAGAAAGAAGAAAGAAAGAAAGAAAGAAAGAAAGAAAGAAAGAAAGAAAGAAAGAAGAAAGAAAAGAAAAATCAGGTGAAATAAACTGTGGTGCTTCCATTCTATGGGAAATGGTAATATTGGCCCCATTTACTGGATAATGTAGTGGTTTTAAAACATGTGTACACTTGGAAACAACCTAAGTGTCCATCAACAGATGAGTGGATAAAGAAAACATGGTAGGTACACACAATGGAGTACTATTCTGCCATCAAAAACGATGAGATCCTGTCATTTGCAATACCGTGGATGAAAGTAGAGGTCACTATGTTAAGTGAAATAATCCAGGCACAGGAAGACAAGCACATCACATGTTCTCTCTGATTTGTGGGAGCTAAAAATCAAAACAATTGAACTCATGGAGATAGACAGTAGAAGAATGGTTACCAGAGGCTGGGAAGGGTAGTGAAGGGGCTGGGGGGAGTTGGAGATGGTGAATTGGTACAAAAAATTAAAAGAATGAATAAGATCTACTATTCCATAGCAAAACAGGGTGACCATAGCCAACGATAATTTAATGGTACATTTTAAAATCACTAAAAAAGTATAACTGGACTGTTTGTAACACAAAGGATCAATGCTTGAGGAGAAGGATACCCCATTCTCCATGATGTCATTATTACGCATTGCATGCCTTATAAAAACATCTCATGTAACCCATAAATATATACACTTACTATGTACCCTCAAAAACTAAAAATTAAAAAAAAAAAGAGCCCACAGATTCTTTGACACTCACTCCATTAAGAGGTGGAGTCCATGTCCCCTCTCCTTGAGTCTGGATGAGCCTCTGTGGATGCCTCAATGAATAAAATGAGGTGGAAGTCATACTGTGTGACTCCCAGGGCTGGGATAAAAAAGGCCACAGAGCTTCTGCCAGGCTTTCTTGGGACACTTGCTCTGGGAACCCTGGGCCGCCACGTCAGGAGTCTGCCTGGAGGCCACCAGGCGGAGAGACCATGTGGAAAAAGGGATGCTTGAGGAGCCCCAGCTATTCCAGCCCCAGCTGTGTGAATCTCCCCAGCTCAGGAGCCAGACATGTGGGTGAAGATGACATTGAGAACACCCCAGCCCAGTCCCAGCCACTGAGTGACTGCAACCACCTGCGAGATCCTGAGAACCGCCGAGCTGAGCTCACTTAACTCCTGATGAAGAAAAATAAATTATTGTTATTCATTTAAGACACTGTTTGGGGATGGGTTGTTACACACCAATGAATAGCTGAAACAGAGAAATGGAGATTTACAAAGGTTTAGAATCATGCTCAAGGTCACATAACTAATAAGTGGGGAAGCCTGAGCCAGCATCTAAACTCAGGTCTTCAGCAGGGGAACTGGGACAAGAGTATAGTCTACTCGGCTGCAACGTAAGATAGCTCATACTAACTGGTGAGCAGAACCAGTGAGTGGAAGAAAGTTGTTGCTCTGTTGCAGAGCTCGGGTTCCTACTCAGCTTTTCCTGACATATCGATGTTTTGCACCGACAAGTTTGCAAAATGCACTAAAGCAGCCGAATGCTGCAGGCTGCAGAGGGAAGCAGGGCTGTGTGCAATGCCCATTATGGTGATCACTTTCTCTTGGCTCAGTTTGCCACATGGGCTCTTTTTGAAATTTTATTGCCTAATCCTCCCTGGCATTTGTGTATTTTGCCTTGGACTCCTTACCTCAGCAGCCTCAACCCCTCCTAACATCAGATCAGAAGTGCCTGTACAATGATGCCTGCCCTCAAAGACAGGGCTGACACTCCCCAGTGTCCCACAGTCCCTGTCTGGTCACTATGGTCCCTGTCATCCCCACTACTTGTCTGGCCCCTGTAGACATTTCCATTTGCAACCCTTGGCTTAAGATACCAAGAAGTTCTTCACGATGGAAATGCATTCATCTTTGCTTAACTCTGGTGTTCTCTGCTGGTTTGATCACATAATTAACTCTTCCCCCATCCCCTCTCCTATTTAATGCCTGCTGCAACATTCTTAGTCCTTGGCAGGCACAGTTTAGGAAAAGCTGGACTGTGTGACCATGGCAGCCTCTTCTAATTCTACTATCAGCACCTGGTCATTAACGGATTCAAGCTTTGGTGAGCTAGAGCCATCCTAAGGCATTCGCGGAATCTCTGGCTGCCCCCTTCCAGCTCCCAGTCTGCTGCCTTTACAATGCGGGAGTTAACGACCACTGTTACCCCTGCTGCTCCTCTTCCATGAGGATTTAGTGTCTCATACCCTTCTGTTTATGACATGAACTATCCTTCTGATGGTTAGGGCGCCCCTGTCCACCCAGTTCACCCTGCAAGCCACTCCAAGTGTCCTTTAAAAGGATGTGTATAACAAGAATGGATATCGGACTCGTGTGTTCAATGTAATTTAGTTGTCTCTGGGGATCAAAGAGCAAGACCACGTACTTGTAGCTGATATAGGAATAACAGCCCTTCATCCTAGAAAATGCCCACCCTGAAATAGGAAAAAAGGACTCTGTGGTGAGTTGAATTGTGGCCTCAGAAAATATAAATATGTCCAAGTCTTGACCCTTGGTACCTGTGAATGTGACCTTATTTGGAAATAGAGTCTTTGCAGATGTAAGTAAGTTAAGGCTCTTGCGATGAGATCATCCTTTATTTAGGGTAGGCCCTAAATCCAATAACTGTTGTCCTTACAAGAATAAGGAGAGGGAGATTTAAGACACACAGAGAAAAGGACCATGTGAAGATGGAGGCAGAGGTTGGAGTGGTGCCTCAACAAGCCAAGGGAGCCCCAAGCATGGCCCCAGCTGCCACAAGCTAGGAGAGAAACAAGGGACAGTTTCTCCCTCAGAGCCTCCGGAGGGAACCAATCCTGCCAACCCTTCAATCCTGAACGTCTGGCCTCCAGAACTGGGCGAATAAATTTCTATTGTTTTAAGCCACCAGATTTATGGTCATTTGTTACGGCAGTCATGGGAGACGAATACAGACTCCAGCGGCGGGTCTCAGAGGAGGAAAAATGGCCTCATCTCAGGGGCCACATGGCTGTGGGGAATAAGGGAGGAGTAGAGGGGGGCCCTGCTGAATGCCTGCAGGGTGGGGGCCAGGCTGGGAAGTCCCCAGGGAAGGACCTTAAAGATTAGCATCTTTGTAAGTGACGTCCTAGGCCGTGCTTCTTTTTTTTTTTTTTTTCATTCATGCATTCATTTTATTTTTTTCTCTTTATCCATTCATCTATTTTTTTTTAATTTTTTTAATTTTATTTTTTTAAAATTTTATTATTATTACACTTTAAGTTTTAGGGTATATGTGCACAATGTGCAGGTTTGTTACATGTGTATACATGTGCCATGTTGGTGTGCTGCACCCACTAACTCGTCATTTAACATTAGGTATATCTCCTAATTTTTATTCATTTTCACTCAACTCTCAGGAAAGCCTCATCAGTAATTAGGGCCTGGAGCCAGCTGTGCAGTTTGGGAAGTTGAGAGGAGAGCCTGAGGAGTGAAAAGGGAACACAGTCCCTCTCCCCTGAGTTCAGGGTGGCGGGTGCAGGGGAATCACTGGAATGGTGGAGGCTTCCAAGAAGAGGACCTCCCAGGGTCACAACCCCAGAGGCAGCCCCGAGCACAGGAAGAGGGACCAGGGTGCAAAGCCTTGACCGGCACCACCCTCTGAGCAAACAGGGAACTGCACCCCAAGGAACCCCCAGAAATAGGGCCATCGGACCTCTTCAGGGGAGTCTAACATCACAGGCAGTAGAGCTTTTATCCTATTTTCGTTTGACTAGTTAAAAGGAATGTGACCTTATTTTGCAGTCATAGGCTGGTGAAGCCCAAAACATTCAAGATAAGTGAATATGCCTGCAAAGTTTCCCCAAATAGCCAGGAAATTAGCACCCCCCAAAATAGCTGTGTGAGAGCGACGAGCAGGGCATAGCCTTGCTGCCTCCTTTCCTCCTCCTCCATTTCTGTCTTCTTCTCTCCCTCTTTCCCTCATCTGCCATTTTCTTCTCTTTTCTCTTGCTCCATTCCTCTTTTTTCTTCTTTCTGTCCTACATCCCTTCCTTCCACCTTCCAGACCCTCTCCTCTCCTCTCTCCCCATTTCGCAGGCTCCAAGCCCACAGCATACATTTCCCAACGGCCCCAGCAATTTCCCTGCAGGAGTCCCTTCCTGTCTTCACTTCTCTGTGGGTGCTGGCTGAGCAGCTAGCAGCGTGGCCTAGGGCTACCCATCAGGAAAGCTTCTGTGGGCACATGCTGAGGAGGGAGGTGCCCTGCAAGGACAGCTCCTCTTATTTTAAAAATGAGGTCGTAACATTCTTTCATTCCACTAACACCCCTGGCTAGGGCTTAGAGTGCCTACTGTGTGCCAGCTCACTGCTGCTGGGGAGCAGAAAGCTATGGTGAAAATATGTCCAGGAAGGTATGCTGTGCAGAAGGGAGACATCCAACCCTTTAGGGGGTTGAGAGCAGGGACAATTTATCCTAGGAGAGGGTGACCATATATTGTCATTCATTGTCCAGCTCAGGACACATTTGAGAGTGGTGATTTCACAGGGGCATCACCCTAGAAGATTGTTCAGGGGGTCCCCATTTGGAAGATAATGATACTGCAATTCAGACAAAGTGAACAGCATGAGGGGCTGCAAAACACTTTACAGGTTTTGGGTCATGCCTGTCATCAGGTGCAGCTGATGTGAGTTTGGAGAGATGATGGGATGGGAGACTGGACAAGTCAGTTTGGAGTCCATCTTTAAAAAGTCTTGAATGTGAAGCCAAGAGTTGTCTTTATTCCTCAAGGATTAAATACAATGATTTTTTTTTAATTTTTACTATTACATCAACCGGACCATAAAAAGGATATAAAAGAAAAAGGCAAAAAAAAAGCACACATCATATCAATAGATGGCAAAAAGTATTTCATAAAATCTAATATTTACTACTAATGATGAAAAAAATACTGTGGGGACTAAGATTAGAAGAATGCTTTCGTGAGATACTAAAATATCTATCCAAAAATAGCAATCAACAGGAAACACTGCAGTTGTTACCATTAAAATAAGGACTAAGACAAGAACACAGCCGGTCCTATTGTTGTGAAACATTGTTCTGAAGGGCTTGGTCAATGCCATAAGGCCTGGTAACAAATCGGATGCAAAATTATAAGAGAGAAGATGACAAAACTATACTCATTTTCAGGCAATATGATTTTCTACCTGGAAAAAAAATCCATTCAAGTTTAATAAAGTTGATTGTTCTATAAAGAATATATAAATATCAATAACATTCCTAAATATCATCTATAATTAGAAAATATGATGGGAAAATATGCTATACACATTTCATATGAATATATGTATATATAGGTATGTGAATGTGTATATATGAAAATAAACTTAGTAAGAAATATGTAAGTCCTATAAGAAAAAAATGCTAACATTCATTGAGAAAGTCAGGGGAAGACTTTATTTATTTATTTAGAGACAGGGTCTCGCTCTGTAACCCAGGCTAGAGTGCAGTGGCACCATCATAGCTCACTGCAGCCTCAAACTCCTGGCCTCAAATGATCCACCTGCCTCAACCTCCCAAAGTGCTGGGATTACAGGCATGAGCCACTGTGCCCAGCCAGAAGATTTTAATAATTAGAAATATAGGGCATTTCCTTGAGGCAGAAGATTATATTATAAAGATGTCTAATCCCAATAGAAATCATAACCAAATTTTATAACACTTATTTTTAAAGTTTGTACAATGAAAAATGAGTAAAGAAAAAAAACAAGATAATATCCGAAATACAAAAGCACTGAGAGGTAACTGAGCTTATAATGTATCAATATGCCCTGCAAAGCTTCAATACTTAAAACAGTGCACTGTCAATGTGAGAAACGACAAATCAATGGAAAGTCCTGAAATGGCTGACTGTGCACATAAGTAACAAAGCAAAATATCTACATTTTCTGTCAAACTCTGGTGGGATTTTTGGAAGCTACAAAAATGCCAAAATGGCAGGCAGCTCCAAGTGATGGAGACTTAAACCTGACCACTATGTTAAGGCTGGCTGGTTTTTCCTTCTGGCATAATTTCCTGAAATGACCCTTCAGTCAAGTAAGCACCAAGTCAATACTGGGGGACAAGATGTGTAAAACACCAGTGTGGCAGAAACAATGGCATCCATCAAACATCCATCAGCCTCCTGCTCATCCCCACCACCACCTCCTTGCCAGCTGCCTTATTGCCGGCCAGAGCCATGTGACCAGCTCTGGCCGGGGCTATGGCAGAGAGTGACAGGTGCTACTTTCAGCCTAAAACCTAGAAGAGCCTGGTGTGACCTTCCAGATGTCTCTTCCCCTGCCATGGCAACCAAGGAAGCAAGTATTTAAGAGAATGCCGTCCGTCACACAGTAACAAAGCCTCCGTGACTCGCTCCCTGTGTGGAGTGGAGTCTCCTGCTGACCCTTAATGGACAGGCAGTGTGAAGGAAAAATGAACCCTTGTTGTGATAGGCCACTAAAATACTGGGATTTATGAGTGACTGTAGGAGAACCCAGCTTATTCTAGAACCCAGCTTATTCTGACTAACACCACCAGTCATCTGGATGTTGGCATTTCAGAGCACAGGTTCCAGCACATGCTGCACAACAGAATCATCTGGGAGCTTTTTGAAAATGCCAGTTCCTGGGCCAACCCTTTAAGAGCTTCTGACTCTGTCGCTCTGAGTGTGGCTCGGACATCAGTCATTTCAAGTGTTCCCCAGGTGATTAATTGTACTGTGCAGCCGCAGTTGAAAAACCGCAGCTGCCTTTCTTAAGAAGCTCTGTGTCGTGTCGGGTAATGTTACATGTGGTTCGTGTTTGAGTGAGCATCTGCTCTGCAGACTTGGTTCTTCCCAGGCACCAAGAAGCATTCCTGTGTTTTCCACTGGATTGGCACTGTCCTGGGCTTGCATACAGTTGCTGGTGCTTGAGAAGCTGTGTGTGTGCCTTTACGAAGCTTAGATAACAGGCAATCTGAGGCTGGGGAAACGCCATCTTTGCCCTGTGTTAGAGGCACTTCTATAAATAGGCAAGCAGAGCCTGCAGGTGGGAAATTCAACCTGGAATGTGCAGTCAATGTCCTGCACACCAAGCATTCAAAACTAAGACCCTCTTGGCTTTTGGAGGCAGGCTGATCTCACATTCCTGTATTCTGATGCCACGTCCCTACTGGGGTCAGGAGAGGAGCCGACACTGTGGGCGGGATTTCTGTTGAAGACAGTGACCGTTTCTGCTGTCACCATCAGCCTGGGACCAGGGTGTCAGGCATGGAGTCTGGATTCTAGGGACTGCAGACGGCTTATGAGGCTCTCACACTGCGAAGTGAGGCCCACGGCCTGAGAGAGGCCCAGTGCTAGGCAAGGAGACCATCACATCAAATCACAACTCTCTGTTGTGAAACTTGATCCTGAAAGTTTTGTATAGTCTCATCAAAATTTACAAGCTGGTTTCTGCGCCACTTTGGAAATTAAGGGGCCCTGTGCTTGCGATGGAATCATAAAGGATGTCTCCTCTCTTGTCCCCACCCCAGGCCTGCACAGTGGCAGCAGCTGTGGCCAGAGGGACACCAGTGGACACAGAGGCCCAGGGAGAGGAGCAGAGGCCAGCAGGAAACAGCAAATGCAGAGGCCCAAAGTGACCAGGACACCGTCCTTGTGCACATCCTGGGAGGAGCCGACGTCTAAAGAAGGGCTGAAGCCTGAAAATCTGGCATGACTAGAGCTCAAAGTCATGGCTGCTTGGGGCACTGTTAGAAATGTGCCTCCTTGTGTTCTCCCAGTGATGTGATAAAGGTGGCATCTCACTGAAAAGGACCAGGGTTAGGAGGGCTCAGGAGCTATGGGGTGGCCCAGGGACAGAGAGCTGCTCATCAAAATCAGTGTCAAAGCTGCATGTGCAGCCCTGGTGCTCGGGGGGCTCTGGTGCAGGGTGTGCTGTGGCGTTCCTCGACGACGATGTTGCTTTACTGGGGGAAGTATCCTGGTACTGGCAGGGTCAGAAGAGGGTAGTGAGGAGTGTGGTGCTTCTGGGAGCCATGTGAATTGAAGTGGAATAATTAGCCAGGCATGGTGGAGGGTGCCTGTAATCCTAGCTACTCAGGAGGCTGAGGCAGGAGAATCACTTAAACCTGCGCAGAGGCTGCAGTGAGCTGAGATCACACCGCTGCACTCCAGCCTGAGCGACAAGAGTGAAACTCGGTCTCAAAAAAGATATAGATAGATATAGATAGATACAGATGATAGATAGATAGATATCTGAAAGATTCACAGAGAGTAAATGACAGTGTCCAAACAAAAAGTGTCCTTTCCGCCCTTGCACAGTGCCGCCCCCATTCCAAAAACTCCCTTTCCACTGACCTGCTGCCTGTGTGCATTGTAATCCAGCTCACTCTCTCCCACTCAGAGCTGCCAGGCAGGGCTACAAACACAGGGCACGAAGCTGCCGTCCTCCCTACCTGGCCAGTGGCAAACATCACTAAACCCAGCCACCCTTCCCACCAAACCTGCCCGAGGCCTTGGGCTTCTTCCCATCACAGCGGTCCACACAGCCACCGCCTGCCAGTCAGCATTAGTTACAGCCACCTGACGCTTGTCTTCAAATCCAAGAGAGAGGTGCAGGTCAACTGTGACCCTGGGGCCGAGGCCAAGTCAACCACACCCATTTGTTTGGGTATCACCTATGCTGTGCTCATACTGCAAAGGCCAAGTTGAGCAGTTGAGACAGAGACTGTGTGGCCCACAAAGCCTAAGATATTGACCACCTGGCCCTTTACAGGAAAAGCCTGCCAACCCCAGTTAGAAGCAAAGCATGCTCAAATTTGTATTTTTTTTCCCAGAATAAGATTGTCATTAAACTTATAAATAGGGTTTCTTAACCTATTCACACAGTGAAATGCAGACAGCCCGAGAGTTGTTATCTAAACTAAAAAAGAAGAGAATGGGAAAACCTAATTATCCTGGATGTCACATGCTGACTCCAGGGGTGACTATACTTTAGTTGACTCAACCTTGGTTTGGAAACTTGCTTTCACTCCCTCCCTGGAGTCAGAAGCCTTCCCAGACAGCATGTTCTCTGGTCTTGGTCTTCGAAGCTACGGGGAGTTGTGCCAAGGAAGCTCACCCTCCACAGGCCTAGAGCACGACGATGCCAGGGTCAGGTGTTGCTAACAGCCCTTCCCTCTCTTCCACCTCCTCAAGCCCCCTCCCCAGGAACAGTGGAGGGAGAATGAAAGAAGGCACAGTTTCACCTTCTCCATCTGCCTTGGAAGCCGCAACATCTGCCTTCCAATTAGGATGGAGTTACCGGGGTGACGGGGTTGGCTAGCAGGCCCCTCGGCTCCTGACTCCTCTGGGGCAGCCCCCTGCTCTAATGAAGAGCTAATTAACATGAAAAGCATTGATTTAGCCAACTGCTGCTTGTATAATCACAAGGCACTCTCAGCAGCAGCTTCAAAGCTGTCTCTCCCTTCAGAACACAGGATTCGCATAAAGCGTGGGACTAAACCCTCCCCGTGTTTTTAAACAGTGATTTCCCCACACTCCTGAAGTGAAAACACCAGCTCTGTAAGTCGACCACGTAGGCGCCCCTCTCGCTGCCTTCAAGGGGAACTCTGGTGGGTTTGGTAAATGTTAGTACTTGCCCGTGTGACCCAGAGATTGGGTTAGGAATCAGGTTCCATCTTCTCTCCTGGCTCACAAACGTGTGTGTTGCCAAGAACTAGTAGGAGGCCATGGCTGTGCTCTAGCTGTCTCAACAGAGAAGTAGCTTAAACCCTTACAGTGAGGGGTGGGGTGCCTTAACTATAAGGAACAAAGGCATGAGAGGCCTCTAAGACAACATCTGCATGGATTTGTTTGACTCCCTCATCCCAAATGATGATCATTCATCTCCCTGATCATCCATGTGGGAAAGTTTGAGGCCAGATACCAGCTCGAAGCAAGACCAAGAAATTCAGGCTCTGGCTTGGTAGACTTCTGAGGTAGAGTGCCGTATGAACCATACTTTTACTGTCTGAAAATTGATCTTTAACATCTACAGGATGGCTACTAGCTGCTCCCATGTAAACCCTGCAGTACCCGAAAACATCCAGAGACTTTAGATAGCCCCCAAACCAGCCACAATGGATGGGATTTTGCAGGGGCACCACCTCCAAACATAGCGGGCCAGTCTGCCTTATGGCCAACCCTTGTGTTCCAGTGGCCCAGCTTGGTGTGCCATGTTCTCACCAAAGGACTATCAGTGTCATAAAACTGTGAAACTCTTTCTAGTTTCTCTCTTGACCTGCATCTGACCTCAGCAGACTTCACCCAAGGTAGCATTGGTTAGAAGAAAGCAAGTGGAGCCCATGATTCTAAAACTGTGACGACGGAAGGGTCATTCATCAAAGGTTTTGACTGAAGGAAGTGAATTGGAAGCCAAGGGAAAATTCCAAGAAAGAAAAGGACTTAACTGAAAAAAGGTCATTATAGACTCAATCCCTTTCCTTTATTTATAAGTTTAATAGATTAGTTTGGAATTTGTTGAAGATACTTTTCATCCAGATTTCAGGGAGGTACATAGCATGGTAACCCTGTGAAGACATTGGAGCAATGGATAGTTATACATCCAGGTAGATCGGAAACCAGTTCAACAACTCTAGCCAAAGGCTATTGATAAAAGACAACTGACATCTAGAAGGAGGTCAGAGCCACTAACTAGACGGTAGCTGTGCCTTGGATGAAGCTTATCTAATTTGCAGCTGTCATGAAGTTGAGTACAATACTGAACAAGTCGACGACAGACTCCTCTGTACGGCAGCATCACTTTGTCATTAAGCACACAGACTCTGAGCTGAATCTGCCCAGGATCGGATCCCAGCTCCAGCACTTACTAGCTAGTTATGTTTCGCAAATTACTTAGGCTGTGAGTATTAGTTCCAACACTCAACTGAGCCTCTCCCTCATTAAACCAACAAGAGAATTTAAAGGGATTGTATAGGCCAGGTAAGGTGGCTCACACCTGTAATCCCAATACTTTAGGGGGCCAAGGTGGCAGAGTCGCGGGAGTCCAGGAGTTTGATGCCAGCCTAGGAAACATAGTGAGACCATGTCTCTAGTAAAAATAAAAATAAAATAAAAATGTAATTAGCTAGGCATGATGGCACACCCTTATAGTCCCAGCTACTCAGGAGCCTGAGGGAGGAGGATCAAGGATGCAGTGAGCCGTGTTCATGCCACTGCACTCCAGCATGAGTGACAGAGCAAGACCACATCTCTTAAAAAAATAAGAAAGAGGGCTGGGCATGGTGGTTCACACCTATAATCGCAACACTTTGGGAGGCTGAAGCGGGCAGATCATTTAAGGTCAGGAGTTCAAGACCAGCCTGGCCAACATGATGAAACCCTGTCTCTACTAAAAATACAAAAAAATTAGCTGGGTGTGGTGGCACAGCTACTGGGAAGGCTGAGGCAGGAGAATCACTTGAACCCAGGAGACGGAGGTTGCAGTGAGCTGAGATCCAACCACTGCACTCCAGCCTGAGCAACAGAGTGAGACTCTGTCTCAAAAAAATGTAAAAATATAAAGAAAAGAATAAAAAGGATAGTATCTGTAAAGTGCCTGGAACAGAGTTAGTGTTCAACAACTGTCAGCAGTGTTGTTAGCTGAGGCTGGTCACTGGGTGACTGTAATATCAGTCAGGGTCTCAGTGATAACAGAAAATACACTCAAATTGGGATAATGTGAGGATGGATTGCTTTCTAAAGGGACTATTTACAAAGGTGTGCTTGAGATTTAAAGAATCTGAAGATAGTGCTATAACCCAGGGTAGCAATTGCAAAGCCATTACCACTCCTAAGCCTAAGGGCCGAGGGGAGGAAGCAGTTGTTAAAACCCAGAGGGAGAGAGAAGCATAGAAAGGAGGCCACCAAGGGAAACAGTGTCCTTTGGTTGAAGGACACAGGTGACCACCCTGGGAGGAAGTGAGCGGAGTAAACACCCCCACCCTCTCTCTGATTCCAGCTGGAGCACCCATTGGCCAAACCCAACAAGAAGCGCAAGAATGGGTGAGCCTGGCCATACAGGTCAGTTTCTGGGGCAGAAAGCGGGGTGGAAAAAGGTGACAGTGGGTCTGGAGGGACAGAAAGACACCTGGTACGAGCATGTTACATTTGTTGGGGACAAAGTTAAAATCCTGCCTGTCATTTCAATGAAGCGACTACAACAATATTCAGGATGGCAGATATTTAAGAGCAGCATCTAGAAACAATGATTAAAAGGGTTCAGTCGGCTACAAGTCCAATATTCAGCCATTCATTCATTTACTCAGCAAATGCAGGGAATGCACACTGTGTGTCCAGACCTGCACTAAGCATGACAATACAAAAATAAACAGAACAAGAATGTATCCTGAGCAGAGGACATACTGGCATACAGTCGGTGCTCAGTGAATATATGTGGAACATGTGAATGAATCAACTTCATCGTAATGGACTGTCTTCATAGTCCAATATGGACATAAGATGATTTGGTGGCAGCAGTGACTAGGGGAGGGGAGGCGGAGGGCAGGGACAGGTAGTATCAGACCCAGTCACAATGCTTGTTGAAGTGGTGGTAAGGGGATTGGGAGACTCTCTTCTAGACAGAAATGCGGGGCATGTCCAGGGCCCTGGCTCCCTCAGGTCCCATGTGCAAAAAGAAGCATGACATCCAAAAGCTCGATGGTTTCCCAAATGCCCAGGGAAGCCCCAAGTGCGAAGGCTGGCAGGGAGGTCAAGCCAGGTGAGTGGCGGCAGCCAGTCTCCCCTCAGCTGCCATGGCCGGTGGGCCCGGAGCACAGGGAGGGCAGGCACCAGGCTTGTGCAAACTCCAGCTCTCAGGCAGGTGTGATCCTGTTGTACCGTGTAGGGAGGGGTCCCTGAAAACTGTCAGTCTGAAGGCCCTGGAGGGGAGGTGTGGACTTCCGCATGGGTGATTCCCAAGCCCAGCAACAGAGCAGAGCAGGGTGTGGTCCAGGGAGTGTCAGGGTCAGATTCTGGGTCACCATCACCACCCCAGGAAAAGAGAAATCCAAATAGCAAAAATAAAGAAGAAATGGGCAATTTTAGCTGATGGGGGGCAAATGGAGGTTTCTTGGGGGAAGACAAAGAGGCTGTCTTCAGACCTCCAAACCGAGTCTGAAGGCCAGCTGGGGCAATCGCTGGGGCAATCGCTGGGGCAATCGCTAAATCTGCCTGCTTGGAAGCAGCATCAGCATCCGAGAGCTACCGTGCCTCCAGCCCAGGTCTGAGGTGTGAAGGCCTCCTGAAGCCCTGAGAGCCACTTTTGGGAAACCTCTCCAAATCCTGCACATGCTGCAAGACATGATTAAAACCCAGCCCAGCCATCTACAGGTTTTATGATTTGGGGCAAGTCAGTAAATGTCTCTGAGCCTCAAAGTCTGCAAATATCTAATGGGAGTAATCCAACTTCCCAGGGTTATTGTGAGGATCAGATGAACTCGTTATGGTAAAATACTTAGCACAGTACCTGGCACAGATTAGAGACCCAAGGGCTAATGCCTTTCTCCTCCTCCTTCACCTACTGCTTGATGCTTTGCAGAAAGCAGTGGTTCCGAAAGCAAATGGGGCTTTAAGAGTGAGGGTGGGACAACAAGACCATCTCTGTGGCCTAGAAGAGGCCGCATCATGGGGACTAGCGTCCTCCCAGTTCTGCCAGTTGTTCTTCCTGTCTTTGAAGTTCCCCAGGGACCACGGTGAGCCTATCCAGGCAAGAAAGCCCAGGCAGACTGGGCTCAGTGGCTCACACTTGTAATTCCAGTGTTTCGGAAGGCCAAGGCAGGGGGATCACTGAAGCCCAGGAGTTCGAGGCCAGCCTGGGCAACATAGGGAGACCGCTGTCTCTACAAAAAAAAAAAAATTAAAAAATTAGCTGGGCATGATGGTACACGCCTGTAGTCCCAGCTACTTGGGAGGCTGAAGTGGGAGGATCATTTGAGCCTGGGAGGTGGAGGCTGCAGTGAGCCATGGTCATGCCCCTATACTCCAGCCTAGGCGACAGAGCAAGGCCCTGTCGAAAGAAAGAAAGAAGAAAGAGAGAAACAGGTAGGGAGGGAAGGAGAGAAAGAAGGAGAGAAAGAGGGAGAGAGAGAAAGAAAGAGAGAGAGAAGGAGAGAGAGAGGAAGGAAGGAAGGAAGGAAGGAAGAAGGAAGGAAGGAAGGAAGGAAGGAAGCAAGCAAGCAAGCAAGCAAGCAAGCAAGCAAGCAAGCAAGGAAGGCCGGCCCAGACAGCGCCCTCAGCTGGTGGAGGTTTGCAGAGTTCCAGGGCTCAGCTACCAGCTTCTGGTCCCTACCTGACTCAGGGCTGCTGGGGACTGAGGAGCATCTCCTTGGCCGTCGAATGCATGTACCTGGAGAGCTTTTGCTTTTCATTTTCCTCCGGCCCTCTTAGCACGTCTCCACGCCACTGTCGAGCTGGATGCATCTGCCAAATGTAAATCCTCCGGGTTGTCTGAGTGAACAAGCATTCCAAAGGGGAAGCTCCTAGAATTCCTGGGCCCTGGTTGCCCTCAGAGCTCATCTAGACCAGAGAACGCTTTCAGAGGAACAGCCCTCTCTAAGAAGGCAATTAAAGCTCCACTCTTCCCCTCCAGAACTGCATAATTATACCTTGTACAAACACACACACACACAAAATTCTTAAAATTTCAAGTGTTTCACAGAATTCCCAGCCATGGATCCATAGATCTCAAGTTAAGAACCCTGGATTCACCTAACCCCCTCAGGTTGCAGATGTAGGAGCTGAGGCCCAGAGAGGGGAAAGGACTTGGATGGCCAAGATCACACAGGAGTTAGTGGCAGAGCCAGGGGAATATTTTCAAGCTGCCTCTGATACCTCTCTTGGGCTTCTTGATGCTCCTTTCAGTGTGAGAGCATGAGGAATAGGAGAAGGAGCCTGAAAGCCCTATAATCCTGACAGGCAGCACTCTGGCCGAAGGTGGGATCATTTGCGTAAAAGCTCACATTTGCCTAAACCTGGAGAAATAATAGCAGGGTTTCTCTCCAGCTGCCAGGGCCCTTTCTCACCACCAGGTGGCGCTTGCATCATGCATTAGACTGGAGTTACAGCCAGAAAGCACTTGAAAATAGGGGAGATCTCAGTTCGTCTCCTGATTACAGATGGGGAAACTGAGTCCAAGAGAAAGCAAAGGACTTCTTGAGTTATCCTGGACAATTATCTTCCTTGTCCATGATCCTGTTTCCCTTGTCCAACCACAAGTAAGGCATTTAGACTAGAATCAGTTTCCAACAATGGAACTTTGGGTGTAGCGGAAGTTGCTTGGGGAGGTTTCTTGGGGAAGACACAGAGGCTGTCTTCAGGCCTCCGAGTGAGCAGAGCCTCTGAGCCCCTCACTCTGTGCTGCCACGAGCCCAGCCCCATTTTACCTGTTTGACACACTAAGCTTCAATGTATAATTTCATTCAAACAAAGGGTTATGTGCCTAAAATACTTTGAAAATCCCTGATCAGGAATTCCACACAACTCTACTCTAGGTATCTTTGTGGCTTCAAACACTCAAGTGTTTCCAAACTGGCAAAGGCACATGGTGCTGATAAGAGGAGAGAGGCTGGAGAGACCCCCAGCCAGGAGGGCAGAGCTGGGATTCAAGCCCAGCTGGGATTCAAGCACATCTGACTTCAGATGCGGGCTCCTTCACAGCGTCAGCCATGCACAATAATGGAGCACCTACGTTGCACCAGGGATTAGCCCTGTGTATGTTCAGTGCAGTCACATCTGTTATTTAATCTGCCTCTCCCAACTTTGTCACTGTGTGTAAGGATTACCTCCCCATTTTACAGATGAGAAAACTGAGGCTCAAATGATCTGTTTAAGAGAGAAAAATGAACCAGATTTTCTCACAGATAAGATTATCTTGGTCTTCCAGTCTCTCCAGGGGAATCTAGAAATAAGCAGGAAAACTATGGGTACCCCCAGAGCACCCCTGACCCAGGCCTCTCCTTGTGGTCCACTCACTGCCTCTGTCTCTTGGGTACACATCTCCATCCCTTCATTCATACTCAGCTCCTCCCTCCCTCTTTCCCACTATAGACTCCCTGGACATCCCCAGCCTGATCTCCTTGACACCAGTCAACCTTCCACAGACCCCAGGAAGCCTGACACCTGGATTAGGCAGGAGGCTGCCTGGGACCCAAACCCCTCCCCAATTCACCATGTCTGCAAGCTCACCACTAAGAGTGTCAATATTTGGGGCTGAAGACTTTTCCCATGGTAAAACTAAAACCTCTGGGAAGCCACATATTTTAATCTAAAATTAGACATTTGAATCCCAGAGCGAGTGAGTATCTGATCTTTTCCAGAGAGCAAGGAGAGAAGAAAAAAATTACACAAAGTCTGGGAATTGCGGCTTACACCTTCAATCCCAGTACTTTGGGAGATGAGGTGGGAGGATTGCTTGAGCCCAGGAGCTTGAGACCAGCCTGGGCAACATAGTGAGACCCCATCTCTACAAAAAAATTTTTGAAGAATATCCTGGCATGGTGGCCTACACCTGTAGTCTCAGCCACTCGGGAAGCTGAAGTGGGTGGATCACCTGAGCCCAGGAATTTGAGGTAGCAGTGAGCTATAATCATGCTACTGCACTCCAGCCTGGACAACAGAGCAAGACCTTGTCTCTGAAAAAGAAGGAAGGAAAGAAAGAAAAGAAAGAAAGAGAGAGAGAGAAAGGAAGGAAGGAAGGAAAGAAAGGAAGAGGGAGGAAGGGAGGGAGGGAGAAAAAGAAAGAAAGAAAGAAAAGAAAGAGAGAAAGAAAGGGAAGAAAGAAAGAGAAAGGAAGGAAGGGGAGGGAGGGAGGAAAAGAAAGAAAGAAAGAAAGAAAGAAAGAAAGAAAGAAAGAGAAAGAAAGGAAGGAAGGAAGAAAGAAAGAAAGAAAGAGAAAGAAAGGAAGGAAGGAAGAAAGAAAGAAAGAAAGAGAAAGAAAGGAAGGAAGGAAGAAAAGACAGAAAGAGGAAGGGAGGGAGGGAAGGAGGGAGGGAGGAAGGGAGGAAGGAAGGAAGGAAGGAATGGAGGGAGCGAGGGAGGGAGGGAGGGAAAAAGAAAAGCAAAGAAAAATTACATGAAGATTCCCGGAAGTCAGAGGGGCGGAGGCTGAAGGGAGGCAGTGTGCACAGTGCGGATGCCATGGGCACCAAGGATTGTCATCATTTACCCATGGGGCTCTCTCCCCCAAGACTCCCACATTCTTAAATGTGTGTGTTCAAGGCCAGCCCCCAAGCTGGGTACAGCTAAAGAGATTCACCAGGTAAAGTTCTTGCCCTTGGGGAAGGCAGAAACGAATACACACAATACCACGTGAGCGAGCAATGAGAGAGTTGCCTCGTTGTCGTGTGGGAGCCCAGAGCTGAGGACACTATCCTCTACCAGGGAGTCAGGGAAGACCCAAGGAAGTGACAGTGGCCTAGAATCAGAAAGGGTGAGCTTGGGCAGTTCCAGTTTCTTTGGAAACTGAAGCTTACTCAGTGGTGTGCACGTGTGCGTGTGTGCACGTGCGCTGGCAAGAGGAAGTAGAAGCCTCTCTAAACAAAAGGATACAAAACCAAAATCGAGTACAAAATCTAATATTAATTTAGAATGAGAAAAGAAATCAGAACAAATTACTTTTTTTTTTTTTTTGAGACAGAGTCTCACTCTGTCGCCCAGGCTGGAATGCAATGGTGTGATCTTGGCTCACTGCAGCCTCCGCCTCTCGGGTTCAAGCAATTCTCCTGCCCCAGCCTCTGAGGAGCTGGGATTACAGGTGCTGACCACCATGCCCAGGTAATTTTTCTGTATTTTTAGTAGACACATGGTTTCACCATGTTGGCCAAGCTGGCTTCGAACTCCTGACTTCAAGTGATCCGCCTGCCTCGGCCTCCCAAAGTGCTGGGATTACAGGCGTAAGCCACTGTGCCCGGCCCAAATTACAATTTTTAAAACTGAAAATATTACCAAGCTCAAGAAAGTCAGAAAAATAACGTTTTTATTAATATTCCTGAATTGCCTCTAAAATGCTTTTCTACAATATGTATTTTTGTTTGTTTAATCTTTGATAGCCTCTGATATGATAATAATTTGTAATGCCACCTTTTCTTGTAAATACAACATTAAAATAAGTCTTTCATTTCACAGGTAGATCAGTAAAAAATATTTATTGATAATTTCACAATTTATTATTTGTAGAAACAATTTTTAGGATTGTTATCAATTTGGGAAAACCTCAAATCAAGGATCAAGGATCTTTTATATAAAAACTGCAAGATTTCAAGGCATTTCAGGTTTCTTTTGCAATAATTTCTCTTTAAATTGATGGCACTCACTAAACACCTGGTCACCAATGTACTTGTGGTAGCAGCATATTGTAGGTTTCATGTTATCTTTGTCAATGTTGATTCATTCCAAATCAGCAAGAAATATAAATCTTTTATAAATATATTCATATGATTTTCTCCTCTTCATTAATTGGATAAGCAAACCATCCAAGAACCAACCCATTACTTATATTTAAAGTTCATCTCCTCTTAATAAATTATATACAATATGTGTGTAATTCACTCCTTGATGACAGAATAATTTTGTTGCTTATCTTTATAGCTTTTGTTTCAAATTTCATTAATTTGTATTTGAATATTCTCTCAGTTCTTTAATAAACTAAAGATATCCAAAAAAAGGTTTCCATCAAGTATGTCCTAACCAGGAGTCTGTGATTTCTCTCTTGTTTTACAGAAACATTCCAACATGTCTTCCCAAACTGTAGTTATAATGACATGTTTGAGCTTATTCACCTTTTTTAAATGAAGTTTTTGTATCTTGTACTTGAATTTCTCTTCTATCTTTAAAAAAAGAAAATGTGTTTAGGCTCCTTAAAATACCATGAGCCCACGTGGCAAGGCTTGACCTGTGCATTTTGGGTTCTAGCCAAGGAGAACTTGAGTTGGGGGAACATTTAGCTTGTGTTAGTGAGGTTCACCATCAATTCGATTTAGAGTTAAGTTATTGTGAGCCTTTTCGAGTGTAGGAGGGGCTTCCAGGAATACTCTCTCCACACCCTGCTCCTTGCCAGACCGCTGGTGCCAGGGCCCTGAAGGGCTAGGCCAGCCATTGTACCACAGTATGAATGTTACTGACTCCTCCAGTGCCACAGACATGACAGCAGGTGTGACGAAGGGGACGATGGAGTAGAAAGAGCCAGTGGGCATAGCCAACTGTAGTCAAAATACAGTATCTTACTTTAGCACTTTTTTTTAAATTTTAAAAATTAATGTCTTTGGGAGGCTGAGGTGGAAGGATCACCTGAGGTCAGGAGTTCAACACCAGCCTGACCAAGATGGCGCAACCTTGTCTCTATTAAAAATACAAAATTAGCTGGGCATGGTGGCACATGCCTATAATCCCAGCTACTTGGGAGGCTGAGGCAGGAGAATTGCTTGACCCAGAAGTGTGTGAGGTTGCAGTGAACCGAGATCAGGCCATTGCAGTCCAGCCTGGGTGACGGAGCGAAACTCCATCTCAAAAAACAAAACAACAAAAAAAAATTAATGCCAAATGAACACATTGTTAAAGCCTCTCCTGGGCCTTGGGCTGTGCACTGACATTTCCTTAGCTTCCTATATATTTACCTCTGAAGGTAAGAAGGGTAAGCCACAGAGAGAAAAGGGAATTCCAAGCAAAGGCAACGAGCATGAGCAAAAACACAGTGGCCACTCATTCAAAAATATATAACCAGTAATAAGCCCTGAGCAACTAGGGGGACATGAGGCTGGTGAGATAGACCCTGGCCAGATGACAAAAGGCCCATGTTCCCAGCCAAGGAGGTTAGACCACAACTGGATTAAGAGGCCAGCACAGTGTTCCCAGATTACAGACATTGCTTCCCTTCCTCTTCACTTCCTGAGGTTCCTCCAAACACACACACACTTTTTCTTTCCCTCGTAACAGTTTTTGTTTGTGTGTTTTACGTTCTAATCAAACGTCCAAGGAGGGAGGTCGAGGAGGACTTGAGGGTAGCTGCTATTTGATAGCAGAATTTTAGAAATGTGCAGAGTCCGATGTCATCTCAATCTCAAGTGACTTCACCTCTCCCTGTCTTTAGCCACTGTGCCCATCCCCCCCTTGGACAGTTTTGTTCTCAACCGCAATGGCTCCAAGAGCGAGAAGCAGAGAATGTGCTGGCTGCACAGAGCGATGCCTCGTAACCCGTGGTAGGTGCTTTACGGGAGGCCACCTTTGGCTCATTTTGCTGTGGATTTCACATCCCTGTGAGGCGGCTGGGGCAGTTACTATTATTCCTATTTTACAGCTGAGGGAACAAGGCCCGGAGGGGCTCCGATGACTCACTGTAAACAGGTTAACAAGGCCCCGCTGCTGTGAGTCATCCTCCCAGGCCGAGGCCAGCTGGGCCCCAGCACCATCTAGATTGTCTTATCAGCTGTCATAGGACAACCTGCCTTCAGAGTCATCTCGGAGGTGATCCACATTGTCTCTGAGAGCCACCGTTGACGGCAGGACCGTGGAGCCATCGTCCTTCCCATGCACCCACCACCCACTCCCCGCCGGTGTTCTCAGACCTTCAGGCTGCAGGGCCGAACACTGTGAGAGACTGATCAAAAAATATCCTGACCTCTAATTCTCTGCTAAACCCAAGCAGACCTCGCCTTCTAGAAACTGCTATTGTCGCACAACGAGTAAGGACTCAGTGTTAAAGAAAATGGAAAGTGATAAGGCACTTCAAACCGTTTACATCTAGCCCATTCAGCCCCCGCATTCACAATCATCTGAGGGCCGTGAACAGAGCAGCATAATTCACCTGTAGCGGCCATCCCCTCTGACATCTCCGAGCTTGAGAGCAACTGCCTTTCAGAGTGCAGGGCTGGAAAAAGAGTAGGGGATGGGGCTAGCATTTCCTTGTGAAAGTACACATCAAAAGCTGTATCAGCCATGAAATCTGATGTGCACGGCCTCACATGAGCTCAGCTGCCAGGGACCTCATCCCAGAAGCTTCCATCCCTCCCCCCGAGAAGGTACAGAGAGAGAAGTAACACCAATTAATTTCCTGGTAACCACTGGAGGGTCACTCTTTGATGCTCAGCCAAGAAGGGCATCTCCAGCTTAGGGGTCTGGAGTAGAGAACTGAGTGTGTGAGATTACAGGGCAGATGAGGCCAAAGATAGCCTTGAATGAGGCCGTCTGATCCAGGGCCCAAGATCCTTGAAGTCGAGGTCCCTGTGTGAAGTTCCTGTTGCCCTGATCTCTGCCCATTTGCACCAAGAGAGCACAGAATTCATTGCAAGTGATGGACTTCTTTGGGTCATTTTTCCCCCTGCTTCTCACATGGTAATGTGCATACAAATCCCCCTAGGGATCTTCTTAAGACAGATTCTAACTCAGTACATCCGGGGCAGCCCGAGAGTCTGCATTTCTAACAAGCTTCCAGGTGACGCTGAAGCTGTTTTGGTCCACAGACCACACTCTGGGTCTCGAGGCCCTCATTTAGTTTCCACCCAAGGCCAAGTAGGCAGGTGGGAGGGTCAGAGGTCAGGACAGACAGGTATCATGTGCAGCCACAGCATCAGTGACAGCAGCAAGTGGGGCTCCTTCTCTTTAAAGAGCCTCCCATCCCAGTATTGAAAGGTGGCCCATGGTGTCCCCAAAATAGTCTGATCTTTCCAGCATCCCCTGAAGGCATTTAATCAGCACTTACTGTCTTCCTTCCTCTGCTCACCTAGTGCCCACACTATTAGAACCAGGTAACCTGAGAGCTCCTGAAGATGGCCACGATCATCCGACAGGAGCTGCTCACCCAACAACTTCATCGCTTTGCAGGCAGCACGTACAATGGCTAAAAACCAGCAAAACCAGCATTCATGCCAGGCTTCTTGGGGTTTATCTGGATTTTGCCTCTTATAAGTTGTAAGGCCTTAGAGAGCTTCAGTTTCTTCATCAATAAAATGGGGCTAATAATAGGGTTGAAGTAAAGAGTACGGACCTCTCATTGCACTAGCTATAAAGTGCTAGTGCATAGTAAGTACCTAATAAATGTTAGTTACCATAAACAGCATTATAATCTATTATTATTCAGAATTAGAAGCTATACCAAAGCTCAATCTGCCATGAAACTGATCGGCCAGCTACCAGAAGCCGCCTTGGAGCCCAGGGTTTATTGCATCCCCCAAATCTCCCTCTCCTCTAAGAGTGTTTACCCATTGATAAATGATGGAAGATAGTCCTTTGAGAGAGACGCTGGAGGTCTCCCATTTCCAACTTTTGTCACCCAAATGATAAATCTCAGGAAGCTTGACAAGCAAGTCTAGGATTAGATATTTGTGTCAGGGTATGTCTGCTTTAAACACAGGGGGCTGTATCAGATCCTAGGGCTGCCATAACAAATTATTAAAAGCCAGGTGGCTTAAAACAATAGAAACTTATTCTCTCAGTTCTGGAGGCTAGAAGTCTCAAATCAATTGTCAGCAGGGCCATGCTTCCTCTGAAGGCTCTAGGGGAGGATCCTCCCTTCCCTCTTCCAGGTTCTGCTGGCTCTGAGCATTCCTTGGCTTGTGGCAGCACAACTCCAGACTCTGTCTTCACAACAACTTAGTTCTATGTGTCTCTCTGTCCTCTCTTCTTATAAGAACACCAGTCATTGGATTTAGAGTCTACCCTAAACCTAGGATGATCTCATCTCAAGATCACTAACTACATCTGCAAAAGCCCTATTTCCAAATCAGGTCACATTCTGAGGTTCTGGGTGGACATGAATTTTGAAAGAACAGTATTCAACCCACTTCAGGGACAATCACCAGAAAATGCCCCAAGCCCCATTCTCAGCTACCTTGCAGTACGCACCCTTTATGTACATATGTAGACTGTGCGGGACAGAGGGGCACTTGGGGGCGAGAAGCATGCCTTTCTTCCCATCCTTCCCTCCAATGCCAAAGGACCACACCTAGAGGAGCAGAGCTTGGAGCACCAGGAGTCTGGAAGATGTCACTCACAAACAACTCAAGGCTCAGGAGATATTCAGCCTTGAGGGGTAAGGTCTGAGTGCTGGACAGCAAGAATGAATCATTACTGTCTGCAATGCCTGGAGATGCAGGATGGTTGTGACATTATAGATGTTATAAAAGCACGGGCTGAAGGAAGACAGTACCTAGCTTCATACAAAGACCTTTCCAAAGCACAGCCTCCTCCCTTTCCACCTGTCCCTGGAGTGTGGCTGCTCCCTGAGGCTCCACTCTCAGCCCCAGTTCTCACTCAGCACCCTCCACAGGAGTCCAGGGCAGCCACTGGGTGGTCTGGATACAGAGATGGGGGGATGCCAAGTTGCTTATCACTACCCCACTCCTCTTTCCTGAGCTCCAGATGTGACATTTGCTGTCTACTGGGGATCTCCACCAACCACTCTCAGAAGAACTGAAAGCACAATTCATTCCACTTTTATTCATTGTCTTTATCACTTGCGCCCAGACTGATCTCCTGCCTTTATCCCACAGAAGAGGGTTTCTCAGCCTCTGCACTATTGACATTGTAGGCTTGATAACTCTTCATTCTAGGGGACTGTCCTGTGATTTATGGGATATTTACCAGCCTCTACTTCATCCCTGGTCTCTACCCATGAGATGCCAGTAAACCCTCAACCACCTGAGTGGCAATCATCAAAAATATCTCCAGGTGTGGTCAAATGTCCCCTGGGAGGGAAATCACCTGGTTTGGGTACCATTGCCACAGAGGAATCTCCTGGTAACTGATCCAAAATATGAGCAGCAACCTATACTCACCCTCCTTCTTCAACCCCCATCCAATTGGGCCTGTTTATCCTGCAGTGCCTCTTCTTCTCACCCTTCTTAAATCTATCTCAACCTCTCCAGTTCCAGTATTGAGGCTCTAGTTCAGGGCTTTGCTGTCCAGCTGGACTATCAGAACAGTTCCCTAATAATTCCCTCTGCTGTTAGTCTTGCTAGCATCAGATCCGTTGGATCCATTTCTGTACGGCCCCTGAATCCTCTTTCTAAAGCAAAACCTTGGCCACATCACTCCCCTTCTTAAAACCCTTAAGTGGCATCTCACTGCCTACCAGATAAAGTCTACATCAATCTGGCCCAAGAGAACTTTCTGAGGTGAAGAGAAATGCTTTCTATCTGTGCTGTCCAATATGGCGGCCGCTCGTGATTACTGAATGTTTGACACGCGGCTTGTGTGACTGAAGACCTGAATTTTTTTTATTTTACCTCAAGTATATTAATTTACTGTACAGTGCAGGTCTACTTGCTTAATATAATCTACATATCCTTAAATGATCTCTAGAACATTGGGTCTCAGCTGGTATTTGAATCAACTAGGAAGCTTTAAAAAATCCCAATACTCAGTCACCTCTGGGGGTGGGACACACAGGCAGTGGCATTTTTAAAGCTCCTCAGGTGATTCTTTGGTGCATGTAAGGTTGGGAACCATTGCTCTAGACCCTGCCTACCTCCCAGCCACACACCTCCAGGGTCCCCCAACACATACCTCCTGCCCAGCTCCAGCCGTGCAGTCATTTGCATTTTCCTAAGAATTTAATGCCATTTTATGCCTTCATGTCCTTATCCACATTCTGCTCCCTCTGCCCAGAATGCTCTCACCTACCCTGTTTAGGTTGGCACCCAAATATGGGATGAGGTTTGGATGGGGAGCACTCCTGGGCAGGACAGGACTGAGTCCTCCAAGAGTGCCAGGAGGGATGCTGAGCCTTTATGTGCCCAGAAAGGACAAGATGCCACAGTGGCCTCCACCCAAGGAAGAATGTGCTGAGGAGCAAAACAGTTCTGGGTGGCCAGACCTCCCCAGAAAAGCTACCTGCTTTGGTTAGTTTTCCAGATAATTTCTTCAAGTTCGGCTTCACTTGGTCACCAAACACTAGCCCTCAGTCTCCTCATCCATAAAGCAGGGATAATTATGGTATCTACTTCATAGGGTGGTTAGGGGAATTAAAGGAGCTGATACCCATTAAGAGCTTAGAAAGGCACCTAGCACATGAGAAACATTCCATAAATGCCACTATTGTTGCTAGTATCATGGACAGAGCTGGGACCTTATAAACATTTCATAATAGAGTGTTGTATAGGTAAATTATATTGAACATTGCAATGTCCCATATGCTGTATGTGCTTAGCACTTTATTATCTCATTTAATCCTCACAGTAATAATAATGTATTATAGGAACTGTTATTATCATCCTTATTTTACAGAGGATGGCATTGAAGCTCAGAGTGGTTGATGACTTGCCCCAAGGTCACACAGCTAATATGCGATAGTGCCAGAATTTGAGTTGGGTCCAAAGTCCATCTCCTTCTCACATCTGTCACTTCATTGGCTCTTCACAAGCTCTGTAAATTGGGACTTCTCCCCATTTTACAGATGAGGACACAGGCTCAGGAAAGTTACAGCAAATTGCCCAAGATGACCCAGCAAAGAAGTGGCAAGTAGAGTGGTGTTCAGACTGAAGCCTGACTCCAAAGCCACTGGAGACCTGCAGCTCCTTGCATCTTCACAAAGCTTGTGCAAGTTGTTTACAGAGACTTGGAGCCTTTTGGAGCACTTCCTACAAAAGGAAGTAAGGTTTCTGCCTGTGTCATCCAACTGTTGCCATGGTCTCTGCATGCTTTTAGCAATCAATTACCACTATTAATTTCCACTATTACCCAGCTCATTACATTTCTTCTTTCATGTCAATTGCTGGCCCTGGAGCAGCCTGTAGTTTTGAAAAGGGGCAGCTAAACCCACTGCAAAGGTGTGCCCCAGCACAGTCACCAGCAGTCCAACCTGGTGTCACAGGAAACCACCCAGGCCAGGCACTAAGACTGCTCAGTGAGTTTAAATGCCTGCATCTCCTAGCAGCCACACCTGGGGTGACTTGACGAAGAGACACCCAATTCATAGAGCCAGCTGTCAGTCACTTAGAAACACCTAGAGACCCAGGGTATGGGAGAGCCCTGGACAGGGAGTCAGGAGACCTTTGTCCACTGCTGATGACACTGTGTTCTCACCACAGACTCCCCGCAGGCTCCTGATGACATTGTGTTCTCACCACTAACTCTCAGCCCCTGCCACTGCCCTGTGCTGCCCACCTTGGGGCTTAGCATCCACATGCTCAAATGCAGCTTTGTGGGGGGGAAAGCAGGCAAAGGGATGTTTTACACCCTTTTTATTGGGTATGTAAGGGCTCACCTTTGAGCCAGTCATGCTGCCCTCAGCACACCCTAAGAAGCAGTCCTCATCCCCATCCCGTGTCCTGGCCTCCAGGCTGTGTGATGCCATATGGGCTTGGATGCAAACCCTAGCAGAAAATGTGGCCTCTGAGCCACCTCGCATTCCTGCTGACCTCCTGATGTGGGGATGAGCTGGAGCTGCAGAAGCACTGGCGGTGTAGACAGTTGGAAGTACGTTCTTGGTACCGGAGCTGGACCTGGAGGGTGGCTCTCAATCCTGAAGAGCTGCAGGGATGCATGTGGAGGGCAAATCTGTGTGACTAAGGCCAGCCTGGAGTGAGTGCAGCCAAGCCAAGGACAGCGGCTAGGAGAGGGGCCAGTGGATTCTTGTGTCGCCACGTCTGTGCTGTGCAGCACTGCAGGCTCTGGGTCAGGGTGCAACTTAGGGGAAAGGCAAGTAAAGCCCATAGCACCGCAGAGCCAGTGGGATGTGGGGGCAGGGGAGACTCATCTTTAGAAAGGGAACAGCTGATCCACTCCACGGCAGTGCCTAGAGAGGGGCCACCTGCCAGTCCAGGGTGGTGTCAGGGGAAGCATAATCATCTCTGCCTTGCTCCAGAAGAAATTGCTGGGATGTCCCCAGGAGCCCAGCAGAGGGCTGGTAGAAGAGGGTGGGCGCTTTGGGGTCCAGAGCCAGATCTAATCCCAGAAGAGCCAGGCATGATGATCCAAACTGAAACAGGGGCTTCTAACCAGGGCCTAAAGCCTGTGAGAGTGCACATGGCACGGGACCTGGGAATCTGAGGTCCCTGTGATCCCAGGGAAGACTCAAGTCTGGGGCAGCCAGGGAGCTCAGCAAGGCAACAAGCAGGGCGATGGGATGAGAGGTTTGGGTCAGAAATGCAGCAGTCTGGTGTGACAGGCAGCCCCTTCAAGGAGTGGAGGAGAAAGAGTGGCAGCAACTGCCCCCTGCCAACCACTGACTAACCCTCTGGACACAACGTTCGTTCTGCACAAGGAGAGAAGGGTCAGCAGGGATGGGCCTGATGAGGAAGACCTTGTAACACCATGGATGTGGGGACCCTGCAGGGTCAGCATCTCCTTTGGGGTTGAAAAGGAGCATGGTTTTGGCCCAGTTCAGCTCTGGAGTCTGGAAAAGGGAAAGGCTCACCCAAGGTCACCCTGCAGGTAGGCAGCGGAGGCAGGAGCAGATGCCAGATCACATGGTGCCTCCACAGCCCCTGGTGGCCTCCCCTATAACAACACAGAATTGAGAGTGCTGTTTTTTCTCTCACACATGCGCAGCAGCATTCCTAAGCACCCACGTGCCCTGGGCTGCCCTGCGCAGAACGTTTTCCTGTCACATGGCTGGAGATTTGTCTTGTAATCATTACTATTAATTTTAACTTTGGAGGGCATCCAACATACTCAATCTCATGTAACGGAGCCCTCTTCTGATTCTGCAAGGTCTTCTGAATTCCCCTTTTGCAAATAAGGAAACTGAGGTTCAGATAGGCTAGGTAACTTACTCAAGGTCACACAACTAATTAGTGGCAGAGCCTGGATT
Organism: Homo sapiens; assembly: GCF_000001405.40. NCBI lineage: Eukaryota > Metazoa > Chordata > Mammalia > Primates > Hominidae > Homo > Homo sapiens. The sequence continues at coordinate 79,171,853 of NC_000015.10, read as the reverse complement.
CAGACCCTTTGCCGAAACCCTACCAGAGCGAGTCAGCATGTCCACACACTTTTACCCACCTCTGACAGTCTATGGCTGTCTGCTCCTCTCTGGCCCCCTCCTAGACATGTAGACAACCAGAGAACAGGCTTTCAATTTCTCCTTTTAAAATTTGCTCACCTTAGTCTTAAAAGACAAATGCCCTTATGCTGACCCAAGGGAAGGCTGAAAATCGCAGGAGGCCCCCTGCTAAAACGAATCAACACCGGCTAGACCTCCCTCAGGTTCAAGATGAGATCATCCCCTGAAACAGGAAGCATTGCCTCCCACCAGACCAGTCCTCGTGTTTTCTCTGGAACAGGGATGGGGGTGGCCAGCGCAGGGGTCTGCGTTGCAGAGCATCTTTCCCCAAGGGAGCTACAGATATTGCAGGTGCTTAAGTCTTCATGAAGCCTGCGTTCAGCCTGGCCTTCGCAAGGAGACAGGTCCACAGAGCCACAGTACAAATCTCATGCAGAGTGTACAATAACAAAAGAATGCCCCCCCTTCCAGAACTGAAACGTGCATGAACTAAGAGGATTCGTGTAAAGAACCCAGGTCAGAGGCTGTACCATCTCATCTGTGAAATGAGAAGAATAAACAAGAAAAACATTCACCTCCATGGGGAGTTTGAATAGACACATTAATCCCTGGGCATAGGTGCCCAGTACAGATTAGCCCAATTTAAACAAACAAAAAAAATGATGATGTTTCTTCTGCTAAAAAGTGTTTTTATCATTTGTCTCTTTACATTTTGAGATTTTATGTCTAATTCTAAAGCAATCCATATTATTTACCTTTTCTAAAAATTTTTAAACATAAAAACAAATTTTTAACATAAAATATGCTGAGCAGCATTCATTCAAACCAAAATTAAGCACCTTTGTAATCCCACCATTTTGTTTAGTCTATAAAGAAGTGAATGCTTCACCCCTCTCCCAACCCCTCTCCCCACTGGCAACAACTATTAACTCTCTTGTGGTTCCTTCCAGGTCTTTATCTCTGTTTAAATAAATACATGTTGACATATGCAATAGATAAATAATGATCAAAGGCATTCTAAGTATCTTCCTTATGTAAGAAAGAATAATAAGCATGTTAAATAAGAAGAAAAAATTATAATGTTTTAAAATATAAAAGATAGGGCACCCTATCAGTGGACTGACCCTGCACAGCTGCCTCCTGCCCTGTGCCCTGGGTCAGTGGGCAGCCAGGGCTGCAGGGAGTGGCTGTGACTCAGTCTGACCACTGACCCAGGCAGACAGGGGAATGCAGGCAGGAAATGTCAGGCGCCCATCAGGGGAATGGGGCTTATCGATGTGGCATCGGCACCTGCCTCTGGGGAGCTTCAAGAAGTGCTCTGCATGGAGCTGACAGGTCCATTAGTTGTCAGTTCTGGCCATATCTTACTGGACTGGCAATGCAGCCCACAGCCAGCTGGAAGACACGCCCAGATAACACGATCCTGCAGGGTGTAACAGGACATCGTGCCTTTGCTGGCAGTCATAATAAATACCAATTGCTGAGTAATGACAACACAGGGTGTTTTTGCTGGTATTCCTATTTAACCCCCTCACAACACTCCTGAAAGATAGCTTTGATTGACTCCACTTGTAAATGAGGAAACCGAGGCTCAGAGGAGTGAAGTTACCAGCCCAAGATCACAGGAGGAGGGAGAAAGCCCACATTTTCATCACATTCCCTATGGTCAGAGGAGCAGTTCATGGTCTCATACTCTTCATGTTACCCCACATGAAAGAAAATTTTCTCCCCACTTGACAGAGGAGGAAATTGAGACTGAGAGAAGTCAAAATCTGTATCCTTCCAATCAGAAAAGCCCTATTCTTCCCTTCTGGGGCCCAGCGTGGAGGTGGTGCTGGGAAATTCTGAGAAGGGCAGGTTGCATAACATCCTTGTTCTCCGCCAAAAGCTGCAAACACCCACTTACCCCATTCACGAATCTGGGCAATGAGTAGTGGGAGTCAGGGAAAGATATTTTAAAAAATTATCTTCAGTCAGGGAATTTCACAGTATAATTATATAGTGAGGACACCAAATTAGCAGAAAGAAGGGACTGCCAGATGCAGCAGCCACACACCACTGCCTACATCCCCATGTTCACAGCCGGCTCACAGCCTCTGGGGTGGGCTGGGGAACTCTCCCTCTAGATCCTAAATACACATGACTCTTTAACTGATAGAAAGATATCACTGGAAGACTCCACAAAGACCATCAACCCCAATCCCCTCACCTTACACTTAGGGAAACTGAGGTCCCATAAGAGAAGCTGTGTGTTTGAAGTCACTCCCTGATAGGCTCAGGACTAAGGGCCAGTCCCCTAGCTCCAGCCCCTGCCTCCAGACCCACCCAGCTCCTTGGAGCCAAGAGACAGAAATAAACCATGCTTGGGCTTTTAGAGTCCAAAATAAATGCATGTACAGCTCTTTGCATTGTTACCATGGTTATAGATAACAAGGGCTGTGGCAAAGCACAGCAAATTAGTTAATGATGAGAGAGAAACTTCCAACAGTGACACGTTCTGCATGAACAAACTGCTTTCCTGATTCAGTGGCAGGCTGGACCCCAGTGGCAGGGCAAGTGTCTGTGGTGAGCAGGAGAGTAATTACGGTGGAGGTGAGAGCAGGCATAGCATGTTATTCATGGCCTGTCTCCGCCTTCCCCCCTCCCTCTGTCACCAAACAGAATGTGAACAATGGAAGACTCACATGATCTGTTTCAGCCTTGCCTCCCAGGCTGTCAGGAGAGGCGGTGGTTGTGTTCCCTCTGAGACCCACAGGGAGGCAGCCGCTGGCTCTTGGCAGGATGGGAGGTTAGCACTTGAGCTCAGGAGTTCGAGACCAGCCTAGGCAACATAGTGAGACCCTATCACTACCAAAAATAATTTTAAAAATTAGCCTGGCATGGTAGCATGTGCCTGTATTCTCAGCTACTAAAGAGGCTGAGTTGGGAGGATTGCTTGAGTCCAGGAAGTTGAGGCTGCAGCAGTGAGCCATGATCATGTCTTTGCATTCCAGCCTAGCAGACAGAGCAAGTACCTGTCTCAAAATAACAACAGCAAAAAGGAATTTGGCAAGGCTAAACACTTAAGTCTTCCATAAGCCTTGCTTGATCACTCAGTGAATTTCCTCTTTGTCCTCAAGCTCCTGAGGCACCTGGCTCCAGTCCTTACCTGTGGTGGTTTGAAAAACTGGCTGCAGTTCTTCTCCCCATTATATCCACACCTCTTTGCAATGTGACTTTGCTGCTTCCCCCATGAAGAGAAAGAGTCCATTTCCCCTCCTCTTGACTCTGGACTGTCCTATTAACTCACTTTGACCAACAGGATGTGTGGCTGTGCTATAAGTACTGAGTTCTTTGTCTCTGACCCAGGAGTCTCATGTCTTCTGCCAGAATCTATGAAACAGTTACACACTAACCTATTAGCATATGAATAGGGTAAAAATCAAAACTCAGATCTAATACCAACCAGCCATGCTCTTGCCCTAAGACAATCGCAGTCTCTGTTCCCTCAGCATGGAATACATTTCCCTCACCAATCCACATGGCTTACTCTCTAACTTCCTTCAAATCTGCATTAGTCCTTCCTCTGAGAAGCAGATGCTGCAATGGATTAATCATGCAAGGCTTTTATTAGGGGAAATGCCTTGCAAAAGGAATTAGGGATGGAGCAGAGGAAGGCGGGGGTTGTAGTGGGATCATGGTACAAGTCTGACCCCAGGGGAAGGAGAAAAGAGAGAAGGTAGACTGGAAGCCTCCTCTAGTGCTGGGCAGGCTAGGAAAGTTTTGACAAAACCTTCAGGGAGTCCCTGAGCTAAAGTGTGCTGATGAGGAAGTCCCAAGTCTCCCAGGAGACATAGCCTTCATACAAAAGCAGCAATGAATTTCAAAATGAAATAGCCGTGGCCTTCTGTCAGTTATGCTCCCTGTAGTAGAAGGTCTCACAAGACACTTTATCATGGCCACCATAAGACCTCTGCTGAGATGCCCCAGTCTTCCCTGACCACTCCATATGAAAGACCAAGTCCCCCTCAGTGCCCTTTCATTCTTCCCTGCTTTATGCTTTTTAATTGCTCTTATCACCACTGATTATGTAATTACTTGCTTACTTGCCTCATGGCAGCAGAAATTTTTGTCTGTTTCGTTCTCTGCTATATCCTAGGACATTGAATAGTCTCTGGCACTCAAAATAAAAAATGGCTAAATGAATGAATGAACACATAAATGGATAAAATAAGAAATGTTTCCTGATAAGTGCTGAAGGGCCACTTTCAAACTGTATAAACCCCATGTTATAGGCTGAATATTTGTGTCCTCTTAAAATTCATATGCTGAAGCCCGAACTCCCAATGTGATGATATTTGGAGATAGGGCCTTTGGGAGGTAATTAAAGCCAGATGAGATCATGAGGGTGGGCCCTCATGATGGAATTAGTGCCCTTCTAAGAATAGACCAGAGTGTTTGCTCTCTCTCTCTCCATGAACAGAGGAAAGGCCATAGGAGCACACGGCAAGAAGGCAGCCACCAGCAAGCCAGGAAGAGAGTCCTTAACAGGAACCAAATCAGCCAGCTCCTTGATCTTGGACCTTCCCACCTCCAGAACAGTGAGAAATAAATGTCTGTTATTTAAGCCACCTGGTCTGTAGTATGTATTTTATTATAGCAGTCTAAGCTGACTAAGACACCCTAAGTTCAACGTTAGGTAACACTTATCAGTAAGTTTTCGGAACACTCCAAGTAATGTTCCGAAATAATCATGTCTTATTCTACATAACTTCAACTGTCAGCAGGAAGTAGGACCACCTTTCTTGCAGCTGCTACTAGTTGACAAGGAGACAGGAAACTGTATATTTGTAGCTGGTAGTGACAAGTATATATAGGGAGGGGAAGGGGACAATATCTTTGGTTGAGCATCTAATTTTCCATCCACTTAAATTTTCTGTCTCAGAAAATTCCCATCTCATCCTGGACGCTTACACACAGCAGTGCCCCAGAAGACATGGTGTCAGGCGACAATGGGCTGGCCTTGAGGTCTAATCAGCCCCTGAGCTCTGGGGCAGTTTTCCCTACCTTGTTACCATGGCAATACGGAACCCAGCTGCAGGTGCCCACCTGTCACCAACACCAGGGCCAGACTCTGATTGCATCTGAACATGCCTATCAGTGTGGGAAAGGAGGAAGCAAATGTGAAAAGGCCTTATATAGACCCAGGAAATTGTAGGTGGTAGTTAGGAAGCAAGTCTGGGATGCAGATCTCTTGACTTTCTCAGCTGGTTGCCTGAGTCCCCTTGGTGTGTGCACAAAATCCCAAGGCGCCCTCTTTCTGTGGCAGGCCAGCTGTGACCATACTAGGTACCTCAACTCCTGTAGGCAAGCACTGGTGGGTTCAAAATTCAGAAGAGGCGGTCACCATAATTCCTGCTTCCACCAGAAATTCTTAATCTGCTTATACCTGAGGCTCATCCCCCATATCTGTTACTTGTTCCCATGTTCACCTCCAAACCAAGGGTGGGAGTCCAGGCTCCATCCTGTTCTCCTATCTGTTGGTCCCTGCTTACCCATGTGACCCTCTCCCCACAACCTACTCTGTCCCCAGCAGCAGTGGTATCTCCAAGGAGACATAAGGCATGCCAAGATGTGTCAGTCCTAGATTGCCAGGCCAGGGCTCCAGATTCTGTGATCACTCTCACTGCTGAGGCCTTTAGGGAGCTCTTCTCTCCTTATCCATCCCCCAGAGAAAGCTGCTGGTCACTCTTCACCATGCCATACCACCTTCCTGGACCAGGACCCTTCTTCCTCTTTACTTGGGCCATTGCATCAGCCTCCTAAACCATCCCCTGCTGTTACTCTTCCCTGCCTGCTGGGCCCTGAAGTGATGTGGACTCAGGATCTCACAACATTTTTATGAATGCCACTCTTCTGACTCCTGGCCCAAACCTCTCTCCATCAGGGCTCAAAGCTGATTCACATGGTTTGTCTCTGTGTCTCCACCCAAATCTCTTGTCAAACCTTCTAGTGCTATCTCCTGATAGAGTTCTCACGAGATCTGGTTGTTTGAAAGTGTACATCAATACCCCCTTCGCTCTCTCTCTTCCTTCTGCTCAGCCATGTGAGACTCGCCTGCTTCTCCTTTGCCTCCCACCATGACTGTAAGTTTCCTGCGACCTCCCCAGCCGTGCTTCCTGTACAGCCTGCAGAACTGTAAGTCAATTAAACCTCTTTTCTTCATAAATTCTTTATAGCAGCATGAGAACAGACTAATCATTGATCCTCAGGGCAGACCAATGGTAACGGTCTTGCGGGGAAGAAAGGACAATCACTGACATCCCCCCATTCTCCTCATTTCCCCATCTTTGCATATACCCCTAACCCTCCCTCCTTCCCTAGACCAAAACAAAAGCCTCACACATATTAACACAAGCAACCAGATCCCTGGAGAACAAGGTGTCCTCCATGCCAGATGTACGCACATGGCAGCTCTGCTCCAGTCAGGATGCCCTGTTATGTCCATAGATGTGGTAGTAGTATTTTCAGCTATAGGACTACTCACAGCTGCAAGTAACAGAAACCCAGCACAGCATTCCACACATTGATTCTGCCCTGTAAGAAGCCCAGAGCAGGGCAATTCCAGGTTTGATCGGTTCCGCAGGTCAGCATTATTAGGGTTCTTTCCATTTGCCCTTTCTACCATCATCAGATTAAGAAGCCTCATTTCCCCTACATGGTCTCAAAATGTTCACAGTTTCAGGCATCACATGCAGACCAACAGGAAGCAGCAGTATGAAATTACTTCAGAGCCAGATAATCTTTCCCAAAATGCTGGGTGCAGTGGCTCATTCCTGTCATCCCAGCTACTTGGGAGACTGAGGCAGGAGAATCACTTGAGCCCAGAAGTTTCAGGTTAGTCTGGGCAACACAGCAAGACCCCCATTTCTAAAAAAATGGAAAAAAAAAAAAAAAAAAAACAAGAAAAATATTTCCCAGAATTCCCCTGATAGTCTTCACATCACATCTCCTTGGCCAGAACTGTGCCCCACGTCCATTCCTATGCCAGTCACTGGCAAGGGGAATGGAACTCCCATGATTAGCTTAAAATAATAGAGTCACACCGCCTTGGGCTAGAGCAGGGTCTTATTCACCTGATACTGAACTAAACTGGGCTGGCTGCTGAGGAGACAAACGATCAGCTGGTCTGCCTAGATATTCATACTTAACTGGCTCCAACCAGTTATGGCCAGTCCCTCTTCAAGGACAGGCCCAGGCCTGGGCCTGGGAGCAGAAGATTTGGGAAAGCAAAGGACCAGTGGCAGACGGACACTGAGGACATTTCTGCAATGGTCCAACCAAGAAAAGATGGATGCAGAACAATGGCAGTGGTGGTGAAAGTAGAAAAGAGAAGACAGACGCAAGAAAAATATTAGCATTAGAATCAGTGAATTGTGGCAACTCCCTAGATATGGAGGATACGGGAAGAAGGGGCAAAAAATGACTTGGAGTTTTCCAACCAGGGTAATTTTGAGGATGGTGTAGGCATTGGTATTGATTGGGCTGGACATATTTACTCTGGCTCACTGGGAAGGGCAACGTGCATGTGTACAAAACTTGACAGTTGTCAAGGCTTTTCCATTCTCACTGGCCTCATTGGTCCCTCACAGCAACTTTTGCAAGGCAGGCAAGGTGGGACAGGTAATGGCATTCCCATTTTACAGGTGAGGGAAATTGGCTTGTTGGCATGGGTCTCAGGCCCTCGGGGTGACACAGCCTGGAGCTAGGACACAATTGGGCACCAGGACCCGGCATCAGGCCAATCTGAGTTGGGGTCTCCTTAATTGCTGCATTCGTTCAGTCTTTGCCCAGGAGAAACTGCATCTGCCTCCATTTTCTGGCTTGAAAAGTTGAAATTTCGTCTTTCTCTGTGGTTCATACCAGAAGTCCTTTTATTGGTCAGTCTCAAAGGGATCAACTTCCTTGTACTCTATTTAACTGATATTTTTAAAGCATCATAATTGGATGTTTATATTATTATATCAGACTAGGGAAGGACTTTTCAAATATTACTTAAACCCAGAAGCTGAGAAAGAGAAAGAGAGAGAGAGAGAGAAAAGGAAGGAAGGAAGGAGAGAGAGAAAAGGAAGGAAGGAAGGAAAGAAGGAAGGAAGGAAGGAAGGAAGGAAGGAAGGAAGGAAGGAAGGAAAGAAGAGAAGGAAGTAAGGAAGGAGAGAGGAGAAAGGGGGAAAGAGGAAAGTAGGGAGGAGAGAGGGGAAGAGAGGAAAGAAGGAAGGGAGGGAGAGAGAAGGAAGGAGAGAGAATAGAGAGAGAAAAAGAAGATAAAAAAGGAAAAGACTAATAAATTTAAATTTTTAGAAATAAACATTGCAAAGACCATAATGAATAAAATCAAAATGCAACCTAGGAAAATACAGTATTTGCAAATAATATTACGAAGGGCTAATTATCCTAATAGATAATTAGCTCTCATTATCTAAACTATCTAATTAAATAGATAATAAAGAGCTCTACATATCAATCTTTAAAAAAGAAAAAAGACCAACAAACAAATAAGAAAGTGGTAAAGGAAATGAACAGAATTCAGAAAAGAAATACATATATTTGTTGAACCTATGAAAATATACTCAGCTGCAAATTAAATGCACTGATAAATCATTTTCCACCTGACAGTTTATCAAGAAGCAAAAAGATTGAACCTGTCTTTGTGAGGTGTAAGAGAAACAGGGATTCTCACACATTGTGGCAGAAGAATGAACTATTATGAATTTTATGGAACAGAAGCAATATCTATCATTATTATGAAGATATATGTCCTTTCACCCTGAAATTCCACTTCTAGAAATTTCTTGTCTAGAAATACTTGCACTTGTACCATATTACAAATGTACAAACTATGTGACAATATTGTTTGTAAAAACAAAACATTGAACACTACCTAAAAGTCTATGAATTGCAGACTGGTTATTAAATTATGACATGTCATCTTAAAAATCAAGAACTTTGATTGGACTGATACAGAATAATCTTTAAGAAATATTAACTGAAAAACAAAGTGCAGTATATATATAGTATAGTGCCATTCATGCAAAATTAGTGTATTTATTTAGTGGTAATTGCACATACAAGTGTGGAACATCCCTGGAAGGATAAACGAGAAACTGGTTACACAAGTTGCCCCTGGGGAAGGAAACTGAGTAACTGGGAACAGGAAAACAAGAGAAGACTTTTTACTATAAATGCTTTCATAGTTTTAAATTTTGGTACCATATGAATTTATTATCTCTGAATAAATTAGATACAAAACAAAATTGAAATGAAAAGCATACTGAAAGGATAAAAACTTTAATTAGCATGTGCTGGTTTAGAGTGTTAGAAATGGATATTGTATTAGTTCTCTATGCTTCATAATGAGTTATCACAAACTTAGCAGTTTAAAACAACACATATTTATCATTTCACAGTTTCCATGGGTCAGAAGTCCAGACACAGCCTAGCTGGGTCATGTGCTCAGGGTCAATCAAGGGTACAATCAATGTATCAGCTGGGCTGCAGTCTCCTCTGGAAGTTTGATTGAGGAAGAATTCAATTCAAGGTTGTTCAGGTTGTTGGCAGAATTCATTTCCATGTAGCTACATGGCTGAGGGTCCTGGCTCTTTGCTGGCTACTGACAGGACACCTCTCTTAGAGTCTAGAGGCTTCTTGCACTTCCCTGCCATGTGGGACTCTCCAGCATGGCTGCTCACTTCATCAAACCCAAAAAGGGCATCTCTCCCCCCGTCTGCTAAGATGAAGTCTTACATGACAAAACATAATCACAGAGTGAGGTCTCATCACCTTTGCCACACTCCATTGGTGAGAAGCAAGTTGCAGTTTCCACTCACATTCAAGGACAGGGATTACACAAAGTGCAAACACCAGGAGGTGGAGATTGCTGGGGAACACCTTAGAGTCTGTTTGCTGCAGATAGGATTTTTGAGGAAAAAACTCTGTGTGCTTACATGTTTTTCTTAATGGATATTTTTTGTGCAATTCCTATATACCAAGGACCATATTTGGCAGTAAAGTGGCAGCAGGAAATAATATAAATAGGCTATATGTGTTCCCAGACTTGTCTCTCTCCCCTCCTGCCTCCGAACTCAAGGTTTTGGAGGCGCATTCTGAACTAATCCTGTCTGTCCCCTGCTCCTCTGAGGAATCAGGGTGGAGAGGTCCAGTTAAAAAGCTCAAGGGAAGAGCCAACATTGAGAAAAATGCAAAACCTAATGTGTGTTGTGCTAAGGATTGCGAAGGAAAGATATAGACAACCAGTAACACACACGGGCTGCTGAGCTGTCAGTGTTCCCCACTGCTACCACCAGCCTCCAGTTGGCTATGGGAGATGCTCACTGTGAAGGTGACAGGCATCTAGGGCCTACTGAGACTGGGGAGGGGAGGGGTCTTCAGACACTCCAAGTTCTTTTTGGCCAATCCCCTCCAAAGCACCATCTTTGTCCTGGGAGCCCTCTTACTACTGGGGTTTCTTACCCTGGGTCAGAGTTTTCCCCACACTAAGAAATGAGAGCTTCTTTTGACCAGCACCCTTAGGGGTCCTCCAAGCAAGGCCAATCTGGTTGAACCCACCATGACCTCCTGTCTCCTCTGGCCACACCTGTCATTTCCAAGGTCCCTACTCAGAAGATCAGTCATGCATTTTCTCCCAGGCCCCTTTGTAATTAAAGTTTTGTGACAGAAGTTCCTTGGGTAGCTCCGGGCCTACGCATTTCATACTAGACTTACAAGAGTAACATGTGCCTTAATGTGGCTGGGTGCGGTGGCTCACTCCTGTAATCCCAGCACTTTGGGAAGCCAAGGTTGGGGGATCATCTGACATCAGGAGTTCGAGACCAGCCTGGCCAACATGGTGAAACCCCGTCTCTACTAAAAATACAAAAATTAGCCAGGCATGGTGGCAGGTGCCTGTAATCCCAGCTACTCAGGAGGCTGAGGCAGGAGAATCACTTGAACCCAGGAGGCGGAGGTTGCAGTGAGCCGAGATCATGCCATTTGCACTCCAGCTTGGGGGACAAGAACGAGACTTTGAGACTTCGTCTCAAAAAAAAAAAAAAAAAGAGCAAAAGAGTAACACGTACCTTAATGTGTCACGAGTGTCATCATCATAGCTACTATGTATTGACTGTTACATGTCTCTGGGCTATAGTCCTGCTAGATTAGTGTTGTGAATTCCCACTTGGTACATGTGTAACCTCAGACCCAGAGAGTTTTGGATTGCCTGAGGCCACTTGGCTCATGAATGAAGAGGCAGATTCAAACCCAAGCCTGTGGGACTGAAAGTCCCTTTTCTTCCTCTCCATGTGGCTGCTCGTTGCTCAATAACTCCAGGTCATGCAGTCAGCATTTCAGTGCAGCCACCATGCAGTGACTCACAGGGTCTTGGACTCCTTGGATGGGGCCTCTCACTCCCATGGGAAGACAACCCTTCACTGACTTCCTTCTGGCAACTCTGCAGAGAGGCCTGGGAATGTCCTGTGCTCAAAGCTCAGAGCCCCCTTCTCTACCGTATTTAAGAGACTCTTCAGCAGCTGATCCAGGCACTCAGGCCTCCTCTCCTCACCCCACCATATGGGAAGAGAAAAACTATTTCTGGGACACCCTTAGGACTCCCCTCTCCTGCCACATAAGGCAGCAGCATCAGATCCGGAGCTGACAGGCCCTCCAAAGTCATTCGCTCCACATGTGTCTTTCAGTGCTTAACTACTTCTCCATCATATCCCCCCAGAGATATATCAGCTTCTGCTTGCACTCCTCCAATGATGTGATGGTGAGTTCACTATTGGGCTCAGATAGTCCATGCCAAACAAACCCAGGTCTCCTCCCTAAAGGGCTGAATTTAATGGCCCAGCCAATGAGGGGACCTCTCATGAAGTTAAGACACTGGAAGGCACTTTCAGGTGGAGAGATTTTTTTAAAAAACTATGGGAACAGGCCTGCATATCCTGCGCATGTACTCCAGAACCTAAAATAAAATAAAATTTAAAAAAAACTAATTATGGGGAAAAAAGCATTACGGAATGAGAAGCTAAACCCCAAGACAAATCTGATTACCCCCCTCCCCTCATGGGTACCTGTCTTTGTCCATTCTGTGCTGCTATAACAGAATACCTGAGACTGGGTAATTTATAAAGAACAGAAATTGATCGCCCACAGCTCTGGAGTCTGCAAAGCCCAAAATCAAGGCATCGGCGTCTAGTGTTTGGTAAGGGCCTTCTTGACGCCTCTTCACATGGCAGGAGGCAGGAGATCAAGTGAATGAATGCTGCGTGGGGCCTTTTTTATAAGGGTCTGAATCCCATTCACAACACAGGAACCTTCATGGCCTAATCACCTCTTAATGACCCCAGTTCTTGATACCATCACATTGACCACTAAGTTTTAACACCTGAATTTTGGGGGGGACACACTCAAGCCATAGCAGTCCCTGCACCCCCAGGACAGTGCTCAATCTCTCCCGTGTGTCATACAAAGACCTTCACCTTCAAAGGGCCCCAACATGACAACCCAGGCCCATTGCCTGCCATGCCCTGCTTCCTACTCACTCTACACTCCCACCAGCCCAACCGTGCAGCTGCTCCCTGAAAACAAGACCCTTTTGCACTCCCCACCTTGAGAGATGATGGCTCCCCCTCCCAGACTGCCCCATCCCCTTCACTCTTCTTCGCATGCCCTTATGCATTGTCTGAGCCTCAGTTCAGTGGTCAGCTCTTCCGTGAAGTCTCTGCCAGCCCCCCAGGAGTTAATCCCTCCCTTGCCTCCAGGTCTCTTGCAGTGCTTATAACAACGTAAATAGCTTCCATGGCCTGAACACCTAACAGGGTACCAGGCACTGCGCTAGCACCTGGGCATGCCTCAGCTCTAGCTTTCATTAAGAACTCTTTGTAGAAGGCATTATCATCCTTAAAAATAAAAGCAGTCAGTGAGAATAGACAGAGATACTGTCTAGACCAGGATCACATGGCTAGCTGTGGATCCAGGATTTAAATCCAGGTCTCTTCTCTTTCCACACCTACAATTACATTGTGTTGGGATACTTCCCTCCCACTCTGGGCCAGGGTTTCTTAAACTCTTCTAGACTTTGGCCCTTATTAACAAATACATTGTATATTACAATCTAGTACTCACCTACACACATACATTTTCAGAAAATAATATCTACCCTTTCTACTTTCAGTCCCTCTGATCTTCTCTATTTTGTTTCATTTTCTTATATGCTGGTCATGATCCACTAAATTGATTTTGTGATGGGGTGGGATTCCCAGTTTTAAAATACTGCTGTGGATTGCCAGCTCCTGCATTTACAGGCCTCGCACAGGGCTTGGCATACAATAAGTACTCACTCAGTCCCCAAGCCTGACTTCCATTGAGCCAGCCCTCTGCCCTGGCCTTGGGAAATAACTGATCCCTGAAAGCCAAATAGGCAAGATCCCTGGGGCCTCACAACCTTGGTGCTGAATCCATTTCTCCCAGTGTTAAATTCAGAATGCAGCAGAAGCTTTCAGAAGAACAGCTGGAGATTTAGCCTAGCTAGGAGAACGCGGCTAGTCAGCAGGTCCAAGGCAGCAGAACCGTGTGAGGCTCTCTGGTCCCAAGGGCCAGGGTCAGGGACCTGCCCTGGTGGTCGCACAGCCTGGCCTTGGGGCAGAGCAGGAGTGGCAAGGGTCAGAGGCACAGACTTGGATGCTGTCAGCTTCCTATGCCACCCTCCATGGGTGGTGGCACATGCCAGCCGGGCAGTGACAGGCAGGTGAGTTTCATCAGCCCTGGATTTCGCTTCTGACTAAACAGTGATTGAGCTCACTAGGACGATGGGTTCTAAATTTAGCACCAAACTCTGGGAAACTGGTGCATTTGCCCCCACTGCCTGCGGCAAAGCAGGCTGCGAGGGCTCTGCTTCATTCCTCCCACTCCACCTGGGCTGTCCTGCAGCCCGGGAGTCCCGCTGACTCACCCGGAGCTGCCAGGGTGGCAGGAAGCACACCTTACCCACCTCCTCTGAAAGGCTGCTGTTCAGCTGGGGGAAGTGGGTACAGGTGAAACCTTCAGGGAGCTCTCAGTTTCAAAGGCCTTACAGGTGCCCCCCCACCCCTCCACCCCACTGACTCCATCAGTATCTGCCTCTGCAGCCCTCCTAATGCCTCACTCCACAGCCTGAGCTGGGCCTAGTCCCAACTAGCTCTATGCAGGGGGGCCTCGGGTCTCTGTCCTACTCTTCTTCTGTACTTTGGAGCTGAGGGGAGTCTCCTAGGGTTAGGCAATGATAGCTCCTGCTCTGTCATCCAGTCCTAAGAGCTTTTACACAGCTCTTGAATTACAGGTTGCAACTGGGCTCTCTGAATCCTTGGGTCATCTCCCTTCAACCTCACTAAAACCCCTGTGAGATAGGGACTATGATGAACTCATTTCACATAGTGGAAAACTCAGGCTTGCAGAGGTTCACTAACTTGCGGGACATTATACAGCTTGGCCAATTCAATACCAGACCCCTGCTTTTAATGGCCTCAACTCCACTTGCTTCTGTGCCTGGGAACCTGCCCTAAACTTTGTCCTGGAACTTTGCCCAGCTGTTGGTATCACTGACCTCCCAGAGCATGTGAAATAGAGCCTGGGTTAGGATGAGACTCTACAGCTAGAGTCCCTTGCTAGCTGTGTGGGTCTGGGTGTGTTAATTAGCCTCTCTGAGGCTGTTTCCACATCTGTAAAGGAGGGGTGGCTTCGTAATCTGTTCAGTTGGCTAGGCTGAGCTCCATTTTACAGAATTCCCTTCCCTGTGTATTTCTGGCTAGGATGGCTTACAGGAAACCTTCGGGCAACAGCTTTGCAGGGTGGAAGTGAAGCTGGCAGCCATTTTGTAGCTCACACGGCTTGTTGCTTACCTGCTGGCCTACGTCTTTGGTGTGGGGCCTGCGACTTTTCTACCTTCCCTGAGATCTCTGTTCAGCCTCTTCAACCTCTGAGTCAGGCCTGTGTATTCAGCTCTATGACAGGGCACCAGCCTCCCCTAAGGATGCCCAAACTGCCAAGGCTGGAGGTGCAAGAACTGATGTGGCTCGCAGGCTGTCCTCGTGGTTTCCACCTCCCCCTAGTTTGCCTGGGTCTTTCCCAATTTTAAAACTGAAAGTCTTGAATCTCTGGAAACCCCTTTAGTCCTGGAAATACAGGAGAGTTGGTCCCCTTGTTCCAGTTTGTGCTCATGGGATCCAGCTGGTTCTTGCTCTCTCCTGCTCATTCATCTCCCTTCCCAGCTGCCTGCCCTGTGGAATTCAAGGTTCCACATTAGATGCAATGAACCTGCCTCACAGAGATTGCTTAACCAGCCCCCACATTGTGAAGGTCAAACTTCTATGATAAATCCTGATAGATAAGATAGAGAGGAGGGGAGACAGAGAGATGAGGGGAGAGAAAGAGGAGAGAGTTATCAGGTGGTAACAGTGTTTGCCTCATGGAGCTGTCAGCGTTAAATGAGATACACACATGCACAGTGCCTGGCACAGAGGTAGCAGTCCACCCATATTAGATGTTATTGTTGTTATGTAGCCTTTGCCACTTAATGAAGGTCACAAATTGCTCATGTGTAAGATGGCAGTAGCAGTAGCTGATCCTCAGAGCCATAGATTGTAGGTGAAACTAATCTAGGATTATAGCACTTGACTTTGGCAAAGATGTTAACTGGGAGGTGCATCAGAGAACCTGCTGGGGTGCTGGCCAAGTTCTGCCTTGATGGTGGTGGTGGTTACATGGTGTACACATATACGAAGCTTCACTGAGCTATACTTGTAAGATGTGCACACTTCACTGCAATATGTTATAACCCAACAAAACATTAAATTTAAAAATAATGTTGTAGTGGATAAACCAGGAGAACTCATTCCCCTCTGCCATCAATTTGCTGTATGACCTCATGTAACTTCTTTGGATCACAGTTATCACATCCATAAAATGCATAAGCCTTATCAGAGGTCAGGAAACTGGTCCACATGATCTCCTTGTCTCCAAATTCTCTGGATTTGTTTCAAAATAAACAGAAGAGAAGAAGTAGCTAAAGAGGAGGCCCCTGAAGAATTGAGGCACAACCAGTCAACAGGAACTGGGCTACCCTTTATGGGGTGCCTAGTACTTGCATTTCTAGGCACTGTCCTTTGGACAAAGACAGTTGTCGCTTTGTGTCTACACAGGAAACACCTATATGAAGATGCTTCGGAATGCCAGAGATGCTGTGGATCCACAGTAGATCTGAATGCCTGGGTTTGGTAGCAGTCACTGGGGAATGGCAAGGGAAGGCGTATGCCCGAGACCTTGTCACCTGGAGAAGGAAGGATGAAATGCTCATGCCTATAGACCCACTATGTGCTGGGCTCAGCACCAGGTGATGCACACACACACTGTCCCATTTTACCCAACAGTGGCTTAATGTGCAGTCACAAAAAAACAACAGATATGTGTGAACTTAGATTGTATATTCTTCATTCATTTGCATTTCCTAATTTTTTACTATATTTATACAGCAAAAAAAACCTATAGAAATTAGAAATTGAAAAATATGCAACTGTCAAAGAAGTTATTTTTCTCTCCGTGGCAAGGGGTGACTACGGTCAGATTTCAGGAATCAGTTGCACATAATCCTAAACAGTCCTAAATTAAGGCAAAGTTAGGCGGTTATTATACCAGCTGTATCATCCAGGGACTGTGATTGTCCCAATCGCCACGTGTTTGATTTCAACTTTGATTAACTGAAAACAGGCTCGGTTGGAGGCAGAGAGACTAGTCGCGAGGCTCTGGCAATAGGAAACAGTCAAAGCGCTACTGAACCCTGTTGCTATAGCAACAGCATAGCAAAGCTATTTAGTTGTTAACTCCTGAGAGAAAAAGCAGGAGAAAAATTAGTGTAAAGTTATAGCACAATTTGGACTGCAGGTATTTAACCTCCTTCCCCCCAATGCTCCTGTGAGTATATTCAGCATGTTCCCAACTAGCTAAAGCTGTGCTCTCTCTCTCTTCTAGGCCAGAAACCATATCTGAACCAGCGAGACTAGAGTTATTTGAGGATGATCCCTAGAATGGAGATTTCAAATCACACTGTGCAAATGAATCCCCTGGGGACTTTGTTAAAATGCGGAATCTGACTTGCAAGCTCTCAGGTGATGTGGATGCTGCTGGTCCACAAACCACACTTGGAGTAGAAAAGCCCTAGTCTAGACTGCTAAACTTTTATGAAGGAAGGTACTGGAACAGGCATGTCTTGTTCTCTGCTCTATCCTCCAGGTCTAGCATGGTACCTGATACAGAAGTGTGGAGGGGGAGGGCAAGGAGGCTCAATATATGCTGTATGAATAAATGAGTGAATGAATAATGAATATTGGATCCATTCACATGCTTATACTGGCCTTTTTAACCAGAAAAGTGATGCATGTCCAAGGTAACATCATGAAAAGCAAGCCTTCCCTCCTCTCTGGGCTTCTGGACACCTTTTGACAGGTCTTCACTTATTTTGTTTTATCCTTTCAGAAATTATTGTTAATATACATCTTTTTTCCTGACACAAATAGCAATATATTACAGGCATTACTCCACGTCTTGTGGCTTTTTTCATAATATCTATACTGGGGATTGCGGAGTCTGAATCTTTGTGTCTGCCCCAAAGTTTAGATGTTGAAACCTAACCTCCAAGGTGACAGTGTTAAGACGCAAGGCTTCGGGAGGTGATTGGGTCATGGGGTGGAGCCCTCATGAATGAGGCTAGTGCCCTTAAAAAAGAGTCCTGAGGGAGCTTGTTAGCCCTTTCACCTTTCCAGCCGTATGAGGACACAAAGAAAGCACCATCTCTGAGGAACAGGCCCTCAACAGACACTGAACTTGCTGGCCTCTTGATATTGGACTTCCCAGCCTCTGGAACTGTGAGCGATAAATTTCTGCTGTTTATTAATTCCCCCATCTCAGATATTTTGTTATAGTGGCCCAAAGGGACTAAAACAGAGATTGTTCCATATCTGCACATATAGATTTACTTCATTCCTTTAAACAGCCATATAGGAGTCTATTCCAAATGCCTTTACTCATTCCCCTTTTGCTGGACATTTCCCATTTTACAAGTCTTTTGCTGTTTCAAACTATGCTACAATAAACACCCTTGTATATATATCTTTGTGCACATGAAAGCAATCTGTTGAATAAGTTCCTGAGTCAAAGGGTGCCTGTACTTTTTATGATGCTAGATAATGTTTAATTGCCTACCAAAGAAGTTGCACCAATTTTGCAGACTCATTAACATTTTATAAGAATGTCTGGTTCTGTTTAAATTCTATATACTGTCGGTTTTTAACCTAATCAACTTGATAAGTGAAAAGGAGTCCTTGTTTTCATTTGATCTTATTAAATATGAATGAAATTGGATATCTTTTCACACGTTTCTATACCGTCGTATTAACTAGTAAAGTGTTATTTAGGAACATTATCAATGTTGCACATTGATTTGGGAACCAGAAGCCTGAATTCTCTTACTGTTTTGTTTGTTTGTTTGTTTGTTTGTTTGAGACAGTTTCACTCTGTCACTCAGGCTGGAGTGCAGTAGTGAGGTCTCGGCTCACCACTACCTCCACCTCCCAGGCTCAAGCGATTCTTGTGCCTCAGCCGCCTAAGTAGCTGGGACTACAGGCACATGCCACCATGCCTGGCTAACTTTTGTTGTTGTTGTATTTTTAGTAGAGATGGGGTTTCGCTATGTTGGCCAGGCTGTTCTCAAACTCCTGGCCTCCAGTGATTCACTTGCCTTGACCTCCCAAAATGCTGGGAATACAGGCATGAGCCACTGTGCCTGGCCTCTCCTACTGTTTCTAATAGTGTTTTTTCAGTTTATTTGTTGGGTTTTCCAGTTATACAATCACAGCATTTGGAAATAATAATTTTGTCTTTTCCTTTATGATTTTTATTCTTTTTAAAAAATGTATTATAGTAAAAAGACACATGAGATCAACGCTCTTAATAAACGTGTACAGTAAAGTATATTTAACTACAAGCATAATTTTGTACAGGAGATCTCTAGAACTTTTTATCCTGCATAACCAAAACTTTTTATGCCCATTGAATAGCAAGTCCCAATTTCCCTCTCCTCTAAACTCACCATTCTACTTTCTGCTTCTATGGTTGACTACTTTAGATATGTCATAGAGGTGGAATCATGCAGTATTACTCTTCCACAACTGGCTTGTTTCACTTAGCATAATGCCCTCCAGGTTCATCCATGTTGTCGAATATGACAGGATTTCCTTCTTCTAAGACCAAATAACATGCCCATGTACACCACATCTTCTTTATCCATTCATCCATTGATGGACATTTAGGTTGCTTCTCACTCTTGGCTTACAATTTTTATACCTGTATTTCTTTCTCTTATTGTTTAGTGCTCTAGAAAAACTATCAGATAACAGTGGTGAGAGTGAGCATCCTTATCTTCTTGATTTTAACAGTATTAATAGGTTTTCATCATGAAGAATAGTGCTTACTTTTGGTTTAAGATATGTTTTTTGAACCAGGCACGGTGGTGCATGCCTGTAGTCCCAGCTGCTCGGAAGGCCTAGGCAGGAGAATCCCTTTATCCCAGGAGGGCAGTGAGCTATGATTGCACCACTGAACTACAGCCTGGGTGAGAGAGAGAGAGAGATCCTGTCTAAAAAAAAAAAAATATATATATATATATACACATACATATATATACACACACATATATATACACATATATATGTATATATACACACACGCACATATATATTTGACTACAAGCACAATTTTGTATAGCAGTACAACATATATATATATATTCTTGTTTTATTAAGAAAATACCTGTTTTGTTATGAGTTTCCCTAATTCATATTTTACTAAACATTAAACATTTTATTTTTATTCCATTTATTATTCCATTTTATTCAATTTATTATTATTCCATGTATTATTTTATTCCGTTATTTATTTTTTATTCCATTTATTTTCATCAGATTTATTATTATTCCATTAAACATTTGTAATGTTTAATAAAATACGAATGATAGCAAATGAAGTGTAAAAAAATTTTCTAATATTGAACCATCTGTAACTCCTGGATTGAGCCCCATTTGGTTATAGGCCTTTCTCTTTCTTTTAGCGTGCTACTGGTTTTCATTCACTATTATTTTATTAGGATTTTGTATTGATCATCATAAGTGAAGTTCATCGCTATTATTCTCTTTTATGCTTTGCTGGATTTGAAATCCATATCACACTGGTTTAAGGCAAAACTTGTAGTGTTTCTTTTGCAGTCCTCTAATGCAATTTAAGGGGTTTTGCAACTCTGTTTTCCTTCACATTTTATAGAATTTCATTTTTTTCTTTTTCTAAATTTCATTTCATTTTTAATTGACATAATAATTGTACATATTTATGGGAAACAATTTGATGTTGTGATGCTTATAAACATTGTGAATCATCAAATCAGGGTAGTTAGCAAATCTGTCATCTTAAATGTCTATTATTTCTTTTTGGTAAGAACATTCAAAATCTTCTCTTCTAGCTATTTTGAAATAAACAATACATTATTGTTAACTATAGTCATACAGAATTCAATTTTTGTTTGAAAAAAAAAGACTTGTAAAGTCAAAAATAGCCCAGCAATGGGGAAATGATTAAATATATTTGGAATGAAATACTACATAGCTGTTTAAAGGAAGGGGGTAACTCTTTGGCAAATTTCTCATTTTATTCCACAACAATCCATCAGGTGGATTTAGGTCTTCTGTCTGTAACACAATTAATTTGGGAACTTTATATTTTCCAAGAAAGTAATCCAGTTTCTTCAAAATTTTTTACATAGAAATAAGTATTTTCTTAAATCTTAATTTTCTTTGTTTCTATGATTATTTTTCCATTCTCATTTCAAATTTTTTATATTTTATATATTTTTGTTTTCTCCCTTTTTGTCTTGTATATCTTAACTAGTGAGTGACTAATCTCATTATATATTATGTTTATAATATATAACTTCTCCTTGCTGCCTCCATGTAAAGAAGGATGTATTTGCTGCTCCTTCCACCATGATTATAAGTTTCCTAAGGCCTCCCCAGCCCTGCGGAACTGAGTCAGTTAAACCTCTTTCCCTTATAAATTACCCAGTCTTGAGTATTTCTTCATAGCAGTGTGAAAACAAACTAATACAGTAAATTGGTACTGCAGAGAGTAGGGTGCTGCTATAAAGATACCTGAAAATGTGGATGCAACTTTGGAAATGGGTAACACACAGAAGTTGGAACAGTTTGGAGGGCTCAGAAGAAGACAGGAAAATGTGGGAAAGTTGGGAACTTCCCAGAGACTTATTGAATGGTTTTGACCAAAATGCTGATAGTGATATGGACAGTGAGGTCCAGGCTGAGGTGGTCTCAGATGGAGATGAGGAACTTATTGGGAACTGGAGCAAAAGTGACTCTTGCTATGTTTTAGCAAAGAGACTGGTGTGATTTTGCCCTGCCCTAGAAATCTGTGGAATTTTGAACTTGAGAGAGATGATTCAGGGTATCTGGTGGAAGAAATTTCTAGGCATCAAGGCATTCAAGAGGAAGCAGAACATAAGAGTTTGGAAAATTTGCAGCCTAACAATGCAATAGGAAAGAAAATCCCATTTTCTGGGGAGAAATTCAAGCCAGCTGCAGAAATTTGCATAAGTAACAAGGAACTGAATGGTAATCACCAAGACAATGGGGAAAATGTCTCTAGCGTATGCCAGAGACCTCTAGAGCAGCCCCTCCCATTGCAGGCCCAGAAGCCAGGAGGGAAAAGAGTGGTTTCAGAGGTTAGGCCCAGACTACCTCCCCTCCCCCACCACCCCACCCCACCTAGGGCATCCTCAAGACATGGTGCCCTGTGTCCCAGCTGCTTTGGTTCCAGCCATGGCTAAAAGGAGCCAAGGTACAGCTTGGGCTGTTGCTTCAGAGGGTGCAAGCCCCAAGCCTCGATGGTTTACACACGGTGTTGGGCCTGCGGGTGCACAGAAGTCAAGAATTGAGGTTTGGAAACCTCCACCTAGATTTCAGAGGATGTGTGGAAATGCCTGAATGTCCAGGCAGAAGTTTGCTGCAGGGGTGGAGCCCTCATGGAAAATCTCTGCTAGGGCAGTGTGGGAGGGAAATGTGGGGTTGGAGCCCCCACATAGAGTCCCCACTGGGGCACTGCTTGGTGGAGCTGTGAGAAGGGGGCCACTGTACTCCAGACCTCAGAATGGTAAATCCACTGACAGCTTGCACCATGTGCCTGGAAAAGCCACAGGCACTGAATGCCAGCACATGAAAGCAGCCAGGAGGGGGGCTGTACCCTGCAAAGCCACAGAGGTGGAGCTGCCCAAGGCCATCAAAGCCCATCTCTTGCATCAGCATGACCTGGATGTGAGACATGGCATCAAAGGAGATCATTTTGAAACTTTAAGGTTTGATGACTGCCTTATTGGACTTGGGACTTGCATGAGGCCTGTAGTCCATATGTTTTGGCCAATTTCTCCCATTTGCAATGGGTGTATTTACCCAATGCCTGTATCTCCATTGTATCTAGGTAGTAACTAACTTGATTTTGATTTCACAGGCTCATAAACAGAAGAGACTTGCCTTATCTCAGATGTGACTTTGAACGTGGACTTTTGGGTTAATCCCGGAGTGAATTAAGACTTTGGGGGATGGTTGAAAAGGCATAATTGTGTTTTGAAATGTGAGGACACGATATTTGTGAGGGGCCAGGGGAGAAATGGTATGGTTTGGCTCTGTGTCCCCATTCAAATCTCACCTTGAATTGTAATAATCCCCATGTGTCAATGGCCAGACCAGGTGGAGGTAATTGAATCATGGGGGTGGTATCCCCCATGTGGTTTCCATGATAGTGGGTGAGTTCTCATGAGATCCAATGGTTTTATAAGCATCCAGCATTTCCCCTGCTGGCACTGGATTTCTCTCTCCTGCTGCCATGTGAAAAAGTACGTGTTTGCTTCTCCTTCCACCATGATTGTAAGTTTCCTGTGGCATCCCCAACCATGTGGAACTGTGAGTCAATTATACCTCTTTCTGTTATAAATTACCCAGTCTGGGTATTTCTTCATAGCAGAGTGAGAACGAACTAACACAATTTCCTAAAGTTAAAAAAAGATCATATGTTGAAATCCTCACCCCAAGATGATGGTATTAGGAGATGGGGTTTGGGGAAGATTAGCTCACAATGGCAGATCTTCTATAAGGGCACTTGGAATACTGCCCTTACGGAAGAGGCCCCAGAGAGACCCCTTACCCTTCCTCCATGTGAAGAAATGAGAAAGCACTATGTATGAACCAGGAAACAGGACCTCACCAGACGTTGAGTCTGTCGCTGCCTTGATCTTGGACTTCCCATCCACCAGAACTGTGAGAAATAAATTTCTGCTGTTTAAAAGATGCCCACAACAACGGAAATAATCAGCAGAGTGAAGAGACAACCTGTGTAATTTGAAAACTATTCACCCAACAAGGGACTAATATCCAGAATCTACAAGAAATTTAAACAACTCAACAACAACAGCAAAAAGTAATAACCCATAAATAGTCTCATTAAAAAGTGGGCAAATGATCTGAATAGATATTTCTCAAAAGAAGACATACAAATGGCCAGCAGGTATATGAAAAATGTTCAACATCACTAGTCACCAGGGAATGCAAATCAAAATCACAATGAGGTATCATCTCACCCCAGTTAGGATGGCTATTATCAAAAAAGAAAAAAAAACACAAATGTTGGTGAGGATGCAGAGAAAAGGAAACTCTTATACACTGCTGCCAGGAATGTAAATTAGTACAGCCATTATGGAAAACAATATGGAGGCATCTCAAAAAACTAAAAATAGAACTACCATATGATCCAGCAATCCTACTATTGGGTATTTATCCAATGGAAAGGAAATCAGTATATCAAAGAGATACCAGCACCCCAGTGTTTATTGCAGCACTATTCACAATAGTCAAGACATAGAATCAACCTAAGTGTCCATCAATGGATAAATTGATAAAATGTTGAATATACACAATGGAATACTATTCAGCCATAAATAAGAATAAAATCCTGTTATTCACAGCAACATGGATGTAACTGGAGGTCACTATGTTAAGTAAAATAGCCAGGCACAAAAAGACAAATATTACATATTCTCCTATATATGGGAGTTAAAAAAGTTGATCTCATGGAGGTAGAGAGTAGAATGATAGTTACCAGAGGCTGGAAAGTGAGAAGAGAATGAAGAGAGTTTGGCTGATGGGTCCAAACATACAGTTAGATAGAAAAAAAATAAGTTTTAGTGTTCAATAGCACAGTAGGGTGACTACAGTTAACAACAATATATTGTATATTTCAAAATAGCTAGAAGAGAAAATTTGAAATGTCCCAACACAAATAAATGACAAATGTTCAAGTTAATGGATATCCTAAATACCCTGATGTGATCATTACACATTCTATGCATGTATCAAAAATCTCACATGTACTCTATAATTTGTATAATTATTATGTATCAATTAACAAATGTTTGGGCTCTCAAGTCTATGGCACTTTGTTCTAGCAGCCTGAATAAACAAAGACAGTAATATAAGAATCTGACGATAGCTCCAGCTGTGGCCTCTAGATCTGTGCTCTCTAATGCAGTACCCACTAGCCACATGTGACTATTGAAATTCATTTTAATTAATTTAAATGAGATAAAACTAAAAATTATGTTCCCTATCAAATTAGGCATATTTTAATAATCTTATAGCCATATGTGGCTTGTGGCTACTGTATTGGACTACACAGATGTCAAACATTTTATTCTATTAGACCCCAATGCTACAGAATATAATATATAGTTGTATTCGTTCAAATTTCTATAGTTACAAGTACAAAAACCCAGCTAAAACTCAATTAAGTCCTAGAGGGAAACCATGAATTCAGTGCCTGCAAAGCCCTGGAGTACAGCTGGTTTCAGCACAGCTGGATTTACTGCTTCGTTTCTCTTCATCTTTTGGTTCTGCTTGTCTTGGCTTCCTCAAATCACATCAGGGTTTTTTCTCCCTCTCCTTGTCTCAGTTATCCTTCTTTCTATTTGACTTTTCTTTGCTCAGCTTACCAGTGTGTGGCATGGCAGTGAAAACCTTGAGCTACAAAATCAGACTCTCTGACTTTGAATCCTTGTTCCACCATAAATGTCAGCAATTTATTACTTAACCTCTGTATGTTTCAGTGTTCTCATTTGTAAAATTGGGATACAATAAAAACCTTATAGAGTTGTTGCACAGATTAAATGAGATAAAGCATATACAACACTTAGAATAGCACCTGACATATAGTAAGTGTTCAACAAAGACTACCTGTTATATTAGTAAAGTATGTTCTATGTGGCAGGCTATTTGGCCACTGGCAGCTACAGTCTCACATTGTCCGAGCCTAGCATTCCCAGTAGAAAAGTGTGAGCCTTCTCTATTAGCTGAAAAATCTGTTAGAACTCTAACCCAATTTGGGCCAAATACTCATCTTTAAACAATCACTGTGGTCCAGATCATTGGTTACTCTTGACTGTCCAGGCCTGGGTCCCATGCCCCACTTCTGTGGCCAAAGTAAGATTAGCCATTGTAATTAACAACTGCATCAAAACAACAAAGTTTCAGACAGATATAGTTTTCCAAAGAAAAAGTGGGTTACTTTTGCCAGAGGAAGGATATGGAAAAGAGTGTTGAGTAGTCAGAAACGATAGCAAACAGTCTATTACATTCCACCCTTTGAATACCTAACATGTGCACACACACTGCTTTCCTGGCATATAATTTCTAAATGCCCACTAACATAACGCAACTATCTTACATACAGCAAAAATATGTAAACACTTGTCAACAGAAGACAACTCCAAAGTTACACCCAATTACTGTGTCTATCTCCAAGTCCAGAATCCCTAAGTATTATGTATTCCCAATGATCATGCACCCACCCTGACTAAATGATGCATTTAACCACCCCCAAGCACACCAAATATACAATGGCAAATAGATGATGCTATAAGTGCAAGTGCATGCACACACACACACACACACACACCTTATTGAGAAAATGGAAAATAAGAAAAGAGTAAGTGTGGTCTTAAATCATTAGTGTAAGCCACATCCCACTATACAAGAATAAAAAAGACTCCATTATCTGGCCATGGGTTGAATTCCTTGGTCAGTCACTATGTGATATGGTTTGGCTGTATCCCCAGCCAAATCTCATTTTGAATTGTAGCTCCAACAATTCCCACATGTCATGGGAGGGACCTGGTAGGAGGTAATTGAATCGTGGGGGTGTTTCTTTCCCATGCTGTTCTCATGATAGTGAATATGTGAAGAGTGATAGTGAAGACAGTGAATCATGAGGTCTGATGGTTTTATAAGGGGGAGTTTCCCTGCACAAATTCTCTCTTTCCTGTTGCCATGTAAAACATGCCTTTTGCCTTCCACCATAATTGTGAGGCCTTCCCAGCCACATGGAACTGTAAGCCCATTAAACCTCTTTTTCTTTATAAATTATCCAGTCTCAGATATGTCTTTATCAGAAGTGTGAGAACAAACTAATACAGTAAACTGGTACCAGTAGAGTGGGGTGCTGCTGTTAAGATACCCAAAAATGCGGGAGTGAATTTGGAACTGGGTAACAGGAAGAGGTTGGAACAGTCTGGAGGGCTCAGAATAAGACAGGAAAATGTGGGAAAGTTTGGAACTTCCTAGAGACTTATTGAATGGTTTTGACCAAAATGCTGAAAATGATATGAACAATGAAATCTAGGCTGAGGTGGTCTCAGATGGAGATGAGGAACTTGTTGGGAACTAAAGCAAATGTGACTCTTGCTATGCTTTAGCAAAGAGATTGGTTTTGTCCCTGCCCTAGAGATTTGTGGAACTTTGAACTTGAGGGAGATGATTTTGGTTATCTGGTGGAAGAAATTTCTAAGCAGCAAAGTACTCACGAGGTGGCTTGGGTGCTATTAAAAGCATTCAGCTTTAAAAGAGAAACAGAGCACAAAGGTTTGGAAAATTTGCAGCCTGACAATGCAATAGAAAAGAAAACCCCATTTTCTGAGGAAACATTCAAGCTGGCTGCAGAAATTTGCATGAGTAATGAGGAGCCAAATGTCAATTGACAAGATAATGGGGAAAATGTCTCCAGCGTATATTAAAGACCTTTATGGTAGTCCCTCTCATCACAGGCTTGGAGGCTGAGGAGGAAAAAATGGTTTCATAGTCTGGGCCTAGGGCCCCCTGCTGTGTGCAGCCTAGGGACTTGGTGTCCTGTGTCTATGGCTAAAAGGGGCCAAGGTACAGCTTAGGCTGTGGCTTCAGAGGGTGCAAGCCCCAAGCCTTGGCAGCTTCCACATGGTGTTGAGGCCATGGGTGCACAGAAGTCAAGAATTGAGGTTTGGAAACCTCCACCTAGATTTCAGAGGATATATGGCAATGCCTGGATGTCCAGGCAGAATTTTGATCCAGGGGTGGGGCCCTCATGGACAACCTCTGCTAAGGGCAGTGCAGAAGAGAAATGTGGGGTTTAAGACCCTACACAGAGTTTCCACTGGGACACTGCCTAGTGGACCTGTGAGAAGAGGGCTACTGTCCTCCAGACCCCAGAATGGTAGATCCACCAACAGCTTGCACCATGCACCTGGAAAAGTTGCAGACACTCAATACCAGCCCATTAAAGCAGCTGGGAGGGAGGCTGTAGCCTGCAAAGCCACAGGCATGGAGCTGCCCATGGAATCCTATCTCTTGCATCAGTGTGACCTGGATGTGAGACATGGAGTCAACATGTCTCATGGAGACATTTTGGAGCTTTAAAATTTGACAGCCTGCTGGATTTTGAACTTGCATGAGGCCTTTAGCCCTCATGCAATTTTGGCCAATTTCTCCATTTGGAATGGATGTATTTACCCAATGTCTGTACCCCCATTGTATCTAGAAAGTAACTAACTTGTTTTTTATTTTACAGGTTCATAGGCAGAAGTAACTTGCCTTGTCTCAGATGAAGCTTTGGACTGTGGACTTTTGAGTTAATGCTGAAATGAGTTAAGACTTTGGGGGACTGTTGAGAAGACATGATTGGTTTGAAATGTGAGGACATGAGATATGGGAGGGGCCGAGGTGGAACGATATGGTTTGGCTGTGTCCCCACCCAAATCTCATCTTGAATTGTAGCTCTCACAATTCCCACATGTCATGAGAGGGACCTGGTGGGAGATAATTGAATCACTGGGGCGGGTCTTTTTCGTGCCATTCTCATGATAACAAATAAGTCTCATGAGGTCTGATGGTTTTATAAGGGGGGGTTTCCCTGCACAAGTTCTCTCTTCCCTGCCACCAAGTAACACATGTCTTTTGCCTTCTGCCATGACTGTGAGGCCTCCCCAGCCATGTGGAATTGTACTTCCATTAAACGTCTTTTCCTTTATAAATTACCCAATCTCAGGTATGTCTTTATCAGCAGCACAAGAACAGACTAATACACTATGGGTGCCCCAAATTCTGCACACTGAGGAAATCTCCCTTGATTAATGTTCTACATGCCCATGTATTAGATAGGTTTTGGGAGGGATTCCCCTTCTAGAGGATACACTGCCCTAGAATTCTATTTTCTGGTGGCATAATTAAGGGGGTCTGGGGGTTGTCTTTTGGTTTGAGTAATCACAGATCCAATTTTCCAGTTTAGTTATATTAGGCCATCTAACTCCTTTAAAATTCTGGTCTTTTACCTGAAAATTGTTTTCTGGTATCTCCTTTGAGCTGAAATACCCACAAGAGAAATCCTGCTAAGTTATAGTCTTTGAATCTGAACACATCTATTGTCATTTCTGTCATTCAGAAATAATCTTCTCAGAAAATTTGGACTGAATTGACTTTTGGTAAATAAAATTCTGGTGCATTTTCATATTGAATCTGTATTTCCTCTAAAATTGTTTAAGAACAACCTGATTTAAGTGCACTTGAAAATAACACAATGAAAACATTTTCTAAGCTATCCAAACCTTAGTTCTGTTATAATCACATGCAAGCAGAAAAAACCCACCCACTCTCCAGAAGTTCAGTGGGGAATAAACATCGACTTTTTGTATAATATAAGATGACTGATAGGCACAATCATAACTATATTGTCAGGCATTTTTGCCACTATATTCAGAGTCAAAGTTAGCTAGCCAAGTTAACTTTGTTTGAAAACCAAATGAAATGTCAATCTATCAAACTTTTGGGGTTCTGTCTCTAAAGCTGGAGTTG
This sequence comes from Homo sapiens, assembly GCF_000001405.40. Lineage (NCBI taxonomy): Eukaryota > Metazoa > Chordata > Mammalia > Primates > Hominidae > Homo > Homo sapiens. The sequence continues at coordinate 79,142,469 of NC_000015.10, read as the reverse complement.
AAACTCATTCATGTCTGTAGAACAATTTCCCCACTCTTCCTTAATCGTATAGCAGTGTCTGTACAAAATAAATAAGTTTGTGAGTATATAAATTAACCATCCTTCTTTTGGATGGTTATATTTTCATTTGACAAAGCAGTCTGGGAGTTATCTGGTTATTTTTATTAGCACAGATCACTGCATTGATTAGAATTCTGGGCTGCAAGCAACAAAGACCAAGTCTAGCTGATGACACAGAAAATTAGTTCATTAAAGGAGAGTGCATTGCTCCCTAAACTTTTGGAAAAGCTGAAGCTTGAGTCTAAGATTTACACATCAATGACCAAACCACACCATAGAACTGTCCTACTGATGAGTCCTCCTTCACTTCTTCCACCACCACTGTCCCCCTGGTTCCACTCCACCTTGCAGATTGACATGATTTGGTTGTATCCCCACCCAAATTTCATATCAAATTGTAATCTGAATTGTAATCTCCACCTGCTGAGGAGGGACCTGGTGGGAGGTGACTGGGTGGTTTCCCCCATGCTATTCTCATGATAGTGATGGAGTTCTCAGAGAGCTGATGGTTTTAAGTGTGGCACTTCCTTGCTTTCACTCTCTCTCTCTCTCTCTTTCTCTCCTGCCACAATGTAAGATGTGCCTTGCTTCCCCTTCACTTTCCACTATGATTGTAATTTTCCTGAGGCCTCCCCAGCCATGCAGAACTGTGAATCAATTAAACCTCTTTCCTTTATAAATTACTGAGTCTCAGGCATTATTTATAGTCATATGAAAATGGACTAATACACAGATGCTCCATCTCTGAAAGCCAGAAACCTCAGCAGCAACCACATTAGCAACATGATTCCACCCAGAGCCCCCTCCTCATGTTACTGTCATTCAAATTAACATCTCAAGTAGGTAAGACTGATTAGTAGAAATGAGGTCATATCCCTACATCCTAGACACCAGGAAAGCTAGAGAAAGTTTTCAAGGTTCTCCCTTAAGGAAGATCAGACTTGTAAGGGTAGATGTTCTCTGAATGTAGCAATGTGGCTCAAAAAATTCTAAACATCCATAAAATGTGGTCAATGCCCATTTCAATTGTCAAACTAGATTTTTCAGCCATGAAATCTACATTCAAACATTTGAATTGGATAATTGCCAAAATTCCATACATTTAGGAGTTGTAGACAGCAACCCCCAGAAGCCTACAGACTATCACATGGAGAAATATAATTGGAACAAGGAAATCTTTCTCTACCTTCTTTCCCAAACTCTTATTAAGTTGACCCTAAATAAACCATTGTTGAGAAAGCTACATAATGAACAAATCTGGCTCACATGGATTCATGCTCTCTAAAAGGTGATAATGAGACATCTCTTCCAGGCAGATAATTATAAAACTTACCTCATCATTCGCCACTACTGGGCCTCCTGTGTATATCTGGCACACCCAGTTGTTTGTCTTCAATGTTATCAGTCATCTGACTTAGGAACTGCCTCTTCTGGTTAGATGAAGTCTCTTAATGGCTGCCTTCTTTGTGCCTTTTTCTCCTTCTGAATGTCAGAAGCTGCAGCCAAATATCAGTTTTGATTCCCATGCTTGTTTTGATGAACTGATTTTTTTCTTTAGTATCTGGACTGATCTTCTAATGCATTCTCCAAAATGCACCAGGATGGTGGCAGGTGACAGATGAAGACCTTTCTAGGAGTCTCTCTAGGAGTTAGGGTCACCACTAAGACTACTGTAAAAGGGAACATTGTCTTCTATCCCATCCCTCCCCTGACTACCAGCACCCTCCATAGCCCTCCACTGAAAGTATATTAAGTCGTGGTTGATAATAGAGAACATTTGTCAATCCTCCTACAGAGATAGGATTCAATATGAAAGAACCATGTTATTTGAAAAACAGTGGGTCTTCATTTGCATACCATGATCCCTGAAGACTCTCCTGGAGCATTTGGATTCACATTTGATATGTAGGTTGAAAAAGAACAGGCCAGATTCTGATTCCTACCTCTCAGTATCACAGACACAAGACAATGATGAACTAAGTGGATTTGATAATGTATACTGGTGGCCTGGGCCACACAAATCTATTTCTTTATTTTTATTTTATATTAATTAATTTTAAAACACCCAGCTAATAAAAACAGTAATCTACTGTCTTTCCTCTTCTACCTCCATATTTTTAGCTAATACGGCATCTACGTCCCTACCACAAAATAAGAGGCTTCCACCACTATTTCTTGATGTATCAATTTATTGCAAGATTGACTTTTTGCTGTATTGGATGAGAATGTCGCTATCTAAAACCGTTCCCTTCCCTCCAACCTTCCCCAGTGTCCCAATACAATTATAGCACTAGGTAGAGCTCCTTTTTTGGTTACCTTTGTCAACATGAACAATAAACTAACACAGTATTTTTTGTTCCATCGGTTTCCCCTTTCCAAGATGAGAAGCTTGTAATCCTGGCTTCCCTTCAGCTATTTCTCCTTCCTTCTATATTTCTATTTCTGTCAGCTGAACTCTTACCTTTGCATTTTTAACACTGAAAAAATTTGCATTCTGTTCTGTAACGAAAATTAAGTTGTCTTTGCTTTGTGTAGAGGTTAAAACTAAATGCTAAAATTCAATAAGCAGTGTTTGCGTGATTGTGATTATGAAGCAATCCTTCACTGCAGAGCCAACTAGTGTAGGATTACTACTCCTTCTTTCTTGCATAGCTATTTACTTTTCCTGAAGTTTATAATTATGTTCTATTTCTATTATCAGCATCTCCATTTTTCCCCCATAGTCCATAATATCACCTATTTTCTCAAGTCCCTTTTATCCCCCAAGGACCCCTTTCAAGGATTAGGAATTGGCCTGCACAAAAGTCCCTCTAGTTCTCCTCACTGATTTTCAGAGTTGATTCCTCAGTTTCCTGAATCCCACATCTTCATTTTCCTTGGTTTACTCTTTTACTTTGCAGCACATTTTCAAACAGCTTCCCCAGCAAAGTGAATGTAGGAGGTAACATTTCAGAGTTCCAGCATGTCCGGAAACAAAGTACTCCTTCCTTCTAATTTCAGTTTGGCTGGGTATAGAACTCTAGGTTACTAATTTTTCCCTTGACAACAACAACAAATCACAACAGCTTGATGCAGAAGCAGATATGGGACTCCAGCTGTCTTTTCCTAAGCCAAACATTTAAAAGGTTGCCAAAAATGTTATTTATGGCCAGGCATGGTGGCTCATGTCTGTAATTTCAGCACTTTGGGAGGCCAAGGTGGGAGGATTGCTTGAGACCAGGAGCTCAAAACCAGGCTGGTCAACACAGCAAGACCCTGTCTCCATAAAATAAAAATTTAAAAATTAGCTGGATGTGGTGGCATGGGCCTCTAGTCCCAGCTACTCAGGAGGCTGAGATGGAAGGATCACCTGATCCCAGGAGGTCAAGGCTGCAGTGAGCTGTGATCACACCACTGCACTCTAGCCTGACAATGGAGCAAGACCCTGTCTCTAAAAAAAATACTAATAAATAAATGTTATTTATGTTAACATATAATGGGTTTATTATCTTTTAATGGATTCATAAATTTTTTATTTTTTAAATAATTTTTTTCTTAAAACTTTGAAGACATTGCTCTATTACAATCTAGCATCCAGTTCTGCAGATGAGAAAACCATTGCTAATTGACCTTTGTTCTAGAGATGACCTATGTTATCTCTGGAGTCTTTTAATCTCTTCTTGGTGACCTGACATTTCACAGGAAAAGGTCAGGTGATGGTCTTCTTCATTCCTTATTCTCTGCACTTGGTATACCCACTTAATCAAAAGATTTGTGCCTGTCAGGAAAATCGCCCTTTTTATATATTTACATAATTTCTTTCCCTCTGTTTTCCCTATTCTAGCTTTCTGGGCTTCCAATTATTTAGATGTTGACCCTCCTTAATGGATTATCTGTGACTCTTTTTTTTTTCTCTTACATCTTTTCTATTTATTGTATTTTCATTCACTTCCAAAGATATTTCTTCACATTTGTCTTCCAACTCTTCTTTTGAACCTTCTTTGGCAATGTCATTCTCAATGTCTAAGCACTTTCTTGCCCCTAATTGCTACCTTTTCACAGCATCCTCTTGCTGGTTAATGAATATATCTTCTAGAATTTCTGTGGATACTAAATAGAGGTGCTTTGTGTTGTAAGTTCCCTTTTGTTCCCCAAAATTAATCTATTTTTAGGGTCTTTTTTCAGTTCCCTTGGTCTCTGTCTTTCATGCTGGAGGATTTCTTCAAATGTTTAGTGATTCTTGATTTCCCTTCATGTGCAAGAGTGAGACAACAAGAGAGCAGAGAGAGATCTGTGCATGCAGATGGCCTCGTTTGCTTAGGGCGACAAGCAGGGAACCAGCTGAGGGGTCTAGCAGGGTGACTCCCAAATACCCAGGTGGGATGTTCTGGCTCAGGACCATGCCATTTCTTTAGAGAGAGCCCTCCGGTGTATTTCTTTTTTCCTGTAGGACAGACTTTTGGGTGTGTGTCTAGGGGGCTGAGGAATGGAGAGTCCATCACCGCAAATAAAACTATTCACCCAGGGAAGCCGAGGCCAACTCACAGCCCGTTTCCTGCCTTCCTCGGCTCCCTACACACTTGATGTTCGCACCTCCCACTCCAATAGGAGATTAGACCAGGAGGTGGTGTTCCAACCGGCGGCCATCTCCTCCAAGCAGAATATCTCTGCTCCACTAAAAACCTGTCTTCCGCCGGGCACGGTGGCTCATGCCTGTAATTCCAAAACTTTGGGAGGCAGAGGCAGGTGGATCACCTGAGGTCAGGAGTTCAAGACCAGCCTGGTCAACATGGTGAAACCCTGCTTCCACTAAAAATACAAAAAAAAAAAAAAAATAAAAAATTAGCTGGGTGTGGAGGCAGGTGCCTGTAATCCCAGCTACTTGGGAGGCTGAGGCAGGAGAATCACTTGAACCTGGGAGACAGAGGTTGCAGTGAACCGAGATTGGGCCACTGCACTCCAGCCCTCCAGCCTGGGCAACAAGAGCAAAACTCCATCTCAAAAAAAAAAACCTAAGTCTTCGCTTTGAAGTTGCCTGTTATCAGTATAATGACTTATCAAAAGAAAAACTAGATTCTATTCTACTCCCTCTGCAAGTTATTTTCTTTTCTTTATTCCATTCCTCCTCCTCTTTGTCCCCGTCATTCCTTCTTCTTTCTTGGGCAACCCGTAAGCTGGCCAAGAGCACCTGTTGGCATTTTGCTTCATTCTTTCTCAGGCCTTCAGAGATTGTTAAAAATATTAAACTCCCAGCTCTTGTTGACTGTGGCACTTTCGTGTTCACAATCCATCAAGTGGCATCATTTAACACTGCAACAGCTTCGTCATGATTACCAAAACCAAGGATTTTATTATACATTGAGTGTGCTCCTGCCATATGGTTTTGAAAGACACTTCATGTCTTAGAAGAAAGGCTAGTTTAAGAAATGTGAATATTTAAAATTCCCCACAGTATTACAGCTTTGTGAAGTCCTCTTGCTCCCTACTGTGAGTTTCTGACAACAGGCTTCTGCTCAGGGATGAATTTGGAATGTGATCCTTCATGTCCGCAACACCTCTGCACCCTCTGCTCAGTCTTTGGGCAGGCAGTTCTGTAACTCAGGGTCTGGGCCCACCTTTGCTATCAGCCCAGGTGCTTCATATTTCTGCTGGTATTTATTGTGCACTGAGGAGCTGTCAAATGCCTGTGGCTCTGGCTAGAGTTGTTTTTACATTACATTACCTTGATCCTGGTGCTCACTTTAGTCCCAGTTAAATTTCAGCAGAATTCAGTCTGACCCCTGCTTCTGGAATCCCCTTGCGGCCCTTCTCTGCCTTCTGTCTGAATGACAATAGCAAGGGGCGGTTTGGTTCTTACTATATCCTTCAGGCAAGGGCCTCTTTGGCTTGAGCCCCTGGTTCCCTGCAGAGGTGTGGGCCCTCCAGTGTCACACACATGATCATGCTTCCCAAAGACAGAGGAAAGATGATCCCACCAGGAGACACTTGAAAATGGGAAACTTGGGAAACTTGAAACATGAGACTCTATTCGATCAGATTGTTTTTCAGAGACATAACTCAGTTCTTTGTTTATAAAAGACAGGATGGGCCAAAAGCTCAATGTGAAAAGGCTTCATCTGAAATATCTGAGGAGTGTTAAGGTCAGGCAGGAAGCTGTGCTTTGCAAGGTTAGAGACACGAAAGTCTCTTTCAAAATTTCGAGATGATAGTATGAAATCCCAGCCAAGGAATGAACTAAACAAGTGTACTAGCCTCCTCTGTTGAGGGCTACATCCCAAGCACTTATGGATCTTGCATTCTAATGGGGGAGATTGAGAAAAGGAAGGAAGTTAGGAAGTTGGAGGAACGGAGGGAGGGAGGGAGGGGAAGGGAAGAGTAGGGAAGAGAAGGGAGGAATGGATGAAGGGAAAGAAGAAAGGAAAGGTGGGAAGGAAAGAAATGTCAGCTGATGATAAAAATATGCAAAGAATTAAAATAGAGGGATTAAGCAGCAAGTGGCTAGGAGCTACTTCATTTTGCATGTTCAAGGAAAGCCTCTCTGAAATGCAATTTGAATGACAAGAAGACAGTCATGTAGAAACATCTCTGCCTATCCTATGATATATGTGCTGTCACCAGTTCCTAGATGAACAGACAAGGGTATATAACGTTTAAAAATAACTTATTCATGGTCACCCAGCTACTAAGGAACAAAATCAGCCCAAGACTCCTTCTACTTCCATAGCTAGCTCTGATTCTGCAGTAGACATGAAGAAGCAGGAACAACTCTTAGGATATTCAAGAGCCTTCTGTCTGGACTTATCCCCAGATATTTTTCAGGCAGGAGCAGTAGGTGGTTATAGGTAAACTGAACACCAGTTTTCTGAAATAAGCTCTTTTGGGGGCATAGCGTTAGGACCATAATATACAGAGGCACCACTGGCACTGCACAACTCTAGGGGTGTCACCCACACAAGCTACAATGTGAATGGTGCCCCTGGCCCCTGGGATTGTGACAGAGGCCGAGGTGCTCCCTAACCTGGGTGATGCACCACAGAATTAGAGACTCAGGTCTAGCACAGAATTAAGTCTGCAAATATCCAGTGATTTTTTTTCTGAAAAGACAAAGACAATGATCCTATGGCATTATCTGGTAAAGAATTCCAGCATGTCCCAAGGCTAATGTTAGAGGACCACTTTCAGGGCTCATTCTGAATGAGGGCTCCACCACCTTCTTTGGTGATAGGAAATGGAGGGAAGTTGGACATAGTTTCCTTCTCCTTCTATAATTCCCCGGTGTACTTTCCTCCAGCTTTTTCCACAAATTCATTATGATAACTTCTATAAGTGCTGTTTCAAAATATCTGGTTCTGGTGGATGTTAGGGAAATACAATTAAAAGAAAATCTCCTTGCAACCCAGAAAACCTCTCCACAAAGGTAGAGGAAGAGAGAGACAACACTTTTATTACTGAATGAGCATTAAACCAGAACGTGATGCATGTCTCAGGCAATTCACAGAGAGACAGTAAAGATAGAGAGAACTCTCATCCTTTTATTTGACCAAGCAGATACAGCACACTGCATACATGTTCTCAAGATAAACAATAACTAGTCCTCAAGTAGAAGAACTTGATAGTATCATGTGTCTCATGTAATTCATCTCAAATTCACTTGATAGTTTGGGTGACCCCCTATGTTAGCTAATTGGTTTTACCCAAAGGGAAAATTAACTTCTCTTTATCTTTTTGACAGGAGGTAGTTTTACAACTTGGAGGCTCCTACCTTCCCACAGAAACTGGTAGATAAGGGCCCTATCTTCCCTGATAGTTACAATTCAAAGCAATGGTTCTTAAGTCCTTAAAAAGGATGTTCCTGGATCTTTGGGTTGCAAAGCTGGCCATAGGCTTATTTCACTTTTTAAAAGGTTTACATATATATCAAAGAGACAGAGAAAAATCTTACAAGTTTTCTAAAGCAAATGCTCTGAGAAAAAGGGAGGAGGAAGTCTCTTCCCTTATTTTTGATAGGAAGAATTAAGCCACTTATTTTTAATTTCTATTTGCTTTTTTATGGGCATGAGGGAACCATTGCAAAACTTTAAAATGGTTTTTTAAAATGGTTTTAAAATGGTTCTTTTAACTAAGTTCCACCTCCCAGATTCACGCCATTCTCCTGCCTCAGCCTCCCGAGTAGCTGGGACTGCAGGTGCCCGCCACTGCACCCGGCTAATTTCTTTTTGTATTTTTAGTAGAGACAGGGTTTCACCATGTTAGCCAGGATGGCTACGATCTCCTGACCTCGTGATCCACCCGCCTCGGCCTCCCAAAGTGCTGGGATTACAGGCGTGAGCCATCGCGCCTGGCCTTGCACATTTTTAAGTAGCTTCCAAAGTCAGTGATTGCACAACCAATAGAAGTTGCTATGGTAGCAAAAGTTAGTGTTATTCTAATCTAGTTGGTGATGAATTGTCTGGAGTTGCTGCTACTGGCTGCAGGAAGCCATGTTCTTCGTGTGGAATTTTTAGTTTTTGTGCCATATCATGAGCAGAAATCGGCTGAGCTTACTGTATGGAAATCAGGGTGTGAAAGTAGGGCACAGACCCAACATGAGATCTAAGCAGCCATGAGTCAGAAATCAGAGGAACATGGGAAATGAGAGGTGCTTGGGTTTCTCCTTTCCAACCAATCCTCACTGGGGATTGGGCTAGGGCTGGGATCAGGGAGGGCAACTGAGCGGTCACTGTGTGCTGCACAAAAATCTAGAGATTTTATACACGTGATCCCCTCTAATCCCTCCAATAGCAGCAAGATAGACATCACTGTACCCATTTTACAGATGAGGAAGTGAAGGCTTATAAAAACAAAAGCAACATGTTCAAGGCCATAGAGTTGGTGGCAATGTCAGGAGCAGAATCTAGATTTTTCGTCTCAAAGTATGATGAGTTGGCAATATTGATCTGAGCAGAAATTCAAGGAAATCAGTTTCACAGGGAGAGGAAGTGTTTGGTCTCAGGGTTAGAGGAGGGAATGGAAAAAGTGTCATCAGTGAATTTAGGTCCAAGTTATCTAGAAAGAGAAAGAGAAAACAAGGAGAGGAAGCTGATGATACAGATTAAAGCTTCACTAGGATATAAGGCCCAGGAGGGTGAGGATGTTTGTCTATTTCATTTACGACCATATCTCCAGGCCCAATAATAGCACTGGGTACACAAGAAGTCCTCAAAAAATTTTTTGAATGATTGTTGAATCAATTCTTGCAATAACATAGGCTGAGGGAAGAACATAGCTTAAGAAAGTGGCTTTAGAATTTCAGCAAAGACTAAAATAGTACATATCAATAACTGTGAAGAGCCTGAGGTTTTATCACTTTTACAAGCTGATGAGTTAAGCTGCCAGTTTCATGGATGCTGGCAGAAGACACAAGACTCCTGGGTCAGAGAAAAAGGACTGTGTGACTCACTGTAATAACAACAGTCAGAGTATCAGCAGATTTTTTTGTCCCACAGGATAATGTAAAGAGGGCCAGGTGACACCTGCATACTCAGTGAGTTGCATTTCAGGAGAGGAACACTGAAGTTAGGGAACTTAAATATTTTCTAATGGGCAGTAAGCAAGCCTGCCCTTTGCTCCAGAGGGAGACACTAACTCTATCTTCCGTGGCTATTTGGATATATACACCATTGAAAGAAGTAGTCTGGAACAAAGGCCTCTATTTGTAAGGCATGCAGAAACATGACAGCCCCATGGAGAGTTATGTCCCAACAATAAACTAGTACTATGTTCCCTGGCCAGAGGATCACCCCTCAACAGCAATGACATTGAGAAAACCACATGCAGATGAAGTAAAGGGTAAAAAGTGTTAGATCCTCAAAGCAGACAGCACCAGCCTCCCTGAGGTCTGGGGAGAAGTTCAGAAAGGTGTTGACTTTTGATATTATAGAGCTTCAGCAATCAGATTTACAGGGAATAAAAGGAAGTGACACTGAAGTGACCTCACAGAAGCTTAATTCCATAACACATGAGACCTTAAGTACCTTAGTCTAAATTCCCCCAAAGCTTGCTTGAAGTCAGTCTTTTCTAAAAGTAATCCCAAGAAGCAGAAGTGAGGAACAGGGGGAGTAAGACACTCAAGAAGGAAAAGGTGATCCAAGGATGTGTTCACAAGTTGGCTACCTCTGTGGACAACAGTGCTCAATCCCATGGCTTCTGAGGAGGCAAAGGAAATCTATCCAGAACTGCCTTCCCCAGAGATAAAAGAAAAAGCATGTATCTGTTGAGTGCATATTGATCAGCTGGATGTGGAGAAATGGGATTTTTACATTCTTGGGTTACTAACTTGCTGCTAATGAAGGACCAAAGACTTTAAATGCCCCTACAGTGTTAGTAAAGACCCCAGGGTTTGCTGCTGACAAGAAAAGAAAAGAGAAAAGAAAAGAAAGAAAAGAAAAGAAAATGAAAGGAAAGCATGTATCCATTGGTTCTGCCCCCCACTCCCATCCACTGGTCATAGGATTGAACTTGGCTTGAACATCCAGGTTGCACATGTGTGAGTTGCAAGCAGGTTCCTGGGGTTCTGTGTGCTTGGGGCAGGAAGTGAGAGGTACTGGTACAGGCCTGAAAAAAGGAGACATCATGCTGCCCCCACATGAAGCTGGTCAAAGCCTATGTGGAACTGGCCACCCCAAGGACAGTGGGATAGAAAGTGAGGCTGAAAGGATATGAAGATACACAACGGGCATTGTATACAGTCCACCCCTTGCACCACTCAGTTCTACACATGTCCTTCATTAAGGTCAGTGCATACAGTGTTCCCTTCAAGGTGGTGGTCAAGGTGATGGTCAGCGACAATATCTTCAAAGATAGAATGCAGCTGGCCCCGAAGCCGTAAGTAACCATTATCCTTCCCCTCTGCCACTCACCCTAGCTTTGCCTCACCCACAGCCAGTGTAGGACACAAGGGAAAACTTCCAGTTTGTCCTCTGAAGGTTTGCTGAAGAGTCAACTGACAAAAGGCAGATTATTTGGAGAAAAGGCATAAAAATGAATTAACGTGCAGACAAGGGAGAACCACAGAATAATTATTCCAACCTCCCAGTGGGATTCACAAGTTTATATACCATCTTAAGGCTATAGAAAGAATAGGGGCTAGGACCATGGCAAAGCAAGTTTGGTGGTGAATCAGGTTATAGTGGCAAGACAGGCTATGGGAGAGAGAGAAGAGTGGGCCTGACTGGCAAAGGTAATCTTGTTATGTAGATGAAATCTCAAAGGTAGCAGCCCTCAGAGAGAATAGATGGTAAATGTTTCTTTAAAGGTGTCAGACTCAGTTCATCTTTCCTAGATCCAGACAAAGGGAAGCTTCAGAAAATGCCTGGCAGCATCAATGCAGATTTTCTACAGATGCAAATCTCCCCCTACAAAAGACAGCTTCTGTTTGTAGACCTTCTGAACAGCCAACTCAAAATATGCCAAAGCATATTTTGGGACGAAATATTTTGGTTTCCTTTGCCAGCATGCTGATCTCTGCTGCTCACTGGGCAAGGTGACCCAGTTCTTTTACACTGAACGGTGTGAGCCCTTAATCACCTTGGTGGTTGTGGGATTTTGGTTGCCGAAACAGCCCACTCACCATGATCACCAGGCATGGAAATGCCATAAAACTCCAGTAAATCCTCTGGGCTCCAGACCTGCTCCTTTCTGACCCCATTGTATAGCACAGCCCCAGCACCTTGTGGTCATTAGGGTAAATTACATGTCCCACCTCTCATATTAAAGCTGTCAGTGCTCCATTCATATCCCCTTGACAATCACTGTCACATGCACATGAGCTTCGTACCTCAAGCTCTAGAGACTCCATGATGAAGCCTCCCTCTGGCTGTGGGAACACACTCAGCCTGCCCTCAGAGCAGGTCAGAGGTACTGAGAAGGGCACACTTTGGGGACAGTCACAACTAATGATGACTAGGAGTTGGTAGATAAATACCCCAGCTATGTGGCCCCTCTGATGGGACTGGGACAACTCTGGGGCATGTCCACATGGTCTTTTGGAGATCCTTGGCAGGACTGAGCCCCAGTTACCCACAGTGGTGACCTGTTCCTTAAGAGAAAGCATGTATCCATTGGTTCTGCCCCCCACTCCCATCCACTGGTCATAGGATTGAACTTGGCTTGAACATCCAGGTTGCACATGTGTGAGTTGAATGCAGGTTCCTGGGGTTTGGTATGCTTGGGGCAGGAAGTGAGAAGCACTGGCACAGGCCTGAAAAAAGGAGACATCATGCTGCTCCTCCATGAAGCTGGTCAAATCCTATGTGGAACTGGCAACCACAAGGACAGTGGGATAGAAAGTGAGGCTGAAAGGATATGAAGATACACAATGGGCATTGTATACAGTCCACCCCTTGCACCACATGGGCTTCCTTCCCTGCCCTATCCCACTCTCTCATGCCCCTACTGGTGTTTCACTCCCTAACAAACTACTCATCCAGAAAGTCTAGTCTCAGAGTCTGCTTCAAGGGGAACCTAAACTAAGACATTTGGTACTGGAAGTGGCCCCAGGAAGCAGATCATCAGTCTGGGATCCTGGAATTGAATGTCTCACTGGCCAGAAGGCAAGAAGAATTGAAATTCTGGTGGTAAGTGCAGTGGTCATCACCCCTGCCATGCTGCAGCATCACTCATGTGCAGTGGGTTTGGAGGGGCATAGGGGAAGGAGATGTAAAGGCTTAAACAATGGCTCTGACATATGGAAAAATCAGGGGGTGATGGTGATCATAAGGATTATGGCACTGACTAGCTATTGTTAATGGCCATAAGAACGACGAAGAAAGAAAATAACAACCACGGGCCAGCCAGATATCAACTCAGGGCACAGTGTAAAAGCCAGAGGGTTCCATGAGGCATTTAAAAAGGCCCTTATCTTGAAAAGCTGGAGGGATGACTGTACTGAAAATCAAGCTCCAACACAGAGCCCACCCATATCATTTAAGTATTTGCTGTGGTTGGGCACTCAGCAACTTCCTGCTGTGAACACCACTGCTCCCTGACTGTGGGCTTTCTCCAGCCTTCAGAGCATGCCTAACTGCCATTCAGTGCAGGACAGGGTGCCCCAGAGTTGAAGCTTCTGGGAACAGCAGAAATTAGTGTATAAATACCCCAGTTTCTCTGCCTTTCTGGTGAGACAACTCTAAGGCATGTTCCACATTTCTCCCAGATGTCCTCAGCAGAGTTGAGTGCCTCTTTCCTCAACAGCAATCTTATGTTGGCTTCCTTCTTCAATCCATCTTACTTCTCTACTCCCCTTCTGGTATTTCCTGCAATCGTCTTCCAAATAAACTATTTGCACTCAAATCCTGATTCCAGGACCTGCCTCTGGGAGAATCTATTCTAAGAATCCACCATAACTTTCTTTGCCTCCTGGACCATGGGCATAAGGAGCCAAAGTGACCAACAAGATGACAGTCATAGCTCAGTCATAGCTTCCAATTGAAAGGAATTCCTGATAGGAGCATTCACCACTTAGGAAATAGGACCCCTAATACAACAGAATCTAAGGATTCAGGACAAGGAAATACAGCTTTCCTAAGTGTCACTGGGAGCAATAGTGAAGGGGACCAAACTTGCTTCCCCTTTCGTTTGCCAGACCTGTGTATTCTAGCTTCTGGTGACACAGTTTGCTCACCAGTTCAGTGTGCATATGGCATCCTGGAGCTCAGCATGCCAACCCTGCAGATTGTTGTCCCAGAGCCAGTCCCTTAGCTAAGCCAACAGGTCGTGTCATTGTTGCGTTGAGCTTGCTCCTTCCAGCTGATGGGTATACCAAGGGAACCCTTTGCAGTGTGCCATTGTCAGCCCTCCCTTTTCCATAAAATAGGTCCCTCAAGCTGGGACCATGTTATTCAGAATACCATGCCAGTTCTGTCTGTCCACAGATAGAAGTGTTGGCAGAAACAATATAGATAGAGAAGGCAAACTCATATCTACAGGAGGTAAAAATCTAAAATGAACAAATTGCTGCCCCATTAGAAGAAGGGTCTGATGTAATTAACCTGTAGTCAAGTAGCTGGCAGCCTTCCTTGAGCAATAATGCCTTAACATAGGGCTCAACATCTGTCTCAACTTTATGCTTATTGATTGGTGGCAAGTCTTAATATACTAATTATATTAATAATTTGCCATCTATGCTACATTTTTCCCCATTTTATTTTACCTTTAAGTCTTTATTATGATGGGGGGTTTATAGATATAGAAGTGCCTAGCTTTTGTTTTTAGTGAAATCTGTTGATATTCCTGTATGGCTTTTTGCCTCTGTTCCTGTGCTTTTAGAAGGCTTTTCTCATTCTGAGGTTGTATATATATTCACCAATATTCTCTAGTATACTGATGACTTCTTTCTCTCATTCTTCTTTTCTTAACATTTAGATGTTTCACCTATCTGGTGTGAGGTAGGGATCTAATTCTTTTTTCCCTAAATGATTAACCAGTACTCCTAACATTGTATATTGTATCACACAACTTTTCATCACTGATTTGAGATGCTGTCATCTCCGTATGCTGAATCCTTCTAGTTTCTTGGTCTTTGTTAAGATTTTCTCCTCTTTTCCACTTATGTATCAATTCATGTGGCAGTCTTAAACTGTATCAGTTACCATAGCTCAAGGCACTTTCACATCTGGTTGGGAAAGCTCCCTTTCTTTATTAACCATCTCTAAAAATTTTCCAGCTATTGTTGCACATATTTTTTAAAGGAAGCTTCTATACGAATTGGGGAGAGCTATTCTAAATCATAAGAGATGGAAGAAAGGGGGAAATGTTTCAAGGCTTCAGATTTAGTAGGAAGGATATGAGGGGTAAGGCCTGAGAAACTGTGATCCAAGTGTACCCAGATGGTCCTTGTTGTGCTGGGGGCTTAGCCAGCTCCAGGAAAACTCTCCCCACGTGCACATTGAGGGGCAGAGGGTTGGCCAAACCAAAGCTCAGATGATTCACTCTCCCAACAATTTGGGAGGGCTCAGGAATCTCTGAAAAAACTCTTTTTTCCTACATCTATAATGGCAAGAGTCAAAATGGAGGCTTACATGACAAAATGGAGACTGGAGAAGGAGTCATTCGAAGAGAGAGATTGAAAATATGAAAGTCTGTTGCCCCATTTGAATCCTTTGAGAGTGCTGGAGCTAGGTCACAAAAGAAATAAAGACCTGCTAAACTTAAGGGGAAAGACTTTGCTGAGATGACCATGGAATGGCCACAGACTCCCAAGCAAGCAGGTCTCTATAGTTTGAGCTGGGAGCTTAACAGGGAGCTGTCAGATGCAAATGGCAATATGAACCAAGAATGTCAGATCCTGGAAAAAGAATAAAATAATACATTGAAAAATACTTCTTTTGAATCTGTTGGACATTTTGACAAGCAAGAGCGATTCACTGCATAAAATTGTAACCTCCCATGGAGAAAGAAGGCAGGTTAAGAGCCACCCTATGTCTATAGTTGTATCTGACTTTTTCAAGTAGGAGCTAAAACTGAAAAGAAAAGCAAGAATGCTGTTGTTTTAGAAGCAGGCTGTGTGAACAGACCATGTACTAGCAAATGTGGGCACATGTGATCCATTTGCTCAGTGGCTTTGTAGCCCCCTCCAACAAATCATAATATTGCTCAACTGGGAAAATGCACTGTAATTACACAAATCTTAGGAAATTTTTACTGTGAATGCATGTTTGTTTTGAATGAATACAACACATTTGGTTTTTTAACATTTTTTTCCCTCGCAGGGTATGTATTGATTAATTCGGAGATAACTTTTTTCTAAAATTATTATCTGCACTTTCAAAGTCACAATGTTAACTCTTTGAGCTGTTTGGACATTTTCATTATGACAATGAAGACAGAATTTAAGAAATCTAAATTCAGCTTTATAAATCAGTGTGTTTACTGGATTTTTTGGTACCACATAAAGGCGTATGAACTTACACTATGATCCATGAGTAAATGCATGGACATTTATTTTATTGGGCTTGTTAGGGAACATGAACAAGGATGTTCAGTATAATGTTTCTTAATGTGGCCAAGGTTGGAAGCCATTAGAGTGTCCATCCCCGGCAGAATTAATAGGTGAAATGTGGAGAATGAACTTCCTGGAGTACCCTACAGCAGTTACAATCAGTAGATCAGATGTTCATATAGCAACATAGATAGATCTTAGAAACACAGTGCTGAATTTTAAAAAAAGGAAGAAACAATGGGATCTGTAACATAATACTAGTAACAACAATTTTAAACACATGCCTACAAAACAACAGTGCACATTTCCAGGAAGACATAGGAACAAAACAATACTCATTAAATATATTAGAATGGTCTTCTACAGGGAGAAGAATAATGAGAGCAGGGAATGGAGATAAAAAGAGAATTAAAAAAGAACATTTTATAATACCTTTTCAATTCTTTTATGCGTACTTCATATTTAAATTGTGATTTTTTTCCCCTTCTAAATCAGGAAAAAAAGCCTCCCACCCACAATATTCTAGGGAGAGAGATGAATATTCACCATCTAACTTCTGAAATTGACATTTATTTTGTGATTCAAGAAGAAAAGGTGGTAGGAATAAATAACATAACGAGGGAATCTAATCCATAAAACTGGGAAAACAAATTAGATTTTATTAATAAAATCTGAACTGGGTACAATCATCAGCTTGTGAGATTTACTCACTTGGTGATCTTAATGTGGATGGGGAAGATTTTTAATTAGTAACTTTGCATATTTTTATGGGAATTAAAAATTTTCCCCTGTAGTTTGGGTACGCATTCACCACTGGATGCAAAACTCAGTGCTCAGACGTGACATTTTCATTCAGTAATGCTTTTTGGACACAAATAGCAATGGAACTCACTGAGAAACCCTACAGGATGATTAGTCCCTAATACTGTTTTCTGCTTTTGTTTTTATGTAGCCCTGGGATTTCAGCTGTATCTGTGTCTTCTCAGTTGATTTTTAGCAGCCAAGACAAGATTGTCAGCAGCACCTGGGTCCAATTGAGCCCCCTGTTGAGGCAGGTCTTCCAGCTCTCACCAGTTGGTAAAGGGATCTTAAGCTGGCCTATTACTCAGAGCTCCTTGTGGCCTTCCTAGGCCATGCCTAGAGTTGAGCATTCAATTCTTGCTTTTGAGTGAGAAGTCAGAACCCCACAGTGAGGCAGAGAACTCACCACACTCCTTGTTGAGAATTTCAGTGGCATCAGTGGGCATCTCTGCTGGGTAGCACCATCAAACACGTGCAATTACCTCTCTACCACTCCCATCTTGCCCGGAACCAAAGAGGCAGCACTCAGCACTCATTGTCCTAATTCCCTGCTTCCTCAAACTGGGTGCTGAGTGTCTTTCAATAAGCATTTTCTCAACCTACAGAGGGAAAGAAGTGTGGTGTCAGTAAACTTAGGAAGCAGAAGCTACAAAGATGCATATGGGTAGCAAGGCCCGCAGTGCTGTTTCAGTTATCTATTTCTAGAAAACACAGTGGCCTAAAACAAGAACCATCTTGTTTGCTGGAGATTCTGAAGGTCAGAAATGCAGACAAGACCCAGCTGGGCGGTTCTTCTGTATTGCTCTGTATTGCAGTTCATGTATTGTCTCTTCACTGCATTTGACTGGTGACTGGTGACTGGGCTGGGTTGGAAGATACAGATCGCATGTCTGATTGCTGAGGGCTCCTCCCTGTGGCTTATCTCTCTCACGGTGTATTTTCTTCGTATGATCTCTCTTTCCAGCAGGATGGCCTGGACTTCCTCACAGTATGGTGGCTGGGGAGCAAGAGGAAAAGGCCCAATGTGCAAGCACTTATGGAGCCTCTGCCTGCATCACATTTGCTAATGTCCCATTGGCTAAAGCAAATCACATGGCCAAGCTCAAGTCTATGTGGAAGGAGACTACACAAGAACAGAAATACTGGGAGGCATAATTCTCCAACAGCTGCAAAGTAACAGTCTATCACAATTTCTAATTCCAGCTCTTGCAGCCAGAAGACACTGTTGGGTTTTTAGATGCAGGGACAGCCCAGAGATCCAAGCAGAGGAAATACGTTTGGCTCTGGGAGAGTCTGGAGTCTTATTAGCAGCTAAAGAGCCTGACTGGGTTGTTGCATGTGACTCCATGGTGCAATACAGCCTCTCCAGCCCAGGGGCCATGACAATAAGAAGCCTCCATAACTGGGAGCCAGTGAATGAAGGTATCCTGAACAAGCATGAAAAGAAGTATCAGCTCAAACAGAAGTTCTATGGGTCTAGGATGGGATCTTGGCCCCAGAGTGGGAAGCGGAAGAATAAACACCCCAGCTTCCTGGCCCCTCAGGTGTGTTCTGGACCACCTCCCAGAATCCCAGCAAGACTGAAGTCCAGGTGCCTACAACATAACCTTCTCATTGGCACTCTTTAATGGTTTCCATCCCTCCATCCCTGTCATAATTCTTCCCTATTAGGGCTTCCTGGGGTCACCTTTCAAATAAACCACTTATACTCAAATTGGGCCTCATGTCCTGCTTCTAAGAAAACCCAGGTTAAGACAGTGATGGATTTGGACCACTGGATGATTTCAAGAGTTATTCAGTGGTCCAAATCCAAAGCTTGAGAAGTCCATGATCTGATCAATGGTGTGGTGGTGTGCAGTTGGCACTAGACAGGCATGGGCTGGAGCCTCAACTCTGCTGCTCACCAGTTTTGTGGCACTTTTGTTTCCAGAGAGAGCCACCTACTATCCTTCTCATTCTTGGTTACACCTGCCACTCCTCTCCTCAAGAGATGGAGTCTATTTCCCTTCTCCTTGATTCTGGCTGGCCTTGGGCTTGCCCAGCCATATGCCTTGCTTTGATCAGAAAAATAAAAGTGATATTTTAGGACTTCTCAGTCCAGGCTTTGAAAAGCTTGCAGCTTCCACTCTTTTGCCCTCTTGGAAGCCAGCCACCTTGTAAAAATCTCTGACACACTGCTGAAGAGACACCATGGACATAAAGAGCCTCCAGCCAGTCCCCAGCTGTTCTAGCCGTCCTGGCTGAGAGGCATGGGCTCTGAGAGCTTTTGAGATGTCCAAGTGAAGATGTCAAGAGGACAGTTAGATACAAATAATTCCCCTATATGTCTCTCAATAACAACCAGGGCCTTTCCTCTGTTGCTTGGGCAAAGAGCTGCGTTGTGCCATTTGAGGAGTTTACCATTGTAAATGGCAAGGCTGCGTGTGTATGAGTATGCGAGTGTGTGGTTTGTGGGCGGAGTGTTTGAAACAGGCTGTGCAGTCTCCCGCCCCTCACAGCCTCCCTCCTACAGACCAAGCCTCAGCCACACCTGTCCCCTCGAGGCCCAGCCCAGACTGCTAAGTCATCAAGCCCCCAGCGTGACCGCAGGACCTCACTCCCAGCCAGCACATAATGTAGCGCTTGAGGCCGACGGGAAAGCCTTTCTCACCCGCCTGTGGGACCATCCTAGCGTGCTAGCCTCTCCTCTAATGCTTGCCTCCCAGCCTCCCCATCTCACCCATTCGCCCTCTGCAACTTCCCTCCCCAGCCTTCCCATCAGCCATGCCCCTAAATCCCCGTGCCCTGGCAAACAAACTCCTTCCCTCTCCCCTTCCACCTGAGTGGTGGCTTTGCTGAGGATGTCCTTCCCCTGCACCCCCTGGAGGGATTCACTGCTCATCCTCACGCACACACCCCCAGCTCAGGGTCTAGAGGTTGGGTCGGGGTCCTCTGCAGCTCAGCATCCTCTCCTCTGCCAGGCCACACCAATTACTATAGGGAAAGGCAGCCCCAGGCCTGGCATCTGATAAGTCTAAGTCGATCATGAGGCTCTTAGTAGTAATTGGTGCAAGGGTGAACATGTGACCCAACTCTGGCCAATGAGATGTCAGGGGAGGTCTGTCAGGGGACTTCTGGGGAAAGATTCCTTGCTCTTAGGAAGGAGACGGCAGAAGGAATAACTCTTAAACCATTGGACGGTGATGGATCTGGGTGTGATTCCTAGAGCTGCTGCCACCATCTTGCAATGAAGCTGAAAGTGAAGTCACAAGGCAGGGAGATGGAGGGAACCTCCATGAGATTATGATACTATTGAGCCCTGTTTCCCTGGAAACTCTCCTATCTCTGGACTTCGTGTCAGGTGAGATAACACAAGGCATTACTGTTTGTCATCTGTAGTCAAAGATGCCCTGGTCGAGACAGCCCTGTGCTTCTCCCATCTTTTGAGGTCTCCTCCCTGGACTCTGCTCTGTGCACTAAGGCACCTGCATGACCCAGAGGGTCACAGGCTTGTGCATCTTACAGCTGGGATCTGCCTTCCAGATTGAACACCCTGATACCTGCCACAGAACAGGTGTGACCTTGACATCCTCTGCCCCAAACTTTTGATGCCAATGCCTGTAGTCCAGAATCCCTTGCATGGCATTACAAGACCCAGAATTCCTCTCCTGGTTGGCTTCCAAACTGGCTTTGCTACACTCTGCTTCAAACACACTGATCATTCATTCATGTAAGTCATTTTCTATCCCTTGACATGTGCCTGGCACTGTGTGAGAAAAAAAGGACACAAAGGTGAGGCTGGGGCGGCCCCAGCCCTCAGGGAGCTCAGGCTCTAGTGAGAGCCCAGAGGAGTAAATGACGGTAGTATGTGGTGTCAGGTGCTATGAGGTGTGCACCACGGAGACTAAGGGGAAGGGGCCTGGGTGAGCAAAGGAAGGCGTCACAGAAGAGGTAACATTAGACCTCGTCAGGTGGATAGGAGTTGGGTGTGTGGGCGGAGGACATTCGTGCATCTTGGGCAGCCTCTGTTCCTAGACCTAACCATGCAGTCTCAGAGCTCTGTGCCTTTGTACTTGCTGTTTCTCCTGCCTGGAATGCCCTTTCCTTTGTTGATTGGCCTGGGAACTCCTCTAAGGACCGAAGTCATAAAGCGTATCATCTGAGAAGCCATTCATGACTCCTGAGGTAGGCTGCTCCTCTCTCCGTTCCCATATCTCTGCACTCATTTACTTGTAAGAATTTGTTCCCACTTTATTTGCCCATCTATCCTTTCATCAGACAGTGAGAAAAAGACCAGGTCATACTCACCGCTATATGCCCAGCACTTGGCCTAGTGCTAGACACCTGACAAATGCTCATCTCTCCCCAACCCCCTTGTCCCCTCCCAGCCATATTTTCCAAAGGGTTGAGCAGACTCTGACATGATTGGGGGAGGCAATGACTGACGACAGGAAGCCCTGTCTGCTGGGCAGCCCCTACAGAGAGCGCTCCAAATACCAAGCCAAGTAGGGTCCTCCCCAGCCTTAGAGACCTTTCCAGTCAAGACCACCATGTACAGTGATTCAGGTTGTTTACTTCACAAAGATATCCAGCCAAGGCAGCAAGGAGGGACTGAAATCCAGCCAACACCCTATTTCCCAAACCTTTTGCTTTTGCACAGTGCTACAAAAAGGGGCACCTTTTTCTAATTTGCACAAAAGTTCTATGTAGAATAGCTGTGGCCCTTGTCCACTTGTGGCAGAACCATGACCCATCACAGGGCTCCCCTAGGAGGCCTGAACCCCAAAGGTACCAGGGCCTAGCCAAAGAGTTATTGCTAAAGGCAGTCCTGATGAAGAGAAAACATCATTGATCATAGCTCTGTTGCACCTATTTACACTGTTCTGTGTTCTGGAAAGTACAAAAAGATAACATGTCTGGCCTGCAGTGACATGTTTGCTTGAAATCATGAGGGAAAGTGTGATTCTTACCATAAATTATAAGCATCAGTTACATAGGCGAATTAAACCAAGGTCCACTGAGCAAGGAAAGTCAGATAAAAGGTCAGCACTCAGAAATGCACATCTTAATGACCTAGACAGTTATTAAAGCTGCATTAAAATTTTAGCTCTGAATTTCTAGGCAGCCAAAGTTCAAAGGGAACCTTGATCAGTTACGTAATTCTTCATTCAATCAATCAAACATCCTGCCAGGCTGATGGCTGCCTGCTCTGCCAGGCACTGTTAGGCACAGGGAATCAATGGTGACAAAATAGACATGGCCCTGACCTCATGGAGTTTACATTCTAGTGGGGAAAATAGATTTTTAAGTATACAAGTAAACAGAAATAAGTAAAATGATTACAAATTCTAATATGTATAATGAAAGCAACAAATAAAAGACTAAGAAAGAGAATAAGAGAAACTGGGAGATCTATTTATAATACAGCAGTCATAAAAGTCTCCTCTGAGGAACAAAAAATAGGCTGAGGCCTGTAGGACAAAAAGGAGCTAGTCTTGCAAAGGGGTGAAAGGGAGGCTAAGAATTGGGAATAACACACGCAAAGGTCCTGTGGCAGGAAAGGAGTTGGATACAAATATACCACAGAACTATGCATACTTTATTGCACTGATCCACCGCATCTCTGTCCTTACCATGAGTAAGTGTCTGCTTCCCCTGCTGCCCACACCTTAAGGCATCCTGCCCTAACGGATTGTGTACAAGAAGGCTTATGTCAGTCTATTCAGCCCAGTCCCCCACTGCCCAGGTGCTGGACCAATTCAGGTTTGAGGCAAAGGAGTTTCAAGCAGTCAGGAACCCTGCAGGGTGAGGTTAGACATCCAGTCACCATTCCCATCAGTCTAAGCCAGTATCCAATCTTTAACCCCTGGAATCCCAAGTGACCCATCATTATAAGCCCAGAAGGTTCTTACTGTTATCCTGTAGGATTCTTTCATTATCCTATTCTTAGGATAATGAAACATGTATATAAAACATATGACGCCTGAGAGCCCCCTATAAGTTCCCTGCATTCTTGCCCCTTGAGCCATGTATCCTTGAGCAAATTACACTCAAACTGGCCATGCAAAGAAACTAATAGGAACAGAGAACCCTGGACAGAATTTACTTCTGATTTTTATTCATTCATTAAATCAATCAATCTTTATTTGTCACCTACTATGTGTCAGGCCCTGCACTTTCCATACGAAGAGGATGTGGACAAAGTGGATGTTCAGTTGGGGCTTTTCTCCCAACCAGGCCTGCCCCTCCATCTGGAGTGGCCACCACCCATCTCTTCTGGACCAAATTCTACTCTCCCTCCAAGGGAAAGCTGTCGTCATTGGCTTAGCAGCTACTATGTACCAGGGATCATTTTAAGCTCTGGGGTAAAGCAGAAAGATATGATTGTCTTCAGGGAGCTTAAAGTATACTGAGGAAGACACTAAACAAATCAGGCCACAAGGGCTTAAGTAATTCCACCTGTGATATGGGCTTCAAAGGAGAAGCACGAGGGATTCTGTGAGAATACAACCAGGGGCCTCAACCCATCTGGGTGGGGCAGGGAAGGCTGTGCAGAGTTTTCAGTAGGAGCCAGCACACTCTGGTCTAATATTCCCATATGGAATCAAAAAGTAGAAAATACAATAAATAGAAATAAATCAGAGAGGGGAAACCCAGACCTGAACCATTAGCTTTGCTCCCTACAGCTTGCCTTTAGCAAGACACAGGCCTTGTAGTGTGCCTGTGTAGAAATTATCCTGCTGTTAGGCTCAGGTTCCTGGGTTCCAGTCCAGGCATCACCCTTTCCTCAGTGTATTATTACCCTGGCCTAGTCTATTATCCTCTTGGAGCCTCAGCTTCTCTGCCTGTAGAATGGGGGCAGCATCTCCCCCATGGGGTTGTGGGAAGATCAAACAAGAGATGCTTATTAAATGGTACAGTGTACAGAACTGTGGTTAATTCCTCCCACACTGTGACAGCCACATGTTCCTGTCTTGTCATCAACGGTACTCTCTGAAACTCCCAGAGCTTCTTGGCCTGATCATCCCATGGACATGCCGACACACATCGGGTTTTTTTCTATATGCCCCTCACAAAGGTATGAGATTCTTGCCTAAGCTGGAATCTCCTGTCCTTTCTGTCCAATTCCAATTTGACGGCATGTTGCAAGTATCTGTTTGACACTGTCGACAACCAAAATAGAAATCCCATCTCCAGCTACCCTGGATACAGCTTGTCACTGTCTTTAGAAGATAAATTTGGTGATGGGTTCACTTAGAATCCTTTCTAGTAAAGGAAGGAGCCACAGAAGCTAGACATCAAGTCCATTCATCCAGATGTGTGGCAGAGGTGGCATTTTAATAAACTGAGGGGCAGGCAGAACATCCCCTTTCACTGCGCTAGAAAGCTGTTCCCTATTCATGCCTGTACTACGCTCCAGCTGATTTTTATTCAGATTGATAGAAGCTATTGTTTATTAAAGTCTACCATGAGCCAGGCCCTGTGGTGGGACTTCACATCCAACACCATTAATGCTCACAACCACTTTGCAAAGCAAAGATTTTTTAGCCCATTTTATGGATGAGAAAACTGAGACTTCAGAGAGGGTAACTGGTTCCAAGTCACCCAGCTGGAGAGTGCTGGGGCCGAGCCTTGAGCTCAGGTGCCCCACCCCAAGCTCTGTCCAGGGTACCACACTGTCTCTGCCTCACTCATGGACATTTTCCATCCCTGCCACTTGCTCTTGGCCTCTGCCTTCCTTGGCTCCTCTTAGCTGGTGGGTTCACAGCATTCCTCATCTGTGGGCCCCCAAGCTGGGATCTGGGTTCCTGGCAGACACAGCTGGTGCCTGACCCCTTTACCCATTGTTGTTAAAGAGACCCAGAAAGGCTGTGCCAGTGTCCCCAGGCCCCTGTGTTCCACCCGCTATGCCTCTGCTTGATGCCTACTTCTGAGCCTGACCTTTGCCTTGCTGAACAATCTAAAAGAGCCTGGAACCCACAAGCTGGAGTCTCCCCTAGGCCCCCTGCTGATCTCTATATGCCAATCACCGCTTCCTGGGCCTTCCAATTGGCCTACACTTCCTACAGCCCTGCCCACCAGAATGGTCTCCAGCATTGGCCCAACTCTGCCTTTTGGGCAGTGGAGTGCAGGTCACCCTTCTGTCCTGATAAAAATCCTGGACTTTTTATCTGAGATCCCCTCATTAGAATATCCTTCCTCTACTGGTATTTCTCTCTGCTCATACCAGCCTCCCAAGTACAAAGGCGGGAAGCATCACCCATCGAGCGTTCTGCAAGAAGCAAACTCACCTGGACTGCTGGTGCAGGAAGGGCCTTCATACCCATCTTGCTGATCCCCACAGTGCACAGGGAGACTGAAGCCCTGAGAAAGGAAGAGGCACGGGGTCTTATTGGCAAAGCAAAGTCTAGAGCTCAAATCAGGTGGCTGCTGTTGATGATCAGGCTATCCATTTGTGATTAGGATTTTGAATGGTTTACAGGAGATAATGCTATAAAAATCTAGGGCTAGGGTCCTTTGGACAGTCCAGAAATCCCCAATACAGGTTTTTTACCACTAGAAAAATGTGCCCCTTCCTCAGGGAGTCCCAGCTCCACACCAGGGCAAAGTCTCGTCCAGCAGGGCAAGGGCTAGATTTCTAGCCTGCCCCTTCCACCTGCCTCTTCAGCAGAGCACCCTTGTGCAGTAGAGCACCTGAACAACTGTACATGGTAGCCCTGCACATGTAACAGTGAAATTCTTGGCCTAAGTGTGTCTGCTCCTTCCACCAGACTTACGGCTCTTTGCGAATGGGCAGCCTGTTTCATTAATCCCTGGGTCTGTCACCCATACCAAAGGCATGCCGGGCAAAGAGCTGAATCAATGTGTGTAGAAATGAAAGTATCTCTTTGCAACCTCACTACTTCCCTTTGCATATATTCACTTAAGCAACCTTTACCTATATTTAATTTTTGTAATTTTCCTGCACCTCAGTGTACCCATCTGCAACAGGAAAACACTGACATCTGCTTGTTATCTACCTCCCAGGAGTGTTGAGAAGGTGGATGGAAGCAACAATAGTTTTCTTATCTCCTTGTAAAAAGATACAAGCCATTACCAGGGTTTTATAGATGAGATCCCCACTGTTCTCCCTAAATTCATGTGTCTGAGCTCCTGTCTCCCTGGTTATGCATTGCTGGCTGGCTGGAGTTATTCTGGGCATTTCTTCAAGTGTCATTGGTAACTTAGAACTCACCAGTGACAAGCTGGCAAATTCACTTACAGAATGCAGCTCCTGAGAACTACTAATGACGCCGTGAGGAGACAGGAGAAAAGAACCAGCAGTATTTGGTCTTCAGTTTAAGGCATAAATATCTGAAAATGAGAAATTCCTTGGAGCCAGCCTCCCAGACGGAACACTTAGTGCTCAGTTACATAAAGAGCTACAGAAGCCAGGAGGTCAGGGCAGAGCTACAGCAAGGCCCGGCAATGGGCCTGGGCGGCAGGCGTGGGAGGCAGTGACAGTGCGTATGGGGGGAGGGGGGCATTGAGAGTATTGCCCAGTTCACCAGGAGTGGTGAATGTCCAGCTTCCCTTTATCCATCTATCCAGCTGCTCTACTGAAATAAAAGCATAATGCCAGACACTGCCAGGAGGAATTTGAATGTGGCAGGATTGCCCAATGGGCAAACTGATTGTGCTTTATGATGTTATAGACTCATTTGAAAGAGAAAGTTGCAGAAAACAGAATTAAAGGAACCTCATCCTTCTCCTCTGAAGAGAACCCGGAGAGTTCTGTGTCCTGAGATCTGTTCCACGGGAGAAATGAAAGGCTTTTATTTTCTGAAGTCTAGGAACTGGGCACAAAGAGCTGGCTTGTCTTGAATGGGCAGGGGCTCTGGGATGGACAGGAAGAGGTTGAACCCACGGGGAGACCCAGGTTTTCCAGAGACAGCAAGCAAAGGCATGGTGGGATATATGTTGGTGTACTGGTGAAAGCTAACAACGTGTTCTCAGGGTGGTGGGCTGGAGGGCGGGGCTCCTGATTTATAGTGTTTACTAGTTTCTGTGGTGTAAATATTTCCACCATGGTCAATTTCAAGCTACCAACTTTATGTCATTGAGCAGGAAGTTGGGAAGAGACACACACAGTCGGTCCTCCTGAGCCAGTACAAGCCGGCTCCAGCACACCACTGACATGGAAACATGCACCCAGCTAAATGCAGCACCTCAGGAGGCGGCAGGACCTTTGACGGGGAGGCCCCTGGGTGCCAGGGACTGACAATCAAGCTCTAAGACCTTGGGAGCTGCTGAAAAAGATCTCAGAGCCCGGCTTGGCATGGAGAGAGAAGAGCCACCCTTCTTTGGAATGAACCATTTGGACTTGAGCATGAGGCTCCAGCAGTGACCATATGGGGCTGAAGAACACAAGCTTTGCTGAAGTTTCTGGACTATGTAAACCATCCTTGCCCACCCTAAGGAGGGGGTGCTCCAGGCAATGACTCAACCATGGTGACTGGGAGCTCACAGCCAGATTTAATTTGGTTTACAAAAATAAAATACTGCCATGGTTCTTGCACATGACTGTTGGGATGCAAATTCATACCTGCTGCAGATTGCTGGGTTCCTCTGATTTATGGGGACATATGTTTCTCAGTCTAGGAGGGGAAAATGAAACACACATTCAAATAACCATTACGCCCAACAGAATGTGGTATGGACCATAAGAAGGATTACCAATATAGTAAAAAAAAAAAAAAAAAAAAAAAAAAAAAAAAAAAAAAATGCTGTCACCCATTTATATGTTACCACATTTGCAAGGAGCTTTCATGTACAAGATCTCCTGCTAGGCCGGGCGCGGTGGCTCACACCTGTAATCCCAGCACTTTTGGAGACTGAGGCAGGTGGATCACCTGAGGTCAGGAGTTCGAGACCAGCCTGGCCAACATGGCAAAACCCCGTCTCTACTAAAAATACAAAAATTAGTCGGGCATGGTAGTGCTTGCCTGTAATCCTAGCTAATCGGGAGGCTGAGGCAGGAGAATTGCTTGAACCCGGGAGGCAGAGCCAAGATCGTACCACTGCACTCTATCCTGGGTGACAGAGCAAGACTCCGACTCAAAAATAAAAAATAAAAAGGATATCCTGCCATCCTCCTCACAACCCTAAAAAGCTGATAATAGTACCATTTCACAGATTTGGATGCTGAGAGTCAGGGAGGCCCAAAACTATATGGTCCATCAGTGCAGCACCAGCACTCTCCTTCCTGCCTTCTGACTGCCACGTTCAGTGTTCTGAGCCCTGTGAAGTGATCAACTCATCCTGGCTTGCCCAGAACTTTTCCAGTTTTGGCACTGAAAGTCCTGCATCCTGGGAAACCCCTCAGTCCCAAGCAAACCAGGATTTGTCCAGGACTGGTTTCAGTACAAAAGTCCTTTGTCCCTTGAACCTCTTCATCTTGGGCAAACAGGAACAGTCACTCTAATCCCCCATCCTACTATGGAACTCAGAGGAGAAAAAGGAGGAACTTTTGGCTGGGCAGTTGAAATCAAGGAATTCTGGAGGAAGTTTCCATTGGCTAGGTCTCTAAGGCTGAATTTGAACATATGGGAAGGCGGGGGATGTGCTAGGGTGAGGAGATGAACACTTTTCAGGCAGAAATAAAAAGGACATAAACACAGAGAGGGGGTCTCCGAGGGCATGAGGGCATTGGCAGTTGTGGTTCTGCCTGGGGCATCAGGAAAACCAAAGTGCCACTTCACCTGTACTTTCTGGAAGGAACAAGGTCTCAGTAGCTAAAGAGTAGTTAAGAGTCCAGAACATGGTCACAGAGACTGCTAGTCCCTTACCAGTATTCATTCTGCCCTTCTTTCTTGTTAACAGAAACCCACTCTGGCCAGCAATATCTCCAGCTAAAAGAATATATTTCCAGCCTCCCTTTCACAATGGCCAATAAGATATAAGTAGAAGTTGTTGGATAAACTTCCAGAAAGGCTTCTTAAGAGAAATCAGCCAGCCAGAGAATGCCCTTTTGCCTCTTCCTATTTTTCTTCTTGCCTGGAACCTGAGTGTGATGGCTAGAATGCCAGCAGCCATCTTGTGACCTTGAAGATGAAAGCAACATGCTAATGAAGTTGGAGCAAAAAGGTAGAAAGAGGTTGGGTCCCTCATGACCATGGAGCCACCAAACCACCCAGGACCACCTACTTCTAGACTTCCTTTACATGAGAGCATGAACCTGCATGTATTTAGACCACTGGAATGAATTCTGTGTTGCTGGCAGCCAACTATCATTCCAGCAAGGGCACAGTTCAAGCAAAGGCACTGAAGCAAGAATGCACACAGCTTTGGGGGTTGCTTGATTACTCCCCAGGGTGGAGTAATCCCTTGGTGTGGTTTCTTTGGATTTTAATTTTCATTAGGATCTATTCCCCTACTCTCACCCATGGGCATCTTCCTGGCAACTCACAGTAGAATGTAATGGATTCCTGGGACCCAGGATCACATCTTCCTTTGTCCCTTGGTACCTCCAACTACTTGCCAGCTTTTCACCCAGTCAGCCAATGGCACTAATGACCTCAGGGAATGAGTGTGCATGGAAAAAAGCAGGAAATAAAAGAGGTAATGCTTGGCTTTTGAGTTACAAAATCAACTGTTGGAACTCACAGCAAAGACATTATTTTGAGAAAGGTTTTTCTAATTTCAAAAACCAGGATACTGTACATTCCTGTGAAATTTCAAAATACCAGCAACAAAAGACCCCACAAACTTCCAGAGAGTAAAAACAGATGACATGCAAGAAGGAAGAAGAACCAGAATGGCTTCTGAGTTCTCAGCAGCCAGTTGCTAGAAAACAGGGAGCAGCGCCTTCAAATTTTCACGAGAAAATCATTTTCAACCTAAAAGCGTATTCCCAGCCAAATTATCAATCAAGAGGGATAGCAGATCCAAGACACTCTCAGACATCCAAAGATTCAAATGTTCTGTCTCCCACACACCCTTTCTTTAGGTAGCAAATGTAAAACAAGAAAGAGAAAGACACAGCTTCCAGGAAGCAGGGGTTCCAACACAGGACAGCCATGAAGGGGAATCTCAGGAAAATGCATACAGTTGGCCTAAAGAGTAACCAGGAAGGGAGCATATGGGAAAACGTGTAGCCACAGGTGCAGAGAAAAGCAGACACATCAAAGGCAAGGCAGCTATGAACTCCAGGACAAAGAGTTAAACAGCGTCAAAACATTGTATGAGTGGACTCTTCGTTTATCGTGAAGCAATATTTGAACACATATAATACTGTATACACCAGTGAATAAAATGACCAAAATGTGAGAAAACTATGGTAGGCAGAGGTTAGCAGTGGGAAAGCTGTGGGAGAGTTAAGTTCATATCTACTATGACAAAATATAAACCAATAATATCAATTGTTGATGAATAAAACGATATCCATATAAACATATCATTTAGGGACATGGTAAATACAAGGAAGAAAATTCAGAGGAGTTGAGGGTAGTTGCCTCTAGTGAATGGATTTCAGGACATAGGAAGAGGTGAGATACTAACTTTTTAAACTATGTCCATTTATTATATCACTAAATACAAATAATAGCTTTGAAAACTATCCTTTAAAAATAATGAATTTTTTTATGTCTGTATCAAAATATATCATGTACCCCATTAAATATATGCAGCTACTATGTACCCATGAAAATTAAAATAAAAATGTTTCAAACTAAATAAATAAATAATAAAAATAAAATAACTTTTTTAAAAGTAATGAATTTTTCAATGTGTTAACCAATTTTAACACACTGGATAACAGCAATATAATCTATCTGTAATCCATAATTTTTAAATGTTATAAATTTAAATTTATAAGATAAAATTTTAATCAATCTTTTAATGCCAAGGCACTAAAGGCACAAACAGTAGATTACAAAACATTTATGATAGATCAGAACAGTTTTTTCTAATACATATGTATATTTTTAACTTTTTATTTTAAAATAATTATAGATTCACAGGAAGTTGCAATAAGAGTAGAAAGGGGTCAGTATATCCTTCATCCAGCTTCCCCTAAGGGTCTCATTTACATGACTGCAGTACAATAACAAAACCAGGAAACTGGCTGGGTGTGGTGGCTCAAGCCAGTAATCCCAGCACTTTGGGAGGCTGAAGTGGGTGGATCACCTGAGGTCAAGAGCTCAAGACCAGCCTGGCCAACATGGTGAAACCCTATCTCTACTAAAAATACAAAAATTAGCTGGGTGTGGTGCTGGGCACCTGTAATCCCAGCTACTTGGGAGGCGGGAGGCTGAGGCAGGAGAACCACTTGAACCTGGGGGGCAGGAGGCTGAGGCAGGAGAACCACTTGAACCTGGGGGGCAGAGGTTGCAGTGAGCTGAGATCATGCCACTGTACTCCAGCCTGGGTGACAGAGCAAGATTCTATCTCAGAAACAAAACAAAACAAAAAACCAGGAAACTGGCATTAGTACAATGTGTGTGTACAATTCTATACCCTCCTGGCATGTGTATAGATTCATGTGATTCCCCTCTGCAATCAACTGTTTCATCACTACAAAGATTTCTCTCCTGCTGTCCCCACAGTTTCTAAACCCTGACAATCACTAATCTGTTTTTCATCTCTAAATTTTGTCATGGTTAGAGTGTTATGTAAATGGAATCGTATCTACAAGATTGGCTTTTGAGACTGGCTTTTTTCATTCAGCATAGTACCCGTGAAGTCTATGCAGGTTGCCATGTGTCTCAGTAGTCCATTTCTATTGATTGCCAAGTATGATTCCATAGTATGGCTGTATCACAGTTAGTTTAGCCACTCACCTATTGAAGGACATCCTGGTTGTTTCTACTTATTGGCTACTGCAATTAAGCTGCTGTAAGCATTTCTGTACAAGTTTTTGTGTGGACATACATTTTTATTTTTCTGGGATAAATGTCCAGGAGTGGGATTTCTGGGTTGTAGGGCAAGTTCATGTTTAGTTTTGTAAGAAACTGCCAATCTCTTTTTTCCAGGGTAGTCATCCCTTTTTACATTTCACTAGCAATGGTGAGAGACCCAGGTTCTCCACATCCTCACCAGCATTTGGTGTTGTGACTGTTTTTTATTTTAGCTCTTCTAGTAGGTGTGAAGTGATAGCTATCATGGTCTTAATTTGCATTTCCCTAACACCTCATGACTCTGAACATCTTTTCATGTGCACATTTGCCATCCATGTGTCCTCTTCAGTGAATTGTCTCCTCATGGTTTTTTGCTCATTTTCTAATTGTATTGTTTGTTGTTTTGTTGTTGAGTTTTGAGAGTTTTTTAATATATTCTACATATGAATCTTTTGTCAAATATTTGTGGTTTACAAATGTTTTCTCCCAGTCTGTAGCTTACTCTCTTTTTATCCTCTTGGCAAGGTCATTTTAAATCTTTTTGGTTACTTTATTTTATTTTCTTGTAAACTGACAATTTATAATTGTACATATTTATGGGGCACAAATTGATGTTATGATTTATGAATACACTAGAGAATAATTAAATCAAGCTAATTAACATATCCATCACCCAAAATGCTTATCATTTTTTATGGTTAGAACATTTGAAATTTACTGTCTTAGCAATTTTGAAATGTACAAAACTCTATTATTAACTATATGCACCATGCTATGCTATGCAATAGATTTTTTTTTTTTTAAAATCTTACTCCTCCCATCTAAGATGTTGTACTCTTTGACCAGCATCTCTCCACTCCCCACAACCCCTGGCCTCTGTAACTACCATTCCACTCTCTGCTTCTATGAGTTTAATTGCCTTAGGTTCCACATACAGATGAGAATGTGCAGTATTTGTCTTTCTATGCCTGGCTTATTTCACTTATCATGATGTTCTCCAGTTTCATCCATGTGGTTGCTAATGACAGAATTGTCTTCTTTTTTAAGGCTGAATAGTATTTCATTGTGTGTATATACCACATTTTCCTTATCCAGCCATCTGGTGGATTGACATGTAGGTTGATCCCGGAACTTGGCTATTGTAAATAGTGCTACAATGAACATGGGAGTGCAGACATTTCTGACTAACTGGGTTTAAATCTTTTGGGTAAATACCCAGAAATGGGATTGCTGGATCTCATTTCTAATTTTGATTAGGTCAAGTTTTTGATATTTTTCTTTAATAAATCATTTTTGTTGTCATATCAAATTACTCTCATCAAGTCCTATGTCCTGATGATTTTCTTCTATAATTTCTTCTAAAAGTTTTATAGTTTATGTGTTATATTTATATTTATGATCCATTCTGAGTTAAATTTTTTTTGTATACAGTGTAAGGCTTAAGTTGAGGTCCATAGTTTTGACTATAGATATCTGATTATTCCAGCACCTTTCTTGAAGAATTATCCTTCTTCCATTGAATTGCTTTTGCACCTTTGTCAAAAATCAGTTGGTCATAATTGTTTTGGTCTATTTCTGGATCTTTTCTTCAGTTCCATTGCTCTATGTGGCTACCCCTCTGCCAATACCACACAGTTATATAATATCTTGAAATCAGATAGACTGATTCTTCCCACTTTCTTCTACTTCTTGATTATTGTTTTAGTTATTTTAGGTCCTTCATATTTCTATATAAATTTTAGAATTATCCTGCCTATACTACAAAGAAAAAATGTTGCTTGAACTTTGATAGAGTTGTATTAAGTCTGCATATCAATTTGGGGAGAATTGGCATCTTAGCTATGTTGAGACTTCCAATCCATGAATATCATATATCTCCATTTATTTAGATTTTTTTATTTCTTTCATCAGCTTCTGCAGTTTTAAGCATACAAGTCCTATACATATTTTGTTAGAATTATACCTAAGAATTTATTTTTTAGCAATGGTAAATGGCATTGTATTTTTAGTTTTGGTTTCTGTGTGATTATTGCTATTATATAGAAATACAATTTATTTTCATGTGTTGCTTCTATATCTCAGAACCTTGCTGAACTCACTTATAGTTCTAGGACTTTTTTCTTTCTTGATTCCTTGGAATTTTCTATATAGACTATCATGTCATCTGAAAATAGGTAGTTTTATTTTTTCCTTTCTGATTTGTATGCTTTTTATTTCATTTTCTTCCCTTATTGAGCTATCCAGGACTTCCAGCACTATGTTGAATTATTTAAAGGAGAATTAACACTACCTGTACATAATCTCTCCCAGAAAATATTAATAAAGAACACTTCCCAATTCATTTTATGAAACCAATATTACCCTGATAGCAAAATCAGATAAACACACTTCAAAATGTGAAAACTACAGACCATATCCTACATGAATATAGATACAAAAATTCCTTAATAAAATCTTAGCAAATAGAATTCAGCAATATATGAAAGGGTCCAGGACCTTTCACACACACCAGAACCAAATGGAGTTTCTTCCAGCAATACAAGGTTGGTTCAATATTTAAAAGTCAATCAACCATATTAACAAGCTAAGAAAAAAATCATATCTTAATATCAACTGATGCAGAAAAAGCATTTGACAAAATTCAACACTTTATCACTTGATGATAAAACCTCTTGGAAAACCTCAAATCAAGACAACTTCCTCAGTTTGATAAAGAACATCTATTTTTAAAAACCTGAAGCTAACATACTTAAAGGTGAAAGCTTAAATGCTTTCTCCCTAAGATCAAGAATAAGGCAAGAACAAGTACTCTTGCCACTATTATTCAAACAACTATATATTTTTTATTTTTATTTTTCCTATTATATAATCCCTGCACTGGAAGATGGAAAAAAGTCAGATGGCAATGAGGAGAGTTAGAAGACAGAGTGGGTACCCAAGAAGGGCCCTGCACCACCACTCCTGGATTCAGCCCTATGGAAAGGGAACAGCAGAAACTCTCTCTCTATGTAGGGATCATACAGCAGAAAAGCCCTGTGCATCATCTCCCGGTTTCCCTCCCACCCAGCTTGGTGCTAGGGTGGTAGAGCAGAGCTGACTTCTTAAGCTGTCTCAGCAATGGCTCAAGTTAGCTTCAGAGTCTCCACTCCTCAGCGAACAGGGTGGGGGAACCAAACGTTCCTTGCCCCAAGGTGCTCCTGAAACAGCTGAGAGAGGGTGGTACCTAGAAAATTCTGCAAGTCAGGGGTGAGGAGGGCACAGCAGTGACCTTGTGTATTGTGTGTGACCAAGGTCCAAATAGAATAAAGAGCATCTCCGTAGATGCTCCAGTGGCCCCTGTCAGTAATCACACACACACACACACACACACACACACACACACACCAAAAGCTCGCCACTCCTGGGTGCTTGCTATTCTACAGTCTACCGCCACCCAGAATTTAGACAGAATACCAAAGAAAAGGGAAGTGAAACCCTGACTAAATGGAAAATGTGAACCGACTGGATTTACTGTCTGCCTCCCATCAGAATCAGGCACAAAATAGAAACGAAGCTCAATTATAGAAAAATACATGACTTGCACATGTAAGTTTATGGCCTGAGTGGCTGCTGCACTTATTTGAATGCAGATTTGCCATTATCACTTGGCAACCTGATGTAAAATGACCAATAAAAGAAAACCCAGAGAGCTCAATTTTGAAACATTGGAATCCTCTGACCCACTTAGGTGCCCCTGGGGGGTGGGTGGAAGGATGACAGAAGGGTAGACCCTGTGGCTAAAAGAAGGATCACAATGGTGGAAAGACTCTTACATTCCAACATAACAAAATATGTACAACTTGAGTCATAGGGTCCCATAATGCTTGGAAGAAGGTGTTGATCCCTAAAGGAAATGCAAAGCTCCCATCTGGCCACCCTTTCCTCACTCAGCACTCAGAAATGCTGGAATTCAGGCCCCTGAAAGAGAAAGTCCATGCTTTCACTGAAAAGGTCATGCACCAAAATTCTTACCAGGAAACCTCAACAGGATTGAAAGCAAAAGCCTCTCATCTCCTACACCGACCTGTGACTGATGGCATAACTAGCTAAAGATGAGGAGGTCCCCAGGTATCAGCTCACCTCTGTTAATAAAAGTTCCCTGGCAGATTCAAACTTCTTCCCTAACAGATAGCAGATAGCAACCAGTGACCCAGAAAAAATACAGAGATGGCCAAAGCTTAGACTTTGTTTGACACAACTCTGGGTTCCACACACAGGTTCCTACGCACCATGACCCCTCACATACCTCTGTCATCTCTGTCATCAAACAGCAGAACAAAGCACCACTTTGAAACCCTGAAATCCCTCCCCAGGGACCAACAGCATTTTTCCCCACGAGATGCCACACCCACCAGAGGTGGAGAAGGACTTCAGCAGGACAGCCATGAACATCTGGCACGGGAGCTCTGTGGACATCCTGAAGCTGCCATGTTTGGACATGACCTGCCACAGAGTGGCACGTGGGCCACTCCAATGGGACATTTTCCCCTTCCTGAGCCTCCATTTCTTTACCTGTCAAGTGGGGTTGTTGTCAGGGAGAGGGCCTTCCAAAGGAGTCTACAACCCCAATGCTTGGTGGCTCCAGTTTGAGCACACACAGCAAATTCAGAAGGCAAAGCCATTCAGTTCATTTCCCTTTTAGCTGTACTAGCCAGGGTTCTGTAGGATGCAAGTGATAGAAAACCAAACTGGCTTAGGCAGAAAAGGGGAATTCACTGACTAATTTAACTGAAAAGTAGATGCAGGCACAGCTGGATCCAGTTAAACAAAACCATCAAGAACCAGTCTCCTTCATTCATTATTGCTGCTTTTCTCATGCTGGCTTCAGTCTCACTGATACTGGCAAGACTGGCTGCCAACAGCTCTAGGCTCATATCATATGCTTTTCAGCATCCCCAGCAAAAAAGAAAATGCATATTCCCTGAGAGCTTCAGAATGCCCCTAGAATTTCATTTCTTTGGCTCTGATTGGCCTGGCTTGGGTCACATGATCATCCCTAAGCCATTCACCAAAGTCAGAGGGTGTCGTGATGATTGGTCAGGCGTGGAGCTGCAGGTAGAGTCACTTTTCATCTGGGCCATATGGCTGAAAAGTGGGAAAGAGGAGCCCCAGAGGAAACCAGGGTACTGTCACCAGAAGAGGGAATGAATGCTGAGCAGCCAAAAAAAAAAGTCCACTTCATTGGCTCTTGCTCTTCTATGAGATGAAGTCCCCAATCTAGAATTCTAGCATCTGATATTTTTGTGGCCCTCTGGGCAGCACTGTTTCTAGCCTGCCCTGGAGGTGCCCATCCAGGGTGTGAGGTCCAAGGCAGAGAAGATGGGGTGGTGAGTCCTGCTGTCCCTAGCTACAAAGAGGACGCAAGCGTCTGGTGATGCCTCCCCATCAGCTAGCTGGCAAGTACCCACCTGCCTCCCTGCCCACCACAGCAGCCCCAAGGCAAGGCCACAAGAGGTGATGATCCACAGAGTGAACACAAAGCAGCATCAGAGAGTCCAGAATCTCAGCACCCTTTCGAGCCCCTCTGCAAATCAGGATGCCTACATTCGGCAGCTTTATCCCTGAGCTCTGGCCAGAGGGACATCACCTCTGTGCATCTCAAACTCCATTCCATTGTGTACATGGCTTCCCCTGGGCCCCAAAACCAAACCCACACAGAGCCTGAGCTCCCCATGCAGTAGAGGTCTCACCAGCAAGACTTGTTTCCAATAGGTCTGTTTATGGATGATGCTGGATCTCTTCCAGATCCGCCTCTCCTGATTCACTCTCCACCTTGATCCATGTTCTAAGAAGCTTATCTTTATGGACTTCATTGACAGGCTCCTTGGCCGTCCGCCTCCTGGTTAGGTTTGTTCAATGGGAAGCATCCATAGGAGATCGGGAGAGGGTGGGGAGAAGTTGGAATGTCGATTCCTTCCAGGTCACCATGGGTTGTCTCTGTCCCTTAATGAAGGTCATAGCTCCTGTTGCATGATCCTCCCAACATGGCTCTCCCTTTGGGACTAGCAACTACCCCTTCAAGCCTCGTTGGTGACAGCTCCCCACTGTTACTGGCCCGGGGCTACTGCACCGTCCATTATGGTTTTCATAAACCCTGACACACCTTTTCAAATAATTCTGCTAATAACTGTCCTCTGTTACTCAGAGTGTGTCATCTGATTCCTGCCAACACCCTGTCTAATCCATGGCCCATTCCATGTGACCCCTTGGCTTTCCCAAGGCAGAGTCCAGGTATCTTCCGGAGCATCAAAACTGAAAGGAACCTGCTCTTGTGGCTTTAAAACTTGCAGCAGAGGAGCATCAGCTTAAGTGGCAACCCTCACAATGAGGCTTTGTCATAAGAAAGTAGTGGTGGTAACAGCACAGATGAGAATCAAAAAGAGATTAAGCGACGTGCAGGTGGAAGACTTTACATTGACTGCTAAGAGGGAAGAGTGCTGCAGGCCAAGAGAAGAAGGAACGGCATGTGCAAACACCAGAGGCATGAAGCAGCCTGGGAGGACTAGGGAACCTCATGCAACTCAGCATAACGTCAGCAGAGGATGCAGGGCAGAAAAGGGGGAGCCTTGAATGGCATGCTGGTGAGCTTACATTTTATTCTAACAGTAACGGAGAGCAAATCAGGGGCTTCTTATTCTCAGATCTAGAGAGAAGCCAGATTGCAGGGAGGAAGGCCAGTGAAGAGTCTGTTTGGGATTGAGAATCTGGCAGTAGGGATGGAGAAAAAAGGAGAAATAGAGAGAACTCAAGAGATTGTATATCTGAGACTTGGTGACCATCTGGCAGTGGGTGAAGGAGGCATTTTACTGAGACCCAGAGAAGTGGAGCAACTTGCCCAAGGCCGTCTAGAAAATCAGCAGTCTTATGGCACACTGAACCAAGGTCTTTTGACCCCAGTCAGGACTAAGTGCATTTCTCAGCAACTTGTAAATTAAAGTCGATCTGATGTTCGATGTAATCAATTCTGCAGACTCTTGCTTGCTGAACTGCCCACCTAAGGACCTCAAACTCCGTAACTCCCTTGCCTTCACATACCCAAGATGATTTGGAACATGCTTCCTTATCTCCCATGTGTATACACCTCCTTCTCAGCACAAGGACTGTATTTGAGCACTTGGTCCCTTTGGATAAGAAGAAAGCTGCCTGTTCCTCACCCTAGAAATAAGGCAATGTCTTTGGCACACACCACCCTGGATTCCTCTGACATCTTAGGTATCCGGAGCTTTTCAGAGGAAAATTCTGCAATGAGACAAGGGCAGAAGCCAAAACAGTTTTCGAAGCAGCAAAACATCACAGAAAGGGGCTAAAGAAATTGGCCTTCCAGTTGTACTGTGCCTCTAGCTAACCTGGCAACCTCAGGTTCTCTTCCTTCCTACAGGTTGGGATGAATGAAGGGCATGTAGAGTGGTTAGACTAAGTGATTTCCACAGTCCTTTTCAAATATAACTCCCTGTGCTACTGTGAATGATTCCAGGATTAAGAGACTCAGTTTCAAGTCTTGTTTGTGTCACTGGGGAAATCACTTAATGTTTTGAGCCATCTTTTCCTCATCAGTAAAAATAGGAGAGATGACAACAATCTCACTGTATTGTTCATGCCTATCTCAAAGGGCTATTGTATCTCAGAGCTCAACAGGCACTAACTCACAGCAGACTAAAGGCAAACAGGCTAGAATCAGGCCAGGTGACCTGCAGAAGGATAACATAGGTCACAGAGATCACATTCTCAGCACCAAAGTTCCCCAGGAGGTGATGGAGTCCCCACCGTGGGGTCCAGCCAGAGACAAGGAATCTGGAAAGAAAGATACTCCCTGGCTCCATTCCTAGGAGAAGGAGCTTGTTATCCTCAAGAGTACAGAGGACAGTTCAAGGCTGTACTGTGAGCCTCCAAAGGTATCAAAACCCTAGGCATTCTTCGAGGAGAGGAACTTGGAACTGGGATCAAGACGGGGGCACCTAGGCAGGGGCTGCAAGGAGGACACAAGCTCAGAAACTGGCGGGAAAGTCCTGTCACAGGATCAGAACTGTTAGTGGGTAAAGCAGGCAGCCACTTGAGGAACCAAGCAGGGGACCAGAATTAGGCTAAATGAGAAGCAGGCTCAACACCCATTTCCTTACAGTCGGAACCCAACACGTTCGGGAATCACTCAGGAACTAGGGAAGAGCAACAACTGAAGATGGCGCATCTGTGTGCCCAGCTACGGAGAGCTGGGATGGTAGACCAGGAAGGTGAAGCACAAGAGAAGAGAAGTTAACAGCTACGAGAAGCAGCTGAAATGGTGACTTGGAAGGCACTTTGAAAACTATAACACACTCTGCAGACAGAAGGCGGCAGTCTTCTCCCTCTTGGTTATCTGGAATCTTAGGAGGCAGTGTGACGTCGTGAAAAGTGCGTGGGATGTGAATTCCATAAATTAAACCCTGCCACATGTGAGTTGTGTGACTCTGGGCGGTTTCTTTAATCTCTCTGAGATTTCGTTTCCATCCAAACCTGTTATACCCTTCCTCCCAGGCACATGGCTAGTCCACATTTCCCAACTTCCCTTGCACTTAATGAGTGGCCAAATGACTAATTTTCACCAATGGAATGTGAACAGAAGTGAGATATGCCACTTCTGAGATGGAGCTTTAAGAAAGAGGCTGTGCCTCTGCCCCACTATTTCCCCTCCCACGGTTAGAATCTGACTAAGTTACATGCTGACTAGAACAAGGCCCTAGGGAGTAGCAGAACCGCAAGATGAAAGAAGCCTGGATCCCTGAATCGCCATGTGGAGAGACACTCACCCAAATACCCTGGACTATTAATAAATCAGAGGAATAAACTTCCACTGGGTTTAAGCCATAAACTTTTGGATTCATTTGTAAAGTCTAGCCTGTGTCAGCTAAGACCCAGAAACAGACCTGGGAGTTCATTTACAGTGTATTTAGGCCATGTGTCTCAAGGAGTTGTGCAAAGTCTAAGAGCTCGAAAGGTGGGACATTGCTATGGTTTGAGTGTCCCCACCAAAACTCCTGTTGAAATGTAATTGCCAGCCAGACACAGCGGCTCACGCCTGTAATCCCAGCACTTTGGGAGGCCGAGGCAGGAGGATCACTTGAGATCAAGAGTTCGAGACCAGCCTGGCCAACATGGTGAAACCCTGTCTCTACTGAAAATACAAAAATTAGCCAAGTGTGATGGCACACACCTAAGGCCCCAGCTACTTGGGAGGCTGAGGCATGATAATCGCTTGAACCTGGGAGGCAGAGGTTGCAGTAAGCCTAGACTGCACCACTGCACTCCAGCCTGGATGACCAAGCGAGACTCCATCTCAAAAAAAAAAAAAAGAAAAAAAGATTAATTGCCAATGTAATGGTGTTGGGAGGTGGTGCATTTAAGAGGTGATTAGTTTGTTATGATAGATTAATGTCTTAGTTCTCACAGGAATAGATTAGTTCTCATGGGACTGGATTAATCCCTGTGAGCATGAGTTGTTATAATGTGAGGACACTCTTGTGTTTTGTCCCTTCACAAGTGTCCAATCCCCCTTGACCTTCCACCATGTTATGATGCAGCATGGAAGCCCTTGCCAGAACCAAGCAGATGCCAGTAACAGGCTCTAGGACCTTCCAGCACCAGAATCATAAGCTACCTAACCTCTTCTCATTATAAATTAGCCAGTGTCAGGTATTCTGTTATAGCAACACAAAATAAGCTAAGACATGAAAAGTTATTCATAAAGTGATTCTCCATGTTGGGCACCACAGTTGCAACAAGAAACCCCTCATTGATTTTTCCTTTTTTTTTTTTACTTGAAATATTGAAATAATCCTAATGATAATATATTTTTTAAACTCTCTGAATTCCATTTTTTAAAAATCCTGTCCTATTTTGGACTCTGCAACAAACCTACTCCAAAGAATCAGTATGGGATTTTGGACCAACCGTTCCTCATTTAGTAAGGCAGTAAAAATCTCTGCTCCAGAATACTCTAGAAACTCTCTAGAACTGTACCATTGTAGATGGATGAACACTCTAAATAGCTGAAGATTTGCCTACTCTCTTAAGCACCAGAAGTTTTTGACTGAAAACATTTCTTAAAGTGTTTTATTTCTTTACTATCGTAACTTTTTATTACAAAAAGTAGAAAATATAGATCAGAGAAGAAAGAATATTGAATCTAAATAAGAAACTGAGCACATATGCCTACCTCCCCTCCCACTCCCCTAAAATGATTCAAAAGATCAGATTAGCTGGGCCTGATTCCAATGAAGGGGGTGGTAAATCTTTGACTTATTTTTCATATTCTTCTGTGTTTATAAGTCAATTCTAGCTCTCTGTATTTAACAAAATTGGATTGAAAGAATACTGGAGAAGCAAGAATAGCAAACTAAGATTCCAGTGTCCGGAATTCTAGTTCTAGCCATAAACCTGTGACCTTTAGCATGCCTTTTTCCCAATCAAAAGATGAGGAACTTCGGCTAAATTATTCCTAAGTTTCCTACCAGCTCTGTATCGTTTAGGGTCCAGCAGGAAACAGATGAAACATTCAAATTGGGTAATTTGAGAGGCGGTTGTAATAAAGGGACTATCTGCAAAGGTTTGAGCTGGGAGTAGGGAAACCACAGGAGCCGGTGCACTGCCCTAGAATAAGAACATCCCTAGTCCTAGAGCAGTAAAGGCAGGGAGCAGTTACAGGAGCCTAGGGACAGGGCTGGTAGGAGAGGTGCAACACCAACCTCATTCTCCTCTCTCCCTCCAGGAAAACAATTATCTTGGTCCAACCCGCATCAGAAGCCCTTGATGCAGTTGAGACCCACAACTGATACCAGCCTCCTGGGACACAGCAGAGTGGAGAAGAGTGGAGAGCAGGTCTGGAGTGGCAAATGGGAGCTGTCCAGCACAAATTTGTACTGATGATTGCACTAGTGCATGATACTCTATCCTCTGGGCTCATTGAAGGCTTAGATACGTTTCTCTTCACTTACTGTCAACCACATGTTTGGCTCACTCACCTATGAGTTTTTCGTGCCCAATCCAAAATGTACTAGGAGGCCGCATCACCAGATTCACTAAAAGGCACTGTATAATGTAAACGCGGAGGCAATGAGCTATGACCTAGGGGGCTTAACTCTGGTAACAACGGAGCTTGGGAGTACATGGACACTAGTGGTGTTCCTTTTGGCTACTCAGGGGCCCTTTATGTTTGTTTCCTGGCCTGCTGCTGAGCTCTAGACTTTAGCAAGTCCTTGAGCCTCAGGGACACTGGACAGTGTTAGAGGAGAAAAATATCAGCTTTCTCCAGCCCTGGTGCTCTTGACAGTACAAACATCTGCAACTTCGGTGCACAGCTGCACTTACTCTAAACAGAGATCAGTATCAGAGATTTGTTCCTGAATAATATAATTTATTAAACTGATATGTGCCTAGATATGTGTCCAACTCTACCCCCTGTGAAAAGAGTGTGTGTTCCCTTTCCCAAAGTCCATGGAACAATCACAAAATTGACCAGATACAGGACAAAACAAAAACAGCAATAAATTTTGAACTGTAGAAATAATACAGACCATTTTTCTGAGCACAATGCAATATAGCTAGAAATAAGCAAAAGCAAGCAAAAAAAAATCAACTTGGAAATTCAGAAAGTACTCAGTTAAACTTTGATAAATATCCACCTAAAGAATAAATCAGTTTCATACTATTTTAATATAGTGGTAATCAGAAATTTATATAGCAATCCTGTTGTATCTGGAAGAAATCTGCACTTACAAGAAAAGGTGTAGTCTTAAACACTATTATTATTAAACAAGAAATAATGAAAATAAACTAAGCATTCAAGAAGTTGAGGGGACAACAAAACAAATCTAAAGCAAGCAGAACAAATAATATAATAAATAAACATATAGGTATATATTAATGAGCTAGAAGAACAATAGAATTGACAAATAAATTGGAAGTCTTAATAATATGATTTAAACTCTTGTAAGAAAAGACAAGTAATATAAAAACACAAAATCAGCCCTTAAAAAGGGGAAGTAACACGTGGAGAAAATTAGAAAAACTGTAAGATAATATTTGGTAGGGCTATTTAATAAATTGGGAAATGTAAATAAATTATCTTGGGAATTATAAATTACCAAGATTGACTCAAAAAGAGACAGGAAAAACTAAATAAATCAATGATAATGTAAAAATTATCCATGGCTAAGTGGGGTTTATCTAAGAAATACAAGCATGCCTAAATATTGGAAAATATATTAATGTACTTCAGTTGCCTAACTGGCAAATCCAAACAGATGAATTAAAATTTTAGAAATAAGAATGATTCAGGATTCAGGCCAATAACAGCTTAAAAATAAATATATAAATAGCAATCATTTTCTTATATACTAAGACAGCCCCGTTTTTTAAAAAAATAGGAAGGAGATCTTATTTCCAACAGTAA
Organism: Homo sapiens; assembly: GCF_000001405.40. Classification (NCBI taxonomy): domain Eukaryota; kingdom Metazoa; phylum Chordata; class Mammalia; order Primates; family Hominidae; genus Homo; species Homo sapiens. The sequence goes on along the minus strand of NC_000015.10, from coordinate 79,098,335 downwards.
CTGCAAAACATATCTAGAAATAAATTAGATAAGAAATATTCAAGACATGTATAAAGAAAAGTGTAAAATTCCACCAAAAGATTTTTAAAAACAAAGAATTGGCATGACACCTTTTTCCTGAATAAGAAGACAAAACATTTGTAAAAGTATTCATTCTTCCTAAACTAATAAACATTTTCAATGTAATTCCAGCTGAAACCTCAATGAGACTTTTTTGAAACTAGACAAACAGAGTATGAATTAATCTTGAAAAGTAAATACAAAAGAATATTCAGGAACAGTATAAAAAGGAAAAGTGATGAAGATGTGTCTGTACCAGCAGCTTTCAAAATGAATAATAAAGCAATAAGAAATAAAATCATGTGTCAGTGGCATAAGAACAGATGGACAGAACAATGGGACAAAAAGTGAAATCTGGAAATAGTCCCAAGCATGGACAAGAATTTGGTATATGATAAAAACGCTACTTCTTATCAGTAGTAGAGTTTGAATTATTCAAACAAGTGGTGGTAGACAACTTGCCAGCCATTTGAGGAAATTAATAATAAAGCCAGACCCTAACCTTAATCCTTTCTCAAAAATAAATCCAAATGAATTAAATGATAAATGCAAAAAATAAAACTACAAAAGAAAATACAGCAAATACGTTTCAATCTTGAGCTAGCACGGTGGGGGGGCGATCTAAAATCAGAAACTATTAAAAAAAGATTTGTCAACATTCATTTAAAATTTGTTACAACATACACAACATATAGATATGGATACACAGGATTAAAATACAAATAACAAAGTGAAATAAGCCAGTCACAAAAAGACAAATACTGTTGTATGATTCAGTTACCAGAAAAAGGGGTCTCACTGCAGACCCCAAGGGAGCATTCTTGGATCTGAGGCGGGAAAGAATTCAAGGTGGGTCACAGAGTATAGTGAGAAGAGATAGTTTATTGAAAGCAATTGCATTACAGAGTGGGGTGTCCTCAGAAAGCAAGCAGAGAAATGCACCATCTTTAAGATTTTATTTTATAGGGTCTTGTCTATGCAAAGACGAAACTAAGCTGTGCCTATATGCGGGTGAGCAGGCAGCATGACAAAATTTATTATTCTATTGATTTAAAGAAAACTGTCCTTGACATTTTAGTGTGTGAGTACACCGAAGCCTAACTATTATTATCTTGAAAGCACACGTTGTTATGGGTATTAAGACATCTGGCTTTCTGATGTTGTAGGTGTGTGTCCTTGTGGGTTTTCTTCAACTATAAACATCTTTGGACCATGGGTTGCAACTGGCACAGAATGTGCCTTGCTAGTTCTAAGATGGAGCTGAACTTAAAACGGCTTTACTCTGGCGCTCCTAGGCTTCTGCTTCCCTAACAATTCCATTTATGTGGTACTTAGAATAGCTAAATTCATAGAGATGGAAAGTGGAACGTTGGTTGCCAGGGACTGGGGAGAAGGGGGAATGGGGAGTTGTTGTTGAAGGGGTACAGTGTTCCAGTTTTACAAGATAAAAAGGGTTCTGGAGATGGATGGTGGTGGTGGTTGCACAACACGGTGAGTGTATTTAATACCACTGAACTGTACGCCTAAAAATGACTAACATGTAAACATTATGTGTATTTTACCACAATGAGAAAAAGACAGCACTATTTCCAGCATGTATGATAGCCAATGGTTAATATCCCTAATATATAAAACACTGTGATAAATCTACAAGAAAAATATAAACACGACTGCCAAAATAAAGATATAAAACAAAAATTCAAAAAGAACAAATGTGAATGACTGTAAACATGTTAAAATGTCTAACCTCACAACTTTAAAAAGAAATTAAAATTAATACAAGAAGGAATATCATTTTTTGCCCTTTCAAAATGGGCAAATATTTAAGAAACTGGCAATATTAATATCCAGGATTGACAAGTCAATGGAGAAATGAACTGTTTCATCCACTGCTGGTAGCCATGTAAGGAGTAAAAGCTCTCTGAAAATCAAGTAACACAAACCAATGTTGCAAATGTGCATCATTTTAACCCCGAAGTGCAACTTTCAGAAATTCAGCCTAAGAGAGCGAAGTGTATATAAAAAGATATTAATTGCATTATTTCCAAAAACTATGAATTGAAAACAACCTAAATCCCCAATCAGAAAGAATCCATTAATTAAATCTGTAGTAATATTTAAAATGTCCCCACATACTGTTAAGTAAAGAGACAGCAAGAGATTGAGATCATAAAATAGCATAGCATAGTTTCTGTATTCCAGAAACACACTTTGGTAGATATATTTACTTAGGAAAAGAGGATTGTATAGAAAAAAGTGATCATTGGAGAAATTATCTGTTTATTTTCTATATTGTCTAAGTTTTTTACAAAGAGCCTGCAGTAATTTTAATCAAACGGAATACTATGGCTATTTTCATTGGCTAGAAAGTAAAAGCGTAAATCGCTGGTGTCCGCAGTTGGATGTCTGGGCAAAGCTGACCAATTGAGCCCAAAGTTGGAGTAGTAAATCCCCAAGGGCAAAGCCTCCATTTCCAAGTCTGCTTCTGACCCCTTGTGCTTAAGTCTTCATTTCTTTAAATGACATGGAAACTACATTTTTCTTATGGAATATGTTGCCAAGGAAGCAGAGGTTCTCTAGATATTCCATCCACACACACGCTGCATGCCCCACACACATACACACCATACCACTCAGAAACTTCCACACATGCAATAGACAACACACATCACACACACACATACACACACACACACACACACACACACACACACACTAGAAATCCTCACTAGCGGGCACCTCCCATCCAGTCAGACCCACAGGACACCCATCTCAACAAATGCTTAAGTTGAGCTCCAGTCCAAAGTCTAATCAAAATCCCACATGAAGACTTAGCAGGATTTTGAACTGGGCAATGTCCCTGTCATTAGCTAGCCATTTCTAAATGCAGAGACCAAACCCACCAAAATATTCCTTAATTCTCCTTCTTGATTCTTTATCTACAGAGACCTCAGCCCACAGGGCTGGGAGGTGGGAAATCCAGGAAGCCAGTTCTTCTGGGATGAGGCCTGGACGAGCAGTCAGAGTACCTCATCCCAGCTCCTCCCTGTAAGACTCTGTGCATGTTGTTTCCACTGTCTGGGCCTCAGTTTTCCCATCTGTGAATGGGATTATTAACCCTTATGCAAATCCTTCTTGGGAGAATGGAATGAAGCATGGCAAAGCCCAGATGCACCTACGGTGCTCCTGTAGACATCCTCTCCACCTTTGAGGGAGGGTTGACCTCAGGACTAGTGGACAGCACACATGAGAGCTAGGTGTGCCCACTTCCACCAGCTATGGCAGGGAATGCCTACCCCCTTCTTGGCATTCCCCACCCCAGCCCAAGCTAGGGCCGGCCTGGTAAACGTTGTCTTCTTAGCCAGCTAACTTAAGCACCTTCCAGGGGCTCTGAGCTCTGACTAGTATTGAGGCAAACGACCACAGAGGGGCCAATCAGCTCTTCTCCGGTTTCCAGCTGTGGGGACTGGAGAGAAATCAATATGCACACAGCTCAGATGGGAGTAATCAAAGCGCCAGGGCTGATGCCACCCCCCTCTTTCTCACAGAGAGGTTTTAAGCCAAGCCCAGCCCTCCTGCATGGACTGGCCCACGAGGAATTCCTGTAACTCCAAGACCAGCAAAAGGAGGTGGCTCAGACTCCCCAATGCCAGCAAGGGGAAGGAGGGAGTGGAGAGCAGATGTTCTTGGCCCAGGCTTTAGACCAGTGGTTCTCAACCCCAGCTGTGCATTGGAATCATCTGGGGAGCTTTTAAAAGCACAGATGCCCAGGGCCCACCCTCAAAGTTTCTGACTTAATTGGCCTGGGGTTCAGCCTGAGCACAGAGATTTTTAAAACATCTCCAGGTGGTTCCAAAGTGCACCAGGGCTGAGACTCACTGAAGTGGGTTCATTTTTTTTTTTTTTTTTTTTTTTTTTTGGAGACAGAGTCTCGCTCTGTCACCCAGGCTGGACTGCAGTGGTGCGATCTCAGCTCACTGCAACCCCCGCCTTCCGGGTTCAAGCAACTCTCCTGCCTCAGCCTCCTGAGTAGCTGGGACTACAGGTGTGTGCCACCACACCTGGCTAATTTTTTTGTATTTTAGTAGAGACAGGGTTTTACCGTGTTGCCCAGGCTCATCTCGAACTCCTGAGCTCAGGCAATCCGCCTGCCACCTCTCATCGGAATCTTTCCCCCAGATCCAAGGGAAGATGGTTTTCTTCCTGCTACACTAAGGGTCAGACAGAGAAGGCATGCTTGGGCATCCCTTGTAAGACAGGGACTGTATTTTGTTTATCACTGTATCCCCAGTGGCCCACCCATGCCTGGCACAGATGAAGGGCTAAATGAACACTAGTGGAATGAAATGTGTGTGAATGAGTGAATGAATGAATGAATCCCATTGCCTCCCACCTCTCGAGTGCCCTAGAACTTTCAAAGTGTGGTCTGCAAACCAGCAGCTTTTCATGACCAGGGAACTTGTTAGAAATGCAGATTATCAGGTCCTGTCCCAGATCCACTGAAAGAGAATCTGCATTTTCACAAGATCCCCAGGTGATTCATGTGCACGTGACCATATCATGAGTTCTCCCGTATATGAGCGGTTCTCCACCTTCACTGCACATTACAACTACCCATGAAAGTGTAGCTAGCCCACCCATGATCTCTGGGAAGTGCTTGTTAAGTGCTCCCAGGTGATTCTGATGTGCAGCCCAGGTTCAGAACCTATGTACCATAAGTCCCTCTGCCACAGCAGCCTCTGTGCAGGCTCAGCCTTGACTCCAGCCTACCTGGGAGACCCTCTCTTGACCATCGTACCCCCTCTTGGGATAAAAGCCAACCTCCCTGCAACCCAGGGACCACCCACTTAGCTCTACAAAGACCTCTGGGACAGACTGCCCCGTTCAAATCCAACCTCCGCTGCTTCCTAGCTGAGCGGCCCTGAGCAAGTCATTCAACTCTCCCATGCATCAGTTTCCCCGTCTGTACAATGGAGCTCATTGGGGAAAAAAATAAACTTACTACATTGGGTTGCATGACGATTCAATGGCTTAATTGATCTAAAGCACTTAGAACAGTGCCCCTTCCCTGAAGTTTTCTTGGCTTCTGTAACAGACTTCCGAATAAAAGAGTTTAGATAAAGAAAGGCCAGATTAAGAACCTCAATCCTGCAAACTCTGCTTCCATGAAGAGAGCAAATGAGAAGAAAAGATGGTGATAGTGTAGGGAAAATTAAGACTGAATGAAAAGGCTTAGCCATCTAGCCTATTTTCATTATTTGTGAAGAAAAATCAGCACCACTGAGTCCTTGGGGTCCCTAGGACTGGAACGATGGCACTAGAGGGAGGACTAAGGTTAACAAGGCCAGTTCCTCCCCCAAAATGCTCCCACTCCAGGAACACAGGCCTGCCTCACTGTGCTCAGGACAGGGGCAGCTCCATTCCTCCACAGCAGAGCTTCTCTGTGGATTCTTCCGTGACCTACACAGGGCTGCCTGGTTTCCAAGCCCTTCCCTAGGGCTCCAAACTAGGGTGTGTGTGTGTATGTGTGTGTGTATGTGTGTGTGGTGTGCTGCATGTGTTGTGTGAGGTGTGATGCGTGTGTGTGTGCAGCCCAGGTTTGGTCTGTGGGAGGGGTGTGTTATGTGGTGTGTGTGTGGTGTGGTGTGTGTGGTGTGGTGTGCATGGTGTGTGTGGTATGTGTGGTGTGTGGTCTGGTGTGTGGTGTATGTGTGGGTGTGGGTGTGTGTGGTGTGTAGGGGTGTGTAGGGGTGTGTGTGGTATGTGGGTGTGGTGTGTGTAGTGTGTGTGGTGTGTGGTGTGTGGTGTGGGGAGTGTGGGGGTGTTGTGTGTAGTGTGTGGTGTTTGTATGGTGTGGGTTGTGTGTGTGTGTGGCGGGGGGTGTGGGGGAGTGTGGGGGGTGTGTATGTGGCATGTGGTATGTGTGTGGTGTGTGGCATGTGTGTGGTGTGTGTGTGGTGTGTGGTGTGTGTGTGGTGTGTGTGTGGTGTGTGGCATGTGTGTGGTGTCTGTGTGTGGTGTGTGTGGCGTGTGTGTGGTGGGGTGTGGGGGGGTGTGGGGAGTGGTGTGTGTGTAGGGTGTGTGGTGTGTGTTTGGTGTGTGTGGTGTTTGGGTGTGTGGTGTGTGTGTGGTGTGTTGGTGTGTGGTGTATGGTGTGTGTGTGTGGTGTGTGGTGTTTGTGTATGCGGTGTGTGTGGCGTGTGTGTGTGCGTGTGTGGTGTGTGTGGTGTATGGTTTGTGTGTGGTGTGTGCGGTGTGTGTGTGTGGTGTGTGTGGTGTGTGTGTGTGGTGTGTGTGGTGTGTGGGTGTGTGGTGTGTGGTGTGTATCTGTGCGTGTGTGGTGTGTGCTGTGTGTGAGTGTGGGGTGTGTGTGTGTGTGTGTGTGTGTGTGTGTGTGTGTGTGTGTGTCGGGGGAGGGGTATACGCAGTTTCCGTGCGGAAAGATGGTGTCTTTCCTTCACAGGGCTGCGCGGGCACCCATCCCCGCTGCAAAGCGCCCGGGCCAGGCGCGGCTTGCTCCGGGTCGGGGCGAGCTCGCTGCCCTCTGCGGCAGACAGCGATGCGCGCTCCCCGCCCCAGCTCCCGGCTCGCCCGGCGGCCCGCGCGCCCTCCCGGTGCAGCATGCGGGCGCTGTGACGTTCTCGGATAAATGCCGTGTAACTGTGTAGGCGAATGAGAGCTAAAAATAAGAACGGAAAATCTATCATTAAGGTATCATTGCGCCAGCGCAGCTATTTGAAGGCTCCCATGGTCCCCGGCGCCTGCGTTTGAAGCCCGCCTTCAGGCTTTGGGGGGTATTTGCAGAAAACTCCCAGCAGCGGCTCGCCAACCAGACCTCAGGGTGCACGGGGGGTGGCGCCGGTAATTATGGCAACTCTCAAAATAAAATAATATAAAATAAAGTAACCAACGTTCACCAACCACCACCCCATCTCACCCCCTGTACTGTCCTCAGGTAGCTGGGGAAGCCGCCGGGAGTGCAGCCGGATGCTGGAATTCAATGTGACCCGGCTGACTATGCAAAGACTAGGACTGGACGCTTTTGCAGCTCTATTTCGCCACCCACCTTCCTCCTTCCACCTCGTATTAGAAATAAAGTGGGGGGGGGGGGCGAGCCTTTGGAGGAGAAAATGACAACTGGCACTTAACCCCAGGTCTACAGTGCGCCGCGGTGGGGCGCAAAGACGCAAACTCCCGGGATGGCGAGCCTTCGGGGTTTCATTGGGTTAAACGAAAATTGATCTGATTTGCTTTTTAACATCCGAGGGAGAGAAGGGGAGATGAGGGGAGGGAGGGCAGGGTTTGAGTGTGTGCGTGTGCGTGTGCGTGTGTGTGTGTCTGGGGAGGGGGAGGAGGCACCAAGTTGCAGCCTGCGCGCGGCTCTGCGCCTCGGCGGGGCTGCGTGCGTGTGTCCCTGTCCGCGCTGCTGAAACGGGCTCTTCGAGGGATCGGCGTCACATGACTCCGCCTGCCCCTCGCCAGCGCGCAGATCGCCAGTCCCTCAGTTTGCCCGGCACCGGAGGAGGGTCGGGCGGCATCTTCCGGGTACTGGGGCTCTGCGGAGCGGAGAAGAGGTTCCAGCGGGGAATGGTATATCTGGATTCAAGAAGCCGCGGCTCGGCGCCAGATCCTGGAGTGTAGATATTTGGGGGGAGGGGAGAGCTAGAGGGAGCGAGCGAGCGAGCGCCAGAGAGAGGCAGCGCGCAGCGCGCACGGACGGGGGGCTGCTGCGCGGAGAAGATGTAAGCGCGTGGGGTCTCGCTGGCCTCTGAGCACCATGCAGAAGGGGATCCGGCTGAATGATGGCCACGTCGCGTCCCTGGGACTGCTGGCGCGCAAGGACGGCACGCGCAAAGGCTACCTGAGCAAGCGGAGTTCGGACAACACAAAATGGCAAACCAAGTGGTTCGCGCTGCTGCAGAACCTGCTCTTCTACTTCGAGAGCGACTCGAGCTCGCGGCCCTCGGGGCTTTACCTGCTGGAGGGCTGCGTCTGCGACCGCGCGCCCTCCCCCAAGCCGGCGCTGTCGGCCAAGGAGCCGCTGGAGAAACAGGTGAGGCGAGCGTCGCGTCCTGACCTCCCTGCGTCCCGGCCGCGGCCCTGGGGGCTCAGGGCCTTCGGCTGGCTGATGGCGCTTGAACTTTGGCCCCTCTACTCTTGGCGCCCTAGGCGCTCTCTGCACCCTCAGCGAGAGGGGAGGCTTGCTCCCAGCCAGGCGAGTGACTGCGGCGGGCAGAGGGGGCAGGGATTGAGGGCGGGGAGTAGATGTGGGCTGCGGCTGCCCTTCGCCGGACGAGCCCCGTGGGAGGCGGGTACAGAGGGGCCGACACCTGGAGATGCAGAGGAAGATGGGGTCCTAAGGACCAGAGACGATGAGTCTGGACACACGTCCAGCCAAAAATGGTGCTCCCAACCCCCACTCCCACCGCCCAGCCCTAATAGCCCCGATCGTCTGTTCTACACCGGGAACGTGTAATTCCCCGCGCTTAGGCATGGGAAGGGCAAGACGGAGGCGTCCGAGCGCTGCCAGCCCTTGCCTCGCCGCAGCTGAGGGCGGAGAGCGGTCTGCGCTAGCTCCTCGGAGTTGGGCTGGGGTTATGGGGCTACACGGGTCGGTTCGGTACCATCGAGCGGTGGTGGGCTCCCAGCTGGCGGCCGCCGGAGCAACAAGCCCAAAGATTCCCAAGGACCGCTCTGATGCGCCGGGGCTAGGGCCAGGGCTGCTGCGGAGGCAGCGGGACGAAGTGGGCGCTTCTCTCCTCCCCCGCCCCCTGCGCCGCCGCCGCCGCCGCAGTCGCGGCTATAGCGCTGCGCTCTGGTTTCCTGAGCTGCAAGGCTGAAGAGCCAGGCCTGGCTCTAACAGGGAGCCCGGGCGGGGTGGGGGTGAGCCTCTGGCGTGAAGGGAGGAGGGGCACCTGCAGAGAGAGCCACCTTTAAGCTTGGTGCGCTTTCCAAAAGCATCTGGTCCAGTCCCTTGCCACTAGGAAGATAAAGCAGATGATAGTGGATCCTAAAATGCCACTGCAGGCAGGAACCTTCCATCCATAGGGCCTAACGGCTGGTGATTGCCTAGATGGGGACACTGAGGCCCAGAGAGAGAAATTCACTTGCCCAGCGTCATGCAAGTTGTTGAGGCCGTCCCAATGTTCTGAAAAGACAACCGAGATCTCAAAAGCCACTGCTGCATGAAGACACAGACTGGTGGTGATTGAATTGGTTGAAATAAAAGCATCGCTTGAAGTCTTCCTCCCAATTGTCAGGACAGAGATCCGAGCTCAGTCTCTCTAGCACATCTCTTCCTTCCCTACCTTCAGCCAATGGGTGTTAGGAGATAGTTTCTGAGGACTGGGAAGTGTGGACAGGAATTTTTGAGGGTGGGTCCCTGGGGATGACAAGCCATGTGGTGAGCAGGGGCTCCCAGATGGAAAGAAGAGCAAAGAGCAGGCAGCTCCTTAAGCTTCAGCTCAAATGGAGCCTGGGGAACTCATGTGGAAGAGCCAGTCCCAGGCCAGACTAGAGAATTTGCTCTCAGCCCTTCAGAACTTGCCCCTCTCCAGCCAGTGTCTACCCATATACCCATACCTACCCGGGGCCTGCAGCCCAAGCCCCAGCCCCAGCCAGATCCCCCCTCCATCCCTCAACCCACTACACTAGATCACAGAGCTGAGCTCCTGGGTAGGCAGGAAGTGAGGGGTGGGGGAAGCCAAGTTGGCATGGGCTCATATTATCTGTTCTCAGCCCCCTGGACGTGAAGGCAGACAGGCCTGAGACTGAATCTCAGCTGTATGACTTCCTGGCTGTGTGACTTCAGTTAACTTGCTGAACTTCTCTGAGTTTCCATTTTGTAATCTACAAAATGAAGATAATAACACCTACCTTTCTGGGGTTTTGAGAGCCCTACATTAAATAATGTATATGAAAGTAAGCGCCCAATACATTTTAGTTAGATCTAGACGAATCACAGTTGAATCTGAATTATACCCACCTGGACAGAGCTATTTAGGTCACCAGATGTTAAAGTCGAACAGAACCTCAGAGATACAGCCTTCCCATTTTACAGACCAAGAAACTGAGAGGCAAAGAAAGGGAGTTACCCAACAACGGGGTAAATCAGTGGCAGAATCAGACCTAGAATTCATCCAATGCCTAAGAATTCCTGAAAATGAGACCCTACATTGATTTCAAATCATCCAACTCTTGGCCCAGGTATTGAATCATCCTAGCAGTAGATCATGGGAGGAACATCAGTGCAAAACTAATTGATGAGATGCACTCATGTTCAGAGCTGTTTCCCCAGAACACTACTAGTCAGAGATCCTCAGGTTTGTTCACGAGAGCAGCCCTCCTGGCACAAGAGAACAGAACCGGGTTAAAAGTAGCAGATGATGGTCTGGCGCAAATTTCTGTTAAAGACTCATACTTAAATCACATATGTTTATATAGGTTCCATTTGCCTCTAGACCAACTTTGACTCCTGTGGAAAACTAGATCCTGCTCCTTCCGGCTACACATGTGTACAAAAATTCATCGCTGTTTCTTTTCTCAATCTTTGAGTAAAATCGATGGTGCCAGCAGCTGCTCCATGTTTCTCTTTGACTTGGGTGCCCCATGGCATAAGCCACAGAGCCTAGCATGATAGGTCTAACTCCAGGCCATTCTGTGACCAGGCTTGAGCCTACGAGAAGCTTTGGCTCAATCTGCTGGGCATGTACAGAGTGCCTGAGTTGAGAGGCGTCTACGAAGCCATCTGTTTAACTAGACTAGCTGGTGTCTGATGAAGAATTGGTTTCAGCAGGAAGCCATTTTACCAATGTCCAAGCAGACAGCTTCCTCCCTGAAGGGCCAGGGATGGTTTTTGAAGGAATAGAAACCAACTCTTGGCTGGGAACCCCTAAGTGGCTGGGGCAGAATCAGGGACCGTGCACATAGTAGATGCACAGGAAATGCACACTAAGCTGGACTTGTTAGCCTATCATATGTTAATTCCATATTTTATGTCCTCAACCTAGAAGCTGACTGTCACAGGCTGTGAGCCCCTGAGGAAGACAGACATAGATAAGGGTGAGCTCCTCACCCCGTGAAGATGCTCTAATAGCGGGATATGCAAGGCGCTCTGGCACCAAACACCAAGCCCATCCTAACATTGTGCAGTCTCATCTGGCTGTATCCAGACCAGTCTGACTGCCTCTGCTGCAGCCTCAGTGTCCAGGGAGCTCTAGCCTAGGATCCTAAGGCCTCATGAAGTCAGACTGGCACAGCCATGCCCCCTATTCCATCTGGCAGCTGCAAGCCACCTCCCTGGCCTGGGCCCTTTGCTCAGTCCTGACCTCTTCTGCTCCCAGCCCTGTAGCCCACACACTGAAAGCCCAAGTGCTGTTGACTTAGAGCTTGGGTTCATCTTCCCTAGAGGCTGGCCCTTGGTGTTCCATACCCTTCTTTGGCATGGAGTCCCCCAACCCCGACTTTTCCCACTCTCATTCCAAGCTCCCTGAAATAAAATGTCCAGCCCCAGCTTCTCAGTAGGGTACCCAGCCAAACCAACTCCAGCACTCCTTTCACTCTTCCCAACCAGGAAGGGTCAAAATGTGGGCACCAGGCTCTTCCTGATTCTCTTAGGACAGAAGAGACTCAGACAAATCCTGGCAGCCAGAACCTCAGAACCTGATGTTGTTGGAGGTCCCAGAAGCTGGGGGGGGGGGGTCTTAGAACCTGTTGTCTACCCACTTAGTTCCCTTCTCTAGAGACAAGACAAAGCCCCACTCCTGAGTCCTCATGCACAGGACACATTACTGGTTGGCCTGGCAGATTCAGATCAACAACAGCCCCGAGGTTAATGAGTACACTCATTTTACAGATGAGGAAACAATTTCATCTGTGGCTGCCCAGCAAGGCAATGGCAGAAATGAGATGCGTTCTCTGGCTTTCTCACTCTGTAGCTATTCTGTTGTCACCACAAAGCACACCCTCCTTGGAGTTATAACACATTCAACCTCTCAGCCAATCAGAAAAATGAAAAGCTGAATGTAGAAAAATAAGGTTGCTCTAAAAGCAGCAGCCCTTAGACACAGAACCCTGGGACGCTGGTATACATATGGTGCCAACAACGCAGAATGTAAGATGCTTGCACCTATAGGAAACCAGCAAGACTACCCAACCCGTTCCAGACCATGCCCAATCCTAGCAGGTGTGGGGCCCCAGGATCAACTGTGTGGGCTACTCATCACCCACCCCATCCCCCAAATGTTCCTAGAGTTGGAATGAAGTTGAAGAGGCACAGTAATTATGCCTGGAGTGGGACAAGGGAATATCGGCTCCTTGCGCCTATGCTTGGTGACAGTGTGGTGAGGATCAGAAACAAATCGTACATCCACAAGCCTGAACTAAAATTCCACATTGTTTATTCACGCAGCAAACATTTTGGCCCTTGGTGTCAGGCCTGTGGTAGGTCCTTCAGACACAGAGAAGAAGAAAACTTAATCTTTGTCTTCAAAACACTCACAGTTGAGTAGGGAGCTCGCCTCTCTCCTCAAAACTCACTCCCACAGTAATCACCAAGTGATGGCAATTCTTCCCTCCTGAAGAGCCTGGGACTCTTTCTCCCTGCCTTGCCTTGTTCAGGAGCTCATGGAACCCTGCCTGAGACTTATTGTAGCTATTCTGTTGTCACCATAAAGCACATACTCCTTGGAGTTATAGCACATTCAACCTCTCAGCCAATCAGAAAAATGAAAAGCTGAATGTAGAAAAATAAGGTTGCTCTAAAAGCAGCAGCCCTTAGACACAGAACCCTGGGATGTTGTGAAAGCATCAGTGGCTCCCATTGCCTTTAGAAAGATATTCAAACTCCCAACCATGACCTGGAGTACCCAGTAAGATCCACCCTTTGCTGGCCCCTCTAACCCAGAGCCACCCATCCCACTCTCCTCCTTCCTCATCCTGCTTAGGCCACCACTTTTCAGAGCTGCATGTGCCTCCCCTTTCCTATCTCAAGGCTGTGGCAGAAGCCATTCCCTCCACCTGAAATGATCTCCCACCAACCATGCCCTTAGAATGAACAGCTCCTTCTTCTCCTGCAGGTCTTAGCCTAAACGTCACCTCTGTCATCACGTGCATTTACAGCACTGGACTCTTCATTCATACAGCTGATCACAGTCTGTGATTACCTCATGTATTTGGCCAGTTGCAAACCATCCTTCTCCCCACTGGAATGTAAGCACCAGGAGAGCAGGAGGCAGGCAGAGGCAGGAGACTAATCAGGGGCTGCTGGAACCCAGAGTCCAGGTGAGAGAGGTGGAAGCCCTGAGAGGATGAAGGAACGGGGTCTTTACGATTAAAAAAAACTTCACCAAGAGACACTCACGTGGAAAATTGGCAAGACCTGCCATCCCATTGGTTGTAACAGAAAAGAAGACAGGATCAAACCTGAAGTCCATGGTTCTGCCTGAGGCCACCAGGCAGATGCATGTCACCAGTAGAGAGGGGAGAGCTGAAGACAAGCAGGTTTATGGGCAGTGGAAGAGGATGAGTGGCAGTGATCTCATCACATTTAATCTCAGGGAGGTCACATTTGAGAAGCCCAAGGGCAGAAAAGGGCTTTAATGCCCCCACCCTCTAGTATGGTAAGGACACTTATTACAGAAACCAGCGGAGCCCCACGAGGAGGACAGTGGGTGGTGTGTGCTGAGAGGGGTGGACCGAACAAAACGGCATGTGCAGAAGCTCAGCAGGTGGCGGCCCTGTTGTCCAGAGCCCAGGGAATGAAGTGATGTGGCTGCCAGGTGCACCGCAGGGGACGTGCAGGCTGGCTGAGAATAGTGCCAGCTGGGCAGAGCCTCATGAGGTCACTTTGGGGTCTGCCTGCACTCAACGCTTTCACAGCCTGGCCTGGCTGGTCAGCCTTTGCTTGCACTTCTTCAAGAGCAACGAGCCAGCACTGGGAAGTTGAATTTGGCGGCTCGTCTACACTAGGATTTCAGTTTTCAAGACTGCCAGGCAGGTGCCATCACTCCTCCTTCATAGTATTTGCCAAACCTGCACAGGAGAAGTAGGATTTGAACCTTCTCTCCCACTGGGTCACTATAGACAAATCCTTAACTTCCCTTCATCGATGATTTTCTGCCTCATTCTGAGGAGCCCTGGGGGCCACACTCCCACATCAATCAGAGCAGTCCCATTTTTAACTGTTTTATATGTTAGGTTTCCACATGAGATTTTATCTTTCCTAGTGCTTTAAAAAGCTTGACCTTCACCATGAGTTATTACTAAATGCCCTTCAACTCTGCCATGCTATGAATGCAGATTTAAATGTATATAATTTTGTAGCAGGATGTTTCAAAACGCCAGATCAAAAATGTTGAATGACAATAAATACCATTTATTGAGCACCTGCTGTGTGCCAGGCACCAGAGTACATGTTTTACCTACAGCTCTTCCCTTAATTATTCCAACAGCCCTGTGAGGTTATCACTAATTGCCCATTTTCTAGATGACAAAACTGAGGCTCAGAGATGTTAAGTTGTTCAAAGTTACAGAGCAAGTACATGCAGAAGCTGGGCCATGAACCCAGGAGGTCTTCCTGATTCTAAAACCTGAGCTCTTCATCCACAAACACATCATAAAGACTGGCTGGGGACTGTTATTCCTTGCTGTCTATTGCCAAAATACATGGAGAAAGAAAGAGAATTAATAGCAGGTGAAAATATGTCACAGTCGCGCCAGTGATTTTTGTGAAGGCGGCTTTTGTTTCTGCTTGGGTGGGAACCTCGCAACTCTGAATCCCCTGAGCATTGATGGGAAGCGCACCAAGGCAGGCATCCACACCCCACAATCCGGTTTCCCTGGAATCTGTGGGAGCATGGAGCCGGTGCCCGTGTGCGTGCAGCCAAGAACAGAACTCAGCCCCCTGATGTTTATGCAGGAGCACTAGTGACGCGTGGACTTGAGAGAGGTCCAGAACACTGCCAACGCCCAAACACTTCCGTGAGGGCGACTGTCGTGCAGGGAGCAGCTGGGAGGTGTGGACACCCCCACTCTCTGTCCCCGACTCAGAGAGGAGAGTACAGCCCCTCACATGCAGCCTTCATTTCCAGCCTCCAGCCTCCTTCACTGAGGAGTTATTTTGTCCCTGATAGTGAGGCAGCATTGAGAATTCGCAGCCATGGCGACCCGGCATTAGATCCTGGCTCTAAGTCTCGGCTCTGCCACCTCCTAGCTTGGGAAGGCTTTTAAGTTCTCTGAGTCTCAGTTTCCCCATCTCTGTGTTAAACTACACGCTGTTTGGAAAGCCCTAGCACAGCGCAATAGGTGTTATCAGTAAATTGCAGCAGCTGGGGCTTTGGCTTCCACCTTTATGACAAGACTGTTCCTCACTATAGCAGTGACCCAGGTCCCTGGGGTCTCTCGCAGGCTGGAAGCAAGCCAACACTGAGCCCTGACCCTGCATATGAAAATAGGATGGAAATCTTAGCTCAAAGAACCTGTGAGTTCCTGAAAAGGTCCAAGCAAGCAAGCCCTTACCAAAGGACAGATGATTGCTGCAGGAGCTTTCTTCATCCCTGTGGACAAATCATCACGAAGCCCTGTTAGTTTTTCCTCCTGGGTATATCTCTCAGAGCTGTGCCCTCTGTCCCTCTCTTCCTCCACCACTGTGGTCCAGGTTGGCATCACCTCTCACCTGGACTCATCTTACGCAGTGGCCTCCTAACTGGTGTGTCGGTCAGGGTAGGTTGGGTTGTGCTGCAATAACAACCAACCCCCAGATCTCCATCAGCACAACTAAGACTCATCTCTTGCTTGTGCTTTATGTCCCATGCAGCTGGCAGGAGGCCACTGCTCATGATGATCACTCAGGGACCTGGGCTGGTAGAGGCTTGGTCCTGACACCAGCCTCCATGGTCCCCTCCACTGAGGGGAAGGAGTGTGACAGATGTCTCATTGGCTTTTCCCAGAAGGGACCCACTCTGAGCACAGTTCACTAGACAGGGTGAGCCACCTGGCTTTATTTCAGAAGAGGTGCAGAAGTACAGACTTACTGTGTGCCTGGACACAGAGCGCCAGAAAGGCTGAGAGGAGAATATGGTGCTAATGGTAGCCACTGTCCCCACACATGCACTGTGCCCCCACCCCCAGTCCACTGGCCTCTCTGCAGCCAGAAAAATCTTTCTAAAATGCAAATCTGATCATCGGGCACACACACAGTAGCTGAAGAGAGGTTTTATGGTGGTTTCATGAGGACACGGATAGTATGTGGTGTGAGTGTAAGCTCAGAGCTTACAGGGGCAGGATCCTTGCCTGGCCTCCCCTCCTTTCATTAAGCTCGGTGACTCTGTCATTCTTGACCAAATGTCACAGAAGCATTTTGGCCACTAGGCTTCCCTGGAATTAACAAGGGAGAGGATTTTAAAGGCTAAAGTGTCCTCCTGAGATGTTAACACTCCATTGACAGCCTTCACTCAACAGAGATTTACCAGTACCTCTGAGGGGCCAGGCCTATGCCTCCCTGGCACTGGGAGGATGGGACAAACAGCAGGGGCCCTCCCTGGAGGGGCTTGCCATACAGCGAGGGGACAGCCTGTGAACAGACAGTGACAATGCAGTGTGATCCCTGCTGGCACACAGGAGAGCCAAAGAGGGGTGAGAACTATGGGAGTCCAGTAAGGGCACTTCCCCCAGCCCTGGGGTGTGGGGGGTGATTAGGGGCATATAGGTTGCAGGGGACACCAAAGCTGCCCTAAAAGCCTGTGTGCTATGTCACAAAGCTCAGGCCTTCCCAGGCCCAGTGCAGAGCCAGTGCAGGGCTCTGAGTGGGAAAGGGGCTGCTCCGATCTGTGTGTTAGGAAGATCACCAGAGTGTGAATGAACAGGAGAAAACCCATCTGGAGGCAGGAAGCCAATTAAGAGGAGGCTGCAGAACTGAGCAGTAGCAAAGGCCTGAATTTGGGGAGTACCATGAGCACTAAAGGTCTCCCCTCCACTCCCATCCCAGCCGTGACTCAGCCACTGAAGCCTGTGCTTTAGTGGTGGGCCATTAATAACACCCAGAGCTCAAGATTCTGAGACTCTGCAGCCCCATGCCCTCTGCCCCATGCCCTCTGGGGCTTCCCACATCCTGGGTTTGGGGCGGCAGTGGGAATGTCAAATTCTCATCCCGTGAAAGCTTCAAGTGTTGTCTCCACACCTTCCAAGTCAGCCACCCACTCAGATAAAGCACCTTTTCAGATTACAAAGTCTTTTTCACGATTAGCATTTCATTTAACCACCACAGTGACCCTGCAGTTACTGTGGTTCTACATAAGAGAGGCACGATCCTCATTTGACAGACGAGGCTTGCATAGACAGAGTTCATTCTCTCCACAAATACCAATTGAGTGTCTATTTTGTGCCAGGCCCTGAGCTCTCGCTGCTAAATGTCAGAATCAGAATCTGCACCAGGCCTCCAGGTTCTAGGTCTAGTGGACATTGAGGCTGGTTGTTAAATGAGGTCATTTATACTCTAAAGACTAGATTTTACTAATCCATCAGGGCTAATGCAATTTCTTTCCCCTGAAACATGAGATAATTATTTTCCAAAAGATACTTCCTAGTTGAGCTTTCTTTTTTTTTTCAAACTGGAAAATCCAACTCAGATCTTAAAATAAAGTCCTTTCAAAATCAGTTTTAGAAGAATGAATGAATTTTTGGTAACCTTAGCTGGTATTCCAAAACTCCATGTAGAAATTTAGAGAAACGTGATCAAGATGAACTTTTCCTGTGAGACTATATGAGTGAAATATAATCAACTTTGTTTAGATACCTCTTGGGCTCTTAGCCAAACTCAAGAAATTAGTGAAATCATTTGGAAGAACCTGTTCACATGTAGTGTTCTCAGCCTGCCCAGTTTCCCTGTGCCCTAAGCCTGCTGCTGCCCTCCCACCCCCTTTCCTCCCTCAATGGGCCTTCCTGCCCCCTCACTGCACTAGTGGCCACCCCAGCTCCCTTCATCTCTGGTCACATCTGCAGGCAGCAAGGAATTGGAGTTGGAGGGAAGGGCTGGTGTTTCAGGAGGAAAGCCAATATCAGGTGGGCACCAGTGAGGAGAAGCAAGTAATTACATCTTAGAGTTTCCTGGTAGCCTGAGCAAGGAGGGAAACAGGCTAGTTATGAGATAGTCATTGCCTCATGGAAA
This sequence comes from Homo sapiens, assembly GCF_000001405.40. Lineage (NCBI taxonomy): Eukaryota > Metazoa > Chordata > Mammalia > Primates > Hominidae > Homo > Homo sapiens. The sequence continues at coordinate 79,080,112 of NC_000015.10, read as the reverse complement.
GACAAAGTCCAGTTGCTCAGGCAAGAGTACCTGTGTCCCAGAAGCTTACATACAGGGGACCAGCAGGGAAATGATGATGACCTCGAGGGCAGAGGCACCGCCAGTATAGGGCATGCCCCCATGAGTCGCATCTGCTGGCTCTTAGGGGAGGCTGAGCATGCTCAGTGAAGACCACATTCCAGGAGGCTTAAATGGTGGGGTCCCAGGGAGGTGTGTCCTGGTGTCCAGATAACACAGGGTGCAGCTTGGAGAAGCCTGGGGAATGGAAGGTCAATTGGACCCTCTTAAATAGCCATTGCTTTCTTTTATTTTAAATTTTAGGATTGGTAATGCATGTCCATAGCTCAACATTCAAGAGACAAAAAAAGTATACAGTGACAATGCTCCTTCAATGACTCTGTTCACTTCCCTAGTGGCCATTATACCAGTTTCTTATCCATTCTCCCAGAGGGATTATATATATATACATGTACATGCAAACATCTGTCTGTCTATATGCATGCATGTATAATTATATAAATGGTAACACAGTCTGCACCATGTTTTTCTCACTATTTTGTGGAGAGGATTCTCTGCAAGTACATTGATCACCATTCTTTTTTGTGGCTCTATAGTATTCCATGGTGTGGACATGCTATCATTTTTTTTTTTTTTTGGCCAGTCTCTTCTTGAGGGATATTTAGGTAATTTAAAGTATTTTGCTATTACAAATGGAGCCGCAGTTAATAAGTAAATATCCCTGCACATGGGCCATTTCCAACCAAGTTTTTGACAGAAGCTGAAGGGCAGATATATCCATACTGAAGTTTGTACCTTCATTCAGCAAGTATGAGAAAAGGGGCTGTTGAAAAGGGGAGGGCAGGCTGGCTGAGGCGTCATCACAGATCGAAAGATGTTTGTGCAGGACCAGCCAAGTGTAACAGCCACCAGGACCCGTTTCATCTGTAGCCATGGCGCCCAGGCCCTGGAGTAGTTTACATTAAAACAGAGACCCTTCCGCAGACAGAAGCTTGGAGGCCTACACTGACATGGGCCCCCAGGCCTTGGGTCAAGCACAGCCTCGTTCGAGGCTGATTCTGAAAGAGGGGGGCTTTCAAGGGCTTCTAAGCCCTGAGGTTGCAGTCACTTCCTGAATCTCCTCCCACCTACTTCCTCTCAACTCCCAGCGAGGCCAGGCAGGGAGGATGAGTGAGCACATAGCATGGCACCCAGGAGGTCAGTCTCTGGCCGCAGGCCTCTTCCTGGGCTGGTTTGGGGCCCAGAGTGACGTATGTCTTAGGCCTTAAAGACTGGGAATCTGGACAGAGACCTGAGACAGGCACTGAGAACAGGGACAAAGCAGAGGTTCTGGTGCGGCCACCACGGCCCAGGAAGACTCAGACTTGAGAACTCAGAGGCAGAGTTGGGCAGAAAGAAGCCAATTGGAGCTAGGAAGGAGGTCACAAAGTGGGGTCCTGACCCTGCATGAAGCCACATCAGGAGAGGTAGGGGGTATGAGTAGTCAGGGTGGATGAGTTCTTTCTGGATTGGTGTGGGGGATCTAGTGGGGCATGGGAGAAGCTGATACTTCCTGCTCCGTGGACTGCCTTCCTGCTCAATGGAAGTATTAGCCTCTGCTGGCCCCACAAGTGCAGGAAGTATTCCCTGACTTGGGAATAATGTGCTTAGTGAATCCCCCACTGTACACCACGGCATGAGCACGTGCAGCCAGGGCTGGAAGGAACCAGCGTTGGTGAGCATGCACTGCATTGCAGCAGCTGTGAGAGAGGTTGGAAGATGCTCTTGGGGTGGCCTGCAAGGGTCATGGGACAGTGACTTCCCCTGGGAAGGAGATGGAAAAGGGAGCTGGAGGATCTGGGTGGGGCCGGGGGGGCCTATATGGGTGTCCCCATATAGATGGAAGGAAGGAGAGAAGATGGACCCTGGGCCAGGGCAAGTGCACACATACGCACATGCATGCACACACACACACACACACACCAGGTTCTCTGTAGCACAGCCACTCCCTGCACTGGGATATCACGCAGCATGTGGCAGAAGCACAGCACCTGTGGGCCCTCAGCCCCAAAGGTCAATGATGGCGGGGAGGAGGAGCCAGGACCCAGCTGGGGAGAGCTGGCCCTAACCAGAGCAGCAGAGTGGGACCTGGTAAGGGGTGGGATCAGCCAAGAGTGGTAGCATCTATCCCCGAGCCCACCCCACCCACCCCTTCTCTCAGAGGAGGCAATGAGCAGAGGCCCAGGCAGCAGGTCTGAACTCCCAAAAGGCGGGATGAATTGGAGGGGGCAAGGAGATCAGAGGGGACTGTTTGATGGTCCAGGTGGGTAATGAAGAATCCCTGAAGCAGGCATGGCAGTGAGGATGGGGGAAGGCACAGATTCCAGAAATACTAGAGAGGAAAAACGGATACAACTGGCAGCCAGTTACACAGCGGGAAGAGGAGAGAAGCAGGAACTGAAGATAATGTGCAAGATGCCACAAACGCCATCTCCCTGTAACCCACTGATCTTGCATGGCTGTGACCGTTCTGGTTATGAGCCCCTCCCCACCACGCCCTCAGGACAGTGGCTGGATCCTACGTTGTGTGTATGTGTGCAGGCATATGAATGCTCATGCATGTGTGTTTTCCAGTAATGTGCCACTGCTAGGTTGATTAGACCCATCATTTGACCTTGTAAATGAATCCAGTGGTTTACAAAACACTATTTGAGCCTTTTCATGAACGAGGAGCTCCCACAATGCTGTCCTAAACAACCCCATGAGGTGAGTAATATTGTCCCCATTTTGTGAAAGAGGAAACTGTCCACAGAAGTGAAGAGGTGTGTTGAAGACCCCAAGGCCAAATAATAAATAATAAATTTGAACCCAGGTCTGATGACTCCAAACCCTGGTAGACCCCACAACCCCAGGGCCCCAAAATGGACTCCCTGGAACACTGGTTTTATGGAATATTAATAGATCTTCCCAAAAAATGAAAACAAGATTCCATGGGTGTTCCAGAAAAGGCTCCTTATGGAAGGACTGCCCTGTGCCCTGTCAGCTATCCCTGAAGAGGCACGGATGGCTTTCATGAAAAACCAGTCCCCCCAACCCCTTCCAGCCAGCTCCATTGCCCATGCCTGAGGGGTATATTCAATACCACCCTCTTTGTGGCTTTTGCTATTAGCCAATTAATAAGCTGGGCTCCTGGGCAGTGGTGACAAACGCATTCAGTCACCCATTCAGTCAACCAGGGCTACCCTGTGCTCTGGCCAAGGCACGGTGCCAGGCTCCAGGGAGAGTTCTTGGTCAGGAATCATTTCTTTGAAAGGAGCAGGAGCCTTTTGCTCAAAGCAGCTTGAGCAAGAGAGGACTATCCTGGAAGAAACACAGCGGTAGTTAATGGAACCCAGGGAGAAAATACACGTCTGGGTCTCCATGGCCTGAACACCTCCGCCTAGCCTTGCCCCCACCACTTGATTCCATCACCACCTCTTGCCACTTTCTCTGAGACCCTTCTGCTTCCTTCTTGGCTTCTTACTTGCACTTAGAGCTCAGCACATGCAGCTCATCAGCCTGGTCTCTCTGTGCCACTATGCCACATTCCCAGGAGCCTCAGATGGGTGAACCCTGGTGCATGTCCACTGCTGCTCCAGTCAGCTGCATCCAGGACCATGGGCCTCTGAGAGGGCATGAGGAGCAGGGGAGAAGTCCTGGGTTTCTAGTATGACAACAACCACGTTGCTCCTCCCTCAGGGGTTCCAAACTCTGGGTGATTATAACCAGCTGGGGGGCTTTCAAAAAGACCAGTGCCTGCAACCTCCCCTCCCCTCCCCTCCCCACCCACCACTCTGTTTTAATGGATCTGAGAAGGGACTTGAGCGACAGGGCTTCTTTAAGTTCCCAGACATCGCTAATGTGTAGCCTGGATTGAGACTATGGGCTGTAGCTGGAAAGATAATCAGAACATCATTATGATATGAGTTGAGAATGGCCTTGATGGCACAGGATGGGGCGCTATCTGGGAGCCCCCAGCAGCTTGCCCATTTGGAAGAACCACCATACCTTTCCAAAAGCACATATACAGCTGACATGCATGTTGTCATTGATGGCTGCAAAGTGAACTATGTCTGGCTTCTAGTGGGGGCTAAATACTGGTTGAATTAATGAACGAGAAATGACTTGGAGAGTAAAAGGTGTGGGAAATCTTCACTCTAATACCACGTGTATAGAATAGACCAAGGCAAGTGTTGTTGGGCCTGTTTGTCAGAAAGGAACCAGGGCTCAGAGAGATGACAAGGCTGCCCAGAGTGCCCAGCTCTGAGCTTCACTGCCAGACCCAGACTCAGCTATGGAGGGTTCCACCTGCTCCTCTGTCTGTAGGGGAACCAAACATCCCAGTTTGCTCAGGACTGTCTTGGCTTTAGTACTGAAAGTGCCACACCCCCAGGAAACTCATTAGTCTCAGGCAAACCCAGGACAGTTGGTCACCCCACTGTCAGTGGTTGTCCAATGTTCTGTGTTCAGTGGAGAGGCTGTAGGGGCTGCTGGTCAGTTGGGAGAGGCAGGAGGCAAAAGAGAGTCTAAGTAGGTGGGGCTTCAAGCCCCCAGCCCCAGCTTCCAGAGGGGAAGTAGATCCAGCTCCAGACTGACCTGGGGTAGCAGGGGCCATTTTGCAGCCCAGTTGGACAGGAGAGGCATACTGGGGCCAGGAAGGACATACTGGACAGGAAGGGCATACTGGGGCCAGGTATGCGCTGGAGCTCAGGCACCGCCAGGTCAACTGAGGCCACAGGTGTGGTTCCAGAACATTTCCTCCAGCAAAGACAAGGGCCCACATGTGAGTCTAGTCCTGGCACAACCCCAGATGTGATTTCTGAATCCCTGCCTGTGAGCCTGGTAGGTCGCAGGTATAGTTTGTGGATCAATCCCTCTTTTCCTACTGAAGCCCCAGGCAAAAGTCTAGACTAGTGAGTTGTTCTCAACCTTGGCTGCCCATTGGAATCACCCGGGGATGCTACGTCAAACTCCAGTGTCCAGCCATGGTTGAGACTCGCAGGTCTAGGGATACTCAGCAACCCAGGTCAAGCCTCAGGAGGTCCAGGCTCCATCCATGCACTTGGGAAGGCCTTGGAATCATTGTGGATCTGTTACAGTGATTTTGATTCTGCGAGTATTTCTCGCTCGATCTTAGGACTCCTGGTGGAATCTCAAATCAGGTTATCCATCTCTTACTTCAGGTCTAGGAAAGCTCTAGGTCCATCCTTGATCTCTGTGGAGGCCCCAGGTGGAGCTCTGGGCCCATCTCTGCAGCCCTGCAGGGGCTTTAGAAGTGGTTCACCAAGTCTTGCCTCTTCTGTAGCAAAATCGGGTGCGGCCCATTGGTGGTTTCTTCCTCTGTTGCATTTCTGGGGAGTCCCTGAATGAGGCTGTGGTCTGTTCATACAACTGCAGTTGGACCCCAGCGATGGTTCTGTGAATCCCTGGATGCATTATGGGGCCTGGGTGTGGCTCTGAGTTGGCCCATGCAGGCTAGTGAGGCTCACGATAAGGGTCTTTCTACACAGCCCATGGCACCTTCCAGGTGTGGTAGTGGACCTGGGCCTCCCGCCCAGGTGAAGCTCCACATAGGGTACTGGCCCTGCCCTCACAACCTGGTGAGTGCTCTGGTAGTGCTGAGGCTGTCCTTGCAATACTGGGCTAAGCCAGGTTCGGATGTATCTCTGGACTATAAGACTTCCCATCATTGACCCTCACATCAACTGCCTATCCTCACCCTAAACTGGCTCCAGTCCAGTTCAGGGAAGAGCCTCAGCCCAATTTCCCCACAGGGGCCACTTGCCCTTAGAAGGAGCCATGGGCTTATCAGTTCCCCTTGAAGCATGAGCATGTACGGAATCACCTAGGGTGCTCTTTAAAATAAATTCCAGCCATACCCCTAGGGATCCTGATTCAGAAGGCAGCTAGTGCCTGGAGATCTACATTTTTAGCAAGCGCCCCAAGGGATTTGGAGTGGAAAACTGGGATACTGAAGTAGGAGAAATGTATTTTTACATCTACTTACCTCTGGGGCAGCTCCTGCCCAGCAGAGCTGTAGATCTGAGCCTGGACCTAGAAAACTGGTGGCACCCAGCAAGACTGAAGACAGTCCTGGCCCCACATGTAGTTTTATCTCAAGTAATGGTGGCTTGCCTTAAGCAATGCTTCTCATACCACAGGGTGCAGCAGGATCACCTGGGGGGCTTGTTTCAAAACAGAGGTCTGGGGTGGAGCCCAAGAACTTACAGTCCTAACAAATTCCAAGGTGATTTGGGTGCTGCTGCAGCTCCAGTGACTTTAAGGACTCTCATGGCAGTAAGGGTGGTGGGACATTCTTGGAAGAACAAGAACCACAGTACAGGCAGCATTCCCAGCACACGTAACTGAGAAGAGGTGGAATCCAGGTGTTCCAGGGCAGCCAGTCTTGTCCCCATGCCATCCTCAACCACCTGTAGCCAGAGCCTGACACGCCACCTCTAGCTTCCCACCCTCAGTGCAACTCAGCGGCACCCCGTGTCTGCCAGTGCCACCCTCGGTGCTCTGCTATCTCTGCTTGGCCTCACACCTCCTCCTCACCTGCCCTTCTCGTCTCTCACAACCCCGACTCCAGGTGGTCTCCTTATAGCTTCGGATGATACTGCCAACCAACTGCCTCTCCTCCTATTTCCTAAGGCAAACTCCCCGCCTCACTTCCCTGTTGGGGCAGTTTGGGGAGCCCTTGCTCTACCTGGCTCCAGTCCAGTTAAGGGAAGAGCCCCAGCCCAGCTTCCCCACAGGAACCAGCTGCCCTTAGAAAGAGCCATGGGCTTATCAGGCATCATGACTCCCCTTCTGGGATCTGGGCAGTCTGGTGGAGGACTGCGGGGGATACTAGATCTATTCCAGCAACTCTAGTAGGCCTGTGAAGATTTGTTATTGAAACTTGGACTCGGGTCCTGTATCTGAATGTATCCTATATCCTTGATCACATATAGTGAGTCCTGATCTCATCCAGGGCCCAGGGAAGGTGGGCATGAGGCTCTCTGTTGCATTGGAGAGTTCTAGGATGTCCCTGGGACTGACTCCAGAACAATGCTGCTGTTCCGCAGAGGAATCCAACCGGGATCCAGGCAAGCCTATGTGGTCCCATTGTTGTGGCAGGTGTGATTTGGGTCCTATCCTGTGGTCACACTGAGGCTCGTGTGTTGTGAGTCTGAGAAGCTCTGGGTAGCTCTGGTTGGTCTCAGCATCATTCTGGGGATGTCCAAGTTGTGATCCTGGCCTCATCACAGCAGCTCCAGTGTTGCCCCCAGTGTGAGTCTGGTTTTTACTCTGCAGCTTTGGAGGGATCTGTCTCTGGCCTCTGCCCAACCTTGTAACTCTGAGGAAGCTCAGGTGGGAGTTCAGCTTTCAAAGGTGACTCAGGTCAGCCAGAGCTCTGAACCGATACCAGCTGAGGTTATGAGACTGTCTCAAGAGCTCTGGTGCTATGCAGGGTCATTGTTTTTCCATGGAAGAAATTGATATTAAGATTATTTATTGGCCGGGCGCGGTGGCTCACGCCTGTAGTCCCAGCACTTTGGGAGGCCGAGGCGGGCGGATCACGAGGTCAGGAGATCAAGACCATCCTGGCTAACACGGTGAAACCCCGTTTCTACTAAAAATACAAAAAATTAGCCGGGCGTGGTGGCAGACGCCTGTAGTCCCAGCTCCTCGGGAGGCTGAGGCAGGAGAATGGCATGAACCCGGGAGGCAGAGCTTGCAGTGAGCTAAGATCATGCCACTGCACTCCAGCCTGGGCAACAGAGTGAGACTGCGTCTCAAAAAAAAAAAAAAAAAAAAAAAAAAGATTGTTTATCAAGAACTCCCAGAAACCCCCTAACTGCTCCAGACCACCACCCTCGTGAGGTCCTCAGGCAGTCGCTGGCAATATAATGCTCCTCAGTTCTCTCCAGCTATCTCAGAGCTCCAGGGAGCTGAGCTGGCCTGACTGAGGCTTTGGAGCTTGGGCCTTGAACCAAAGCAGGCCTGTGACTCCTCCTTCCTCCCTAAGCTCATTTCCCAATAGCAGATGGTACTACTCCAGAATCCAGAAAGCCTCTCCCAAAACACACCCAAACCAGCCAGAAAAGATCATAGGGACAGGAGAGCAAGTCTTAGGGCCAGAAGATATGTGTTCAGATTTCTAGGACAGTGGGAAGGAGATGGGAGCCCCTGGCCCTGGTACACTCAGTCACAGCCTGGAGAAGAGGAGGGAGCCAAGAAAGGGAAAACTAGGGGGCCCTAATATGGGGTGCCACTTTGCAGCTGGTACCACCCTGACCAGCTGACTTCACCTGCCATGTGGAAAGAAGCTGGGAAGAGTGGGGAGGGAAGACCTGGGAAGGGGACACAGAGGAGAAAGGCAGGAACAGAGACACAAAGAAAGAAGGAGACAGCTGCAGAGGGCCAGGCACAGTGGCTCACAACTATGATCCCAGTACTTTGGGAGGCCAAGGAGGATGGATCACTTGAGGACAGGTGTTCGAGACCAGCCTGGCCAACATGGCAAAACCCCGTCTCTACTAAAAATACAAAAAAAAAAAAAAATTAGCCGGGCATGGCGGCGCACACCTGTAGTCCCAGCAATTCGGGAGGCTGAGGCAGGAGAATCACTTGAACCTGGAAGGTGGAGGTTGCAATGAGCAGAGACTGTGCCACTGTACTCCAGCCTGGGCAACAGAGTGAGACTCTGACTCAAAAAAAAAAAAAGAAAAAAGAAAAAGAAAGCTTCAGAGAATGCAAAGGAGAGAGAGAGAAATGGAAAGAACAGAGAGGAAAGGAAATGATCCCTTTCCAGGCTCAAAGAGCCAAGAGGTGGAGTTTTTCTAGAACTTTGGCCTATCCATGCCAGAGGCAGCTCTGCTCCTTGTTGAAGGTGCAGTAAGGGGAGATGGCCTTGCAGTGGGTCCTGAGACCCGCCATGAAAACAAGGCTTCAGGCTCAAGCATGTCCAAGCCAACATTCATCTCCCTTGCATATTTGCTCCTTGGGGACACAGCATGAGCATCGGCAGCCCAGCCTGAGGGTGCAGCTGCTCTCCCGGGGCTGGAGACCAGCAGAGGATAAGAGGTCTGAGTGTCCCTTGGGGAGGGTTGCCCTGAGCCTTGACATGCTCCTATGCAGCCACCAGTCACCCACGAGATGGGCAATTCAGATCCTCAACAACTTTGTGTCTATTTCCCTGAAGTTGTCCTGAACTTCTAAAATGGAGTAGGGCCTAGAAGATCATCATATTTTTACCCCAAGCCCATACTAGCCAAGAAATCACCTGTGCTTCAAAGTAGGCACCCAAGCTTGCCAAGGAGAAAGTTATTAAAAATATTAATAAAAAAAGAAGTATAGTGAACATGCATTGGATGCTTGCTTGCAGGCACCAGCATTATCTCACTTGACTCTCACAACAATCATGCAAGGAAGGGACTCTTCTTATGCCCATTTTGTAGATGAAGAAACTGAGGTGAGAACCTCAGTGACTGGCCCCAGGTTACACAGCTAGCAAGTATTACCAACAATAGCATTTCCCAGATAACACAATGCCACCTACACCTGTCATTTGTTGTCATCTGAAACATGTAGGAATATGAACCTCCACCTGCTTAGTCCTCCTCCAATTATTAAGGCCACTTCTTTATCTCAAAAGGAAATCAAGTTTCCCAAATAGAGTCTCCCTTTATTTAAAAAACCCCAGACAGAAACTAAGGCTGAACTGAAGCATCTGTCTCCCTTTTTTCCCAGTTATATGCTCTGTCCCCGTCAGGGGAGCTGCCCAGGTAGGGGCTAGGTGGAGAGTGGGCTCTTTGACCCAAACTGGACCACAAAGCTGGGCTATTGCAACCCTGAGACTTCCATGTGCTCTCCATCTCCAAAGTCCCAGAAGATCAACGGGACACACAAGCATATCCCAGACCCAACCTCACACCTGTGGAACCAAATGCGACCTGAGCAGAATGTTAGCACCTGTGCATTTCCCAGGCAGAAGCAAGGCACCCCGAACATTACTCCCCAGCCCCTGCTGCCACCATCCATGGACCTCATGGGGACATCCTGGGTTGGGGGCTTCCACTGTCTTCAGGTGTCTGTGTCAGCTCATGGCAGGGAAACTTCCATTTGGGTGAATGGTGCATAAGAGCCTCATAAGGGCCAAGGTTTTCTGCAAGTGCCATAAAGTGTAATGGTGAAAGCTAGGTTGTGGGATATGGGTTTTTACTGTAAAATAATTATAATGTCTGTGAATGTTTAAAATTTTCATAATGAAACGTTGGCAGTGGGTGAGGAAGGCAGACAAAGATCAAGGCCTTTTCAGCCCAGGCACCTCAAGGACCCAAGAAGAAGCAATAGGAAGTCCCTTCTTCTGCCCCCGTTTCCCCCAAATCTTTGACTTCCCTTACTTAAGAAACACCAGCATTTATAGTCTTTACTATTCTGATACCATCACCAAAATATCTCTTTCTGTCCGACTGCTGCAGCAAGACCTGCTTCCCCTGGAGAAATCTGCCCAGTCCCTCCATCCTGGCTGGAAAGCAGGATAAAGATGGGAAATTGGTTGGCACAGAGAAAATTCTATCACTTATATTCCTCACTCCCAGGGCTCCACTTATTTGGGGTGAGTCTACATTGGGACAAAAACAGTGGTTACAGATCCTCACTAACCAAAGACAGCAAACGGGGTCTTGCCATCCCCACATGGGCCTGTGTCCCTGAGAGATACAGCAGTGTGGCTGGGATGTCACAAGTGCCCACAAAGGTTGCTTGCAAAATCATTATTAGCAAGTGCAAGAGGAGTGAGGACCATCATGAGGTCCTGGGTGCCTCATCAGGATGTCATCAGAACCCCAAGGTGAAGCATTCATGTGTCTGTTCATTCACTCATTCTTCAGCTATTCATCAGCATCCACTCAGTACTAGGCTCTGTGCAGGGTTCTAGAGTTTCCAAATTAAGCAGGTACAAGCCCTGGCCCTGAGCAGTCCAAGACCAAAGGGTCAGCCAGGTTGTGAGGCTCCAAGGAAGGAGGGGCCTCAGGGAGAAGTCCTGTAGGTGAGGGGAAGGATGGAGTGCAGACACCCCCCACCCCCAAGCCTAAGCCCGGCCAGGCCTGTGGTCCAGGCAAACTCTTTTCCCTGAGACCTGAATCTCTGGCCTGTGTGTTCCCTGGGGCCCAGGGAGAGGTCATCGCCTGGCCTCTGCTGGGGTTCAGCCTGCCAGGCTGACCCCAGGACACAGTGCCATGCCTAGACCCTCAGACCACACTTAGGCCACACACCTGACCCTCACAGAGAAGAGGGGTGGGCCAGAAACATACACAGCCTCTGAGAGCTATGGGAGAGATTGGGAACAACCCAAGGCCTATCCAGAAGTGCAGGGAAAGACCCAAAACACATCCACACACATCCACACTCTCATTCACATTCTCCAGATATATCGATAGATGGATAGATATAAAAGCGTGTGTGTGTGTGTATATATACACATATATATAAATATATATGTATGTATATATATATGATACATCGATATAAAAGCATGTGTATATATATGTATGTATATATATACTTATACATATAAATATACGTGTGTGTGTGTATATATATATATATATATATAGGCTCAAAAAGACCTTGAGCCCAGCTCATTTAACTCCCCATTTCATAGATGAGGAAGCTAAGGATGACAAGGAGGAAGAGACTTAGTTGCCCCCAAGCCACACTGTCTCAACTGCAGAACTGACACCAGATAAGACCCCCTTTCCAGTGCTCTTTCCCTACCCAGAAAGCCACTTGCCCCCTATTAACTCTTCTCCATTACAGTGAAGAGAACAAACAGCGTGAACAGAAGGACCCTGGGCTAAGAGCCAAGCCACTGTCACCCTAGACAGCCATCCCAGAGACACCTCACACCCACCTCCAAGCCTCAGCCCCCTCTGTGAAGTGGGGTCGTGCCACCTACCTCCACCGTGGCTGGGCTCCCTCAGGAACACAGGGACAGTGCCTGCAGGGTGACAGGCACACAGCAGGGCCTCACAAAATCAGTCACTTTCCCTTTTTTTTCCCCACACCACTGGTTGTGTTTTAGGTTTTCCTGCACATAGGTTTGGAAATCTGACATTCTCACTGAGTCCCTTTCACCTCTCTAAGCTCCCTTTTTTGTAGCATCTTCCAGGAGCCTGGAGCTCATCCTCTCTCTCTAGACGTGGGCTTTGGTCTTTCCCAGTGGATTATACTCTGTCTCTGTGTCTCTGTAGGCTTCTCCCTCTCCCACCTGCCCCCCACCCATCTATCTCTATCTTATCTCTGTCTCTGTCTCTATCTCTGTCCCTACCAATTCCTACATAGAGCAAAGTCTCATTTACTTGCTACCCAAAGTCCAGATTTGTGCTGATTCAGAAACTCTGGGTGGAAGCTGACTTTCCCTTAGCAAACAATTTCTACAAGTCAGTCGGGCAATGTGGTTGCATAAAACAGATGTCAGGGGGCAGGTTTACGAGCACAAAGGGAACAAACTGCTCTCAAGTCATTCGAGGCACTTATATTCCAGCTCAGGCCTCCTGCAGCAGCAAAAGCACCACTGGGCAAAGGCAGCCCAGGGTTCTGGCTTCAGTGATGCTGCTTCTAGCCCAGTGACCTTGGACAAATGAATGTGTCTTGCCTCCACATGCCCTCTAAATGGGGATAACAGACTTAATTTCTAGGGCAGTTGTGTCTCTAGTCAGGTGGTGTGTGCAAAGAACCTAGTACCATGCCTGAGGCGTGGTAGATCCTCCAGTTTCCCCTTCTTCTTAAGGTGGAGGCCCTCACAGCTGCCTGGACTGCAGTTCTTCTGGCTGGGAGCCTGAAGTGGCTCTGGATACTCCCAGAGCTCGCCCTGGCCCCTGGAGCCTGGCTGTTATGCCTCACAGGGAAGCTTCTGGGTCACGCTTGTCCCGAAGGCCACCCCTCCATAAACTGGCCACTTCACTTGAACGCTAAGCCTGTCAGTCACTCAGGGTCTAGGCAGTGTCTCCTATCCCAGGAGGACAGCAGATGCAGGATGCTTGTTAGGAGACTGTGACAGTAGCCCAGGAGAAAGGTCGTGGGGCCTAACCTAGGGCAGCAGTGATGGGGTCAGAGCGAGGCCACACAGATGGAGTAGACGGGCAGATGAACTGGCAACTATTGGAGTGACAGGAAGGGAGTGGGGAAAGCCTCTGGGTAGCCTGCGGCCGGCTTCCTGAAGCCTCCAGGAACCCCGTGCCTGGTCTGCAGGATGGAGAGTTGGGCATCATAACCTGTCAGAAGCTCAAGGTCTCTGATGACTGGGTTCAGGCCTGGAGGGTCTTCCTGGCATCCTTCCTCACAGTTAGGTTTCCAGCAGGGGTGAGGCTGTAGGGGATTCCAGTACACATGGGTAGCAGGGAGCCATCTGCTTCCCTACCCAGTAGGGCTGATTGGGAAGAAGTCTCTGTGAAGAGTGAAAGGCCTCAGCCAAGCCCATCACCCCATGCAGCTCTGAGTCCCCTGGTGACCCAGTAGGGAAGGAGAACACTCCTGCTGTGGTCCCAGCAATGGGCTCCTATAGCTCTGGGACATTCCCCTTGGGGCTCTAAGGAGACCCAGCAACTCCACTGTGCCTGTATGTAGCTGAGTGCCTTGTTTCTGATTTGGGACTCTGAGTCTCACCTACCTACAGGCTCCCTGAGGTGGGGACTTTGCCTTTTTGTCTTTGCATCCCAGGGCCAAGCCCAGGGCCTGAGCAGGCGGCAGTTGCCCAGTGCAGGTGTGTCATCCCAGCTTCTCTGCTTTCCCGCTGTTTGGCCTTAGGCAAGCAGCTCAACCTCTCTGAGCTTCAGGTTCATCAGCTGTAACACAGAGAATACCTGTTCTGCTTGGTGAATGTGGAAATAATGAGATCATGGGAGACAAGCATTTGTGTGTTCATCATCTCTCGAGAGATGGGGAAAGTGCTAGGTAGCTGCCTGCCACTATGTGTCACCTGCTTCCTCCTCTAGGGGGGCAGGGTGCCCACTGGAGCCTTTCAGATTCAGTTATTTGAGGCTGTAGCTGACATTTCATTCTATAGCCCCAGTTATCTGTTTCCTAGGAAACAAGAGACAGACATTGACTCTGTAACAACTCACTCTCTCTCTCCTCTCTCTCTCTCTCTCCTGCCATACTCATTCCCCCCGCCCCCCACTTCACATACACCCGGCTGCCACCTAGACTGACAATTAACAAAAATACATAAATGTCAGCAGAAGCTAAAATTAGTTTACACACTGCACCTTGTGCTGCTGCTCCCTGCCACCTGGACACCGAGGGATGGAGGGACGGGCACCCTCTCTGGCTCAGTGTCACACCATGGCTGGCCCGTGGTGCATCCTCTGAACAGCAGACCTAAGGGCCCCTCTTTGTACCTCACCCCCTGCCTCTCTCCTCCCAGTTTCACCAGGCCCAGGCCCAGGCTGGGCCCCCAGCACTTCGTTTGTCTGCCCTCTCTCTCCGACGAATCCCTCTGCATGCGGAGCTGGCCCCTCAGAGCCCCCTGCCCCTTCCTCCTGCCAATGCCCCAGCCCAGTCTATGACTCTCCCAACATGCCCAGTTGCTCAAACCTGAAACCTGGGCTTTGTCCCTGCTGCTCTCTCCTCCCACGGCTCCTCCTCTCAGCTGCACCCCAGGTCCCTGCCCACCTGCCCACTGGCATCCCTGTACAGCCCCCTCCCCCTCCCAAATATGCTATGAGCTCTGGACACCAAGCTGCCCCCATGCTCTTCCATTCAGCTGAAATAAAACTGAACCAATGTCCCATCCTCTGGGAAGCCCTCCTGATCTCCCTGGGATAAGTCAGTGGGTGACTTTCTCTGTGCCCCCACAGCCCTTTGTTCTTACCTCCATGACAGTAGTGATCACACCACATTAATTACAGCAATTACAGTGCTTACTAGGTGCCAAGCATTCTTCTAGGAGCTTTACATGCATTTAACTCATATAACAGTATTGCAGATGGGTGTCTATTGTCTGGCTCTTCTGCTTCCCTGAGTCCTTAAGGGGCAGGGCCCATGGTTGGCATGGTTCTAAGTTAGTCACCTGCACCCAACACAGAGGTGGCTTTCAGTGGGCTCTTACAGGGACCGTGTCTGTTTACTCATCGCTCTAACCCCAGGACCTAGAAGGGCACTTATTCCATTTTTGTGGAGTGAGTTAAATACATGCTGCATTGAATTGGTACCCAGTTCCCAAAAGGATGTTCTAATGATGTGCTTTCCCTGCCTTCCCTCCAGCGCGCCTGATGATTTCAAACTGGCTTTTTTGCAATTTGTTGTTGAACAGGGCTTTGTGTGTTTTGTTTCCTTCTTACAATATCCTAAGCATAGGCTCTGTTACACGATACAAAAGCCCTTTTAATCGAGAACTGGAAACTGCTAAATAGAATGGCATTCTGATTATCACAAACAAGGAATCTGTGCCTAGCTGATGTGGCAGCAGGCACTTTGCAAAACAGCTAGATTGATTGCAAGAGTCGTTGTTGGTCCCATGGACACTCTGGTAATTGGAGATGTCTTCTTCTTGATACAGCATTACTTCACGGTGAACTTCAGCCATGAGAACCAGAAAGCCTTGGAGCTGAGGACAGAGGACGCAAAAGATTGTGACGAATGGGTGGCAGCCATTGCACATGCCAGGTATGTCTCCTTGCCCAGGGCAGGAAGCCCCTACTCCACAGTCCAGGCAGAAAAGACCAGACCCAAGGGCCTTTGAACAAAGCCAAGCCCCATGAAGTGGAGGGCATGGGAAAGGAGGAGGAGAAGCATCTCTTGGCAGGGTCCACCCTTACATCCTGCACCTCTGGGATGAGCCTCTCAGTGCCACAGGGAATGAGAGGCCATGAGTATTGCAGCTCCTACCCTGCTCCCACACTAGTTACCTTTTTTATATTAGCAGAACCAAGTATGATTTGGTTTGGTTAAAGGATTTTGTGGCTCCTGAAGCCTAAGGCCTCCAACATTCTGACCCAAATGCAGCCACTCATTTGCTGCATTACCATGGACCAGTCCTCTCTGCTCTCTGGACCTTGGTTTTCTCATCCAGAGGCTGACATTCTAAGCCTCTCTGAACTTTGACACTCAGGGATTCTAGGCCTGCTCCTCCCCTCTGCTCCAGCAGTAAGTGCCCCCTGTAGGGAGACTCCCTGGGCCAGGAGAGGGGAAAGCCAAAGGACAATAGGTGCCACAGAGACAACAGGGGCTCCAAGCTGAACTGAGTCCCTTTTGGGTCCTAAGGAAATGATGGGTTTGTGAGCCAGGATGTGGTCCCAGAGCTGACAATCGCCTGGCAGAGCTGAACATGGTTAGGGGCAGCAGCACCCAGACTTACGTTTCTGGGCAGTGGATTTTTCTACCTTAGTGGATAATAGTGTTTCTGTGTCTCCTGCCTAAAAAAATGGAAGCTCCTGAGGGCAGCGACCAGATGTGATTCTTTGCATTACCAAGGCCTGATAAAGGCATAGACAGAGTGCCCAGTAAATATGGGTTAGAGGAATGCAAGGATGGATGGGTGGTTGGAGGATGGATGCAAAGCTGGTTGTTGAGTTTATATATGGAAGATAAATGGTGAATTAATGCAGGATACATGGATGATACATGGACAAGTTAAAAGTATGTGTGGATGATGGACATATGGTTTGATAGATGGATCCTAGGGCCCGTCCTTGAGCCTTGGGTCAGACTAGTTAACCAGAAGCCCTTATTATGACTATAGCAATGACATTGGCCCTGAGATAAGGCCATCTCTAGTTCTTTCCTCAAGGGGTATCCATTCTAGCTACAGAGACCAGGTTGTCACATATGAACCAATAGTCAGGCCCAGTGCACAGTGCTGGGAGACAGATGGATGCAACATAAGTATTCCCCCAGGGATATCGCAGTCTAATCAGGTAGACATTAGACATATGCACAGGTAGCTCTGGTGTATAGAGGCTGAGTTAAATACAAAACAACATGAGAGAGAGACATTACTTCCATCTGCAGGGAAATGGGAGAATCTGGGGAAGCTGGAAATAGGGTAAGATTTGGCCTGAGTAAGGGGATTGGGAGTCAGACTTAATGGGTTAGATTGGTAGCATTGAAATGCTCATTTCTCCCCACCCACCCCCCTACGACAACAACAAAAAAAAGCCTTAAATAAAGGTGCTGATACAGGAAAGAGAATTCCAAGAATAATGAAGAGGCAAAGTTTGGGTGTCATAAAGTAGATGAGGTTGGCCAGGTGCAGTGGTTCACGCCTGTAATCCCAACCCTTTAGGAGGCCAAAGTGGGCAAATCGCTTGAGGTCAGCAGTTGGAGACCAGCCTGGCCAACATGGTGAAGCCCCATCTCTACTAAAAATACAAAAATTAGCTGGGCATAGCGGGGGGTGGTAGGGAAGCCTGTAGTCCCAGCTACTCAGGAGGCTGAGACAGGAGAATTGCTTGAACCAGGGAGGCGGAAGTTGCAGTGAGCCAAGATCGCGCCATTGCACTCCAGCCTGGGCAACAGAGCAAGGCTCAGTCTCAAAAAATAAAAAAAATAAAAATAAAAGACAGAAAGTAGATGAGGTTGGACTATGGGCTGCAACCAGACCATAACTGGATCTTGAATACCGCTAAGGTGTTTGACCTTTCCCCTGTGAACGGTGGGAAGCCATTGAGGGTTTTATACAAGGGGAGTAGCATGATCAGAACTATGATCTGAATTGAAAATTGCTCATGATGTAGAGGATAAAACTGAGTGAGGAAGAACCCAGATGCAGGGGGAGCGATTGGACCTCAGTCTCCTAAGCACTAAAGTAGAACCAAGAGCCAGTTATTTTGAGTAGCAAATGAAATTATTTATGTGAAGGGGCTTTGTAAATGTAGAAGTATTATAGAATTCTAACTTTTACGTGCTGATAACCAGGACTACATTGATTTAGAATCTCAATCAATACAAAAAGTTTATAAAGGTAATGAAATACCAATACTTATAGAGTAGAGTGGCTAAAATGCTTAAGACAGACAATAGTGAATGTTGAAGATGAGTGGAACAAACGTAACTCATCTAGTGCTGGCAGGAAGATAAAATGGCACAACCACTTTGGAAAATTGCAAGGCAGTTGCTTAAAAAGTTAAACATACATCTGCTCTGTGACCCAGCAGTTCCACTTCTTAGTGCTTATCCAAGAGAAATGAAAAGATGTCCATAAGAAGTCTCATATGCAGATATCCCTTAGCAGCTTTATGCATGATAGTCCAAAACTAAGAATAGCCAGCGTGTCCATCAACAGGCAAATGTCTAAAGTCACCTTGGTATGCTGCTCAGCAGTAAAAGGAACCAGCTACAAATGCATGCAACCTGGTGGAAGAATCTCAAAATCAATTTGCTGAGTGAAGAGCCAGACACAAAATAGTACATGATATTTGGTTCCAGTTACATGAAATTCTAAAATAGGCAAAATAAGCCTGTGGTGATAGAAATCAGAATAGTAGTTGCTTCTGGTGTAGGGATTGACAGGGAAGAGGCATAAGGGAACTTCCTGGGGTGATGGAAATATCATCTGGATTTGAGTGCATGCGTTTATCAAAACTGATCAAACTGCACTTAAGACCTACGCTTTCTACAATATGTACATTAAACCTCAAATTTTAAAAATGAATGATATATATATATATATATTTTAAAGATAGTGTTCTAATTTTCTATTGCTGCATGAGAAGTTACCACCAACTCAGCAGCATGAAACAACACCCATTATTTTACCTCCCTGTTCTTTGGGTCAGAAGTCCAGGCTTAGCTGAGGTCTCTCTCTGCCAGGGTCTCACAGGCTAAAATTAAAGAGTCAGTGGGCTGAGCTCCTCTCTGAAGACTCTGAGAAATCATCACTTCCAGGCTCGTTCTTGTTGTTGGCAGGATTTAGTTCCTTGTAGCCATGGGACTGAAGTCCCTGTTTCCTTGCTGACAGCTAAGAAGGGGAGGAGGGGGCAGTTCCTAGAGGCTGCATACTCCTTGCCACATGGCCTCCTCCATCCTCAAGCTAGTAACTCTCCAGCCTCAGATTTCTCACTGCCCCTTCTACAACCAGCAGAGAAAACTCCCCGCTTTTAAAGTCTCATTCAATTGGATCACAACCACCAAGACAATCTCCCTGCCTTAAGGTCAACTGAGCCACATTGACACAAGCCGGTGACAGGAGAAGAAGCCCTGCAGGGCAACTGTGCAACGGTGCATGCCAGGCAGGCCATGCACACCTCTCCTGCCTACCATGGACAGGATAATTTTTCAAGCAATTCACTAAATTAAAGACTGGCTCTAAGAAGCCAATAAAATAATAATAATCCAATTGACATCAATGTTGCCAAGCCTGTCTGGGCCTCCAGAGCCTGACAGAATGTTCTGCATCTGAGGGTGTCTGTCTGCTCTACAGTCTGTCCAGCTCTCACAGTTCATCATGTGCTTATGATAACCCAGGGAGGGGTCCCTTCAGCCCATTTGACAGACGTGTGACCCAATGTCACACAGGACATGGGTGCCTGAGCGGGGGTGGTGGAGTCCCAGATCCTGGCTCCCAGCTTAGGGCTCTGCAACTGCCAGGTAATGCAGATTCAACACAAACTAGAAGCCTTCCTCCTCAATAAAGGAGCAGCTGGTGATCAATACCACCTACCTGTGAACAAAAACCTCTCCATATGCATCATCCTTTTGGAAGCCAGCAGCACGTGTCAATGGGACAATGGTGGAATGATGGGACATGCTGATTGTTTGCCTTCTTCCTTTGTCAAGCCCTGGGGTCTGGGTCAGCCCACTGGCCTCCCAGGAATGTCTCCCATTCAACCTGGGGGGTGGGGAGTGATACAGTGATGGTCGCAGAAAGGGAAATCGAGGCACCTTCCTTAGAATAGTCAACATCATCATCAGCCATCCTGGCTGAGCTGAGGCTTGTTGAGCAGTGCTTGGGACAATAGGAGCTATCATTGTACCACTTATCTACTATCTAGGGAGTTGGCCATAAGACCAGAGGCGGACACTATAACTGTAAGCATCACTGAACCTCAGACACCGTGTGTGTGTGTGTGTGTGTGTGTGTGTGTGTGTGTGTGTCTGTGTGTCTGTGTGTGTGTGTGTGTGAGTGTATCAGTGGAGACACTGGCTGTCTTCCACAGCCATATTGAGTATTAAGTATTTTTACATATTCCCAATTTAGTTTTTATTTACATATACATAATAGATACTTCCTATGTACGAAAAAAGGCACTGGAGTGTATTAATATCATGTAGAGACACAATGTTCTCTCGCGCTGTATGTATAATATTCTGGTATTATGGGATGCCTCTGTGGGGGGTGTGTGTTTATATACAGCAAGGTATAAAATGCAACATCAAGTGCATTTTACAGTGTACGTTTCAGGGGAGAGAACTGTATACCAAACCAGAAGACAAAACCACTAAAGGGGGCACAAATGCATGGTCAGGGGCTGGAGCCCGACTCTAGCTCCAGCTTTGACGCTCATGGACTGTGATTTGGACCTCAGTTTCTTCATTTGTGAAATGAGATAATTGGTCTTTTGTGATCCCCAAGTTCCCTTCTCACTCTGAGAGTCTGTGAGTCTGTAAAGATTGCACCTGCACGAGGGGGGATAGAAGGATAGGGAAGGATAAGGGAGGATAGGGAAGGGAAGGGAAGGGAAGGGAAGGGAAGGGAAGGGAAGGGAAGGGAAGGATTGGGAAGGGAAGGATAGGGAAAGGAAGGGAAGGATAGGGAAGGGAAGGGAAGGATAGGGAAGGGAAGGGAAGGATAGGGAAGGGAAGGGAAGGATAGGGAAGGGAAGGGAAGGGAAGGATAGGGAAGGGAAGGGAAGGGAAGGGAAGGATAGGGAAGGGAAGGGAAAGATAGGGAAGGAAAGGGAAGGGAAGGATAGGGAAGGGAAGGGAAGGATAGGGAAGGGAAAAGAAAGGAGGAAGGAGAGGAAAGGAAAGGAGAGGAGGATGGAGGGAGGGTTGGAAGAGGGACAGAAGGAGGGAGGGAGGTTAGCAGAGCAGCCTGCAGATGAGGCGGACGCCTATTTTACAGCACTCTGACGGGGTCCATTAGTAAGAAGAGACTAACGAAGCAGCTGAATTTTCACACCCATGGGGTGAGGGGAGTTGTGGTGGTACAAAAACAGACTCCTTCATGCTCTCAACTGAATTTCCTTTACAAGGAAAAACAAGTCTCTTGAGAAGTTGGAAAAACTTAAAAACCTGATATTCATTTTCATCACAGAAGCACAAAATCTTATTATACTTTAATAGGATAGCATTATAAACTAAAGGATTCTCTCTTCTAGCCCTGTTATTTATCTTTAAAAGTGGGTGGGAACAAGAACACAGATGTGCTTTCTGGATCAGGCTCGCACTCGGGCCCACCGCCCCGCCTTGCTCCAGCTCTCTCCCTGCCTGGACTGCCCCCACCTCTACCCTGCCAAGCCCTCTCACTCTGCAGGGTGCTGGGAGTCAGGGCCTTCTGCTAAGTGCAGGTGGGTGGGTGAGCCCCTCTCCCGGTCAGTGCCCTGCTTGGTTCGCCAGAGGACAAGGAGTCAGCATCTTACCTGCCATGTCCATCTGTCCACAGCTACAGGACCCTCGCCACAGAGCATGAGGCATTAATGCAGAAATACCTGCACCTGCTGCAGATCGTGGAGACAGAGAAGACCGTGGCCAAGCAGCTTCGGCAGCAGATCGAGGATGGGGAGATCGAGATCGAGCGGCTGAAGGCAGAGGTGACTGCGGGCTGGGGGGTGGGCCCAGGCCCTAGGCACAACATCTCAAACCCTGGGCTCCTGCAGGATTGGGGAGCCACATGACAGGCAGGGAAAGCAGCTCCCAGATGCAGTTCTTCCAGACTCCAAACTTAGGACGTGGTGGTACTGGCAGAATGAGAAGGTCCTGTGGTCAGACTGGGTTTAAATCTCACCTCTGTCACTTATTGACTGCAACCTGGAACAAGTCCCTCAATGTGCCTGTGCCTCAGTTTCTGCAGCTGTAAAACAGGGCTTTCTATAAACACCTGACCAGGTCGTGAGGATTGAGTGAGATTATCTACGGGCAAGCTCCTAGTTACTGTGTCAGCCACTGTATTGACTGAGCATTCTGCATTATTAGCCCAAGACTCTGGAGAGCGCAGGGTCACTGGTAGGTCATTAGAGTGTGGGCTTCTGCTCAACTCCAAGGCAGCCCCTTCCCTCCATCCATCTTGATGAAAGCTCCTGCAGCGGCCCACCAGCCAGCATTCTGGAGGCGGCATTGTTGCCAGACTAAGCCTCTTTGCACCTGGCTTCCCCAAGTGTGGTCCATGAAGCAGCAGCATTGGTTTCACCTGGAGCAGAATCTCAGGCCCCACCCCAGATCTTCTGAATTGGAATCTACAGTTTAACAGCCCAGGTGATTCCATTTACATTAAACCTTAGGAAGCACTAGCTCTTAGTCCCTTAGATGCCCCTCACCAGCTATCAACCCTGGCACAGAATGATCTGATCATCTCTTCCCCTTATCACCTCACCAGCATGCTCAGAACCATCTGGCCATATCATACAAGGACCACAGATTTTGCACTGAGGAGGGGAAAATGAAAACAAAGACTCCTGAAGTCAGCTGGGTATCTAATTTGCAGGGTCTGATGTGAGGTGAAAATGCAAGGCCCAGGCCAGGGAAGTCATTCTCCTGTCCCACAGCCTCCTGACTTGACTCATGGCAGACAGGCAGCACCCAACCTCAACCTGTAGCCTCCCCTGCCCTGACTGCCAGGAAGTGCGCAGTAGCTGGACTGGGGTGGGCAAGGAGCTCCTTCTGAGTCACCCACGTAATGCACCCTGGCACTGCCAGCCTGCAGCAGGGATGGCTGTCGCCTTGCCCTGCGACACCATGGGGCGCACACTGGACCCCAGCCTGCACCTATGCCCAGGCATCTGCTGAGGGTTGGGGGTGATGGTGGACTGTGAGTCTCCTCAGCTGACTCAACCGGTTGCTCCCTGAGCAGATGGTAGCAGAGGTCTTGGGGTCTGGGATGCCAGAGTGTGGGGAATAAGCAGCCAAGGACCCATCCAAGGAGCTGAAAAAGCGGTGGGAGGTAGGAACATGCATGAACCAAGGCTCCAAGAACCTGCAGTGTGCTCATGGTCCCATCAAATTCCACTCACTAAACACAATTCAAAGAGAAAACTATCTTAAGAATTTCAACAAAAGAGCTTAAAGTCCCGAATGCAGAGCCTTCTGAGCATAGGGCCCCATCACACCTGCGAATCCAGCTCTGCCTGGAATGTTCAAAGATCTAAAGCCAACAATTTCACCTTGTTCCGCAGCAGCCAAGCCCTGAACTAAGAGTAATATCAACTTGCAACCTCAAGGTCAACAAAAATTCCAGATTCTACACATCTCTGCTAGCCTGATAACAGGCACCTTCACGACATACTTTCATTCCCCACAACCATCCTGATAGGATCAGTCACCTGCATTTCACAGGAGAAACCAGACTCAGAGAGCCCAAGTCACTTGCCCAAGCTCACACAGCTGGGAAGTGGCAGAGCTGAGACTGGAACCCAGGTCTCCTGTCTGCTTGCCAGTCTTTCCACTCTACTCTGGTAGCCTCTTCCCACAGGGCTACCAGAGCTCAGTTCAGGGATGTCCCCACTCCGGCCCACCCAGTTCATTCTGGGATCAATCCTCGCCCAACACAGATTGCTAAATCTAAACTGAACTCCTGTATGGGATCAGGGAAGGAGTCCAGCCCCAGTACCAGATTATTAGCTTCATGATCAAGAGTGTCCAAGTGTCATTCATTCATTCACTTACTCACTCACTGAAGATCACCTACCACTGACCTCATCCTTTTCCCCAAGCACCACCTCTTCAGTCACTGTGGGCACCAGTGCACTATCCGCCTCCTGGCCTTTGCACATGCTGGTGCTTCTGTTTGGAATGCCCTTTTCATCCCCACGCATCCTACCTGGTGACATCCTACCAAGCTCAAACGCCTCACCCTGGGGGACCCCTGCCTCAGAGGGTGCTCCCTGCTGTCTGCTCCCATGGCTTTCCCACACTCAGCTCACCATGTGAGAGCAGGCTCCATGTGTGCCTGTCACCCCAACAGGCCTGGCAGGAACTCCATAAGGACGGGCTGTGTCGCTTATCACTCCTTCTTTTGGCCTGGCACACAGTAGGTACTCAGCAAGGGCTTGATGAGTGGACGGTTGTCAGGCTCGGTGGGAAGCATTAAAGAGATGACAGTTTCTGCCTTTGGGTCTGATTGTGGTAGAGTGTCTTCAGTGCCATAGTAGGGCTTGCGCTGTGAACCCAAGTCAGGAAATTGGTTGTTTGATAGCCTGGGAGGTGTGGGTTTATGTTGCACGTGGCCTTAAATGGTGTCAGGGCATTGTAGGTCAGAGAAGGGGTGTAGGTGCAAAGGGCAGAGCCCCCTGTGGTGTTGGGGAGCAGAAAGCAGGTCAGTCATGACTGAGTGAGAGAGTGTGTGTGTGTGTGTGTGTGTCTCAAAATGGCAGCAGAGACCCATTTGATGGGAATTTTCGGAGCAATGCTTCCAATTGAGTGTATTAGGGCAAGATATTTTTAAAGAAGACTTTGAAAGAAGGACCATCTTGGGAAAGCTTTCTGGCCATAGTGTCTCTCTTGGTCTCTCTCTGTCTCTCTCTCTCTCTGTTTCTCTCTCTGTCCCCCTGATATACACACACACATACACATATGCACAAACACGTCCTGCAGGTCAGAGGGTAGTTGCTGGCTCTGAGTGGGCTCTAGGAGAATGGAAACAGAGCTCATTCTTGAGGAGTGGCCACCAGGTGGGCAGGACACACTGAAAAGCCATGTGAGTGATGAGTGCCACCAGTGAGGAAGGCCCAGGGTCTTAGACTATTGGAGCCAGCAGGACTCTGAAGACACCAAGATCCATGGGGAGGAAGCGACTTACCCAAAGTCTCTCGCCTCCACCACTGGATCTCCTGGCTGAAATCCTTGGCCTGAGCCTGCCCCACCACAGCCTTCTCCTCCCTGCTGAGGAGAGGACCTTGATAACAGAGTACATATTCAGGAATGACAGTGTTGCCTGGATGGCCCTACACTCTCATAGTCCACCTCTCTTCTGATGGCCAAATAAGCTTCCTCAGGCCCCATCCCACATATTCCTGAGGATTCCCAGGGGTTTCCCTGGCCACCTCTTGCTTTCAAACTCCACTCTCCTGATCTATCACTGCACTTCTCATGGCTTCCTCCACTCAGTCTTCACTGCTGCTTTCCCCTTGTGTGGTCACTACCTGTATCTGTCAGAATAGGCTAGATTATGCTGCAGTAACACCCTCCAAATCTGAATGTCTTAAAACAACAGAGGTTGATTACTGACTCTGTGTGTCCATTGAGAGTTCTGCTGAAGACTCTGCTCCCCAAAATCCTCCAGTGATTGAGACACAAGCCAAGGAGGCTTCTGCCATCAAGAAATTCACCAGTCATATGGCTGGGCTGGGGAAAGGCACATGGCACACTGCTCACATCACATTGGACAAAGCAAGTCACGTGACTGTGCCCAACTTCAGAGGATCTGGGAAATACAATCCCACCATTTCCAAGAAGAGAGAGAACCAGAGTATCTGCAAAAGTCCCAACAACGACTCAGAGGAGGCTCCTCCTTCAGTCCCTACAACCCACGACACAGGCTGTTGTATGTAACAGAATGGAGGGGCACTCCACTATTAAAACAGAAAACAGCTCAAAAATGAATAGAAAACACCTCTGCCCTCATGTCACTCAGCCTTTCCTGCCACAACCATCCTTCACCAACCTCCCCTTTAAACACTGACTTCTCTCCTCACACTCCCACGTGCCACTTTTGTTGTTGTCCATAACCTCTTTCCCTACCAAGATCTTCCCCCTGCATCCAGTGATGTGCCAGAGCCTGCTTCTACCATTGGCCATTGGCCATCTGCACAACACTCTATCATGCCAGCTTGCAAGAGCCAACTGTTAGATTTTCAAGAATTTCGCTAGCTGGGTATTTGACCTTTGGTAGCTTGAAATGGGCTGAGCTAGAAATGGGCTGACATCATGGGAATTGGCAAATGCTACAAGTCAGTTTTCCTTTCAGAGAGCTTTACTGTTTATAATGTACCATCATATCATTGTCTGCAACTTTTTTCATGACCAGCTCTGTAATTTGCAGGGCTAAGCACAAAAGAAAATGTGAGGCCTTTAAAAACTTCGAGACAGCAACTGCAGAAGCTTAAACCAACCATTGGGCCCTTGTAAGCCTGGGGCTCTGTGCGAGTGCGCAGGCCACACATCCATGAAGCCAGCCCGTCTCTTCTCCCTCTGTGCCCTCCATCCTGTGGCACCCACCCCAGCCATCTCTGTTAACAGGAGATCATGCCGACACACGTGTAACTTTACTAAGTAAAACAATCAATCCACTGCTGACTTAGTCTCTTCTCTCCCTTCTAAACAATCCTATCAGGACTTCTCTTTCATTACCAGAAAGCCCCATGAAGGAACCATCTAAAACAAGGGAACATCTACCTATGAGAAGACTCCTCCCCTCCTCTAGAATGCTCAGTTTGGCATGATTTCATTTTCTTAATAGCTATTTCTCTCCCATTTGCAATTGGAAGTAAATTTGGAGAGCTAAGACAGGCCCTAAAGGGCAGCATAGGAGTTTGCAGGTGGCTGTAATATTTTATTGGAACGGGAACACACATATCCTAGAAGGCTGACAGTGGAGGGAACTGCAGAGATCTTTACCCTAAGGTTCAAAATGAAGACTTAGCCTTGGAATCAGTTTTGGGTTGGTTTTTCTTTTTTTTTCGATCTTGTCGCCCAGGCTGGAGCGCAATGGCACAATCTCGGCTCACTGCAACCTCTGCCTCCCAGGTTCAAGCAATTCTCCTGCCTCAGCCTCCCAACTAGCTGGTATTACAGGTGTGCGCCACCACACCCAGCTAATTTTTGTGTTATTAGTAAGATGGGGTTTCACCATGTTGGCCAGGCTGGTCTCAAACTCCAGACCTCAGGTGATCACCTGCCTCAGCCTCCCAAAGTCCTGGGATTACAAGTGTGAGCCATTGCAACTGGCCTAGAATCAGTTTTGCAAACACACTTTGATGTGGAACCCCAATATACAAAATAGATAGAAGACTGCTCTGGGGAAAGGAGGGGAGGGTGGCCTTGGTCCTTCCCCACCAGCACCCCCTCTCCATGGCCACCCTCCCTGCTGTGGCCCTGCTCCCCATCTCTCCTGCCATCCCCCATTCCCAAGACCTGCTGCCCTGGCACACAACACTCTATCACACCCATGCCTTTGTTCATATCATTCCTTCTATTTGAATTCCTTCCCCCACATATACCAACTGTTGGACTCCTGTTTGCCCTTCAAAACCTTTCCTGGGGAGCCTTGCCACTTCCTGGCCAAGGCTCTCCCATGGCAGTGGGTACACAGCTCTGTTCTGGCCTGGCCTTGTTGGATTGCAAGCCACCTCTATGAATGCCTGACCTCCTTCTTAGGCTGGGAGCTCCTCCAAGGAAGGGGCACTTGGCATGGTGCTCAACACAGACACCATCAGAGCATGCTGATAAGGTTGGCACAAAGGGAAACAGAGATGGGGGGCACCTGTTGGGCTTGGATGGGGGCAGAGGGAAGCAGGGAGGCAGGAGAGAGAGCTGAGCTGTGTGGCACCTGCTTGAAAAGCAAGCAATGCAGCAATCTTTAGTAAACCATTGGCTGCTAACAAAGAGAAAAAGATCTGGATTAATTCCATC
This sequence comes from Homo sapiens, assembly GCF_000001405.40. NCBI lineage: Eukaryota > Metazoa > Chordata > Mammalia > Primates > Hominidae > Homo > Homo sapiens. Next base: position 79,052,302 of record NC_000015.10, on the reverse strand, counting down.
ACCCATTACTGCACTGACTAAACACATTCCAGGTTAAAGAAAGTGTCTCCAGAGAGGGGAGTAGGGTGGAGCAGGAGCCATTGCACCGTGCCCAAAGCAGGTGTAGCAAGTGACAGTTTGCCTCTAGGGGGCAAAGAAAGCCAGTCTGAGGGTGGTGGGTGGGCAGGAGCCAGCCAAGACACCAGGCATGGAGCCAGGTGTGGAGTCGGCCAGCCAGAGTCAGGGTGTGAGCCAGAGGTCCAGTTCCCCATGGCTGTAATTCACGAGGGTCAACTAAGTAGGGGCAGGATGTAACCAAACAAAGCAGGGTGCAAAGCAAAATCTACTTCCAGGAGGCACCTGCCAGTGTCAGGGAAAGGCTGCCTCCATGAGCCCTCCATGAGCCCTTTAGGCCTGGGGCTCCCACCACCATCCCGATATTGGCTCCTAGTTGCAATGGGCCAAGACTAGACATAGTTCAAGACTTTTGCAGTCCCCAGGCTTGCAACCCTCCAGAGCTTTGCCCACTTAGCTTGATCCTTAAATAAAGCCTCCAAAGTTTTTGTTGCCTGCGCATGTAGGATGGTGCCTGACCTAATTGCATCTATTTTCTGCCCTAGTCCCTGTTGAGTAGATGTCCCGGAATGCCTCTCTCTGAGAAGAGCACCATCAGTTTTAAACACAGACCACTTCCCCAAGCCCAGCACACATACACACACATATCACCATCCTAAAGTGAAAAGGGGTGCTATGTGCAAATCCCAAAACTGGCAAAGAAAGCATCCTGGCACAGAGGTGAGAAGAAGCCGAAGGTAAAAGTGTTGACTGAACAGGCTCCAAAGGCGGTGTGTGTGTGTGTACGCTTGCGTGTTCCTTAGCCCTTTAGAGTCCAGATCAAAGAATCAGTCATCATTTCAATGTGCAAATGTTCTCAAAGGATCGAAAAGGGGGAGGGGGTGGGGAGAAAAGCCCATCTCCACACTGACTATTTCTCAGTTAGATATTTTCAGCCACTCTTCAATCACAGGCTGCGGTAATTTTAGCAACCAGGGAGTGGAGAGCGGGTAACTGTTCCATTTTGCTTTCAAAGTGCTTGATTCACTCAATTATGAGCGCCCATTCATCCTGTGGTTCAGCAAGTGGCCTTGAGGGGACAAAAGCCATGTGTTCCCAAGAGAGAACAGCACTGGGCTTTGCGGCTTTGTTCGTAGAATCCCCTGAGCTACTATCTTTAGACATGTGGGGCTTCATTACTGCAGTGTTTTCCCTTGGTTAATGTTTTTGTTGCTGCTGTTGCTCTGATTTTTTTTAATTCACTTATTTGTGTAGACAACAAGAATGTGTTGAGTGCCCAACCTTGCGCTAGGCACCAGGAGCACAATAAATGAAACAGCTGCAATCCCTTCTCCCTTAGAGCTCACGGCAAAGATAGAAGAGTAGACAAGCAATTCCAGCATTTTCACAGGAAAGTCCATGGTGCTGTGGGAACCCTGCTACAGGACACAAAACAAGGACTCACAGAATTGGAGTGGTTGGACGAGCCCTGCGCAGGAGGATACACCACTGGCCTGTCTATGGGATGAGTCCCAGAGGCCCCTGGCCACAGTGCAGCTTAAGGTGTACCTTCTCCTAGGCACCATGCCTTGGTTTTGTTCTTGCAGCTATGTCGACATCTGTGATCCCCAAATTATGCAAATGGAGATGTTTAGAGCAGCTAGATATTTGAAGAGCTGCTCCACTTTTCTAGGCCAGCAGTTTCCAGGTTATGATTGAAATAGGCCTCTGATTCTAAGAGGTGCTTTGGGGCTGCCCAGGAAGGAAAGCGCCAAGCCAGCAGGACTTCACCCGGAGCCACCTGCTCTATCTGATTTATATCCAGATACAATTTTGTTTGAAAAATAAAGGGATTACCTAGATGCCCATCAAAGGGGGAATGGATAAATAAAATGTGGTCTACACACACAAGGGAATATTGCTTGGCCTTGAAAGGGAAGGAAATTGACCCACGCTGCAACATGGAAGAAACTTGAGGACATTATGCACCATGAAATAAGCCGGTCACAGAAAGACAAATAGTGCATGATTCCGCTTAGATGAGGTACCTAGAGGAGTCCAATTCAGAGGCATAGAAGGTGGAATGTGGTTGCCAGGGACTGGGAGGAAGGGGAATGGAGAGTTATTGTTTGATGAGTACAGAGTTTCAGTTTTACAAAATGAAGAGTTCTGGAGGTAAATGGTGGTGATGGTTGCACAACAATGTGAATGTCCTTAATGCCACTGAACCATACCCTTAAAAATTGTTAAAATGGTAAATTTTAATATGTTACATGTGTTTTATCACAGCAAAAATTATTTTTAAAAAAAGGGACCGGTTGTTTGGGGAGTAGGGAGGAGAACCACAGATTTAGGCCAAATTCTGAGATTACAAATGAGGTGGCTACAGCCCCGAGAGCAGAAGGGCTTCGTCCAAGGTCACTCTGGTTGGGCAGCCCAGCTGGCCTGGAACCCAGGTGTCTACCCATCCCCCGTGCAGCGCTTCTCACAGATGTCTGGGGCCTGTCTGGTTCCATGACCTGGATGCACAGAGTCAGAATCACAAGCTGTGGCATCATGGCTCTTGGGGAAGAAGAGGCAGGGCACTCGGCTGCCACCCTGTTCCTGCCACCCACCGGCCAAAGACCTGGGGCCTCTGTGAGCCAGCGCCCCTCACAGGCTGACCTGTGTTGCTGTTGCAGATCACATCCCTGCTCAAGGACAATGAGCGCATCCAGTCCACCCAGACTGTCGCCCCCAACGATGAAGACAGCGACATCAAGAAAATTAAGAAGGTCAGTGCTATCCCTCTGGGTGGCCTTCTTTGGAGCTCTCTCTTTAGAGAGCCAGCCCAGGGTTGGCAGTATCCACACCACAGCCCCACTGTCCTCAGAGCGTGCCCCCCATCCCCCAACCTCAGCTCCAAAGACAGAGCCCACACTCCCTTATCCCTGAAGGGTACCCTGTCAAGTCATTTCTTCTGGTTGTCCCTATGGGGCAGAGTGCTTCAGCCCATTTTATAGATAAGAAAACAGGTTCCACAAGAGGAAGGAGTGGGGAAAGCCAGGACAGAAACCCAGGCCTGGGACTCTCAGCTGACTGCTTTCCTCGCATTGCCATTCACCTTGCCAAGACCCCCAGGGCCACCTCTCCACTGCCACTCCCTGGCATGCCACCCCCACTGCCATGTACACGCCACCTCTCACAAGTACCTCCTGAGTCCCCAGCAGACCCAGCACGGTAGTCCAGCCTTTTTCAGACCTCACTGCTTTTACCCTATTAGAGTTCAGGAGGGACAGACATCTCAGAAGCTACCAAGGATCTGCCCAGTGGCCAGGTAGTGACATACCATGGGCCACCCTGTGGTGGTGTGGCAGAGGGAAGGAGCGTGGGCTGTGTTTGTAGCTTGCCAGACTCAAGACAGGGGAGCCTGACTCACCCTAAGAAAAACAGGTGAAACCACGGAATCCTATTTGTTGAGTGCATGAAAGGACCCCAACGCCATCCCTAGAAACTGCAAACTGGCATCCCATGGGCCAAGTTCAGCGTACCAGTGTGTTTGAGATTTTGAGATTTTCATCCCACACAGTGGGCTTTTTTTGGTTTACATTTTTAAAAATTTGTTGCCAGTGCTTTAAAAGCTAAACACATCACACAAAAATCTGGATTTCTGGTTTCTCAAGAATAGAAATAGCTAACATTAATTAACTACTTTTTATGTGCCAGACATTATTTTAAGAGCTTTATGCAGATTAATTCTATCCTCACTAAAATCCTCTGAGGTTTATTTATTATTTTCATTTTACATATGGGGAAGCTGAGACACAGAGAGGCAAAGGAACTTGCCCAAGGTCACACAGCTAAGTATTTACAGAGTAACATTCAAACCCTGGCGGCCAAGCTCCAGAGGCTATGCTGCCGGGACACAACATCTCCTTAAAAAGCAGAAGGCCCAGCAGCCCCAGGCCACCTCCTGCACATAACAGCAGCCAGCCCAGGCAAGAGGTGCCACCTTATGACATCCCCCACCCCCAGCTAGCCTCACGCACCTCTAGGAACTGCCAGGGCCCCACAGGCATTGGGACTTGCCACCCAGGTCTGAGTCAAGTCCCACCTGGGCAGAGACGCCCTGACCGGTGTTCTCTACTACAGCCCCAGTGAGCTTCCCAGCTCACCCCTGTATTTGGAGCATTCTGGTTGGAACATTTTGTTAAAGGCTAGCTGAAATCCACCTCCCATCGCTCTATTTTCACCCTCCTGGAGCCTCAGAGTAAGCCCCTCCCTCTTTGAGAAAGCCCTTCCTATCTTCAGAGATAGCTCTTGGGCCTCGGGCAGGCCTCTTCTGTCTACGGCACCCATCTCTAGCCAGCAGGTCTGCCCCTGGACAACTGTACCTGCTGTTTGGAGACAGCGGTCCTTTCAGTGAAGAATACTGTATGAGCACCTCTGCCTGATCCCAGTACCCTTCCTCCCAGTGTGGACCGTGAGCTTGCACACAGCTCAGAGGCCCCTTGATTGGAAGCCTGTACAGCTTAAAACAACTCTGTGTGTGTGTGTCAATCAAGGCCCTTTCCCAAGTTCTTGCCAACATGAGGCCACTCCAAGCAGCCCAGCTCCAAGGCAACTGAGTTAAGTGTCTCTGTTCATTTCCCTACTGAGTCAGGAGGAGAGGCTCCAGGCAGGCACTAGGACTCAGAAGCCGCTGATGAGGGCTAAGTATGAGATTAACTAATTTTCCATGTTCCGTTCAATTTGATAATCACCCTTCTATCCAAAAGAGCTTTAATTTAAACTTCTGGGCTCTCAGGCAAGTCATTAGACAAGACAAGGCATGAGCTGTGCCCAGCAAGGCCCTGCAACCCTTTATCCTCGGGCGACCTCCCATTATGGAGACATAGAGCCACATTTTTCCTCCTCCAGCGAATGCTTCCAAAGCAACCCAGGGGTCTTGTTAAACTGCAGAGGTCTGGGGTGGGGCTTGAGAATCTGCATTTCCAATAAGCTCTTCAGAGATGCCGATCCAATTTGTGGACCACACTTTCAGTCTAGCCATCATCTCTTTAGCCCCATTTTACAGATGGGAAAACTGACTCAGGGCAACCAAACAACTTGCCCTGTATCATGTGGGCAACAGAGCTATGCCTGGTCTACATCTGAGCTCTTTTTGCTACATGCCCGGCGTAGGAATAACAAAGCCTTGGTTCCTACCCTTGGGGAGCTCACAGCCTGGAAGGACAGGAGTGGTCCAGACTCCCTGACAGGAGCCTCTCCCCACCGGTCTTGCTGCTCAGGTGCAGAGCTTCCTGCGGGGCTGGCTGTGCCGGCGGAAGTGGAAGACCATCATCCAGGACTACATCCGGTCACCCCATGCTGACAGCATGCGCAAGAGGAACCAGGTGGTGTTCAGCATGCTGGAGGCTGAGGCTGAGTACGTGCAGCAGCTGCACATCCTTGTCAACAATTTCCTGCGCCCGCTGCGGATGGCCGCCAGCTCCAAGAAGCCTCCCATCACACACGACGACGTCAGCAGCATCTTCCTGAACAGGTGAGCACCCCTAAAGGTTGGCCAAGGCAGGAAGGAGACTAGTGAGCATTGGCCGCAGCTAAGCTTTGACACACTCTCTCACGTGGTTCCCACCGAGTGCAGATGAGGCCCAGAGAGGACAGAAGTGCCCAAGATCACGTGGCTAGAAACCACCAACCCCAATAATTGTGGGGTCTGGGGCAGGGGCACAAATGTAGGCTCACAAAGTATAGGTCCAAACCAGTGGGCCTCAACTGGGGCAGTTTTGCTCCGTGGGGAACACTTAGGAATGTTTGGAAACATTGTTGATTGTCACCACTTGAGGGAGGTTGCTGTTGGCATCTAATGGGTAGAGGCCAGAGGTGCTGCTAAATATCCTACAATATGCAGGACAGTTCCCCATCAACAAAGAATTATTCCAACTACAATGTCAGTAGTGCCACGGTTAAGGAACCCTGGTTTAAATGTTTAAGAGTTATAAATCAAGCTACAAAACGTAAACTAAAGTACCTTATTCTTTGACCTTGATACCATCATAATGACCTGGAGGCCAGGTTGAAACTTAGAATTCTCAGGTGCCTTAGAGTTCTGCTGTGGACCACGCTACCCACATGTCTTACAAAGAAGTCACTTCTCCCAGATGGTGACCCTGGCATTAATATGGGGCTTGTGGTTCTTCAGAAGGCTGTGCTGACGGCTGCTCTTCTGCTGTCAACTTCTTTTTAAAAGGAAATGGTTTAAATGAGCTTTCTGGTTGGTGATAAAATTGTATAAACTAGATAAAAGCAACAAAACAGCATGCTATTTACAATGGAATGTCATCTAAGAATTCAAGTAAATCATTATGTTCCCCTATCATTCAACTACATTTCTTTTCAAATATTCAGCATTCAGTCCTTTCACTAATCTCAACCAGCCTTTTCTCCAAGCCCTCTGCATGAATATTTGGGACCCAGGGCCACCTTCCCTGTGTCCTTCTCTTCCCCCTTTCCCTAACAGTGTGATGTGCTGAGTTTGAGGGGACTGTGGAACACCCCAGCGTGGGGATGTATGAGGTTGTGAGTCAGACATGAGTCTGAGGCTCAGGTGAGAGATTGGGCTGAAGAAACTGAAAGTCACTGGGGTGGGACAGGTTGACACCATAGATGTGGGCAAGCCATCAGAATATGGGGGACAGAGAGAGAAGGAAAGAGAGAGAAGCAGGCAGGAGGAGGAAAATAGCTTTTGGCCTCATGAGACCTTTCGAGACCAAATCACAGGGCCCCACAAGGCTGCTTTTTAATAGACATGTTGATCACAGTTCTTAGACATTCAATAAATGCTTTTATGCATTGACTAAAACAACAACAAAAAAGAGAATTAGGTGTGTGTGAAATCAGGTAACATTTAACCCAGAAAGTGGGTTGTTTAGATTCAGTGACCTGGAATTTGAATGAAAAATGTGAAGAACGTGTTCCTTGCTGAGCAAACCCTGGATAGCTCAGCTGACTTCACATATTCTCAAACACAAGCCCATCTGTAGGTCTGGGTGGAGCCCAGGGGACTGCATTTCCAACAAGCTTGCAGGTGCTGCTGATGCTACTGGTCCCAGATGGCACCAAAATGGGAGGCTTGAGATAAACAGAGGTGGCTGTCTGTGTTTATCTCCACCATGACTCCTTATTTGAGGTTTACTTCAGGAGGCAGTAGTGTAGTTCTATGTTGTTTGTGCTTTTTTTGCATTTTAGGCCACCATTGCAAACTTTTGGTGACCATTTATCATCATCACTAAGAGGTGTCCTTTTGTGTTTGTTACCTTTTCGTAATTTTATTATACTTCATTGATTCATCTGAAATAGAATTCTTTTGACCTGGAATCTTTGGTAGAGAATATTCATGCCAGCTCACAGCATTTGTTCAAAAGTTGTTCAGAAAAAAAAATCACAACATGGTTTTATATTTTTATCTTCAAAGAACTGAATGGATCAGGTCAGATACCTTTAATGGAGAACAAATGAGAAAGAGGAAAGGGGGATTTTGCCTTCTCATGAAGCTGATATTTTCAACAATGACCTCAAAAAGAAACACGATAGACCTCAAGATAGACCCAGGAATCCTTCAGCAGGGCAACTGGAAAGATTTACCTAAATCTGTTTTTCCCTTTCTGTTGTCAATACAAGGCAGTCCATAGGGTTGGGCCCCAGCAATGATTAGGGATGGAAGGAATGGGTTGGTAGCCAGCAGCCCCACCAAAGGCAAGGACACTCATCCACTCACTCATTCAACAGACAAGCAACACAGAGTGCCTCCCTGCGTGCTGGGTTCACATATACAGAGTGAGCCATGCAAACCCCACCATCAGGTCAAATGATCCAGCAGATGTTTACCATGAAATGTGGTGAGAACCACCAAAGAGGCTCCCTGGAGGAGGTGGTGTCTGAGCTTAGTCTTTAAGGACATGAGAGAGTTTACAGGAGGAGGAGGAGGAGGAAAGAACTTTCCAGATAGAGAGAACAGCATGTGCAAAGGCCCAAAGATGAGAGTGGGACTTGATTCTGGAGGCAAGAAGGAGCCATCACACATTTCAGGCAGAGAATGTCATGGTCAGGTCTGTCGCAGGAAACTCAGCCCCTCTGCCATGTGGAGGGGCACTCCTTGGGGAGAGTGGAGTATGGGAGGCTGGTAGACAGGCTAAGTGAGCATGGAGGGATTCCAGGGCCTGAGCAGGCATGACTGCCCAGCACATGTTTGCATCCTGCCAGCAGAGGCAAATGTGCATCTGAGTGCACTTCCCTGGTGCCTTGTAGGGGGCTGGATAACTGAAGGCTGGTGGACCCAGAGGCAAAAGTTCGGAAGAGTAATGAGCTCCCTATCACACTAAGAATTCAGAAGAGTAACCCTTTGTCAGAAACATCAAAGAGGTTTAGAAGTTGAATTAGATGCCCTTTAAGATCCTCCAGCTCTGAATAGTGACACTATGACTGTGATGCTTTCAGGGCCTCCTGGGCAGTGTGCATGCCTGCCTAGAACAAAGATGAGTGGCATCCTCCACAGGCTTCAGCCTGAGAAGCTCCCTTACCCATCCCCATCTCCCCAGGTAGCCACTTCTTCATCCCAAGGATGCTGCCCATTTCACCTTCTTTACAATGGGTCCAAGGCCAACTGTTGCCTACTTTAGCAATCTTATTGATCCCAGGAAAAAATAGCAGCAGCCTGGTGAATTCTCAAGACCTCTAGAATATGGACTCTAGAGGTCATCAGAAAAGGCTTCCCCAGGAATGGTACCTGCCTCTTACAGGCACTGAAGGATCAAAGAAGAGACTTGGTGTAAAGTGTTTAGCACAGAGCCCAGCGTAGCCCAGGTGCTCCATAATAATGCACCCTGCAAGAAATCAAAATCAAATATAACATGGAAGGAACACTTCTGACTCATTTTACAAAGTCAGCATTACCCTTATATCACAACCAAATACATCACAAGAAAACTACAGCCCAATATCCCTCATGTGCATATATACAAAATAGCAAAGTGAATCTAGCAATATATAAAAAGAGTAATACATCCTGATCAAGCAGGATCCATCCCAGGAATGCAAGGCTGGTTCAACATTGAAAATCAGTCAATGTAATTTACTCTATTGTCTTCCTAGATTAAGTGAGAAGACCTGGTGGTTATATCAATGGTTGCAAGTCTGACGAGGCTGGTTCCTCTCCTCTACCCTGGTCCCTGTTCTCAAACAGGTGCAAGCCAGAAATCTTTCCTTCCCCAGGGGTCAGGATGGGAAGGAAGAGCTGGAACATGACTGCCTCCAGATCATCCTCGCTTTATACCTGATCACTTAGGGACAGCACAAGCTTCACTCTCTTAAGCTCTATGCTTTTTTGCAAACATAAGGAACTATTTTTTGTGACCTTAAAACAGCCCCCACTCAGCACTTTGCAGGATTGAAGCTTCTGGACTATACTTCCCACACTACAGCAGGGCTTTGTGGGACCTGCATTGTGCTGGGCTCTCTGCCAGCACTTGGCCTGCATGCTTTCTGATCCTCAGAGGCACCCATGAGGCTGGAGCCAGGATCAGAGAGGTGGCAGGAAATGCTCAATAGCACACAGAGAGTGGGGGCAGGCTGGGATTGTAACCTAGATCTGTTTCATGGTAAGGCCCCAGCTTCCCCCTGCTGCCTTGTTAAATAATGGGTTGGAATTCTCTCCAGCAACCCATTTTCCTTGCCCCCACTGCTAATGAGTGTGGGTCATTACAGCACAGGTCTGGGCATGCACCCTCTGTTGGAGAACTCCCCCTTGTGTGTGAGCCCCACCTTTTCACTTGCTGTCCACGCTGTGGGGGCTGATCCAGGATGTGAACCTCACTGCTCTCCCTGCCTCAGACCACAGCACAGAGGTCTGTGTGTCATAAGCCACGGTGGAGCTGCTAGCTCACTTGCTGGAAAGCTTTTTCATATGTAGCTGTCCCCTAGATTTGCTTTTAGGCTGAAATATACAGCCACATTAGAAACCTGGTGCTAATTTGATGATTTAATTTACTGAAGCTCATTTTAAAAGGTCCTTGGGAAGAGAGAAGCCTCTCTCCAGCTTGGCAGATTCATTGAGGATGTTGCAGAGCTGGGGAGGGTGTTAATTGTGTACTTCTCAAATAGGGGGGAAAAGATCTTTGAACGAAACATTTGCAGCAGGCTTTGTTCAGCCAAGACAATAAGCTTAGAGACGGGCTATTTCCCTTTAATAAAAACCATGCCCAGCACCATGTGCAGGGAACCACAGGTGTTGCCCATGACAAGAGGCATCCTGTCCCAGTGGCAGATGGTTTGTATCTTGCTTCCTGCGCTGACTGATTGGCAGTGGCTGCCTGGAGCCCTGAGCTGAGGGAATGATGAGGTTCAGCAGGGGAGCATGCCACAATCAATTCATCCTGTCTGCATGGGCTGGAGGGTGACGAGGGGCAGGCCCTGGAACCCATGATGAGTGACTGGTGCAATGCAACAGGCAGGGTGTGGGGGCAAGAGTGAGGGGGCCTGGTTCTGTCCTGCTCCTGCCCAGTCCTATCTGCCTTGGACTGGCCTTGGGTATGTCATGCCCCTTTCTGGGCTCAGGGAGGGAACCAGGCAAAATGAACATGTCCTGCAGTCAGGCCACTTCTCTGGCTGGAACATTCTTCCTACCCTACTCTCCTTCCAACAGCAGTCCTACTCTTTGTTCATGTCTTTCCTTGGATGCCATGTCCCTGACCACCCCCACATCCCTTGCTGCCATTGGCTTATGTCCCCTTGTCGTGCTGTCCCAGAGCCCCTATGCTTCTCTTTGTTGCATGCATCACACTTAAATAAAGATTTCTTTTTGTGTCTAGGTCTCTCACTATATTAACTGTTCAATATGAATGGGGACAAGGCCATAGATTACAGCTGCACCAGCTGTGCACTGCACAATTCTGGGAGCACCATTCGCATTGCACAGGGGTGGGTGGACTTTATTCTGTAAAGAGCCAGATAGCAAATGATTTAGACTTTGTGGGACATACCATTTCTGTTACAACCAAGCAGTCACAGATAATCCAAAAACAAATGAGTGTGGCTATATTACAATAAAACTTTTCTTTTGTTTTCAACCATTTAAAAATGTAAAAATTATTCTAAGCTCTCAGGCCACGCAAAAACAGCAGCTATGCTAGATTTGGCCCATGAGCTGTACTTTGCCAACCCCTGGCATACACTAGACTGTGAATGGTGCCTACTAGAATTGTGCATCCAGCAGCCTTGATGGGGACTATTTCTGTTTTTATCATTGCTGGAGTTAGACACAGGGAGACCACTGTCTGAGCAAGTGCCTGAAACCTAGTAGGTACTCAATCACTATGTGTTGAATGAGTGAATGGAACACTAGCTCTGCAAGATGTTATCAGGTATTCCATCTTCAAGGGGTCATGTAGATTTGAGAAAGGTGCATGGTATATTCCCCTTAAAGAGTTGCAATGAACTTGGCATTTTAAAAGAATCAATCATTTTTATTTAAACTGTTATAGAACATATGATAAAAGTGGAAAACTTCCCAATTTTTTTTTACCAAAACTTGATTTTAAAAATAGCACATTTGTGTGTGTACAGACTCTCTCTCTCTCTCTAGCTCTCGCTCTCGCTCTGATAAGTAGAAGAGCTATGTGAACAAAGGGGGTGGTGAGAGCAAAGGGAATGGCCTGTGCAAAGGCCCTAAGGCAGAAGAAAGCAAATCCAGGGAACAGAAGGCCAGAATGGTAAGAGGGCATAGGGAAGAGGGAGTAGCCCATGAGACAGACAGAGGCAGTTCCTACAGGGTGTTGAAGGCCAAGTTAAGGCCACTCCCCCTGATTAGATTCAATTTTTAAGAGATGAATCCACTATGTAGAGAATGGGTGGACCAGGGGCAAGAGTGGAAGCAAAAGACCAGTTAGGGGCCCACTGACAACAGTCTAGGCAGAGGTGACAGGGGTGGCAGATGCAACAGACAGAAGACAGCAGAATCAGCAACTTTGATGGAGTAGATATAGGGATGAAGGGGGGAGGGGGTGATAGGTGATTCCCAGGTTCCGTCTGAGAGGCTGGTGGGAAGGGCTGCTATTTAATGAGAAGAGAAGGAGGAGAAGCAGCTCTGTGGGGTAGACCCGAGGTCAGGGTCAATAAAAAAAAAGTCCTAAAAACTATTAGGAGTTCATGTTGTTAAAATATAAGCAAAATCAGGCTGGGCACAGTGACTCATGCCTCTAATCCCTGCACTTTCGAGGCAGAAGGATTGCTTTAGCCAGGAATTCAAGGCCAGCCCGGGCAACATAGGGAGATCCCATCTCTACAGAAAACTTAAAATTAGAATGTCATGGTGGTACACACCTGTAGTCCCAGCTTCTCAGGAGGCTAAGGTGGGAAGATCACTTGAGCCCAGGAGGCCGAGGCTACAGTGAGCCGAGATCACACCACCATACTCCAGTCTGGGGGACAGAGCAAGACCCTGTCTCAAAAAAAAAGAAAAATCAGTAGTTTTTCCCTATATCTACAGCAACCACTTAGAAAATATACTATGAGAAATAGCAACAAGAACATAAACTGTCTAGGAAGAAACACAGGACCTATGTGATGACGCATAAACAAAGACACAGTAAAGTAGAGAGATGCACCTGGATGAAAAGATGTGTGTCGTAAAGATGTCATTTCACCCAAAATATTCTGTAAATTTAATGTAATACCAATCAAAGTGCAGCCTAGCAAAATGATTTTAACATTCAATTGGAAGAATGAATGCATACAAACAGATAATGTTCTTAAAAAACAACAATGAAAGAATTCCCCACCTGTAATTAAAATATATTATAAAGGCTTATAAATATATTGTAAAATAACAAAAACAACCTAAGACTAATCCAAGATCAACAAAATAAAATAGAAAGTCCAGAAAGAGACTTAAGCATATATTAGAATTTTTCTTTTTTTTTTTTTTTTTTTTTTTTTTGAGACAGGGTCTCACTCTGTTGCCCAGGCTGGAGTGCAGTGATGTGATCTTGGCTCACTGCCAGCCTCTGCCTCCTGGGCTCAAGCCACCCTCTCAACCTCCTTAGTAGCTGGGACCACCAGTGTGCACCACCATTCCTGGCTAATTTTTTTTATTTTTTGTAGAGACGGGGTCTCCCTATAGTGCCCAGACTCAAGCGATCCTCCTGCCTCAGCCTCCCAAAGTGCTGACATTACAGGCGTGAGCCACCTCACCTGGCAAGAATTTGGTAACTATGAAAAACCAGCCTAGTAAAAAGCTGGTATATTTGATTAATTGGTTAATCTGGCTAATTGGTTAGCCAGAATTGACAACTGGCTAACCAAACTGAGGGAAAGGCTATGTCTATCTCCCTTATTCATATCGTACACCAAAGCAAACAATAGTTAAGTATTTACATGTAAAAATGAAACAATAAAATAATATATATGTGAGTATGTAAGCAGTTTGGGAGTGGGGAAAGATATGATTCCCCAAGCCAAGCAGAAAGAAAATGGTCTGCCTTACAAGGAAAAATGGAAAAACTTCAGAATAACACCAGACACAAAATCAACAGGCAAATAGCTGAGCAAAGATGTCTACAACATAGATGTCAGACTATACACTTAATATAGTTATTTAAAATTAATAAGAGAGAAGATTAATAAGAGAGAAAATAGCAATGAACATGACTAGGCAATTTTTTAAAAAGAAATACAAATGGCCAATATATAAGAAAAATGTTCAACCAACCCATTAATAATTTGATTTTTTTAAGCAAATCAAGTCAATATGAGATAATTTTTTTAGTTGGCTGGGCAATGATAGTAATTTCTGAGTAGTAGGATTACAAGTGAAATTCTTTAAATTTAACCTTAGAAATGGAGGCTTCATCAACTAAATTTTTATAATTCTAGCTTATGATGTTCCTGATATGCTGCTACACAGGCATGTGCAGTATTGGGATATAAGAAGGTTCATTTCCTCCCTGGTCCATCCTGAACAGTTGTCTGCTGTGCTGAAGCTGTCTGGGAATGGCTAGCCTAACTCTTGCCATGGCAGTACTCAGGGTTATCTAAAAGGATCTAGACATATGTCAAGATCCTATATATCAGGGGTCCCCAATCCCTGGGCCACAGACTAACACTGGTCTGTGACCTGTTAGAATCTGGACCCCACAGCAGGAGGTGAGCAGTGGATGAGCAAGCAAAGATTCATCTGTATTTATAGCCACTCCCCATTGCTCACATTACCACCTGAGCTCCACCTCCTGTCAGATGAGTAGCAGCATTAGATTCTCAAAGGAGCACAAACCCTATCATGAACTGCACATGTGAGGGATCTAAGTTGCGTGCTCCTTATGACAATCTAATGCCTGATGATCTGTCACTGTCTCCCATTACCCCCAGATGGGACCATCTAGTTGCAGGAAAACAAGCTGAGGGCTCCCATTGATTCTAAATTATGGTGACTTGCATAATTATTTCATTATATATTACAATGTAATAATAAAAGAAATAGGCCAGGCATGGTGGCTCACGCCTGTAATCCCAGCACTTTGAGAGGCCGAGGCAGGTGGATTACCTGAGGTCAGGAGTTTGAAACCAGCCTGGCCAACATGGTGAAACCCCATCTCTACTAAAAATACAAAAATTAGCCTGGCATGCTGGGGCGCACCTGTAATCCCAGCCACTCAGGAGGCTGAGTCAGGAGAATCGCTTGAAACCGGAAGGAGGAGATTGCAGTGAGCCGAGATCGCGCCATGGCATTGCAGCCTAGGCAACAGAGCAAGACTCCACCTCAAAAATATAATAATAATAATAATAATAATAGAAATAAAGTGCACAATAAATGTAATACACTTGAATCGTCCTGAAACCATCTCCCCACCGCACCTCCCCCACCCCACCATCCGTCTGTGAGAAGATTGTCTTTGACAAAACCAGTCCCTGGTGCCAAAAAGATTGGGGATGGCTGCCAAATATGGCTCCCTCAAGAACCCCTGAGAGTCCCCTGACCTGACCTCCTTGCCTCCCACCTCAAGTCAGACATTCTTCCTTCTCTGCACTCTCATGCACCCCTGGGTTGGTCTCTTGCTACTGGACATTTTGAAGGGTCTTCACATGTGGACTCCCAAAATTCTTAAAATTGGAACATTTATCCATTCAACAAACTCGTTTGGGGGTCAGAGCCAGACAGAAACCAGCCTTACCAAGGGTCATAAGAAGTTGCTATACCTGGAGGGACTGTCTCTCTTGGAACTTTAGGGAGATGATAGACAATTCACAATACTGGTGGGATCCACACTCAGAAGTGAGAGCTCAAAGTCTTCTCTGCTTGGATTTTTAAGTTCGCATTGGTTTCGGTCTTTCTCAGTTTTCCTTTCTTTCTGTATATTCTCTGGAATGCAGTTGCTAGTTTCGCCCTTTAGCCTGGAGGTGTTGTGTTCTGTTCTGTTCTCTCTCCCTCCCTTTCTTCCTCCCTTCCTCTCTTATCTCCCTCACCCCTTTCTCTCTCTTGCTATCTCTCTCACATCCTCTGTCTCCCCACCCTACCTGTTTCTCTGCAAAGCAGGCATGAGCAGGACATTTCACATCCCTCTGGGGTCCTGAGCCTCTAACCTCTGAGCCCCCTCCATCAACTGGCCCCTGTGCCCTGCCCCCCACCGCCTCAATGCTGGAGCATCTCTGTGCTCACCAAATGTCTTCCACCCTTGGCTCTCATTGTGCTAAGACAGTGAGATGGAGGAGGGCTGCCTCAGAGCACAAACTGCTGGGAGAAGGGCCAGCACCCCAAGGTGGGAAACACCAGGTGCCTCAAACAGCCAAACAAAGCAGTGGAGAAACAGAGGCGGGAGGGAGCCCAGAGCACACAGTGGAGAATGCCGCCAAAGAAAGACAGGAGAACATTCCAGGGACAGAGAGGGTCCGGCCCAAAGGCTCAGGGCTGTCCCTGACTCCTGAGGTACTCACTTTCTCTCTCTGGGCCTCAGTTTTCCTATCCATAAATGGAGTGTACCACAAAGAGCCTAGGGGGCATCTGGGGAAAACCCCCACGTCTCCAAGGCGGTAGGAGCTAAGGAGCAGAGGGAAAATGGTTGGGCAGGAAGGAATAGGAGTGCCTTCAGGAAGCAGCAGAAGCCGCCTCGCTCTGGTGTTCTCTCAGTCCTCACAGCTTGTCCTGGGAGAGGAGACGCCCGGACTGTGTTCTGGGACCAGCTGCTTGGGGAGCAGTGGATGGAAAACGGGTTGGGGGGAAGGCCGGGCAAATGTGGCTGCCTGTACCCAGCCCGCGCTAAGCTGCCAATGAGAATACGAGTTCAGCACGTTACGTGGCGACAAAACAGGGGCTTTGCAAGCAGCGGGACTCTGGGTCTTTTGGCTTCTCTGACTTTGATTCCAAACAGCGGGGGCGGTCACTGGGTGTTGGGAAACTAGCGTTTTCTGAGCGTCTCCTGTGCACTGGGCACTCGAATTGTCCCATTGCTTCCAGGGGATTCCTCATTTCACCTTCATATTTTACACAGAAGGACTCGAGGCTGGGAGACCTTAGATAACTTATTCATGGTCTCACAGCCGGGAAGGGGCATCAGGCAGATTTCAGCCCCCCTCTGTGCTAATCCCAAACTCTAGCTCTTCCGTTGATCCATGGCTTTTACTCGTGTTTGCCAGAGCCCTGGTTTCCTCCAAGATACCTTGGGGGAGGGGGTGTGGGGCCCAGCAGGCCGGGACTTGAGGAGACAGAGGCCACTGGCCAGAGCAGCTCCCTGCCCTCTGCCGGCCCGTGGATGTGCCACCCCATGCATAGACGAGCCTGGGCTTGATTTAATGCTGTGCTGTCACCATCTGGGAATGCTTAGTGATTCTTTAACCAGGGGCCTGCATTCTCATTTAGCACCACCAGGCACCCCCAGATTATATGATCCATCCTGCCGGTGCAGTTTTCACGTTAAGGTCTCACATGAGAAAAGGGTTCGCTGCTGAAGTCACGCAGGAGGTTTGGGGACAGTCACCTCTGGAGCAGCAGGAAGTCCCTGGGGCAGAGCTGACCCTGTGCTTTCTCTTTCAGCGAAACCATCATGTTTTTACATCAGATCTTTTACCAAGGCCTGAAGGCCCGCATCTCCAGCTGGCCCACGCTGGTCCTGGGTGAGTAGTCAGCCCTCACTGCGGCCCCCAGAGAAGTCCCCCTCCAGGGGCCACCCCAAAAGCCTGGGGCAGTTTTGTCCTTCTAGAGCATAATAGAGTGTCACTTTTTAAAACCCACAGAATCCCTCAGAGGGGGCAGAAGAGAAAAGACAAGTTGGCAAATGCTGTATTTCTAAGAGGAAATGATATATTTTTAGTTTCCTATCCACTTTCCCCTTTTATAAAGAATGTATACACATCCATTTAAGAAAAATTGAGAACCCATAAAAGTAGAAAATGTTTAAAAATATCAAGCATAGTTCTGCTTCCCAAAGATAACCACTACAAACACTTTGGTGTGTTTTCTTCCAATTTTTTTCTGTGCATAGATCTTGGGTTTTTTTCCACTTTACATAATTGCAAACATACTGAATATAGAATTTGTATCTTGCTGTGTGTTGTTTTTTTTTTCTTTTACTTAGCATTATCCCATAAGCATTTTCTCATGCCAAAAGCATGCTTTTTGATCGCTGTGTAATACTCCAGTACCCATGAAGGCACTGTCATTTATCTAACCATCTGCTATGGTTGGCTCTTAGAGTTGTTCCAATTTTTTATTGTTAGAAGTAATCATCTCTTCATAAGAAATTTTCTCCATATTAGAGATCATTTCCTTGGGATGGGTTTCCAATGAGCAGAATTGCTAAAACAAAGAATCCAAACATGTGAAAAGCTCTTGCTTCATACATATTGTCCCATTGTTCTCCAAGATGGCTGCACTGCTCTAGTTCCACAAGCAACAGACAGAAGAACCTCCTGCATCTCACCCTCAACCTACACCAAATGTCTTTCTTTTTTTTTTTCACTTTCTTAATTTGGTAGATAAAGGTGAGTGTTGGTGTCATCTCCATGATGGAGGCAAAGAAAATGGCTTAGGGAAGTAAAGGAATAGCAAAGGCTGCATAGGTGGAGGGCACAGAGCAGACCCAGGCCTGGCTCTCCAGAGCTCCCTTGCCCTCAGGCATGGAGGCTTCCCAGGGGGAAGTAGGCACTATTATTTTTCTCAAGTCAAAGACCCGTGTTTTTCTCTAAGGTCAAAATAAGGTGTCCTTAGAAAGATGGGGTCCGCATATTCTGCAGTTGCATTGTTGAAGACATTGTCCGTCAGGTGGTCAGACACCCATCACATGAGCTACCCTCTAAAGTTGATTACAAGGAAACCATGTTTCCTTTCTTAAATGGGACTTATAAGAAGATGTTTTGGCCGAGCACGGTGACTCATGCCTTTAATCCCAGCACTGTGGGAGGCTGAGGCAGGCAGATCACCTGAGGTCAAGAGTTCGAGACCAGCCTGGCCAACATGGTGAAACCCCGTCTCTACTAAAATTACAAAAATTAGCCAGGTGTAGTGGTGCACACCTGTAGTTCCAGCTACTCGGGAGGCTGAGGCAGGAGAATTGCTTGAACCCAGGAAGCAGAAGTCGCAGTGAGCCGAGATCTCACTACTGCACTCCACTCCAGCCTGGGCAACAGAACGAGACTCTATCTCAAAAAAAAAAAAAAAAAAAAAGAAAAGAAAAAAGAAGAAGAAGATGTTTCAAGGCCAGGCACAGTGGCTCACGCCTTTAATCCCACCACTTTGGGAGGCCAGGGTAGGCAGATCACTTGAGGGCAGGAGTTCAAGACCATCCTGGCCAACGTGGTAAAACTCTATCTCTACAAAAAACACAAAAATTCAAAAATTAGCTGGGTGTGGTGATGCACACCTGTAGTCCCAGCTACTTGGGAGGCTGAGGTGGGAGAATCACTTGAACACGGGAGGCAGAGGTTACAGTGAGCCGAGACCGCACCACTGCACTCCAGCCTGGGCAACAGAGCAAGATTCCATCAAATAAATAAATAAATAAAGATAAGGAAGATGTTTCACATGACCCCATCCCAGCCTATCAAATCGTTGAAGGGCAGATTTGGGGAGATTGGTTGGGACTTGGGGGCACTGGAAAGGCAAAGTATATACCCAGGAAGCTTGAGACAGAACTATAGGCAGAAAGGGCCCCACCTGGTGAACTAGATAATGCAGAGCCTGGAAGCCCTGCTTGGACAATGGCAGATGAACGAAGGAGCAGAGACTCATGTGTCATATGGTAGGAAATCCCTGGAATCAGGAGGTCAGGAGACCCAGCCCCAGGCCGGCTGCTGACTTGCCCTGTGACCTCAGATAGGCCACTTCTGTCTCAGGACGGAGACTGCAGGAGGGAGGGTGGCCTCTTGGGGAGTGTCCTAGGCCATAGCACCATAGGGCACGGGGACAGGCAGAGGGAGGAACTGGGCAGCCTTCCAGCTGCAACAGAAGCCTCAGCCGACCCCACAGGAAGCTCTGGAGAAGGGGTGACCTCACACTGGTGTCCTGAATTGAAGCAGGAGGACAGACCAGGCAAGGCAGCTTCCTCCAGCTGAGGGCAATGCCTGGAGAGGGACCCAGCTGACAGCCATCGGCCACCAGCACTCCTGGCAGCTGGGGGGATCCAGGTGGCACCCCACAGCGCCCACTCTACCTCCTCTCTCTGACACTCCCATCACAAGTGTCGACTAGACAGGGCCCCACGTCTCTAAGAGTCTGTGATTCTAATGTGGTCCCAATGATGGGGGCCCACCTACTAGCACTGGATAGGGCAGTGGTACTGGAGTCATCCCCAAGAGCAGAGATGTCTCTGGGGTGGGGAACTTGAACCTGGCCCCTGGCCTCTCTGGGTGTAGCTGGGGGAGCCAAGGGCCTAGGGGATTCTGTCCCCACCAAGCTGCCCTAGCCACCCGCTGACTGCCTCGTCCTTCCAGCTGACCTATTTGACATCCTGCTGCCCATGCTCAACATCTACCAAGAGTTCGTCCGCAACCACCAGTACAGCCTGCAGATCCTGGCCCACTGCAAGCAGAACCGTGACTTCGACAAGCTGCTGAAGCACTACGAGGCCAAGCCTGACTGCGAGGAGAGGACGCTGGAGACCTTCCTCACCTACCCCATGTTCCAGGTGGCGTCCGGCCCTGCCTGGGTGGGGTAGAGTCAGGGAGGCAGGTGTGGGGGATGGACCATGGCGGTGGGGGCACAGTGCTTAACGCACCCCAGCTCTGGGCTGCCAAAGGGGGCGGGGGAGGTGGTCAGGGCCAGCAGCCGACAATGCTGGGTGCAGGGCAAGCTGACTGTGGGCCTGTCCACGCCACCTTTCTCTCCTGGCTCCTGAGCACCCCACCCCACCCTCAGCCAGAGCAGAGCCCTAGACAAGACCCTGGAAGAGCCTCCAAGTTAGAGTCTGTGACCAAAGGGCAGCCTATCTCCTTCCTCAGTTCTGCTCATGGAAGTCCTCTGGGCTAAAAGAACCATTTTCTCTCTCCCACCACCCCCTCGTGCTCTCTCTCCCCTGGCCCGCACCCCATGCTCACGCGCTCTCTCTCTCTCTCTCCCCCTTTCCCCCGCCCTCGCCACCTCTCTCTCCCTCCCTCTCTCCCTCCCTCCCTCCCTTCCTCTCCCTCTCCCTCTCCCTCTTTCTCTCTCTCTCTTGCTCACTCCCTGTCTGCCCCTGCCTTGCTCCCCGGCCATACTTCCCTGGCTCTTTCTCCACCCTCACCTCTCCCACCTGCCCGCAGATCCCCAGGTACATCCTGACCCTCCATGAGCTCCTGGCCCACACGCCTCATGAGCACGTTGAGCGCAACAGCCTGGACTACGCCAAGTCCAAACTGGAGGAGCTGTCCAGGTGAGGCCTGGCTCTTCAGTGCACCAGACCGGCAGACAGGGCAGGGCTGAGGGTGCCCCTCACCAGGAGTTCGCTGAACCCCTGACAAAGCTTGAGTTCAGATGGGGATTGTAAGGGAGGGGCACAGCTTGCCACAGCTCAAAGCAGAGGCCCCTGGAGTGGTCCTGAGGGGGTTACAACTCAAGCCCCGGTAGGCAGGAATAGTGGGTGCTGTGCTATCCCTGGCACAGATAGGGCCCGAGGGAGGGCCCTGGGCACTCAACACCTCCCAGGAGAGGGACTGTCCATGACTCCCAGGCACTCTCTGCTCTCCAGTGTCAATGTGTCAAAACCTGTGGCCATAGGAGGCCCAGAGGGGGTCCTGGGTGACAGGCCCTCATGTGCCCAAGGCTCTAGTTAACCAGAGGCAGGTAGTGGCAGTGGTTGGATAAGCACATGGCTTGTCCAATCTAGTGCCCCTGTCCTCTGGTCAAGGCCCCTCACCTGGCCCTCTTTCAGCCCCTGAAGCCCAGAGGGAAGCTTCCTCTGCAAGGGCAGACACAGGGGAGCACGGAGGGGGCTCTTGCAGCACCCCAGGCAGCAGATGACTGTGGTCATCCAGGAAGAGGTTCCAGGAAGAGGTTCAGGTCCTGGATGCATTTTGAAGGTGGAACCAACAGGATTTTCTGATGGATTTGATGTGGAAAGAGAAAGACTAGAGTCAAGGGTGATTCCAGGATGTGGGGCTGAGCCACCAGAGGGCGGAGGTGCCATCAACCGAGCTGGAGAAAACTGCAGGAGGGACAGGTCTGGAGGGGAGTTCAGGAGCTTTCTTGGGAGCATGTTGAACTTAGGTGCCAATTCAATGTCCAAGTGTAGATGACAAGAAGGGACTGGGGAATTTGAGTCTGGAGCAGAGGGGAAAGAGAAATCCGGCAATCATCAGCTTGCAGATGGTGTTTAAAGCGACAGCACTGGTGAGACCGCCAAGGGAATTAGCTTGGGCAGGAAAAAGATGAGAACCAGAAGCTGAGCCCGGGGGTATGCACCCTGTGAAGACCAAGAGATGAGGGAGGGCCTTGTGGTCAGAACTAGGCTGCCAAGGGCTACAAAGAAGGTCAGTCTGCAGGGCCTGGGATCCAGCCCCGGCCCTACCCAGGGCACTGCCAAACACTCAGTGCCCTAAAAGTCTTCCTGAGGCCGGCAAGGGGCAGCCAACCAGGCCACAGCTCCCAGCTGGGTGGAGGGAGGGACAGCACAGGGTATAGGCTGCCCCCGATCCTTCCATGACCCAGCCAAGTTGCACACCTGAGTGGAGAATCAGGGCAAGGATGTCATCAGGGTGTGATTGCAGAGTAACGAAACCACCAAGCAGGAAGGTGGAGGGACTCCAGTCCTCCCATGCCCAGGGATCCAAATCCCGCACACTCTTCCCCAAGGGAGAAGGTTTGGGACTCCGGTAAGGCAGCAGGCTCCTCCTTGCTGAGGGATATCCTATCCTGTTGCAAACAGAGCTGCAGGTGGCACATGGTGCCAAGGTATTTGACATAAGACCCTGATCCCTTATCCCCGGGATCCTAGGTGTATGGCCTACTCTTCCTTCCTCCCACCCAACTGCCTGTACCTGGCCCTGAACCCAGCCCAAGTGGCACAGAAGGTTTTCCTATCACCATGACAGCATCCCTTTAATTCTCCTTTCACGCTCCCACAAGCAGGAAGCCATTAGATAGCCAAACCCCTCCTAGGCTGCGCTCAGAAACACTCCCCACCTCTGGGGACTGGGCCTTCCTCCCACCTTTTTATCCTGACCCCTATATTCTCTGCTCGCTGATAACCCAAATCATCATTTCCAGGGCTCCCAGGAGCCTCGCGACCTTGAAACTCCCACCGCCTTCCCAGAGCTCCCCAGCTGTGTGCGCATATGGGTCCCAAACACAGACCCCCACCTGGGGCTGGAACTTAGAATGTGTAAACTGCAGCTGCTCAGGAAAACTAGTTTTGCTACCTTGGAATTACCCGCCTTGTGTTTTACCAAACACAGGCTTCCCCCGCAAAACCCCACCCTCATCAAGAGAAGTGGTTTTAATTACCATTGGCTATTTCCATAATGGATCCATCTCTAGGGAACTAGCATGTGTCCAGAGGTGCCTCCCTCTCAAACATCAAGCAGGGGTCTGGGCTTCCAAGAAGAGCATTGCTGGGGAAGAAAGGGGGAAACTGAGGCTCCCAAGGAAGAGACTCCAGCGAAAGGCCCTGGTCCATTTATTAAAGGGCTAGTCTAGTGAATTTAAGCCTAAAATGCATGTCCTCAACCAGGAAAGATAATAATAACTCTTTTGCAACCAATGATAATAGCAACAACAATCACCACTACCCTTTATTTAAGCAGCTGTCACATGCCAGGCATGGCATAGCATGCACGGGTACCTGAAATCCCTTTTATTCCACCTTTGCCCCAGCATTCTGTAGATGAGGAAACTAAGGATCAGAGGGATTGAGGAGTCTGGTCAATGTCATGCTGATTCAGTTAAGCACAGATCCAGCTCCGGAAGAGGCAGTGTCATCTTTGTTTTGGGGTTTAAATTGAATAATGTCTATGAGAGAAGTTTGTAAGCCGCACATATTAACCAGCCTTCTTGTTGGTCTTAACTGTGGAAATTCAGGCATCAGCAGCAGATAAAAGGTTTTGTACTTTGCTTGGAGTAGGTGGGGTACTTTTGCCAGAAGCCCCCCTTCCCCACTCCCCAGACCCTGCCACTGCCAAATTCCCCTCTACCTTCCCAAGACTCCTGGAAACCCACCAAGGCAAAATTGGCAGCTAACACCCACCTTTTCCCACCAACGCCATTTTGTAAAAGCTATTGGATGGCGCCATCTCTTGGAGAGGAGGGGTATTACAGCAGTCGGAGAGCGAAATAGGGGAGTTGTCTATATTCCCTCCCAGAAGGGCCAGAGCCTACAGAAGTAGGCTAAGGTCAGTCATCCCCTGAGCCAGCGGGATTGCCAGGTGCTCCAAAAGGTAAGCCATTTCAGGGCCCAAGCGATATTAAGGACACAATTATGCAAATATTTGGAGAAAGAGCATTCAAGAAGAAGAGACAGCAAGTGCAAAGGCCCTGAGGGAGTAATGAGCTTTGCTCTTGGGATGGGAATAAGGCTGGTAGAAGGATGAGGGTCAGGGTCATGAACACAGGATGTCTCCTGTGCTCCCATATCCTTCCCAGTGCTGAGCTGCACCTGCTGTCTGTTCTACATAGTTCAGACTGTAAAATCTGACAGATGTGCTTCATAGCTGCTGACTTCAGTTTTCTTTTTTCTGAAATAAGAACACTTGCCTCCTTGAGCTGTCAGAAGGATAAAATGAGGTCGTGCCTATGAAGTGCCCGGCATGCAGCAGGCACTCAGTAAATGCACACTCCCTTCCCCTCCATGACCACAGACTCCACCTGAGAATCCTTGTGCCAGGCTTTCTTCCTAGGTCTGGCCAGAAGCCTGGCATTCTCGCCTCCCTGGGAAGTAGGGGCAGCCTGTCTCTGACTGTGCAGTTTCCCATCCCCACAGAATAATGCACGATGAAGTAAGTGAGACGGAGAACATCCGGAAAAACCTGGCCATCGAGCGCATGATCATCGAAGGCTGTGAGATCCTCCTGGACACCAGCCAGACCTTTGTGAGACAAGGTATGGCCTCTGCACCCTGTCTCCCCTGCCCCCACCAGGTGGGCCCCAGCAGCGGGAGGGAGGCGGCACTCGGGGACGCCACCAGTTGGTTTGGCTGCCACATGCCAAGACCTGCCAATGTGATTGCAGAATATTCCCAGGCTGCTGGCGGAATGCAACAGCTATATGTAGATGTCAGTATCTATACATATAGATGCAGATATTATTGGTTTTCACAGTTTCCTTCTCTCCAGATGTAAACAGAATTCTACCCAGATGGCCTTGGTTTGTCTATTGTATGTCATAGTAAACATCGACATGTCCTTTTTGGGGAGAAAGTATGGGGCGGGGGATGAGGAGCTAACAGTTGTCTCTGTGAGTCAGAAGCGTTTTCAGTGTCTGGGAGGAGGTCAGTGTTGGGTCCATTCCCCTGTCCTTTCCTCATCATCCTCTGCTGCTTTGGAGAGACCATTTTCACAGTGGTTCTCATGGGTAGAAGGTCTTTCCCAAGCTTCAGCCTCGCTTACCTTGGGAGCAGTGTTTGAGAGGCACGGCCCCGTTGAGAGGGGTGGGTGAAGGCTCTCTGTGGCTCAGGGGACTGACATCAGAACTGCAATGCATTTGAAATTCATCACATTCAACTTCCATGTTTTGTGGGAGACTCAGCTCCTGCTGGCATGCCTCACAGGTGACCTCCACCTCAAACGGACCTCCAGAGTCCCTTCTCTGTAGCCCTGGGATTCTCTGCCTAACGAAATACTTGCCAGCGCCTCCCGCTGGCCTGTGCAGCTGCCTTGGACAAGGGTATCACCTTTTCGGAGTTTTGTCCCAGCCCCTGTGTGTGGTGGCCCCTACATCCTTCCCCAGGCCCACCCTGTGACCTGCTGAGCTCAGAGCCAGCCCTGCCTGTTTCTCAGCTCCCCTTGGGCTGTGTTGGGCATTCTCTGTGCCAGAAATATTCTCACACAGTATTTTAGGCCCCCTCTGAAGGAACCCCAAGTGGACCTGGCTTGGAAGTAGCCCAAGAAATGACCCCTCCTGGGGTGGGCAGTATCCCCACAGACCAGAAATCTGCTCCATCACCCTGAGTCAAGGCATTTTCTCCCTCTCCAGCCGGGCTGGACCTGGAGACAAAATGAGTGGATTCTGCAAGGCGTTTCTCACTTGTCAGTCATGCAGCCAGCACTGATACCTGCCCTGCTCATGCCAGACGTACAGGGGGTTCTGGGGACACTCAGAGAACAGCCTCAGCCCTGCCCTCCGGAAGCCTATGGTACAGAGGAAGAGAGTCATGAGGGGACAAACGCAGGAACACCAGGTGCCAGGTGGATCTCCCTGATGCAGGAGGCAGAGTGGTGGCCTGGAGCAGGACCAAGAGAGTCACGAGGGCTTTCCCAAGGATAAGCAGGAATTCACAGGGAAGACAGAGTGAAGGAAGGGCTTTTCAGAACTAAGAGTGACACTCAGGCTAACTTGACCCAGAACTACATGTGAGGCAGAAGAAGGGGACAATGGTAAGAGTGCAGGCTGGGAGGTGTGCCCAAGCCAGACCACTGGGAGGCCTCAAGTGCCTGAATCCTGGGAACAGTGAGGAGCTGTGGACCTCAGTGGGGAGGGGGCCTGAAGGGTATGTATTAGGGTGGGTACACCAGAGTAGGGCAGCAATGGCTTTCATGACAGGCACCTACTCTGCTCAGTAATGGCTTCCTAGAGTGCTGTGCTGAGGACTGAGAAGCTCTGTCTGGGCTCTGCAGTATGGTGCAGTGATTGATTGGTGATGCCTGCCATGGCTGTGGACAACAGGAGTGCAATGTATCTTTTTTTTTTTTTTTTTTAAATCTTAGTAGCTATCTTTTTTACAAGTAGGATGGGAGGCAGGGTTTGCCCTAAGTAGTTCCCAGCAGGAGTGCAATGTATCTTGTTAACCCCTCGGGGCCTGCAGCCAGCTCCCCACTTGTTCAGCTCCCTGCCATCCCCAGACCTCAGCCCAGCCCTTCATTCTCACCACATGGGCCATGCCCTTTGGGGTTCCTTTGCTTGCTTAGCCCCTAGCCCCTGGCTGGGATGTCAGTGGGCCCTGCATGGAGCTTCTCTGATCACCTCTCATCCCTCAGCCATCTGGCCCTGCAGAGAGGCCTAAAGGAGTATCCCAGGGGCACATTTGCTACTGGGAAACAGAATGGACTTGTCCCACTGCTGCTGCCCCAGCATCTCAACCTTCAAGGCTGGGTCAGAGGCAAAGGTCACCCCAGGAGATGGGCTCAGGGTCTCTCTCCTCCACCCACAGGTTCCCTCATTCAGGTGCCCATGTCTGAAAAGGGCAAGATCACCAGGGGGCGCCTGGGGTCTCTCTCCCTAAAGAAAGAGGGCGAGCGACAGTGCTTCCTGTTTTCTAAGCATCTGATTATCTGTACCAGAGGCTCTGGAGGGAAGCTTCACTTGACCAAGGTAAGGGCTACGGGAGAGGGGCTTGGGGGCTGCCCAGCTAGGGTCATGCAGGCGCTGTCCTGGCCAGAGGGTCTATGGGCCCAGGTGGTGGGCAGGGGTGTCAGAGACGTGTGCATGCACACACACACAGATATACACACAACCCATAGTTTGGCCAGCTGGAGAGAGCAGAACTTGACCGATTTTCCACTAGGGAAATCCTGGGAGATGGGAAGGTGAGAATCGAGGGCTTCAGATTCCCCACACTGGGCACCTGGGCAGAGGAGCCAGAGGGCCTGGACAGACCCCTAAAAGGCATGTGTGTGTGCATGTGTGTGTGTCTGTGTGTGTTTGTGTGTATGTATGTGTGGTGTTTTTGTGTCTGTGTGTTTGTATATGTGGTGTGTGTGTATGTGTATATGCGTGTGTGTGTATGTGTGCGTGGTGTGTATATATATGTGTGTGTGTCTGTATGTGTTTATATCTCTCTGTGTGTATTAGTCCATTTTCATACTGCTATGAAGAAATACCTGAGACTGGGTAATTTACAAAGAAAAAGAGGTTTAATGGGTTCACAGTTCCACATGGCTGAGAAGGCCTCACAATCATGGTGGAAGGCAAAGGAGGAGCAAAGGCATGTCTTACATGGCAGCAGGAAGGAGACCATGTGCAGGGGAACTGCCCTTTACAAAACTATCAGATCTTGTGTTACTTATTCAATATCACAAGAATAGCATGGGAAAAATCTACCCCCATGATTCAATTACCTCCCACTGGGTCCCTCCCATGACACATGGGGATTATGGGAGCTAAAATTCAAGATGAGATTTGGGTGGGGACACAGCCAAACCATATCAGTATGTATGTATGTGTATATGTGTTTGTGTCTGTGTGTGTGGTGTGTGTATGCATGTGTGTGTATATATTTGTGTATATGATGTGTGTATTTGTGTATAGTGTGTGTATGTGTTTGCCTCTATGTGTGTTGTGTCTCTGTGCATTTGTGTGTGTTCATTGTGTGTGTGTGTATGGTATATGGCATATGTATGTGTGTATATGTATTGTCTTTCTGTGTACAGGTGTGGTGGATATGTGTGTGGTATGTGTCTGTGTGTCTATGTGTATATCCGTGTATGTTTATATGTATGTATGTGGTGGGTGGGTGTGGTATATGTGTATATGTGTGTGTGTCTGTGTGTGGTGTATGTTTTTGTGTACATGTGTCTCTGTGTATGTATGTGTGATGTATGTGTGGTGTGTATATGTGTGTGTATGTGTATGTGTGT
The DNA here is from genome assembly GCF_000001405.40 of Homo sapiens. Taxonomy (NCBI): domain Eukaryota; kingdom Metazoa; phylum Chordata; class Mammalia; order Primates; family Hominidae; genus Homo; species Homo sapiens. The sequence goes on along the minus strand of NC_000015.10, from coordinate 79,024,048 downwards.
GTGTGTGTTTGTATGTGTGTGTGTGTGTGATGTGTGTATCTGTGTGTGTCTATGTGTGAGATATGTGTTTGTGTGTCTGTGTGTGTGGTATGTGTTTTTGTATCTGTGTGTGTGGTGTGTGTGTCTGTGTCTGTGTGTGGTGTGTGTGAAGGGCAGGGTAGAGGGCCTCCACTGGCTGAGGGCCAAGGCATCACTTGGAGCTTTTCTTTCATCTCCACCCCAAAGGAGCTCTGACAGAGCCCCTTCCAGTGACCTTCTCAGGTGTCCCCTCCTCCAGCACAGGAGACCTGGAGGCTGCTGAGCTGCTCCACACAGAGCCTCAGGACCTTGCGGCCCTGCATGAGACCCTGATGCTCAGCTAACCAGCTCATCCCTAAAGGGGGAGGGAATGAGCATCTCAGACCCCCTCCTGACTCCTCATAGGCCGAGGGCCTTTGCTCATGCTGTCTGTTCAGCCACACAGCCTCCTCTCCCCTGGCAGACCACCTTAACATGCCTCAAGGCCTGTTCAAGTGCTACCTCTGCTGTAAAGCCTGTGGCCTGGGCAGGATCTCCTGTCCCCCGACACAGCCCACTACTTGTCTCATTGCTGTGAGCTCAGCATCAGTCCCAGCTCCATCCCTCACACACATGTGACCCTGGAAAAGACTCCTGCCCCTGTCCACACTTCCTCTATCAAATAAGGACATTGACCCTCACAGAGACATTGCACAGATAAGTTAGCAGTGAGCTCACAGTGGATGTGGATTTGCTGTCAATTAGGAAGCACTTGCCTCTGTAAGCTACAGTCCCTCCAGCCCTGCATTCATCACCTTGGAAGCCTGAACACACTGTGGCCTGGAAAGGGCCAGAAGGTGCTTTTTTTTTTTTTCCCCAAGACGGAGTTTCAGTCTATCGCCCAGACTGGAGTGCAGTGGCGTGATCTCGGCTCACTGGGAACTCTGCCTCCTGGGTTCACCCCATTCTCCTGCCTCAGCCTCCCAAGTAGCTGGGACTACAGGAGCCCACCACCATGCCCGGCTAATTTTTTGTATTTTTAGTAGAGATGGGGTTTCACCGTGTTAGCCAGGATGGTCTCGATCTCCTGACCTTGTGATCCGCCTGCCTCGGCCTCCCAAAGTGCTGGGATTACAGGCGTGAGCCACCGCGCCCGGCCCAGAGGGTGCTCTTAATTAAGCCACAGCATCAGATAAACCATTCTTCCAGACCCTGGATGCCTGGCCCATAACCTCCTGCAGAGCTAACATACCCAGCAATGGCTTCAGGGAATATGTTGCTTATGTTCACATGGCCACAAATTAGCTGGTTGGCTGCACAAGGGGAAATTAATTTACAAATATTGAATACTTCTGTTTTAACCAAATTATGTGTCAAGGAACGCTTTCATTATTTATTAGCTCTGGAGTTTCTACTGATAAGATCTCTGTCTAGGCTGGGGGTGTGGCGGGGGTCAGTGGAGGCAGGTTAAACTGAAGACACGAAGGCTCTGAAAATCCAAAAGCATGTTTTTATGTTAGTTTTATTTTATCTGGAGTTTTCTGTTTGTTTGCTTGTTTGTGATTAGTTTTTTTGTGGGGGTTTTTGGGGGGGGGTTGTTTGTTTGTTTTTGAGGTGGAGTTTCGCTCTTGTCACCCAGGCTGGAGTGTAATGGCGCAATCTCGGCTCACTGCAACCTCTGCCTCCCAGGTTCAAGAGATTCTCCTGCCTCAGCCTCCCGAGTAGCTGGAATTATAGGCACCCGCTACCATGCCTGGCTCATTTTTGTATTTTTAGTAGAGACGGGGTTTCACCATGTTGGTCAGGCTGGTCTCAAACTCCTGACCTCAGGTGATCCACCAGCCTCAGCCTCCCAAAGTGCTGGGATTACAGGCGTGAGCCACCGCACCCAGCTGTTTTTAGTTTTAAAAGTCTCTTAGCACATTGGCAAAGAGCATGGAATCAGAAATCAACTCAAATCCCAGCACTGCCACCCACCAGTAGGTGACCTCAGACAAGTCACATGGCCTCATCAGGCTTCAGTTTCCTTATCTGCATAAAGGGTGTAGAAATACCTCCTTTACAGGAGTGCTGTGAGGAGTAAGTGAGGGAGTTCTCGTGTCAGGTACACGCTCAGTGCTCACTGGATAACAGACATTGTCACTCTTAATTATGAATAACGAACTTGTATTTATAACATCAATCCTTGCATAATGCTTACTATGGGGCAAGAACTCGCTCAAATACATTATGTATATTTAATTCCCAGAACAGCCCACTGAGACGGATACTACCATTTTCCCCATTTTATATAGACAAGGGAAGTGAGACAGAAGAAGCCAGCACGTGGCAGGGCTGGGATTTGAACCCAGCCAGTCTGGCTCCAGAGTCTGTGTTCTTAATCACTATGCTCTAGTCTCCAATAGCCATAAGCTAAAATTCAAATCACTTCTCTTGAAATATCCAAGTGGCAATAGAATGCCTTAAGTCCTTTCTGAAGGGGGCAGACTACAGATCTGCAAGATTTAAAATGACTGTAAGAATTTTTGAGACCCTGAAGTAAGAGAATGTCAGAGCTAGATGGGGCTTTCAAAATGATCAAGCTCAGTGACATCACTGGGCAAGCTTGAGGCCCAGTGGGTTAGTCCTGGGGGCTAACCCAAGGCCACCAAAGAGCAAAGCAAGAAGTCAAACACAGGGTTTGGTGGTCCACTTTGCCTCCCAAGGGGCAGCCTGCTCTGCAAGCATTTTCATATATAGATTAGTCACATGGCCAGGTCTCCATTATCATTCATTATTGTTTTACTTTATCTGTTGCTGTGTAACAAATTACCTCCAAATGTAGTAGCTTAAAACAAACATTTATTACCTCACAATTTCTGTGGGTCAGGAAATCAGGAGCTACTTACCTGGGTGGTCTTGGCTCAGGGCATTTCAGGGGTTTGCAGTCAAGATGTCAGCTGGGGCTGCAGTGTTCCGAAGGTTCAACTGGGGCCGGGGTATCCTTTTCCAAGATGATATGCCTCCATGGCTGTTGGCTGGAGGCCTCAGTTCCTCATTCATAGACCTCTCCCCACAACATGCCAGTTGGTGTCCCCCACAACAGGTGATGCAAGAGACAGCAAGAGAGCAAGCAGGAGAATGTGGTCTCCAAAGTGGCACACCATCACTTCTGATTTATTCTTTTAATTAGATGTAAGCCACTAAGTCCAGCTCACACTCAAGAGGAAGGGAATTAGGCTTTGCCTTTTGAAAAGAAAAATGTGAAAGAATTTGTGAACATGTCTTACAACCACCACAGCTGTGGCCACTCTTATTTCTCACTACAATGTTAAGGGACCTCCTACCCAAGAGATGCTCCCACACTCATGGATGGGAGGCATTTTTCCAGGTATTCCTAATAATTAAAATAAGTAACTGACCAGGACTGGGATCGGGCCCTTGAGGCTCTCTCCAGACTCACTGCTAACTTGCCAGCGGACCTTGAACAAGACATGCAACTTCTCTGTCTTCATTTCTTCACCTGTAAAATGAGAATTACAATACCCATAAGACCAGCCTCTGTCTTCCTGTGGGTAACCTGATAGCTTTGGCCTAAAACGGGGGATTTCAAACCTCTGCAGATTTAGGGCTATGAAGCGATGCCCTGGAGCTGCTGTGGAAGCAAGAAGGGGCCAAGCAGGCCAGGTTCTGTCCGCTCCACCCATGGCCAGAACTCAACCTTGGTTTGGGGAAGGCCTCTCTGAGACAATCTCCTTTGACCCACTTCATTGAGCTTCTTATATGAAGATAAAGTCCTTCCACTGAAAAAGCAAAATACCCACTTGGCATATAATATATCCATCCATACATCTGTGTGTATACATGGATGCTCCTTGTTAAAGTCCCCTCCAACCCTATCATCCAGGGACTCCTAAACCAGCATATCTACCCCTCAATCCAAAGCAGCCCCTGCTGCTCTTTTTCAGAATGGAGTCATATCCCTCATTGACTGCACTTTATTGGAGGAGCCAGAAAGCACGGAGGAGGAAGGTGAGTGTGAAAGCTGCATGTGCGCATGTGTGTGCTTGCACAGATACACACACGCTCACTCCTAAAGGTTGGGCCAGGCATTAGTTTCTTTGGGAGGAATGGAGGATGCTGAAGTGCGGAGGGGAGGTCCACACATGCCCTCATGCACACACCCTGTTCAGTCCCTGCTACAGCTGGGCTTTGCTCCCCTTGTACTTCCAATAAGGTGTGGAGAGGCCAGAGCCTGAGGCTTTAAAGAAAGAGCTCCCAGCCCGGCAGGTGATGACCCTGATCCACCTTCCTGGTTCGTTCCAAGCTCCCTGGGCTGCTGGACCAGTTGGCACTGTTAGGTTTTGGGGTCACAGCATCTCAGTGAGCACCCCTCATTCACACACCTGTGTGTGACATGCACAAGGGCTCTTGGGGCCATGTGCTGGAAGCCAGGGACACACCCAGCCCTATCTCTGTCCTGCAGTGGAAAAGGAAAGAATGTGCAGGGGCCACTGACAGAGGGATTGCAGGGCTGAGGGTCCTGAGAGAGAGAACCATGCCCTTGCAGGGGCCAGGAGGGGAGGCAAGACCTCGGTGAGAAGGGGCTGAACAACTCAAATGGGGCTGAATGGGGAAGTGTGCGGAGGGCAGAGTCCTTGGTGCTGTGATGTTTGATGGGATTTATCTCCCAAGGCATCAGAATTGGAGGTGGGGTCATTATTCAGATTAGGGGGTGGGATCACTACTCTCTCTTGATTGGGCCAAAGTTGGCACTCATTTCCCTTCTTCACTGACCCCAAGCCAAGACCCTCAGAGATGTCTCTGGATGCCCTGCCCTGTGGGGACACCAGCAGGACCCGTGCTCTTTTCCCTCCTCAGACTGGGCCTCCTGGGGTGGGCTGTGTCTGAAGCACCTCAGCATCACAGGCCCAGCATGGCATGGGGATGGGCATGGGCCTGGGGGTTGCCACACACACGCTTGGCAAACACACACACACACACGCCCTCATGCACACACCCTGTTCAGCCCCTGTTACCACTGGGTTCTGCTCCCCTCATGCCCTTCCAATAAGGGCCAAATCAAGTGGTTCCCCAAGGGAAGAATAAACGAGGAGGCAGCTTACCTGGAGCCTTCCTACCAGTGCAGCCTTCTTTCATCTTGGCCACAGCAGGTCCACAGGAAAACCCAGGCTCAAGTGGCACTGTCAGGCCCCAAAACTCTTTACCCTCCTAGGCCCAGGGAGGTGGGATCCTGGCCACAAGCGTTCCCCACCTGAAACACACCCACACACAGGCACCCACTTCTCAGAGACTCCAGCACAGTCCCAGGAGAATGGGCTCCCTCGTGCCCAGCAAGGACTCCTAAAATTCTCAGGTGTCAGAACTGGAAGGGACAGGAACCTCAGAGAAATCAAGTCCCACTCCTGTTGCACAGGAGGACATCTGAAGCCCAGAGGGGGAAGGAAACCACCTCAACATCACACAGCCATAGAGCTTTGGAGCAAAGCAGAACCAAAGCAGGCCCTTTACACCATGAACCCATTCAGTGCACCCCTAATTAATGTGAGTGCATTGAAAAGAATCTTGAAGCTGTGGTTTTAGTTTTTCCAAATAAACAGCTTTCAAGACTTCAAGGGACTTTCAGGTTAAGAGCAGTAACAAAAATACCTAGAATTCACTTTTGCTTTGGGGAGCTCTAAACTGAACTAAATGTCCAGCCCAATCCATAAAAGTTTAAGACCTTGAAGTTCCTCATTTGGCCCCAGAACCACCTTGGGGTAGCAGGAGGGCCTGGCTGAGAGGCCCATTCTAGCCCTGCCCTGGCTTGGCCACCACCCTGCTGGGAGCCTTGGGCAAGTCCTCGCCCGTGACCTCACCTCCATTGGTGTAATGAGGGCAGAGGGCAGACTGTGATTCCTAAAGGCTCTCCTGCTCTGAATCCGGAACTGCCCCTGAGTGGTTGTAAGCTACGTCTTAGTTCTTCCATCTTTGAAATGGGGATTTCCCACTTAGGAAAATAATATTCTGAAAGTAGCAGCAATTGGCCTGGTGCCTTACCAACGCAGAGCCTCCACTGGTACGTACGACAGGGACCACTAAAACATTTTCCACCTGAAAAGGCGTCCACATTCATGCTGCTAACTTTATGTTTTACAACTGGAAGCCAAAGGATCCGGCCAAGACATAGATCACTTGGATTTTAAAATCGGGGTGGAGCCAAAGGATTCCCCGCCCTTTACAGTCATCCTAGTGGCCTCGTCCAGACAGGAGAAGGCAGCGTGGACCAGTGACATCAGCCAGGTGAGTAGCGTCACCTGTTCCTGAAAGCGAGTGGTCCCTTCATGCCTAACCAGGTCAGGGATTTGGCTGGTGGCAGGTAGGGGGTGGGGGTGGTGGAGTAGCTGCACTGTTCTACAGAGAAAGATGCAAGAATCTTCCAAGTCCACAGCCCTACCCAAAGCTGAGCTCAGCTAGTCCATCCCGTTTGTAGTCCCCTGGGTCACCTTGAAAGTGTGGTCTGGAAACCCCTCTTGCATCTGTATCACCTAGCAAGGTGATTTTAAAAACTTCAGTTTCCTGGACCCTTCTCCCCTTTCCCCACTATCCTGCAGACCTACAGATCTAAATTGTTGGCATGTGACCTGTAAATCCGCATTTTAGTACATGCCCCAGGTCATTGATACGCACAGAAAAGTCTGAACATATTAGATGTAATAATGTTCACAGCGAGAGAACGGTGTCCCTGAAAGCCAAGGGTAGCTTCTTCAGTGAGTCGGGGCAGCTACCTAAGATCAAACCCAGCCTCAATTATGCACACGGAAGATTTAGTTTTGCTTTGGCCTGCTGTAAGCATTAGGGTCATTCACCCTATTTGGAGCATTAAGCAGGAAGCACAGACTTTTCCAGGCACCAGTGAGCAGACCCAGAATGCCCATGGGTGCCTAAAGTACAAGGGGTGAGACTTGAGTCTATAAAGAGGCTGTCAGCAGCACCGGGGTTTAGGCCCCAGGACAGGCCCCTCCCTGAGCCCAGCAAGGGCCTGTGATGGGTCAGGGATGTGCCATCCCAGCAGCTGGGAGCCTTGGCCATCCTCTCTGCGGGGTGGGGTGGTAGGAGAGCAGCCAACAGCAGAAGGGGAGGGAGGTTGGTGGCCCCCCATGGTCTAGAGGGTTGCAGGAGGCCTGTGCCTGTAGAAACTGAAAGGGCAGGGCAGCATCTTCGTGGGACCTAGGACGGCTTCCCTTGCTTGCTCCCCACCTTCTTGGTTTTGTGCCCCTTCCAGGCTCCCCTGACTGCCGCTCCCAGCCTTCCTTCTGGCCCACCTGCCCATCTCGCAGTCCCAGAGGAGTAAGGCGGGTGGGATGATGCATGGCACGTGCCTGTTCTGAGTCTTCCCACATGTCTTCAAAACACCCAGAAAGCCCTAGAGAAAACTGCAGACCCTGAGCTTTGCCCTTTCACATCCCCAGTGAGCCGCAGCCGTCAAAGGCCTGGGGCTGCTTGCCCAGAGGGTGCCCACCAGGCCTCTGCCCTCCTGGCAGCCGTTGTGGATGCCAGTGAAGGGGTCAAGGTGGGAGTCCTCTGGCCCCTTCCCCAAGCCCTCCTGCCTCCATAACACTCTGAGCCCATGGCCAAGTCTTCTTTGTTTTGGAGTTGCTGGTAGAACCAAAGCTAGAGAGATTGTCAGATGGGTGGGAGAAGTGGGGCTGAGAAATGCAAATGACAGAAGCCTCCCTCTTTGGGGTCGTGGCCTTGCCCAGAAGTCTGGGCCTGGGAGCTCCACCACCCACTGTGCCAGCTCTCAGCTGCCACTTCCCAATGACTTTGACACCCTCCTCCCTGCAACACACACATTCTCAAAACCAGAAGATTCTGTGATGTGCCACCAAGCCTTCCCTATCGCTATGCCAAGAAGAAACCCTCTCATGGCAGAAATGTGAAGACCCAGGGCAGGGGACAGTGCAGGGGAAAAGAGGCAGCTCCCCCAAGAGATGCAGTTTTTATTTTTGTTTGGGCGGGTACTTCCTATTCAAAGCAAAATTTGGATTTTGAATATTTTTGGAGGCCGAGTGAAATGTACAATCATCTGTGCCCCTCCCGCCAGCAGCCTTGCCTTCTCCAGGGCCCCACACCCATGGACTCTTCATATGGAAAACCATCCACAGCATCCAAGTGTTGGCACTGTGGTGGTCAGAGGACAGAGAGAACAGTTCAGCACCCTCGTGCAGTGGCGCAGAGGCCCTGCTGGGCTGGCCTCCCAGGAGAGAGATCCCACATCACCATGGATCTGATCTTGTCCTTGACACTGGACCCCAGAGGTCAGCAACAGAATGGTCAGTGTCAGATGCATTCATTTTGCATCCCAGTGGTTGTTTGTAATCAACCCAGTGAGGTAGAAGTCATTATCCCCACTTTGCATATAATGAAACTAAGACTTGAGGTCAAGTAAGTTCCCCAAGGTCATTCAACTGAGACTTGACTTCCGGCCAAAGTCTAAAGGATGCGCCACGCTGACCCTGCCTTTGCCAGGACAATGCCCTTGAAGCTTGAGGACCCTGTATCAGACTGAGGCATGTGAACTTTACAGTTGGCAGAGCTCCTGGTGGGCCTGGGTCCAGGAATGGAGAGCTCTGACCCTGGGGTCCTCTCTCTGATTCCAGTGTGTGGATAACATCCGATGCAATGGGCTCATGATGAACGCATTTGAAGAAAATTCCAAGGTCACTGTGCCGCAGATGATCAAGTAAGTGCCCTTAACCCCATCTTGACCAGGCAGCATTCCAGAGACTGAGTACCACAAGGTGACAGCCAGGACACTGGGATGAGCCAGCTACTGGGGTTCAGAGATGCTGGGCTTTGTCTTTGGGGGTGTTTTGGATGTTTTCTTGTTTGTTTGTTTTGAGTTGGGTGATTGCTATTTGGATGATTGCTTTGGCTTAGTTTTTTGGGTTTTTTTTTTAAATTTTTTATTTCCATAGGTTTTGTGGAACAGGTGATATTTGGTTACATGAGTAAGTTCTTTAGTGGTGGTTTGTGAGATTTTGGTGCACCCGTCACCCCAGCAGTATACACTGAACCCCAATTTGTAGCCTTTTTTTGTTTTGTTTTGTTTTGTTTGTTTTTTGTTTTTTGTTTTTTGTTTTTTGTTTTTTTGAGACCAAGTCTTGCTCTGTCACCCAGGCTGGAGTACAGTGGTGCAATCTCAGCTCACTGCAACCTCTGCCTCCCGGGTTCAAATAATTCTCCTGCCTCAGCCTCCTGAGTAGGTGGAACTACAGGCGTGTGCCACCATGCCTGGCTAATGTTTTGTATTTTTAGTAGAGACAGGGTTTCACCATGTTAGCCAGTATGGTCTCGATCTCCTGACCATCTCGTGATCTGCCTGCCTCAGCCTCCCAAAGTGCTGGGATTACAGGTGTGAGCCACCGCCTCCGGCTCCAATTTGTAGTCTTTTATCCCTCACCGCCTTCCTACCCTTTCCCCCTGAGTCCCCAAAGTCCACTGTGTCATTCTTATGCCTTTGCATCCTCATATCTTAGGTCCCACTTATGAATGAGAACATACAATGTTTGGTTTTCCATCCCTGAGTTATTTCACTTAGAATAATAGTCTCCGGTCCTATCCAGGTTTCTGTGAATGCCATTAATTCATTCCCTTTTATGGCCAAGTAGTATTCCATCATATAAATATAACACAATTTCTTTATCCACTCATTGATTGATGGACATTTGGGTTAGTTCCACATTTTTGCAAATTGTGCTGCTATAAACATGCATGAGCAAGGATCTTTTTTGCGTAATGACTTCTTTTACTCTGAGTAGATACCCAGTAGTGGGGTTGCTGGATCAAATGGTAGTTCCACTTTTCCTTCTTTAAGGAATCTCCACACTGATTTCCATAGTGGTTGTGCTAGTTTTCATTCCCACCAGCAGTGTAGAAGGGTTACAGAAGTCTTACCTTTTCACCACATCCATGCCAACATCTATTTTTAAAAATTTTTTTTATTATGGTGCTTTGGCTTAGTTTTGTTATGGTTCATCTGTTTTGTACATGTGGATTATTTCTGTATTAGGTTGTTTAAAATATAACATTAGGAATGAAACTTTATGTACTCTTTTTTAATAACTATTTTTCTCTTCCTAATTAAAAAATGAATATATAGAACATTTCAAAAACCAGAAAAACCAAAACGCAGGCTCCAGGACCACTGTGTTTGTTTGAACAATCCCCAGAGACAATGTCCTACTAAACGCAGCTCTCCAAGCCCTGGGTAATACAGCCTCCCTCACCTGCACCAGGCACAATTCTCTTGCAGTCACCTGCACGCCTAACCCCCTCACCACACACTCCTTCCTGCCCCAACCCTGGAGCCCACTGGCTCTCTGGCCTCCATTCCCACCTCTGAATTCTGAGCCTGCCTTGCTCATCTGGTGCACGCTAGGACTCTGCTCCCATCTGGGCCATGTTGCTGTTGCCAGAACAATCATCTGGGTAACCCAGGCCTGTTTGCTACTTCACATACATGCTCTGGGGAACTGCAGATGTAATGCGTTTAATGCAGAATATGATTTAATGTGTGAAATCCTTTGTTTCCACTCGCCACCACTCTGAAGTCAAGTCTGATGAAGTGAGTCCTTTATGAACCTACTGTGTGCCAGGAGCTAGCCGAGGCAGTTTCAGGTCCACCAGGTCTTTAAGCCTCTGCACAAGTTGATAAGGAATTATTCCCCTCATGACTACATCACTGAACAGGTGGTGGGGTACAGCAGAAAGGTCTGGCCTTGAAGGCAACAGCCCTGGTCCCCAGCCCTAGCTTTGTGTGTGACCCTCGTCCCCAGCCCCAGCTTTGTATGTAAACCTGGTCCCCAGCCCTAGCTTTGTGTGTGAATATGGACAAGTCGCTTAACCTTTCCGAGCTTGGGTTTCTCACGTTGTAAATGGGGGACATGATAATACCTACCTACCTACTTCCTAGATCCGTTTCAATAATCCAATAAAACTCACAGCTGGAATTACCATTATATGTTTAGTGAGTACCCACTCAATTACCATTATATGTTTAGTGAGTACCCACTCATGCTCTGGAAAGGGTGCCCATTGAGACAGCAAAAGGAGCAGATGAACTTTGGGAGGCCGAGGTGGGTGGATCACTTAAGGTCAGGAGTCCAAGACCAGCCTGACCAACATGGTGAAACCTCGTCTCTACTAAAAATACAAAAATTAGCCAGGCCTGGTGGCATGCGCCTGTAATCCCAGCTACTCAGAAGGCTGAGGCGAGAGCATCACTTGAGCCTAGGAGGCAGAGGTTGCAGTGAGCCGAGACCTCACCACTGCACTCCAGCCTGGGTGACAGAGTGAAACTCTGTCTCAAAAAAAAGAGAGAGTGCGGATGAAACAAAAATAAAATTAAAATCACCTATGAAAGAAAAAAATAACAAAATTTTGAATAATGATGGTGATAAAGTGAATGGAATGTCCAGATTAAACTTACAACTTCAAGGACCCATCTGCTTACCAATCTAAAGCCTGGTTTTCTTCACAGGAGGACCAGGGAGGGGACCAGGGAAGCAGAAATGAGCAGGTGGGGTCTCCGTCCTCGGGAAATTCATCGTTTAGTGAGAGAGAGAGAGACATAGAGAGATTATTAGAAAGCAGTGTAGTGCATGCTGTAAAATGGAATCTGTGTAATCCAGGCGAGGTCCAGAAGATGAGTGATAGATCTACCTGGCACAGTTGAGGATGGTTTCTTATGGAATGGGACATTAGAGCTGGCCTCGAAGGACCAGTTGGAGTTTGCTAGACGACTGAGGGGGAAGGGCATTCTGGGAAGAGGGAACAGCATGAACATAGGTTCGGAGGCAAAAAAGTGCACGGTGTTTGGGGAGAGTGCAGGGTCGAGGAGAGTGATGTCATGCAGGCAATGACCTTGATGCAATTGTGGCCTCCAGGTACACTACCAGACAAACTATTCTAGAGGCTTTGGAACAGATTCATAGGCTAAGTTAAGATGCTTCATTACGGCATCTAATGTATCAATTTTTTTTTTTTTTCTTTGAGACAGGGTCTCGCTCTGTCACCCAGGCTGGAGTGCAGTCGTGTGATCTCGGCTCACTGCAGCCTCTACTTCCTGGGCTCAAGTGTTCCTCCCACCTCAGCCTCCCAAGTAGCTGGGACTACAGGCGTGCACCACCACACCTGGCTAATAGTGTATCAATTACAAACACATAGCAAGACACCAGGGAAAGGCGATGAGATAGCTGGTTAGGCTAGTGTGTGTGCAGATGGGAGGACCACACTGCCTGCATCCTGCTGACACAGTGTTTCTTTGTGCCACCTCTCTCCCTGCCACATCAGCCTTCACTGCTGATGGAGTGAAGTTTGAACCAAGGAGCCCATGCAATGGAAAGCACTTGGGCCAATGGCACAGAATTGCCCTCTCTCTGGTATAGGGACGAGTGCCTGGCCACAGCTGTAGCCGTCAGTTCACCTGGAGAACAGCTACACCTTTCTCTGCATTTCTTGGGCAGGGGACACAGAGGGTCAGAATAGCCATTGCCAATGGGTGGCTGACTTAAGACCTAATAAATATTGAATGTTCCATATGCCTCATGAATATTAAGCATAGCATCAATATTTGGCTATTTAGTGCCATTGGTCCCTCTGTCCCTTCCTATGTTCAGCATGTAGGTGCTCTCCTTGGTATACTGTGTCTAGTATAAATCTTCTGTACTTAGCTTCATCTGTCTTCCTTATTTAATTCTCTTATTTTTATGGCCCAATTTGACTTTCTTAAATAATACAGCGATCCACATGACATAGTGAAAGATGGGGCTGGCGGTGGGCAAGGGTCAGATCACGGTAACGCGACCGGCAAGGAGTGGGGCTTTATTCTGTAGGTGATAGGGCCAAACCCAGGGGAGTGGCAGGCTCCCCACTGCCAGCCACTCTTATGGGGAGAATGGGGAGCGGATAGCCTAGCTGGAGAAAGGTGCAGGGGTGATAGGTGGGAAGTGGGGGGTATTCCTTCCATATGTCTCCCAAAACGTGCTGAGTTTCTGGCACAGTTCCCTGCTCTCAGACTGAGTCAAGAGCATCCTGATTTTGGGTTTGCAAGACAAAGGTATACGCCCCACGTGTCCCGAGTACTCCCACCAGCCCCTAACATGATGCATCCAGGCCTTCCCGCAGCAGCTCTGTGGATGGATGTAGCGGTCAGCGTCTCAGGTCAGCCACCAGCAACCCAAAACTGAAAAGTCTCCTTCCACCTGCCAGGCTCCTGGGGCTGAGGCCCTGCCCCAACATGTGGCCTCAAGAGCAGGTAGACTCAAGGTGGGGGCACTCTCCCTGGGAAAAAAGAAAGAGAAAGTCCTTTACCCTTCAGGCAAGGCCTGTCATTGATGCCTGGGAGATAGGAATACCACTTGGAGCATTCATCAAGAAGTGTTGAAAGATCAGAGAGAAGCAAATCTGAATTTCCACTGAGAAAATGTTCACATTGTAAGGCACTGAATACACTTTCTAGCAGGGATAGCAAGTATCTGGCACTCAAGCCAGTCATCTCCCATCCAGAGCCCCTGGCAGACATTGCTAATGGATCACAGCACTCTCTTGTGTTGAGTCTGGAAGCACAGCTCTGGGCCACTGCTACCAGTCTGCCTACTTTAATGCACTCTCCCATTTTGCAGACAGGGAAGCTGAAGTGCAGGATAGTTCTACAGAATATTGGAAATATTGCCGGGTGCAGTGACTCAAGCCTGTAATCCCGGCACTTTGGGAGGCTGAGGCAGGCAGATCAATTGAGGTCAGGAGGTCGAGGCCAGCCTGGCCAACACAGTGAAACCCCATCTCTACTAAAAATACAAAAAATTAGCTGGTCATTGTGGTGCATGCCTGTAATCCCAGCTACTCAGGAGTCTGAGGCAGGAGAATCGCTTGAGCCCGAGGTGGAGGTTGCCATGAGCCGACATTGCGCCACTGCCCTCCAGACTGGGCGACAGAGTGGGTGAGACTCTGTCTCAAAAGAAAAAAAAAAAAAAACAAACAAAGAGGCTGGGTGCAGTGGCTCACTCCTGTAATCCCAGCACTTTGGGAGGCCAAGGTGGGCAGATCACAAGGTCAGGAGTTCCAGACCAGCCTGGGCAACACAGTGAAACCCCGTCTCTACTAAAACACAAAAAATTAGCTGGGTGTGGTGGTGGGCACCTGTAATCCCAGCTACTCAGGAGGCTGAGGCAGGAGAATCACTTGAACCCGGGAGGCGGAGGTTGCAGTGAGCCAAGATCGCACCACTGCACTCCAGCCTGGGCAACAGAGCGGGAGTCCATCTCAATTAAAAAGAAAAAAAAAAAAGAATATTGGAATTGCCAGAGGCACTGGAACCAACAGTGATTGTGAGGTTTAAAACAGAAAAGGAAAGGAAAAGGAAGGAGTAGAGAATGCAGGGGCTTTTCTTCACTTTCTCTTCCCCTTCCGGTGGCAGGAGCCCACAGAGAAGGTGCTAGAAGCAAACCCTTGCCAGAGGGGTCAGATGATCCCTATTTGGATGCCAGGTCTGGGCTGGATGCTTTGGGATCCGTGACATGGGAGTAGCTGTACTCTCCCTCTGAAACATGCAGCCCAGTGGGAATGACTTGGCTTCATTTGAGAGACAGTTACTGAGCCCCTTCAGCCTCCAGGGCTGGACGTAGCCCTTACTCGATGTTGCTGTCCCAGGCACTTCCTCCAGCCCAGTATTTCTTTTATTATTGCTTCTTCACAGTTTCTCACCTTCCTTTTGAGACTTTTAGTGTTGACTAAAGGAAAAATGATCAACTTTTAAAGAATTCAGGTTTGTTTTCTTCAGAAGCCTTCCTGAGGACTGTAGACGGAGGCCAGCAGCCCGGGAGCCACCCTTCTGTGAGGTCCTATCAGATATCAGCACAGTGTTTCAGCCCACTGCTTAAATGCAGGTGGGGGGCTCAGCACCTGCAGAATCACATCAGACTTGCTGAGAAGTGACACTGAAGCAGAATCACATCAAGGTTTGGGCCTGAGAGTGCGTCTGGTTAGAGATGACAGAGGTGTCATCACTAACCTTATCAGACGTCATATTATGTTTGGGAAAGGCAAAGACGAGGGTCATTTATCTTGTAGGGAGAATAGAGACTCAGGCAAGAGACCTGGGAGGCCATGTGCTCTGGCCTGCTTTGTCCTCAAAGCATCTTTCCGGAGCGCTGCACATCGTCACGGAGTCAGGGGCCTTGTGGAGTCATGCCAGCAAGCAGAAATGAGCAGGCGTGGCTTCTCTCGTTTGCTACTTTGTCTCACGGTAGTGAGAGGTCCCCTCTCTGTCCACTCTGTGTTGCTTCCATTTTCTGTCATTTCAACCTCTTTGTCCTTCTCTGAGTTCTAGGGGACTTTCTCAAATGTGTTTAATAGACCACTCAGATTTTCTGAGTGTCCGATCTGCCATTTGCTGCATCCGTCCCAGCCTTCAATTTAGCACTCTTGTTTTTCATGTCCAGGAAATCCTTCTGACCTTGGATTACTCCCTCTTCATGGTTGCTTCTCAAGGTCCCATAGATGCAGTGTATACTTTCCTGAATCTTGGTGGAAACCAAATCAGGAGTTTTCTAAAATGTTTTGTGTCTTGCAGCAAAGCTAACTTAGAAGGCAGCATTTCCTCGGTTTCTTTGGAATGCTCTCTTTTTGAACTGCAGTATCTTTACGGGCCCTGTGCTTTTCCCATATTGTTCTCATCCTAAAAAGAAATCCCACTGCCCTGCTCATTGAAGGCACTCGATAAAGTTTATTTATTTCAAATCCCAAGAATGCTTCCAAAGAAAAGTATTTAAGAAAGACAGTGTGAAAGGGATGCTATGTCCATTTGCTCACTTCCTCTGAGCACTATCTGCACTCCTAGGTAGAAGATACCCTCGAAAGAACAGGTGAGCCAGGTGCGGTGGCTCACGCCTGTAATCCCAGCACTCTGGGAGGCCAAGGCAGGTGGATCAAGAGGTCAAGAGTTTGAGACCAGCCTGGCCAACATGGTGAAACCCCATCTCTACTAAGAATACAAAAATTAGCTGGGCGTGGTGGCGCATGCCTGTAATCCCAGCTACTCGGGAGGCTGAGGCAGGAGAATCACTTGAATCGTGGAGGCAGAGGCACTCCAGCTTGGGTGACAGAGCAAGACTCCATCTCAAAAAACAGAAAAAAAAAAAAAGAAAAACTAGATAGTCTGGGCACAGTGGCTCACACCTGTCATCCCAGCACTTTGGGAGGCCAAGGCAGGAGGATTGCTTGAGCCCTGGAATTCGAGACCAGCCTGGGCAACATGGTGAAACCGTGTCTCTACCAAAAAATACAAAAATTAGCGAGGCATAGTGGCATGTACCTGTAATCCCAGCTACTGGGGAGGGTAAGGCAGGAGGATCACTTGAGCCCAGGAGAGCAAGGCTGCAGTGAGCCATGATCACACCACCGCACTGTACTCCAGCCTGAGCAAATGAGACCTTATCTCATTAAAAAAAAAAAAAAAAAAAACTAGATACGGCCATCAGCATGTAAGTAATAAGGACAAACAAAAAATAAAGAAGTAAATAAAAAGAAATGAGCACTATATTTGATTCTAAGATTCTTGGTAGTCAAAACAAAAAGTAAAACATGATTACAAAGACTCACAACATCCAAAAAATGAAAACCCAGAGTTGCCCAAGAGTCCTAATAGCTCCCATTGGATGACCAATAAAAGACGATTCCAGTGGCGTAAGCACCAGAGGGCGCTGTGTGGTACAGCAGCCTTCAGGGCCACTGGTTCCCACTATGCCCTGTAGAGGCTGCTGACCTCAAGTTCACAAGCAGCTGAAACAAGACCCCTGCAAGTTCACCCCATCTTAGCCCCTTTGTTCTGGCTAACTGCACTGGACACCTGTCCTTACATCTTGACAGCTGCTAGCAGATCAAATAGACCACATTTTGTTTTTCCATGTATCAGCTGATGGACACCTGGGTAGTTTCCACTTTGGGGCTATTACAAATAATGCTGCTAAGAACATTCATGTACACATATTTTTTTTTGAGGCAGAGTCTCGCTGTGTCACCCAGGCTGGAGGGCAGTGTCACAGTCTCGGCTCACTGCAACCTCCATCTCCAGGGTTCAAGCGATTCTTGTGCCTCAGCCTCCCTAGTAACTGGTATTACAGGTATGGGCCACCACACCTAGCTAACTTTTGTATTTTTAAGAGAGACAGGGTTTCGCCATGTTGCCCAGGCTGGTCTTGAGCTCCTGACCTCAAGTGATCCTCCCACCTCAGCCTCCCAAAGTGCTGGGATTACAGGCGTGAGCCACTGCACCCCATCCACATACACATTTGTGTAAACAGAGTTCCTTACGTCTTGTGAACTCAACAACAAATGTTTTTAAATTTGTAATACTTCTCCAGTATTTCTAGGGGTTTTATAATGGAGAGTTTTTAGGATATTGGGAAAAAGAAGTTGTAGCCCTCCTTCAGTGTCATCCTTCCCAAGCTTGTTCTCTTAATAAGACCATCCTGTGTTGTCAGTGTGTGGGGGAAGCAGTGATGAGCAGGCCTGGTGGGTGCCATTCAGATGCCTTTAGACCCACATCACCTCTGCATCCTTCCTCCCCTCTCAGGTCCGACGCCTCCTTATATTGTGATGATGTTGACATTCGCTTCAGCAAAACCATGAACTCCTGCAAAGTGCTGCAGATCCGCTACGCCAGTGTGGAGCGGCTGCTGGAGAGGCTGACGGACCTGCGCTTCCTGAGCATCGACTTCCTCAACACCTTCCTGCACTCCTACCGCGTCTTCACCACCGCCATCGTGGTCCTGGACAAGCTCATTACCATCTACAAGAAGCCTATCAGTGCCATTCCTGCCAGGTGGCTGAGGTGCCCTCCTCCTCCCATGCCCGGAGAGCTTCCAAGCCTTGGAGGAAAACTGAGCTTGCACGGGGCCGGGGGGTGACCTGGAAGGTCCCTGGAGGAGCAGCAGTAACGTGTTGGGGTGCTGCGGGACACACACCGCCACTGCCCCCTCTCCCCAGGAACCAAGCCTCCCTCTGCAGAGAGGCAGGGACAGCTCACCTGCCTGGTGCTACTGCTCAGTCTCAGCTGCTTCCATCTCCACCTGCCAGGATCCTGGGGTGTGGAGGGTGCTCTCACCTCTTAGCCCCGCTCCTGGAAGCACAGGGTCCCACCGTCACCAAAGGACAGTGCTTCCTTTGGTGAAAAAAGAGAAAGGAAATGAGGAGGGGAAGGAGGACAGAAGGAGAGAGGGAGAGGGAGAAAGAAAAATAAAGGGAGAGAGGAAGGAAGGAAGGGAGGGAGGGAGGGAGGGAGGGAGGGAGAAAGGACTCTTACCCCTGCTTTGCTTAGACCACCTCCTACTCTAAGAAATGATGGAGCCCTTTTTGGCCTACTTGGGGTGAGTCAACATAAGGAGTGCAGGCCACCTTAGCCTTTGCTTCTCAAAAGTCATGGGGCAATGAAGGACTTGGCCAAGGCTGTCCAGCAGTAGGCCAAGTTCAGGGATTGGCTCAGGCCCCTAATGGACTTCACTGCATCCAGGAATGGTAGGTGATTATCTTTTCCGAGAGGCCACCTACCCAGATCCCAGTTGTGGACAGCCCATCCCAGCCCTCAGAGGCTCAGAGGCTCTCTGAGTGCCCTGCCCCAAAACACCCTAGGCAAGACATTATGCCAGAGCCTCAGCTCTAGGGCTGCCTGGAGCAGAGCTCCTGAATCACACTGGCTCCCCAGGGCTCCCCAGGAACCTCACCATTCCTCCCCCAATCCACACCTCTGCTGCCAGAGCAACGCAACGACCCAGAATACACCCGTTCCCTCTTCTGTTCCCTCCTCCTGCCCCCACCTCAGGCCTCACTGGGGCAGGGTACATCTTGCCTCTCTGCCCTGAACTTCTGAAACCTCAATGATCAGATTCCCAGGGCTCTGAGAAAACAGAAGCAAACATCCCATCCAGGATGGATTTACCCCCTAAAAGTCACTGAGATCATTCCCAGGGGCCCAGCAGACAGTGTCCTTCCTTTCCCAGCAGCAGTGCCCTGCAGAACAAAGAGGCTGGTTCAGAGCCAGCTCTCAGCCCTATGGCCTTGGCTGAGTCCCTTAACCTTTCTGAGACTCAGTTTCCTACCTGTGACATTCCTGCAGTTATCCTGTAGGAATAAGAGTGCCTACGTCCTGGGGCAACAGTGAGGGTTAAAAGATCAATCCTATCCTGTGTGCAACGTGGAGCAGACAGCCTCGATGAGACAAGCTATGGTTTGCAATGTTCTGGATGTATAACCTGTTTCCAGCCTGGCCTGAGGTGGAACCCTGTCATGAGGATGGTAGGGGCCACTTTCAGCTTCCCATCCCCCTAAGTTTGCATATAGGGCCGCTCAAGCCCCAAAGCAGGTGGAAAGGACCCTGCGTTTAGAGTAGGAGGCATCAGATGAGTCATTTCCTGTCTCTGAGCCTCAGCTTCCTCATTCCACAAAACATGCCTGAGGACCTCTCTAAGGATGAGGCCAGAGAGTGTAGGCGGGAGCAGGCCCTGTGTGGGATGGAGGGGGGTTTTGCACAGTCCGCAGCTCAGGGGACCCTTAGCACTTCAGGTCAGATGCTGCAGCTGCTGCCCTGAGGGGGTGGGGGGGCGGAGCATAGAAGCCCCAGATCCTCTGCCCAAACCATCCAGAGCAGGACCCTTGGCCCCAGGCCATTTAATCGCATTGTCCCTGCTCAGAGGATCAGCTCAAGTATGGGTTTCAGGGATCCTAAGAATGATGGAGCCGTTGCTGCCACTCCGAGCCCCACCGGAGACGGCCCCCAGGCCTAGGCGGGCAGGCAGGCCTACGCTAACTGTCATTTTCACCCCCGCCCTCCCCACAGGTCGCTGGAGCTCCTGTTTGCCAGTGGCCAGAACAATAAGCTCCTGTACGGTGAACCCCCCAAGTCCCCGCGCGCCACCCGCAAGTTCTCCTCGCCGCCACCTCTGTCCATCACCAAGACATCGTCACCGAGCCGCCGGCGGAAGCTCTCCCTGAACATCCCCATCATCACTGGCGGCAAGGCCCTGGACCTGGCCGCCCTCAGCTGCAACTCCAATGGCTACACCAGCATGTACTCGGCCATGTCACCCTTCAGCAAGGCCACGCTGGACACCAGCAAGCTCTATGTGTCCAGCAGCTTCACCAACAAGATTCCAGATGAGGGCGATACGACCCCTGAGAAGCCCGAAGACCCTTCAGCGCTCAGCAAGCAGAGTGAGTGGCCATGCCGTCGGAGCTGCCCCCCAGCCTCCCAGCCCCACTGAGGCTCAGCCTGGCCCAGCAAGGCCTCAGGGCTGCTCTTCCTGCTCCCATGGGGAAGGAAGGGAGAGGCTTGGGGGTCCCACCAGGCAGATAGTGGAGGCAGCACAGAGTCTGGGCGGTGCAGAGAGGTAGCCGTATGTGGGAGCCCAGGCTGCGGGGGGAGGCAGGCAGAAATTCCCAGGGCATCGCCACACTTTAGATGAGTCAGTTCCCATCACGAGCAATTTAGGCATCCCTCTGCCCTGACCACAGCATCCTACGGCATCCCTGTGTTTGTCCATGTCTGCAGAGGACAGGGCCTGGGCCAGGCCCATTCAGGGCCCGGGAGAGAAGAGGTCGTCAGCAGCTCCTGCCCCCTGGGATTCAGTCTGGCTGAGGACCCAGACCAGACACTGAAATGTGGACACCTGATACGAATGGCTTGTGTCAGGAGGATGCTCCAGGGGCACAGAGGTTGGGGTGGGAACACCATTAGGAGCGTCATAGAAGGCTTCCCGGAAGAACTGTTCGATCTCAATTTTTACCAAGAGGAAAGGAGAACATTCTAGACCATGGGAACAGGATGGGAATGACTGAGGAGCAAGAAAAGGCCTTGTGTGTTTCGGGGACAGCTGGACGCCAGGCAGACCTGGAATGCTGAGTGTGAGACAGGCTGGAGATGATTCCAGGACAGGCTGGAGCCTCCCTACTCTCAGGGTTTCTCCTGACTGTTCTAAAAGTGTCAGGTCTGGTTCTGATTTAGATCCGAACAGGCCACATCTTGGGTGCCACAAGCATTGTCTCGGTTAGCACATGAGAGCACGTGCACACACGCACGCACCCACGTGCAACCAGGGGCTGGTCAGACGCCCCAGGCTTTGAGGAGGAGGCCTTTGAAGAGGGAAGGATTTCTCTCCTCTGAGCTGGCAAGAGGGAAGGCAGAGGGCACCCCCAGCAGAGGGCACAGCTGGGGCAAGATAAATCCTCCGCCAGGCTCCATACCAAGTAACACTCACCGTGGCACATGCAGTTAATGGGTGATGCATGCAGCTGAAAGTCAGTCACCAAGGAAATGGCCTGCCAGAAATTTCATAATTTCACATTCTGAAATGTAACGCAAGGCAGTCCTGAGAAGTCATCTGGTACCAGGCTTCTTGACTGGTGATCCAGGAGCCCATGAATCTAATTATGTGCCAAACTGTGTGTGTGTGTATATGTGTGTGTATGTGTATTTGTTATGTATAAATGTGTGTGCGTGTGCATGTGCCTGTGGACATTCTTGTCTAAAGAGAAGACCTGTGGCTTTGTGTTCTCAAGGTCAGATGCAACTACATCCACTTTCTACGTGGGTAAACTGAGGCCCAGAGCAGTTAAGAGTTTCTGACCAAGACCTCACTGTGCCAGACCTAGGCTTTTAATATAATTCATCAGCCTCCCCAGGGTGTGTGGACCAGGAGTCTCCCAAGATTAGGAAGCCTCTATAATTAATTATCCAAGACAGGACATTTTAAGAGTGACCAGGGGCACGCGGCAATAGGTTAAAAGCAGAGGAAAACTGGAGCAGATGGTCACCTTAACTAATAAGCTTCACCAAAAAAAAAAAGAGAGATCGTGTAACTCAAAGTGTGGTCCGTGGACCAACCACATGGCCATCACCTGGAACCTGTTAGAAATGCAGACTCTCAGGCCCTGCCTGAGACCCCTGAATCAGAATTTGCATTCTGACAAGATCCCCAGGTGTGTCTGGTAAGGTTTGAGAAGCCCTGGTGGAGCAAAAGCCACCTTGGAGATCGACAGTGCTCATTAGCAAGAGAAAGGTTCTGATGAGTCCTGCGGGAAACAAAGCTGTTAAACTTTCTTCAGTGGCTGTATCCCAAGTTTACTCTGTTTTGCCTCAGTAAATTATAGACATAAATTTTAAAATCAAATATTTAAATTTTAAAATTAAAATTAAGAAAAGTAAAATTATTTATTTCTTTTCTCCCAGGCTCAGAAGTCTCCATGAGAGAGGAGTCAGATATTGATCAAAACCAGAGTGATGATGGTGATACTGAAACATCACCAACTAAATCTCCAACAACACCCAAATCAGTCAAAAACAAAAATTCTTCAGGTACAATGCACCAATTCAAAACCACAAATAGATTTCCAGTTTGGGAGAGGGCAGTAGGTCAAGTCGAGTCAAGGCAAGTGGGTGTCATCCCTTATGCTTTATGAGTGACTCCTAAGAGCAGTAACTTTTCTGATATTTCATAACCCACCCACCACCACCCGCCCCCCGCCACCCCAAGGGAAGGGGCTGTGGGCACTGGAACATTGGCTGGGTAGATCCTGCTCTTCAACTCAACCAAGTCACTCTCCCAACTTCAGACAAGACTGCCTTGAGCCCACCCAGCACAGGTGGGCAGGGAGGCTCAGCATCTAGGGCTCATTCGTGGAAGATCCTGATTCAGAAGGTGCTTCCTGAACCCCAGCACAGGTGGGCAGGGAGGCTCAGCATCTAGGGCTCATTCATGGAAGATCCTGGTTCAGAAGGTGCTTCCTGAACTGAGTGCCAGGCTCTGCACAGACCCCTTTCATCATCTTGACAGCTTTGCAAAAAGGCTAGGTGTTTCAAATAAGGGGAAAGACTCCAAGAGGCGGTGACATTGCTCACCCGCAGTCCCAGACTCCTGATCCTGAAGGATCCTTGAGAAGCAGTCTTGGTCTCCGGTTTTCATAAAGCCCTTTCCCCTATACAAGGGGGCTGTGAGATACCCAATGGTGAGAGAGAGCTCCCAGGGGACCCACCTCCCAGGCAGCCCCTCCCCACACAGCTTTCTCCAATGTCCCTGCTCTCACATGCAAAGGGCCGCCTGCAGCCTGAACTCCCCACTATCCAGGCTTTCAAAAGGAACCCAATAGGTAACAGGGTCACCGAGCTTTAGAGAGAAACTGCCTGGACATACTGCAGCCCTGCCACAGCTGCTCAGACACACAGAAACAGAGCTCATGGAGAGCCAAATTTCAGAAATAAGCTTTGAGTCCTTAAAATAAATCATATGTGCCTCACAGCATTAAATACTGCTATTTTGTCTTCAGTAGTCTGGATTGCTTTCCAGAGACAAGATGAAACCAAAGGTTTCAAGAGTAGGTTTCTCCTATCATTACTACTAAAAATTATGATTATTATTATTATTACTAATAGCAATGATATTCCATGGCATTTATATAGCTTTTCACCTAACACAAAGTACTTTCATCTATGTTATTGCCTTTAATCTTTATATCCACCTTTTGAAGCTTTATCCCTATTATTCAAAGGAGACTACTGAAACCCAGAGGGGTTAAATGACTTACCCAAGGTCACACAGCTAGTAGGGGGTAGGGGAGAATTTCAACTCAGGTGGCTGGACTCCAAGAGCCATCCTCTCTCCATCCCACTGTGCCCACGAGCCCATCAGTATGAATTGTTATGGATGTCAGACATTGGACAGGTTATGTGTTAATCCCAAGTAGACTGAGAGGGTAAGAAAACTCATGATGCTGCCCTCAGGCAGGCCTGTGCCCTGCTGGACCTGAGAGGTGAAGGGGTTGAGAGCTGCAGAAAGATGGACGGGGTGACTGGAGACCTTTTTCAGAAGCAGGAGTGTGCTCCCCAACCTGGGACAGCCCTGAGGGTGTTGTGGTGTGACTCTCCCCAGAGCTTCTAACACAGAGAGAGACACACACACACACCAGCACCACCCGACATGCCCTGGTACCCTGAAGACACAGCCTGCTGGCTCTTAAGGCTGCTCTAGCCTCGGGACCCCTGGTTTTCTAACAGCCTGAGGAGTTGGGACTGGGGACAGCTGAGGGTTGGTTCCCTCCTCTCTGCAGAGTTCCCACTCTTTTCCTATAACAATGGAGTCGTCATGACCTCCTGTCGTGAACTGGACAATAACCGCAGTGCCTTGTCGGCCGCCTCTGCCTTTGCCATAGCAACCGCCGGGGCCAACGAGGGCACCCCAAACAAGGAGAAGTACCGGAGGATGTCCTTAGCCAGTGCAGGTATGTGGGGTGTTCTCCACTCACAGGGTCCTCCCCATGGTCAGCCCCAGTGGCAGGTGATAGCAGCCATGGTCCCGGGGACTTGCTCTGCTGTGGGTGTTTAAGGTGTGCTAAGGATGGCACAGGTGGGTCCTGTTAAAGCACCCACCCTCGGGGAGCTCCCTGCTTCAATTGACTACAGTCACTCACTGGACACGAAGCTTCCTGAATCATTATTTTGGCTTGGGCACCGCCTTCCACTTGTGGAGGTGCTGGGTCACAACCCCCACCTCTCTGCACTGGTTGGGGCTCTGCACACACCCAGGGCCTGAACCCCACACCTAGAGCCAGGGCCACTGCACATCTAGGGCACAGCGTGCCCTGCACCCTCCTCTTCCAGCTGCCAGCTGAATGCCATCCATCCTTCCCCCAAACTTCCATCCTGCAGGCCTTTGCTAGTGCTGACCCTCCTGCCTGGAGGCCCCTTCCTTCCCACCCATCGCCCTTTGCTACTTGGCCAGCTTCTACTCGACATAAAGCCCATTGCCCATGGGAACCTCTGTCCCGCCATGCTCCCACCTCCCACTTCTGCATCCTTGATCCTGCAGCAGAGACTGGAATAGGGGCCCCTTTGAGCTCTGTTCCCTGGGGAGGCCCTGCGTGGCTCTGTCTTGGGAGGCTGCCTGAACCTTCCAGCAGCTCTTGAAAGATGGAGAGGTCTGGAAGAGGCTGGGCATGCATGGACCGTGTTGACTGAGGAGCCATGACATCTGTGCTATTGGTCAGACACTAGTTGTTAAACATGTTGTTATCCCCCTGCCCATGACCCCCTCACTCACCCCAGCTCAGCCAGATCCGAGAGGCAAATCCAGACTAGTGTCAAGCTCTGTTTCTTGTCCTCACCTGTCCTCTCTCCCCTCTGCCACGCATGCTGCCAGGGTTTCCCCCAGACCAGAGGAATGGAGACAAGGAGTTTGTGATCCGCAGAGCAGCCACCAATCGTGTCTTGAACGTGCTCCGCCACTGGGTGTCCAAGCACTCTCAGGTGGGTGGGAGCCCTCCCTGGGCAGGCTGCTGGGGACCACCAGGCAATGGCCCCAGGAACCAGCTGCCTTCCAAAAGCAGCTGCGGGCAGAGTGAGCTGATGGCTGGCAGTGGGGCAGCAGAAGGGAGGGAGCTCAAATGTGCCACCCTGATGTTCCCGGAGGACTGCTCAGATTCCCTAGGAGGGAACAAAGGACATGGAAGGGACAATGGGTCTCTGTCTATCCACCCTGCCTGTAGCAGGGGTACAGGTAGGTTTGTGCCTCCCTGGCCCAGGGGTGCAGCCAGCTGAAAGATGGGCTTTGATCTGGTTCCAGTGCCTTTATCTAAGATTCTCTAGGCCTGGAGAGCCTCTCATGCCCTGCCAGGAAGCCAACAGAAAGGAAATGAGGCAGGTCAGCCTGCCCTGGGCAGAATAGAAACTGGAGCTCCTTCCTCTGGCCTGGGCCCAGACCACTGCAGAGCAGCTCAAAAACAGTAACCAGAGCCACCCATCACACCTTCCCGGCAGGACTTTGAGACCAACGATGAGCTCAAATGCAAGGTGATCGGCTTCCTGGAAGAAGTCATGCACGACCCGGAGCTCCTGACCCAGGAGCGGAAGGCTGCAGCCAACATCATCAGGTAAAGGCAGTACCTGGTTCCTGGCTCAGAACTGCCTGCTGGGACAGGAGCCCTGCCTTCTGCCTCCATGTGGGCTGGTCAGAGGCCCGGGAGGTGAAGAGCGCCCTTGTCAAGGACAGCCCCAAGTAGGAGTGCTGGGGTAGAGGTGAGCTCTTGGGGGCAGGCTCAGGGCTGGGTAGTCTATTTGTCCTTCTTTCCTCTCTCCCCACCCTGCGCCAGACCTTGATCTCTTCAAAGCAAGAACCCAGCACACTTCTCCATGTGTGTCCACAGCTGCTAACCCCTGTCTAGCCTGTGCCATCCAATATGGTAGGCACTAGCTACATAAGGCTATTTAAATCTTTTTTTTTTTTTTTTTTGAGGCGAAGTCTCGCTCTTGTCACCCAGGCTAGAATGCAGTGATGTGATCTTGGCTCACTGTAACCTCCACCTCCCAGGTTCAAGAGATTCTCCTGCCTCAGCCTCCCCAGTAGCTGGGATTATAGGCACCTGCCACCACGCCCAGCTAATTTTTTTTGTATTTTTAGTAGAGACGGGGTTTCACCATGTTGGCCAGGCTGGTCTCAGTCTCCTGACCTCAGGCGATCTGCCCACCTCGGCCTCCCAAAGTGCTGGGATTACAGGCATGAGCCACTATGCCCGGCCTTGGCTATTTAAATCTTAATGAAAATTAAATAAAATTTAAAGTTCAGTTCCTCAGTGACATGAGCCCAGCAGCCTCAGCTTCACCCCCGACATGTGGCTAGCAGTCCCTGCATTGGACAGTACAGGGTGTAGGATGCTGCCATCACTGCAGAGATCTATTAAACAGTGCTGGCGAGGCCTGATTTGTAGGTGCTTGAGTGTCTGTTGAATTGAATTCAGTTAAGTTGTTTATCCCCAAACCCATGCTTGTCCTCTCCTGGTGGAGGTCAGGGTCAGGCAGCCCGATGTCTGAGATGCTCAGCCAGTGACTCATGTGACCTGGGCAAGTCCCCGCTCTGAGCCTCATCCATAAAATGGGTGAACAATACCCGCTTCAAGGCTGGGATGAGATCACGGGTGTCACTTTTACAGGCTGTTCAGTGGGTGGCGGGCACCTACCGACTCAGCCTGTCTGCTCCCAGCCCAGCCCAGGTGTGAGGGCTTGGGCCCTGGCCTTTCCTCCTCACCTCTTGCCTGGCCCCAGCCTCCCCAGACTTTCCCCCAAGTCCTGCCTGTGACCAGAGTGCCCAGACATCCTCCCCAGCCAGGCCGTGGAGGCCCCATGCTGGGGCCCATTCTTCCCTCAGGCTCACAGTCCTAAAATCTCTTTCAGGCCTCCACATCTTCAGTACAGAGGCCAGAGTGTGTGCACACATGCCCACACACACACACACGCACACACACACACAGCCGCCACTCGTGGTCCTCCCAGGAGGCCTTAGGAGTGTGTGGAGCCCCCCACCGAGCATATTGATCAAAGCCACCCTCGGAGGGGAGCCTGTTCCCTGGGTGTGATGAAAGAGCAGGCTCTGGAGTTGGCAGCCCTGGTTTGGAGCGTGGGCCCACCATGCTCCAGCTGCGGGACCCCAGGTGAGGCAGTTCCCTGAGGGGCCGTTTCCTCAGCTGTAAGATATACACGACAATGCCTTCTGCCAGGCTGATCCAGAGAGCCACTCCCCGCAGCCCCGGCAGGCCTGCAGACCCCTGGCTGTCCCCACGCAGCCCAGGCCTGGCTCTCCAGTGTCCGCAGCCTCCGTTGGTACTCACCAGCTGTGGCTCTGAGCCCATCACTGTGAGCGTGCGGCACTTTGGCCTGACTTTGAGGCTCTACCCTCATTCCCCACCGTGTGTACCACTCTCCTCTGCTCTCCCAATTCCATCCTTGCAGTCCCTCCTCTGGGCCTGTGGCTGCCATGCTGCTGCCTCCCCACTCCCTGTGCTTCCTTCCTGTCATGCATCCTGTCATCCATGTGCTCGCAGGAGCGCCTGCTGAATGTCCAGTCCTGTGCTGGCACCAGAGCTATGGGGCTGAATCAGACACCGTCCCTCCCTCAAGGGCTCCCTGCCTGAGGTGGCAGAAAGGCCATTCCCACCCAGCCAGATGCAGGAAGCCCAGGGGCTGAGAGGGCCCCAGAAGGGGACCTCCCACAGCCAGGAGCGCCAGGACCATCAGGAAGAAGAGTGAAGGAGGAAGGGGAAAGGGTGCTCCTGGCAATGGGGATGACGAGGACAGAGGGGCGTAAGAGCAGAGGCCGTGTGGGGCTGTCCGAGCTGGGGAGGGGCTGCTGCAACGTGAAGTGGGGCTCACCGTGCCTTCTCGCTCCTGCCTAGGACTCTGACCCAGGAGGACCCAGGTGACAACCAGATCACGCTGGAGGAGATCACGCAGATGGTGAGCTGGGCCTGCCCTCTTGCTTTCCAAGGCTTTCCTCCCCATCCTCCTGCCCAGGACCCCTGACCCATCACAGGCATCACCCGTATTCATTTTCTGTGGCTGTTGTGAAAAAATACCACAAACTGGGCGGCTTAAAACAACAGGAATGGGCTGAGCGCAGTGGCTCATGCCTGTAATCCCAGCACTTTGGGAGGCCAAGGTGGGCAGATCACCTGAGGTCAGGAGGTGGAGACCAGCCTGGCCAACATGGTAAAACCCCATTTCTACTAAAAATACAAAAATTAGCTAGGCGTGGTGGCAGGTGCCTGTAACCCCAGCTTCTCAGGAGACTGAGGCGGGAGAATCACTTAAACCCAGGAGGCGGAGGTGGCAGTGAGCCAAGATCCTCCACTGCACGCTCCAGCCTAGGTAACAGAGCGAGACTCCATCTCAAAAAAAAAAAAAAAGAAAGAAAAAAGAAATGTATTCTCTCATAGTTCTGGAGTCTGAAATTAAGATGTGAGAGGGAGGCCAGGCGTGGTGGCTCACACCTGTAATCCTAGCACTTTGGGAGGCTGAGGTGGGCAGATCACTTAAGGTCAGGAGTTCAAGATCAGCCTGGGCAACATGGTGAAACCCTGTCTCTACCAAAAATACAAAAAATTACCCGGGCATGGTGGCGCATGCCTGTGATCCCAGCTACTTGGGAGGTTGAAGTGGGAGGACTGCTTGAGCATAGGAGGGAGAGGTTGCAGTGAACTGAGATCGAGCCATTGCCCTCCAGCCTGGGTGACAGAGTGAGACCCCCATCTCAAAAAAAAAAAAAAAAAAGGTGCTGGAAGGGTTGTGCTCCCTCCGAAGCCTCAAGGGGAGGCCCCAGTGGTGGTATAAGAGCTGGTGTTCACACCCAGGTCTGGCTGACTCCAGAGCGACAACTCTCCCTCATTCCGTCTACCACACTGCCTCATCCCCAGAAGTTGGAGTGCAGCTCACCACCTGCCCAGAAATGATGGGACCCCAGAGACAGAGCTGTGCTCACCATGAACAAATCCAAGCTCATAGTGGCATTCCAGACGGAATAAGGGAATGATGGTCTTGTGCACTTCCAGGGTCCAGCTACAGCCCACTTTTTTCCAAGTCAGTGATGTGCACCCCAGAATGCCATCACAAGCCACCCCAGAGCCCTTGGCCCCTGCATCACAGCGGCTGGGGATACTCAAGACAGGCTCACTCTGACCACACCTTCCCCACCAGAGGCAGAGATTGTGCCATGCTGGCTCAGCCCCTTGCTGGTTGAGTGACCTTCAGTCTGTTGGAAGTAGCCAGCGTGAGGACTTGGGACTCTGGGTTCTGGGCCCCTGCTGCCCCTGCCCCTCCCATGTTCCCCTCCTGGTTCCTGGAAGTGGTGAGGGCACCTATGAAGCTGTAAGCACTCTGCCCACACTCTGCCCCCAGAGCAGTGCTGCAGGGCTGGGCCCCCAGGAACCCACACGTGGTCCACAGGCAGGGAGGTTGACGGTCCCCAGACCCTACTTCCTCCAGACTGACCCTTTGGGGCCAGAATGCTGGGTAAACCCCAAGACGGAAGTACTCCTCTCGGCAGCTGAAAGGAAGCCGACTGCACTCTGCTCCTGTTTCCCAACAGGGGCTCACCTGGAATGTTTACCCCTCAACAGCATGAGGGCCCCTTGTTCCTTCGTGAACAGCCTGAGGTTCTTCCAGAACAAACAGCTGCTGAGCTGCCCTCTCTTGTCCCCAGAGCCTGTGTGGGGCAGATCCGGGTTGAGAGGGCCCCGCGGCCTCACTAGAGACAGTGAGGATTTTCAAAAGCCTATAAAAGGTGGAGGAAGTTGTCAGTTTTGATCTCTGCTTCCAGGGTCACCCTCTTTCCCAGGCCACCCCAGAAGTGAGCGGAAGGAGCCAACCACCCCACCTTGGCCAGAATGCCTCTTCTGGCCTCTGGTACCAGTGCAGGCCTCTGGGCCCCACAGCGCCTGGGCCTCTGGGCCATAAGCCACCCAGCCCCTTGAGCTCACCCTTGGCCCTGGCAGTTCAGCCCAACCCCAGGGCACCAGGCAGGACCCTCAGATGGGAAGGTGGCTGGGCTGCCCACCTGTATTTATTCACTCAGCTGCTTCAGAGGCTGAGGGTCCCCTCCCTGTGAGCACACAGGGGATCCCCTGCCTGGGTTCTCTCACTACAACCCGGCATCCCAGTGGCCCTGCCACTCTCCTTTCTGTGTCCCCAAAGGCTTCATGTCCCCCAACACCCATGTTCCTGCACCTGGGTTTCTCTACACACCCTTCCCTGCCCAGGGCAGCTCTGCCAGGAAAAACTCACCGACAGCCACCACACAAACACACACACACACCCACACACACACACTACACACACCAAACACACACCACACACACATACACTACACACACCCAGCAAACATACCACACACACACCAGACCACACACACAGACACCACACACACACCACACACACCACACCACACACACCACGTACACACACACACATCACCCACACAGGCACACGCACACACACCACATACACACGCCACACCACACACACCACATACACACATCACCCACAGGCACACCACACACACACACACCCCACATACACATGCACACACCCCACACCACAAACACCCCATACACACCACCCACACACCACACACACCACCCACACACCACCCACATGGCACACACACACCACCCACACACCACCCACATGGCACACACACAGAGGCTGTTTTTCTCCACGGTCCTCGCTCCATTCACATGACTTGGAACCACTTAGGCTGGAGATCCCTGACGTCAGGAACCGTGTTTCCTGCCTTTCTATCTCAGCGTGTAGCAAGGGCCTTGGTGCAGACCTCAGTGCCCGTCTGTGGAGGAAATGGGAGGAAGGGAGACACTTAGTCTAGGAGGGATGGCCCCACTTCCCTTGGGACCCGGCAGATGGGCTGCTTGCAGGTGCTCAGCCCAGCCGGGACTTCTGGACAGGGTAAAGTGAGCATGGAAAAGTGAAGGCATGAGGCACACGAGACAGTCATCTCTCAGAGCACCTGCTGCCTGAGGGGTTGACCGCTCTCCTCCTGTGTGGCCCAGGTGGTCCTGAGGTGGTGATGGGGGAGGATTCTTGTTCCTAACAGGCTCCTCCCAAGACCAACACAGTTGTCCCTTTACCCACCGCCTTCCAGCATCCCTCACTCAGATCCAGCAGACCTTCCACGAGGCCTTTGTGCCCAATACACTGGCCTCCCTATGTCCACCACTCATCCATCTCCTGCCGTGGCCACCACTGTCCTCTGGCTAACGTTTCCCTGAAGATTTTCTCTGGTCGAAGGGCCCAAATAGTGGAATCCCTTAATGATGGTGTCCAAGGGTGGCCCCTGGGGGCCAGGGACACGGACTAAGGCCCAGGACTAAGGCAGGACAGCTGTCTTCTGAGCACAGGGCCATCCCAGGAGCTAATCACGCCTGGGAGTCCACACCTGCTAGTTTCAAAAGGAAATTGTATAGAGCCAGCTGTGGGCTCAGGCGGACGCTGAAGGGAGTGGCCAGGCACAGCCTGAAGTCAGACGACCTGGGCTCCAGTCCTAGTCAGCCCACTTCCAGCTTAGCAACTTGGGCCAGTGGCTCACCTCTGGAAGCCTCCATTGTCTCATGCACGTGCTGGGAGCTCCCTGGCAGGGTGGGTGAGGGCAGTCCGAGCACTGGGCTGCACACACCGGCACAACAGGGCGGGGCCCATCTCCCTCCGTCCCCTTCCCTCCACCTCCCCTCATCATACTCCATCCACCCTCTCATCAGATTCGAGGCAGCGTCATACCCCGTCCACCCGCCCACCCAATTCGAGGGCGAGATACCCCCACAGAGGCAGCTGGGAATCCAGGAGGTGTCCGTCATGGGCCTAACTCAAAATGTTGCTCCCCCAACTCAAAACCAGGCTGAAGGCGTGAAGGCTGAGCCCTTTGAAAACCACTCAGCCCTGGAGATCGCGGAGCAGCTGACCCTGCTAGATCACCTCGTCTTCAAGAAGATTCCTTATGAGTAAGTGTTGCAGGCACCACCCGCCTCCCCCCGCTTCCTCAGGCACTGTCTTGGACAGCACCCTGGAAGCACACGCAGTGAATTTCCAGAGCTGCACGGACCCTCCACAGCTTGAAACAATAGTGCCTGGGTCAGCAGAATGAGGGAGAGAAGCCTGTTCCCGTTCCTGCCCACCAAATTCTCTCCTTACCTGTCAGCTGCACACACACACTTTTCTGGAATCATCTCTAACTCAGAGCTCCTAGAAAGAGAGTATCTAGAAAAGAGCATGTGTTCATGTGTGTGTGCACATGTACCTGTGAGAAACTGTGCACACAGGCAAGAGCGTGGGCACGTGTGTAGGTCCAGTGACCTCCAGTAGCTGATTTAGGGGACAGGCGTGGACTTTGAAGAAGCCCCAAGGCCTGCTGTTACCTGTTCTGGCCTCAGTCATCCCTGGTGTTCACTGCAATTATTCTACTTATGTAATTTTCTATCCCTCTTCCTTCATCTGATGCTATGCCAAAAGGGCATTTGTAAACACTATTTTTAATAAGTACACAGCATTCTCTAACAGTGTGTTACTAAGCCACGAGAGTGTTTTCAGCCTTCACTTTTATATTTATCCCTGCGGTAAACATCCTTGCAACAAATATGTCTGAATTCCTAACAATGGTCCCAGAATGGTTTCCCAGAATTGGGCTCACCGGATTTGAATCATTGTGGGGCTTTTGGCCTCAGCCCCACCTGGCACTCTCGCAGCCCTCCCCAGCATGGGTGCTGCCTCGTGTAAATAGAGAGGGTCGGCACTTTGGAAACCTGTCACATCTCCTGGACATAGAAACAGATGATATTCCTGATATGTCCCTCTAGGAGGAGAAGCGGGATGTGTTTTCAAACACAAATCACCTCCCCGGCCCCTTCTGCCCACAGGACTCTGCCGAGGTCCCCTCTCCCTGTCACTTTATGATGTCAGGAGCCTGTGGCTTGGCTTGCAGGCTTTTTAAGCCTTTTATCTGCCCCCTTTTAGGGCCTTCTATTCCCTCATCCTACAGACCAGCTGCTGCAGTGACTAAAATGTGAATTCTCCCTGTCAGAAAACAAGATTCATAACAAATTATTTCCACCATGTGTGCCTTCCCACACCTTATTTCAGCCTCCCAGTAAACCTGTGAGGAAAGGATTGTCTTGATTCCCATTTTACAGATAAGGAAACTGAAGCCCTGAGCTATAAAGGGTTTGTCTGGGGCCACACAGCTGCGACAAGGCAGAGCTGGACTTGAGCCCAAGGTTCCTTCCTTCCAGGGCTCTGCAGAAGGTTGTTCCCCCAGAAATGACAGCCTCAAAAAGCCAAAAAATAAAATAAAAAGCATGGAGCAATGAAATCAGCAAGGCAAACCTCACCCCCTCCACCTGGGTCTCCCCTTACTTCCTACAGGGAGTTCTTCGGACAAGGATGGATGAAACTGGAAAAGAATGAAAGGACCCCTTATATCATGAAAACCACTAAGCACTTCAATGACGTGAGTATGGATGGGAGCGCCTCTCTCACTGGGGTTTTTCTTTGGCAAGACGCTCAAGAGGCTGGGTAGAGAACGGGCTATACACCTGGCTGGAACCAGACTCCTGGGTCCTCTCCAGCCCTGCCACCCCTTGCCATGTGGCCTCGGGCTGGTTGCCTCACCTCAGTCTCAGTCTCTTCTCCTATTAAGTGGGGCTGACCATGGAACAGTCATAGGAGGATTAACTGCGTGGTCATCTAAAGACATTCAGCCCAGCATTGGCTCGCTGTGAGCCCTCACCCAGAACTTGTGATTCCTAAGTGGGGGTTACTCCTCGGAGCAGGGTTTTTGCGGAGTCTGTGGCAAAGAGAACAGAAGGGAATGAAGGATTAGAAGGAAAGGAATGAAGACCTTGCTATGCTTCCTATTTTTAAACCTCATCTCAGTATTAGCAACAAGCAATATTTGGCTGGACAATGGCAGACAGCTTCCCTCTAATTCATACATTATCCAGAACCCTCGGAATCTCCTAAGGTTTTGGCTGTTTCAGCTACTCTGGCAATGATGTCCCACTCGCTGCCCCTCTTCTTGCCTTTCTTGTGGTAAGATGGTCTTTTGGGATAACACTAAAGAGAATGTTTAATTCTCTTTAATGTTAGGAGGCCACAGTGCTGAGCGAATGTTTAATTAAACATTCTCTTTAATGTTAGAAGGCCACAGTGCTGAGCGAATGTTTAATTAAACATTCTCTTTAATGTTAGGAGGCCACAGTGCTGGGCGAGACTAAGGCTCCTGAATCTCCCTGGCTAGGATCAGGATGGCCCAATATCCAGCTCCTCCAGCCCCCTTCTCTAGACCTCCCAGCCCCAGCTTTCCTGGGGAAGAACTGTTGAGATGGGACCAAGCACTGGACCTGCAAACTGGCCTGGCATAAGCAGCTCAAAGGGCCTGGACTGACTCTGATTGGCACACTAAGTTCAGATGGGTGCATCACACACCCCCAGCTCCCAGAATCCCTCCTCAGAGAAACATGGGAGCAGCAGAGAACTGGGGGGCAGACAGGTCCCAGAGCCTTCTGAGGCACAATTCACATCCACAGGGAGCATTTGCAATGTTCTTTAATAAGAATATCCACTGCCCCCTAACCGGGTGCCTACCTTGTGCCTAGCACTGAGCTTTTTGTGCATAGTAATCTCATTGAAAGCTCACATCAACTAAAAGATGGGGGCTGTCCTCACATTTTTAGGTACAAAGAAACCAAGACTCTGGAAGGGCAAATGCTGAGGTCTCCTAACTGGTGTGTGGTAGCTCATGGCTTCCATTGCTACACAGTGCAAATCAGCTGTGTGAGGAAAAAAAAAAAAAAAAAACTCCCTCCCAGCAACTTCCCCACATGTGTGCAAGTTCCAACCCCTGAACCACAGAGCCGGGTCCACTCCCAGCCTCGTGACAGCCCTGAGAACAGTTGCACTCAGCATCCTCATTCTTCTGAGTTTAATCATCAACACGAGGAAAGAGCCTTTGAGGGCCGGTGGTGGGAGCACATGATTCCACTTGCCCTGACCACCTTGGCCAGGGCCACATCCTACCAACCCCAGCCGCCAGCACACCATATCCTGGGAGGATCCTCAGCAGCCTAGAAGAAACAAGAAAGACCCAGAGATTGCAGCTCAGGGGAGGAGCCCTTTGGGGCCTCCTAGGCCTGGGCACCCAGTGGTTCCTGCAGTGAGCACAGCAGCAGAAAGGAGACTCGTGTGCCTCTCAGGAGAGAAAGAGGGACAGAGACCAAGCCTCGGGAAACATAACCTGACAGAGGCCTGATCCAACCACACCTTACAGCACCAGGCAACAAATCACTGTCCCCTCCCTTCCCTGTCCCACTGTGTGCCCAGGAGTCGAGCAAGTGAAAGACAAGAATATGAAGTGAGCATTCACTGAGTGTTCACCCCATGCTAGACGCTGTGCTTCAAAAGCATCATCTCATTTAATCCTGCCATGCCCACTTTGTGGATGAAGAAACTGAGGCTTGAGGAGGGGAAATTTCATCCCCAACATTACACAGCAGAGTACAATTTTGAACGCACACGGTCTACTTCAGAAGCTGCCCTTGTAACGACCTGGCATTTGGCCATCTCTGTTCAAATCCACCATTTGGTTCTGATACACAGGATGTGTGCTGGCACAACAATGATTTTCCTCGTCTCTCCCTGGCACAGTTCTATTTGCTGTTTTCTGGTCCTTTTGCCTTTAATTTCTTTGTCCTCTTAACTGGTACTGGCCAGGATCTTCAGGACCATGGCCAAGCTGGGGTACTGGTGTAAGGCAAGCAAGGTTCCCAGAGAGCAAAATCGAAGGAGCTACTCGCCCTTCTGCACTTGTACCCCACACCTCAACTGCCTCACCCTAGTCCCGTCTCTCTCCACAACAGCATGGAATGGACATGGTGATCATGTGTCTCCTTCTTGGGTTTTTTGTGGGGTTTTTTGGTTTTTTTTGTTTTGTTTTGTTTTGTTTAAGACACAGTCTCCCTCTGTCGCCCAGGCTGGAGTGCAGTAGTACAATCTCAGCTCACTGCAACCTCCACCTCCTGGGTTCAAGTGATTATCATGCCTCAGCCTCCTGAGTAGCTGGGATTACAGGTGCATGCCACTGCACCCAGGTAATTTTTGTATTTTTAGTAGAGACAGGGTTTCACCATGTTGCCCAGGCTGGTCTCAAACTCCGGACCTCAGGTGATCCACCCGCCTCAGCTCCCAAAGTACTGGAATTACAGGTGTGAGCCACTGCACTCGGCCACCTTCTTGGTTTTAAAGGAGATATTTCTAATATTTCCCCATGTGGAATGATGTTTGCTCCTTTACCAGGTTTTTTTTTTTAATTATCTTTTATTCCTTGGGTGCTAATGGATTTAACCATGAATAAATACAGAATTTTATCAAATATTTCTTTCTGCATCCATAGAGATGGTCATATGGTTTTTCTCCCTTGCTCTGTTGATATAGTAAATGACAATTATACTTTTTTTCTAATATTCAATCATCCTTGCATTCCAGGGACAAACCCAATGTGGTCATGGTATATTAAACAAATGGGTGTGTAATTTTCCTTTCTTATATTATCCATCTCTGGTCTCAGTATCAAGGTAATACTGGCTTCATAGAATAAACTGGAAGATATTCCTTTTATCCTTCTTCTCTGGAAGATTTGACTGATCTATTTCTTTCAAAAATTAGTATAACTTTTATATAAAATTCTTTTTAAGTTCCATGTTCTCTTGATGGAAAAAAATTTTAACTACTACTTCAATTTAATTAAGAGGTATAATACATGTACTACTTTGTGTTATTATCCTTCCTGATTCTCTTAAGTAGTAGTTCCATTCTTAAGTAGTTTTACAATTCATTTTTCTTGATGAGCATCCTTTAGAAATTGTTTTTGAGAAGATTTCTTAGCGATAAAGCCCTGTAATTTTTAATTCATCTGTAAATGTCCTTTTATCGCCTTTTTTAAAGTAGTAGTCTTTTTTTTAACTTTTTATTTTAAAATAATTAAACAGTCACAAAGGCCGGGCGCGGTGGCTCACACCTGTAATCCCAACACTTTGGGAGGTCAAGGCCGGCAGATCACTTGAGGTCAGGAGTTCGAGACCAGCGTGGCCAACATGGTAAAACCCCATCTCTACTAAAAATACAAAACTTAGTCAGGCATGGTGGTGTGTGCCTGTAATCCCAGCTACTTGGGAGGTTGTGGTAGGAGAATCGCTTGAACCCAGGAAGTGCAAGTTGAAGTGAGCCGAGATGACACCACTGCACTCCAACCTGGGCGACAGAACAAGACTCTGTCTCAAAAAAAAAAAAAGAGTCTTAGAAAGTTGCAAAAGAATGTACCAGAAAGCCCACTGCTTCCTGCTGTTTCAGCTCCTTGCAATTCTAATTCCCTGATGTTCTAGCCCCAGCTTCCCACCCCCATCCCCAGCTGCTCCAGATCCAACCTACATTTGATTTGTTCATGTGTGTGTCATGTTTGGCCAGGTGATGGAGTCCTTGAAGATATCTTCTACTGTGTATGTGAGACCAGCAGTGCTTCAAAGTGTGTCCTGTCCAAGCTCTAGTTGTATGATGGTAGATTCCCTCAGAATTTGGCACCTTTTAACTGTTTATTTTTCCAGATGAACTTTGGAATTACTTTGTCTATAATTACTTTTCTAGAGAAAGCTCTCGTTGGTATTTGGTTTTTTGTATGTTTGTTTGTTTTCAGATTTTTTTTTTTTTTTTTTTTTTTTTCTGAGATGGAGTCTCGCTCTGTCACCCAGGCTGGAGTGCAGCAGCGCAATCTTGGCTCACTGAAACATCCACCTCCTGGGTTCAAGTGATTTTCCTGCCTCAGTTTTTCAAGTAGCTGAGATTACAGGCATGCGCCATCACGCCCAGCTAATTTTTTTTGTGTGTGTATTTTTTGTAGAGACAGGGTTTCACCATGTTGGTCAGGCTGGTCTTGAACTCCTGACTTCAAATGATTCGCCTGCCTCGGCCTCCCAAAGTGCTGGGATTACAGGTGTGAGCCACCGCGCCTGGCCTGAGTGTTTTATTGGATTACATTAAACACATGTATTAGTTGTCAGAAAAATGACATATTTACATTCCCATTTGGGAATTTGATCTCTTTCTCTGTTATTCAAGCCTTTTATATCCTTTGGTGACCTGTTTTTTCCATCCTACATAGTTCTCATTAAGTTCCTAGGTATTTACAGATTCCCATTGTTATTTGGAAGGTTGTATTTTTGTTGTATTTTCTAATTGATTATTGCTAATGTATATATAAACTTTTCATTTTTGTATATTGAACCTTTAGCCAGCAACCCTAGCAAGCTCTGTTAGTTGTTCTCGTAGTTTTCCAATTCCTTCTTGTATTTTCAAGCAGGCAATCATATCTGCAAATAGTGACCATTTATCATCTTTGCAATACTTACTCCTCTTTTTCCCTGTCTTATTGCATCGGCTTAAAGATCAGTAACTTGATTGCTTCAGAAATCATCCGCAATGAGGACATCAACGCCAGGGTGAGCGCCATCGAGAAGTGGGTGGCCGTAGCTGACATATGCCGCTGCCTCCACAACTACAATGCCGTACTGGAGATCACCTCGTCCATGAACCGCAGTGCAATCTTCCGGCTCAAAAAGACGTGGCTCAAAGTCTCTAAGCAGGTGCGGGCAGGAGGCTGGCACCACTGCCTCCCTGGGGCTGGATTGGGGCTAGGGCAGGAAGACCCGTGGGCTGGCCACTGGGCATCCACAAGTGGGCAAAGTACTGGGCTGAGGTCTAACACTCCCAGGTAAAACAGAATAGCTTCCCCTATATCACCTGGGACCAGATAGCAGGCCCACAGATATGGCAGTGAGACCTGGACTGTAATCCCCACTTGAGTAATTAATACCTCAAAGTGGAAAGAATATGATGGTGATTATTGGTCCCAACATTTTTCTTCTGGAGTTGGGGCAAGAGTGGTGGCTTTATGGGGATCTGCAGGGCAGCTGAGACAGTGGTCAGATGACCCTTCCATCAGAGGACCCTTCCATCGGAGGACCCTTCCGTCAGAGGACACTTCCGTCAGATGATCCTGCAAGCCCCTTCCCAGGATTCTAATTTCACCTGCGCTTCTGGCCACAGAGAGTTAGCTGCTTCCTGGAACGTGTTGGCTAGTTGATCACCTTAAATGTGTGCTCAATCCCTCTTCACTCAGAACATGAACCTGAAAAGCCATAAACATAAAACATGAACATAAAACCATAAGATAGATTCTTCCTCAGGAATGAAGTTGCCTGCATTGGGGTCAGGAGGGACCAGCACTCCTTATAGGAGAGGACAATGAGGCACTTGGACCACTTCCTTGGTGCACTTGGTGGATGCCCCCACCCCAGCCTGCATGTGTGCAGGAGGCCAGACAAGCACCCCCAGTAGACAGGGCAAGCCCCCAAGCACAATCCCTTGGCAGCAGTGTCTGTCATCCTGACGCTGGGTGGGCTGTGTGGGACCCAGTGGCTCCAAGGGCCCTGTCTCATCTGGACCACTCTGGACTTGCATACTGTGTCCCCCTCATTGTTCTCTTTATCACCTGCTCCTCACTACCCTCCTCATGTCAATGGCAGGTCATGATTCCACCCACCAAGCAGACGACATGTCCATAATCCTCCCTACTTAGCAGCCAAACTCATCTGGGACATCTCTGCTACCCTTCCCTCACCTTCTGGTCACTCCAGCCCCTGATGACAGCAGGACTACAGAACATGCAGGGACACCCCATTACAACCCAGTGGGATTGGGCCTCTTGCTTCTTGGCACACAGAGATGCCAGGCTTAGGGCCAAGGACCGTGAAAGATGCTACTCTTGTTTGTGGGCTCCAGGAAAGAGCAGAGCTCAGGAGCACAGGAGCTCAGAGCTGCAGGCACATCTAGCCAAACATGGTACATGCTGTCATGAACTCGTGGAGGCAAGTGTTGAGCAAGGCTCTGCAAAACCTCCAAGTCACCCAACCTCGTTTGGCTTGTCAAGGTTCAGGCAGGGCCCTTGCCACAGTCTGGGGGCCCATTCCAAGTAAATCTCTCTCTCCTTCTCCCCTGTTCTTGGGAATGACATCATCTTTTCCAGAGGCCCTGCAGACCAGGCTTCAGTTTCCCACCCCACTTAGGCTTCCTGGAACCCACACTCCTTGCATTTCTTGGTCTTGCTCTCCTGCATTGCCCTCCTCATGGAGTTGGGAGGGAATGAGTTTGGCCATCCTGAAATCTTCTGTTCTCTACAGAGAGTGCAAATCAAGGACAGTCAGTGGTCAGGGCATGTGATTCAGCCTGTGTTCTAGGATGTCATTCTGGACCTAGGGTCAGCTGGCCTGGTCCAAAAATCAAAAATACCTTTGGCACCACATGAGATCTCCACCCTCTATGCAGTCTGGACCCAGCTGTCTTCTGCAGCCCCCAGCCGTGTAAGAGTTGTGTGTCTGCACAGCACCTGGCCCCAGGAGCTTCTGGAAGTTCCTGGCCATGGCCTGCTCGGCATCTGCCAGAGGCAGTTCATTCTCTCTCTACAGGCGTCCCATGGACACTGGAGACCCTCTAAAATGGCCACGTTTCTTAGATGGCCTGAACTGTAACCTCAGCAGCCAGTTTTTACTGCTCACTTAAATGTGCTCACCATAGCAGAAAAGCATTATGTCCAAGTCTGGTTCAGCCCCTGGCAAGCGTCAGGCAGTTGGATTTCATTTGGGACTTTTCATTTCCCCTTTCTTCTTTTAACCCCTCTCCCCATCCTCTTTGGGGAAAAAAAAAACCCAAGAGACGATCTGATGATGATACTCTTCCATACGACAGTACAATGACTAACGTGGATTTGTGTGTCGCCTCTCCTGGGGATCGCTGTACTTTAGTGGAGACAAAAGCCTCGCCTTGGCTAACAATCGATTTTGGCCTCTCTGGGAGGGAACATTCTTGTCCAGCCAGAAGTCCTCTGCTTGGTGAACAGGAAGTGATGGAATTTAGGAGACCACAAAATCATCTTTCTTCCTGACACTGACTCCAAGGGTCCTTGCTTGGTTCCTGCTTTCAATCCCATATTCCAAGGGCCCCCCATTTCTGCCTGCTGGTGTCCACACTCTAACAGAGACACCCAAGATCCCAGAGGCTTGGTATCCCATGGAGCATCACAGGATAGAAGCTCCTGGCCCAGCTAGAAGATGCTTGAACTGCTTCAACTTGGAACATACTTTTTAAGCAGCAGCTGAGAAAATTCTGTGGCTTCCCAGGCCATAGAGCTCCTTCCTGGAGACAGCATGACAACCCAAAGAGGAGCATCCATACACAGCAAGCACGGGGATGTGGAGGAAGTTAAAAACGTGCCCAGCCCAGAGCCACAAATTGGTTCCAGAATATCTTCTGCACATTTTCACAGCCTCAGAGTACGGTGACACTTCATCTAGAACTGCATGGCCACTGGGACCTCCTGATCAAGCTTCTGTGTCTTCCACAATTCTAGAGTATCTGAGCTAGTATTGCCTTAGGGAACACCTGGACTTACCCTCCCATTTTCCAGATGGGGACACTGAGGCCCATAAAGGCAAGAGGAGTGGTGATTTGCCAGTCGGCATGCCAGGGATAGGTGACAGAGGCTGGGGAGGCCCTAGGTTTCCTGACTCAGCCCCCGCCTCTGACCTCAAGCCGTATCAGGTCATTCCTCTGCAGGTGGATGGAGAAGAAAAGGAAGGAGGGTGCTGCTCTGGAAAGGGGCAAGTGCAGGAGGGAAGCTGAGACTCTGGAACGGAGGTGGGCCAGGGCATCCAGCCTTTGCCAGTCATCGGACAGCAGACATCTCAAGTGAAAGCAGAATCATCTGCCTTGACTCCGTGTGGTGTGTGCTATTCTGCTGCATGTCTCTTTCACCAGATCCAGAATACAGCTGTGCTCTGAACAGGATTAGTCCACACCAGGTGGCGAGGCTTTTTCTACTTGTTGATAAGGCATGGAACTGAATGGTACGCTCAGCCCTTCTTTCCCCTTGAAGAGCACACACAGATCTCTTCCTGTCAGAATGGAGACTTAGATTGTCCTTCTCAGTAGACAAATTTCTCAGCAGAAATCTGACCCCAAGATTGGGCGTGTGCTTGGCCTCCGGGGCCTGTGTCCCCTCCAGGCTGACTAGGGCTCTGGTGGCGTGACGTACCGCTGTGCTCCCGCGGTTTCTCAGCCACATTCTGAATCTTGAGGAACAGAGCTGCAAAGGAAGTCTCTAACCTATCTCACCATTTTATCAATGAGGGAGCTGAGGACCCCTGAGGGAAAGGGCCTTCCCTCGGGCTACACAGGGAAAGGTGCACAAAGCCAGGCTTGACCCGGGGTGCTCCATGGGTCAGACAAACTCCAGCCACCGAAACTCTGCTCCAGCCTGATGTGTGCGCTGGGCCTGGCGAGGTCGCTTGGCAAAGCCCTTTGCTGTGGAGCTTCCTCTTCTCCAGCCAGGCCTTTTCTTTTCTGATGATCAGTTCGTCTCCCATCTTTTTTCTTGATCCTTAAATTTGGGTGGCATTTCTGGTGTGAAAAGGGGAACGTGTGAAATGACGGTCACATCCTTTGGGTCTAGTTCATGAGAAAGATCAGGAAAATGAAAAATCTGCCATTTCCTGCTCTGAGCGCAGGCTCCTGGGAGTCACCCACTAAGTCCTTCTAAACTGCCCAGGTCTCGGGATCCTGCAGCATTTCCAAGGGCCAAATCCACACTCAGGTCCCTCACACCCACTTCCTTGCTTCTGAGAGATGTGGGAGCACAGGCACACTCAACAAGGACCCGTGCCCAACTCCTGAGGAGTTCAGGGGCAAGGTGCCCAAACACAGGAGGCCCCCAGATCCCAAGGGAAGGCAATTCTGGAGCCCTGTTGGGCAGCATGTTGGAGTGTGGGCCTGATCCCCGGGCCTCGGGGATCACAGCGTGTGCTGTGTGTTAGTAAATGCTTCTGCTTCCTTCTAGACTAAAGCTTTGATTGATAAGCTCCAAAAGCTTGTGTCATCTGAGGGCAGATTTAAGAATCTCAGAGAAGCTCTGAAAAAGTAAGTGTGTGTCGTTTTGTCGCTGTTATTTTTAAAATCATAGACCTGCATTGCAGAGGCATTCACGTGCCGCCCCCAGCCAGAGCAGGAGGTCTTTCTGTCTGTCTGTTCGTCTGTCTACCCACAAGACCCCTAGATTTCCTGGACCCCAATGGTGGAGTCCTCCATGGTCTGCCAGAGAAACTCCAGAGTTTGCTAGCATTTCCTGAGAGAAGCACAGGAATACTGCTGGGATCCCTGAAAGCATAGTAGCTGTGATGATAATAGTAGTGGTGCCAGATTTCTCGATTCTAAAATGCACGTTTTCTTTTCACATTTTAATAATTCTGACATCAGGAGACGTCTTAACGTCAGTTTTGTTTATTTAACACAATTGTGTTTCCTTTTTCACTCCAGAATTCATCATCAAAATGTTTGCATTTTATAAACAATGGCATCCGGGAATTAAAAAAATACAGTTTTACAATAATCATACTTAAAGTTTGTAAAGCACTTGCCTAGACATTGTGCGCTTAACGCCATCAACATTGCCCACACGGCGGGGTCCTCAGCCTCAGCACCCTTGCTGTTTTGACCAGGATGATCCTTTGTTGAGGGGGACTGTCCTGTGCATTGTAGAATCTTTAGCAGCATCTCTGGCCTCTACCTGTGAGATGCTAATGGCACCCCTCCAAGTTGTGACGACCAAAACTGTCTCCAGACATTGCCAAATGTCCACTAGGGGGCAAAATCCTCCCCACTTGACAACCATCAGGATAAGGCTGCTTCCCGCATCCTGTTCTTCCAGACAAAGAAACTGAAGAGCTAGTGTCTGGTCCAAGGCCACGTGGACGGTCCAAGGCCACATGGCCGTGGCCTAGCACCAGGACTGGCCCAGGCTGGCCTCCAGAGCTTGTCAAGGTTTGCCCTGGGCTCCAGACGAGCTCTCCCAGGGAAGCAGTGATTCAGCCCATCTGCACACACTGTGGCCACACACTCACATGAAGTGGGGGGTTTGCTTCTGTCACTCTCATTAGGTGCTTACTCAGGCTTCTGCACTAGTCTCAACCCTCCTTTCCTTGAGTGAGTGTTCCTTCCTCTCCTCGCCTGACTGGCTACTCGCCAGACCTTGGAGAGACCCTGGGAGATCCCTGGGGTCCCGGTTCCCTATATAGCTCAGGAAGCCTCTCCCCGCTTCCTGGTGTTCCCATGATCACGGCTGACGCAGGGAACACCAGAGTTTACTACCCCCAGACCCTGAGGATGGGGCCAGCCAAAACCTCCAGCCCTTGACAGTGGCTTTGACAGACTGCTCACCCCTCTGCCAGCCTCGTCTGCCTCCTCTTTGCGTTTTCTTCCTGCCGCATTTGGTCTGTCCTTTGCCAGCTCTGTGTGCCATCGCCTTGACCATCTCCACTTTGTTTGTGTCCTCAGACAGATGTTGCACCCATCTGTGCTGTCCAGCCGTCTCTCTTCTGCCTGGGCTCCCGAGAGCCCCTGTGGACTGTGCTTGTGGGGAGCTGCCCCCTCCGTGCATTCAC
The DNA here is from genome assembly GCF_000001405.40 of Homo sapiens. Lineage (NCBI taxonomy): Eukaryota > Metazoa > Chordata > Mammalia > Primates > Hominidae > Homo > Homo sapiens. Next base: position 78,979,099 of record NC_000015.10, on the reverse strand, counting down.
CAACTTGTCCGTCCGTCCGCCCCCGGGGCACCACTCCATCCACCTCCTCACATGGCTGGCTTCCTCGTCTGCCGCCGCCACCACCGCTGCCTCCACTGCCTCTGGGGCCCCCCATTCTGTCTGAGTCCCCACCCTGACCGTCTTCCCTCTTTCAGGTGGCCTGTGGGCCCGTGTAAGTGTCTCTCCCACATTCCCCTGCTCCCTGCAGCACAGGGCAGAGGTGGCCTGCGGGCCTCTGGAAGCTAAGAGCTTTATGCAAACCAGGTTCTGGACTTGCAGAGACATAGGCAGGGCACACAGAGGAGGGAGGGACTGGGGAAACCTGGGGCAAATGCTTCCCGCACCCCCTCTCCTGAGGCTCTAAGGTTTTCACAAAGAGCGGTGTTGCATGAATACTGAGCGTCTGTTTCACTAGGCAGGGGACGGGGGCAAGAGTAGCGAGGTGGCAGTCCATGGGCATAGCCAATGACCTCCCCAGAGAAGGAGTCCTGCTATGGGCCTCACCATGTTGGTCTGCAGCCCATTCATACGTCCCAGGCATCTTTTTTTAGCTTTTCATTAAGATATCCAATTCGGGCTAGGCACAGTGGCTCATGCCTATAATCCCAGCACTTTAGGAGGCCGAGGTGGGCAGATCACTTGAGGTCAGGAGCTAGAAACCAACCTTGCCAACATGGCAAAACCCTGTCTCTACTGAAAATACAAAAATTAGCCAGGCGTGGTGGCACATGCCTATAATCCCAGCTACTTGGGAGGCTGAAGCACGAGAATCGCTTGAGCCCAGGAGGCAGAAGTTGCAGCGAGCTGAGATCGTGCCACTGCACTCCAGTCTAGGTGACAGAACAAGACTGTCTCAAAAAAAAAAAAAAAAAAAAAAAACAAAAGAAAAGAAAAAGAAAAAGAAGAAAAAATATCCAATTTCTGCCAGCATCCAGGCTGGAGAATGGCCTTATTGCATTTCCCAGCCGAGACTTCACCACCAAACACCCCACTAGCCACTCTCTTAAATGTCCCTTGCCCCACCTGCAACAGCCCTAACTATGTGTGCCCCTTCAGTCCCTGCCAGATGCCCTGAGAGTGGCCTCATCTCCCCTTCTCATTCCCCAAGCCTACATACTGGCAAAGTCCTATGCCTGTTCCCTCCTCCCAACCTCCCAGCAATCGGAACCTTCCCCCAGCTCCAGGCAACAAGAATTTGGTTGAAAACTGAATTTAGTAGCAAAATGTGGTCACCAGCATTTTTGGGGCCGATTCCAGTTTTGACTACCCTGTCTAATCTCAACCGAGCACACACTTGCATATCTGCACCTTTTGTGTTTAATTTGAATAGGAAGCCCTTGATTTAGAGGAACACGGGGGACAGGCTGTTATTGTAGGCTGCTGCAGTGAAAGCCTTTCCCCTTTGTTCCCCTGAATTAAGGATGGGAACAGCCATGGAGGAGCGTGTCAGCTAGCTGACTGCCAGGCCATCCCCTATACCCTTTAATCAGGGTGAGAATCAATTTATCTACATGGATGTCATGAGCCCAAAGGCTGAGCTCTAGAGTCTCAGGGGTTCCAGCAAAGCCAAGTATCTATCTCTATCTTTATTCTCTGCCTGTGACCACAGAGCAGCCTAGCAACCCAGTGGTAAAATGGGACTTTCCACCCCCACCCCATCGCAGTTTTGTTTTTCAAAGACTACTTACCTGATCACCCTGTACCTCGTGCCAGAACCTTGGACCCTGGCCCCAGGGGATTCAGCCCACACAGCCCAGCCTCAAGGGCCCTCATGCCCTCCCTGAATGCCCTTCCCCAGGCCTCAAGATGGGAGAGAGGAGATCCCCAACCACAGCCGGCAGAAACTTGTAAGAGAGAATAGCCCATCCCACAGCCAGGGCAGTACAGGGAAGAGAGAAGTTGGAGAGAAAGAGGAAGGGGAGGTGGACTCATTGCTTGTCTCGGGTTGGTTTCCTGGAGTTTGGTGTAGAGCATGGGCAGCTGCCTCTTGCCAGCAGCAGCTGGTCCCCCATAATCTCCCTTATTCCATTTAACATCATCAGGAGCGTCTTGGTGGAAAGAAACATCCAGTTTGGGGGCTCCAAACAACCACAGGCAAGGCCAGGTGTCACCAGCATGGGAGTGCGACAGCGAGGCCTTGCCCAGAAACCAGAAGCAGCTTTCAGGCTAGGGGTGGGACACTTTCCTCTCTGCTCCCTAAAATGCTAGCTGCAGGCCCGTGAGGGCTCTGCCAGAAGAGGAAGCCACCCCCGTATCAGCTCTGCTTGATAGGCCCTGCCAAGGGCAAGACTGGACCTCACCCGAGAGAGGCCAAAAGGCCAATATGGAAGGTTCAGGACTTGCCTGTTGTTGGGTGTCTTGCCTGCAGGAAGCCCCAACATGCTTCCCTTTTCATTCAGAGGCTCGGTGTGGCTCAGTCCCTATGCCGTGTGTCCCTGTGGGGCCCTCCAGCAGTCCTCTGTCCCAATCTGGCAACTCCATACATTTGCCCACATGGCTCTGGATTTCGGATGGGTGTGTGTGTGTGTGTGTGTGTGTGTTTGATTGAGTGTTCTCTTGTCCCCTCCTTCATGGCCCCTCACTATAGAGCAAGCTTGTCCAACCCGTGGCCTAAGGGCCGCATATGGCCCAGGATGGTTTTAAATGCAGCCCAACACAAATTGGTAAACTTTCTTAAAACATTAAGAGATTTTTTTGTGATTTTTTTCCAGCTTATTAGCTATCGTTAGTGTGTTAGTGTATTTTACGTGTGGCCCAAGACAATTCTTCTTCCAATGCGGCCAGGGAAGCGAAAAGATTGGCCACCCCTGCCATAGAGGTAGTAAATAGGGACAGAGGTTAGTACTGGGGCTGGGCGTGCTACTTGCAAGTGATTCGATTGCAAATCCACCACCTTCCCACAGCTGAACCATGACTCCCCATAAATACCAGGGGAAGTCGACCCTCAGTGATCAGAGGACCTCTGATCCTTTTCACTGATCTGGGTGGTCAGAAACCCCCAAAAGCCTTGAGAAACACTCTGAGTCCTTTGGTCATTTGCAGTCAGCTTGCAGTCACCAGGCCTCCCGTTCTCCCTTCCATCCTTAGAGCACTCCACGGCTACCTGGCTACTGTCACACATGCAGGGTGAAGGGGGAGAGCACCTCTCAGAACCCACCGGTCAGCACTGCCACAGCCTTACGACTCCAGAGTTACTTCTCAGATCTTTGGATTATTTCTCCATCAGACTCATAAGCCTGGGCTTCAGACTTGGAGTATGATAGAAAGGAAATGAAGAGCTGGCCGGGCACAGTGGCTCACACCTGTAATCTGAGCACTTTGGGAAGCTGAGGCGAGCAGATCACTTGAGCTTAGGAGTTCTAGACCAGCCTGGGCAACATGGCAAAAATACAAAATTTCTGTCCCTACCAAAAATACAAAAATTCGCTGGGTATGGTGGTGCATGCATGTAGTCCAGCTACTTAGGAGGCTGAGGCAGGAGGACCATTGGAGCCTGAGAAGTCAAGGCTGCAGTGAGCTGTGATTGTGCCACTGCACTCCAGTCTAGGTAACAGAGTGAGACCCTGCCTCAAAAAAAAAAAAAAGAAAAAGAAAGGAAGGAAATGAAGACCTGTGCATGTAATAATCATGGACTGGAAGGGATGGAAGGATGCAAAGCAGCCCCTCCAGTGGCTGGATGCTCCTTACTCTTTTCTTTTTTTTTTTAATCACAAAGCACAGTAAATATATATATTTGAAACTACAAGCCTGTATACAAATGCATATATGCATCACAGGAACAAAAATTCCACAAAACAATATATACCTTTATTTCATTTGATGAAGTCAGATATTTTCTTTTTCACTTGTTATTTTTATTTGTTTTCAATTAAATAGAGATGGGGTCTCACTATGTTGCTCAGGCTGGTCTTGAACCGTTGGACTCAAGTGATCCTCCCACCTCAACCTCTCAAATCCCACTGCCTGGGATTACAGGAGTGAGCCACCACTCGGCCCTTTTTCACTTTTTAAAAATTCTGGTCTACACCTTCTAAATTGATTTCAACACCCATGAAAGGGTCAGCCCTACATTTGGAAAAACACTTCTGTCTGCTGTGTCCCTAACGCCAGGCCTCTGCCTCCTTCACGACTTTGCCATACTGTGCCAACTGTATTTGTGTTTACCTAACAGCCTCTTTAAATTAATTCACTTTTTCCCAAAAAGAAATAAGAAGGAAATTTTGTATCATGGCAAATGGAAAACCAGCTTACTTGCTGTAAATACAAGAATGCCATTTAAAAATATATGGTAAAAACAAAATAATGTTTTTGAATTCTGGCCAAATACTGATGTTTGCCAACACTCTGATTCTGACACCTGTTGCTATTTGTCTAAAAAGAGAAAATGTGAAAGGAGGAGAATGGCAAGTATCAAAAGTGTCAAAGTCACACTATCACCAAATGAGGCGCTCTCCCTGAGCAGAAGGGAAAAAAGTAAAAATCCAATGTTTCTTACCACGTGAATTCATGTTATTTAATATCGTGCCTGTAAATCAGCTGTGAGACCACCTAAAACTGTCTTAGCTGCTATCATTGCTTTATACATGAGGAGCCTGAGGACCAGAGAGGGAAAGACCTGGCCTAGGGTCACACAGCAGGCAGGTGAGGGACAGGGGCCAGGTTTCTGCTCTTGCTCTATCATCCTCCCGGCCTCACCTTCCTCCAGGCTAGCAGGGTTGCCAGGTGGCCACAAAGAGACAAAGGTAAGATGGGCTGGGAATAAGGGTCACTGCACTGTGCTCGATGATGCCACCGCATCTGTGTGCTGAGCTGAGAGGAGGCGGCAGAGCACTGGGGAGGAGGCCCCAGAAGGAGCTAAAGGGAGCCCTGCCGGCACATAACGACCGCCGGGCTCCATCACAGGCTCCATCAACCCTTACCCAGCACCGAGCCAAGGGCACCAGAACACGCTGGGAAGGAACAGTAACAGGAGGCCCTGCTTTGGACCAAAAATCAGAGAGGCATGGCCCATCACTCCGGGGGCCCAGCTCCCAAAGATGCAGTCCCCCATGAGTCACCAACCATGGAAACTATCACCCAACCCCCTGCCCCAAAGCCACTTTCAGGAAAGTGATCTCAGAGAGCAAGGGTTTCCTGCCCTGGCACCCAAGCCCAGTGCTTAGGTGGGTGGGAGATGCCAGTGGAGACAGGAGAGGTCTCAGGGAGCAGAGACAAGGGTGTCAGATAGGGTGACTGGCAGGAGTTGGGGGGCTGGGGCTGCAGAGCCCTCCAGGAGGTGATTCGGGGGAGGATCCGGATGGGAGAGTCTCAGGGAGAGATAGGAAAGGTGAGTCCAGAGGGGCTGGTGACAGAGCCCAGGGACTGACTGGGACAGAAGGCAGAGAGGTAGGGGAGGACCTTCTGGCTCAGGGAGGAAAGAGACAATCTGAGATGCCCCAGTGGGTGTAAGAGGCCCCAGTCAGCACCATGTTGCCCCCACCACCCCAGAGGACTGGCCCTGAGACCCAGCCGACAGTCCTGGGCGTGTAGAATAGTCAGTTCTAGAGTGTAGTGTGATTCTTGGTGACTGCAAGTCCCTTTGCCTCTAGCAAAGCAAAAGGTGCATGCGGGATGTTCTGTTCTTGGTAGACGTTACTTTTTTAAAATGAAAAACTTGTGTTAATGCCGTTTGCTTCCAAGTTGTGACCCACCCTGTGTCCCTTACCTGGGGATGTACCTCACCGACCTGGCCTTCATCGAGGAGGGGACGCCCAATTACACGGAAGACGGCCTGGTCAACTTCTCCAAGATGAGGATGGTGCGTTCCCCCCAGCCAGGCAGGGGAAGGGGGGCGTTGAAGCCCAGATGACTCAACCTGGGGCCCACCCACACTCTGCCCCCCAAGGCCCAACCTGCTGCATAGGGTGCCCCCATTTGGGAGCCTGGGTCCAGCTTCCCCAATGACAGCCATCACTATCATTGATGAGCAGTTAGAATCTGGCAGGCCCTGAGCCATGCTTTCACCGGCATTTCCTCCTCTAGTCCTGACAGTCTGAGAGGTAGCTGCTCTTCTTATTCTGCACCTTTCAGATGAGCAGACTGAGGCTGAGTGAGGTCAAGTGAGCAGCCCAAGGTCACCCCACAAGTAAAGGGCAGAGCCAGGTCTGGAGCCCGGGTCCAGGTGACTCCAAAGCCCCACACTGTCATTCACACCCATCCGTATTGTTCGTATCGACACTTGCTTGATGTGGACAAAGTAAAACCACTTACACAGCACCTCCTAAAAGAGTAAGTTTCCAGTTTTCCCAGAAAAATCTAGAACTTGGGATAAGGGCTGAGGAGACTTCTCCCATTAGGAACAGGATTCTAACCGTCTCCTTCTCCCCTCTCACTTCGCCAGAAAGCCTCTACTTGCACCAGTTTTATATAATGGGCCTTGACATTAGATTTTTGTTGGATGGAAAGGGTTTTTTCAGGCACCATCCTGAAGAGCGAAAGCTGCTTTTCATCGTGTCTTGTGCACAGCAGGCGCTAAGGAAGTGGCTGATGCCTTTAACTTTTGCTGGAGTCGTGGGGTTTTGTTCTAGTGATGTTAGGTAGCTTATGCCACTAATTAAAGGAGATTTTTTTTCTTCTCTCAGTCACATAGTGTAATTTACCTATAGAGTCTTGACAAGTCTTGGAAGCAGATTTCTGTTTAAAAAAAAAAAAAGAAAAAAAACATGAGGCCGGGTGTGGTCGCTCACACCTATAATCCCAGCACTTTGGGAGCTGAGGCGGGTGGATCACTTGAGGTCAGAAGTTCAAGACCAGCCTGGTCAACATGGTGAAACCCCATCTCTACTAAAAATACAAAAATTAGCCGGGCGTGGTGGCATGCACTTGTAATCCCACCTACTCAGGAGGCTGAGGCAGGAGGATCACTTGAACCCAGGAGACAGAGGTTGCACTGAGCCGAGATCACGCCACTGCACTCCAGCCTGGGCGACAGAGTGAGACTCCATCTCAAAAAATAAAAATAAAAACAAACACACATGATGCCTCCGTGGGACCTTCCAGGAGGCAACATGTATGGAATTAAGAGGCTGACTTCAGATTTAGTTGTTGATGCCCCTTCAGCTCTGCAAAGTTGGGGGTGGAACTAGGAGAGCAAACTGCATTCTGAAACACTCCTTCCTTCCCACAGATATCCCATATTATCCGAGAGATTCGCCAGTTTCAACAAACTGCCTACAAAATAGAGCACCAAGCAAAGGTAAGCTGTGCCTTTTCCTGGTCACTTGCATGCTTTCACAGTGGCTCTGTCTAGGCCACCTTCCACCCTGTCCCCTCCATACCCGTCCACTTTCCCTTCCAGAATTCTCTCGAGCCCAGCTCAAATGCCATCCCTGTAAGGAAGGCTTCCCTAGTCCCTATTTCTTCAAATTGGGCCTGTGTTCATCTTGTGACTCTTGTCTGATTTTACCTGCCATAGGATGGTTTATATTCATGTCTAATCTCCCCCAGGGCAAGACAGGCAGAGTTGATAACATCTGTTTCTGAAAGGTACTATGCTTACAAGTTACAAAATCCACAGATATAAGGAGTGCACAGTGAAATGTCCCCCAGCCACCTAGTTCCCCTTCCAAAGGCAACATTTCCGCCCGTTTCTTGTGTCTAGGTCCACAGGCAATCCATAAACACAAGCCAACTTTGCATACCATTCTCTAGCATACTATACACTGCTCAGTATCATTCCTTTTTTTCCTTCATAATATATCTTGGAGATCATTCCTATTAAAATAGAAGCATCCTTATTCTTTCTTACAGCTGCAGAGAAATCTATTTAGCCAATCCTCTGTATTGATGAACATTTAGGTTGTTTTGATCTTTTGCTGCTACAGACAAGGCACAAAGAAATACTTTGTACATCCAGAAACAGGCAGGGAGGGCCATAGGGTATGGATCCCAGGGTCTGTGCTGCTCTGAGGGCCTAGAGAGCCTTACTGGAGTAGGAGAATCCTGGAAGAGTTTTCCTGGTCGGGGTAGACATGTCTTTCTTGCAGAGAGACAGGCTTGTGTAATGCTAAGTACAGTGACCCCCTCCACCACCACCACCAAATGGCTGGCTGCAGAGAGTAGCATCAGGCCTGCCAGAAACAGATGGAACTGGTGGGATCCTAAAAGGATCAGGGACTTTGTCCGTAGGACCATAGGAAGCCCTGAAAGGAGGTTATATAATTGGACTAGTTTGCATTTTTAAAAGATTTGCAAGGCCATGTAAGAGAATGGTTGGTCTGAAAAAAAAAAAAAAAAGTCTCAGCTAGCCAAAAAGAAAAAAAAATTGTTTAATAAAAAAGAATGGTTGGCATGTTAGTCTCATTACATTATTCAAAGCCTGTACTGTAGGCCCCATTTTACAGATAAAATAACAGATTTGCTAACCCAGACTCTTGGGCTCCCAATCCTATGACTTTTCTTTTCTTTTTCTTTTTCTTTTTTTTTTTTTTTTTTTTTTTTGAGACAGAGTCTCACTCTGTCACCAGGCTGGACTGCAGTGGTACAATCTTGGCTCGCTGCAACCTCCACCTCCCGGGTTCAATCAATTCTTCTGTCTCAGCCTCCCGCATAGCTGGGATCAGGGACTTTGTCCTTAGGACCATGGGAAGCCCTGAAAGGAGGTTATGTAATTGGACTAGTTTGCATTTTTGAAAGATTGCAAGGCCATGTAAGAGAATGGCTGGTCTGGCACGCCACTATGCCCCAATAATTTTTGTATTTTTAGTAGAGACGGAGTTTCACCATATTGGTCAGGCTGGTCTCAGACTCCTGACCTCAGGTGATCCACTCACCTCAGCCTCCCAAAGTGTTGAGATTACAGGCATGAACCACCACGCCCAGCCTCCAATCCTATGACCTTTCTTCCCTGCCCAGAGATACAGCATCTTAACCTCCTAGTGTGCAGTTCACAAAAACATCCAGCTCCAGACACACCCTCAAGCACACCGGAAAATCAAGCTTTTATTGTTTTTCCCTTCTAATGTCCTTTGTGATCAATGTGTTTTTTGAGAATGTGTCAATTTTTTGCCATATTCTGAGAACTCATGATCTGCTTTATAGCTGATAGCCGTATCGAAGGAGAAAAATCAGTGGACTAACTACAATTAGTTAAACTGGCCACTTTTGCTTTGCTTTCCATTCATTCTCTCACTCCACAAATATTCATTGAGCAAGTCCTACATGCCAAGCACTATAGTAGGCTCTTGGCTCAGCAGTGAACAAAACAGATAAACTCTTGGCCCTCACGAGCTTGTGTTCTAGAGGGAAATAGACTAAGAGGCAAAAAATATAATATGACAGATGATTATTACAACCATGGAAGAAATGAAGCAGGGGAGAGGAATGGGAGGTTGGGAAAGGAATAGGGGGCCATAGAATCCTAGAATTTTCTTTTCTTTTCTTTTCTTTTTTTTAAGACAGAGTCTTACTCTGTCACCCAGGCTGGAGTGCAATGGCGCGATCTCAGTTCACTGCAACCTCTGCCTCCCGGGTTCAAGCAATTCTCCTGCCTCAGCCTCCTGAGTAGCTGGGACTACAGGTGTGAGCCACCACGCCCGGCTAATTTTTGTACGTTTAGTAGAGACGGGGTTTCACCACGTTGGTCAGGCTGGTCTCAAACTCCTGACCTCGTGATCCACCCGCCTCAGCCTCCCAAAGTGCTGGGATTACAGGCATGACCTAGGATTTTCAATGTTGGACAAAACAGAAATAAAGGGCATCATGAGCCACAACATCACCTATATTATGCATCCAAGTGTTTGAATCTAATCAGGAGGAACCAACAGACAATTTCAGAATATGGGACATTCTGCGAGACAACTGCTCTGTAACTCAGTGGTGTGCTAGTAAATGTTAAACTGGTCTTGGGGGTAGAGGATTGAGTCTTGATGTGTAGCATTTGCTGTTGAAGAGAAAAATGATTGGAACGCTTGTTAAAAATGGTAACATTGGAACATTTGTTTAAAATAGTAGGTTTATTCAAACCTGATGCAATAGAGGCCAAGACTGTTTCTTGGGGGAGAGAGATTGAACTCAACTGCAAATACAACAGGGACAGGTGGGGATTTGTAGTCAATGGGCCAAGAAAGGGGGTCAGTGGATGGAAAATTACTAAGAGGAGATAGCAAGAGTAGGGGAATTCTTGCTAAACCGGCCTAACAGGTTTTTATTAAAGTCCGGCCAAAGACTTCGGGTATCAGGGGTGGAGAATGAAGAATTTGAGCAGATATCAAGGTGGGGGGATTCTTGCTAAAGGCAAGCCAAATTTGAAGCCTAGGCATGAAGAGAACTCAGAGGAGCCTGTTAGGTGATGCCAGCAGGGCCACTTTCAAACCACCACCTGGACATCACTGAAAGCAGAGTTGGGAACAGAGGCTAAAAATTGGCACATGCAGGCTGGCATGAGCCAGCTCCAACACACTACTGCATATAGTCTTCAAAAATATCAATGTCTTTTAGCAATAAAATATTTTCAATTAAAAATATATATATATATATCAGCTGGGAGTAGTGGCTCATGCCTGTAAATCCCAGCACTTCAGGAGACTGAGGTAGGAGGATCACTTGAGCCTAGGAGTTTGAAGTGAGCCTGGGCAACATAGGGAGATCAGAGATCCTATCTCTAGCAAAAATCATAATAATAATTAGCTGGGCATGGTGGTGCACGCCTGTAGTCACATCTACTCAGGAGTCTGAGGCAGGCGGATCACTTGAGCCCAGGAGTTCAAGGCTGTAGTAAGCTATCATTGCACCACTGCACACTAGCCTGGGCAGCAGAGTGAGGCTTTGTGTCTAAAAATAAAACACACACACACACACACACACACACACATCAGTGTCATGAAAAATAAAAAAGACTAAAACACACAGGCTGGGCTCAGTGGTGAGCTTTTAATCCTAGCACTGTGAGAGGCAGAGGGAGGAGGCTACTTGAGTTCAGGAGTTCAAGATCAGCAACATAGTGAGACCCTGTCTCTATAATGAAAAAAAATTTTTTCAAAAAAAAATAATAAAATAAGACTAAATCATATGACATCTAAATGCAATGTGTGAATGTCGGTTAGATCTGGGATTTTAAAAAACAGCTATAAAGATTATTTTATTCATTAAAACTTGAAGAAATTTGAATCTGGTCTGTACATCAGCTAATTTTATTTTATTGATATTAAATGTCCTAGGTATAATGATGTTATGGTTATGTAAGAGAATGTCTGTATTCTTAGGAGATGCATGGCTGAAGTATTCAGTGGGGGAAACACTACACTATTTACCTTCAAATGGTTCAGCCCTCAGAAAAAGGATTATACGTATATGTTGTATGCATAGTTTTTATATTTTTTAAATAAAAAGTTGGCCGGAAAACAGACAACAGTAAAAGCATTAACCATGGAAAAACAGATATAAATACTGGAAGAAATATGTAAAACAGGACTATCCACTAGAAATATAATGCAAGCTACATATGTAACTTTAAGTATCCTACAGGGTCACATTTTTTAACTTATTTTTATTTATTTATTTATTTTAGTTTTTTGAAACAGGATCTCACCCTGTCACCCAGGCTGGAGTGCTATAGTGTGATCTTGGCTCACTGTAGCCTCGACCTCATGAGGTTCAAGCGATCCTCCTACCTCACCCTCCTGAATAGCTGGGACTGCAGGTGTTCACCATTACACCCAACTAATTCTTTTATATTTTTTGTAGAAACAGGGTTTTGCCATGTTGTCCAGCCTGGTCTCGAACTCCTGGCCTCAAGTGATCTGCCTGCCTCGGCCTCCCAAAGTGCTGGGATTACAGGAATGAGCCACTGCACCTGGCCTGTTTTTTTGTTTGTTTGTTTGAGGCAGGGTCTCACTCTGTCACCCAGGCTCAAATGCAGTGACACAATCATAGCTCACTGCAACCTCAACTTCCCCGGCTTAAGGTATGACCACACCCAGCTAATTTTTTATTTTTTTATAGAGACAGGGTCTGCCCATGTTGAACTCCTGCGCTCAAGTGATCCTGTCGTCTTGGCCTCCCAAAGAGCTGGGATTACAGGTTTGAGCCACCATTCCCAGCCTCATTTTTTTTTAAAAGCAAAAAGAAATAGGTAAAATTAACTATAATAAGATATTTTATTTAATACAATATATCCAAATAATTGTCAGTTCAGCATGTAATCAATTTAAAAATTGACTGAGATATTTTACTTTATTTTATTCATACTAAACTTTCAAAAATCCAGTGTGTATTTTACACGTCACATCTTAATTCAGATGAGCCCTGTTTCAAGTGCTCAGTAGCTACACGTGGCTAATGGCTGCTGCACTGGATTTGGGGGGCTCTGTAAGAACTGAAAATGGCTATCTCTAGAGAGCCAGGCCTGGTGGCTGAGAAGGGGCAACAAAGGATTGCTGGTTTTCATTATGAACCGTTTAATGCTACTTGGCTTTTTTAATTACACAAAATAAGGTATAAATTAATTTTATATCTAAAATAAGATATAAATCAACTTTAAAATAAAAAGAAATAAAAATACAATTTAAAAATAAATAGTCCCGGGCCTGGCACGGTGGCTCTCAACTGTAATCCCAGCACTTTGGGAGGCCAAGACAGGAGAATTGCTTGAGGCCAGAAGTTTGAGACCAGCCTAGGCAACAGAGTAAAGGCTCCCAACTCTACAAAAAAATAAAAACATTAGCCAGGCGTAGTGGCTCATGCCTGTAGTCCCAGCTACTCAGGAGGCTAAGGCAGAAAGATCACTTGAGCCCAAGAGGTTGAGGCTACAGTGAGCCATGATCGTGCCACTGCAGGGCAGCCTGGGCAACAGAGTGGGATCCTGACTCTGTTAAAAAAAAAAAAAAAAAAAAAAAAATTTAAGTCCTCATGGTCTGGTAGGGAAACTTTGAGTTTTCGGGCATGGCTCTTAGAGGATAAACACATGGTGATTTTAATAACAAGATCAAACATTGAATTCATCAGCTTAAAGCACTAAGGGAATCAGGCCTAAGCCACTGGGGGTACAGAATGGCTCCCTGGCCAATTAACAGCAGCAAGCCAGAGCCTGCTCAGCATCTCTGGGGCTCCTCCCTCTGCCTTATTCAACACCAACCAGCCTCCACCCAGCCCACTCTCACATCCTTCTCTCAGTCGACCAGGGAACACCTGGGTTCAAATCCCGGCGAAGCCACTCACCAACTGTGTTACCTTCTGCCTCAACTGTAACATGAGATTCTTTTATTTTATTTTTGAGACGGAGTTTCACTCTGTCACCCAGCCTGGAGTGCAGTGGCGCGATCTCGGCTCACTGCAACTTCTGCCTCCCAGGTTCAAGTGATTATCCAGCCTCAGCCTCCCAAGTAGCTGTGATTACAGGTGCCTGCCACCACGCCCGACTAATTTTTGTATTTTTAGTAGAGATGGGGTTTTACCACACTGGCCAGGCTAGTCTCAAACTCCTGACCTCAAGTGATCCACCTGCTTTGGCCTCCCAAAGTGCTGGGATTACAGACATAAGCCACTGCGCCTGGCTGGTCACATGAGATTCTTATACCAGTGTGGGATGGGTTGTTTTTGATGATTAAATATGACAACCTTTGTAAAAGGACTTTATAAAAAAAGCATTGCTGTCTGATGCAAGAACTCATGCATACATGAGTAACGGTTGGTTTCTGGTCTCCATGAATGAGTGAGGGGATTTTGAGGGCCTGTTGAGGGGGTCTAATGTGGCTAAAGAGGGGGGTTGTTGGCAACTGCAGGGCTAGAGCCCCTGCTTTGGGGGCAAGAACCTCCGGGAAAGAGCAGAGGGATTTAAAGGCAGTGGGTCTCCAGTGTCCGTGTGCATCCGAATCATGCTCACCAAAAAGAGTGAGTTGTACTGTATGTACCTTTTTTTAAGTAAAATGATACTCAATCCTTGACAAGCCTACTCTGCTGACAGTGTTGGCCGTTGTAGTAAGAAACCCATGATCCTTCTCCTAGGGATTTATGATTTAAACACTTAGTTGAGGCAAAAGGCTGTATTCTAGAAGATCTTCATTGCAACATTTATTTTATATATAAAATATCAAAAAACCTGAAAACGGCCGGGCGCGGTGGCTCATGCTTGTAATCACAGCACTTTGGGAGGCCGAGGAGGGTGGATCACCTGAGGTCAGGAGTTCTCAACCAGCCTGGCCAACATGGTGAAACCTAATAGTATAAATGAAAGCATACCAAGTGCTGTCCATTCCATAGGTACAACTATGGAAAAGTACTTTTGTATTCTAAGAACGAGACGATCACACAAAAAAATGAAAACAGTTATTTTAGAGTGGTGAGATTATGGGCTTCTGTTTTTCTCCAAAAATGTATTTTATATTGTCATGTCCTTTATTCTACAATAAAAAATATTAAGATAAAAGTATCAACATAACTCAGCAGTATTTGAGGGTCTGTGTTTGTGTGTTCATCCAGCCTGAGAACCACAGAGTTGCCATGTGGATCACACAGGGCTCATCCAGAAGGCACCGTGGTCACACTGGGCCCTGGAAAGTCTCAGAAGTTACCAAGAAAATTTCAGGGTTTTCTTCCATCTCCTGCTTTTGTCTCCTTAAACTTTGATGTGCAATACAAATAAATATTACTGGCCAGGGCCAGTGGCTCATGCCTGTGATCCCAGCACTTTGGGAGGCCGAGGCAGGCGGATCACCTGAGGTCAGAAGTTCGAGACCAGCCTGGCCAACATGGTGAAACCCTGTCTTTACTAATAATACAAAAATTAGCCAGGCATGGTGACGCATGCCTGTAATCCCAGCTACTCGGGATGCTGAGGCAGAAGAATCGCTTGAACTCGGGAGGCGGAGGTTGCAGTGAGCCAAGATGGCGCCACTGTACTCCAGCCTGGGTGACAAGAATGAAATTCCCCCTCAAAAAAAAAAATAAATAAATAAATATTACTGCTCCTCAGACTTCTTTCATTAACTGCTTTGCAATGGTGCTATATGCTGCCAGTCTTCCTCGAAAGTACAATGTCTTAGGAAAATTAGCCTGACTTAGCCAAGTCAGGTCAAGAGTTCAACACCAGCCTGGCCAACATGACAAAACCCCGTCTCTACTAAAATTGATCCTGCACATGCTCACTACGGAGGAAACTAATCAGTTTCCTGATCCCCAGGGGGCTTGGGAGGTAGAGATTCATGCATTCTAGAAAGGACTGTTCACATGACACTACTATCTAGGTATAAAAGACTATTTCACATGGTCATAAAATCGCCATGTCTTTATCACTGGGTGTAGGTTAAACCAGACTGTGATATCTAAAGTCATCTTCCTAGAAGTGCTGGGAACGAGCTGCTAATCAGACATAGTAATCACTTTATCTGTGACTATTAATCAGCATAGCAGACAGCCGGTTCCAACCTTTATAGTAGCAGAGTCAATTAGCCAAGACAAAAGCAGCAGACTTTATTTTTCTCAAGCAGCTACCAAAAGATTCCCAAACATATAATAAGAAAATTTGGCCAGGCACGGTGGCTCGCACCTGTAATCCCAGCACTTCAGGAGGCCAAGGCAGGTGGATCACTTGAGGCCAGGAATTCAAGACCAGCCTGGCCAACATGGCAAAACCCTGTCTCTACTAAAAATACAAAAATTAGCCAGGCATGGTGGTGCATGCCTGGGATCCCAACTACTCAGGAGGCTGAGACAGGACAATTGCTTGAACCCGGGAGGCAGAGGTTGCAGTGAGCCCAGATTGCACCACTGCACTCCAGACTGGGCGACAGAGCAAGATGCTGTCTCAAAAAAAAAAAAGAAAATTTTTTTCTTTCTGCTCTGGATTTATGTAGCGGGGAAAAATGTGCCTTTAGTTCCAAACAACTGACAAGTAAATAAGTCTTGGAAAGATACTTTTTGGAGCAGGGGGCTGCCTGTGAGGTTAGAGCTCAGATCTCTCATTGCACATTTAATGCGCAGGCATTCAGCAAAATGCTTCAGAGCAGGAGTGGGGTGGGGAGAGAGGAGAAGACAGGATAACCTAACTCATGTGAGTGCATCTTTCTGATTTTCCACTCTTAAGATTTCTCCCCAGGGTGAGAAAAAGGGAGGCTCTTCTCTCACACAGCCTCCATTTCCACTTGCCTCTCTTGGAGTGGATCTCTCACAGTACCATGTAATCCTAGCGTTTTAATACATTTTGTCCCAACATTTTATTATAAAACTTTTTATTTTATTTTATTTTATTTTAAGACAAGGTCTGTACCCAAGCTGGGGTACAGTGGTGTGAACACAGCTCACTGCTGCCTTGACCTCCTGGGCTCAAGTGATCCTGCTGCCTCAGCCTCACATGTAACTGGAACCACAGGTGCACACCACAATACCCAGCTACTTTTTTGATTTTTTGTAGAAACAGGGTCTCACTTTGTTGCCCAAGCTGGTTTCAAACTCCTGGGCTCAAGCGATCCTCCTGCCTCAGCCTCCCAAAGTGCTGGGATTAGAGGCATGAGCCACCACGCCCAGCCTTATGAAACTTTTCAAATATACAGAAACACTGACAGAATTGTGACAGACAGATCAAACATACAGAAACACTGGCAGAATTGTGAACACATATATCTGCCACCTAGTTTCTACAATTGACTTTTTTTTACTTTTGTACCAGCCTTAATATTATGACAATATTAAATAATAATCCTAAGACAATACTTACGTCGACTGCTTAAAACTTATGTCAAGATGGAACACTACTGAATGCATTTTTGCCTCATATGCCCACCTGACTCTCCACAGTAAGAGGCTTGGGCCCTAGGAGATAAAGTGCATCCACAATCAGTACTATGGAGGTCCCACAACCCTCCCATTCCCTTTTCTCTTTTCTTTTCTCAGGTAACGCAATATTTACTGGACCAATCTTTTGTAATGGATGAAGAAAGCCTCTACGAGTCTTCTCTCCGAATAGAACCAAAACTCCCCACCTGAAGCTGAGCCCAGCCCAGACCCAGCTGCTCCCGGGGACATGTGCTAGATGATACTGTACATATTCGTTTGGTTTCACTGGATTTTCTTCTTCAGTATGTGCTTCTCCAAGAATACAAATCGTCCTTGTTCTTAGATTCCTGTAGAACCGGAATATGAATTTCTGCACCGTTTCAGACTTCGCCCACCCATCCCTCCCCTCGTCTCCTGCAGTGCCTGTTTCTTTTAAACAGCTGTACTCTTGGTCCCTCTTCCCTAGACTCCTCACTCTTCTCAGAGGGGAAACAGCACCCTTGCATACAAGAATCTTAGACTCCAGTCCTGCTTCCGTCCCTCCCCAGCCCAGGCTCCTGGGTTGAGGTGGCCACCCAGGCATCCTCCCAGCATGTTCCATGTAGTTGTTATAACTGGGTGGGGGGTGGGGGGCGGCGGGAGGGGGAAACCATACCCTGAAGTCCAGTCATTGACAAATCTTCCCGCTGATGGTGATGTCAATTTCCAAAGCAGCTTCTCCAGCCAAAATCGCAGGTCTCAAAACTCCCCATGTGTCTCCCAGTAACCTGGACGGAAGGGAGTCCTCTCTGCTCAGAACCACACCCCTCGTACCAATGCTGCCATCTCGTTCAGGCCCCACGTCGCTCCTTGCTCTAGGATTAACACCAGATAGCATGAATAGCAGTCTCAATACAACTGGATGAGGCCCTAGACTTCCCGAGGAAATGGAGTCACAAACACCAAGCCACGTCGACTCTTGCCGACCACTGGCCCAGCATCCACTGAAAGTCGGGAACACAAAAATGTCACTTTTCCTCTTTAAGCTGCCTAACGGTCACTACAAGCTTACATTGAGATGCTCTAAGTCTGTATACCTTGTGATAATTAGTACCACACTGTAGAATTAGGAAATCAATAACCAAGTGTTTTTATTGCATATACTGTAGTCCTGTCTAAATGCCTTCTAGCAGGAATATAGTAATGTAGTGCTTATTCTGTGAATATTACCATGTATTTTTTACACTGTACAGTATAGAAAACACAGGTTAACTCCGAAGTGGCAGGCATGCTCCACTACAACAGACAGACAACTTTTGCTGTAAGCAATACCTAGTGGTATGAGAATTCTATTTCAAGTCCTAAAATATTTCAACTTACAGCTTGTTTGGAAAAAAATTTCCATTTTTGTAAAAATATATGTTTCCTGATTACCTCTTGCTAATAAATCTATTCTATCTCAGGGTGAACAGCGAGTTTTGATGGGTTTCATTCGTTCAGTCAAGGAATATTTGATGAGCACTTGCTCCTTACCCAGCCCAGCCTGGGACCGGAGATCCAGAGTGTCAAGGACACCATACCTGCTTTTTAGGCACCAACAGTTTGGTGGGGAAGACTGTTTCAGTTGCCTATTGCACCAAGAACAAGCCACTCCAAAACATAATGGCTTAAAACCATTTTTGTTACCTTTCACAGTTCTATGGGTTGACTGGGTCCAGCTGTCAGTTCTTATTTGGAGTCTCTCATGAAGTTTCAGTCACTCAGCAACTGGGACTGGAGTCATCTGAAGGCTCAACTGGACCGGGTGGTGCTCTAGTTGGTGCACCAAGATGGCGCTGTCACATGGCTGGATGTTGATGTCTGCTGGGCTGCACTGGGGCTGTTCATGGGAGCATCCACACGTGGCCTCTCTGTGTGGCTTGGGCTCCTCACAGTCCGGAAGCTGGGTTCCAAGAGCGACTGTTCCAGCAGCCTCAGGCAGAAGCTACAAGGCTGCCCAGATGCCATCCTGCCCAGATGTGTCCTCACTGTCACCCAGGAAGGGAAGCCCCGGAACACCACCCTCAGTCACAGGCATGGGGCCCACTGCAAGGCACAACCCACTCCAGAGCTCCCAAGGCCGCCTCCCCTGGGACCTGCAGCCAGCTGGCTCCATAACTGCTTTTCCGTTTCCTCCAGGCATTTTCATCCTAGCCCTACTTTGTGCTGGGATCTGAGGGGGATAGCAAGCGGAGAAAGAAGGGATCTAGAGGGAGAAGATTCTAGATCCTTCTTTTGACTGCCAGCTGATTTTGATTGCCAGCTTTACCTGCTTCATGAGCTCAGCCAAGTCACTTAACCTCTCAGAGCTTCACTGTTCTCATCTGAAAAATGGGGATGAAAATGGTATCTCATTACAGAGTAGAATTAAATGAATTATTATAATTAATGGTATTAAGTACTATTAAACAGTTAATGGTAAAGAAGGAAGAATGTGTTTTGAGGTGCCAATGAAGTAGTATAAGACAAGCTGCTTTGTTAAGCAAGACATCAGCTGTTACTCCTGGCACCAAAAGCCGTCCTGGGGTTCCATGGGTCAGTGGCCTTGATACCAAAACAAACTTGGGCCCACCTGCCCGGCACAGCAAAGCCAAGCACTGACATTGGGATTGCAGCGAGAGAAAGTGAGGCATTTATTGCAAGGGCACCAAGCAAGATGAATCACGCCGCTCATGCTTAACACCTGAACTTAAGTCTTTACCCTACCTGATGGCTTACAGGTAAGAGTTTTTAAAGTTGGGATGGCAGGGGTTACAGGCAAGGTCATAAATCAACCACAGAGGCTACACATTGGTTGATGTATAAAGGCGGGACATCTTCAGGGGGGTGCCGTGCACCGGTCATAGGTGGACTCAAAGATTTTCTGGGCCAGGCTCAGTGGCTCACACCTGTAATGCCAGCATTTTGGGAGGCCGAGGCGGGAGGATTGCCTGAGCTCAGGAGTTCGAGACCAGCCTGGGAAACATAGTGAAACCCCGTCTCTACTAAAAATACAAAAAATTGGCCAGGCACAGTGGCTCACGCCTGTAATCCCAGCACTTTGGGAGGCCGAGGTGGGCAGATCACAAGGTCAGGAGATCGAAACCATCCTGGCCAACATGGTGAAACTCCATCTCTACTAGAAATACAAAAAAATTAGTTGGATGTGGTGGCAGGCGCCTGTAATCCCAGCTACTCGGGAGGCTGAGGCAGGATAATCACTTGAACCCAGAAGGCAGAGATTGCAGTGAGCCAAGATCGCACCACTGCCCTCCAGCCTGGTGACAGAGTGAGACTCCATCTCAAAAAAAAAAAAAAAAAATTAGCTGGGCATGGTGTTGCACACCTGTAATCCCAGCTGCTGGGGAGGCTGAGGCACAAGAATTGCTTGAACCTGGGAGGCAGAGGTTTCAGTGAGCCGAGATAGCACAACTGTCCTCCAGCCTGGGCGACAGTGCGAGACTCTGTCTCAAAATAAATAAATAAATAATAATAAATAAAATTTTTAAAGATTTTTCTGATTTGTAATTGGTTAAGGAAGAGAAGCTTTGTCTAAAAATTTGGGATCAGCAGAAAAAAACGTTAGCTCTGGCTTGTGGGCATGACCTCCCACAGGCCCCTCAGGAAGAAATTTAGAACAAAACTGCAGTCAGAGTTCAGTTCTATGTGCTAGCGGGTCCATTTGGTGGGGTCTCTTCCTCTTCACCGAAGGTGAAAAGCACAGTTGGGCGGCTTGGCCTTCCAGCCTCAGCAGGGAGGCTTCTGCCTCTGTCCCTACAAGCAGACACTGGGGCAATGGATGCATCAGATTGGAAGTCAAGCATTTCTTCATTTATTCAAAATAGGAAGGCAGCGTGGTGGAGTGATTACAAATTCTAGAGCAGGCCGGGCGTGGTGGCACACACCTGTGATCCCAGCCGAGGCGGGCGGATCACTTGAGGTCAGGAGTTCAAGACCAGACTGGCCAACATGGTCAAACCCTGTCTCTACTAAAAATACAAAAATTAGCTGGGCATTGTGACGTGCCTGTAATCCCAGCTACTCTGGAAGCTGAGGCAGGAGAATCGCTTGAACCCCAGAGGTGGAGGTTGCAGTGAGCCAGGATCGCACCACTGCACTCCAGCCTAGGCGACAGAGCGAGACTGTCTCAAAACAAAAACAAACTCTAGAGCAGCGATTACCAACGGGGTGATTTTACTCCTCGCCTCAGAGTCTGGAGACATTTTTGGTGGTCACAGTTGGGGAGGCCAGGTGATACATCTACTAGGTAGAGACCAGAGATGCTGCTAAATAGCCTACAATGCACAGGACAGCCCCCACCACAAAGAACTATCCAGCCCAAAATGTCAATCATGCCGAGGTTGAGAATCCCTGCTCTAGAGCCAGACTGCTCAGGTTCAAATCCCGGCTTCACTGCTTACTAGCCATACGACCTTAGGCAAGTTACGAGACCACTCTATGCCTCAGTTTTCCCACCTGTGCAATGGAGACAAGCATAGTACCTGCCTTGCAAAGTTGTTGTATTAAATGAGCTGCTACAGGTGAGGTGATCAGCACGTGGCAAGTGCTTGAGAACCATCAGCTGTTGTTCATTCATGAACTATTTCTAGAGCACTTACTTTGTATCAGGCCCCATTCCAGGCATTGCTGACTTAATGAACAAAGCAAACAAGATCCCTGCCCACACAAGGCCTATGTTCTAGTGGGCGGTGGACAGTGAGCAATTTTTTAAAATACCCAAGGAGGCTGGGCACGGTGGCTCATGCCTGTAATCCCAGCACTATGGGAGGCCAGAGGTGGGTGGATCACCTGAGATCGGGAGTTCGAGACCAGCCTGATCAATATGGAGAAACACCATCTCTACTAAAACTACAAAATTAGCTGGGCATGGTGGCCTGTGCCTGTAATCC
Source organism: Homo sapiens (assembly GCF_000001405.40). NCBI lineage: Eukaryota > Metazoa > Chordata > Mammalia > Primates > Hominidae > Homo > Homo sapiens. The sequence continues at coordinate 78,957,446 of NC_000015.10, read as the reverse complement.
CAGCTACTCAGGAGGCTGAGGCAGGAGAATCACTTGAACCCAGGAGGTGGAGGTTGCGGTGAGCCGAGATCGCACCATTGCACTCCAGCCTGGGCAACAAGGGCAAAACTCCATCTCAAAAAAAAAAATTAAATAAATAAATAAATAAAATGAAATACCCAAGGTAGGGCAATAAAGACCACGAGGACAACCATTAGGGGAACACTGAGGCTGGGACATCTAGCCTGAAACTTGGATAATGCAAAGCCAGACACCTATTGTTAAGGAAGCTGTGAGGTCATCACTCACTCACCTTGAGAGGACTCCTCTTATAGGCCTGCTGGGCACCCCCCAGGGATGGAAATAAAGGAAAATCTTGAGTTCCTTCAAGGGAAATTCCAGGCACCTAGCTCTCCCTGAGAAGCAAATGAGAAACTTGATAAGCAAGAAGGTAACAGTAGCCTGAAACAATAGCCAAGGAAGTTAGAGTGTTGGGATGTTTCCTATGGAAACCAAAGATAACCTCTTAATATATGTTATTTTTCAGAAACCCAGATGACCCTGGCACATAGACCTCAGGTAAGGGGGAACCAGGACTAACCGCTGTCCCCTACTCTTTGCTCTTCCTGAGGGGCCTGGAGGAGGTCATGCCCACGAGCCAGAGCTAACATTCTTTTCTGCTGATCCCAAATGTTTAGACAGAGCTTCTCTTCCTTAACCAATTACAAATCAGAAAATCTTTGAATCCACCTATGACCCATGCCCCCCTCCCCAAGATGTCTAGACTTTTTAGGTCCAACCAAATATATAGCCTCCATGTTTTGGAGGTTTGTTGGTGGTGTTTTTTTGTTTGTTTGTTTTTGTTTTTGTTTTTGAGACAGAGTCTCACTCTGTCACCCAGGCTGGAGTGCAGTGGCGCGATCTCGCTCACTGCAAGCTCCGCCTCCTGGGTTCATGCCATTCTCCTGCCTCAGCCTCCAGACTAGCTGGGACTACAGGCGCCCACCACCACGCCTGGCTAATTTTTTGTATTTTTAGTAGAGACAGGGTTTCACTGTGTTAGCCGGGATGGTCTCGATCTCCTGACCTCATGATCCACCCGCCTCGGCCTCCCAAAGTGCTAGGATTACAAGCGTGAGCCACCGCGCCCAGCCTGTTGGTGGTGGTGTTGTTGTTGTTGTTGTTGTTGTTGTTGGTGGTGGTGGTGGTGGTGGTGGTGGTGGTGGTGTTTATTTGAGACAGGGTCTCACTCTGTTGCCCAGGCTGGTGTGCAGTGGCATGATCATAGCTCATTGCAGCCTCAACCTGCTAGGCTCAGGTGATCCTCTTGCCTCCGCCTCCCAAGTAGGTAGGCCCACAGGTGTGTGCCACCTTGCCCAGCCTGCCTCCATGTATTGATTTATGACATTGCCTGTAACCTCTGCCTCTCCATCTTTAAAAGCCCTTGCTGTAAGCCATGAGGGAATTCAGTCTTAAGTATGAGCTGCCCAATTCCCCTTGCTGGGTGCCCTGCAATCATTGCCTCCCTTTCTCTTACTGCAATCCCAATGCCAGTGCTTGGCTTTGCTGTACCAGGTGGGCAGACCCAAGTTCTGTTTGGTAACAACCTGCTGCAGATGGTCAGTGTTCTGATCCGGCAGGAGGCACTGGGCAATTCTCAGGGGCTTTCTCAGGACCTACACTAGGATGAGGCAAGAGAAGCACCCACCCAGGCATAACATTTAAGGGGCCACCAAAAAAAAAAAACAGTATTATTATTGAAATGAATAACATTTTACGGCAATATTTTAAAAAGTCAAAATTTACAATAAAATCCACAATGACCAAAATACCAAAATCATCAAAGACAGGATCAATATTTCTGGTGTTCTTCTTTTGCCTCACTCTTCAAAATGGCAGACACTGGGCTTCTTGGCCCTTGGTCAATGAATCATAAAATACTTCTAGTGTCACGAAAGGAAATAGCACTCCAGGCTCTAGGCTAGTTCCTGGGGAGAGAGGCAGCGGATTTGGTTAGCTTCTCTGTTTACTGGCGGATGTACGTGGTTGGTTGGATTTTTAGGGTCTCCCCTCCCAACTCTGTGAAGGAGTTTTTTAAAGTCAGCACAAAAGAAAGTTTGTACCTGGCCTATTAGCATTCTTTGGTGTAAGTGGGTTTCACAATGGCAGATGGTGTCACCTGTTGATGTATGACTGCCCCTCAGCAGGCTTCATGCTCTTGCCTGGTGTTTAGTGATTACAGTCTCTTTCCCAAGAGTGGCCCTGTGGAGGCTTCCCTGGCTGCCAGGCCAATAACAAGCTGAAGAGGCAGGTTGTTATTGTCAGGGGAGTATGAAGGTGCCACCCAAAACCACCCAGCCTTCAAGTATTCATGAAGCGCCTGTGTGTGCATACCTAGGTAACAAGCATCTAACCAGCTCCTGACCTCCCCGAGCCCATGACCCAGCTGAAGAGTGGAAAACCACAAGTCAAATAACATGTGTCTAGCTCCCAGCCCACACATCACTCCAGACTCCAGATCCTTATAGCCAACCACCTAGACGCCGTCTCGATTTGGGGGCCCTATTTCCACCTCCAATTCACCTGGACCAAACTGACCTCATTTTCTCCATCATATCTCAGTTCCTTCAACCCCCAACTCAGTTGTGCAGGCCAGAACCAAAGTTAATAATAAATGTCAGAGCAAGGGTCTCCTGTCAGGTTCACCTTGCCTTCCCACTTCCCTGCCTTCGTCAAAGCTCTTCCCTCCACCCTGAGCACCATTTTTGCTCTGTCTTTTCTGCCTTTCCAAATCCCATCCTTCTTCAAATGTCCTTCCCTCCAGGAAGCCTTTCCTGATTTTCTCCCAGCCAAGGGCTTCATCTGTACCCATCTCAGGTCAATAGGCTCTATCTGATGGCACAGACCCATGTCACTTCCCTCACACGAGATTCTACATGGGCCAGGGAAGTCTGACTTGGCTATTGTCTCATGCAGCAAACTGATCCATGTCTGACCCATGGGAGATGCTCAGGAGTCAGGTCTGATTCAAAGTGGGGCTCCACAAAAAAGGAGATAAAGTGGACTTCACCCAAATTATAACTTCTGTGCATCAAAGGACATCATTAAGAAAATGAAAGGACAACCTATAGAAGGGCAGAAAATATTTGCAAATCAAGTATCTCACAATGGTTTAGTATTCAGAATACACAGAGAACACCTATAACTCAACAACAAAAACCAGACAAGCCAATTAAAGATCAATTAGCCAAGCATGGTGATGGGCACCTATAATCCCAGATACTTGGGGTGCTGAGGCAGAAGAATCGCTTGAACCCAGGAGGCGGATGTTTCAGTGAGCCAAGATCGGGCCATTGCACTCCAGCCTGGGCAATAGAGCAAAAACTTCATCTAAAAAAAAAAAATAGACAAGAGATTCGAATAGATATTTCTCCAGAGAAAATGCACAAATGGCCAACAAGCACATGAAAAGATGTTCAATACCACTGGTCATTAGGGAAATACATATCAAAACCACAATGAGATACCACTTCATGCCCACTAGAAGAGTTATGATCTAAAAAAAATGGAAAATAATAAGTGTCAGTGAGAATATGGAAAAATAAGAACCCTCATACATTGCTGATGGAAATGTTAAATGGTTCGGCTGCTGTGAAAAAATAGTCTGGCAGTTTCTCAAAAAATAAAGAGAGTCACCATATGACCCAGCAATTCCACTCCTAGGTTTATATCCAAGAGAAACAAAAATGTGTCTACACAGAAACTGGTACACAAATGTTTATAGCAGCATTATTCATAATAGCCAAAAGGTGAAAACAAGCCAAATGTCCATCAACAGATGAGTGGATTTTAAAAACGTAGTATAGGCCAGGTGCGGGGTGGCTCACACCTGCAATCCTAGCACTTTGGGAGGCTGAGCCTGAGGATGAATTGCTTGAGCTCAGGAGTTCCAGATCAGCCTGGGCAACATAGTGAAACCTTGTCTCTACAAAAAAAAATACAAAAATTAGCTGGGCATGGTGGGGAGTGCCTGTGGTCCCAGCTACTCAGGAGAGTAAGGTGGGAGGATCGCCTGAGCCTGGGAGATGGAGGATTCAGTGAGCTATGATCACGCCAACGCACTCCAGCCTGGGCAACAGAGGGAGACTCTGTCTCAAAACCCTGTCTCAAAAACAAAAACAGGTCCCGTCGCTACTAAAAATACAAAAATTAGCTGGACGTGGTGGCAAGCACCTGTAATCCCAGCTACTCAGGGTGGCTGACACAGGAGAATCACTTGAACCCGGAGGCAGAGGTTGCAGTGAGCCAAGATTGCACCACTGCACTCCAGCCTGGGTGACAGAGCGAGACTCCATCTCAAAACACACCCACACATACACAAACACACACACAAAACATAGTATAGCCATACAATAAAATATTACTCAGCTTTAAAAAGAAATAAGTACTAACGCATGCTATAACTTGGAAGAACCTAGAAAACATTACGCTGAGAGAAGAGAGACACAAAAGGTCTCTTATCATATGATTCCTCTTACATGAAGTGTCCAGAATAGGCAAATCCATAGACACAGAAAGCCGAGTAGTGGGTGCCAGGGGAATGGGGTGGGGAGAGGGGAATGAGGAATAATTAGTTCATGGGTATGGGGTGTTCTTTGCAGGTGATGAAAAAGTTTGGAAACTAGAGAGAGGTGATAGTTGCACAACATTATAAATGCACTAAACACCTCTGAATTATACACTTCAAAATGGCCTATTTCATGTTATGTGAATTTTGCCTCAACAAAACGAGGAAAACTGGCTGTAACTGCTCATTCACAAAGCACTTCAGATGTGATCAGGAGATTATGTAGATTAATGGGATAACTGAATTGCATACCTTAAAATGGCTGAGTATATGATATATGAATTTCACTTTAATTTTTTAAAAGTTAAAAAAAAAGAAAGAAAAAGGGATTGGCAAGGCAGAGCTTCTCAGAGGAAGGGTCTTAAACTTGTTCTTGAAGGAATAGAAGAAGCCCAGGGTTTCTGGAGAGAAGAGGGGCTGGGGTGACCCAGATAAGGTAGACGTAAGTGATGGGTTGAGCTGCAATGGGGTGAGGAGTCCAGGGAGAGAGGGACCCTGGGGGCGGCAGGGAGGTAGAGGCAGGTGGCGGGTGGGTGGGCCTGGGTATGGGGCTGGGTGGGTGGCTGGTCCCGGAAGTGTGCAGAGGCACCACAATAGGGCTTTGGTGCTGAAATCTTGCAGGCTCAGTTCCTACCTGGCCTGATTCCATTTTCATTCAGTCAAGCCCTTATCAGCCCTTGTTTGCTTGTTTACTATGCAATTATTACCCAAATCAGACCAAGTGACTCATGACCCAGAAATAGTCAAGGCCCTTCTCATCGCCAGGAAGGGGAGTTAGGAATGTTCTGCTCACGTCGGGCAGGTCCAAGCAAACTTGCAATCCTCTCTGGTCACTGCCTCTTCTGGGTCTCTCCATGGCCCCAACTGTGCCTTTCTATTTCTTTGTTCCCTCTAAACCTTGCACCCACCTGCAAACACCATCCACCCATTTTTGCTTCTCTCGAGAGACTTCTCAAGGCACCCACAAGCCTAATCAGGAGGTGAGTACAGCACCTCCAAATGTCTTTATTCCAGGACCCGAAGCCCTTCAAACATCACCTTCAATGCCACAAGCCTTTTACCATCTGACTCAGAATAAACAGTAACAACCACTGCTACTGCTACTGCTACCATTTGTGTTGTGCCTGCAGAGAGCCAGGCTCTGTGTTTGAGCACTAACACACGAGTGTGTTCCATTTCACTGAAGACACAGGAAACCAGGGAAGTGATTTTCAAAATATTTAACCACCAGTGTGGCGTGGGCACTGAACCACTCAGACTCACGGCCAAACTGGTACAAACTGGCTAAAGATCAGTCAGCTGCAGGAAACCCTGAAAAGTCATAAAGGATTAAACGTGAGTGTGTGGTGCAGATTATTAATTCAGGAGTTCAGGAAGAGGAAGTTTCCGTAGAGGAAAAATTCAACTGGGGTGAAATTTGGAATGGGTTGGGGACGGTGTGGCTAAGAAAGAGGAGAGGTGGGCAGAAGAATTGGGATGGGGCTGTGTCCAGGACAGGAAGTAGACCTGTGAACTGATGCTGAGTGCAGTGGTGGTGGGCATTACAAGCAGGATAAGGAAAAATCACAGAGGGTCCTAAGTGCAAAGCAAAGGAGTATAGGCTGTGAAAATTTGTGAACAAAGAGAGACTGAAGGAGGCCCTGGAGAAGAAACAACGAGGCTGTAACTGTGGGATTCAGAACTCCTGCCTCTGAACTCCAACTTCCCCTAGAGGTAGGAATTATGCCAACTAAGCTGGGATAAGCTCACACTGCACGGGAGTTTGCAGCTTGCAGAAAAGTCCAGAAATGAGTACTCTGTTACAGGGCCAGGACTAGGGCGAGAGCAGTGAGGCATACTACTGAGGTGCAAAATGTCAGGGAGTGTCCAAAAATGCAGTAATCAAGATAAATAATACTTGAATGCAATGTTTTAAAATGAAAAGTTAATGCAAAAAACACATGGTGAGCAAAATGTCACGTTTTAAAAATAAATATGGGATCAGGCAGTCGCTCGCGCCTGCAATCCCAGCACTTTGGGAGGCCGAGGCGGGCGGATCACCTGAGGTCAGGAGTTTGAGAACAGCCTGGCCAACATGGTGAAACCCCGTCTCTACTAAAAATACAAAAATTAGCCAGGCGTGGTGGCGGGTGCCTGTAATCCCAGCTACTCAGGAGGCTGAGACGAGAGAATTGCTTGAACCTGGGAGGCGGAGGTTGCAATGAGCCGAGATAGCACCATTGTACTACAGCCTGGGCAACAAGAGTGAAACTCCGTCTCGAAAATAAATAAATAAATAATCGACCTTTGGACTTGCACAGCATAACCTCGCTGCTTCACCCTGATCCTGGCTGTGATGAAACACCAGCTTCTGGACTTTTCTGCAGGTCTCCACACTTTTCTTGGCTGTGGGTGCAGCATCTCCAGGGTTTGGCCAAAGGGGTGGTGTTCTCCATGTTCTCTGGCTTTCCAGGGGACAAACAGTGCCTTCTCATTCAGTCAATGGACATTTTTCAGGCTGGAATTCTCTGACCCACAGCCAAGGGAAGTAATCAAGGTGGCTAGGCAGGATGTCTCCTGGCCAACAGAACTAACAAGAGTTCAAATTCACATTACAAGGCAGCTGAAGCTCCTTTGGTGGCTGAACCTCCTTGATGCGGACTTACACCCCTACTGTATTCGTTACCTTTTCCACTCTACAAACTTTGGTCACTCATCCCTGCATCCATTCATCCCTCCTTCCACCCATCCATCCAACAATACAGCTGTTGGTCCATCTTGCCATGGACAGAGCCGTCTATCCAGCCATCCCTTCTTCTATTCATTCATCCACACATGCATCCAAACACATAGCCAGGCACCCAACCACTGAGCCAATCCCCTACCGACCTACCATATAAAATCAGCCTGTGGATGTGGAAGGAGTCCCACCTCTTACCAGCAGGCCTACTTAACTTCTCCAAGTCTCAATCTCTTCATCTGAAAATTGAGTATGTGTATGCTCATAAGGGCCTTCACAGGGTTGTTATGAGCAGTAAATAACAAAACCCATGTGAATGGTGGCTATTATATTACCATGGTAAGAAAATGAATGTGGCAAAAGGCCCAGCTTGTCTGCTACAATGTTGGCTCTAACAGGTGATCTGGAAAACCAGTCAAACCTGTAGTTAACAGTTGTGGGGGGTGGGGGAGGGGGGTGATAAAGTTGTGTTATCCTTTTTGTTATCCCCAGATTCAGCTTAAGGAAAAGAATAAATGGATGTGGGGCAGGTAACAATGACTAGAACATTCATGCAGGAGGCATTCTGCATGCAGGCAGTGACTGCAGATTCCAGGACCTGTGGTTAGCGGACTCCTATTGATGTTTCTGGGAACTCTAGACCTGGAAGTTCAGGTAGGTAGGCAAGCCTCAGGACTCATCGTCATCACTTGTTCCCATGGGGCAAATGCTTTAGTGGAGAACTCTGGACTCAGGTAGCCAGGGGTTCATAGCAGGGGTTCAAATCCCACTCTTACTTACTTGTGTGGCCTTAGACAATGTACGTAAGTGCCTCAATTACCCCATCCGTACAATGGGGATTAAGAAGTGAAGATTCTGCTGATACGGTGGCTCAGGCCTATAATCCTAGCACTTTGGGAGGCCGAGGCAGGTGGGTTGCCGGAGCTCAGGAGTTTGAGACCCGCCTGGGCACCATGGAGAAACCCTGTCTCCACTAAGATACAAAAAATTAGCTGGGCGTGGTGGTGGGCACCTGTAATCCCAGCCACTTAGGAGGCTGAAGCAGGAGAATTGCTTGAACTGGGGAGGCGGAGGTTGCAGTGAGCCGAGATCGTGCCATTGCACTCCAGCCTGGGCGACAGAGCGAGACTCTGTCTCCAAAAAAACTAAATAAAAATAAAATAAAAGGTGAAGAGTCACAAAGTTTATTTGTGTGAGGCACTTGGAGCAGGGTCCAACACATCCCCACAAGAGGTCATGACTCTGACCATGGATAGGCCTGTTCTTTGCCCTTGGCCTCTCAGCCCCCATATGCACCAGACCTTCAGACCAATGAGGCACCTGCCAGTTTGGGTGTTTCATCTGGTGTATTGGTTTCTTCCTATTGTTGTGTTCTAATTACCACAAACTTAGAGGCTTATAATAGCACAAATGTACTCTACGGAAGTTCTGTAAGTCAGAAGTCCATGTGGACTTGGTTGGTTCCCTGGAGGGTCTGGGGGAGAATCTGCTTCCAAGCTCATTCAGAGGGCTGGCAGAATGCAGTTCCATGCTGGTGAAGGGCTGAGGTCCTGGTTTCCTTGCTGGCTGTCACTACGGCCAGCTTCTATAGGTTGCCTGTGTACCTTGGCTTTGGCCCTCTTCAAAGCCAGCAGTGGCAGATAGAGTCCTTCTCATGATTCAGCGCTCTCTGACCCCACCTGCCTCATCCCCCCTCTGACTTCTCCAACCTCTCCTTCTGCCCCCTCTCTCCGACTCTTCTCCTATGCTCTTCTGCTTCTAAAGGCCCACATGATTCCACAGGGCCCCTCGGATAACCCAGGATAATCCTATTTAAAGTCAGCTGATTCAAACGTTGATTCCATCCGCAAAGTCCTCCATGGCAGTCGCTAGATTGTGCTTGAGTGAATAGGAAGCTTTCGAGTTCTGCCTACCAGCCCTGTCCAGCCAAGACTGTGCCAGCAGCTGCAGTCCTCAGCCTCATTTCTGTAGAGGTGTAGAGGACTGGAACCACGGAGAAGCCCTCCAGCCAGCTGGAGCCAGAGGGTCAGACAAACTCACCATGAAAAGTGTGTGCAGGTAGCAAAGGATAAAAAGCACACAACGGAGCATCAGAAAAGCCCATGCATGGGGGGAGTCTCTATTCTGGTGCCATGCTCAGGGCCAGGTATTTTACCTATAATTATATTTAAACTGCATGACCGTATCTAACTACCCTGGAAAGCAGGGATACTTGCTCCATTTTACAGATGAGGAAACTGAGGCTGGTGGGGGGGAGGCGGGGGGGAACCATTTGCTTAGGTCACACAGTGAATCTGTAGTAGGGCTAGAACCAAACATTGGTCTCCAATTAACCAGGTCAGTGCCCTCCACATCTCAGCACCCAGGGGCCCTGGCCTGCTGGAACGATCCACAAAGGAGGGTCACCAGGGACCTAGCGCAGGAGGCAGCTCTGGGGCCTGAGGTCTAGCATGCAGAGCTTTCAATTCTGACATCCTCCAAGTGGCTGGGATGGGCAGAGGGGTGAAGCATTCCAGGTACACATGAAGGGCAGGACATCTGCCTAGAAGGACACCTTTATCCCAAGGCCAGCGACTTCTGTTCCAAATAGTAACCGAGCAGGGTCTTTTCTGAGACATATGCCTCAAAGCACAGAGAGACTGGTCACACCCAGAGAGGGGCATCCAGACAGAGATGGAGTCACAACCTAAGGAAGATCTGCTTTATCTGAAAAAAGGTGCCTGCTGGAGCTCACCCTGGTTCCATGGAGATTCCATGTCCACATGCCACACTGGCCACAGGAGAGGAGAGAGACTGTGGGGGAGGCTCTTTAAATGCAGATTTCTGAGCCCTACCCAGACCCAGTAGGTCATATCCCAGGAAAGAAGTCCAGGAATCTGCTTCCCCAGGTGCCTGAGACACAGAGTCTGGGCTAGAACATCAGGGGATGAAACACCAGTCGGAGGGAGGCCACGAGAGAGCTCAGATCTGGCTCTACTCACAGGTTGGAAAGATGCATTTTTAAAAAGAGAGGGAAGGGCACAGAGGCTCACATCTCTAATCCTAGCACTCTGGGAGGCTGAGGCAGGAGGATCACTTGAGCCCAGGAGTTTGAGACCCCATCTCTACTAAAAATACAAAAAAACTAGCTGGGCGTGATGGTACGAGCCTGTGGTCCCAGCTACTCAAAAGGCTGATGTGGGAGGATCTCCTGAGCCTGGGAGGCCAAGGCTGCAGTGAACTGTGATGATGCCACTGAACTCCAACCTGGGTGGCAAGAGAGCCAGGCCCTGTCTCAAAATAAATAAATAAAAATTTAAAAATGAAGAGACAGAGAAAGAGCAAGCCCAGAGCAGAGAGCACTGCAGTAGGTCAAGGCTGGGTTCAGACACTCTCTGCGCACAGACTGGGAAAGTTACCATCTACTCTTGTGGCCTCAGTTTCCTCATCTGTAAAATGGGGGGTCAACAACATGCCACTTTGCAAGGTGATGATGTAAGTGAAGAACAGGGCATCACTGGGCATTTGAGGCTACGGCACAGGCTGGTCTGAATCACCCTCTCCTCACCCAAAGCAGTGACAGCACCGGCCTCCTCAGCCTGGAACGCACGTTCTTCTGTCTGTCTCACACCCAGACCCTTACATACCATCTTCTTTAGCTTTGCAAACTACAGAGAATGGCCCTACAGCTCTTAATGTAGCTTCCTCAGCAGAAAGACTAAAATGTCTGTTGAGGGGGCAAAACAATTCACAAGGAGGTCGTCTAGCTTCTTCAGTTGTAAGTCCACTCCAAGCAAAAGGGAAGCCAGGGAAATGTGGTTAACCAGGGCAGGGAGACGTGGGGAGTGTGGGGGAAAGTCTGAGGTGGAGACACACAGGGACATGGGGGGTATGAGGTGGGGACAGGCAGGGAGATGGGGGTGCAAGGTGGAGACACGCAGGGACATGAGGGGGTGTGAGGTGGGGACAGGCAGGAAGATGGGAGGTGCAAGGCGGGGACAGGCAGGGACATAGGGGTGTGAGGTGGGGAAATGCAGGAAGATGGGGGGATGTGAGGTGGGGACTGGCAGGGATATGGGGGTGTGAGGTGGGGACAGGCAGAGACATGGGGGTGTGAGGTGGGGACAGGCAGGGACATAGGGGTATGGTGGGGATAGGCAGGGAGATGGGGGGTGCGAGGTGGGGACAGGAAGGGACATAAGGCTGTGAGGTGGAGACAGGCAGGGACATGGGGGGTGTGAGGTGGGGACAGGCAGGGAGATGGGGGGTGCGAGGTGGGGACAAGCAGGGACATGGGGAGTGCGAGGTGGGGACAGGCAGGGACGTGGGGCGTGCGAGGTGGGGACAGGCAGGGACATAAGGGTGTGAGGTGGAGACAGGCAGGGACATGGGGAGTCTGAGGTGGGGACAGGCAGGGAGATGGGGGGTGTGAGTTGGGGACAGGCAGGGAGATGGGGGGGTGCGAGGTGGGGATAAGCAGGGACATGGGGGTGCGAGGTGGGGACAGGCAGGGACATGGGGGTGGGAGGTGGGGACAGGCAGGGACATAGGGGGTGGGAGGTGGGCACATTCAGGGAGATGGGGGTGTGAGGTGGAGACAGGCAGGGACATAGGGGGAGCGAGGTGGGGACAGGCAGGGAGATGGAGGGTGCAAGGTGAAGACAGGCAGGGACATGGTGTGAGGTGGGGACAGGAAGGGACATGAGGGGTGCGAGTTGGGGATAGGCAGGGAGATGGGGGGGTGCGAGGTGGGGACACGCAGGGAGATGGGGGACGTGGGGATGGCGACAGGCTGGGAGAGGGAGAGGCCAGGCTGAGACCTCCCCGCGCGGTGCCAGCCAGTCCAGGCAGATCCAGGACTCAGCCAGGCCTGATACCCAGATAAGCCCTTCCTCCCAGAGGAGATAAGGGAGCGACGCGGCCGGCCGACAGGTGAACTAGAGCTGGCGAGTTAGTCGGCGCCGCCCCCTCCCGCGAGCCCGGCCTCGGGGGAGTACCGCCCACCCCGCCCCGCGCTCGCTCCGCCCCGCGCTCGCTCCGCCCCTTCGCGCTCCCGCCGCTCCTCCACGCTCGTGCCGCTCCCCCCCCGCGCTCCCAGTTGACGCTCTGGGCCGCCACCTCCGCGGACCCTGAGCGCAAGAGCCAAGCCGCCAGCGCTGCGATGTGGGCCACGCTGCCGCTGCTCTGCGCCGGGGCCTGGCTCCTGGGAGTCCCCGTCTGCGGTGCCGCCGAACTGTGCGTGAACTCCTTAGGTACGCAGAGGGCGCGCCGCCCGAGAGGGTGCTAGCAGGCCCTAGAGTGGACGCTGGGAGAACTTGGCCAGGGGCGCACTGGGCTCCGGAGGAACGGGGCAGAGCTTTCCCCGGTGAGAGGCCAGGAACTCTGCGTGCTGGCACGGGGAGGGGTAAACTGCATTATAGGCGGGGGTTCTCGGAGGGTGGGCGGCTTGTAGGACCAGAGGAGCAGATGGGCTGAGTGTCCAGGGTCCCACCTAGCCAGGTGGCTCTCCAGCCTAGAATACCAAAGGAGCCCGCAGCTCCTTCCGCCTTCCTCAACTGGGGACACAGAGTGTCACACAGAGGACTCTGATCTGTCCCTGCCAGAGGTGAGCAAGGACGTCCCAGCCTTCTCTAGCAGCTTCCCCCGGGACTTGGCACACAGGGGATCCCCGTAGTGTCTTGGGAGTCCCATCTGTAGAGTAGGTTGGACGGGCTGTTTGGAACAGTGAATCCCTGTGCAACGGCACCAGGGAAAGCACTCAGACCAACAGCGCTTTTAACAGCACCCCAGGGCCCATGGCGTCAGGTGGAGCCCCAGGACTCCTCTTGTTGGCCAGATTGGCTGCGACTGGTCCAGCTTCGTGCTGCCCTTGCATCCTGTCTACTGCCCGGGCTCAGGCACCTCCCCTGGCTGAAGGCAAGGAGCCTGCTCTTCCCTACTGCCTCCCTCCTTTCCTACTGTCCCTGGTCCCAGCCTCAGCCCACAGGCTCTGAACTTAAAGACCACCTGCCCCCTTCACCGAGAAAAGTAGCCAAGAAACAACCCAAGGAGCCAAGAACCTAGGGAGGGGGGGTGCCCTGAGCTCTGGAGGAACGGGACAGGGCTTTCCCCCAGCTAGAGGCTCAGGGGATGGGACAGAGATCACTGAGGCTGAATCTGGGCCAGAGGGTTGCCTCATTCCTTCCCACCTATTTATTTAAAAAGCTCCCCAGCCTTGCAAACCTCAGTGGGCGCCCAGCTCCAGGTCAGTTCCCGCCTAAGGAAAACCTAGCTGCCGCAAGCGAGGGCTGCCTGGAGAAGGCTGGCGCTGAGAGGCTGTCTGAATTCCAGAGCAGGGCTTGGCAAACTTTTTCTGTGAAAGACCAGACGGTAAATAACTTAGGCTTTATGGTGGTCTCTGTAGCAACTACTAACTCTGCCATGGTAGTGTGATAGCAACCATAGATTGTATGTAAGTGAGTCAGTGTAACTGGGTTCTAATAAATGATTTTTATGGCCACTGAAATTTCAGTTTCAAGGGATTTTTGGGTGCTACGAAATATGTTTCTTCTAACCATTTAAAATTGTAAGAAACCGTTTGTAGCCCAGGAGCTGTACTAAAACAGGAGTCAGGGACCGGCTGCGGTGGCTCACACCTGTAATCTCAGCAATTTGGGAGACCGAGGCAGTCGGATCACTTTAGGTCAGGAGTTCGAGAGCAGCCTGGCCAACATGGTGAAACCCTGTCTCTACTAAAAATACAAAAATTAGCTGGGTGTGGTAGCCAGGTGCCTGTAATCCCAGGTACTCAGGAGGCTGGGGCAGGAGAATCGCTTGAAACTGAGAGGTGGCGATCACTCCAGCCTGGGTGACAGAGTAAGACTCCATCTAAAACAAACAAACAAACAAACAGGGGAATACTGTACTTTCCTGAAACCTGCTGTAAATCCAGGCAAGGTATTATGGCACTTTTAAAGTCCTGACTAGATTGGAATGGATCTATTTTAGGGTAAGGCACGGTTCACCAGCAGATTATTCTGGCCCCAGAATAATCTCTCCAGAGGCAAACTGGTAGTCAATTGTCCTAAACTCAAACCCTGCCTCCAACTCTTGTCCTGAGTTGAGGTCTGTCTTCCTCTAAAGCCCTCAGCTGCAGCAGGGCCCTTAATCAAGATCTGGAATCCCCTGAAACCCTAAAGGGAGCCATGTTGAGGAAATGTGCATTTTCCCCAGGGAAAACGGCCATAGATTGGTCTCTGGAACAGGTTCGAGACCCAAAAACGGAGATCTAAATGCTGTGTGGTAGTGATCTTCACACTGGAGGTATGGATCCTTGGGGAAACAGGAAGATATTTCAAGTGATGCCGGCAGAGAGTGTTCTGGAAATCCATTTACAGACCTTTTATTTCCAAGTGTCCTCTTTGCTAAAACTGGGAGAGAGCCCCTGAAGGCAAGGGGGAACCTCTTTCCTCTCATTCAATCTGAACCTGAACCCATGGGTATAAAAACAATAGGGACAGCAAACAAAAAGACAAAACGGTAATAAATCGTTCATATCTGGCATTCTCAATTCCTCAAGGAAACTGAATTGAAGAGGAGAGGACTTCATGGGGATATCAACTGATGAGGTCTTAAAAATAATGTTGAGTGAGGCCAGGCGTGGGGGCTCACGCCTGTGATCCCAGCACTTTGGTAGGCCAAGGTGGGTGGATCACCTGAGGTCAGAAGTTTCAGACCAGATTGGCTAACATGGTGAAACCCCATCTCTACTAAAAATATAAAAATTAGCCGGGCGTGGTGGTGGGCACCTGTAATCCCAGCTACTTGGGAGGCTGAGATAGAATTGCTTGAACCAGGGAGGTGGAGGTTGCAGTGAGCTGATATCGTGCCACTGCCCTCCAGCCTGGGCAACAGAGCCAGCCTCCTTCTCAAAAAAAAAAAAAAAAAAGAAGGAAAGAAAGGGAGGGAGGGAGGGCTGAGTGATAGAGCACCATGGGATTGGATGCACAGAAAGGAGTGCGAAGAATTAAGTGGCATTGCTCTTAAAAACTGCCTCCATTCCCAGCTGCTTATTTGAGCAGGGTTTCCCAGCCCTTTGACCTATAAGAAACAAAAATAAGACCAGAATTAATGCTGAACCTTTTCTCAACCAAACAATATTCACTCATGAAAATATAAATCCATTGCGGGGGATGGGCAGTAGAGTACTGTTTATCACATTAAGAGATGCATTTCTGATACAATTTTACTTTTGATGTTTAACAATTACTTTTCATAATGTATAATACATTTGAAATGTTTTAATCAGTTGGGACACTAATAATAATTATGATTACTCAATCCAGAATAAATTTTTTTTTTTTTTTTTGAGACGGAGTCTCATTCTGTCGCCCAGGCTGGAGTGCAGTGGCGTGATCTCGGCTCACTGCAAGCCCCGCCTCCCGGGTTCACGCCATTCTCCTGCCTCAGCCTCCTGAGTAGCTGGGACTGCAGGCGCCCGCCACCACGCCCGGCTAATTTGTTTTTTGTATTTTTAGTAGAGTTGGGGTTTCACCGTGTTAGCCAGGATGGTCTCGATCTTCTGAACTCGTGATCCGCCCGTCTCAGCCTCTCAAAGTGCTGGGATTACAGGCATGAGCCACCGCGCCCAGCTCCAGAATAAATTTTTATAATATTCACAGATGTATGGGTCACAGGTAGTAAAAACATTTAATTTTTTTTTTTTTTTTTTTTTTTTTTTTAGACAGAGTCTCGCTTTGTCGCCCAGGCTGGAGTGCAGTGGCACGATCTTGGCTACTGCAACCTCTGCCTCCCAGGTTCAAGCAATTCTTCTGCCTCAGCCTCCCAAGTAGCTGGGACTACAGGTGCATGCCACCACGTCTGGCTTATTTTTGTATTTTTAGTAGAGATGAGGTTTCACCATGTTGGCCAGGCTGGTCTCAAACTCCTGACCTCATGATCCACCTGCCTCAGCCTCCCAAAGTGCTGGGATTACAGGCATGAGCCACGGCGCCCAGCCAAAATAAATAATTTAAATTTAAACTTTTTGTTGTTGTTGCAGAAAAGAATGTGAAGGTGATCAAGCATAAAAATGTATGTTCCCTTAGGATAAAATTCTGCCAGGTGGGGATGGAGATAGGTGTTCAACAAGAAAAAGAAACTCTGTATAATATCTGACTCTTTTTTGTTTTGTTTTCTTTATTTGAGATGGAGTTTCGCTCTTGTCACCCAGGCTGGGGTGCAGTGGCACAATCTCGGCTCACAGCAGCCTCCGCCTCTCAGGTTCAAGCGATCCTCCTGCCTCAGCCTCCTGAGTAGCTGGGATTACAGGCGCCTGCCACCATGCCCAGCTAATTTTTGTATTTTTAGTGGAGCTGGGGTTTTGCCATGTTGGCCAAGTTGGTCATGAGCTCCTGACCTCAGGTGATCTGCCCACCTTGGCCTCCCAAAGTGCTGGGATTACAGGCGTGAGCCACCACACCCCGCCTAAATACCTGACTCTTATAGAAAAGTTTGTTCATGTTACTGATGGTGGATATCAAATCATCATGGTATTTAGATTCCACTGGCTAGCTTTAAAAGAATGATATAACAATCTTATTTTTAGAGATTTTTTTTTTTTTTTTGAGACAAGGTCTCACTCCTGTCACCCAGGCAGGAATGCAGTGGCGCTATCATAGCTCATTGCAGCCTCAACCTCCCAGGCTCAAGTGATTCTCCCGTCTAATTTTTTTTATTTTTTTGTAGAGACGAGGTCTCACTTTGTTGCCCAGACTGGTCCCAAACTCCTAGGCTCAAGGGATTCGCCTGTGTCAGCCTCCCAAAGTACTGAGATTATAGGCTTGGGCCACACTGCCAGGTGTTATTTTTAAATCTCAATATTTATAAGTTGGAATATGTCTTTGGAGGTATTCAAATTTAAAATGAAATGTTTAGATAAGAACATACATGGGGAAATACGGCAGGAATCCAAAAACAAATGGCTGGCCTGCTTTTGTAAAATATTTTGTCTTGTTTGTTTTATTATGTTTTTGATAATATCTGTACATATTTGGGGGTACATGTGAGGTTTCGTTTTTGTGAAGTCTTGCGGGAACGCAGTCCTACCCATTAATGTTCACAGTCTCTGTGGCTGTCTCTGAGCCGCAGGGGCAGAGTTGAGTAGTTGTGGCAGAAACCATATAGATGGCAAAGCCTGAAATATTTACTACCTGTCCCCATAAGGAAAAACAGTGCTTGCCCTTGGAATAGATAGGTTTGTTTTTTGTTGTTGTTGTTTTTGAGACGGAGTCTCTCTCTGTCGCCCAGGCTGGAGTGCAGTGGCACGATCTCGGCTCACTGCAACCTCCGCCTCCCGGGTTCAAGCGATTCTCCTCAGCCTCCCGAGTAGCTGGGATTACAGGCACACACCACCATACCCAGCTGATTTTTATATTTTTGTGGAGACAGGGTTTCGCCATGTTGGCCAAGCTGGTCTTGAACCCCTGACCTCAGGCAATCGGCCCACCTCGGCCTCCCAAAGTGCTGGGATTACAGGCATGAGCCACCGCGCCCAGCTGGAGTAGATAGCTTTTTAAATTAACTTCTTACCGAAATATAACTTCATACAGAAAGGGGCACAAATCATTGAGTATGCATTTCCACGAATTTTCTCAATCTAAACACACTCAGTTAACCAGCGCCCAGTTGAAGAAACAGGATATGAGCAGCATCCCGGAAGTGCTTTCTGCACCCCGACCCAGTAGGCATAACCACCATCCTGACTTTCAACACCATTGACTAATAGTATATACTTTTTCACATTAATTTGGGGTACAAAACCAGGAAGAGTCGGAGTTTCTTTTTGCATTCTGCATTATATAACACCATTTTTGGTGTTTTAAATTTAGTCCAGTTTTCGAAAATGCAAATCAGTTCTAAAGTGCCCTACTTTGCTATAGACTCAACATTACTGTGATGCGCCCAGACCTAATTTTTTTTTTCTTTTTACAGAGAAGTTTCACTTCAAGTCATGGATGTCTAAGGTCAGTGCCCAACTTCTTCTTTTTGAAGTTTTTCATTTCACAAAGTTTCCTGTTATCAAACCAAACTGTCCCAGATTTGAGACAATGAAAAAGGGAATTTCCAACTTTGCCTAGTGGGGTCTTTCCAGAAGTTGAACTGGCCAAACACTGGGAAAGATGCAGTTAAGTAAATTCCTTCCAAATAGTGGTCCCAAGTGATTAACTTGGCTGACAGCCTTCCAAGCCCTGGGATTCATTTCTGTATTTTGTTTTCAAAGCACATTGTGGAGAATGTAAATTAGTACAACCATTGTAAAAAAAACAGTATGGAGGTTCCATCAAAAACTCAAAACAAAACTACCATATGACCCAGCAAGCCTACTACTGAGTATATATCCAAAAGAAAGGAAATTAGTATATTGGAGGGATATCTGCACCCTCATGTTTATTGCAGAACTAGTCACAATAGCCAAGATATGGAATCAACCTAAGTGCCTATCAATGGGTAAAGCAAATGTGGTGTATGTACACAATGGAATATTATTCAGCCATAACAAAGAATGAAATTCTGTCATTTGCAGCAACATGGATGGAACTGGAGGTCATTATGTTTAGTGAAATAAGCCAAGCATAGAAAGGCAAATATTACATGTTCTCACTCGTATGTGGGAGATAAAAAAGTGGATCTGATGAAGAAAGACAGTAGAATGGTGACTAGCAGAAGCTAGGAAGGGCAGGGAAGCAGGGATGAAGATAAACTGATTCCTGAGTACAAAATATTTTTTTTTTTTTGAGACAGAGTCTCACTTTGTCACCCAGGCTGAAGTGCAGTGGCACACTCTCGGCTCACTGCAACCTCCACCTTCTGGGTTCAAGCGATTCTCATGCCTCAGCCTCCTGAGTAGCTGGGATTACAAGTGTCTGCCACCATGCCCGGCTAATTTTTGTATTTTTAGTAGAGATGGGGGTTCGCCATGTTGGCCAGGTGGGTCTTGAACTCCTGACCTCAGGTGATCCACCCGCCTCAGCCTCCCAAAGTGCTGGGATTACAGGCGTGAGCCACTGCACCTGGCCCAAAAATAATTAGAAGAAATGAGACCAAGTGTTCAAAAAACAAGTAGATTCAACTGTAGTAAGCAATCATTATTTTGTATTTCCAAATAGCTAGTAGAGAATAATTTGAATGTTCCCAGCATAAAGAAATTTTTAAAGTAATGGATCTCCCAATGACCTTGATTTGATTATTACACATTATATGAATGTATCGAAATATTACATTTACCAAAAAAAGTACATCAGTTATATATCAATAAAAAATTATACACATTTGTTTTTAGAAAACCAAAGCACACTGTGTACTGGTTGCAGAATCAGTTGGGGAACACCAGTGCATGTGCTTTTGAAAAATGGTGATCTTTGCTGTAAACTTGACCCAGCACCAGCAGTGGCGTCCAGGAGTGCCCCACATGTGGCAGGTTTGTTCACCAGTGCCTCTTGGACCACATTCTGACTTTCACGCAGCTGCATGGTCTTCATTCTGGCCACAGGTCCCTGAAAACGGGGTTGTTTTGTAACTTCCCAAATTTCTCAGCAGTACCCCGCCCATTAACACAGATTTGGCCTGAGAATCATAGCAGAAAGAAAACCTTCATCTTTCCTCTTAGGAAAACAAAAAGGTCTCCCTCTAGGGAGCTGCAGCCTGTTTCCATGACTTGCTACTGGCGTGTTTTGTTTTAGCACCGTAAGACCTACAGTACGGAGGAGTACCACCACAGGCTGCAGACGTTTGCCAGCAACTGGAGGAAGATAAACGCCCACAACAATGGGAACCACACATTTAAAAGTACGTGGAACGCCTTCCTTCCTTCCTGGAAGGATGTCAGTTAGTGACCCAGCCCATGAAAGGGCCCGCTGGGGGCTGGTGGGTGGAGGGAGCAGAAGCCCAGGCTCTGAAGCTGTGTTTGGCTGACCTCAGATTGTGGCTCCGCTGTTACTCTCTGTGTAATGTGGGATCGTAAATTTGGGACAAAGCCGGTACCCCTCTGGGTGGTTGTGAAGTTTACAAGAGACTCTGTAGAAGCCCCTGCCCCATTCCTGCCATCTGAGGGTCCAGCCTGGAAGCCAAGGTCTGTCTTTGGATTGTTGCGGGGGGTAGGGGTTGCTCATGGGCTCAGAGCAGCCCCTGGGAGCATCTGCCTTCACTCCGGATTAATTTCACTAGAAACTCACATAGGCCGGGCGCGGTGGCTCACGCCTGTAATTCCAGCACTTTGGGAGGCCGAGATGGGTGGATCACCTGAGGTTGGGAGTTCAAGACCAGCCTAACCAACATGGAGAAACCCCATCTCTACTAAAAATACAAAATTAGCCGGGCTTGGTGGCGCATGTCTGTAATCCCAGCTATTTGGGAGGCTGAGGCAGGAGAATCACTTGATCCCGGGAGGTGGAGGTTGCGGTGAGCCGAGATAGTGCCATTGCACTCCAGCCTGGGCAACAAGAGTGAAACTCCATCTCAAAAAAAAAAAGAAACTCACACGCACGTCCAGCGTATTTTCTGAGGACTCTGAGAAATATTGGTAGTTGACTAAATTGGTAATAAAGGCATCAAGCATGAGCTGGAAAGAAACTTGGGCTTGAACCTCATTTCTGCCCAGTCCTAGCCTGTGACCTCCAGGGATGCTAACATGGGCAGTAAAGAGGAAATGAGCCCAGGTGTGGTGGCCCACACCTATAATCCCTAAAGACAGGGTCAGGAGTTCGAGACCAGCCTGGCCAACATGGCAAAACCCCATCTCTACTAAAAATACAAAACTTAGCCGGGCATGGTGGCAGGTGCCTGTAGTCTCAGCTACTAGGGAAGCTGAGGCAGGAGAATCGCTTGAATCCGGGAGGCAGAGGTTGCAGTGAGCCAAGATCGCGTCCCTGCCTCCAGCCTGGGTGACAGAGCGAGACTCTGTCTCAAAAAAAAAAAAAAAAAAAAGAAAAGAAAAGAAAAAGCAGAAATGATCACGCATCCCTGCTGGGGCTGTGTAGAGACCAAATTAGGCAGCAGGTGGGAAGGCCCCTGGCACCAGTGGAGTGGTTCTTTACCTAGCTATCCATCAGACTCACGAGGGGAGTATCTAAAAAAGTAAGTGCCCAGGCCCCACCCCAGACCAACTGCATTAGCATCTCTGGAGTACGGCCCGGACATCTATACCATTGAAAAAGCTCCCCAGGTATTTTGGCAGCACTGTAAGGGCTGATTGAATTATCTACTGAATTATATTAAATACAAAAACTTAAAGGAGATGGGTTGCAGTGGTTCTAAATACGACACAGGTAAACAGGAGGTTTCATCACTTTTTCTTGTTTCTTCATTAGTGATTCACTAACCATTTCTGTTTTGGTTTTTTCCTTCTCTTTTGTAGTGGCACTGAACCAATTTTCAGACATGAGCTTTGCTGAAATAAAACACAAGTATCTCTGGTCAGAGCCTCAGGTAGGTATAATTCATTGCAACCAAATCTGAATCCTTTTACTGAAACCTTTGGAATAAATTTGGAGCCTGCTCTGCTTCTAGGCAGATTCAGTCCCATCCCCAGATGCAGCTGAGGGTATCCCCAGATTCTTTGGGGGAACCAGAAGAGTCAGCTCTCAGCAGTTCCTCAGTCCAGGCCCATGGCCTTAGCATTGTGGACCCTTAACTTAGGGCTACCAGATTAAAATATAGATACTCAGTTAAAAATGAATTTCAGATACACAACAAGTAATTCTTTAGCATAAGTATATTCTAAATATTGCACAGGATATACTTACACTACAAAGTTATTTGTTGTTTACCTGAAATTCAAATTTAACTAGGTGAGCTGTATTTTTATTTGCTACATCTGTCTACCCTATCCTAATGCTCTGGACTCTCAAGGGGACATGTCATTTAGCACTTGGGACCAGTAGACAGGAGAGGGAAGGTTCTGAGAGCTGCAGCCTTTCTTATTCTCTCTTGGTGATTCCATGTTTATACATTTCTTCTTCTTGTTGTCAGAAAGGTTTTTGGTTTTGTTTATTTTCCTGAAAATAATGTGTTTGGTTGTTCCAGAATTGCTCAGCCACCAAAAGTAACTACCTTCGAGGTACTGGTCCCTACCCACCTTCCGTGGACTGGCGGAAAAAAGGAAATTTTGTCTCACCTGTGAAAAATCAGGTATGCCTGGCAATCTCCATCCTCTCCCTGCAAAACGGCCACACTCCCAGACAATACACCAGGAAGAACAACTCAAAAGGTCCACAAAACCACCACAAGCACATCCCTGCCTCTGTTTCCTCTCGGCATCTCTCCAGCCCTCTTCCTTTGAGGGGCCAGGGAGGTCAGCACTTCTCTAGGCTGCTCTGGAGGATGCAAAAGTTCCTCTTTATTGGGCTAAAGTTTACTCCCTTCCTTCCCCACGCCCCAGATTTTCCCATTGGTCCCAGGTCTCTCCTACAGAGCCATCCAAAACGTTATGTTCCCTGTGCCCATCTGGACACCAGAACCCCATGCATCTCCTCTTCCCGCCTCCATCTTCTCCGAGCCACCAGGGTCCAGCCCCTGCCCTGGCTGGCCGCCTCCCTCTGGTTAGTCCATGTGTCATGCATCAGCAAGCTTCTCATGGCAGGGGCTGGCCTCCGTGGCCCTTGCTGTGGGGCACAGAGGGCTTGGCAAGGTGAGAGGCCCTGCCTTCCTCCATGGGGGAGCAGTCTGGGGGCATCTCAGCACAGGCCCTGTCCCAGAGAGTCTGGACCCTGCCCCCGCTGTTCTCCCGGCCTGCTGCGGCCCCTCCCCTAGCAGGGAACCTGCCGTGGCCTTCTTCAGAAGGATGCCGACCTCTGGACTCTAGGAAATATGAGGTGAAGGTTTCCTTCCTGGAAACTCCTGGCTTTCCATCGAAATTCTCCATGAGAAATGTTTTTTCACTTTCCAAAAAGCCATCCATGCAGCACAGCTTTAAAGCCTCCCGGGCTTGCAGTGTTCCTGGAGCCTGCCAAGTGCTGGATGTTTAACTAGCATCAGGAGCCAAAGCAAACCTCCCCTTGCAGCAGGAGGTGGAGTAGAAGCCTGCCTTTGCCCCGTGACATTTTTAGACCCTCTGAGAACCACATGACAATTCAGAGCAACACGTAACCTAAACCTGCCCACCACTTGGACAGGTGGGAAAGAGAGGCCCACCAAGAATTTTCCAAGTCCTCCTGTTAACTGATCCTGGGCCATCAGGCAGGACGCAGCCGGCTGGGCTAAGGGAGCGGAATGAGGTGCTTCCTGACGCAGATGTGTGCCGTCTCTTACTGTGGCCGCTGTGTGGGGATAGAGACGGACAGCAGCCACAGCGTCCATCAGCTCAGCACCCTCCTTGAGAGTTTCTCACTTTACAGAGGGAGAGCCTGAGAGGGAGGGTGGTTTGCCTGAGGTCCAAGGTAAGTAAGTGACAAAGGGGACTCAAAACCAGGCCCCTGCCCCAAGTCGAGCACCCAAGGGTCAGCCGAGCTCCGCCTCCTTCAGCAGTGAGCTTAGTCTCCCCCGAAGTGGCCACGTCTGCCTCGTTGACTGTCTCATGGACCCTCTCACCAGGCCGTCCCTCCCTCCCCCAGCTGAGAGAGATATGTGAAGGGAAGAGATTGGGTGAGGCCAGTGTCAACCTAGGGTGATGACCTGGGAGGCAGGTAGGGGACTTAAGAGACATTTCAGAAGTAGAAGCTGGAAGACTGAACCAGCAAGGTGAGGAAACAGAGATGAACCTGAGAGAAATCCTTACAGCAGCCACCAGCATTGTGCCCACGGGGGTGACTGCCTGACCAGCAGAATCTGACTTAACCCTGCTAGCGCCCTGCAAGCAGGAACCCTCGCCATTCCCACTTTACAAGCAATGAAGCCAAGGCTTCGAGAGGGGAAGTGACTTGCCCAGGTCACCCACCTGGTGTGTGGCAGAGCTGGGATGTGAACCAGGCAGGCAGGCTGCAGCCCCCCACACCTAATCCTCATGTTATTCTGGAGGTGTTGTGAATAAGGGGGCTAGGCAGCGGCAATGAACTGTTAGAAGGTGGGGAAATGGGTGGATGGGGCGGGTCCCCCAGAGTCTGGGGTGTCAGGGGTGTCTGGGTGGGGTTGTCTGGCAGTTAGTTGGATGTCTGAGCCTAAGTGGAGGTCAGCACTGGGCTAGGGTTTGGGGAGCTGTTAGTTTAACAGGACTGGGCAGAAGAGACTGGAGGTGGAAAGGTGAGAGAAGGTTCTAAAAACAGAACTTTGGGGCATCCTTCTGCAGGGAACCAGTAGGGAAAAGAGGAGCCAGTGAAGATCGAGAAGGAAGAGAGCCAGAAGACTGCAGAATGGGGTGGGGGACTCCAGGCCCTGGCAGAATGGTGGGGATTGGCCACCAAGAGGTGGTGATTGGGAGTCCACAGGCACTGGTCAGAGGCCACCTGCTGCTCCTGCTCCTTTGCAAGCCTCTCAGGACTTGCGAGGCTCAGAATGAATGGATCTGGAACAGGGCTTGCGAGCCTCAGAATGAATGGATCTGGAACAGGGCCTGCGAGGCTCAGAATGAATGGATCTGGAACAGGGCTTGGTAAACTGCCAAGGCACCTGGGGACTCGGGAGCTCTGGCAGGGTCAGCAGAGGAAGGCAGAAGGCAGGGCTGTCTCACGGCGTCCCCATCACTGATGTCCTCTGCTCTCCCCTGGCCTTTCCAGGGTGCCTGCGGCAGTTGCTGGACTTTCTCCACCACTGGGGCCCTGGAGTCTGCGATCGCCATCGCAACCGGAAAGATGCTGTCCTTGGTAAGAAATCAGCCACAGGCGACCCCCTGCGGAGGACACCCCATCCTGATGTGGGCCAGGCCTGGGCCTTTGGTTTCCCTGGAGCATTGGCTAAGGGTGCTGTTTCAGGTGGACCCAGATGCCCCAGCCTTGTGGACATCTGGCATGAGAATCTCAATTGATGCTTTTCCCGGGAAGGATCTGAGTTTATTAAGGAACCGGCCCAAGGGCTCATTCCTAGATGGATCTGGGTGGTCCTTAGCTTGACAGCCTGGAGCCTTCCCGGCGGAGGGGTTCAGAAAGGCGGAGCCTGCCTGGTGGGTAGCCAACTAGGAGCTACACCCTTCCCAGCAGCCTCAGTTGTCTTCATGAGGGAAGAGCCGGGACCTATGCATCCATCCCCTCGCCCACAAGAGACGGATGATGCCCCTGAAGGAACTATCCTAGCCCCTGCCTCTGTGGAGAAAGGAGGGACAGTGCACAGCCGGCCTGGTGATGCCATGAGGACCCTGGGTTGTGGACAGGTGGGGGTAGGGTCTCTGGCTGGGCCTGTTTCCCCCATCCTATACACCGCTGTGGGACCCCACACTCTGCATCGTATGGGCACACCTACGGGGCAGGGGTTTGGACCCAACAGCCCTTGCCCCCTCTCACCTTCCCTGGCTGCCCCTGCTTACTGAGCCCCTCCCGACATGTGCCAGCTGCTGGGCTGGCACTGCAGGACATACAGCAACTGTCCCTGCCCTTGGGGAGTTTATAATTTGGTCACCTTGACACAGCACTGACGGGGCCTCAGATGTGGCTCAGCCAGGGAGGCTTAGCGCCTCACGCCAAAGCCTTGACGGCTTCTCAGCTGGCAGGTCACTGGGTTGTGTCCTTCTTCCAGGCGGAACAGCAGCTGGTGGACTGCGCCCAGGACTTCAATAATCACGGCTGCCAAGGGTACGTCTCTGACCAGAAGGGGCCCAAAACTTCCTCATTTCCCACTGACCGCTTCGACAGGATCCAGTGTGTGCTGGGTCTGCCACAGATATAACCCACCACTGCCCTGGGCGATGGCAAAATGGTCTCTGTTGTACAGGGGTGGTCACCTCACATGGCCAGGTCTCATAGCCAGGACAGGGCAGAGCTGGAATCTGAGTCCAGGCCTCTGTCCTCTCTCCACTGTATCACCTGGCTCTCCACAGTGCGGTTGGCCTCACCCGCCACCAAGGCCTCTGGGAGTGTGGCCAAAAGAATTTAATAGAGTGAGCAACACACCATTACACATCATCCTCCAAACCCGAGATCCACACACAGATACAGGGTTGGCCTTTAGATGAACTCACTAAAGTCCCAGCCTCCCAAGCTCATTGCGCCCTGTGAGGGTGAGGTGGCTGTGTGTAAGGGCTGTACCTTGCCTGGACCTGCTTTCCTGGCCCACTGTAAAGCAGGTTGCCAGGAATTTGCTGACATTTCTACAGTGACTCTAGCCCTCCCTTCATGCAGTGCTCTGAGACATTTCTGTGGTCTTTGCTCACCTGGCACATGGTGTGCATAAAGCCAGGCTCTTGGGGTGCCGTGCCTCGACTCCCCTCCACCTCCCTGGGGCACATCCCTCTCCCAGACCCCAGCCCCTCTGAGCTGGCTCTTCCTCCTGCAGGGAGCCGTGCTGCAGCCAAGTCCTGGGGACCCAGGGGTGACGTCGTAGCCTGCTCTCAGATCCACCATCATGCTCAGTGTCCCCTTACTTTTGGTCTGTTTCCACTCCACAGCTTAGAAACCCAACCCATAACAAGAGTCTGACATTTGGGCACTCTGGGGTCCCACCGTTTTTATTTTTTATTTATTTATTTATTTATTTATTTATTTATTTTTTCTTTTTTTGAGATGGAGTCTCGCTCTGTTGCCCAGGCTGGAGTGCAGTGGCGCGATCTCAGCTCACTGCAAGCTCCGCCTCCCGGGTTCACCCCATTCTCCTGCCTCAGCCTCCCAGGGAGCTGGGATTACAGGCGTGCGCCACCACACCTGGCTAATTTTTGTATTTTTAGTAGAGATGGGGGTTTCACCATGTTGGCCAGGCTAGTCTCGAACCCCTGACCTCAGGTGATCCACCCACCTTGGCCTCCCAAAGTGCTGGGATTACAGGTGTGAGCCACCACATCCAGCCTGTTTTTCAAAGGAGTCTATTTGCTTTGGTTCAGGACAGTACTTCCTTTTCTCATTCATACAACAAATATCACAGAGCACCCGCTGTGTGTAGGCCCTGGGGATACAGCGCTCAGCAGAACTGGAAGAGCGGGCATTCTGGCAGGCTCAGAGAGACCACAGTCAAGGCTAGACTAGGTCAGGCGGTGCGGAATGCTATGGAGAGAAACAGAGAAGGGACGGGGATTGCTGGGCAGCTGCTGAGTTTTTGTTTATTCTGGGAGGCCACATGATGTAGAAAAGACCCACTTTTGGAACCACTTCCCAGCTTTAGCTGTGTGGCCCTGGCCAGGTTATTCAGCCTCTTTGCCTCAGCCAGTGACAGCATCCACCACACAGGGTCGACACGAGGGGTCAGGGAGTCATGCCTGGGAAGCACCTGCCCAGGGGCTCGGCTGTGGCGATGACAGTGCTCTGGGCTGATGCTGTTGACCATGGTGTGGGGCTGTGCACTCCTGACAGAGCGGCTGGCCTTAAGGGGTCTCTATCCCACTGAGGCATGTTTGGGCTGGTCCTTGGACTCCGGTGGCCTCATCTGAGTTTGCTGAGTCTTATCCCAAGGCTGGGCCTCTCAGAGACCCCCTCTGCCACTGGGACATGCCCAACCAAGTCCCCAGCCTGCCAGGCCAGATATCTCGCCACGCCAGTCCCCGAGGGCCCCGCCTCTATCAGGACAGCCCCAGGTGGGCTCACCTGTGTGTACTTCTTGCAGGGGTCTCCCCAGCCAGGCTTTCGAGTATATCCTGTACAACAAGGGGATCATGGGTGAAGACACCTACCCCTACCAGGGCAAGGTAACTCCAACAGCCTCCACTCTGTCTTCTTGGCGTACAGCATGCCTAGCTTCACTCCCTCCCCAGCCTTGGAAGACATCCCTTCTCCCCCCACCTCCCTCCCGCCGGAATTCTCACAATTGTCTGTTCTCTCCAAATTCTTCCTTCCCCTCCTCCACCCACCTGAGCCCACTGCTCTCACCAGTCCAGGGGCCTCTTTATCATTCTCACCCCATACCCGCTCTGCGGCACCATCTCTTTCCTTCCCGAGCCAGACTTCTCAGGACCCCTCCTTCCCCCCACCTGCCCCATCTTCCTGGCTCCTCTCCCTCCTGCCACGAGCGCCATCCTCTCGCCTCTGTCCATGCAGTTGGCCTCTTGTGCCAAGGACCCTTTGGGGGCCCACCCCCACCCCTACCCTATCAAGGCTGCTGGGCCTCCCACCATCACCTCCGCCCAGCCTGGCCACAGCCAAGTGCCTTGTCTTTCCCCAAGACCTGTTGCTCCTCCTTTATTTCCCCTCGTGGTGATGAGCAGCACTGGCCTCCCTCAGAATTTCCCAGGTGTCCACAGTCCTGTTGGGCCGGTCCCCCTCTCCACCCCACCCTGCCGCCAGCCTGCTGACCACCACAGACCTCACATGACTCCCTTGGCCCATCTGTGTCGCTGACCACTCAGACCGGGGCCTCCATCCAGACCCCTGAGGGTGGCCTCCCCCAGGCCTCTCAAACCCAGCTCAGACCCCACGCCTGCCTCGATCAGAATGCCGCCGAGGCTCCATGCGGCCTTCGGGAGAAAGCCCAGACTCCAACTCAGTCTCCCTGTCTCTTTTACTCTCCCTTCTTTTTTTTTTTTTTTTTTTTTTTTTGAGACGGAGTCTTGCTCTGTTGCCCAGGCTGGAGTGCAATGGCGCAATCTCGGCTCACTGCAACCTCCGCCTCCCGAGTTCAAGCAGTTATCTGCCTCAGCCTCCTGAGTAGCTGGGAGTACAGGCACCCGCCACCACGCCCAGCTAACTTTTTATATTTTTAGTAGAGACAGGGTTTCACCATCTTGGCCAGACTGGTATTGAACTCCTGGCCTCGTGATCTACCGCCTCGGCCTCCCAAAGTGCTGTGATTACAGGCGTGAGCCACCGTGCCCGGCCAACTCTCCCTTCTTAACCTCACGCCCAGGCCCAGCCACATGCTGGTTCCTAAATGCCAGGTCCTACCCTCCCTCTAGTTCTGTCCCTTGTCCTGCTGCCTTCTCTCCTGCCTTGAAAGGGCTGCGCTTCCCTCCTTGTGACCTTACCCCTGCACCTGCCTCTTGCCAGCATTGTTTTTTGGGCTGAGACTGTCCCCACTCCCCTGCCTCACAGGCTCTGACTCGGCCTCCACTTCTCAGTGAGTTTCCTCAGGCCGGGTGAGGCCCCTCCTCAGGCTCCCACCACACACCATGTGTGCCCACCTCTGCCAAAGCCAGCACAGGACCATCTGCTACCAGACCCTAAGCTCCTTGAGGACAAGGATGCTTTAATTCTCTCTGAAATTATCCCATCCCCCAGGCCCTGGCACATCTTGTTTTGTTTAGTAAATGTTATTGAACTGCGTGGGGAGGCTGAGACTTCGGGTCCATAACCTGTATTTCATGCCCTTTGCATCCTCAACAGGATGGTTATTGCAAGTTCCAACCTGGAAAGGCCATCGGCTTTGTCAAGGATGTAGCCAACATCACAATCGTGAGTGCCGATCCCCCTCTGGGATGGGGAATGTGTCCTGATGAGGAGGCCTCTCTCATGCTGTCGGATAGCCAGTGGGCCCAGCAAGGCAGCCCTTCTGGCAGCACATCCCTTTGACGAGTTCATATTATCCCTGGGTCTCAGTCGCTGTGATGGTGGCGAGGCAGGAGATGGGAGGGAGAGCGCAAACTGGCAGGCAGGCCCTCTGGTTCTGAACTCCAGATCCACACATGCCTTCATTCTTTTGGTTCTGTTTTCTTGCTTGTAAAATGCAAGCAATTGTCCGCATCCTGCAGAAGAGGGTATGAGCACGTGCTTGACACAGCGTGTGTGAAACTGAGGAGGGTGAGTGTGTGTCACTCAGGATGAGCCAGGTTCTGTTGCAATAACAACCGTGCCCAATCTGCATGGCTGACAACAGTCAAAGGGTGTGTGGCACTCCTGCGCCCATGCACAGCTTAGGGAGGGTGGTGTGTGCTCCGTGTCATTGGCCTCACGCCAGGACTAGAGGGAAAGAAGGTGGTAAATGATGCCCTAGCTCTAAAGCCAAAACAAGCCGCCCAGTCACAGTTGACCTCAAGTGAATAGGGAAGTGTGGTCTTACCCTGCTTCTCCCAGAGAGAACTGGAACGTGAATGAACGCCTTCGTGACTGCAGTGTGCATGCATGCAAGTGTGGGAGGGTGTGTGAGGAGTGGAGGAATATCGCTTAGGTTGTGTGTGCGCCCACGAATGTATGTACAGTTCACAAACGTGATGTCTGTGTAATGACAGCGGCTGCCATTTAGTTGAAGCATGTGCCAAGCTCTCAGCAATAACATCTTAACTTGATGGAGTACTTCTAGGTGCTGTACCAACCCTCAATACGCACTATCCCCTCTAGACCCGAACTGGCCCTAGGAGATGAGTATCCTTATTACCTCATTTGACAGGTGAGGAAACGGGGGCTCCAAGTGGTTAAGTAATGTGCCCAAGGCCACAGAGCTAGGAAATAGATGCTGGATTTGAACTAAGAATGTGTCATTCCAGAACCAGGGCTCATTGCCTTGACAACATACAGCGCAAATCCTGTACTCAGGATGTCACCCTCTTCAGAATGTTGCTGCTGTCACTCAAGCTGGCTGCTCTGGGCCATGATATCCCAAGGACAGGTGAATTTGGGCCTCAAAGGTATCCCTTTGCATGGTCCCCAGGAGAGCCTCATTGGTGACACCTGCAGGGCCCTGACGACCAGGCCAGAACTAGCATTCAGCCCTCTTGGGCAGGCCCATGGGGTGGAAATGGTGCCACCTGCAGAAGTCATCGCCCCTGTGCTGGGCTGGCCTCTGTGCCCTCCATGTCTCAGATATGCCCTGACCTGTTGGGCTCACAAGGCCTTGTCCACATACCAGGAAGGAGGGCACTCCCTTGCCAGGCACCTGTTTGCTTTTCACAGCTGGGTCTCTGTCCACCCCTCTAGGGAGGCAGGACTGAGGGAGGCTGGGCGCCCCGTCCCTCCTGCACTTGCTTTCCTTCAGTAGGGCCCTGGCCTCAGCACAGGTAACTTCCCCCCTCATTTCAGCTCCCAGAGGTCTCTTGGTTAGTGCACTTGAACCCAGCCACCCCCAACCCAGAAGCTCCAAAAAGTGCCAATGCCTGGGACCCACCCTGCAGATACTGTTGTAGTTGGTCTGAGGCACAGCCTGGACTTGGGGTTTTTTTAAGGTTCTGCATGGGGTTCTACCTGCTGCTGTCACCTGGTCTCTGCAGCTCTGTTCCAAAGCTGCAGCCTCCAGGAAGCCACCCTGACTTCCCCCCACCTACCTTCCCCCTTGGAGGGGACAGGTTCTACTCAGAAGTCACACAGCCCTCGGATGGGTCTTCTCGTTTCCACCGCCATCTGGGACCTACCCGTCCATGGTTTATAACCCCTGTGTTCTAGCAGCAAAGCTTTGTAGACTCTGGGTTTATGGGTGTAGGGGTGAGAGCTGCTGGCCCAGGAGAGGACCTCAGGGAATGGATGTGAATGACTGAATGAGTAGGTCCACGCTGTACCCCGTGGTCCCTATCTCAGAGGGTGCAGGGTTTCCTAGGAGCAGAGTTGGGGAGAGGAACGAGAGATGGCCAGACAGACCCAGCCAGAGACAGGAAGGGAGAGAGGCCGCAGGGGAGCTGCTTCTGGCCATCCATGCTGCTCTGGGCCTCTAGCCCCTAGCTTGAGGCAAAAGGCTGTACTGTGAAAGGAGTGGGGAGGTGACAGGCCATGTGTTTCTGTCTCGGTCCTGTTTCCACAGTATGACGAGGAAGCGATGGTGGAGGCTGTGGCCCTCTACAACCCTGTGAGCTTTGCCTTTGAGGTGACTCAGGACTTCATGATGTATAGAACCGGCATCTACTCCAGGTGAGTCAGGGTCCCAGGAGCCAGGAGGGACAGTGGGGAGGGGCTTGGTGGGCCTCCTCACACCCCACTCGTGGGACTTGGGCTCGTGGCCCAGACTCCTGTGTGTCAGACCCTTCATGACACCTGCCAGGTGCTGGGCGTTTTGCACATCCCTCAGTTAATCCTCACACAGCCCCAAGGGCCAGGAGCCATGGCCTCTTCTCACAGCAAAGGAGAGGTGGTCAGAAGGGATACGACAGACACAGGCCACCTGGCTAGTGAGAGCTAGGGCCAAAATTTGAGAGCTTTGTGCTCCTTAACAGAAGAGTTGCCTCCAGTTTAAAAAAAACCCATGTTCAGGCCAGGCGTGGTGGCTCATGCCTGTACTCCCAGCACTTTGGGAGGCCGAGGCAGGTGGATCACTTGAGGCCAGGAGTTCAAGACCAGCCTGGCCAACATGGCGAAACCCCATCTCTACTAAAAATACAAAAAAAAAAAAAAAGCCAGCGTGGTGGTGCAT
This sequence comes from Homo sapiens, assembly GCF_000001405.40. Classification (NCBI taxonomy): domain Eukaryota; kingdom Metazoa; phylum Chordata; class Mammalia; order Primates; family Hominidae; genus Homo; species Homo sapiens. Next base: position 78,924,834 of record NC_000015.10, on the reverse strand, counting down.
GCCTATAATCCCAGCTACTCGGGAGGCTGAGACACAAGAATGGCTTGAACCTAGGAGGTGGAAGTAGCACTAAGCCAAGATCGTGCCACTGCACTCCAACCTTGGTGACAGAGCAAAGCTCTGTCTCAGAAAAAAAAAAAAATACCCATGTTTAAAGATTTGAAGACGTAAAATAGGGAGAAGAGTAGCTGCCCTCACACACTAGGATCCTGTGCTGGAGGAGTCACCCCAGGCTTCTTCAGAAAAACCAAGCTTTAGCCTCTTTACTATGGGGTTTCTCTCACCCACACCTTTTCGCCTGCCTGGTTTGCAGCCTCATTTCCCTCCCTTCATCAGTTGCTGCCCGTTAACGTCACTCACTAATGTCACTCACGTCTGTGCTCTCCTCTCCCTCCCTGAGGCTCTGCCCTGGTCACCATTGTCCTTGGACCCCCTAACCCCCCACACACTGTTCCAGCTTCCACTGGGAGCTGTCTGCCTTCTGAAACACTCCTCTTGCCAACGCCAACCTTTGAACACACCAGTGTCCCTGCTTTCCCAGGGTCCTACCCTGAGGGGGACCCTCATGATCTGGTCCTCCCTCTTTTTCCACACTCATCTGCCATCAAACCCGTCCCCGCCGTTCCACCCTGCAGCCCCCACCCCAGCCACGCAGAAGGGTTCGCAGTTCCATGGGCGTTCCCCGCCTCCACAGGGAGCCTTCCCTGACCCACCCTGCCCACCCTCCCCCCCCCCCCCGCTGGGTTGGATCCCCCCCACCTCCTGGGGGCTCTGTCGCCCTCCCACTGTCAGAGCCCTCAGGCCACTGTAGAGAAGCAGCCTCTTTGCCAACCTGCTCCCTGCCAAACAGGGCTTCCAAGGGACAGTTATGCATGCTGCCTGGATCCCGGCACCTGGCCCTGGCGCGAGCCTATGGCCCACTTACACATCAGCTGAATTCACACCTGACCACTGCAGTTTGTTCTCTTGAATTTCTTGGAATTTCCTTATGGAGGCTAGTTCACTTTTGTAAACAGAAAAAGTTGTATTTTTGCCATAGGTATAAAGTAATATTTAATAAATGCAGTGGCAACAAAGCAAAGCTGTGTTAAAGTCTGCCAGACACTGTTGCCTACAGAAGGTGCAGCAGGAAGGTGGCTCTCTCCTTGCCAGGAAAGAGGGAGTAGAAAGTGTCAGGGGTGAGACACGGGCCAGCACCATATGGAGATTCTCCTGACAGAAGCAGAAGAACCAAAAGAACTGAAAGGGCCGGGTGCGGTGGCTCACACCTGCAATCCCAGCACTTTGGGAGGCCGAGGTGGGTGGATCACCTGAGGTCAGGAGCTCGAGACCAACCTAGCCAACATGATGAAACCCTGTCTCTACCCAAAATACAAAAATTAGCTGGGTGTGGTGGTGCACGCCTGTAATCAGGCTACTCGGGAGTCTGAGGCAGGAGAATCGTTTGAACCCTGGAGGTGAAGGTTGCAGTGAGCAGAGATTGCACCATTGCACTCCAGCCTGGGCAACAGAGTGAGACTCCGTCTCAAAAGAAAAAAAGAACTGAAAGGAGTTCTCTCACGGAGACTAAATGTGATTACATCACCACCTTACATGCCTCCCTGGTCCGCTGTGGGGAACATTGCTCTAAAGCGCTCAAAGAGGCGTTGTTGGATGGGACTGTCATTGCTTTTATCCTTCCCATATGATCACCTCTTTTTGAATTTTGTTTTCCAGTACTTCCTGCCATAAAACTCCAGATAAAGTAAACCATGCAGTACTGGCTGTTGGGTATGGAGAAAAAAATGGGATCCCTTACTGGATCGTGAAAAACTCTTGGGGTCCCCAGTGGGGAATGAACGGGTAAGCAGCTCCCAGGTCCCACTTCTGGGAGGGGGATGTTGCTCAGGCCTGGAGGCCCTGGGGGCATCACTTCCACCTCAGAGTTACGGCTTCCACAGACGAGCTGGTCAGCCAAGCCCTAGGCCAGGCCAGGGGGAAAGGGAGCATGAGAATGTAGCCTCCACATTTCCAAGCCCCCATTTGCAGCCCTCACAGGGCCCCAGGTCTTTAGGACGCTGCAGGGAGAGCAGGAGGCCAGCTGGCTCAGAAGGACTGCTAGGAAAACAGCTCAGAACTTGGAACTCTGCTGGCACGAAATCAGTGTCTGGGAGGGTCCGTCTTTGAGAAATCAAAGCAACAAATGTACCCCTGATCACTGACAGCCCCTCCTTCCGGGAGAAAAGGCTGGCATGGGGCGGCCTGGGTGTATATGCTGCTGTGCCTTTGTCCTGTCCTCCCAGATTCCATGTCCTTGTCTGAAAAGGAGAGCTTTCCTGTTCCCTCGGGCTCCTGGTGATAAAATAGCTGTGTGAGGGCCCGGCCAGGGCTAAGAGGGGGCCCTCGGTAAATTTTCGGGAGAAGTGGGATATGGATCATTCATTTGGCAGCTAAGGAGAGGGAAGAATGAATTCTTCACAAAGTCAGGTCCGTGATTTGCCGGTGATCAAATAAGCCGAATGCTACTGTTTTATGAATAAATTTAGAGGGTCTCACCCCTGAAGTCAGCTCTTGGTGAGCAGCAAAACATTCTAGAAAGGCCTGTGGTGGGGAGACCGCCGGCCGGGCCTCAGCTCCTCTTTCTGCCCAGGTACTTCCTCATCGAGCGCGGAAAGAACATGTGTGGCCTGGCTGCCTGCGCCTCCTACCCCATCCCTCTGGTGTGAGCCGTGGCAGCCGCAGCGCAGACTGGCGGAGAAGGAGAGGAACGGGCAGCCTGGGCCTGGGTGGAAATCCTGCCCTGGAGGAAGTTGTGGGGAGATCCACTGGGACCCCCAACATTCTGCCCTCACCTCTGTGCCCAGCCTGGAAACCTACAGACAAGGAGGAGTTCCACCATGAGCTCACCCGTGTCTATGACGCAAAGATCACCAGCCATGTGCCTTAGTGTCCTTCTTAACAGACTCAAACCACATGGACCACGAATATTCTTTCTGTCCAGAAGGGCTACTTTCCACATATAGAGCTCCAGGGACTGTCTTTTCTGTATTCGCTGTTCAATAAACATTGAGTGAGCACCTCCCCAGATGGAGCATGCTGGTCCTGGGCCATGACTCAAACCAGGTCTGTCCTCGCCACTCAGTCTCCCAGGAGGGAGGCATCAGGGGGTGTCCAGGCTCTGGCTGGGAGGATGGTGGGGGTGCTGGCGGTATTATCCACCAGATGGGGTATCCAGGATGAAGAGCAGGCTTAATTTGAGATCTTGACTATTTGTCCCAAACCTGAGTGGAGAGGTGGGGAGGAAGGAGAAAAACGGGCCAAGCTGCGGCAGAGGCAGGATTCAAACCCACAATGTCAGCCCAGAAGCCTGTACTTCTCTGTGTGGCCTCCCCAGTCTCAGCTGCCTACTCCTACTCAGACTCTGCCCCCCACCTCCACATGAGACTGCCCACCCCTTCCTCACCAACCCCTTATTTATTTCAAACGTGCCCAGATGCTCCTGTCGTTTCCACACCATCCCTTCCCTTATCTTGCCTTTTGAGAAATCTTGATCTCTGTTTAGAGGGCGGCCATGAAGTTGCTGCTGCTTCCTGAAGCCTCCGGGCTCTGGGATGTCTGTAGAACAAGCTGGAGTCCACCAGCTCTTTGTCCTATGGCTCACAGACTTTCTTAATGATAAAAGCTGTCATCTTATTTGGGCTTCCTGAAAAGCTAAAGGCTTGAGAATATTTGAAAAATATATATGTTCATGATAAGGCTTATTTAGATAATGCAAATATAGTTTAATTTATTAGAAAATTCTAGTAACATAAGACCACAACTGTATAAGACAAAAAACAATCACCTTGCTAGGCATGGTGGCTCACGCCTATAATCCCAGCACTTTGGGAGGCCGAGGCAGGTGGATCACCTGAGGTCAGGAGTTTGAGACTAGCCTGGCCAACATGGTGAAACCCCGTCTCTAATAAAAATACAAAAAAAAAAATTTAGCCAGGAGTGGTAGTGCACACCTGTAGTCCCAGCTACTCGGGAGGGTGAGGCAAGAGAATCGCTTAAGCCTGGGAGATGGAGGTTGCAGTGAGCTGAGATCATGCCACTGCACTCCAGCCTCAAAAAAAAAATAATAATAATAATAGACTTCATTGGATGGAATTCTATTCTAGATTTAAAAAAAAACTAACATGAAATGAAAGCATAATTTCTTTTTCTTTCTTTTTTTTTTTTTTTTTTTAGATGTAGTCTCACTCTGTCACCCAGGCTGGAGTGCAGTGGTGTGATCTCAGCTCACTGCAACCTCCACCTCCCCAGTTCAAGCGATTCTCCTGCCTCAGCCTCCTGAATAGCTGGGATTACAGGCATGCACCACCACTCCTGGCTAATTTATGTATTTTTAGTAGAGATGGGGTCTCACCATGTTGGTCAAGCTGGTCTCGAACTCCTGACCTCAAGTGATCCCAAAGTGCTGGGATTACAGGAGTGTGAGCAACCGCACCCAGCCTGAAAGCATAATTTCTGAATTTGACAAAGATTCTCAAATCAATGGTCAGTTGTATAAAAGGATTCCCATTGAAGTCAGTGGTATAAAAGGATTCCCATTGAAGATACATGGCAAATAAGTCTAAGGGTACCATTCTTGCTTACATCTATCTGGAAGATCTGGCTGCTGTGATAAATAAACCCAATTAATATTTGCAGACAGCATGATAATGTGGCTAAAAACATTCAGGAGAATCAACAAAACTTAGAACTAATGAAAGAGTTCTGAAAGTGGCTGGATACCAGAAAAAAAAATCAAAAACTCAGAAAAAATACACTATTTTTTGTTACTATTGCAACTTTACTATTGCAACAAAACCAGCAGCTAGGAATAACCACCAAAAAGTCTTATATGAAGAAAATTACTAAATTAATAACACTATAAAGGAAGACTTAGATAAATGGAGAGCCACCATATTCTTTTGTTGTTGTTGTTGAGACAGAGTCTCACACTGTTGCCCGGGCTGGAGTGCAATGGCATGATCTTGGCTCACTGCAACCTCCGCCTCCCGGGTTCACGTGATTCTCCTGCCTCAGCCACCCGAGTAGCTGGGATTACAGGTGCCCACCACCACACCTGGCTAGTGTTTTGTATTTTTAGTAGAGACGAGGTTTCACTATGTTGGCAGATTGGTCTCAAACTCCTGACCTCATGATCCACCTGCCTCGACCTCCCAAGGTGCTGGGATGACATGCATGAGCCACCATGCCCGGCCGAGGCACACCATATTCTTGAATGGAAAGATTAGCATAAATAAGTTGATTATTGCCAGAAATAAAAGTACAGATGGTATATTTCCAACTAAAATCCCAATAAAATTCTGTTATCCTTTTTATCTGGGGGAAAAAAGGCCAAGGTAGTTTTATAAATGAGCAATGAGGGTGGATTTTTTTCACATATTAAAATTTACAAAATGTTAACCCTTAAAACAGTGTGCCAATTAAGAATAGATTACTCACTCAGGTCTAGGAAGTAAGAATTCGATACATCCGTCACAGACGAGTCCATTTTCACCATTCAATTAAAGGTGCTAGAAGCTGGGTGCGGTGGCTCACGCCTGTAATCCCAGCACTTTGGGAGGCTAAGGCAGATGGATCACGAGGTCAGGAGTTCAAGACCAGCCTGGCCAACATAGTGAAATCCTGTCTCTACTAGAAATACAAAAATTAGCCGGGCATGGTGGCGGATGCCTATAATCCCAGCTACTCGAGAGGCTGAGGCAGGAGAATCACTTGAACCCGGCAGGCAGAGGTTGCAGTGAGTGGAGATCGCACCCCTGCACTCCAACCTGGGTGACAGAGCGAGACTCCGTCTCAAAAAAAAAATAGTGCTAGAAATTGAACAGTAGGTTGGAAAAACAATGTAACCTAAATCCTCACCCAGCTCTATATTGTTTTTAAAGTGAACATTTTCTTTTCTAACGGGTTTAGATATAGAATGACTGTGGAGACAGAGGAGAATTCTTGCACACCCACACCCAGATCTCTCTGCGATGAATGTAGTAGTTTGATACAAATGTCACAATTAATGATCCAATATAGAACATTATTAACCACATTCCAATTAAATACTCATTTAAAGGGAGGGTCCTGGGTGAGGTTCCAAAGAAATTCAAATTACCACAAAAATCAAATAACTGTTTTCAAAATTAGCCTCCCCTGAGGGATTTAGGTGCTCCGCAGGGATTGTGGGCTTGGGCTGGAACACAGACCTGAGACTTTGAAGCAGAGTTCTCCTTTCCATAAGAGCCCCGAATGTCTCAAACCCAGACAATGATGAGAGTCTTTTATTATAAAAAGGCCTGCAGGCCTGGTGTGGTGGCTCACGGCTTATAATCCCAGCACTTTGGGAGGCCAAGGTGGGCAGATCACCTGAGGTCAGGAGTTCGAGACCAGCATGGTGAAACCCTGTCTCTACTAAAAACACAAAAAAATTACCTTGGCGTGGTGGCACGCACCTGTAGTCCCAGCTACTTGGGAGGCTGAGGCAGGAGAATCGCTTGAACCCGGGAGGCAGAGGTTGCAGTGAGCCGAGATCGTGCCACTGCACTCCAGCCTGGCAAGAGAGCGAGACTCCATCTCAAAAAAAAGAGGGGGAGGGGGAGGGGGAGGGGGCGGGGGGGGGACTTTCAGGGGCCAATTCCCTCCTTTTCAGCCATTTACCAAACACCTGCAGAGTATCCACTGTGTGCAGTCCTCTCCTGTGCCAGGCACCAGGGAGCACACAGGATGTTTATAACATCCAGTGTTGGCAGGACTGTTGTGAAACAAGCAGCATGGCCTGTGCCTTGGTGCTGTTTGGATTTAAAGAGATCGGCAGACATGGCTACATCCAACTGAGATAAGTAAATTTCAAATGCACTTGAACCCTAAGGATGCTACAGAGCCTGGTACACAGCAGGTACTGCCTAATTGATCTCAGTCATCACCCCTGCCCCTACTCCATGACAGGCCCCGTGCGGACCTCTAGCAATCTCAGGCCCATGGACTATGTCTTTAACACTAAGGTGCTCCTGCACTTAGGGAAAAGATAGCAGAGTTTTAAAAAAACAAAAAACAGTTAAAGTCCAAAGGTTAAAAACAAAGACATCACAAGAAAAGAAAACTACAGAGCAATGTTCCTTATCAATACAGATGTGAAAATCCTCAATAAAATACTAGCAGACCAAATCCGGCAATATATAAAAAGAATTATATACCATCTCTACTAAAAATACAAAAGTTATTTACCATCTCTACTAAAAATACAAAAATTAGCTAGCCGTGGTGGTGTGCACCTGTAATCCCAGCTGCTCCAGAGGCTGAGGCAGGAGAACTGCTTGAACCCGGGAGGTGGAGGCTGCAGTGAGCCAAGATTGTGCCACTGCACTCCAGCCTGGGTAAAAAAAAAAAAAAAAAAAAAAAAAAGTATTACTATATGAACCCAGTAATTCCACTGCTAAGAGAATTGAAAACATGTACACACAGAAACTTGTACATGAATATTCCTAACAACATTATATATAATTGCCAAAATGGGGAAACAACCCAGATGTCTGTCAACTGACAGATAAAATATGATACATCCATACAAAGAAACATCCAGCCTAAGAAGGAAGTGCTGACACACACTACACCATGGATGAACGTTGGAAACATCAGGCCAAGTGAAAGAAGCCAGACGCAAAAGACTACACATTGTGTAATTCTGTCTATATGAGCCAGGCACAGTGGGCTCACACCTGTAATCACAGCACTTTTGGAGGCCAAGACAGGAGAAGTTCTTGAGGCCAGGAGTTGAAGACCGTCCTGGGCAACATGGCAAAACTTCATCTCTACAAAAAAATACTAAACAAACAAAAAATTAGCCGGGCATGATAGCAGAGCCTGTAGTCCCAGCTACTCAGGAGACTGAGAGGTGGGAGGATCACTTGAGCCCAGGAGGTCAAGGCTCCAGTGAGCCATGATTGCATCATTGCACTTCAGCCTGAGTGAAGAGCAATACTGTCTCAAAAAAAAGAAAAGAAAAGAAAGAAAAAAAAAAAGGCCAGGCAAGGTGGCTCACGCCTGTAATCCCAGCACTTTGGGAGGCCGAGGTGGGTGGATCACAAGGTCAGGAGATCGAGACCATCCTAACACGGTGAAACCCCATCTCTACTAAAAAATACAAAAAAATTAGCCGGGCACGGTGGCAGGCGCCTGTAGTCCCAGCTACTCCGGAGGCTGAGGCAGGAGAATGGCAGGAACCCGGGAGGCGGAGTTTGCAGTGAGCCGAGATCACGCCACTGCACTCCAGCCTGGGGACAGAGCAAGACTCCATCTCAAAAAAAAATAAAATAAAATAAAAATAAAAAAAAGAAAACGAAAAAAAGCAGAAGCCTGTGTACTCAAGACTTTAAAATTTCAAGACATGTTAATTGTGGGGGCTCAGGGCATGTCCCTACCATGGTCATTATTAGTGTGAGTGAACTAAGCATCTCCTCCCAAAACCATAGTGTCCGTGACAGGAAGCCCAGCTCCTGCCAGAATATCCAGTGGAAAGAATGCTAATGGAACACAACTTTTTGGAAGCAGACACACCTGGATTCCAATCTCAGTTCTCCCTTGAATTTTCTGTGTGACCTTGGCGGTAGTGGGGGTGTTAGTTACCCTCTCTGAGCCTCCATTTCATTGTCTACAAATTGATATAATCATATTTTCTTCGTGATTTTTAAAAGTTTTTTAATTTTTGTAGAGATGGGGTTTCACTATGTTGCCCAGGCTGGTCTCAAGCTCCTGGACTCAAGCGATCATACCGCCTCAGCCTCCCAAAGTGCTGGGATCACAGGCATTGAGCCACCGCGCTTGGCCGCCTTCACGATTTTGTGGACAGAATTGAGATGATTTATGGAAATACTCAGCGTCACATCTGGCTCTTAGTAAGCACTCATAAAAGAGAGTTATCTTTCACTCATTTGTCCAATAATCATGTATTAAACTGCGACACATGCCCAGCCCTGCCCTAGGAGGCAGAGGCGGCACACAGCAGGGGCAAGTCAGGTCTACTAGCTGCACCTACAAACTCATGAGCTTCCTCACCCAAGTGAGTCTTTTCACTTTGCCCTGGAGACAGCCAAGAGCCATCCTGCCAGCCAGGTTTCATGTGGGACTGTTGTAAAAGTTCCATCTGCATAGATCAAGCTCTTATTCATTAAGCACCTAGTGCAGGCCAGGCTCTGTTCTGGCACTCCAGTCATCTGACTTCCTTTAGTCCTCCCTCCTGGTCTATGAGGCAAGATAGTCCCATTTATAGAAGAGGAAGCTGAGGCTCAGTGAGATGATGTGGCTTGCCCATGGTTACAAGCCATAGGAGAGGAACCTGGGGTGGTCTGGGCCCTAGCCAGCACATGCTCCACCCAACCAGACGCCTGTGACAAGGGCTGGATTCCTCAGTACGGGAACCTTCTCTTTGGTACAATTGCTGGTGGCCTCTGGGAGTGATTCAGGGGCGTGTGCAAAAATGTCCACTCCTGCAGAGCCGGGTGCAAGTTGATTTGCCCCCTTTTGTGAATTCAGCCACTACTGGAGGGCACAGAAGCTACCCTGCTGGGGACCAGGCTGAAGAACTTCAGCAGTCCTAAGATCTGGGAAGATTAAGCCCCTTCTCCTACTTAGATATATGTGTGTGAATAAAATGTAGAATAAATGTATATTGCTTGAAATGTCACAAATGGGCCAGGCATGGTGGCTCATGCCTGTAATCCCAGCACTTTGGGAGGCCGAGGCAGGTGAATCACCTGAGGTTGGGAGTTCGAGACCAGCCTGAGCAACATGGAGAAACCCCGTCTCTACTACAAATACAAAATTAGCCGGGCATGGTGGCGCATGCCTGTAGTCCCAGCTACTTGGGAGGCTGAGGCTGGAGAATCGCTTGAACCCGGGAGGTGGAGTTTGCGGTGAGTCGAGATCTCACCATTGCACTCCAGCTTAGGCAACAAGAGCAAAACTCCATCTCAAAAAAAAAAGAGAAAAAAAAGAAATGCCACAAATGTACATGCATGCAAAAATTAATAGCTTCCTTCTAGGTTGTCAAATTCTAGCTAAGATCACTGAAGAAGAATTTAGGCTGGGAGTAGCCTTGTTCTGGGTGTGTGGTGACCAACCAGCCCGATTTGCCTGGGACTGAGAGTACTTCTGGGACCTGGAACTTTTAGTGCTATTAAAACTGCAAAAAACCTCAGGAACATGGCCAGGCAGGGCTGGCTCCAAGGGCATATGACCAGTGAAGTCATACAGCACTGGGGTTTTAATGCTCTGCCGTCATCATCTTAACATGCATAATTATTTTCTCTTTGAACATGTGTTTTTGTAAGTGAGTCCAAGGGGACAACTGGAGCACATGCCAGGGGGCGTGGAGCCTTGGCTGACACGTGTTACCACCTCCCACCACCTTCCTGCCTCTCTTGGCCAGTTTCTGAGCCACTCACTTCTCTAACACATGGCAGAAGCCTGAATGAGAGATCGGGAGGATTTGGAGCCAGGCACGCACGCTTCATAGCAGCTCAGGATGGGGCATGGTGGTGGCTACCCCTGACCCAGGCTGGCAGCTCTATGGCACGCCAGGTTCAGTGGGAGTGAACCTCTCACCCGCCCGATCGAGATATAAAACACGTTCCAGCACAGAGGCTGCAATCCCTGTGGGCCACCTGTCTGCATGAGTAGGAACAGCAGGTCCATGGAAGGGGGAGACTGACTTCCTGCCCCGGCTAGGTCCAGGTATTTGTTTGGAGGCTGATGGGCCATGTGTACATGGAGTTGCACAGCAGGACCCCAGATGCCTATGACAGCCTGTACCTGCCAGGCAATTCTCCCTATGTCCAAGGGAGTACAATATTAAATAACACATGGAAAACACTATGAGAGGTCAAGAGAGAGGCCACAGGAGAAAAGAAAATATGTTGTATTTTCTCATACCTTTAATGGCACTGGTTTCCTGCTTTGTTTTTTGTTTTTTTGAGACAGAGTCTTGCTCTGTTGCCCAAGCTGCAGTGCAGTAGCGTGATCTCAGCTCACTGCAACCTCCACCTTCCAGGTTCAAGTGATTCTTATGCCTCAGCCTCCCCAGTAGCGGGGATTACAGACGCACACCATCATGCCTGGCTAATTTCTGTATTTTTAGTAGAGACGGAGTTTTGCCACATTGGCCAGGCTGGTCTTCAACACCCACCTCAGCCTCCCAAAGTGCTGGGATTACAGGCATGAGCCACTGTGCCCAGCCTGGTTTCCTGCTTTTTGAACAAGGGGCCCCGCATTTTCACTTTGATGCAGCCAGCTGTACCAACAGAAAGTGGTCACCCTATTTGGGTCCACCTGCCTTGTGCTCTGGTGTACATAAAGCCTTCATCTGCTCTTGGGGTCACTAGCCCTGCTCTTGGTGGCCACCTGTGCCAGACCCCTCATCCAGAACATGTGCTAGGTGGAGGCCCAGAAACTGATTCAGGAATCCTCACTGGCTTCCAGAGCAGAAGGCATTCACAGCTCCAGCAGGAGCCATGCCATCATTCGTGGGAATTAATCATCACCCGAACACAAAGAAGGTACAAAATGGTGGTGGCCTCTGGTTGCCTGGGTTCAAATTCCAGCTCAGCCATTCACTTTATCACCATGAGCAAAAATCAATAAAAACCTACTCCAGTGTCCTTGCTGTATTATGCTGGACTATGCTATTTCACATTTATTACTTCCAGCCCTTACAATGACCTATAAGGTAGGATTTATTAATATCCTCATTTTACAGGTGGGAGAATGATTCACTTTCCCAAGGCCCTACAACTAACGCAAGAGAGCTGGGATTCAAACCCAGGTCTAACTCCTAAAATCTTTACTGCTCTTCCTCCTTACTTCCCAACTCCTGCTGTGAGCCTCAAAAATGGAGGTGAGACTAACACCTTCCTCACAGGATTACAGCATCTACTTGACATAATGGGTGTATGACCTGAAATTTTAAGGTCAAAGTATTTTTTAGAGATGTAGCATTGTTCTAAGGCTTCCAAATAAACAGATCATTACGTTTCCCACGGTAGAGTGACATTAGGATAAAACCCCAGCTCACAAGCACCACTACAATGAACCAGGAAGACCCCACCGTCAGCAATAAACCAGTCTCCATTACATGTAATTACACAAAAAACCAAGAGGCCAAATTCAAGTCATTCGTTATGAAATGCTTTTTTCTTTACAAAGTAAACATGCATATTGACTCTTATGGGTACACATATATTCTTCATTACAGAAACTCACTGAACTAATGAATGAAATCAGCAATCTTACTCTTAACTTCCTGTTACAACACAACTCCTGAGGTTTTTCCCCTAGCAACATCAAGAAATGCCAAGCTCATCTCAAAAGTTAAGCTGAATGGAAGGTTTACCTGGTTCCCACCAGCAGTCACTTAATTCAGTTACGGGTTTTGAACTCAGGATGAAATATAAACTTTTTTAAACAGACAATCATTATACATGTTTATGGGGTACAATGTGATGTTTCGATATATGTACGCATTGCAGAAAGATTAATCAAACTTACATATCCAACACCTCACCTACTTACCCTTTTTTGTGGTGAAAATGTTTAAAATCTAGTCTTCTGGCTATTTTGAAATGTATGGTCACCATACTGTGCAACAGATCTCTAAAATGTCTGAAACCAACATCTTTGACCAATATCTCCCTTTCCCTATATCTCCCCCTCCGACCTCTGCTAATCAACATTCTACTCTCTGCTTCTATGAGTTCAACTTTTTAAAATTCCACGTATAAGTGAAGATCATGCGGTACTTGTTTTCTGTGTCTGGCTTATTTCACTTAGCATAAAATCCTTCAGGTTCATCCCTGTTATCACAATGGCAGGATTTCCTTTTTAAAGGTTGTATAGCATTCCACTGTGTATATATACATTTTCTTTAGTAATTGTTCCTAGCATCCAAACAGCACTCAGAGTTTAGGTAAACACAAGAGTTTCAGCATGAGGCTGTATTAGCCTGGACTGACTTGGAGAGCGGGGCCAAAGGCAACTTGCATGAAGGACCACAGGGCCTCCTGGGAAACAGCAACCATGGGGGACAGAGGAGGAAGCATCCCACCAGCTGGTTAAGAATACTGAATCAGGGCTGCAGCCCTTGTGGTGACCCCGCCCAAGGGCACTCCTGGCCTGCCAAGCCCAAAGCCCCTGCGCCAGAAACCTAAGGAGAAGATGGTAAAACTGACAGAGTAGGCCAGGTACGGTGACTCACGCCTGTAATCCCAGCACTTTGCGAGGCCGAGGTGGGCAGATCACAAGGTCAGGAGTTCAAGACCAGCCTGAACAACATGGTGAAACCCCATCTCTACAAAAATACAAAAATTAGCCAGGCATGATGACGGGTACCAGTAATCCCAGCTACTCAGGAGGCTGAGACGAGAGAATTGCTTGAACCAGGGAGGCGGAGGTTGCAGTGAGCTGAGATTGCACCACTGCACTCCAGCCTGGGTGACAGAGTGAGACTCCGTCTCAAAAAAGAAAACTGACAGAGCAATTTCCCCTATGCTCCTGAGGGACTCTGAGAGCCTACAGAGATGCTGGTCTTTTGACTTCTATCAAAGGGCAAGAGAGAAGCCCTTCCTTCTTGCGAGTGAAGCAGGTTAATCAGCTCAGCTCAAACACTGGTGTTTTCTTGGTTTAACAGACACTTTTTATTGGCCAGGCACTGCACTAAGAAATATACAGCACACTAACTCCCCACAGCAACCCTGTGAGGTAGATACTATCATGATCCCCACTTTCACATGAGGAAGCCGAGGCACAGATTGGTTAAGCAACTTGCCCCAAACCACAAAATTGCTTAGTGGCAGAATCAGGGTTTATACCCGAGCCCTCCAGCTCCAGAGTATCTGTTCTCAGCCTCCCTCTCTGCTGCCTCTCCAAAGAGGATGCAGAGTCCTTAGGATTCTTAAAAAGTCTGAAAGTGATTCAAAATGACTATGCTGTGAGGAGACCTGGCCCTGCCCGCCAGGCCCAGGGTGGTAACTGAGCTCCATCTACGTAACTCCATCTACGGCACTGCCCCATCTAAGGCCTGGTGGGTTCCCTCCTCCTGTCCACCTTGGTAAACAAGTCCTTTATCAAGCTCCCCTCACAGTACCCAGTAGACTGTGTTCTTTCTCAGGGAGCCTAGCCGATACAAGGGAGTAGCTGAAAGGTAATATTATGGGATGCTTTTTAAAAAATAGTTCTTGGCATATTTTTAAAACATTTTAAGGGAATTATGCAAATGTAGAGTGATAGAGTAAGTCTAGGCTAGAGACAGAGAACAGATTTTCATTATTATGGGAAAAATCATGTGACCAACTTCCCGTGGTTATGTGAATGTAAAGTCAGTGTGTGTTGTTCTAGGGGAATGCTATACACAAGATCTCCGGTTTGCTGTTTGTAGTTCAGCAAAGACGATCTCTCTCGGGATTCCAGGGTGCAAGGTGGACCAATTTGCACAGGAACCCAGAGATGAAATTGGGGACAGCCATTCGGGTGGTCTGGGATGCGCTGAAGCAGGCTCACGGCAGGAAAAGATCTTAAGGGGACTCCCTCAGAAGGGAGGGGAGGAGAGGAGGCTGGCCCCAGTTCAGGATCTAAAATTTCACAGAGGCCAGGTTCGCACAGTGGGTAGGCTGAGTGAAGCTGCTGCAGGATTGGAAACTCTGGTGGGTGTCCTACTGTGAGGGATGATGGCTGAACATGAGGTGGCCAAGAGAGGAGCAGCTTTAGGGCACTGGAGTAGGATGCCACCTCGGCCCTGTGAAGGTGGGCGGAATGGGCTGAGCCCATGGATTGTGGGGAAACCCTTACAACAGCGACACCTTATGGCCACTATGGTAACATAATGCGCACATCTAATTTTCTGGTCTCCCAGTATGGCTTCAGAAAGACTGGAATTCTTGGATAATGAAGAGAAGGGTGATCAAGGGGGAAGGATGAGATTCTCTGCCTATGGAAGTAAAGGCTTGCACAATCCTCTGGAAAAGTAAAAGTGCAAGAATGTGTCCCAAGTGGACACAGGTTGTACCAGGAACCTCCAGGGTCCCAGATCAGTCCACCCAGAGTGAGTCCTTGTGTCTCCGGCTCTGGGGTCAGAAAGGGCAGGTTGACTTAGTTCCTGAAGGAAACCATGTAGCCCTCACATATGTCACAAGCATAGAGGAAACGTGCTACCTTTATTGCTCAGGTTCACCAGGGAGCTTTGCAATGCTGAGACCATTCCTAGGCCCAGGACAATCTGCCATTAGCTCTGCCCATGGTAACTTTATGCCACAGAGCACCAGGTCAAGGACATACCAAACTTCCCTCTTCACACACAAACACACAAACACGCACACACTCAGAGGTTTGTCTAAACTTAATCACCCCTAGACACACCACCAGCAACCACCCAAACCCCTCCCCAGGACTGGAAGCATATCCCAGGCTCAGCTGCCCTTCTCTCTCTCCCCCAAGGCTGCATCACAAACGCACATGCTTCTGTTCTTCTGAAACCAACCATTCATCTCACATTTCTTCTTCCTCATTTTCAATTCTGATTTTCTTAATTGTTTCCAATATTCTAAATGTCAAGAAATAAATAAGTGTAAAGACTACTGCATGGTGGCTTGCACCTGTAGTGCCAGCTACTCAGGAGGCTGAGGCAGGAGAATGGTGTGAACCCAGGAGGCAGAGCTTGCAGTGAGCCGAGATTGCACCACTGCACTCCAGCCTGGGCGACAGAGTGAGACTCTGTCCCAAAAAAAAAAAAAAAAAAAAACCAGTACTTTCAACCACAGCCCTTAACTAGCCTGGCAGCTTCCATTTCTTATCTCTTTGAACCCTCACTATTGGAGTCCTGAGATACCATGTAATTTTGGAGTCCTGAGATACCAGCCTGAGGCTGGCAAGTCACAGTATGAGATGTGCAAACCATGCAGAGAAGCCCTCAGTGGTTGAGATGCTGTGTCGAGGAAAGAGGGGCCAAGGAACACAGAGGTACGAGATACATGAGTGAAGAAGCCATCTTGGAAGCAGATCCTCCACAATTTCAGCCACGGCAGCTAACGCCAAATGGATCAAAGATGAACTGCCCAACCAAGCCTATCCTGAATTCATGATTCAGAAAGGTATGAGCAAAACAAAATGGTTGTTTTAAGCTATAAAGTTCTGGGACAGTTTGTTAGCGCAGCAAAAGACAGCCAGAAATCAAATCTCATGTAAAGCTTTTCAAAAAAATCAAAACAATATAACCACAATTGTGTTTTAAAATAAAATGGTAATCCCAGCACTTTGGGAGGCGAAGGCAGGCGGATCACTTGAGGTCAGGAGTTCAAGACCAGCCTGGCCAACATGGTGAAACCCCGTCTCTACTAAAAATACAAAAAAATTAGCTGGGTTATGGTGGCACACACCTGTAATCCCCGCTACTCGGGAGGCTGAGGCAAGAGAATTGCTTGAACATGAGAGGTGGAGGTTGTGGTGAGCCAAGACTGCACTGCACTCCAGCTTGGACAAAAAAGCGAGACTCCGTCTCAAAAAAAAATTTTTTTTTAAATTAAAACAAATAAATAAAATGGTGCTTCTGCCTGGTCCTTTGGAAAAGCCTGCCCCAGTAAAACAAGATTTGGCCATTTGCCTTTTTGTAATCCTTCCTCCATCTGGAAGAAATATAGAAATGTGATAACTATAACAAGGAGATACTGCTACCTCTCAGCTTGGGCAATTCCGAAACCCCCAAGAGGTGATTTATATGTGTTACAAGGAGCAAAGGAGGAGAATGAAGGCAAAACTGTTCTGGGTGCTGGAACCTCTGAGGCCACTTCTGAGCATCCCCCCTCTACCCCCAAAATAGAGACTGGACCCAACAGCTGCTGTCAGGCAGCTAACAGAACAGCAAGCCACCAGGAAGGAGGAAGACCCTTCCCCCGCACCACCCCCCACCCCCGGCCCCCGACCCTTGCCTTCCAGTGTCCCTCTAATGCCCTCTACTGGCAGAACCTAACAAGAAGCCAGCTGACAAATAATTTAGGGTCCCAGCCACAGGATCACAGAGCAGGATTTAGAGCTGAGATCCAGTAACTTCATAACCAACTCAGTCCTCCCCTTAGGATGCTAGGCATCCATATACACCCTTCCACACATATTTTAATCACCACATAACACCACCACTTCATGCTGTGGCCTAGTAAGATACAATATCCTTCATACAAAGGTAGACACTCTCATCCTCTTCACCAGTGTCAACAGTCTGTATCCCTCCCTGTGCAATGTTAATTACTTTTCTAATTCAAATGTAATCCCATCTGATTATTCTATAACATGAAAAAAGGCACAAAGCTGTTATAGTCCTTGTCTTCATCTTGTCTTCATAACTGGTCGTTAAGACCCTATGTAGTTGATATTTCTTCCTCTTCCTGCCTGTTCCATGTTTCCTTTGCTCTCAGCCAGCACCTCAGCTGTTTTTGGTTTTGGTCTTGTTTTGTCACCAGATAGGGTGACTTCAAAACTCATTCCTAAAAGAATGTGAAACCTCAGTGGTCTTGTGTTTTTTAACTTATGTACTTTTCTATTAAACTTTACCTAGGAACACAGAAGTACTAAGACATATCCCAGAGAATCCTCTGGGTTCCAGACATGGTCCTTTCTCTCCTCATTGTATATAGCAGCACCCAAATTTCTTCTTGGTAATCAGAGCCGATCATCTCAGCCAGTACAGTACTTCTCTTCTTTGCCTGTTGGCTCGGTGGTATGAGATGACCAAAATAGCTATCTAACTTCCAATCCAACTGACCCATCATGTTGCCTGGATGACAGAATTTCTCCTTGGGAACCAAAACCTCTATACCAACTGAACGCAAAGTTACAGGAATGGGAAGCACACATTCTGTAATTGGTTTGTGATAGTGAGAAGCCACTCCTATTAATTTCCAAACCTGTGCATTCCATGAGAGATCACCATCTATGGGCCATATTCACAGCATATACTGCATCCTTTAATTAAGAACCTCAACTTTTCAGGTCTCCCAACTGGCACCACAACTGACTCCTCAATAGCTCATTCCATTTTCTCAGGCTGATAGTGTATGCCAGAAGCAATGTTACACGGAATACCATGAATAAAGGTTTCTGGGTTCACGGATGATTGTGTTAGCAAAAGCATTAGACAGGGAAAGTATTAATATTATATTAATAAATCCAGATATCCAGAATGCATGTCTATTCCAGTGAGGAAAAACTGGCATCCCTTTGATGATGGAAGGGGTCCAACGTAATTAACCTGTCACCAAGTGGCTGGCTTGTAACCTCAGGAAATACACCATATCAGGGAATGGCAGATTTGGCAATCGCAATGGCAAGTAGCCAAGTGTTCAGGTCACCCACTACTACATAGCAAACCACTCCAAAACTTAGTAGCTTGGAACATTATTTATCTGACTCACAAGTCTGCCATTAGGGTAGGAGCTGGAGGGGACAGCTCATCTCTGTCCCATTCTGCATCAGCTGGGAGGGCTCAAAGACTGGGAGCTATAATCATCAGAAGGCTCACTCACGTCTGGCAATGAGACCCTAGCTGGGGACGTGGTTAAAACACCTACAATTCTTCTTACACGAGATGACACATGGAAGCCTTGTCTACCATGAATGCCCTTTGGTGAACTTTCATACAAGACACTAATATCTTCACTCTGGATCTAAAGAGGCCCATCTACATAACTCCTCCTCAGAAATCCTTGCATCAGTCTTCCATATTGTGTAAGGCAGGTCAATATTTGAAAAATTTGCGTGACTCAGTAAATATTTTCCAAATGACCAATGCAAAATCTTACAAAACCATGTATGAGCAAAATATCCATGCAAATACTAAATGATTCTAATCTAACAATTCTAATGTAACAATTTTTTTAAATTGTGATATGCTTTCACAGTCCACCTTGCAATGAACATTTAAGAAACAAACTGTAATCCCAGCACTCTGGGAAGCCGAGGCGGGCGGATCACGAGGTCAGGAGATCGAGACCATCCTGGTTAACTAAAAATACAAAAAAATTAGCTGGGCATGATGGCACGTGCCTGTAGTCTCCGCTACTTGGGAGGCTGAGGCAGGAGCATTGCTTAAACCCGGCAAGTGGAGGTTGCAGTGAGCCAAGACTGCACCACTGCATTCCAGCTTGGGTGACAGCGAGACTCCATCTCAAAAAACAAAATAACTTTTTCTCCAGTTTGGGTTTGCTGGTAAATTTTCTAACACATTTTTCGAGTTTTGTCTGAAAATGTTTTCTTGAAGGGTTTTTACTGAGTTTAGAATTTTAAATTGCAGTTTTGTTTCAGCTTTCTAAACATACTCCATTGCCTCCTGGCTTCCATTATTTGCATTGTCAAGTCTTTTTAATTGGGATGCCTTTAAAATTGCCTTTAGGTTTTAATTATATACGCTTTTTTTTTTTTTTTTTTTTTTTAAAGACGTCTTGGCTCTGTTATGCAGGCTGAAGTGCAGCCTTGAACTCCTGGGCTCAAGCAATCCTCCCACCTCTGCCTCCCAAAGTGCTAGGATTACACTAATTAAGCTGCAGTGCCTAGTCTTAATATCTTTAACTGGTTATTTTTGTCATGCTTAAAGTTAACACTTTATTAACAGTTCTGCAAAGTCATCAATCTCGATTATTGCCCCATTCGCTCCTGCAATAATTATATTTTCAGTTAGGTTTACCAATGCATTGTCTATCCTTAATGTCTCTGTCCCTCAATATGCGTATTTGTTTCCTGACCTATCTTCCCACTGTTAAACCTATTGAGTTCCTATTTTAGCTACTGTGTTTTGCATGTGGAATTCTGATATGCTTTTTAAAGTTTGCTGTTTAAGTTATCTCATCTCTCTAAATATAGTAAGCATACTTTTTTAAATGTCTTAAAATGTCAGTATCTGACTTTCCTTACTTAAGGAATGATGTAGAGCACTTTGTTGTTTTTGAGACAGGGTCTTACTCTGTTGCCCAGGTTGGAGTGCAGTGGTGCAATTTCAGCTCACTGCAACCTCCACCTCCTGAGCTCAAGTGATTCTCCCACCTCAGCCTCCAGAGTAGCTGGGGCCACAGGTGTGAGCCACCGTGCCCAGTTCATTTTTGTGTTTTTTTGTAAATGAGGTTTTGCCATGTTGCCCAGGCTGATCGTCAACTCCTAGGCTCAAGTGATCTTCCTGCCTCAGCCTCCCAAAGTGCTAAGATCATAGGCGTGAAACATTATACCCCACCAGCACTTACTTCTTAAAGTAAACTGGATCTACAACAGCCTATATCCTGTCTCTGTTTCTCAGATGAGTTTCTTGATGTTTTCTCCAAGTACTTCTATTTCTTTTTTGAGACAAGGTCTCTCTGTTGCTCGGGCTGGAGTGCAGTGAGGCAATCAGCTCACTGCAGCCTTCCTGGGCTCAAGCAATCCCCCCACATCAGCCTCCCAAGTAGTTGGGACTACAGGCACACACCACCACACCTGACTTCATGTAGTTTTGTCTCACGCAAAACTAGCTATTTGCTGCATATATTTGTAAAACTGTTTGAAGAAGTAATTAAATTTGGTTCATCTTTATTCCTGGGGTATATCCTTTTGGGGTCCTAATTTCTTGGCAGATATCAGACTCCAAATCATGTCCTTTAGTCCAAGTGAGACTATCAAAAGAACCAGACCAAAAGCCTCTCTGACCTTTGCAAACAACTGCAAAATAAAAGCCACACTGAATATGGACTTACAGCCCTGAAACTCAATTCTCTACCAAATGCTGGCCCATTAAGTCTTCGCCATTTTCTTAGGTCTCCAATGCCTTCAAGCAGATGTTTTATATCTCTGCTTATTTTCTTGTCTTCAGTGGAAGATTGCTCTGAATTATTTACAAAGTATGCCATTACTTTATGCTGGTCTTGGTTAAGTCTATTTTGTTCCCTTTTCTCACATTTTCAATTCTTTTTATATATTTTAAAGATACTTTGTATGCAGTATCTCTGTATTACCTAGATTGAAGGCAGGCAAAATTTTGGGGTTTTCAGTTTTAGTCTCTTCCTTTTTTTTTGCTCATTTATGCATTTAAGAGGAAACTGTATTTGGCTGGGTGTAGTGGCTCACACCTGTAATCCCAGCACTTTGGGAAGCCGAGGCAGGCAGATTACAAGGTCAGAAGCTGGAGACCAGCCTAGCCATTATGGTAAAACCCCATCTCTACGAAAAATACAAAAATTAGCCAGGAATAGTGGTGGGCACCTGTAGTCCCAGCTACTCAGAAGGCTGAGGCAGAAGAAGCCCTTCAACCCAGGAGGTGGAGGTTGCAGCGAGCCGAGATCGTGCCACTGCACAGCCTGGGCGACAGAGAGAGACTCCGTCTCAAAAAAAAAAACAAAAAAACAAAAAAAAACCAACCCACATATGTATATACCCTAGGAAATACGATATTTTTTTCATATACTGTATTATTGTTCTCCAACTTGTTTCTTCCATTCAACAGCATGTGAAAGCAAGCTTAGAAGCAAAAAGCAAAGGAGAACTGACTGAAACACAGCATGGTGATGTGAAGACTGGGGAAGCTTGTGGGCAAAGGATTACTCAGGTGCCGAGGCAAGAGACTGAAGGCACAAACGGTTTCAGTATAATGAAGAAAATAGCTAGAATAAGAATAGTTATAATACAAATTCGATACAGAGATTATCATGGACATTATCAGTCATTAGTATAAACATTATTAATCATTGGCTTTTAACATTACTCTTTATTGTACTACTAATATAATCAAGGAATAACCAGCAGGTATAGGGTCAGGTGCTGAAGGGACATTGTGAGAAGTAACCAAGGCGGCAAGAGGTAAGCCTTCTGTCACGCCTGCATAATGGCCAGTTGAGGGCTCCTTGGTCAAGCGGTAACGCCAGTGCCTGGGAAGGCACCCATTACTTAGCAGACCACGAAAGGGAGTCTCCCTTTCCTTGGAGGAGTCAGGGAACACTCTGCTCCACCAGCTTCCTGTGGGAGGCTGGATATTATCCAGGCCTGCCCACAGTCATCCAGAGGCCTAAACCCCTCCCTGTGGTGCTGTGCTTCAATGGTCACGCTCCTTGTCCACTTTCATGTTCCTCCCGTACCCCTAGTTCCTCTTGGAAGTTCTTAGAAGATAGCGGTAGAAGAAATAGTGAAAGTCTTAAAGTCTTTGATCTTTCTGATAAGTGCATAGAAGAAAATGCTGACGTATGCTGCCTTCCCTCTCTGCTTCGGCTACCTAAAAGGGAAGAGCCCCTGTCTTGTGATCACATGACTTGCTTGACCTTATCAATCACTTGGAGGGCTCACCTTCCTTACCCTGCCCCCTTGTCTTGCATGCAATAAATATCAGCACACCCAGTGGCCCCCCCCAGGCCCAGCTGTTTTCTCTTTATCTCTTTGTCTTGTGTCTTTATTTCTTACAATCTCTCGTCTCTGCACACGGGGAGAACACCCCCTAAGCCCCATGGGGCTGGACGCTACAGAAGCTGTGTTTAGCTTCAGAGTTTGTACCTTAACCTAACTTGCCCTTTACTCCCATGATTCAAAACACTATCATACAGGAAACCATTTGTTTTAAAGGAGAAAGGAGCATGATTATTTTAATCCAGAAAACTATTAAAATACATTCTCCACTGTAGACATTTAAGAGGCAGATGGGACAGACAAAAGTATTTGGTAATTCATAAGACTCAGGAATTTAATGGATATGTGTGTGGCTGGGAAACAAGGTGGTGTTTAACTCAGCGCTGTCACTTCTTAGCTAAACGACCAGACCATAGGCAAGGTTACTAAACCTCTGTAACTAACTTTGTTTGAAATATACACTGCAAAAATGACGGCAGATATTACAACAACAAATGCCCATAAGACATGGCAGTTATAAGGATGCCCAAGAAAGGAGAATCAAGGGCCAGTTACCTCGATTTTGAGGAAATAATTTCAAAACTTAGAAAATATCACAACTGATTAATGGGAGAAACTATAAAAACTGCCTGGCTTGTGCTCATTGGAAATTAACGAATTTTTTTAAAAAGAAATAAAAAACTGGGGTTCGTGACCAGCCTGGCCAACATGGTGAAATCCCGTCTCTACTAAAAATACAAAAATTAACCAGTGTGGTAGCACGCACCTGTAATCCCAGCTACTCAGGAGGCTGAGGCAGGAGAATTGCTTGAACCCGGGAGGGAGAGGTTGCAGCGAGTGGAAATCACACCATTGCACTTCCAGCCTGGGCAAGAGAGCAAGACTCCATCTCAAAAAAGAAAAAAAAAAAAGAGTGAACTTTAAAAAACTATGTATTGAGGCCGGGTATGGTGGCTCACGCCTATAATCACAGCACTTTGGGAGGCCAAGGCAGATCACCTGAGATCGGGAGTTCGAGACCAGCCTGACCAACATGGAGAAACCCTGTTTCCACTAAAAATACAAAACTGGACAGGCATGGTGGCGCATGCCTGTAACACCAGCTACTCGGGAGGCTGAGGCAGAATAGCTTAAACCGAAGAGGCAGAGGTTGCAGTGAGCCAAGATTGCGCCACTGCACTCAGGCCTGGGCAAAAAGAGCAAAACTCCTTCTCAAAAAAACAAAACAAAAAAAACTATGTATTGGCCGGGTGCAGTGGCTCACACCTATAATCCCAGCACTTTGGGAGGCCAAGGCGGCAGA
This sequence comes from Homo sapiens, assembly GCF_000001405.40. Taxonomy (NCBI): domain Eukaryota; kingdom Metazoa; phylum Chordata; class Mammalia; order Primates; family Hominidae; genus Homo; species Homo sapiens. The sequence continues at coordinate 78,901,127 of NC_000015.10, read as the reverse complement.
TCACTTGAGGTCAGGAGTTCAAGACCAGCCTGACCGACATGGTGAAAACCCCATCTCTACTAAAAATACAAAAAAAATTAGCAGGGCGTGGCAACAGGTGCCTGTAATCGAAGCTAATCAGGAGGCTGAGGCAGGAGAATCACTTGAACCAGGGAGGTGGAGGTTACAGTGACCTGAGATCAAGCCACTGCACTCTAGAGCAAGACTCGGTCTCAAAAAAAAGAAAAAAAAGAAGAAAAAAAAAAAAAAACCTATGTATTACTTAGATATAGACCAGAACCTTTAATTAGAAGCAGTAACAGGAAAAGGAGAGGATGGCAAAGAGCCAGAAGAATACTTGTCAAAATGCACCCTTCATCACAAGCCATGCTTCTTCCTACCCTTCCAGTAACTCTTCCTTCAATCTACTTGAATGATTAGTTCAAGAAATAAATTGAACACTAAAAATTCTAGATTGTACTACAAGGCAGCTAATCCAGGAAAATCTCTAACATGGCTGAGACTCAGTCTGCCTGGGTTAAGTTTAATAAACACCAGAGAGTAAAAATATCTGGAAACATGCCGGGCGTGGTGGCTCACGCTTGTAATCCCAGCACTTTGGGAGGCTGAGATAGGTGGATCAGTTGAGGTCAGGAGTTCGAGGCCAGCCTGACGACCACGGAGAAACCCCATCTCTACTAAAAAAATACAAAAACTAGCTGGGTGCGGTGGCTCATACCTGTAGTCCCAGCTACTCGGGAGGCTGAGGCAGGAGAATTGCTTCAACTTGGGAGGCGGAGGTTGCAGTGAGCCGAGATCGCGCCACTGCACTCCAGCATGGGCAACAGTGCAAGACTGTCTCAAAAAATAAAAAATAAAGAAAAAACCGTATTAAAACCTAACGGTACTAATATTAATATTCATCTAATTTCATGTTTTGGTAAGTAATTATTAATCAGTATGATTTTGATTACATCATTCCAGCTACTTACTACTAATATGTAAGATATTCTGGAGCGACATTAAAATTACTAGTAAATGAAAACATATTCAAAATACTCTGTAGATTTAATGTCCAAAGATTACTGCCTCTTTTAGTGTCATCAGGTAAACCTATCAATGTTCTTTTCTAATGCTATATTTAAATGGAGGGAGGAGGCTTAATGAATAACGAACAAAATCTTGACTTTCAGGTTTTGTGAAGGAATGTTTAAATTTCTGAATACAGAACCCTAAGACTGTTACAACCCTCAGGACACAAATATCTATAGCGGCAGTTCTCAACGAGTGGTCCAGAGATCTCTGCAGTACCTGAGATATTTTCATGCTGCCTATGAGGTTAAAGCTATTTTAAATCAGTCTTTTTCTCGAGTGTACATGAAATTTTCCTGAGGTTACATGATGTGTGACGGTATCATTCTGATGACTAATGAAGACACGTATTTTTAAGTTTTAAAGTTTTAATTTCTAGCACAGTAAATATTGATAATATAAACGAAAAGATCGAGTCCTCAACTTTTTTTTAGGAGACAGGGTCTCGCTCTGTCACCCAGGCTGGAACACAATGGTACAATCACAGCTCACTGCAGCCTTGATATCTTGGGGTCAGGTGATTCTCCTGCCTCAGCCTCTCAGGTAGCTGGGACCATGGGCACACGCCACCATGCCAGGCTACTCATAAAATTATTTGTAGAAGCCGGGTGCAGTGGCTCATGCCTGTAATCCCAGCACTTTGGGAGGCCGAAGCAGGCAGATCACGAGGTCAGGAGATCGAGACCATTCTAGCTAACGTGGCGAAACCCCATCTCTACTAAAAATACAAACAATTAGCCAGGCATGGTGGCGGGTGCCTGTAGTCCCAGCTACTCGGGAGGCTGAGTCTGGAGAATGGCATGAACCCAGGACGCGGAGCTTGCAGTGAGCCGAGATCACACCACTGCACTCCAGCCTGGATGACAGAGAGAGACTCTGCCTCAAAAAAAAAAAAAAAAATTATTTGTAGAGACAAGGTCTCTTCCCTACGTTACCCACGCTACTTTCAAACTCCTGGGCTCAAGTAATCCTCCCACCTCAGCCCCAAAGTGCTGAGATTACAGATTACAGGTGTGAGCCACCACGCTCGGCAAGAAAATCTTTAAATACCTAACCAGTAACACTAATGTTCAAGGGACCATGAGTACACATTAAAAAAAAAAATCACATCTAGGGCTCATTTTGTTAGCAAAAATATTAAAAATTCAAACAATCAAGATTAGCATGGCCCCTGTGCCAAGAATGACACGTAAATTCTTGAAGTGTTTCATTTTTTAAGTCACATCTAGATAAACAAGAACTTTCAACAGCTGAAAGACCCCAGGCAACAACAATCCCTATTTGTTAGAAATCCAACTAAATCAGTACAGTTGTGACAAAAAGGGTAAAGAAAAAGAGAACAAGTAAGCCGAATGAAGGAGGCGGCAGGAAGACAACTATGGGTAGAAGCAGTTCCCTTCAAACAACCCAAGCAAATCCTGCTTCTTTGGAACTTACTCCTATTTCCCTCCTGCACTCATTATCCCTCTTGTATTGCTGCTGTAACTCTCGCCATCTGAACTTATCTGCTGCTTTGCATTTTAATTGTTTTCTGAGGGTTTTTTTTTTTTTTTTTTTGAGACAGAGTTTCACTCTTGTTGCCCAGGCTGGAGTGCAATGGCACAATCTTGGCTCACTGCAACCTCTGCCTCCTGAGTTCAAGCAATTCTCCTGCCTCAGCCTCGTGAGTCGCTGGGATTACAGGCGTGCGCCACAACGCCCAGCTAATATTTGTATTTTTAGTAGAGATGGGGTTTCTCCATGTTCATCAGGCTGGTGTCGAACTCCTGACCTCAGGTGATCCGCCCGCCTCAGCCTCCCAAAGTGCTGGGATTACAAGCGTGAGCCACTGCACCCAGACGCATTTTAATTCTTAACGTCTGCCATCCTCTACCCAAGTACAGACCACTTTAGTGTCCCTATCAAAGGGGAGAAACGTTGCCCTTTACAACTTTTGGGTTATTTTAATACTGTGTTGTCTATTGACATTTTTGGCTCATGTTTCTAGAGTAAACCCACAAAAGTAAACAATTATAGACAGAAAAAAGCTGACCATAATTTTACACAGGTGAAAATGCCCTTAATTAATGCTCAGAGTAAGTAATAATTTAGGGAAAATAAAAAAAACAGTCATGTAAACTTCTAACTTTTTAGCTAAGACTCAAGACAGCAAACTGCCAAAGCTGCTATGGATTAGCGCTACGTACCAAAGCTAAAGCGTCTCATTCCATAAAGGCCATACCAGAAAACAAAGCACGCACCTGAAAAACCACTGTCTAAATACAAGAAGGAATACACAAATATACAATGGTTTTTGTAAGGCATCAACACAAGCACATTGTTCTTTGAAATTTAAAGAAAAAATTTATTGAAGATCTGAAAAACAATTCCTAAAAGATTGACTTTTCCAGAAAACTAGCTACACAATGCATTGCGTCTATCATGTTAAAACGTGCATTAGACACAAATACAAAAACCATGAAACAAGCCACCATTCTTCAACAATTTGAGCCAAGATAAAATGCCTAAGTAACAACATGGATGACTTGCAAAGGATGGGCTCTTTACTTTAAGCACCATAAAAAAAAACAAAAGCACAAATGGATGAGTGTGTTCAGTTATATACACTGAATTGAACCTTTGGCACTAGGAATCAGAGCATTTTGTCATATAGCATTAACATGTATTATAAAAGTGCGTAGTGTCAAAGGAATAGAACCACCAGCATTCAAAAGCAGCTTTGTCAACTAGGCAATAAAACACTCTACAGCATATCCCTCTGTTGTCCATCATTGAAAACACTGGCAGCAATTTTGAAATGAAAAAAAAAAAGAAAGAAGAAAAAAGGAGCTATTACCCCCTTTTATTTTTTCTCTGTTTAAAATCAAACAGAAAACAAACATCAATTGTTATACACTAACATCTTCAAAGCACATCGTTTGTACAAGAGATAGACTAAGAACAAAAATGTGTTTACGGAGATCCAAACATAAGTGAGTGAGAGTGCCTCTCACACAGCTTTCCGATGGTACTCAGGAGGAGCCACTTCATAATCGCTGGCACTGAACAAAGTTGCAGAATTCTTTGCCAGGTACCTAAAAATAAAATATTCATTACAAAAATTTTTAAAGGTCATTATCTTGATCCAAATCTCTTCCTATATATTATATACATAAGCCACAGAAAACACTTTCCTAAAATACATTAAACCAGACATTCTCTCACAGTAAAACCACACATAATGACAATTCAGGTAAATAAATAAGGTTATACAATGAACAACACTATACATATACAAAGGAATGAACTCTGGAGTTACTCCCCTATTTCTAAACAGCAAAGAACAGTTATGTCTGCAGAATACCAACTTGGGAGCTTGAACCATCTTTAAGAAACAGTTATTATCCTATTACATGACAGCATTACCCTAAAAGAACATCTAGACATTTTCTAAAAAAAAAATCGTTATCAGCCGGGAGTGGTGGCTCATGCCTGTAATCCCAGCACTTTGGGAGGCCAAGGCAAGCTGATCACCTGAGGTTGGGGTTCAAGACCAGCCTGACCAAAGTGGAGAAACCCGTCTCTACTAAAGACACAAAATTAGCTGGACATGGTAGCGCATGCCTGTAATCCCAGATACTCGGGAGGCTGAGGCAGGAGAATTGCTTGAACCTGGAGGCAGAGGTTGTGGTGAGCTGAGATCACGCCACTGTACTCCAGCATGGACAAGCGTGAAACTCCATCTCAAAAAAAAAAAAAAAAAAAAAAAGAAAAGAAAAGAAAAAAGAAAAAAATCCTATCAGGCCAAGCACAGTTGCTTACACCTGTAATCACAGCACTTTGGGGGGCCGAGGCACAAAAATTTGAGGCCAGGAGTTCAAGATCAGCCTGGCCAACATGGCAAAACCCCATCTCTACTAAAAATACAAACATCAGTCAGGCATGGTGGTGTGCACCTGTAATCCCAGCTACTTGGGAGGCTGAGGCCCAAGAATCGTTTGAACCCAAGAGGCGGAGGTTGTAGTGAGCTGTGATCGCATCACTGCACTCCAGCCTGGGCGACAGAGCAAGACTCCATCTCTAAATGAATAAACTTTTTTTTTTTAATTACATAAAAGGGAACGTGAAATGTCAAGTAGTAGAGCACATTCCATAAAGAAACTGAGGTCCAAAGAAGGTATTTATCATTAGTAAAGAAAAGATGATAAATCTTGCCTACATTCTCAAGTCCACGTTGCAGTTTTAAATTTACTGTAAAACGATTGTAATGAGAAAATTCATATACAGAAGTATACAAAGTAGAAACTGAAAACTCCCACCCTCCCTTCCAACACCACGCCCAAGAAATAACCCAGTATTAACTAAGATCCACATTGGAAAGCCAGATCTTATGCAAAGATTAAAATAATGTTTCTCTACAAGTAACAATTACACCATACTCCTCTACTACAGCTTGGCTGTTTTTCAATTGAAAACATGGACATCTTTATCAGTATGTTTAGAGTGACCTCACCCTTTTAATAAGTGCTTGTTTCAAATTCTTCACTATTATAAAAATGCCCTCCAAAAACTTGTAGAAACCAGGATTGCCCTTTTCTCCATTTCTTCAAACATTTAAACCTTAGCCAATCTGACAAGTGCTACTTTACTGACAGTTTATACTTTCATCATTATTTCTGACATATTTTTAATGGTCCTTTGTGCTGCCATTGATGTAAATTTCCTGTCCTACTTTTCACTGGTTTGTTCATTTCTTACCGAAGAACTCTGTGTGTATTAAAGGTACCAACCATTTATCATAAATGGAACACTATAGAACTATGAAAATATTACATTTCTCCTTTCATTATCTTAACAATTTAATTTTAAACTTCAGATTCATCTAGAATTTTGGTACATGACAAGTGTGGCTTTGTTTTCTTCCAAACTGTCAGCTGTCTTATCACCAATCTACCAGACTCCACTGCTTTCCCCTACTGCACCAATATATCATCTATATACCATCTATCATTTCTGAGACTCCCATGTGTTTGCACTTACTTTTACTGCTCCATTACCAACTATCTATGCCTGTACCAATATAATGTTTAATGTTTTAGCATCTATACTGCCAATCCCTCCCATTACACGCTAATTTTCAAATCCATGTTTATAATTTCAAGCACAGACTTACTTTAGGAAATCGTGAAGATAATTGAGTAATAAAGCAAGGCTCTTCTCATCCAGAGGTGTATAAGCCAACATTGCTCCAATTCGTACTGTTTAAACAAGAGAATTTATCCAAAGTTACATCCAAGGCAGGGGCACTACAACCATGTATTTTAATTATGTGAGCAAACACCACCAATTCCTTTAAAATACATGATTTTAGGCCGGGCATAGTGGCTCACGCCTGTAATCCCAGCACTTTGGGAGGCCGAGATAGGCGATCGCTTGAGGTCAGGTATTCAAGACCACCCTGGCGAACGTGGTGAAACCCCATCTCTACAGAAAATACAAAAATTACCACAGATGTGGTGGTGCACACCTGTGATCCCAGCTACTTGGGAGGCTGAGGCAGGAGAATTGTTGAACCCAGGAGGCGGAGGTTGCAGTGAGCAAAGATCGCACCACTGCACTCCAGCCTGGGCAACAGAGACTGTCTGTCTCAAAAAAAAAAAATTATAAAATAAAATACACGATTTTTAAAACTCTTGCTCCTAAAGAGATTTTGCTATTTAACATTCTAGATAAAAGTTCAAATTAAAATGGGAGTCATGTTTTGGAAAGTTAATTACTTTACCTCTTATTCATTTAGAGAAGACCCCCCAAAAAGTAAAATCCATTATTTTCTACATGACATATTACCAAATAATCTCAGGAGATGTGGCGCTCCATACACCTGGGACATGGGTGCATCGGGATGATCTGCAAGAATTTCAGCATACTGTGGTCTCTCAAATTTATAGAGTAGCTGGGTACCCAACATTACGTTGAAGTATTCTTTTATCCCTGCCACAACTTCATTAACCGCATACTCCCTGATAAATGAACAAAAATATTCCAAAACTGGTCAATAAAAATAACTGACATAGAGAATAATTCAACCAATTTAAAGAATTAAAAGCTGAGCTAGTAATAATGAACCATAGCTGAGATTTTTTTAAAGGGCATATGAAAGCAGGGTTTGACAAACTAAAGCAATTAAGATGATTCTTACATTTTCAGATGGTTAAATTTTAAATGGTTATGCAAATACCTACATGATAGCTTAAATTTTACCTAAAATATTTACTATCTGGCCCTTTAAGAAAAAGTCAGCCAGCCAACTCCTGTGTCAAAGCAGTGAAATTCTATTTTGCTAGTTTCTGGTGGTATTAATGTTTCGGAGTCAGTACAAGTTTCAGATGACTTATTTAGAAACTTTTTTAAATGTCTTTTGAGTGTCATCTGAAAAATGTATATTCTTACTTATTATCTGTGTTTCCACGAGATTTCTTGTAATTTGCATAATCCTCAAGAATGGAATCCACATTCTTCTTGGCAGGAAGATAAAAGAGCTATGAAGACAAAAATATGCTTAAATATAAGCACTCTCTTTTTTAAAGAAAAATCATACCAGGCAAGTTTTTATACAAAGATCAGGTAACAGTAACAGTATTTCAAATTAGGAAAGATACTATTCAGCACTTAAAACATGGATAATGTGGCTGAGAAACTACAGACAGTTCCCAACTTACAATGGTTTGGACTTAATTTTCCAACTCTCTGCTGGGTTTATTGCGATGTAACCCCATTCTAAGTTATGGAGCATCTATATATTTAAACAGCCAAATGAGACTCTACTAGACAGAACAGCACAGCTTTTAAAAATGTCAATCTGTCACACACACATAACAGACACGAATGTGCCTTTGTGGTACTACCAAGTCATCATTTACTGTTATGCATACTATTTGCTAGATCTAGTCTAAAGCATTAAAATAATTATCTTTTCGTCCTCTCATCAGCATTGTCAAATACAAACTATTATTCCATTAAATGCAAAAACAGAAGCACAAAAAGGCTAAGAAACTTGTCCAAACTCACAAATAATAAGTGATACAGCCATGCTTGAATCTTCGCAGTTTAGCTGTAACTGCATAACCCTCCAAAGGATTCAAATCAGAATTCAAACTATATCCACATACTGTATATGACTGATAGGTCTCTTAAGTCTCATAATCCTCAAGCAGTCCCTAATCATCTCCCCCAACTATCCCTAACCCTACCTATGCCATTTGTTCAAATAGCTTCATTTGTCCTATAAAATTCTCAATTATAGAGTTCAACGATTGACAAACATGTCACTCCATTAAACATCCTATTTCCTGCAAACTAACAATAGATCCAGGCGCTTAGTAAGATTCAGGTTCTTTTCAGGGTCATGAATACCTTGCAGGTGGTGGTGTGTGCTTTCTATGGCCTACCATTAGCAATGACAGTAAGACATATGCTTCTTCACCTTTATGAATTTTCAGAACGAGTTCCTGCCCTAGCAATCTCCAAAAATGAGTTATTTCCACCTTTATCATTATAACCTCATAAAATTTATATGTGAACTTTTATTCTTCTAACTTACTCTTTCTGGTAGTAGTTCTAAAGTGTTCAGCCTCTAAATTAAAATATTATTTTATCAGTCATACCTTAATAATTCAAGTCAATATAACATTTTCCTTTAAAAACTTTTTTTGCTAGCAAGAATGTATCATATAGCTTAACAATCTGGGTAGCTTTTCAAGTTACCTGTTTTTGCCTGGTAATTAAGTCCCAGTCATCAACAAGCCACGGTTTTAGCTCTTCAGGAATCTTTACTTTAACTTCAACTCTGTTCATGAATGTTTCCTCCTAAACAGAAACAGGAGGAGTATTAAAAACCTAACCTTTCTTGCTAAATACCAAACATGGAGGGGAGCTGACTTTTAGAGGCACTAGGGATAAATCTTAAAGTAGCCAAGCATACAGCTGTACTGTCATTTTTTAAAATCATTAATAAAAACGACCATACGCGGTTCGCTGTTGGGAGAAAAGAATCTGACCTGAACTATAGTCTATTTAGTGCATTTTCTTGTAAAGGTAAAAATTCTTCAGTAAGGTTCCTCTTGTTCAGGAAATGAAACACCCTGACTTGATACATTTTAACTTAGTATTTTCTTATTTACCATGGATATCAAAACTATTCCAAACACAACCATCTTAAAGGTACATCTTTAACTCCTAAAAATAAATACGTAACACCAAAGAAATAGTCTTGTAGGTGAACATGAAGCTTACACAACAAATGATCAATTGGGTAGGTAAATCTGGAGCTACAGGTGAAATAAAGATATACAGAAATTTATCCTTTACCCCCAAAAGAGAAAATTTTTAATTTCAGGTATTAACCATGTAAGCAAATCTTGTAGATAATCAAAGCTCCCATGGTTATGTCATGTAACTGAGACTAAAAATCCTAACATGCTATTCATAAACACAAGAAAAACTCACATTTTCAACAGTAGGATCTACCCGGGCCCTTTTCTTCCGAGGAGGCTGAGGGGTCTCACTGGTACTGCCACCATCTCCATTTCCAGGTGCTGTAAATGTTGGCGGGGAGGGGTCTCATTTAGCTAATTTAACAAACTCTATAAGGAAAATAGTCTCTTGACACATTAACCCTTTTCATTATTTCTCCATTACACAGCTGTTACCTCAATCTAAGTTAAAGAATCATATTCCTACCAAAAATACAACTTTCATGAAGAGCTCTACCGAACATTTAGTATAGACAACATTTAGTATCACCATCTTCCATTTATTTATAAATGTTATCTTCTCAGTGGGAGACATTAAGACTAAAGCAGATGAAAATAAATGCTCACAAGTTTCTCCTTGGCAAAAAGAGGTCTCTACCACCATGTACCTATTTTATAACACTGCTGTGAGACTCCTATTTGAGATAATCAATAAACATAAGCTTACTCCAAAATTTCATAGCTTTCAAAATAAAAACGTCAATGTCATAGAGGTAACATAAATTAACGTTAAGAAAGTTAATATTCTTACTTTTCTGTTTGTTCTTTTTCGTTTTCCTAAAAGGAGAGAAAAAAAAGAAAAATAATTATTTCCAGTAAAACTGCCTCTGTTTCAACTCCCTTTATCAGGGTTAAGTTCACAGAGAAATACTAACTTGGATAAAGGATCAGGTGGTAAATATGTGTCCTACTCAGACACAAGGATTTTTATTGATAGTTGGTTAAATTCCCATCTCTCTCCACATAATAGAAAAAAATAAACCAAGCCAGGCGCAGTGGCACATGCCTGTAATCCCAGCATTTTGGGAGGTGAAGAGGGGGTGGATCTCTAGAGCTCAAAATTCCAGACCAGCCTGGGCAACATGGCAAATCCTGTTCTCTATAAAAAATACAAAAATTAACTGGGCATACTGGCAAACGCCTATAGTCCCAGCTACTTGGGAAGCTGAGGTGAGAGGATTGCTTGAGCCCAGGAGGCCAAGGCTGCAGTGAGCCTTGATTGCACCACTGCACTCCAGTCTTGGTGACAGAGACCCTGTCTCAAAGACAAAAAAAAAAGAAAAGCAAACCAAGAACACTTTAGTAAACAACTTCGTTCTTCCAGGGTTATATTAATATATGTTATAGTATATACTACATTATTAGGCCCACCAAAAAAAAAAGGTGTCAAAGGTTAAAATTTTTTTCCAATTATTTTTGTTCCCCAAAATATTTTTAGATTTGTGTAATTTTTTTGTTTTAAGTCTCCTCATCTTGATTATCATCTCTAACAGCAACTTACCTCACGTCACTTATATACTGTCAAATGGTAAATTGCTAATTTTGCTTTATTTATTTATTTTGAGATGGAGTCTTGCTCTGTCTGTTGGGTGATCTCGGCTCACTGCAACCTCCTCCTCCCGGGTTCAAGCGATTCTCCTGCCTCAGCCTTCCAAGTAGCTGGGACCATAGGCACCCACCACCACTCCCAGCTCATTTTTGTATTTTAAGAGACGGGATTTCACCATGTTGGCCAGGCTGGTCTCAAACTCCTGACCTCAAGTGATTCGCATACCTCGGCCTTCCAAAATGCTATTACAGGCGTGTGCCACCATGCCTGGCCTAATTTTGCTTTTTTACATTATTATTTCTAGACCACAAAGGAAACAGTTTATAGAGCCCATGATTATGGATTACTTTCGATGGAAAGATACTATAACACCTGGATTTTTTACTTTTCTGTAGCTTTAAATAATACTTATAAATGTTATTAATTAAATATATTCATTTAATTTAGGTCTTAAGGTTTGACAATTCAAATTAACTTATGTTTGGATATAAACACAAAAATCTGTGTATAGGTTTTCTCTTGTCTGTTAGTTTTGTAAAAATCTGTTGGACTGTATTTCTCGGTCAAAGTCAACCATGAACTTTACTTGCACGTGTCAATATGTGGAGACCAAGAGAAACCAATAGTCTTCACACTCAATCCTTTACCCACTCACCTCTGTAATATAAAACTAAAATACTGACAGGTGATCTCAACTCTAAAGTAAAAGATCTATAAAATATAGATGAGTTCAGCATCCCAAAGCCAAAATGCTCCAAAAATCCCAATTTTCTGAGCCAACATGACATTCAAAGGAAATGCTCATTGAAGCATTTTGGATTTGGGATGTTCAACAGGTAAGTATAACGCAAACATTTCAAAATCCAAAAAAAGTCTGGAATCTGAAACGCTTCTGGTCCGAAACACTTCAGATAAGGGATATTCAACCCATACACTTCAATAAGTCCTAGTAGTAAGAGCTTGACATTCATGCTTCAAACGTCTAGACTGAGGATCCTTCAAAAGACTCAGAAGCCAGTTTGAAGAGGCTTCTACTGTTCAAGAATGGGAAATTTAAATTTTAAAGCTTTACTTCATATATTTACTCAGCCATTATTTTTGTAGTGGAGACTGCACAATGCTGTATTCAAATGCAAATAACTTATGGGCATACTACCACTTAAGATTTCTATATAATAACTTAGCACAGTGATAAAGAATTAGTTATGAACTATTACTTTTGATAAAAATCTTTTCTATATAGAGAAAATTACTGCCTTTTAAGACATAATTACTATTAAATCCTAATGAAATACTACACTACAGTTTTCCAAAGAACCAGATCATGAAAACATGTTACCACTTATTAAAACTATGAACAATCCTCAAATAGTAACACACTTAATCCTTGCCAATTATCTTCTCACCAAAAAGAGTTTAAAAAAAAATAAAAAGCTTCAAACATCTCCAAATGCATTAAATACTAAATACCTTCATTAGTAACACCTTACTTTTTTTAAGAGGCTGGAGCGCAGTGGTGCAATCACAGATCACTGCAGCCTAGAACTCCTGGCCTCAAGCAATCCCTCCCACCTCAGCCTCCCAAAGCACTGGGTGTAACACCTTACTTTTAAGTAGAAAAATCAGATCAGTAATTCTGGTAGGAAATAAAATGACCTCTTAATAAAAGTTATAATTTTTGTTTTTATTATTACAAATACTTAAGAATACTTATTAAGTTACCACTCTTGTCATCCACTTTCAGGTACATCAACTTTTTTTTTTTTCTTTTTAAAAGACAGGATCTCACTCAGTCGCCAAGACTAAAGTGCAGCCTTGACCTCCTGGGCTCAAGTGACCCTCCCACATCGGCCTCCTGAATAGGTGGGACTACAAGCATGTGCCACCACCCCCGAGCTAATTTTTTTATTTTTCTGTAGAACCAGAGGCTCCCGATGTTGCCCAAGTTGGTCTCAAACTCCTGGGCTCAAACCATTCTCCTGCCTCAGCCTCCCAAACAAAGTAGGGGGATTACAGGTGTGAGCCACCGCACCGTCCTACATAAACTTTAAACATACAAAATGTATGCATGCACATGACTTTCTCACTCTAGGCTTCTTATCAGATGTTCTAAAATCTAGAGTTAACAAGAAGTAATGGTTTTGTGCCAGGAGCAGTGGCTCACGCCTATAATCCCAGCACTCTGGGAGGCCAAGGCAGGTGGATCACCTGAGGTCAGGAGGTCAGCCTGACCAACATGGTGAAACTCCATCTCTACTAAAAATACAAAAATCAGCCAGGCGTGGTGGCACACGCCTGTAATCCCCGCTACTTGGGAGGCTGAGGCAGGAGAATCACTTGAACCCAGGAGGCAGAGGTTGCAGTGAGCACAGATCACACCACTGCACTCCAGCCTGGGCAACAAGAGGGAAACTCTGTCTCAAAAAAAAGCAATGGTTTTCTTAGGGGTGGGGATGAGGAGGGCAGTTATTTGAAACCTTAACTTCTCACATATTCTTACCATGAGTTTCACCAAAGTGGAGGTTAATTCGTATGTATTTTTAGCACTTGCCAGCACTTGCTTTTTAGGTTTGAAAAGGCTTGCCAAAAGTTATCTCAAAACTTATAACCACTAGTACTATCTTTGTAAGAGAAAACATCACACACATATATTTATACACACAAGTTAAAGGGAGGGGGAACCTGCTGAGGAAAATTAAGGAATACGTTATTTTAAACTACTTTAACGACCTGATACCTGAGGAATGGGATTCTTACTGGTTCCAACAATGTTCCAAAGTTTCCACTTCAACACAGTCTAACACACAATGAACATAAAATATTATCTTCACATATAGTATGCAAAATCAAAACAAAGAGCTTCTTACACTTCAACATTTTTCTGTTGCAGACCAGATGTCTTCTTTCCTGGGGCAGCCCCTCTCATCTTCCCCTCTGCATACTGCTCCCTTCAAAAATAATTTCAGTAATGTCAACATAAAATGAGCATTTATGTGAAAAAAAAATTGTCAGCCTGATTCCATTAGGAATTTACATTCAAATTCTGGCAACAAGTTTTTAACAAGTTGGACAGAGATATTTCCACAAAAATCAAACAAAACACTCAAGAAACAGCAAAAGGCTCAATTAAAATCAATGTAATAAAAAGTGACTGTAATAGACTGTTCTCATAGCATTGAAAATTCCATTTGTTTTGGAATTCACTAATCCCAGTGTTTTATTTGTTCCCATTACCATTTTAATTCTTTTTTTTTTTTTTTTTGAGACAGAGTTTCACTGTGCTGCCCAGGCTACACTGCAGTGGCGCGATCTCCGCTCACTGAAAGCTCTGCCTCCCGGGTTCACGCCATTCTCCTGCCTCAGCCTCCGGAGTAGCTGGGACTACAGGCGCCCGCCACCATGCCCGGCTAATTTTTTGAATTTTTAGTAGAGACGGGGTTTCACCGTGTTAGCCAGGATGGTCTTGATCTCCTGACCTCGTGATCCACCCGCCTTGGCCTCCCAAAATGCTGGGATTACAGGCGTGAGCCACTGCGCCCAGCCATCGTTTTAATTTTTTTAAAAATACATTTCAACTTTGAGATTACCCTATAAATCATAGAGTCTTTCAGGGTCCCTTTTCCCGTGCTTTCAGAGATGAAAAGCAGAATAGGAAATGCCTCGTTTGCTTGTTTCCCCACCAAATTTGTCTTCCAGAGCCCCCGAAAATAAAGATTTTTATCAGTGAGTTCATACCTATAGCAATTTCCAACAACATTCTGCTGTTTTCTACCTAGGTCTAAGATAAGCTCAAGTAATGGCAGGTATGCTACTTCCTTTACCTAGATATGGCTTGATCGCTTGAAGTCAAAGCTGTAACACAGCAGCTGAAAGGTACCAGGAATCATTTTATAGGCAGGGCAGCCAACATGATCTCCATTGTTCATTCCATGTCCAGAATTAATCTACAGGCATTTCTCCTTAATATTCAGTTCACAAAACAAACTTACTGATTGGCTTTTTGAAGTTCTCGCTGTTTCTGCAAATTGGTGTCCACGTATTTGAGTACTCTGCTCTCCGGAACCCATTCATCCCAACTGAAAAAGAGGAAAGTTAAAATTTAACTCAAAAATACTCTGTTCTCCAACTAATTTTCTGAGATCAAGAGGCAAGACTGGATTTCTCTTAAGTAATTTGATGAACTGGCACTACAAATATATTCTCAACTAAAATGAAGATCTAATGGAAGTCTGTTCTGTAAAAAGGAAAACTTTTTATTTTCAAAAAGCAGCATTCCAAATCTAAGCTGCCAGAGTCCAAAAGCAGATTATTCAAATCATTTTTAGAAATGGCTTAAGAGTTTGGCACTTAATGTAAGATTCACTAAGTGATTAGTCTTATGTTATCTTAAAGACTTTTATTGTCAAAAATAAAGCACAGGAGTCAAAAACTCAGTTATTTTTAAAAATTAAAACCAGCTGTGTGTAATGACAAAGTTCCATATAGCTTTGTGTTTTCATTTCATTCTCTATGAAATGAGGATAACAACAGTACTTATCTCAAATAACTGTTATGAGAATACATGTAAAACACCTGAGAATCCCTGACACAAAACAACACTAAAGGTATGTCAGAAACATATTAGGAAGTCTACAATACTCAAACACCAACTAGACTAACTTAAGTTTGTAAAGTATTAAAATGATTTGACACCATTCTCCACCTTCATTCAGTCACAAATGAATACACACTAATAACTTTCAAGGCTGATCAGAAAGCTGGCTTTCTAAATATTAGAAGGCAGAACCAACTCTCTCAAAAATGTTAAGACATTCTGGCACTTCAAAGAGCTTGTTCAAAACACAATTTCTGATTATGTGTTTTTTCCCCCAAAATGGCAAACAAAAACAATGTAATTTCTTAGGGAATGCTAACTTTTTTTGAGCAGTAAATCTTTTCTCCTGCTGATGGAGCTCCTTTAGTGACACAATTAGGTGTACTCTCAAGGCACCCAATTACAAAAAAAAATTTAAGACTTTCTTTTGTTTAATGATTTCCCACCTCTGACCTCTTATATAATACAGCCAAGAGGAAAATAATAAAAAGCAATCCTGAACATGATTTCCTAGAGAAAATTTCAAAACATGCATTTACCTAGAGGTCAGGAGGGGGTGGTGTACTGAGGGAGCTCCTTCAGGAACAGGAAAAAGGGCTACAATATCCTCATGTGTCTTCAAAGATTTTTCAGAGCGCCTGGGCCTCACAGCACTTCTGATACAGACAGCATAGTACAAAGTAATCTCAGTGACCAGGTGCAGAATTGAGCCTCAGCTTTATTAAGATTCATTTACAAATGGAGTATTTAAGTGTGTGTCAACAAATTCCAATGAGGTTTGAAAATTT
Source organism: Homo sapiens (assembly GCF_000001405.40). NCBI lineage: Eukaryota > Metazoa > Chordata > Mammalia > Primates > Hominidae > Homo > Homo sapiens. The sequence goes on along the minus strand of NC_000015.10, from coordinate 78,884,834 downwards.
AGAAATCTCCATCATCTATTATGTTTTTGAAAAAAGATTAACTGAAGTTTAAGAGAATTCCAATTTAGGGATTAAGGTTTTGTTGTACGAATTTTAAAAAGTACCCTGCACAAGCCATTTTCAAAATGAGATTATTTTTGAGATATTTGTGTGTGTGTGTGTGTGTGTGTGTGTATTTTTTTTTTTTTTTTTTTTGAGACAGAGTTGCGCTCTCGTTGCCCTGGCTGGAGTGCAATGGCGTGATCTTGGCTCACCACAACCTCTGCCTCCTGGGTTCTAGCGATTCTCCTGCCTCAGCCTCCTGAGTAATTGGGATTACAGGCATGCGCCACCACGCCCAGCTAATTTTGTATTTTTAGTACAGACAGGGTTTCTCCATGTTGGTCAGGCTTGTCTCGAACTCCTAGCCTCAGGTGATCCGCCCACCCTCGGCTTCCCAAAATGCTGGGACTACAGGTGCGCGCCACTACACCCAGCTAATTTTTAGTAGAGACAGAGTTTCACCACCATGGCCAGGCTGGTTTTGAACTCCTGACCTCGTGATCCACCTGCCTAGGCCTCCCAAAGTGCTGGGATTACAGGCATGAGCCATCGCGCCTGGCAAGAATTTCAGCTTTTTGTTTTTTTTTTTGAGATGGAGTCTTGCTCTGTCGCCCAGGCTGGAGTGCAGTGGCACGATCTCGGCTCACTGCAACCTCTGCCTCCCAGGTTCAAGCAGTTCTCCTGCCTCAGCCTACAAACTAGCTGGGATTACAGGCATGAACCACCACACCTGGCTAATTTTTGTATTTTTACTAGAGACGGGATTTCATCATGTTGGCCAGGCTGGTCTAGAACTCCTGACCTTGTGATCTGCCCGCCTCGGCCTCCCAAAGTGCTGGGATTACAGGTGTGAGCCACCGCGCCTGGCCCAGAATTTCATAGTTTTCTAACGGTAATGTGACTAATTCCCAGAGTCACAATGATCCATGGGCAGTACTTACATAGACTAAATACACAACACACTAGGTATCTGAATAACTCCTCCCCCTTTCAAAATGAATTTAAAGGTTTCTTTAAAGACTTTCTAAAGCTAAGATCATTCTTTCAACATTGCATATATTTATCTACATGCCAAGTCAACCAAAGACATTTCTGATATATTAATATTCCTCAATACATCTACAAAGATAGTAACAAATCTCTAATATTTGATGCTATTTTTTCTTAACTTTCCCCAACAGTAATTAATATGTGTCAAATTAGTTGAGAACAAAAAAATCTACACAAACCTATCATTTCTTTGAGTTACTGGACTACAATACACCAAAGAGGAAAATGCCCATTATTTTTCGAAACAATAAAATCTGAAAATACAAGCATTTGGTATTTTCACAACTTGTGACAAGCTACAAATGCCACTTAAAATCCAGTCTTTGCGCTGTACACATCTATGTGTGCAATTTTATACAGGGTTATCTATTATATGTGAAAAAGAACTAAGCACAAAAGCTGTATTCACAGTTACTAAGGTGAAATTCTAAAATAATTTTTTAAGGTTTTTAAAAATATCTTCTTTATTCTATTCCCTTGTCGTAGTTTCCCTTAGTTTTTTATGTGTTCAATCGCTTTTTTTTTTTTTTTCCTGAGTCTCACTCTGTCGCCTAGGCTAGAATACAGTGGTGCAATCTCAGCTCACTGCAACCTTCGCCTCCTGGGTTCAAGCGATTCTCCTGCCTCAGCCTCCCCAGCAGCTGGGACTACAGTCGTGTGCCACCACACCTGGCTAATTTTTTTATTTTTAGTAGAGATGGGGTTTCACCATGTTGGCCAGGCTGGACTTGAACTCCTGACCTCAAATGATCCAACCGTTTTGGCCTCCCAAAGTGTTGAGATTACAGGCATGAGCCACTACACCCAGCCTCAAACACTTTTTTAAAATTTTTATTTGCTTAATTATAAGAGGGGTGTCTACCTATGTTGCCCAGGCTGGCCTCAAACTCCTGGGCTCAACCTCAGCCTCCCTAAGAAGCTAAAACTATAGGCACCACCATACTGGCTCTAAAACAATTCCTTTAAAATGCAGGAGATGGAGGAGATTAAGCCTAAACCATAAATTTGCTTTGTGTTTTTTTTTGATATCCTATATGGTCTTTCCCACTCATAGTATGCATAAAATTAAGATGTTATCTTTCCTGTAGAGAAATGAAATTCTCCTAACACTCTCAACTTTATCTGGATATTGTCAGAATATCAACACACAAAATATAAGTCTAATAAAGATTGAAATGCAGTTTTAGCAAGGCATTGTTTAGTAATAAAAAGCTATGAGATACACTAGGAGTCACTATTTTCCTGTTTCCTAGATATTAGAATCCATTTAGTACTAAAAGCACAGTTTACTTCTACCAAGACAGTTTTCTCCATTATTTTCCCAACTTCTCAATATTTAAAATACAAGTCCATGAGGTTGGAGTTACCTATCATTATTAAATATTACCTATCATTATTAGAAATACATGTTGTTGTTTCTTTTTAAAGGAGTCCAGATCTTGCTCTGTCACTCAGGCTAGAGTGCAGTGGCACATCATAGCTCACTGCAGCCCCAAACTCCTGGGCTCAAGTAATCCTCCTGCCTCAGCCTTCCAAGTAGCTACAGGTGCACACCACCACACCTCACTGATTAGAAATACTTTAATTATCATTAACTGGGAAAAAAATACCCACAAGTTGTCAGGATGCACTTCTATGCATTTCAGATTTCTACCTTTCCACATTTATATTAATGGAAGTAAAAGGTCTGATAAATTCTCAGCTGAAAACATCTGATACGTGAAAACAACTTCCTAACAAAGAAATAAAATTAACTGGGTTGGTCACCTGGATAGAGTACTAGATGAAACAAGACCAAAGTCACAGGGCCAGTGAACTTCACAGGAAAAATAAACTCCTTCCATAGTAACAGAATACTCATCAAATCAGATGGCACTGATCCCATAGTAAACCAGGTAAAAGAGCCTGAGTCAGGTGACACAAAGCCTTAAGTTACTAGAGGACAATTCCACAAGAACAATACTAAATAGCAATGGCAGTGCTATCTTTGAAGGACAAGGCATCATTAATAAAATGTAAAACCTCCCATAGTAAAAATTACAAGTCTTTTCATTACAATCACCAAATAGGAGACTTGGGTAAATTTTTAGACAGGGTTATTTGTGAGGCCCAAGGAGAAAAGTCCCATCACTGAAAAACAGCTCCACTGGATGGACATTCTAGAATGTGTTCAATCTATACCCACTGTCCATTCCTAGAACAAGATCAATAACATCGGTACTTTACATACACACACACACACACAAAAAGGCCGGGCAGTGGCTCACACCTGTAATCCCAGCACTTTGGGAGGCCGAGGCGGGTGGATCACCTGAGGTCAAGAGTTCAAGACAGCCTGGCCAATGTGGTGAAACTCCGTCTCTACTAAAAATACAAAAAATTAGCTGGGCATGGTGACAGGTGCCTGTAATCCCAGCTACTCAGGAGGCTGAGGCAGGAGAATCACCTGAACCCCTGAGGCGGAGGTTGCAGTGAGCCGAGCTCACACCATTGCACACTCCAGCCTGGGCAACGAAAGCAAAACTCCATCTCTCAAAAAAAAAAAAAAAAAAAGGCTTAACTCTTAGGGGTGAGAAATTAAGACTCTATAATTGAATGTTTCTGTGTTAAACCATGCTAAAAAGTGAGTCACATGAAGTCATTTTCGGTCAACACTAAATAATGTTTCCAAAGTTCAGAATATGGACTGGTAAATTCTGTCTTTATTTCCCAATCAAGCAACCTTTATCCTTTCCCCTTTTCTAGACAGAAAACCCAACTAGTTTTTTTTAGCACAGCTGCTTGAAATAACATATATAATCAACATGTTTGTGGTAAGGCCAAATAATTCAGGCCATCCTAAAAATGTACCAAAACCAGGAAAAAAAAAAAAACAGAAAAATGTGATTGCCACATTCAACCAGAATAATTGATTGACTATATGACTAATAGATATTACACTAGAACATAACAAATATTCCCAAGATCCAAGTATATTTAAATTAAAATGGCTCAGTACCCTAATTTCTAATAGTTTTGTCATACTACAAATGATTCACCTTTGCTTCAATATGTACTATATTACATTAAAACTGCAGAATTGAAAAGCATATGCTTGCTAAGCCAGTCAGTGACACAAGCTATCTTGTTAATTACAAATAGAATTGTAAGATCTAATACTCACTTTTTATTCCAACCACTGTAATGTATGAAGTATTTCACTTGTTTGTCCTTTATGGCAACCTTTACACACTGAAATTCAAAAAAAAAATAATAATTCACTTAGAAATTTTTTAAAGACACTACCTTTTCAAATCATCCTTCAAAGACACTCTACACAAGCTTTATGGTGGCCTAAACAGAATGACTAAGAACACTAAGCTTGTAGAATACTCAAGTTACAAAACTGAAGATTAGTCACAAAAGGTCCAACAAAGCTGAGAACCACAAGCATAAAAGGTCACCTTAAATCTTTAATCAATGGATTACAAAAGCTATCCAAGGACAGCTAATGAAAGCTATGCTTGTGTCTTCTCAGTCTAATCAGCCAGGAGCTATATTTATTTCAAAAGCAAATTCCTCTAAAGCAAAGTCTTTAAACTATATTATAAAAAAACTTCATTAGCTTATGAAAGGCAGTAAATGGACCTGTTTCTGAAAAGTTAGTTTAAACAACTTGTAAAGCAATGAATTAAAAATATTTCACTTTTCTTAAAAGCAGCCAGACAAAAGGAATTACTAGAGGCAAGTCATTAACTATGACAAGTGATGACTATCTGGTTTTGGATTTAAAAGTCTTTAAGAGAAAACCAAAATAACCACAACAGTTTAATTTGTTTCAATAGCTTCAATTCGAAAATTGTTCACCAGAGTGTCAGGTGCCAGGAGAAAAATCAGCCAGTTTAGTAGAGTTTGCCAAACGTTGATACAACAATAACAACATTCAGGGATAAAAACGATTAACAGGACATAATTTTTTTTTTTTTTTTTGGTAGAGACAGTCTTGCTATCTTGCCCAGACTGATCTCAAACTCCTGACCTCAAGTGATCCTCCTGCTTTGGCTCCCCAAAGCCCTGGGATTACAGGCTTGTACGTCACAGCCCCTGGCCATGAGTCGTAATTTAGCACTTACAAACATTATATCATTAAGATGTATGTACGTATACATATACTTAGAAATTCCTGACCATCTCCATACATCCAAATTCAGTCATTTTAGGATTTCTTTTTTAAGAGACAGTCTCCCAAGGGGCAATGGCTCACACCTCTAATCCCAACACTTTGGGAGGCCGAGGCAGGTGGATCACGAGGTCAGGAGTTCAAGACCAGCCTGGTCAACATGGTGAAACCCCGTCTCTACTAAAACTACAAAAATTAGCCAGGTGTGGTGGCTGGTGCCTGTAATCCCAGCTACTCGGGAGGCTGAGGCAGGAGAATTGCTTCAACCCGGGAGGGGGACGTCACAGTGAGCCAAGATCGCACCACTGCACTCCAGCCTGGGCGACAGAGCAATACTGTCTTGGGGGGCGGGGCGGGGCGGGGAGCATAAAAATAAAGAGAGAGAGAGTCTCGCTTGGTTGCCCAAACTGGCCTTGAACTCCTGGGCTCAAGCAATCCTCTAGCCTCAGCCTTCTGAGTAGCTGAAACTACATGCATGTGCCACCGCGTTTGGCTCTTTAGAACTTTAAAAATACACTTCTGTGTATTTAGAACACAGGAAAAAAAAAAGTAGTGAAAATGGCTAATATTTAGTCAGAAATGTCTGACACTTTAAGGCTATTTTCAGACACATATAGCATAAAACTACTCACCAAGAATTTATGCAGAAATTACATAAATTAAACATTATACTGTTTTGTATTTTACGGGCTCATTTTTGGAGCTACGACTGTTTAAGGTATAGTCAAGTCTTAAATATTTGTACTAAAAAAGTTATCAGAAACAAAATACTGAAACTTTTTTTTACTTTGGAATGCATTCTCCTGCTTACCTTCAGCTAAATGTAAAATCAGTTTTTATAACTTGAGCACACCCTGATACAAAGGGGGCCTCCCAGAATACAAACTTTGCCAGACAAATCAACAATCAACAGTTAAATGTACTTATTTTTAATATTGGCTTTTACCTTTAACCTAATATAATTAGCTCAATGCTTACTCAGCATATATTACTTTTAAAAGTAACTTCAGCAATGTTTTCTCACCAAGTCATTAACCACAAAATGCTCTTTGTTCCCACAGCCCATCTTCCCCTTCTAACATTCCCCTCAAATGCTACTTCCAGATGAGTAAGAAAAGTGGAAGAGAGTAGCAATGTTTTAATTCATTTGAGCCACTAAGCAAAACAATAAGAATCTCAGAAAGATGAAGAAATTTATTAACTACGAACCTAAAAAAGGCAACTCTCTTACTGAGGCAACAACAAAATACTGTACTTGTATATTAAATGGCCAGATCTAACCAGTAGTTTTGGCCAACTTCTCAAAAGAAAACAAGTTTCATACCTTTGCTTCATAAAGAAGAGGCCCATGAAAGCACAGCACTCGCTCACCTGTAAAGGGAGAAAAAGTACTGAATTGTAATTTCTTCTCATATATAAAAAGATTAACATCTTAGAGAGTCATCACACTTTTATTAAGGTATTCCTAGCCAAATTAGGAAAAATGAGGACGGGTATACAGAGCACCACTTTGGCTCAAACTTCAACTATACCCTACGACAAAAACACGTTGGTATCCGATGGTAAAAACAAAAACAATTCATTAGCAGGTCAATCTACTTAAATAATCAAATCATCTATCACCTGTTAAGCACATAAGCGGACTCTCCTGCAAAGCTGTCGAGGTTGGTTGGTTGGTTGGTTTTAACTATATATCTGAAAATACAGTTTTTTAAATGCTTTCCTCATCTGTTTTTCTAAGTTGAGGACCTTTACTCTCCACTTGTATCTCTGCTTCCAACCCTTTTACTCAGTGAAATATCGTACAAATTAAAATATCAATATGCATCAGAGATTGGCTGGATTAAGGGGTCTCACTATGTTCATTCTTCAAATGTGGAATGATGTTCTAGGTGCTAAGTTGCTTCAATGAACAAAGAAATGAGACAATAAAGCCTAACCTTTGGAACGTAACAGTCTACGTTGAGCCTACTTCAAGACTAAAGAAAATGTCAGGACCTGGAAGTCTTGGAAGCAATTCTAGGCAGTACCTCAGATTACATTTGAGTGTAGCTTGAAAGATTTTGCACACATTATTTTCAGTCCACTTGGTTTCAAAAGACCCATGGACAACTGAAATATCCAAGAATGTCAGCTCTTTTTTAGCTCTAAAATTAAAAGAGCAGGCGGGGCGAGGTGGCTCACGCCTGTAATCCCATCACTTAGGGAGGCCGAGGTGGCTGGATCACCTGAGGTCAGGAGTTTGAGACCAGCCTGGCCAACAGGCGAAACCCTGTCTCTTCTAAAAATACAAAAATCAGCCAGGCATGGTGGTGTGTGCCTGTAATCCCAGCTATTCGGGAGGCTGAGGCACGAGAATCGCTTGAACCCGGGAGGTGGAGGTTGCAGTGAGCTAAGATCTTGTCACCGCACTCCAGCCTGGGTGAGAAGGAGCCGCCCTCTCAAAAAAAAAAAAAAAAAAAAAAAAAAATCAGCCGGGCGTGGTGATGTGCACCTTCAGTCCCAGCTACCAGCTACTCGGGAGGCTGAGACATGAGAATCGCTTGAACCCAGGAGCTGGAGGTCGCAGTGAGCAGAGATCACACCACTGCACTCCAGCCCGGATGGGAGAGCAAGACTCCGCCTCAAAAAAAAACCACTAAAATTTAAAATATTTTTTAAAACTATGTATTTTCAAGCCCCACCAAAGACCCATATTATTAGACTCTCCCAGAGCACGACCTATTAACTTTATTTTTAAATCAGTTCTATAATTCTTTTAAGTGGTCACTCTATAAAGAATCACTGCTAGAGGCTGCTGGACCTACGAATAGCATTTCTGAATTAAAGACGGAGACTGGAAAACGGGAAGATCAAAGACTTCTCCAACGGCCCAGGAACGAGAACTAAAATGGGTAAACTATACTGCTAATAAACAGCGAACAAGATCAGATCAGATCTGTGTTTCCTAATTTCACTCTCCTGGTACATTTTAAAGGCACTCTGAAAATGGCCTACCATTTTTCTCCCCTTGGCTGCTACTGCCGGAAAAAAAAGTGCACTGAAACCGAGGCCCTGTGACCTCCATTCTAGCTACGAGGCCCTAGTATTTTGTTGAAAAAATATACAGCTAGCTGAGGAGTATGACCCAGGACAGCAAATGCTCCGTCTCAAAATCTAAACAAAACAAAACAAAAAAGAATTTCCAATGGAAAACCAAGTCCAGTGCAAAGCAATCACTATGCCTTAAGAATTGCTTATACAACATATATTGCACGCCATTATCAAATAAAAAAAAACTTTTTTATAAGTTTACGAGTTGTTTTTTTTTTAACAAGTTTACAAGAATCATTAAAAACCCTATTTCTCGGCCGGGCGCGGTGGCTCGCACCTGTAATCCCAGAACTTTGCGACGGCGAAGTAGGCGGATCACGAGGTCAGGAGATCGAGACCATCCTGGCCAACATGGTGAAACCCCGTCTCTACTAAAAATACAAAAATTAGCTGGGCGTGGTGGCGCGTGCCTATAATCCCAGCTACTCAGGAGGCTGAGGCAGGTGAATCGCTTGAACCCAGGAGGCGGAGGCTGCAGTGACCCGAGATCGCGCCACTGGACTCCAGCCTGGGCGACAGAGCAAGACTGTCTCAAAAAGAAAAAAACAAAACAAAACAAAAAAACACTACTTCTCGCCACTCTTTTCTCTACCATTACATAAACTCTACAGTGTTTCAAGACGATTCTGTTAGCACTCATCAAATATTCTTTTTCCCTTGCAAGATATTCTCCGATCATCTAATTAATAAATTTTTTTTTTTTTTGAAATGGAGTCTCACTCTGTGGCCCAGGCTGGAGTGCGATGGCAGGATCTCGGCCTACTGCAACCTCCGACTCCCGGGTTCAAGCGATTTCCTGTCTCAGCCGCCCGAGTAGCCGGGATTACAGGAGCCTAACACCACGCCCTGCTAATTTTTGTATTTTTAGTAGAGACTGGGTTTCACCAGGCTCACCAGGCTGACCAGGCTGGTCTCGAACCGCTGACCTCAGGTGATCCACCGCCCCCACCCACCTCGGCCTCCCAAAGTGCTGGGATTAGAGGCGTGAGCCACCGTGCCCCACCCACTAAAATCATTTTTAAAACGTGGTTACACAATTCCATTTTAAACACAAGTACAAAACACACCTGGAAAGTAATGTTAAATACAGACTCTCTTACACAGCTTTCAAACCCTTACCTGGGGATACCTTGGTTCCTACTCTTCTCCAATTACCCCACTTAAAACGGCACAAGGAAATCTCTGCTGCTACTCCTCTCTTAACTAGCAACCCTCTAGAACTAAAGCGCTTCTTCCAGAACAGCCATCCTTAGGTTGTTCCCACAGCAGCGATTAACTTTTTGTGCCTTGACAGTCTGATAAACCCTACGAGCCTAATAGTTTCATAAATACATAAAACACACACTAGTACAAAGGAAACCAACTGTACTGAAACAAAACACTTTAAATGTCACGTTCTATGACATTACAGGACAAACAAGACTTGGCTGCTAATACAATAACTACCCTAATTTTGAAGAAATAAGAATGCGATAACTGAAAACATCTTCCATAACTGTAATGTTGAGATATGAAAATATACTGAAAATGCTAATGTGGTGGTTTTTTTCGGGGTTTAGGGGGAGCAATTACACTGTTAATTGAAATACTAAACTTGGGAGATAGAAAAAAAAATCTTCCTCAATTTCACGCACCGTCTCAATTAATGCACTGACTCTAGATTAAGAATATCTGCTCTAAAATGTCTAGTAAAATAATGAACCCATAGGAGGTAGAGTCAACAGCTTCTCAAGGTGAGAGAGGGGTATTAAAAGTCACACGGCCGAGAGCGATGCCTCACGCCCGTTAACCCCCCACAACTTTGGGAGGCCGAGGCGGGTGGATCGCTCAAGCCCAGGAGTTCGAGACCAGCCTGGGCAACATGAAACCCCGTCTCTACCAAAAATACAAAAAAAAAAAAAAAAAAAGAAAGAAAAAGAAAAGAAAAAACAAAAACCCTAAAAAACAAAACAGAACAAAACAAAACTTAGCCGGACGTGATGGCGCGCGTCTGTGATCCCAGCTACTTGGGAGGCTCGCTTTAGCCCGGGTGGGGGGCAGAGGTGAGCCGAGATAGCGTCACTGCACTACAGCCTGGGTGACAAACATCGTCTCAAAAATACAAACAAAAAAAGTCACTCATTAACAAAATACCCCTAAAACCTCCTTAAATATTCCATAAACTTAAAATACGCAGTACTACGGTTTGAGGTTTACGGCTCTAAAAGGAATTCTAATGCAAGTCTAAAAACCCCTAGAACAAAAATCGTACGCATGTAGACATCGTATTTACGGTAACTAGCATAAATTTCCATAGCAATGAAAAGGAATGTTAAAGTGTTCCTCCTTTCTCAACAGGACTTTACTTCCTTTTTAGCTATTAGACCTCCACCTTATTATACGTTAACTGAAGCGTTGTGAAAATTTAAAGAGCTGCCTTCCACTGGGAGTCAGTCTAACCTTACCCAAAACTCATGTCAATCGAAAACCAATTAATAAAAAGAAATTCAACTTTCAAGTCATTGTTAAACACTGCAACTAATCAAACAATTACTGCATTTAAAAAATGACGTCGAGGCAATGGGACTTACAAATGCAAACGGCGTCAACACTGCATTCAGATCATTTTTATTTACTTTTTACGAGCAACTGCAAAGCGAGAGCTCACTCACATTACCATAGGATCTCGGCACTGCGCCCAAGAATAGCAGAGTGATGCCTCCAGGCAACACAAAGCGGAGGAAAACGCTCATCTCACTTTTTTTTTTCTGTCCCCACCCACCACTCTGTGGTATGCGGAGGGCCCCGGCAACCTTCTGGTCGTCGTGGAAGGGGGCGCTGCATCTGCCCGTAAGCTGTGCCTCCATACGGGACCGAGACGCCGGCGGCCATGATGGCGCCGCCATCTTGCAACGGCCATTTTACAACGCACTTCTCCCGCCCCGTGGCGCCAAACCCACCCCCATCCGCAGCTGAGTTGCCACCGAACGCAACCACCCCGGGGCTCCAGGAAGCACCGAAAAACCCGTCGTAGCTGCCCAAGCGGCCGGGCGCGCCGCAGGACCGCCCGAAACAGCCACCGCCCCTCCCCCCCCGCCGCCACATCACTTCCCCTAACCGCCGCCATGGCGCTCCCGTCGCCTCCCTACAATAGGCTGCTCTCTCCGCGCCCTCTTCCTCAGAACAATAACAAACACTTGACGAGGGTGTGCCACGCGCCAAACGCTCTCTCTCCCACTCTAACGCCTGCGCAGCACTCTCGCTTCACAAAGCGCTTTCTCACAATGACGCACCGGAATTGCCATCCGCAATGCGCTTTCCCCGCACAAAGCACTGACCGCCGCCTTCTCAGGGCGCAGCCCGCGCCGCCCCCGGCCCTCAAGCCTCAATCACCTCGAGCCCGCCTCTATCTCCTGCGCCGTTAGGTGCCTTTTTCCCAAAGGCGCACACTCACCCTCCTGGAATTTAGGCTTCGGGTCCTGCTTCGGCGCCATTTATAAGTGATTCGCCGCCTCCTCCTTCTCCCACCACCCCCGACTACCGCCCCCTACTCTCTACCCCACCCAACTCCGCGTCAGACGCGCCGTCAGGCACTGCCAGCTCTACATCCTGGGCCGGATTTGCCAGCGCCCGCAGACCTCACAGCACCGCGACCCGCGCAGCCGCTGCTCCAGCCAACGACAGCCCGCCGCGCACGCGCCCCTGCGCCCGCGCCGCCCCAGGGCACGCCGGGACTGGTAGTTCGGAGTCGGTGGAGGCGCCCCCCCCCCCCCCCCGGGTGGGGGAGGGGCCGGCTACCCTACCCCACCCCACCCCCGCTTCTCTCTCCATGCCCCCGGCTGCTGCGGGTTGGTAAAGCGGGGATTTGATTTCGTGGGAGGTTAAGGCGGAGCTGGCGATGGGGGAGAGTGGGGGTGGTGAGCCACCAGTGATAATAGAATGGGAAAGGCCCAGTTGCGACGTCCCTTGGGCAAATAAGCCCCCGTTGATGTTGAAGTAGTCGGAGAGAATAGGGCTGGCTCGGAAACCTACATTCAATAGCATTCCGCTAGTTTTTGCATAGAAAGGCTTTAGGATCAGCAAGAGGGTGGGAACTGGGGTCCGCTTCTGGAAGCTTCGTTGTTTAGCAACCCCACTGCGGAGCCTATTTGGTGGGATTGATAGCCATTTGTTGGCTCCTAGGTCTACCTCCTCTTCTCCAGCCCAGCCTTGCGGAAATGAGGATGATGACGTGGGAAACACTAGTCACGCTTTAGCTTTTTGAGATAATGGAGCTCTGCTTTCTGAAAAAGGCTAGTGTGAATATGTCAACGTCTGTATTCCGTACCTGCCCTGTTTGTGCTTCTTGTCACTCTAAACAAACGGATTTCTTCAATATTATACCTTTTTTTTTTTTTCTGAGATGGAGTGTCGCTCCGTTGCCCAGACTGGAGTGCAGTGGCGCGATCTCTGCTTACTGCAGCCTTCGCCTCCCAGGTTCAATCGATTCTCCTGCCTCAGCCTCCGGAGTAGCTGGGATTACAGGCATGTGCCACCACGCCCAGCTAATTTTTGTATTTTTAGTAGATACTGGGTTTCACCATGTTGGCCAGGCTGGTCTGGAACTCCTGACCTCGTGATCCGCCCGGTTTGGCCTTCCAAAGTTCTGGGATTACAGGCGTGAGCCACCGTGCCTGGCCTAAACAAACGGATTTATGTCGTTCCCTGTTCAAAAACAACTTTGTTGGCTAAGCTGCAAAATAGCACCATTTCCGTCAGTTTATTGTGAGAATTACATATACGGGCTTAGCGCGGTACCCAACAATGAATAAGTGCTCAATGAACTTTAGACGATAAATCTCAAAGTCCTTAGCCTGGTATTTAAATCCTTCCACAAACAGCCCTTAGCCTACCTGCATCCCCTATGTAAACCTTTATCCTCCTACGCAAACCTTTGTCTCCATGACTTTTCTTTTTTTTTTTTTTCTTTCTGAGACGGAGTTTCCCTCTTATTAACCAGGCTGTAGTGCAAAGGCGCGATCTCAGCTCACTGCAACCTCTGCCTCCCAGGTTCAAGCGATTCTCCTGCCTCAGCCTCCCGAGTAGCTGGGATTACAGGCATGTGACACCACACCGGGCTAATTTTTGTGTTTTTGTAGAGATGGGGTTTCTTCATGTTAGTCAGGCTGGTCTTGAACTCCCGACCTTAGGTGACCCGCTGGCCTCGGCCTCCCAGAGTGCTGGGATTACAGGCGTGAGCCACTGCGCCCAGCCTGTCTCCATGGCTTTTCTAAGCCCTCCCCTGCCCGGGTTCCACACCCCACCAATTCCGGGCCCCTCTCCATTTATCTGACTTCCATTTCTCCTTCAGTCTTTTTAACACAACCCCTTCTCTGACAACAGAAACCCACAAAAACCTTCCTTATTCCAGTTGAATATACACCATCTTGTCACGACTACTTCTCGCAAGCTTGTCCAACCTGTCTTATTTTGTTGTTGTTTTGTTTTGTTTTGTTTAGGCTTTTAGCACCCTGAAGCCATGGTTTTTAGTTTCAGTCTCTAGTGATAAGTGGAAAAGGGGGATGAGGAAGGGGCTTTACTGGCCCAACCAGAAACAGAAACTAAGAACCCATGACTGTATTCACTCCCTTGGACACCATTGCTAAATTGTAAAAAGGGACAAGGGCTTCTTTGGACCCCACCCCACCAAAACTGTCCTGTACACTTTTAAATTTTTTATTGAATATAAAATACGTACTTTTTTTAAATTATTTTTTTGAGACAGTCTCGCTCCGTAGCCAGGCTGGAGTGCAGTGGCACAGTCTCAGCTCACTGCAACCTCTGCCTCTTGGGTTCAAGCGATTCCCCTGCCTCAGCCTCCTGAGTTGCTGGGACTCGGTGTGCCATCACGCCCAGCTACTTTTTTGTATCTTAGTGGAGATGGGGTTTCACCATGTTGGCCAGGATGGTCTCGATCTCCTGACCTTATGATCCTCCTGCCTTGGCCTACCAAAGTGCTGGGATTACAGGCATGAGCCACTGCGCCCAGCCAATTTTTTGTTGTTGTTGTTGTTATGAGACCAAGTCTCACTCTGTCACCCAGGCTAGAGTGCAGTGGTGCAGTCTCAGCTCACTGCAGCCTCCACCTCCTAGATTGAAGCGATTCTTCTGCCTCAGCCTCCCAAGTAGCTGGGTTTACAGGCGCATACCACTATGGCCGGCTAATTTTTGTATATTTAGTAGGGATGGGGTTTCACCATGTTGGCCAGGCTGTTCTCGAACTCCTGACCTCAGGTGATCCACCCGCCTCGGCCTCTCAAAGTGCTGGGATTACAGACGTGAGCCACTGCGCCCAGCCTGCACATACTTTTTTAATCCAAACGTTTAAAAATACAAAAATGAAAATAGTGGGCCGGGCGCGGTGGCTCACGCCTGTAATCCCAGCACTTTGGGAAGCCAAGGCAGGCGGATCACGAGGTCAGGAGATCAAGACCATCCTGGCTAACACGGTGAAACTCCATCTCTACTAAAAATATAAAAAATTAGCTGGGCGTGGTGGTGGGCGCCTGTAGTCCCAGCTACTCAGGAGGCTGAGGCAGGAGCATGGCATGAACCCAAGAGGCGGAGCTTGCAGTAAGCCGAGATTACGCCACTGCACTCCAGCCTGGGCGACAGAGTGAGGCTCCATCTCAAAAAAAAAAAAAAAAAGAAAATAGTGAAAGTCTCTTTCCCACCTCCACCCCTCATCTGCCCAGTTCCCCCACTGTTATGAGTTGTTTGGGAATCCATGAGTTTTTTTATCCTAGAACCCTCTTTGTGTTATTTCTTCTTTTGTATTGAAGTTAACTTATTTGCCTTTATGTGTTAATTACACAGGTAATATTCAAATATTTGGGCTCATGATGCAACAATTGAGAAATATAAAATACAGGGCAAAACTTAAGGAACATGTTTATTCCCCGCTCCCCCCATTTACCTTCCCACCATTTGGCGTGTGCATTTTTCTCCATTTTTTTTTTTTAACCATAAATGGTCTGTACATATTGTTCAGTTGCATTCTTTTTTTTTTTTTTTTTTGAGACGGAGTCTCGCTCTTTCGCCAGGCTGGAGTGCAGTGGTGAGATCTCGGCTCACTGCAACCTCCGCCTCCCGGATTCCAGCGATTCTCCTGCCTCAGCCTCCTAAGTAGCTGGGATTACAGACGCCCGCCACCATGCCCGGCTAAGTTTTGTATTTTTAGTAGAGACAGGGTTTCACCAAGTTGGCCAGGATGGTCTCGATCTCTTGACCTTGTGATCCGCCCGCCTCAACCTCCCAAAGTGCTGGGATTACAGGCGTGAGCCACCACGCCCGGCCCAGTTGTATTCTTTTTTAACATAATAATATATCTTGGAGATTGTTCAAATTACATACAGGCCTATCTCACCTTTTTTTTTTTTTTTTTTTTGAAACAGCGTCTTGTTCTGTCTCCCAGGCTGGAGCACAGTGGCATGATCATGGCTCACTGCAGCTTGCAGCTCCTGGGTTCAAGTGATCCTCCTGCCTCAGCCTCCCCAGTAGCTGGGACTACAGGTGGATGCCACCACACCCAACTAATACTTTTATTTTTGCAGAGATGTGCTCTCGCTATGTTGACTGGGCTGGTTTCCAACTCGTAGCCTCAAGTAATCCTTCCACCTCTGCCTCCCAAAGTGGTGGGATTACAAACATGAGTCCCTCACATTTTCAATAGCTTTCGACATACCATAGTATAAATATTTCAAGATTTATCTAATCTTTGTGCACATTGCTTTTTCTTTTCTTTTTTTTTTTTAAGAGACAGGGTCTCACTATGTTGTCCAGGGTAGCGTGTCAACACAGCCAGGCTATGTTGTCCTGGCTAGAGTGTCCAGCCTGGAATCCTAGGCTCAAGCAATCCTCACGCCTCAGCTTCCAGAGTAGCTGGGAATACAGATCACGCCACCATGCCTGCCTTCTGCACTTTGCTTTTATTTTTTCAGGACCCAAGAAGTAGAATTACTAGGTCAAAGAATGTGGGCATTTTAAATTGCCTTGTGAAAGGTTTCATCATTTTACATTTCAACTAGCAATTTAAGAAAAGGCTTGTTTTTCCACATTCTTGACAAACATGGCATCATGGAGTCTCTGAAAACTGGTGTTTGTTTTTTTTGAGATGGAGTCTCACCCTGTCGCCCAGGCTGGAGTGCAGTGGCACGATCTTGGCTCACCGCAACCTCCGCCACCCGGGTTCAAGCGATTCTCCTGCCTCAGCCTCCCAAGTAGCTGGGATTACAGGCACCTGCTACCATGCCCAGCTAATATTTGTAGTTTTAGTAGAGACAGGGTTTCACCATCTTGGCCAGGCTGGTCTTGAACTCATGACCTCATGATCCACCCGCCTCGGCCTCCCAAAGTGCTGGGATTACAGGCGTGAGCCACTGCGCCCAGCCTGTTTTTGTTTTGACGTGGAGCCTCGCTCTGTCACCCAGGCTGGAGTGTAATGGCATGATCTCGGCTCACTGCAAACTCCACCTCCCGGGTTCAAGCGATTCTGCTATCTCAGCCTCCCGAGTAGCTAGGATTACAAGTGCACGCTGCCATGCCCAGCTAACATTTTGTATTTTAGTAGAGACGGGGTTTCACCGTGTTGCCCAGGCTGGTCTTGAACTCCTGAGCTCAGGCCATCCACCTGCCTCAGCCTCCAAAAGTGCCAGGATTACAGGTGTGAGCCACTGTGCCCTGCATGAAAACTGGCTTTAATATAACAGGAACTCGTGTTGTACAAAAGAAACCAGACATGAAAGAGTATATACTTTATCAATAGTGTTAGAAATTATGGGCACTAGGAAACTACAGAACAGTGACAGAAATGTTCTGTATCTTAATCTGGTGTGGTTAGATGGTGTTACATGTTTTACACATGTAAAAATTCATCAAGCTGTACACTTACTAGTAATGCACCTTAACAAACCTACATTATACCTCAATAAAAATATTTTTAAAGTCGCTTTTTAAAGATTTTATTATGAAAAGTTCAAACATACAGAAAAGTAGAAAGAATAATACATTTTAGCCAGGTGCAGTGGCTCACGCCTGTAATCCCAACACTTTGGGAGGCCAAGGCAGGTGGGTCACAAGGTCAAGAGTTTGAGACCAGCCTGGCCAACATGGTGAAACCCCGTCTCTACTAAAAATATAAAAATTAGCCGGGCGCTGTGGCACATGCCTGTAGTCCCAGCTACTCAGGAGTCTGAGGCAGGAGAATCATTTGAACCCGGGAGGCAGAGGTTGCAGTGAGCCGAGATTGTGCCACTGCACTCCAGCCTGGGCGGCGGAGCAAGACTCCATCTCAGGAAAAAAAAAAAGAAGAAGAAGAAAAAGACATTTTTTATCACCTCCGTTAAACAACTGTGAACATTTCCCCGGATGTGCCTTATATTGACATATTTATGTGGGGTGTGTGTGTGTGTAAACACATAATAACCATTCACACCTGGTTTCTTTAGTATGTACTTCCAAAATAAGCATTCTCTACATGCCACAATACCATATCACATCCAGCACAATAACATGCAGTCTGCTTTCAAGTTGTTGCTATTAGAAACCTATGTCAATAGGGAATAACAATAGTTTCCTAAAATTATGCAGTACTCACTCCAGATTTCCTCGCTTGTTTGTGTCCTCCTTTTTTCAAAACAAGACCTATTAAATAACAATGTATTACATTTGATTGTTAAATTTTTTTTTTTTTTGAGACGGAGCTTCACTCTTGTTACCCAAGCTGGAGTGCAATGGCACAATCTCGGCTCACTGCAACCTTCGCCTCCCGGGTTCAAGCAATTCTCCTGCCTCAGCCTCCTGAGTAGCTGAGATTACAGGCATGCGCCACTATGCCTGGCTAATTTTTGTATTTTTAGTAGAGATGGGATTTCTCCATGTTGGTCAGGCTGGTCTCGAACTCCCGACCTCAGGTGATCTGCCCGCCTCAGCCTCCCAAAGTGCTGGGGTCACAGGTGTGAGTCACCACTCCTGGCTACAATCTCTTTTTTTTTTTTTAATTATGCCCCAGAACTGAGCAATCTCTTGTTTTTTTGTTTGTTTGTTCTGTTTTTTTTTTGAGACAGAGTCTCAAATCTCGGCTCACTGTAACCTCCGCCTCCTGGGTTCAAGCCATTCTGCCTCAGAGTAGCTGGGATTACAGACACACACCACCACGCCCAGCTAATTTTTGTATTTTTAGTAGAGGCGGGATTTCACCACGTTGGCCAGGCTGGTCTTAAACTCCTGACCTCAAGTGATCCACCTCCCCCAGCCTCCCAAAGTGCTGGAATTACAGGCACGAGCCACCGTGCCTGGCCAAATCTCTTGTCTTTTTAAACGTAGAGCAGAAGTTCTTAAGTTAGGAGTCTGTGGATACAATTCAAAGGGTCCATGAAGTTGGATGAGGCAAAAATTACATTTTTATTTTCACCAAATTCTAATTAAAATTTAGCATTTCCTAGGCCGGGTACAGTGGCTCATGCCTGTAATCCAAGCACTTTGGGAGGCCGAGGCGGGCGGATCACAAGGTCAGGAGATCAACACCATCACCATCATGGCGAACACAGTGAAACTCCATCTCTACTAAAAATACCAAAAATTAGCCAGGCGTGGTGGTGGGCGCATGTAGTCCCAGCTAGTCTGGAGGCTGAGGCAGGAGAATGCTGTGAACCTGGGAGGCAGAGCTTCCGGTGAGCTGAGATTGCGCCACTGCACTCCAGCCTGGGCAACAGAGCAAGATTCCATCTCAAAAAAAAAAAAAAATTTAGCATTTCCTTCCATTACAAATGAAGATAACGAAGTACAATACTATGAGCTGTGGCTTTGTCATCAATATAAATTACAGAAGTTTTCATATCACATTACGGCTAATGAAAATATCTCAGAAATATCATTTATATTCATCACTACTTTAAAACTATTATAGTTGGCCAGGCGCAGTGGCTCACGCTTGTAATCCCAGCACTTTGCGAAGCCGAAGCAGACGGATCACGAGGTCAGGAGTTCAAGACCAGCCTGGCCAACATGGTGAAATCCCGTCTCTACTAAAAATACAAAAATTAGCTGGGTGTGGTGGTGCATGCCTGTAATCCCAGCTACTCGGGATGCTGAGGCAGGAGAATGGCTTGAACTCAGGAGGTGGAGGTTGCCGTGAGCTGAGATTGTACCACTGCACTCCAGCCTGGGTGACAGAGCAAGACCCTGTCTCTAAATAAATAAATAAAATAAAACTATTGTAGTTATTGGACCTGCTGCTAGATCTTGTTATTTAGTGCATTAATAATGGAACATGTGTATTCCATATTGTACTTTAAAATATTTTGATAACTATATTTCTCCGGGTGTGGTGGCTCACACCTGTAATCCCAGCACTTTGGGAGGCCGAGGCGGGCAGATCACTTGAGGTCAGGAGTTTGAGACCAGCCTGACCAACATGGAGAAACCCCGTCTCTACTAAAAGTACAAAATTAGCCAGGCGTGGTGACACATGCCTGTAATCCCAGCTACTTGGGAGGCTGAGGCAGGAGAATCGCTTGAACCTGGGAGGCGGAGGTTGCGGTGAGCCAAGATCGCGCCATTGCACTGCAGCCTGGGCAACAACAGCAAAACTCCGTCTCAAAAAAAAAAAAAACCTATTTTTTAATGATCCTGTTTTTTATTTCATGCATTTAAGACATTCTGAGAAAAGAATTCATTGGCTTCACCAGACTGTCAGTGGGGCTGGAGGGGAAGCCTTTGGCTCAAATACAGTCTGCCCCCACACACATAGCCTTTATTAGTAGTGGTATTAGTCTTTGTTTAGTATTAGTATTTGCTTTCTGAAGAGCCCAGGCCTTTGTTGAATGTCTGACATTCTGGGTTCACCTGATTATTTACTCACGGTGTTACTTGTTATTTACATTTCCTATAAATGTAAAGTTAGGTCTAAAGACTTGATTAGATCTAAGTTGAGTGTTTTGACAAGATTATTTTAAAGGTGATGCTGTGCAGTTCTCATTGCATTACATCAGCAGGCACATGATATCTGGTTGTCCCACTGTTAGTGATGCTAAGTGTGATCACTGAGCTACAGAGGTTAAGACACTTTTGTTTTTGCAGAATCTAATGATATTTAAATTTATGGAAAAATGTAAACATATACAATAGCAGAGGTGATAGTGTAATGAACTCTGTTGTATGGGTCACTCAGCTTCTACAGTTATTAACATGTGGCCAATCTTGTTTCATTGGTATCTCTTCATTCCTCTCCCCCGAAAAATGCATATACACAGATTCCAGAGATCATGTCTTTTTTATTCATAAACAATTTAGTATGTATCTCTAAATGACGTTGTTGCATTTAATTGCAAATAACTCCTTATCTTCAAGTACCCAGTCTGTGTTCAGATTCCCTGATTGTCTCATACATGTTTCTTTATGACTGGTTCAAATCAAGATGGAAACAAAGTCCACACATTTCATTCCATTAAGGTATCTCTGTCTCTTTTTTTGCCATTTACTTGTTGAAGAAACTGGACTGCATTAAATTAGCACACTGTCTTAAAGTGTTCATTTATAGATTAATTGAACATAACATCTTCAAATATGAGTTCCATGGGAGAATAAAATGTATTTGACGTTGTATATCTTTGCATTTTTTAGTACAAATAGTAATAAGTCACTACTCAACATAATGAATCATCAGCCAAAATAAGAAAAAATATCCATTAAGATTAAGCTTGTTCCTTTCAGCCGGAACCGCCATCTTCCAGTAATTCGCCAAAATGACGAACACAAAGGGAAAGAGGAGAGGCACCCAATATATGTTCTCTAGGCCTTTTAGAAAACATGGAGTTGTTGCTTTGGCCACGTATATGCAAATCTATAAGAAAGGTGATATTGTAGACATCAAGGGAATGGGTACTGTTCAAAAAGGAATGCCCCACAAGTGTTACCATGGCAAAACTGGAAGAGTCTATAATGTCCCCCAGCATGCTGTTGGCATTGTTGTAAACACACAAGTTAAGGGCAAGATTCTTGCCAAGAGAATTAATGTGCGTATTGAGCACATTAAGCACTCTAAAAGCTGAGATAGTTTCCTGAAACACATGAAGGAAAATGATCAGAAAAAGAAGGAAGCCAAATAGAAAGGTACCTGGGTTCAACAGAAGCACCAGCCTGCTCCACCCAGAGAAGCACACTTTGTGAGAACCAATGCGAAGGAGCCTGAGCTGCTGGAACCTATTCCCTATGAATTCATGGCATAACAGGTGTTAATAAATAAATAAAAGACCTCTGGGCTGTAAAAAAAAAAAAAAAAAAAGATTAAGCTTGTTAAAATGCTACTTCTGAAGGCTCAGTGATCCTAATTTCCTCACTTGACCTTAATTTAGGACTGCATCAAAAAAAACTATTGTTTCTCATAGACTTTTTGGGAATGAAGATGATGACAATTACTTAATATAAGGTATAATAAAATAATAAATAATAAAATTTAAAATCAAAATTACCTCCCAACTGGAATACTGATTGTATTAGTTTCCCAGGACTGCCAAACATAAATTTATTATTTTACAGTTCTAGAGGCTAGACATCCCATATAAAGGTGTTGGTAGGTTTGGTTCCTTCTGTGGACTGTGAGGAAGAATCTGTGCCATTCCTCTCCCCTAGCTTCTGGTGGTTTGCTGGCAATCTTTGGCGTTCCTTAGCTTGCAGGAGCATTTGGTGTTCCTTAGCTTGTAGAAGCATTACCCCAGTTTCTGCCTTCGTCTGCACATGGCTTTCTCCCAGGTTTCCAGATGTTGGTGTCTGGGTTTGTGTGTCTTTTTCCAAATTTCCCCCTTTTTAATAAAGATACCAGTTAAAATGGATTAGGAGGCCACCTTACTCTAGTATGACCTCATCTTAACTAATTACATCTGCAACAGAGCTTTTTCCAAATAAGATCTCATTCTGAGGCTCTGAGGGTTAGGACTTTAACATATGAATTTTTGGGGGACAAAAGTAACCCCGCTCTTCTATTTTAAATTAATGTATAACATTTTCATTGACCTTTCATCAATTTACCAATTTGCTTTTTTTCCCACCTGGTTTACTTCTCTGGAAAAAATCCGGGCCGGGCACAGTGGCTTATGCCTGTAATTCCAGCACTTTGGAAGGCCAAGGCAGGCAGATCACAAGGTCAGGAGTTCGAGGTCATCCTGGCCAACATGGTGAAACTCCGTCTACACTAAAATACAAAAAGCTAGCCGGGTGTGGTGGTGCGGGCCTGTAGTCCCAGCTACACAGGAGGCTGAGGCAGGGGAATCGCTTGAACCCGGGAGGCAGAGGTTGCAGTGAGCCAAGATCGCACCACTGCACTCCAGCCTGGCAACAGAACGAGACTCTGTCTCAGCAAAAAAATAAATAAATAAATAAATAAATTTACCTCACCTCACATCACGTAGAGATTAATTATGCATCTGTAATAATGGGGGTGTCTGGGTATCTTCATTTCTGATGCTGAAATTTTTTAATATCTTTCTAACAAGGTCTGAAATTGTATTTCGAATTGATGAGCTAACATATAGTAATTGTGGAGAACATTTGAGAATTGCTGGGAATGACTAAAAATATTTAGGACGAGGAAAAAACTTGCAGCTGTCAACATATAATAGTTTTGCTCAAAGAAAGTGAGCTTCTGGCCAGGCGTGGTGGCTCACACCTGTAATCCCAGCACTTTGAGAGGCCAAGACAGGTGGATGACAAGGTTAGGAGTTCAAGACCAGCCTGACAAACATGGTGAAACCCCATCTCTACTAAAATACAAAAATTAGCTGGGTGTGGTGATGTGCGCCTGTAGTCCCAGCTGCTCAGGAGGTTGAGGCAGGAGAATCGCTTGAACCCGGGAGGTGGAGGTTGCAGTGAGCCAAGACTGAGCCACTGCACTCCAACCTGGGTGACAAAGCGAGACTCTGTTTCAAAAAAAGAAAAAAAAAAAAAGAAAAGAAAAAAGGGTATCTACATAGAAGCACTCAGAAAAAAAAAAAAGGATAAAAAAGTTCTAAGACCCTGTTCACAATAACCACCATATTCGTTCATCACTAAAGCAATCTTAATAGTGGTTTAAAAATATACAGAATTGTTCTCCAAACTAATCTTCAATATCACATAATATTAAGTAAAAAATAAACATTTCAAACGTTTTAACAGATTACTTCAGCAATATTATGAACTCTACAATTTCATGAATTTTAATGTCTTCTTATCCCCTAACCTTTGGCGTTCGGCTGCCCTTTAAACAGGCCACTCAGCAACAAATACTTTTATAGGGCAGATAGCCTTTAAGTGTGTAATTTACAAGATGAAATTTACTGGTTTCATTGTTCTTTTTTTTTTTTTTTTTTTTTTGAGACGGAGTCCTGCCCTGTCGCCCATGTTGGAGTGCAATGGCCGGATCTCAGCTCACTGCAACCTCCACCTCCTGGGTTCAAGCGATTCTCCTGCCACAGCCTCCGATTCTCCTGCCTCAGCCTCCCGAGCAGCTGAGACTACAGGCACGCGCCACCACGCCCAACTAATTTTTGTATTTTTAGTAGAGACGGGGTGGGGGACAGGGGGTGGGGTGGTCTCACCATATTGGCCAGGCTGGTCTCAAACTCCTGATCTCGTGATCCACCCTCCTCGGCCTCCCAAAGTGTTGGGATTACAGGTGTGAGCCACCGTGCCAGGCCCATTGTTCCTTTTTTAAAATAGTATTGGTAGTTTTGTATGTATTGAATTATTTGAAAATAAGACCATCCGGGCTGAAGTCTGTTATTACCGTTGATGACAACTGAAACTGGTGGAATTACTACCGTTGATGAGACCTGAAGTTGGTCAAACGAAAGCAAAACAAACCCGCCCAACGTGGGGCTCGAACCCACGACCCTGGGATTAAGAGTCCCATGCTCTACCGACTGAGCTAGCCGGGCAGTTAGAGAAAAGTGTTGTTCCTAGATCTTTTCAAAGGAATAAGATTGTTTTGATTTGTTCTAAGAATTACATTTCGTATTAAATGATTTTTCTATTTTATATATATATATATATATATATTTTTTTTTTTTGGTAAAGTTTTTCATGACTTTTAAAACTTGTGTTTCATGTCTGATTCTGTGCGCACAAACTTCTGTTGTTTAATAAAAATGTATAAACAGCCCTCTAGTGGTCAGCACCTTTCCGTTTCCTTAAAGGTAAGGCGGGCCAAGGAAGGCGATGCCGACTCCAGCCCGGAGAATAGGAGTGAGTGTAGGGGTGCTTCCAGTTCATCCTAAAGATTCCCGCCGGCAGAGCGCCCACCCCTTGAAGCGCGGGGACCAGAGAGGTTCTCAGCACCCTCGTGGCCCACTGCAAAAGATGGCTGCGGAGAAATGTCCTGCACACTCTCTGGAAACAATTGGAACTGAAAGCCCAGCTGCAGAGCTGGCTGGCCTCTCGGCATCGTGTGACTTAGAGATTTTCGGAATTCTTTTCTTTGGCATGACGGTGGTTCAACTAAGACATACCATGGTGTTTACACGAGAGATTAGAAAGCTAAAGCAGTCTCAGCGAGTAATTGAAAATACCGTAGAGTTTGCTCACACTCAAAACTAAAAAGTGAAAAAATTTATTCCATAGACTGATAGAACCTCAGTGTGGGAAGGGACCATTATTCCAAGCCTCTCCCTACTAAAAAAAAAAATAATAAATAAAGATTTATTCTGTTTTCCAGAATAAGTGATTTCACAGTAGCCAAACAGTCCCAGTTAATGAGGGAAACTACTTTGTAAGAAAAAAACAAAGGCCGGGCGCGGTGGCTCACGCCTATAATCCCAGCATTTTGGGAGACCGAGACGGGCAGATCACGAGGTTAATAGATCGAGACCATCCTGGCCAACATGGTGCAAACCACGTCTCTACTAAAAGTACAATCGGGCGTGGTGGCGCATGCCTGTAACCCCAGCTACTTGGGAGGCTGAGGCAGGAGAATCGCTTGAACGTGGGAGGCCGAGGTTGTAGTGAGCCGAGATCGTGCCATTGCACTCCAGCCTGGCAAGGGTGTAATCCTGTCTCAAAAAAAAAAAAAGCAGGATTAGAAAAGCATACTTTGGCAAATTCATTTATTATTATTATTATTGACATAGAGTCTTGCTCTGTTGCTCAGGCTGAGTGCAATGGGGCGATATCAGCTCACTGCAACCCCCACCTCCAGGTTCAAATGATCACTCCTGTCTCAGCCTCCTGAGTAGCTGAGATTACAGGCGTGCACCACCACGCCTGGCTAATTTTTGTATTTTTAGTAGAAATGTAGTTTCGCCATGTTAGCCAGACTGGCCTCAAACTCCTGACCTCAGGTGATCCACCCGCCTCGGCCTCCCAAAGTGCTGGGATTACAGGAGTAAGCCACCGCATCCAGCAGTGGCAAATCCTTTTAAACAAGGGTTGTCAATTATGGTTAAACCATTACGTTAATTTTATATGTTAATAGTTGGTAGAGAACTGGATATTTACAGGGTCGAAGTAACACCACACAGGTTACTAGATGCAAGGAGGACAATCTCACTGAATGATGGCGGGTTCAGGTTGTTATTACCTTAATCCAGAAATTAATCTGAGTTTTGCTAGTGCTTTACTAATCTTCAACAAGATAGATAGTGTATCTTTAGCAGTGATACAACACAAAATCAATGATAATTATTTATTCTAGTCAAAAAATGTTTTTGATTAATTAGTATCTAAAGGTCCATAGGCCTTTTGATATTAATTCCAGTTTACAGGAAATATAAAGGATAGAGGAACAAGATGAATGACACCATAAGGAGCCAATAACACAAAGTCAGAGGGTGGGAAATTCTCCAGGACAACTAACCTTCAAGAAGTATTATATATTTTTTAATGACTTTTGCTAGTTTTTTTTTTTTTTTTGAGACCGAGTTTTGCTCTTGTGGCCCAGGCTAGAGTGCAGTGGCGCACTCTCGGCTCACTGCAATCTCTGCCTCCCGGGTTCAAGTGATTCTGTTGCCTCAGCCTCAGCCTCCCGAGTAGCTGGGATTACAGGTGCGTGCCACCACACCCAACTAATTTTTGTATTTTTAATGGAGACAGGGTTTCACCATGTTGGCCATGGTCTCGAACTCCTGACCTCAGGTGATCCACCCGCCTCGGCCTCCAAAAGAACCAGGATTACATGTGTGAGCCACAGTGCCTGGTCAACTTTTGCTAGATTAAAAGAGACAAAAGGGCCATAATAGTCAGATGCAATAGGTGATCCTAGATTGGATATGTTCTGGAAAAACTAGTTATAAAGAGATTTTGGAGTCAACTGGAGAAACTTGCATATAGTTTGAATATTGGATGAGATGAAAATTTACTGTAATGGAAAGTGGAGATGTTTGGCTGCAAAAAGCAAGTTATAGAATAAATGTAATCACTCATTTTGGTAAAAAGAATGCCATTTACTAAGATATTAATATTATTATTTGGGTAGTGGGAATCTGAACGTTTTACTTTTTTAATTTTTTGCTTGTCTTTATTTTCAAATTTTCTAAAATGCATATGTATACTTCTGTAATATTAAAAGGGTTATTTTTTAAAAGTACATGAGAAAGAAGAAAGAAAGGAAAGCAAAGATAAAACTTTAAAATGTGGCCAACAATTAGACTTACAGAAATGAGATCTGGGCCAGGCAAGGTGGCTCACCTGTGATCCTACTACTTTGGGAGGCCAAGGTAAGAGGATCACTTGAGCCTACTAGTTCTAGACCAGCCCTAACAACAAAGCAAGACCCCCCACGCCCAGCATGGTGACACACACCTGTAGTCCCAGCTACTTGAGAGGCTGAGGTGGGAGAATCGCTTGGGCCTCCCATCTCAGCCTCTCTTGGGAGGTCAAGACTGCAGTGAGCCTTGGTCACGTCATTGTACTCCAGTGTACTTCAGTGGGTGACAGTAAGAAACCTTGTCTCAAAAAAAAAAAAAAAGAGAGACTCAGAAGTTCTGGATACTTCTTTTGTATAAGTGGACTACAAATCTCATCCGAAGCTTTCTAGCAGTCATGGTGGAAAAGGAAAGCTGATCAGTTACACAATTCATAGGGTCCTCACAATGAAGCCATTTAAACCAAATCAACTCCTTGGTTACTCAGATCAAAAAGCAAGAGGAGTATATAGATCCTGTTATTCAGAAATAAATGCTGCTAAACCTAAGATATCTGGATCCTTGTTCCTTTTGTATGTGTGTGTCTGCGTTTCTTTCTTTTTCTTTTCCTTTTTTTTTTTTTTTTTTTAGACAGAGTCTTACTCTGCTGCCCAGGCTGGAGTGCAGTGGTGTGATCTTGGCTCACTGCAATCTCTGCCTCTTGGGTTCAAGCAATTCTCCTGTCTCAGCCTCCCAAGTAGCTGGGAGCCCAGCTAATTTTTGTATGTTTTTAGTAGAGACGGGATTTCACCATATTGGCCAGTCTGATCTCGAACTCCTGACCTTGTAATCCGCCCGCCTCGGCCTCCCAAAGTGCTGGGATTACAGGCATGAGCCACCACGCCCAGCCTCTTTTTTTTTTTTAATTGTGGCAAAATATACATAACATAAAATTTACCATCTTAACCATTTTTAAGTGCACAGTTCAATGGCGTTAGGTACATTCACATTATTATGTGACCATCACCACTATCTATCACCAGAACTGTTTCATCACCCCAAACTGAAACTGCATGCTTAGCAAACTGTAACTTCACATTGCCCTCTCCCCCCATCAGCTCCTGCAACAACCACTTTTTTTCTTTTTTTTTTTTTTTTTTTTTGAGACAGAGTCTCGCTCTGTCACCCAGGCTGGAGTGCAATGGTGCAATCTCGGCTCACTACAACCTCCACCTCTCGGGTACAAGCAATTCTCCTGCCTCAGCCTCCTAAGTAGCTGGGATTACAGGTGCGCACCACCACGCCTGGCTATTTTTTTTTTTTTTTTTGAGATGGGAGTCTCGCTCTTTCACCCAGGCTGGAGTGCAGTGGTGCGATCTTGACCCACTGCAAGCTCCACCTCCCAAGTTCACGCCATTCTCCTGCCTCAGCCTCCCGAGTAGGTGGGACTACAGGCGCCTGCCACCACGCCCAGCTAATTTTTGTATTTTTAGTAGAGACGGGGTTTCACTGTGTTAGCCAGGATGGTCTCGATCTCCTGACCTCATGATCCGCCCGCCTCGGCCTCCCAAAGTGCTGGGATTACAGGCGTGAGCCACTGTGCCAGGCCGACGCCCGGCTAATTTTTGTATGTAACCACCATTCTACTGTCTCGATGAATTTGACTATTCTAGGTACTCATATGGGTGGACTCATACAATTTTTGTCTTTTTGTGTCAGGCTTATTTTATTTCACATAATGTCTTCAAGGTCCATCCATATGGTAGCATGTATCAGAATTTCATCTCTTTTGAATGATGAATAACATTCCCTTATATGTATATATCAGGGAATTTTTGTTTACCCATTCATCAGTTGATGAACATTTGGGTTGCTTCCACCTTTTGCCTATTGTGACTAATGTTGTTATGAACATTGGTATGGAAATATCTGTTTGAGCTCGTGCTTTCAATTCTTTTGGGTATATACTCAGAAGTGGAATTGTTGAATCATGTAATTCTATTTTTAATTTTTTGAGAGTTCCTCTGGAATTTTTTTTTTTTTTCTGAGATGGAGTCTTGCTCTGCCACCCAGGCTGGAGTACGGTGGCGCAATCTTGGCTCACTGCAACCTCCGCCTCCCAGGTTCAAGCAATTCTCCTGCCTCAGCCTCCTGAGTAGCTGGGATTACAGACACTCACCACCATGCCCGTCTTTTTTTTTTTTTTTTTTTTTTTTTTTTAGTAGAGTTGGGGTTTCACCATGTTGGCCAGGCTGGTCTCAAACTCCTGACCTCAAGTGATCCGCCCGCCTCAGCCTTCCAAAGTGCTGGGATTACAGGTGTGAGCCACCGCGCCCGGCCCCTTTGGAATTTTAACCTTTATGAAAGTCACTTCCATAATGCAGGCCTCTGTTTCTTCATCTACAAATAAAAAGGCGGGGTGAGAGGCAGAGGGAGGACTAAGTCAAGGGAGGGCTTTAGGAGATCTCTAAAGAGCCTCCCAGCCTTACAACTCATGAATTGATGATCATTCAGAACCCTGGACAAAAGTGCTGGTCCCCTCTTTAGAGTCTCTGTGAGTAAGTACAAGAAGAAAGGCTCTTCTTCCCAAGAGGCACAACTTGATTTTTACTTGATGCTGGTCCTGGAGGGGCCTGGGGCTGGAGAACGGAGGATGGGTGGCCAAGGTTGCACAGGCTGGTGGCACTACAGGGCCCCTCCACTACTCCCCATCTCATCCCAGTATTTCTTTCCCCACCCCCTCACTTACTCAGTTTGCCTCTATGTGTCAGAGAGAAGGGGGTGAAGCCAAGGTCTAGGCCAGCATGAAACAAAACACTTGAAATTTCAGTAAGGAAATTTCATTAGGAGGAACTGTACCATCTTCCAGTGTCACCATGGAGACGGCTGAGATGAGACTCAAAAACCCTTGAACTCCAGTCTCCTTCCATTCTCCCCCATATATCAGCTGCAGCTAAACCAGACTCCTCAGTGATTTGTGGAGACCTCTGCAGCCAGCACAATCATTCTGATATTTCCCTAAACCTCTGCAAAATTACCCACTGCTTCAGGATGAAGTCCAAAGTCCAAACTCCTTAACAAGGCCTACCACATCTTGCATGGTCTAGCTTCAGCTTACCTCTCAGGCCTAATTGATTGGCAACCCATATGGGATGTTCCAGCCACGTGGAGCTGCTGGAAAGGGCAAAGCCAGGCACTTTTTTTTTTTTTGAGACAGAGTCATGCTGCGTCGTCCAGGATGGAGTGCAATGTCACGATCTTGGCTCACTGCAACAACCTCTGCCTCCCAGCTTCACGCAATTCTCCTGTCTCAGCCTCCCAAGTAGCTGGGATTACCGGCCTGCGCCACCACGCCCGACTAATTTTTTTGTATTTTTAGTAGAGATGGGGTTTCACCATATTGGCCAGGCTGGTCTGGAACTCCTGACCTTGTGATCCGCCCGCCTTGGCCTCCGAAAGTGCTGGGATTACAGGCGTGAGACACCGCACCCAGCCTTTTTTTTTTTTTTTTTTTTAACTAATTAAAAAAATTTGGACAGGCGCGGTGGCTCACGCCTGTAATCCCAGCACTTTGGGAGGCCAAGGCGGGCGGATCACGAGGCCAAGAGATCAAGACCATCCTGGCCAACATGGTGAAACCCGTCTCTACTAAAAATACATAATTAGCTGGGCATGTTGGCACGCGTCTGTAGTCCCAGTTACTCAGGAGGCTGAGGCAGGAGAATCACTTGAACCCAGGAGGCGGAGGTTGCAGTGAGCAGAGATCGCACCACTGCACTCCAGCCTGGCGACAGAGCCAGACTCCGTCTAAAAAAAAAAAAAATTTGGCCAGGCACGGTTGCTCAAGTCTGTAATCCCAGCATTTTGGGAGGCCAACCAAGGCAGACGGATCACTCGAGGTCAGGAGTTCGAGACCAGCCTGGTCAAAATGGAGAAACCCTGTCTCTATTAAAAATACAAAAATCAGCCGTGCATGGTGGCGCACACCTGTAGTCCCAGCTACTTGGGTGGAGGCACAAGAACCGCTTGAACCAGAGGTGGAGGCTGCAGTGAGCAGAGATCACACCACTGCATTCCAGCCTGAGTGACAGAGCGAGACGCTGTCTCCTCCCGCCAAAGAAAAAAAAATTATACAGATGGGGTCTTGCTATGCTGCCCAGGCTGGTCTCAAACTCCTGGCCTCAAGCCATCCTCCCACCTCAGGCTCCCAACGTGCTAGAATTACAGGCATGAGCCACTGTACCTGGCCAAGTCAT
This sequence comes from Homo sapiens, assembly GCF_000001405.40. Lineage (NCBI taxonomy): Eukaryota > Metazoa > Chordata > Mammalia > Primates > Hominidae > Homo > Homo sapiens. The sequence continues at coordinate 78,853,626 of NC_000015.10, read as the reverse complement.
GCACTTTCAAGCTTCCAGGATGCCAAGCGCACTCCTCCCTTACCTTGGAATACTTGCTCCCCACTCTCCTTTCTCAACTCTATCCTGGAAGACCTCTATCAGGAAGCACCTCCTCCAGGAAGGCCTTACAGCTTACCAGGAAGGCAAATGTGCTCTCTCATGCACCCACACTTGACTATACTCCCTTTTGACTCAACACAGTCCCTCTGCCATGGCTAGTGCAGAGAGGAAGCACCCAGTGATACCACCTAGGTTCAAATCCTGACCAGGCCACTCATAAAACCATAGGACATTGAAAATTGCCCACCTACCTCATAGGAGCATTGTGAGGACTGGATGAATGAATATGTGTGGTACGTGGTACCTGACCTGTAGAGCACTTGGCTTCCTCCCATCAATCTGTGAACTCAGCCGGACCTTGTGCTCTACCCTTAATGGGTGCCCTTTTTTTCTTTCTTTCATTCATTTATTTATTTTTATTTTAGTGTCAGGGTCTCACTCTATCACCCAGGTTGGAGTGCGGTAGCACAATAATAGCTCACTGAAGACTTGAACTCCTGAGCTCAAGAGATCTTTCCTCCTCAGCCTTCCTAGTAGCTGGAGTCACAGAGTGACTAGGGCTACAGGTCCCCACCACCACACCTGGCTAATTTTTATTTTTTATATATTTGTTTATTTCAGTAGAGATGGGGTTTCCCTACGTTGTCCAGGCTGGTCTGGAACTCTTGGTCTCAAGGGATCCATCTACTTTGGCCTCCCAAAGTGCTGGGATTACAGGCATGAGCCACCGTGCCTGGGATGCCCATTAAATTAGGGACTTGGTGTCATGTGCTCTCCAGTTACCTCATTCACATTGAGGAGATGGTATTGTAGTTCACATAAGGTTGGATTGTAAGGGAGGGGGCAACCAAGGCAGATTCAGGGGCATTGTGGGGATAGGGACAAGGGAGCAGCCTGAAAGGCAAGGAGAGGCCACACTGCTGCCAAGCTGCTAGCATGAAAAAGACAGATCATAACAAGTGTTGGAGAGACGGAGAGAAATTGGAACCTTCATACATTGTTAGTAGGAATGTCAAATGGTGTAGTTGGAAAATTGTATGGCAGTTCCTTAAAAGGTTATGCATAGAGTTACCACATGACCCAGCAACTCCACTCCTAGGTAGCGACCCAAGAGAAATGAAAACGTGTCCACACTAAAACTTGTACACGAACGTTCATAGGAGCATTATTCAAAATTGCCAAAAAGTGAAAACAAACCATATGTCCATCAATTCGTGAATAGAGACATAAAACCTTCTATAATATTATATTCTATATAATGAAATATTATTCAAACACAAAGTAAATGAAGTACTCATACATGCTACAGCATTCTACTCTGAAAACATTCTACTCTGAAAATATTCTACTCTGTGAAGAAAAGCCAGTCACGAAAGACTACATATTGTATGATTCCATGTAGGAGGCAGATCCACAGAGACAGAAACTAGATTAATGGCCGGGCGCAGTGGTTCACGTCTGTAATCCCAGCACTTTGGGAGGTCGAGGTGGGTGGATCACCTAAGGTCAGGAGTTCGAGAACAGCCTGGCCAACAAGGTGAAACCCCTATCTCTACTAAAAATACAAAAAATTAGCTGGGCATGGTGGTGGGTGCCTGTAATGCCAGCAAGTCGGGAGGCTAAGGCAGGAGGATCACTTGAACCCGGGAGGCGGAGGTTGCAGTGAGCCAGATCACGCCACTGCACTCCAGCCTGGGCAACAGAGCAAGACTCCGTTTCAAAGAAAAAAAAAAAAAAGTAGATTAGTGGTTGCCAGGGGCTGGAAGGATGAAGAAAATGGTATAAAATTAGATAATGGTGATGACTGCACACATATATAAACTAAAAACCATTGAATTGTACAATTTAACAGGGCAAACTTTGTGGTATGTAAATTTTATCTTAATAAGCTGTTATTTTAAAAGGAAGGGAAAACATGACAAAACAAGATTATCAGGGTTTAGATATTTTCTAAATATTTATTTAAGTTGCAAAATAAATGTCTGCTTTGCTGCATCTTGTCAGTGTGTTTAATGATAGAATAGACAACTCTGTAAGGAGAAAAGGTCAAATGTCTAGAGTCAAAATGTCTCAAATGTCCTTTGGGAATGTATGGCCTGGAGCAGCGGGGTTCCCTGCTGACCCCCCGTGTGAGGCTCTGGTTCCAGCCGCAAGTCTGCTGCTGATTTGCCCTGTGGTGCCAGGCAAGTCTCCTTCCCACTGGAGTTCCAGGATCTCCATTTACATAACAAGGAGACTGCTGCACTGGATCCTTCAGGCTGTCCCTTCTCTGGCATCCTGCACAACTTTGACCTTCCCTGAAGTCGGCTGGTGGAATTCTGCACGGACCCCCACGCATTCCCACCCAGGCCCCAAATGGCATCCCTTCAGGTTGAAAGGACAGAAAGGAAATTGTGAGCCCTGTGAGCTCACAATGGTGCCATTGTGCCTGGCAGAACCTCTTTGTTCTTTTCAGGCCTCTTTCAGATCAATATCCATTCCCCAGCTCTGGAAGGGGTGGGCAGCAGGGCTGGTGAATGCTACAGAATTAAGCCAAGAAGATTTAGCAGGCACTTAATGAACATAGTAGCCATTTGTGGAGTCTCCACTTTGTGGAGGCCCTTCAAGTACTAAAAGGATCTCAGCAAGGCTAAATGACTTGTCCAATACTGCACAGCTAGCTAGTGGCAGTGCTGGGCTTCACACACAGTCCTGGACACCTTCAAAGCCTCCAGTTACCAATGCCACGGTCACTTCCTTCTGTATTTCTTCTCATTTTGCATGTCCCAGAGACTTTCCTAAGACTTCGTGTATGTTAACTCATGTAAGCCTCATAACAATCCTGGAAGGAGGGAGTGTTGTCATCACCACAAGGATGAAGAAACTGAGGCAGAGTGGTTAGGTAACTTGCTCAAGGTCACACAGCTAATAAATGGCAGAGCTGGAACTTGGATAAAGCAGTCAGGCTCCAAAGTCCACGCTCTTACCATTATGTACCACACAGCTGAAGAGCTCTTGAATGTGACCTTTCACTTTGAGAGACTTATGAAGAATTTCTTGATTGGCTGAATAGAGATTTATGTACAGTTTTAAGAGCTCTGGCGCCCAGGTCTACCATTGACTGGATGAGTGAAAGGCCAGAGGTGCCTGTGAGACTGGTTTTTTTAAATGTCTGACCTAAAGGGGCAGCCACTTCTGGATGTGCAGGCCCAAGATCACTGGTTCTGCTGACTTGATTTAGAAAGGAACCGGAAATCTGGATTTTAAGTTAAAACTTCTGATTTTTTGTGTTTTTCTTGAGATGGAGTTTCACTCTTGTTCGCCAGGCTGGAGTGCAATGGCACAATCTCTGCTCACTGCAACCTCCGCCTCCTGGGTTCAAGCAATTCTCCTGCCTCAGCCTCCCGAATAGCTGGGAATACTAGCATGCACCACCATGCCCGGGGAATTTTGTATTTTTAGTAGAGACGGGGTTTCTCTATGTTGGTCAGGCTGGTCTTCAACTCCCAACCTTAGGTGATCTGCCCACCTCGGCCTCCCAAAGTGCTGGGATTACAAGCATGAGACACCATGCCCGGCCAACTCCTGATTTTTAAATGTTGGCAACTAACATTTTTTTGGGTGGTGGGGGGACAGGGTCTCACTCTCACCCAGGCTGGAGTACAGTGGTGTGATCTCAGCTTACTGCAATCTCTGCCTCCCAGGTTCAAGTGATTCTCCCAATGTCAGCCTCCCGAGTAGTTGGAACTACAGGTGCACACCACCACACCCAGCTAATTTTTTGTGTTTTTTGTAGAGACAGGGTTTCCCCATGTTGTCAAGGCTGATCTCGAACTCCTGGACTCAAGTGATCCCCCTGCCAAGATGACACCACTGCACTCCAGCTTGGGTGACAAAGTGAGACCCTGTCTTAAAACAAAACAAAACAAAAAAAGGCCAGGCATGGTGGCTTATGCCTGTAATTCCAGCACTTTGGGAGGCTGAGACAGTTTCGAGGATTAGATTGAATAAACTGTTTAAATTGTACAATTCAATGGTTTTTAGTGTGTGTGTGTGTGTGTGTGTGTGTGTAATCACCACCACTACCTAATTTTATACCATTTTCTTCATAGTTCCTCCCAGCCCCTGGCAACCAGGGCAAAAAAATCTCCTGTTGAGAATTCATAACTATAGTGTGGCTTTGGTTTATGGTTTTAGGGCCTAAAGCATATACTTCATGTACTAAGATGTGGTCCAAAACAATACCAGCTCTTCTGTTTTTGTTTTTGAGACACAGTCTTGCTCTGTCATGCAGGCTGGAGTGCAATGGCATGATCTTGGCTCACTGCAACATCTGCCTCCCAGGTTCAAGCAATTCTCCTGCCTCAGCCTCCTGAGTAGCTGGGACTACAGGTGCACACCACCACGCCCAGCTAATTTTTGTATTTTTAGTAGAGACAGGATTTCATTCACCATGTTGGGCAGGCTGGTCTTGAACTCCTGACCTCAACTGATCTGCCCACCTCTGCCTTCCAAAGTGCTAGGATTACAGGCCTGAGTCACTGTGCCCTGCCCAAGCTGTATCTTAATTAAAAATAGCAGAAGTAAATGAAAATCTCTCTGGTGAAGGCTACCTTCAACCCAGATGGCAAAGAATTCCTAGATATAAAGTGTGTATAAACATGACCTCACAATCAGAAGTGACATCAACAGACATGACTGACAGCAGAATTATGCCCATAAAACTTAAGCTGCTATGATTAAACTATAATACCATTTAGTTTAAAGAAATAAAAGATCTACTTGAAAACATGAGTAAGAAACAAAAGACTAACAAAAATGGGAAGGAGCCAGGTGTTGTGGCAATCCCAGCGCTTTGGGAGGTCAAGGCAAGAGGGGTGCTTGAGCCCAGAAGTGCAAGGCCAACATAAGCAACAAAGCAAGACCTTGTTTCTATGAAATAAAATAGCTAGGCGCAGTGGCTCACACCTGTAATCCCAGCACTTTGGGAGGCCGAGGTCACTTTGGGCAGATCACAAGGTCAGGAGATAGAGACCATCCTGGCTAACACGGTGAAACCCTGTCTCTACTAAAAATACAAAAAAAAATTACCCCGGCGTGGTGGCAGGTGCCTGTAGTCCCAGCTACTCAGGAGGCTGAGGCAGGAGAATGGCATGAACCCGGGAGGTGGAGCTTGCAGTGAGCAGAGATCGCACCACTGCACTCCAGCCTGGGTGACAGAGCGAGATTCTGTCTAAAAAAAGTAAAATAAAACAAATTAGCCAGATGAGGTGGTGTGCACTCATAGGCCCAGCTCTTCGAGAGGCTGAAATGAGCGGATCACTTCGGCTCAGGAGTTCGAGGCTGCAGTGAGCTATGCTCTGTGATTGGGCCACTGTACTCCAGCTTGGATGACAGAGCAAGACCATGTCTCTTAAAAAATAAAAAACTTAAAGCAGCCAGAGAGAAAAAAGAGATTACCTAAAATAAGACAACAATTAAATCAGTCGGGCGCGGTGGCTCACACCTGTAATCCCAGTGTGTCTGGAGTTGGTGGGTTCTTGGTCTCACTGACTTCAAGAATGAAGCCACGGACCCTCGCGGTGAGTGTTACAGCTCTGAAGGTGGTGCGTCTGGAGTTTGTTCCTTCTGATGTTCAGTTGTGTTCGGAGTTTTCTCCTGGTGGGTTCGTGGTCTTGCTGGCTCAAGAGTGAAGGTGCAGACCTTCGCAGTGAGTGTTACAGCTCTTAAGGCAGCGCGTCTGGAGTTGTTTGTTCCTCCCGGTGGGCTCGTGGTTTCGCTAGGCTCAGGAGTGAAGCTGCAGATTTTCGCAGTGAGTGTTACAGCTCATAAAAGCAGCGTGGACCTGAGCAGTAGCAAGATTTATCGCAAAGAGCAAAAGAACAAAGCTTCCACAGTATTGAAGGGGACAATAGCAGGTTGCCAATGCTGACTCCGGCAGCCTGCTTTTATTCTCTTATCTGGCCCCACCCACATCCTGCTGATTGGTAGAGCCGAGTGGCCTGTTTTGACAGGGGGCTGATTGGTGCGTTTACAATCCCTGAGCTAGATACAAAGGTTCTCCACGTCTCCATCAGATTAGTTAGATACAGAGTTTCGACATAAAGGTTCTCCAAGGCCCCACCAGAGCAGCTAGATACAGAGTGTCGATTGGTGCATTCACAAACCTTGAGCTAAACACAGGGTGCTGATTGGTGTATTTACAATCCCTGAGCTAGACATAAAGACTCTCCACGTCCCCACCAGACTCAGGAGCCCAGCTGGCTTCACCTAGTGGATCCCGCACGGGGGCTGCAGGTGGAGCTGCCTGCCAGTTCCGCGCCGTGCGCTCGCACCCCTCAGCCCTTGGGTGGTCGATGGGACTGGGCGCGGTGGAGCAGGGGGCGGCGCTCCTTGGGGAGGCTCGGGCCGCACAGGAGCCCATGGAGTGGGTGGGAGGCTCAGGCATGGCGGGCTGCAGGTCCCGAGCCCTGCCCGGCGGGAAGGCATCTAAGGCCTGGCGAGAAATTGAGCACAGCGCCGGTGGGCCGGCACTGCTGGGGGACCCAGTACACCCTCCGCAGCCACTGGCCCGGGTGCTAAGTCCCTCATTGCCCAGGACCAGCAGGGCTGGCTGGCTGCTCCGAGTGCGGGGCCCACCAAGCCCACGCCCATCTGGAACTCCAGCTGGCCCACAAGCGCCGCACGCAGCCCCGGTTCCCGCTCGTGCCTCTCCCTCCACACCTCCCTGCAAGCTGAGGGAGTGGGCTCCAGCCTTGGCCAGCCCAGAAAGGGGCTCCCACAGTGCAGTGGGGGGCTGAAGGGCTCCTCAAATGCCGCCAAAGTGGGATCCCAGGCAGGGGAGGTGCCAAGAGCAAGCGAGGGCTCTGAGGACTGCCAGCACGCTGTCACCTCTCACCAGCACTTTGGGAGGCCGAGGTGGGTGGATCACCTGAGGTCAGGAGTTTGAGACCAGCCTGACCAACCTGGTAAAACCGTGTCTCTACTAAAAATACAAAAATTAGCCAGGCGTGGTGGCGCATGCCTGTAACCCCAGCTACTCGGGAGGCTGAGACAGGAGAATTGCTTGAACCCGGGAGGTAGAGGGTACAATGAGTGGAGACCGTACCATTGCACTCCAGCCTGAGCAACAAGAGTGAAACTCTGCCTCAAAACAAAACAAAAAAACAATTAAATCGATAGCAGACTTTTCAAAAGCAAGGATGGAAAACCAGAAGACAGTAGAATAATGTCTTCAAAGAGCTGGAATAAAAAGAACAATCAACATACAATTAAACTAATGAAGCTATATTTCAAGAATGATAAGGAAATCAGATCATTTTCAGACAAAAATTAAGTTTATCAACAAACCTTCACTAAAGACATGTTTAAAGGAAATAGTTCAGAAAAAGAGAAAATGAGCCTCCGATAAGTTTGAGATTCAAGAAGAAATGTTGAACATTATAGGATAGTCATTAAAAAAACTAAACATAGAGTGTACTACTCTCAAACTACTAGAGGGAAAAAAATGAAATGAGAAAAATAATTAAATCCAAATGAAAAGAGAGGAAATTAAAACATAGAAAAACAAAGATAATGATAAAGCATCAAATATGATAGAAACATATCTAGCCATTACAGTGAAAACCATAATAAATGTGAATGAACTAAATTAGGAAGGTAAAAGACAAAAATTGTCAAGCTGGATTAAAAGTAAAACAAAACCAAGTTTATAAGAGAAACACCTAAAATAGACACAGATAAAAATATGCCTAACAACATCTAACTAAAAGAAAGCTGGCTGGTTAGCTTGGGCAACATAGTAAGACCCCATATCTACAAAAAAAAAAAAATTAAAATAAGAAAATTAAATACAAAATTAGCCAGGCGTGGTGGTGTGCACCTGTAATCCCAGTTACTCAGGAGGCTGAGGCAGGAGAATTACTTGAACCTGGGAAGTGAGAGGTTGCAGTGAGCCAAGATAGTGCCACTGCACTCCCGCCTGGGCAACAGAGCAAGATTCCGTCTCAAAAAAAAAAAAAAAAGCCAGGGGCAGTGGCTCACTCCTGTAATCCCAGGACTTTGGAAGGCCAAGGAGGGCGGATCACAAGGTCAGGAGTTCGAGAACAGCCTGAACAACGTGGTGAAACCCCGTCTGTACTAAAAATATGAAAATTAGCCAGGTGTGGTGGCAGGCGCCTGTAATCCCAGCTACTCGGGAGGCTGAGGCAGGAGAATCGCTTGAACCCAGGAGGCGGAGCTTGCAGTGAGTTGAGATCTCGCTACTGCACTCCAGCCTGGGTGACAGAGTGAGACTCCGTCTCAAAAAAAAAAAAAAAAAAAGAAAATTAGCTGGGCTTGGTGGCATGCAACTGTAGTCCCAGCTACTGGGGAGGCTGAGGTGGGAGGATTATTTTGAGCCCAGGAGTTCGAGGCGCCTATGATCACACCACTGCAGCCCGAGCAACAGAGTGAGACCTGGTCTCAAAAAAAAAAAAAAAAAGAAAAAAGAAAAGAAAGCTGGTGAGACTGTATTAATACAAAAAAGGGGAAAAAAGAGATTGTAAGAAATGAAAAGATGACCAGATGTTAGGGATATAGGGATGAAAAAGACAAGGCATTGCCCCATAAGCATTGACTGCAGTAGGGGAAACTTGGACTAGACACACACAAACAAAAAAAGAAATACCAATGCCAGTGAGTATTATTTTGGAAAAGCACAGAGAACTCAAAGGAAAACTGTGGTAGAGACACCTATTTTAGACTAGAGGTCAGGGAAGACCTTTTTGAAGAAGTGCCATTTCAGCTGAGACCCGAAGGCTGTCACCTGAGGCAGGAGATGAGGGGCAGAATGTCCTGGAGAGACAGAACCAACTTCAAGAGTGAAAGCCCCAAATGGGGGAAGAGCTGATCATAGGAGGAGAAACAGAAGGAAGACTGGCTGTGGCCAGTGAATGAGGATGGATAATCCCATTTCTTCCCAGTGGAAACACTGACTGTCATCATCTAACTTTTGCTGTATGAACTGAGAACCTCGCCTTTTGATTTGGAACAGTTGCAAAGAGTTTAAGTGCAGTGAGTTTATGTGAGAGCTCCCACAGGGAAGCCTGAGCTGGAAGGCGAGCCCACCCCATCTATTCTAAGAACAGCAGAGCTCCTGAGCCGCTCTTTTGTCCAGGCCATTCTTGCCACCAGGGCCCTGAACATCCTGGGCTAACCAGAGTCACTCCTGCAGGTACACTAGAGATCAGGTAGGGCAGCCTTGGTCTACAGGCCAGTTTCTTTGAATAAAAGGAGTTGAGGTTTCTTGGTTGCTTTCCAGAGGAGCTAAGTTGGAAGAGAAGTTTCCTCCCCTGGAAGGAGAAAGTCAGGGTTGGGACCCCAGGGAGGGGAGACAGACATCCTGGCCCTCAACACTTCTCTTCAGGACTGTGCTGCCAGGGATGGATAGCAAATAAATGAATATGGCAGGGCACAGTGGCTCACGCCTGTAATCCCAGCACTTTGAGAGGCCAAGGCAGGCAGATCACCTGAGGTCAGGAGTTCAAGACCAGCCTGGTCAACATGATGAAACCCTGTCTCTACTAAAAAATACAAAACTTAGCTGGGCGTGGTGGTGGGCACCTGTAATCCCAGCTACTGGGGAGGCTGAGGCAGGAGAATCGCTGGAACCCAAGAGGCGGAGGTTGCAGTGAACTGAGATCGTGCCACTGCACTCCAGCCTGGGTGACAGAGTGCTAATCTGTCTCAAAAAAAAAAAAAAAGTGAATGTCACACTAGGGCCAGACCCTCCCCACGGAAGAGAATGGTAAGGGTCAAAGTCCCCATGAGTGTCAGCAACGTCCCCCGCCCCATATATCAATTCATTAAACAAACAATCATTAAATGTCATCTTTATCAATGTATACTGTGTATGTAGCATGGGGCTGGATGTAGGAGCCTAGAGTCAAAGAATCGAGACCTAGATAGAGCCTTAGAGATCACTGACTCTGACCTACTTATCTCACAGAGGGGAAGCAGAGGCCCAGAGAGGAAAGGGCTTTCCTTACATCACTCACATGAGGGGCAGACTTGGGACAAGCCCTGTCTCCTGATGCCCAGGCCACAGCCCTGCTCCCCTCCATTTACTCCACCTCCACCTGCCCCACGTCCAGTCTTCCTTACTGTTGGATTATGGCAGCTCTGTATAGAGAAGACATGAGCCTCCTTCAGAATCCAGCTCTGTTCTGAGAATTTAAGGAGAAAAGAAGCTCTGGTGAAAAGCCTATTAGTTTCCTCTGCATGGAAACTAATGCATATTTAACAGCAGAGTTAAGTTCTGAACCTACAGGAGCCAGGAGGAAAAATCTTAAATTTCCATCCATAGAGAATTCCAGTGCCTTCACTAATCCCTGGCTGACTCCCCCATACCTCAAAGGCAAGGACCAACTAGACCTAGAGCCACCAGGGAGTCGAGATAAGAAGAGCTAACTTTTGGCCAGGTGCAGTGGCTCACACCTACAATCCCAGCACTTTGGGAAGGCGAGGCAGGCGGATCAATTGAGGACAGGAGTTCAAGACCAGCCTGGCCAACATGGTGAAACTCTGTCTCTACAAAAAATACAAAAATTAGCTGAGTGTGATGAGATGCACCTGTAATCCTAACTACTCAAGAAGCTGAGGCAGGAGAATCACTTGAACTCAGGAGGCGGAGGTGGCAGTGAATAGAGATCACACCACTGCACTCCAGCCTGGACATCAGAGCAAGACTCAAAACAACAAAAAAAGTTTAAAAAAAAAAAAAAGAACTGCTACCTTTTACTGAGTGCTTACTACGTGCCAGGCAATTTGCAGTTGTTTCTCTTTACTTCTCAGAGCAACTCAACAAGGTAGATACTTGCATTTCTCACTTCACACATGGGGAAACCAAGACTCAGAGAGATGCAGGAATTTACAGACAGATGTCACACAGAGAGCACGGAACTGAGCTAGCTGGATTTCCCCAAGCTGCAAAACATCAGAAAGACTTGCCAGCACGTTGCTAAACTGAACCTCTCAAAATACATACCATGTGGATGTACATTTATTGAAATAAATGTTTACAGAGATCAAAGTTAAACAGCCCAAGAGAGATTTTAAAAATCGTGTCTTTTGTACAGACAGAGCACAACAGTCAAAGACGGGCAGAGCTGGAGGCCCAGAGGGAAGTGCCCAGCAAGGCAGACACTGGGAAGCTTTAGAGCCTCAGCCACCTTAGGCCTGGCGGCCCACCTCACTGCCAGCTGGACCACTGGTCCTGCTGGGTCCAAGTGACAGACTGGGCCTCAGATACCTCTGCCTTTTCACTCTTCTAGAACTCGTCTGGAAGCCTTTATAGCCAGAGAGAGAAACCATGACCCACCACTGGGGTTTGCCTGAGGCTGTCTCAGTGTTAGCAATGAAAGTTCCAGGTGCCAGGAATTCCCTCAGTCCCAAGCAAACCAGATGCTTGGTCACCCTGTCCGGGGTGGCCTGGCTTCCTCCTGGGACTCTGTCAGACTGAGAGGCAGGCTGTGACATCTCTTCCTTGTGTATCCTCGGACAGCAGCCTCCCTCCCTGGACCTCAATTTCCCCATCTCTAAAATAGGGGCATTTAGGCCGGGCGTAGTGGCTCATGCCTGTAATCCCAGCACTGTGGGAGGCTGAGTGGGCGGATTGCCTGAGGTCAGGAGTTCTAGATCAGCCTGGCCAACATGGTGAAACCCCGTCTCTACTAAAAATACAAAAATTAGCCAGGCGTGGTAGTGCACACCTGTAGTTCCAGCTACTGGGGAGGTTGAGGCGGGAGAATCATTGAACTGGGAGGCAGAGGTTGCAGTGAGCCGAGATCGCACCACTGCACTCCAGCCTGGGCAACAGAGCAAGACTCCATCTCAACAACAACAATGAAAAAAAGTTGGGGGGAGGCATTCGAAAGCACCTCTGAGGATGCTTCTAGCTTACACGTTCCACAGTTTCTGAACCAATGTTTTGTTGATTAATAGCATTTTTGGTCCCTTGCCTATATTCCCAACTCCCTGGGGCAGTGCTGAAAAACCACAGCAACCACTAGATCCCTGCAGGGGTGGCCTCCCCTACTCCCCGCACAGAGTCTTACTTTTTCCATTCTCAAAGGGTGTCATTTAGGAGATGATTATTCATGCCAGCCACAGCAGAAGGTCATTTAAAATGGAGCCCTTTTCCACTCCCCATGGAATTAAAAATGGGTTTACAGATCCCTGCTTACTTGACATTTTAATCAAGGAGTTAAGAGCAGAGAAACTTAAAGGGGAAAGGTCAAGAGCCAGAGCCACACACATTTCCATTTCAGCAAGGAATATTCCACCGCCCACTCCAGGCCAGAGGCTGTTGTGGGGGAGACACACACAGACAGCAGAAGCATGGTCCCAGCTTCCAGAAGCTCCTGCTCAGCCCAGGAAGGGGGGCCATGCCCACAAGGGATGGAACCAGAAGTACCCTGTGGCAGGTGCTCTTCAGGGCCCCCAGGAACCAGAGGAAGCCTGAACAAGTGCATGACTTAGTACAAACCTGCCGTATCTGGGGGTCTAAAACATTAACTCCATCAGGCCCAAATCACTGTCTGTGGAACCTGAGTGCTTTAAAAGAGGTGATAAAAAATGCTTTGAGAGGCAAGAAGGCCAAAAAGGGAAGCGGGTTCTGACTCAGGGCGCTGAGTCTAGGGATCAGCAGCCATGACAACGGAGCACCACAGTACCGGATACACAAGGGACTGTGGGAGCCCGAGAACACCTCCCACCCAGCAGGGCAGGGCAGGACTGGCACTCCAGGCAGAAGGAAGAGCAGGAAGTGGATTTGCTCAGGGCACAGGCATGAGGGGCATAGCCAGAGAAGACTGGAGAGGGAGCCTGGGCCACACCAAGGCCATGGGGGAGGCAAAGGATTCTGGGCTTTACCTTGCTTCTCAAAGTTCATGCTTCTCAGACTGGGGCTCTCCACAGTGCTACTCAGGATATAGTTGGAGTATCTTCCAAGAGCATCAGTCACTTGAGGATGGGGGAAGGGGATCATTCTTTTTTGCTGTAAAATAAACTTGTATACAGTAGGCAGCAGACAACCAACTAAACTACTTTTGAAGACAAAACTCAAGATTTTGGCTAGGCATGATGGCTCATGCCTGTAATCCCAGCATGTTGGGAGGCCAAGGTGGGTGGATCACTTGAGATCAGGAGTTCAAGACCAGTCTGGCCAACATGGTGAAATCCCATATCTACTAAAACTAAAAAAATTTGCTGGGCTTGGTGGTGCTCACCCATAATCCCAGCTACTCGGGAGGCTGAGGCAAGAGAATCACTTGAGACCAGGACGCGGAGGTTGCAGTGAGCTGAGATTGTGCCACTGCACTCCAGTCTGGGCAGCAGACCAAGACTCTGTCTCAAAAAAAAGAAAAAAAATATTTTTAAAAGGCATGCTTCACTCACAACCGAATGCACAGCCCAGAAGTGACAGTGCTTATGCTTTCTCCTCCGTGCCACACTACCTGTACTGCAACCAGAGCCACCTTCACTTTCACGCTGTCTGTCCTTCCCAGTCAACTAGCCTCCTTCAGCCCAAAACCTCTGCTGTGGCTCCCTGTTAGACCATGTGGGGCCACTCCCATACTTCTAATCTTGGGCTGGACTTCAACATATTTTTTTGGAGGTGGGGGGACACAATTCAATGCACAAGAGCATCTTCTTTCAAATATGTTTGTCAATCTTGGGGTTCATGCTATCTACAACTACCTCCCCCAGCCCCCTTAATAACTCCAGGTGTTCTCATCCCCCGCAAGTGCTCACTCTTCCATGGTCTCCTCTCTTTTCTGTCTTCAGCCTCTTCTGCTCTACTGGCTCCTTCCCACTAGTACCTAAAGAGCCACCTGCTTCTCTCACAAACCTATGGCAACTTCCCATTCTCTTTCTCCATACCAGGTCATGTTGAAAGGGCTGTCTGCATTTGCAGTCTCAGCTCCTCGCCTCCCATGTGCTGACATTGCAGACTCTTCTTCTCACCTCCCACCTATTCCTCCAGCTGCTGTGATCTGGTTTTCCCTGCTCTGCTTCTCTCCCATCCTGTCCTGGGAGGTTGGAATTTAGCCAGGAGTGGCCTTATATCTGTCAGTGGTCAAGACTCCATTTCTCGGACAGTATCTTGAAGCCTCTGCTTCAAACCCAAGTCCACCCTCCTCAAGCAACCCCTACAAATCCAAAAGCCTCTAGGACAGCCTCTATTAAGATAAAACAACTGTTGGCCGGATGTGGTAGCTCACACCTGTAATCTTAGCACTTTGGGAGGCCGAGGCGGGCAGATCTCCTGAAGTCAGGAGTTTAAGACCAGCCTGGCCAACATGGTGAAACCCCACCTATACTAAAAATACAAAAATTAGCCAGGTGTGCCTGTAGTCCCAGCTACTCGGGAGGCAGGAGAATCGCTTGAGCCCAGGAGGCGGTGGTTGCAGTGAGCCAAGATAGCACCACTGCTCTCCAGCCTGGGCGACAGAGTGAGACTCCATCTCAAAAATAAATAAATAAATAAATAAAATAAAACAACTATAGAAAGTAGCAAGCCATCAGTCACCTCCACATTTACTCTAATCATTTCTGTCTTGATTAACTCCTGTCTGACAACTCTTACTAAAGGCAGTGCAGGGTGGGGGACCTAGGATTGTCTCTCAGCTCTGTTGTTACAGCTCTGTGGCATACAGGAGCAGCTGTATGCCACTCCTCTGCTTGAAGCCTCAGTTTGCTCCTCCAGGAGATGGGAATAATAATGAGATCCAGCTCCCAAAGATGCTATGAGGATTAACTGAGATGATGACATAAAGGGGAATGTGGCAGGCTGAACAAATGTGAGTGCCAGAGAAGACTCAGGCCAGCTGGCCCATTCCTCAAGAGCTTGGATTTTAGAAGCAGCCTTCTGCAATCTATGCGAGGCTTTGGCAGACTCTGCTCAGGCTAAGGGAATGAGGAAAGAGACCGAAGACAGCATCATACACAGGCGAACTGGAGAGTGAGGATGTACCATGTAGACTGCACTCATATATTGGTTATTTATTGAGAACCTACTGTATAAGCAATTCAAGCAAAAGTCAGACACAGACATTGACAGTTCATAATTGAAAAGAAGACAGGAAAACATACTCAGCATTCAGGTTTCTATACTTCACAGGCAAAGCACTGTGCCGGGGGAGCCAGGTAGGCCAGAGGAAGTGCAGGGTGCCCGGGAGTGGAGAGTGACAGCCACAATACAGACAGAGAGAGGGCACAGGACACATGGGGGTGGAGTAGGGAGCACGAAGTGGGAATACAAGGGCCCCCAAGAGAGCAGGCTGGGGCTGAGGAAAAGACTAGAATAGTTTTTTCTTTTTTTTTTTTTTGAGACAGAGTCTCCCTCCATCGCCCAGGCTGGAGTGCCAATCTTGGCTCACTGCAGCCTCCGCCTCCTCCTCCTGGGTTCAAGTGATTCTCGTGTCTTAGCTTCTGGTGTAGCTGGGGTTACAGGCGCCTGCCGCCATGCCCAGCTAGTTTTTGTATTTTTAGTAGAGACGGGGTTTCACCATGTTGGCCAACTGGTCTCGAATTCCTGACCTTAGGTGATCCACCCACCTTGGCCTCTCAAAGTGCTGGGGTTACAGGCGTGAGCCACCGCACCCGGCCAGGACTAGAACATTTCTGCCTGAGGTTCCATCACCTGGAAGATTCCACGGAGGGGAAGGAGCGAGGTGGAATAGAAGAGAAAGAAAGGCTCAGCTGCTGTCCTGTCTGAAGGGGAAAAGACAAAGGTGGCCAGAGTCAGGAGGGGCTCCACGCCAGCGAGGCTGTGTGACTTAGGGTGGGGAGCTCAGAGAAGCGGCCTGCCCTCTTCAGGAGAGAATTCAGCACAGAAATCTTGACAGGGCCTAGCCTGCAGAAGCCAGGCTGCTGTGAGAGGTGGGGGACACCTCTGTGAGCTGAAGATGCTCTTTCGCTACCCACCCACATTTGCCCTCTTGGAGGGGGTGCAGGAGATGGAGAGCTGCCCCTCCCACCCCTCCCCCATTTGCCGCTGAGGGGACTGGGATGTGCTGGGATGAATGACAATATCACACATGCTTATGATTTGCTCAGGACACTGCTTCTCACCCTCCTCCCCTCCTCTGCAGCATCTGACACCAACACCAACCCAGCCGCCATTCATTCATTCACCCAGAGCACCTATTTTTTTCCCAGGCACCTGGCTCCTTTGTTGCCTCTGTGCACAGGATGTAAGTTCTTATTTGGCCTTTTAGAGCACTTTGCTCCCCTTCTTGGCACCTGGCAGATGAGCCATTAGTGATTATGAGTTTGGAGCCAGGCGCAGTGGCTCATACCTGTAATCTCAGCACTTTTTGAGACCAAGGTGGGAGGATTGCTTGAGCCCAGAAGTTCAAGACCAGTCTGGGCAACATAGTGAGACTCTGTCTCAGTACAAAATAAAATAAAATAAGGTAAAATAAGGCCGGTGCAGTGGCTCACCCCTGTAATCTCAGCACTTTGGGAGGCCGAGGCAGATGGATCACCTGAGGTCAGGAGTTCAAGACCAGCCTGACTAACATGGTGAAACCTCGTCTCTACTAAAAGTACAAAATTAGCCCGATGTGGTAGTGCATGCCTGTAATCCCAGCTACTAGGGAGGCTGAGGCAGGAGAATCACTTGAACCCGGGAGATGGAGGTTGCAGTGAGCCAATATCACACTGTTGCACTCCAGCCTGGGCAACAAGAGCAAAATTCTGTCTCAAAAATAAATAAATAAATAAGATAAAAATAAAAATAAAAAAAGCTGGGCATGGTGTCATGTGCCTGTGGTCCCAGCTACTAGGGAAGCTGAGGTGGAAGGATCCCTTGAGCCCAGAAGGTCTAGGTTGCAGTTAGCCATGATTGCACCACTGTACTCCAATCTGGGCAACAGAGACCCTGCCTCAAGGACAAAAACAAAAACAAAACAAAACAAAACAAATGAAAAACCCCAAGAGTTTGGACTTCAGAATCAGGGAGCTGTGAACTGAAACACTTGCTATGCCACCTTACAAGCTGTGTGACCATGGGCAATTTCATAACCTCTCTGAGCCTCAGCTTCTTCCATACAGCATAAATAATATGATGCACTCAAAACATTTGTGAAGGTTAAACATACACAAAGTGCTGCACCTGCCTCATTGTCAAGTGCTCAATAAATGCCAGCTCATGGCTCTTTTACAAGCTCTGGGGTTTGTTCTTTCCTTCAGAAATCTCACGTACTCTGCATTTCTCTACATGCATTTCCTTTGTGTCTCTCTTCTCTACTCACTCTTCCAGCCGCCCTATCCAGACCATCTTCTCCATGTAACCCCATGCCTTCCTTTGGAGGCACACCAGAGACCCATGTCCACGCTGTAGCACAGTTCCCAGAGGACTCAAGAGCACAGCTCAGAGCTGGGCGCACAGTCCAGTACTGGCAATATGTGTATTTATTTGATCTTCCCCTCTTAAGAGCCAATCCTCTTCTGGGTGAGCAACTGATGCTTTTATAACAAAAGCCAATACAATTTCACCCTGACCTTGATAAAAGAAAACATTCAGAAACTAAAAGTTCACTATTTTCTAGGATCTCAACTTTGTGGCAAGAAATGACCCAAAAACAATTTGTGCATAAAGAGTAATTAGAAAAGAATACAGAGTGGGTAAAAATTAACCACTGATCTGAAAAAATGCACAAGGAATTCTCAACTTTTCTCATTTTATAGATGAGGAAACTGGGTCTCAGAGAGGCAAAGTTACTTGCTTAAGGTCACAGGGCAAGGCAGAGTAGGGGCTTCTGACCAGGCTGACTCTAAGTTGAATGCCTTTGCCTCCACACCCTGCTGTCCACTATATGGTGTTTATGGAGTAACTGGCATAGCTTTCTGCGATATTCTTTAAAGAGAATGGTTTTAGAAGTGACTGTTGGCCAGGATCAGTGGCTCACACCTGTAATCCTAGCACTTTGGGAGGCTAAGGTGGGCGGATTACTTGAGGTCAGGAGTTTGAGACCAGCCTGGGCAACATGATGAAACCCCGTCCCTACTAAAGATACAAAAATTAGCTGGGCGTAGGCCAGGAGTGGTGGCTCACACCTGTAATCCCAGGACTTTGGGAGGCCGAGGCGGGCAGATCATGAGGTCAGGAGATCGAGACCATCCTGGCTAACATGGTGAAACCTTGTCTCTACTAAAAATACAAAAATTAGCCAGTCGTGGTGGTAGGCGCCTGTAGTCCCAGCTACTTGGGAGGCTGAGGCAGGAGAATCGCTTGAACCCGGGAGGTGGAGGTTGCAGTGAGCCGAGATGGTGCCACTGCACTCCAACCTGGAGACAGAGCAAGACTCTGTCTAAAAAAAAAAAAAAAAAAGAAAGAAAAAAAAATACCTGGGTGTGGCGGGCACTTGCAATCCCAGCTACTTAGGCGGCTGAGGCAGGAGAATCGCTTGAACCTGGGAGGTGGAGGTTCCAGATCACGCCATTGCACTCCTGCTTGGGCAACAAGAGTGAAACTCCATCTCAAAAAGAAAAAAGAAAAAGAAAAAAAAGTGACTGTTGCCCTGGAGTTCTATTTAATAAGGTATTCTTTCTTTCTTTTTTGGAGGGTGGGGGACAGGGTCTCACTTTGTCATCTAGGCTGGAATGCAGTGGCATGATCTTGGCTCACTGAAACCTCTGCTCCCAGGTTCAAGTGATTCTCCTGCCTCAGCCTCCCTAGTAGCTGGCATTACAGGCAGGTGCCCCCATGCCTGGCTAAGTTATATATATATATATTTAGTAGAGATGGAGTTTCACCATGTTGGCCAGGCTGATCTGGAACTTCTGGCCTCAAGTGACCCACCCGCCTCGGCCTCCCAAAGTGCTGGGATTACAGGCGATGAGCCACTGCCACTGTGCCTGGCCTCCACCCTTTTAATTCTTTTTTTTTTTTTTTTTTGAGACAGAGTCTCACTCTGTTGCCCAGGCTAGAGTGCGGGGGCGCGATCTTGGCTCACTGCAACCTCTGACTCCCGGGTTCAAGCGATTCTCCCGCCTCAGCACTCTTTTCATTCTTAGGACTGGTTCTAACTCAGGGGATAGGCTGCAGGAAGATAGGGGAAAGCATCAGTAGGGAATTCTCCCTCCTATTGCTCCCACAAAACACATACCCCTGCACTTGAGGGAGAAATGAGCTACAAATGACTCACTTCATTTATTTTTATTTTTTATTTTTTTTTGAGACAGAGTTTTGCTCTTGTCCCCCAGGCTGGAGTGCAATGGTGCGATCTTGGCTCACTGCAACCTCTACCTCCTGGGTTCAAGCAATTCTCCTGCCTCAGCCTCCAGAGGAGCTGGGACTACAGGCATGTGCCACCACACACGGCTAATTTTTGTATTTTTAGTAGAGACAGGATTTCACCATGTTGGCCAGGCTGGTCTTGAACTCCTGACCTCAGGTGATCTGCTGGCCTCGGCCTCCCAAAGGGCTGGAATTATAGGTGTGAGCCACTGCGCCCGGCCATGACTCACTTTAAAAAGAACACCAAGAAAGGCCGGGCACGGTGGCTCAGACACCTGCAATCCCAGCACTTTGGGAGGCTGAGCCGGGTGGATCACAAGGTCAAGAGATCGAGACTATCCTAGCCAACATGGTGAAACCCGTCTCTACTAAAAATACAAAAATTAGCTGGGCATGGTGGCATGTGCCAGTAGTGTAGTCCCAGCTACTCGGGAGGCTGAGGCAGGAGAATTGCTTGAACCCAGGAGGTGGAGGTTGCAGTGAGCCAAGATTGCGCCACTGCACTCCAGCCTGGCAACAGAGTGAGACTCCATCTCAAAAAAAAAAGAACACCAAGAAAAATAATCAAGGCTTAGAGCTACCTGTGAACCACTGCATTCTCTTCTTTCTTTATTTTTTAAATGTTTCCTGACTCCTAGAACTGACACTGTGTTTTCTTCTTTCCAAAAATATAACTTTCCTTTTAAGACAACCGCTACAATAGGAGCTAAGATTCTTCCATCTGGAGTACTTTGAAGGAATAATAGTATCACCCACACCAATCAGTTCAGGCACTCTTATTCCATCAGGCACCAGCTATGGGCATCGCCCCCAATTCGGGCTGCTCTGGGATGATACATCTGTAGACATTTGGGTTGACACAAGGTCCTGTGTAGGCTCCTTGCTTGGACAGCAGGCATTGTGGAATGTGTTTTTCCCTCTATGTTCAAGCATCAAGTCTTTCTCCATTCAAGGCATCAGGCATGAAATTTATGAGCAGGTCTTTTTGCAAGTATGCAAATTAAATTCTGACCTCTGGCCATCTAATCTCGAGTGATGTATATTGAGAATGCTGCTTTATGGTGGCTCTGCATCAATATGAGACTCAAGTGCTGCCTACCAGAGAAAGGATTTAAGTTGGCTGTCTTTAGATTAACCTTCAGGTGCTTTTGGGGAGCAGGGGAAGAGAGGATGCTGACTGCTAAGGCTTACATCACGCAAACACTGAAGTTATACTACTACCTGGTCCCATATCAGGTGCAGGGTCTCCAGGCTAAAAGGAATTGCGGAAATCATCTAGTCACTCCACAGCCCCACTAGATGCACCAATTCTGTTTCCAACATTCTTGGTAAGTGATCAGCTACTCTCTGCTGGAATACCTTCAAAGACAGGGAGCTCATGAGGCTCAGTTGCTCAAAAATGGAAAAACTCTGTCATAATTAGGATTGAAATCTGCTTCCTATGACTTTTCTACCACTGGTCCCAGTTCTGCCCTCTGTGGCCACCCGGGCCACTGCTGCTTCATCCAGCCTGGGGGTAGGAGAGGGTGACTACCCTGTCCCCTTCTCCAAACTGCACAGCTCCAGCCCTCTGGCTGCTTCTTGCAGCCCCTTTTCATGCAACATCTAGCACTCTCAGAGTCAGCATACTGATGAATCAGTGCTGCTTGGGGTCAGCTAAGTCCCCAGGATCTTAAGAGGACATGTAACAGGAAGGTCTTAAAGATGAAAGCTCAGAAATCTTCAGCCATTGAGGGCTGTCTTTGAGCCTGATGTTCCTCCATTGTAGGTTTCCAAAAATGGCCCAGACCTCTCCCTGGGAGCTCCCTCCTAAAAATAAAAAGGAAACAAAACAGAAGCCAGGACAGTTAAGTCCCTTAAAGTGCAATGAATGGAGCTCATACTGTTTGCGAAGGCTGTGCTAGGAGGATCAAAGTGCTAGACCTGGCAGAGTCCCCAGGATTCATCTCATCCCCAAACTTTTCAAATGGGGAAACTGAAGCCAGAGGAGATGGGACTCACCTTAGGATACACAGATTAATGGTGTACTCTCAATCTTAAGTAATCTCCACCAATGGACCAACCCTGACCTTCTGAGAGACCCCAGAATACCGGCCTTGACGTCGGACCCTGCTTCATGACGTCATCGCCCCAACCAGATATGAGCCACTTTACCCCATGCCCTTGATACTGACGCAGCGACAAGCGGCCCTCATTGGAAGAGTGCAGCCGCTGGGGCGCTGCCGTGGGAGCTTGCTCGGAGGGGCACCGGCCGCTGGGCTCAGCTACACAGCTCTCGAAGGCCCTGTCGGAAGTGGCGCCGCAGCAGGCAGTAAAGCAGCGGATTGAGGCTGTTGTTGCAGTGCGTCAGGCAGATGGAGACCGGGAAGAGGTAGGCCTGAGCCAGGAAGTAAGCGCGGTCCAAGGGCATGGCGTTCAGTTTGATCAGCACCCCTCAGAGTGTGAACGCTTGGCTGGGCAGCCAGCAGAGCACGAAGGCCAGTAGCACGCAGGCCAGCGCACAGGTGACTCGGGAACGCAGTCGGCGCCTGACCCTCGACGGCCAGCGTGCGCACCACAGTCGCAGGAAGCGCAGCAGCAGCGAACAGGTGCCCAGCGTGGCCAGCGGCAGCACGAAGGCTACTGCGATCTTCTGCAGGTGGTAGAGCACCTGCCATTTGGGGCCGCCGGCGGGGAAGCGCAGCAGGCACGAGTGCTTTCCCCCCACCCTAGCTGCCGTGGCGAACAGGGCGGTGGGCGCCGTAGCCAGGACGGCCATAGCCCAGAGCAGGCAGCACACACAGCTGGCCCGTGATGCGCCCCGATGGCTCGGAGGCAGCGCGCCAGTCACAATGCAATAGCGTGCCACGCTCATGGCACTGAGGAGGAAGATGCTGGCATACATGTTGAGCACGGTGAGCGTCAGCATCACCTTGCAGATGGCACCCCCGAAGGGCCAGCTAAAGTCGCGCGCCGTGTCCACGGCCCAAAAGGGCAGCGTTAGCACAAACTGCAGGTCAGTGGCTGCCAGATTGAGGAGGAAGCAATTGAGCAGCCAGTGGCGGCGCCACTGCTGGGACCTCACCCGGACTAGCACCAGCCGTTGCCCACCAGGCCTACAGCGCACAGGGCCCAGTAGGCGCCCGCAATCAGAGCCCGCAGCGCCGGCGCCCGGACGGCCCCCGCCACCCCGTCCAGGCCATGCAGGCTGCGGGGACTCCGGGCCGGGCTAGTGTTCTCTGATCCGTTGCCCAGGGAGCTGTTAGGGAGCAGCCCCCGACGCCTCTTCCGGCCAGCTGAAGGGAAGCACGGCCCAGACAGCTCGGGCGATTCGACCCTGCCTCTGGCGGATGCCATCGCCGTTGATGGCGATGCAGGGATCCGCTCAGATCCACTCCAACACCGGCAGCCGCTGGGAGAGAACTAGGGGGTCTGCAGTGCCTCGCGGCAGCACCTTTAAAAAACTGGGGAACCACCTGCTAGCCTGCGATTGGCCAGCTGCACCCGTGGCCCACCCCAAAGGCCTCCGAGCTGTTATTTCCAGTAGCTGCTTCTTCACCCTTGAATTAGCGTTGAACTGGGGACCCTTTGCGGGTGAACTGAGACGCGGGGGCCGGAAGCCCGAACCGGAGGAAACAGCGTCTGCAATTCACCCAAGGTGTGGGTCCGCAGCTGCCGGTTCCCGCCCGAGGACGCAGCTCCAGCTTCCCAGTGCCTCCCAGAGGGACTCTGATACTCGGGGGGCGCTGAAGGGAGGTCATATAAATTCTTCCCGTGGAGGCAGTGCGCCCCTCCACCTCCCCTGTGGGCCCCGAGATAGCCAACTGAAGACCAAGGAGGGGTGCCCAAGTCCGACCAGTGGGGCCTGGCAGCCCCCTGCCCGCCAGCCCTGCTTCCTTGAACCCCTGCTCCTGATAAGGCATTTCTCCTCCCCTGCTTTAGCCATGGGTACCCTTCATTCCCACCTTCACTGTGGTCTGCTCTGCAAGTATCCCTGATCTTCTTCCCAAGGTCAGCCGCACTGCTTACAACTGGGCTGAAGACGGAGAAGCAACTAATCTAGGAGCAGTCAGAGGAAGAGACATGCAAACAGGGTTTAAAAGACCAGTGCTGGGCCAGGCCCAAAGGCTGATGCCTGTAATCCTAGCACTTTGGGGGGCCAAGGCTGCAGATCACCTGAGGTCAGGAATTTGAGACCAGCCTGGCCAACATGGTAAAACCCCGTCTCTACCTAAAATACAAAAATTAGCTGGGCATGGTGGTGTGCGCCTGTAATCCCAGCTACTTGGGAGGCTGAGGCAGGAGAATCGCTTGAATCTGGGAGGCGGAGGTTGCAGTGAGCCGAGATGGCAGGCCTTTCCACTCCAGCCTGGGTGACAGAGCAAGACTCCATCTCAAGAAAAAAAAAAAGTCCAGTGTTGGGAGACTAAGACTGGGCCAGCACTCATGCTCAGCATGCACAGAGGAGGGGCCTAAAGCCTGGGGAATCCTGAAAGACTTCTTGGAGGAGGTGATTTTTGAGCTGATCCCAATCCTGCCTTGGCTTCCAATTCCAGTGACTTCCTCCTACAGTTAGAATAAAATCCAGATTTCCTGCTTTGGACTACAAGGCCTCATGACAGAGGCACCCACTACAGCTTTTTTTTTTTTTTTTGACACAGAGTCTTGCTCTGTTGCCCAGGCTGGAGTGCAGTGGCATGATCTCGGCTCACTGCAACCTCCGCCTCCTGGGTTCAAGTGATCCTTCTGCCTCAGCCTCCCGAGTAGCTGGGACTACAGGCGTGCGTCACCACACCCAGCTAATTTTTGTTTTTAGGAGAGATGGGGTTTCATTTTGTTGGCCAGACTGGTCTTGAATTCCTGACCTCAGCTGATCCACCCACTTCGGCCTCCCAAAGTGCTGGGTTTACAGGTGTGAGGCACCGTGCCCAGCCAGCCCTGGTATTTTTAAAAGTGCCTAGGCAATCCCACTGTATGCCAGGGTTGACAAGTCCTCTGTCTGTGGTCTCTCTGCCCACCTCCTAGACCTTGTCACCTACCACTCCGAGCCTTGCTCACTTCACTCCAGACACACAGGCCCTTCCCCAAATACACCACTCTGGCCTGCCTCAGGCCTTTGTCTTTGCTGTTCCCTCTGCCAAGAATGCCCTTCACCCAGATTACCATGTGGCTGCTCCTTCTCAGCACTCTGGCCTCAGCCCAAATATCACTTCCTAAGAAAAGACTTCCCTCTGCCACCACTCTGTTTACTTCCAAAAGCATTCATTGCATGCCCATTATGTGCCAACCACCTTGCTAAGCACGCAGGATGCAGCCTGCAGTGTGTCTTCTACTGGGGGATAAAGACAAACAAATAAATGAGATGAACTCATGGGGGAAAGAGTGACAATGAAACAAAGCAGGGTAACAAGACAGAGACTGAAGGGCAGGGCAGGAGACTCAAGGAAGGGGTATGAGTTTAGGGATGGGAGGGTTCCCAGGGGAGGAGGAGACCATGGTCCCCTTTATACCACTTACCAGGTATGTGTCTTGGGGATAACCAGTTTTTATTTTTCATATTTTATTTTATTTTTGAGATGGAGTCTTGCTCTGTCACCCAGGATGGAGTGCAGTGGCGGGATCTCAGCTCATTGCAATCTCTGCCTCCCAGGTTCAAGCAATTCTCATGCCTCAGCCTCCCAAGTAGCTGGGATTACACGTGCCTGCTACCACGCCTGGCTAATTTTTGTATTTTTTAGTAGAGTCAGGGTTTTGCCATGTTGTCCAGGCTAGTCTTGAACTCCTGACCTCAGGTGATCCACCCATCTCGGCCTCCCAAAGTGCTGGGATTACAGGTGTGAGCCATCACCTCCGGCCGGGGGTTAACTAATTAATCTTGCCTATCTGTAAAAGAAGATGCTGATAACCCCTCATCAGGGTCATAGGAGAATTAACCAGCCTCCAGAGAGAAAGCCTTCAGCTCTGTGCCTGGTGCGGAACTCTTCTTCTTGTGATTATTATTGAGAGGCTAGAGTGACCTCCCGTTTTGCTGAAGGCCCTCTCTGGACCTTCTCTGCCAACTTTAGTCTGGAGCTCCCACTGTATGTCAACCCTGGCATACTGTGCACTTACCTTTTCCTTCTTTCCTACCTCCATCAAGAACACAGGCACAGGCCGGGCTCACGCCTGTAATCCTAGCACTTTGGGAGGCCGAGGCGGGTGGATCATGAGGTCAGGAGATCGAGACCATCCTGGCTAACATGGTGAAACCCCGTCTCTACTAAAAAATACAAAAAATTAGCCGGGCATGGTGGCGGGCGCCTGTAGTCCCAGCTACTTGGGAGGCTGAGGCAGGAGAATGGCGTGAACCTGGGAGGCAGAGCTTGCAGTGAGCAAAGATCACGCCATTGCACTCCAGCCTGGGTGACAGAGTGAGACTCTGTCTCAAAAAAAAAAAAAAAAAGAACACAGGCACAACATGCCACCAGGAGCTGGGAGGTAGTCCCTAGAGGGCAGATCTCCCTCATGTCTCCTGCCCTCAATCAATCACCACCACCAGAGGCTCCCCATCACTCCCAGGCCTCTGCCTTGCTTGCCCAGGAGACAGGGAATCTGCAGTTAAGTGACATTCTCTCCCCAGCGGTTAGGAAAGGGGAGATTAACCTACTTACCAAGACATAGACTAGGCCAGAGCCTGGATGAACTGGGAATCTGATCGAAAGTTTGCAAAATTAGATCATGCTTTCCCAGGGTTTCCTTCCAGCAGGGCCTGATGCCTGGGACTTTTTCTTCCTTGAATGGAAGTTGTCACTGAATGTCAAGTGGCCTGGGTTCTAGTCTCTGTGCCCTAACACTCTGTGTAAAATGAAGTAACTGTCCCATTCTGGTCTGTTTTCTCATTTGTAAAATGAGACACCTTCTAATTCTAAGAGTGTTTTTAGAGACAAGGTCTTACTGTGTCACCCAGGCTGGAGTGCAATGGCCTGATCATAGCTCACTGCAGCTTCTTTGCATTGGCTGGGCATTTACTATGTGCCAGGCCCAGTGCCAGGCATTTTATAAGGATCATCTCATCTGGTCCCCATGACTGCTCTGTGAGACAAGGAATGTGATCCTGACTTACACAGGAGGAAGCAGGCTCAGAGAGGGGACTTGCCCAAAGGCCCACCCAGCAGGTGAACAGAAGCCTCCCTCTGAAGAGCCTGTCCAGTTTTCCCTGAGGTGCTCTGCTGACAACACTCCTAAAATCTGCACACCAGGGGAGTCTCCCAAGAGAAACAGTTATTGGTGAGAGAGGGTCACAATTTGGGGATACATTTCCTTTTCTTATTTATTTATTTATGAGACAGAGTCTTGCTCTGTTGCCCAGGCTGGAGTGCAGTGGCTCCAACTTGGCTCACTACAACTTCCACCTCCCAGGTTCAAGCAATTCCCCTGCCTCAGCCTCCTGATTAGCTGGGGCTACAGGTGTGTGCCACCATACCTGGCTAATTTTTGTATTTTTAGTAGAGATAGGACTTCACCATATTGGCCAGGCTGATCTCGAACTCCTGACCTCAAGTGATCTGCCCACCTCGGTCTCCCAAAGTGCTGGGATTACAGGTGTGAGCCACTGCGCCTGGCTGGATGCATTTATTTTTCTTTTAAAAAAGTATCTTTATGGTCAGGCACAGTGGCTCACACCTGTAATTTTAGCACCTTGGGAAGCTAAGGCAAGAGGAACACCTGAGCTCAGGAGTTCAAGACCAGCCTGGGCAACATAGTGAGACCCTTTCTCTACCAAAAAAAAAAAAAATTAGCTGGGTGTGGTGGTATGTGCCTGTGGTCCTAGCTACTCAGGAGGCTGAGGTAGGAGGATCACTTGAGTCCAAGAGTTGGAGGCTGCAGTGAGCCATGCTTGTGCTACTGCACTCCAGCTCGGGCAACAGAGGGAAACCCTGTTTCAAAAAAAAAATCCCTTTATGGCCAGGTGCACTGGCTTACCCCTGTAATCCCAACATTTGGGAGGCTGAGGTGGGAGGATCACTTGAGCAGAGGAGGTTGAGGCTGCAGTGGGCCATGTTCATGCCACTGCACTCCAGCCTGGGTGACAGAGCAAGACCCTGTCTCGAAAAAAAAAAAAAAAAACCCTAAAACACAAAACTCTTTATATTATTACTGCAATGAAAATATAGCATTTCCACATGTAGTTTTATACAAATTATGTGGCCAGTGTTGATTTTTCCCTTGAGAAAACTTCCCACCATGAGATTATAGGTGACTGTGTCAAGTTTTGGTGTCTTGCTGCATAATCCCTCTGATTCCCCATTCCCATCTCCACAATAGGCCACTCGGCCCCTTGCTTTGCTGCACTGGGAAGATCACAGAAATATCAGGCCAGTATTCCCGGAGTCCCTGGAGAGCCCAGAGGAAGTGGGGAGGTCCGGAAGCAACAGACAGTAGGTCAAGGCCATGGCAGGGAGACAGGCCTGGCTCAGGGGCCTTCCCCTCCTCCCACTGCATGAGTGCGTGTGTGCGTGTGTGTGTGTGTGTGTGTGTGTGTGTGTGTGTTTGATGGGCTAGGGCAGAGTGGGCTGGTTTTCAGCTTGTATTTCTGTAATACAACTTGACTCTTTTAAACCATGAACATGTATTACTTGGATGTAAAGCAAATTAAATAGCAAAAGCACAAAAACCTTCGCAAATTTGATAGGTGGTAAATGCTCCACGGTTGCTTGGATTTGCATTCCTTTAATTTCTGGCAAGGCTGTACATTTCTCAAATGTTTCTGCACCATCTGTATTTTCTCTACACTTTTGGCATTTCCCTCCAGGGAATAGGGTAATGGCTGTGGGGCCTGGCACCTGGAGGCAGACAGATCTACCTACAAGTCCTGGCTCTGCCAGTTACTGGCAAGGGACTTAATCTCCATTTTTTCTTGTCTGTACATTGGAGATAAAGGTTGGGTTTCCCTTATTCAAAATGCTTGGGATCAGAAGTGTTTTAGATTTTGGATTTTTTTGGATTTTGGAATATTTGCATATGTATAATGCAAATCTTGGGGATGGAGTCTACGTGTAAACATGGAATGCATTTATATTTTATATACGCCTTATACACATAGCGTGAAGGTAATTTTATACATTGTTTTATTTTATTTATTTATTTTTTTCTTTTGAGATGGAGTTTCCCTCTGTCGCCCAGGCTGGAGTACAGTGGTATGATCTCGGCACATTGCAACCTCCGCCTCCTGGGTTCAAGCAATTCTCCTGCCTCAGCCTCCTGAGTAGCTGGGACTATAGATGGGCACCACCATGCCTGGCTAATTTTTGTATTTTTAGTAGAGACAGGGTTTCACTATGTTGGCCAGGCTGGTCTCGAACTCCTGACCTCAGGTAATCCGCCCGCCTCGGCCTCCCAAAGTGCTGGGATTACAGGCGTGACCCACCATGCCCAGTCTATACATTATTTTAAATAATTTTGTGCATGCACACATCCATTCCCAGACCTCTCGAAATCTGTCCTGGGCTCCCTCATCCCACCTCCATCCAGAGTTGCCTAAGTTGTAGGTCCAGCAGAGGCAGGATTGCTTGGTGGTGAGAAGGTTAGGTCTGGCTCAGATCAAATAAGAAGAGATAAAATTTGCCTTAAAACTTGCCTGGCAATGGCTTTGCTGCACGGTCTGAAAACACCCGTTCCCGCCCTCTCGACTGAAATTTCCTTGTGACACAGAGAAGGACAAAGGTCTGAGCCCAGAGTTGACGGAGGGAGTATTTCAGGATTCAATTCTGGGACTCCTAAAACGACGAGGGTGTTAGGAAGCGAGGCACAGGGTGGGGACTGGGAATTTAAGGAGAGCTGGGAACAGATCCCTTAGGTTCAGGAAGCTTCTGCGCAAGCAGTGAGGATGGCTGGGGCTAGGGGGCTACTCCGCCTGCCACACTAGCTGTGAGTTGAGCAAAGCCCTGGGCTCATGGTGCCCCAAAAGCCTGCGGCCTCAATCCTAGGCCTGCACGACACATTCAAAAGGATTGTTTTGTTTTGTTTTTAAAGAAAGATGAGATTGGCTTGGTTCTTCATGGGCACATTTTATATAGCTCTTTTTCTTTTCCTTGCTCATTTTGTTTCGGGGAAGAAATTTGTACTGTATTGAGATTGTGAAGAACATCTCTGCACTCAAACAGTTTACAGAAATAAATATTTTTAAAATAATTTTGTGCATGAAACCAAGTCTAGGTACATTAAACCATTAGAAAGCAAAGGTGTCGGGTATGGAATTTTCACCTGTGGCATGAGGTCAGTGCTCAAAAGGAGCATTTCAGATTTTGGATTTTTGGATTAGGGATGCTCAACCTGTAGTAAGTTTACCTCATAGGGTTGCTCAACTTTTAACTAGAAAATTAACATAATGCAACATGGTGAAACCCTGTCTCTACCAAAAATTAAAAAATTAGCCAGTCTCATAACTTGGTATCAAAAAAAATAAGTAAATAAAAATTGAAAAATAAAATAATGTTTTTAAATGCTGTATTTTGTTTTATTTTATTTTGAGACAGGCTCTTGCTTTGTCACCCAGGCTGGAGTGTAGTGGCCCGATCTTGGCTCACTGCAACCTCTGCCTCTCAGGCTCAAACTATCTCCACTTGCCTCTCCCTGACACCCTGGCTCATTTTTGTATTTTTTGAAGTGATGGAATTTTGCCATGTTGCCAAGGTTGGTCTCAAACTCCTGAGCTCAAGCGATACACCCGCCTTGGCCTTCCAAAGTGCTAGGACTATAGGCGTGAGCCACCGTGCCTGGCCTGTATTCTATTAATTTTCCTTCCTCCCTTCAGAAGGACATAGTATATCTGTTGTTTGTTTGTTTGTATGTATGTATGTTTGTTTTTTGAGACAGCATCACACTCTGTCACATAGGCTGGAGTGCAGTAGCACAATCACAGCTCACTGTAACCTCCAGCTCCCAGGTTCAAGTGATCCTCCTGCCTCAGCCTCTCAAGTAGTTGGGACTACAGGCATGCACCACTACGCCTGGCTAATTTTTGATTTTGTGTAGAGACAGGGTCTCGCTCTGTTGCCCAGGCTGGTCTTGAACTCCTGGTCTCAAGCAATCCTCTGGCCTCAGCCTCCCAAAGTGCTGGGATTACAGGAATGAGCCACCACACCCAGCCAGATGCTGTATTTCTTTTCTTTTTCATTTTTTTTTTTTTTTGAGATGGAGTCTCACTTTGTCACCTAGGCTGGAGTGCAGTGGCATGATCTCAGCTCACTGCATCCTCTGCCTCCCGAGTTCAAGTGATTTTTCTGCCTCAGCCTCTCAAGTATCTGGGACTACAGGTGCGTGCCACCACACCAGGCTAATTTTTGTATTTTCAGTAGAGATGGGTTTCACCATATTGGCCAGGCTGGTCTCGAACTCCTGACCTCATGATCCGCCTGCCTCAGCCTCCCAAGGTGTTGGGATTACAGGTGTGGGCCACCGTGCCTGGCCCAGATGCTTTATTTCTAACAAACTCCTAGGTGATGCTCTGCTGTTGGTCCAAAGGGCCACATTTAATGTAGGGAAGGAAACGATACTGTACTAGTAGCAATGGGCTAGCATGGCTGGGCATTAGTCTCTGTGTTTTACTGGGAGATTGGTGGTGTTGTAGTGAGTTAGGTTGGCAGAGGTTGCTAAGGAACTTCCACTGTGACTCACACTAGTTTACAAAGTACTTTCACATATATCATCTCATTTGGGGCATTATTTTAATGTCATAGGGTGTTACTGTAATCATTATTATATCATGAGTCGTTATTTTAATCCCCTGCCCTTTTCTTTTGAGTTGGGGTCTAGCTCTTATGCCCAGGCTGTAGTGAAGTGCTGTGATCATAGCTCACTGCAGCCTCGAACTCCTGGGCTCAAGTGATCCTCCTGCCTTGGCCTCTCAAAGTGCTGGGATTACAGGCATGAGCCACTGGACCCAGCCACCAGCTCTTTTTTTATAGTAAGGATTTAAGACTCAGAAGGATTGGTTGGGTGCAGTGGCTCACACCTGTAATCCCAGCACTTTGGGAGGCTAAGGCAGGTGGATTACTTGAGGCCAGGGGTTTGAGACCAACCTGGCCAACACAGTGAAACCCTGTCTCTACTAAAAATACAAAAATTAGCCGGGTATGGTGGTGCAAGCTTGTAATCCCAGCTACTAGGGGGTCTGAGGCAGGAGAATCGCTTGAACCTGGGAGGTGGAGGTTGCAATAAGCCGAGATCACGCCACTGCACTCCAGCCTGGGCAACAGAGCAAGACCCTGTCTGAAAAACAAAAACAAAAAAAAGGCCGGTCACAGTGCTCATGCCTGTAATCCCAGCACCTTGGGAGGCTGAGGCAGGTGGATCACGAGGTCAGGATATCGAGACCATCCTGGCCAACATGGTGAAACCCCGTCTCTACTAAAAATACAAAAATTAGCTGGGTGTTGTGGCAAGCGCCTGTAGTCCCAGCTACTCAGGAGGCTGAGGCAAGAGAATTGCTTGAACCCAGGAGGCGGAGGTTGCAGTGAGCTGAGATTGCGCCATTGCACTCCAGCCTGGTGACAGAGTGAGACTCCATCTCAAAAACAAACAAACAAAAAACACATAGCAGAGCTGGGACTTGAACCCAACTACATTTAACTCCAGAGCCTGCCACCCATTCCATCATTATGTGCAGCTCACCTTAAGAACATCCAGATCCTGAATCTAGCCTGGAGGGAGGCAGCTGAGCTGAGCCAGGCCTGTGGGTCTTGTCTCTACCACGAGGTGTTACAATTGGTCATTCAGATGGTTTGCAATTAAGCCTTTGTGGGTTCCTGTTCATAGAGCCAATAATCTCTATTTCTTTGGGTTTTGTTCCTTTCTTGTGAAGCCTCCCTCCTAGGTCTCTGCCTTCCTGTTTCTGTCTGGACTGGTGTCTCTTCTGGCCTACTCACCAGCTGTGATCCCAGAATCTACCTTTACTATTATTCTGCGGGCTCCCATCACCTTATGTTTGTGTTGGATCTGTTCCTTAGGTCCTCAGCCTTTCTCTTTCTTGACTTACTTCTTCATTTTGGTGGAGCACAACCTCTAGTAACTTTTGGAAAAAGGGTGCATGGAAGGCAAATATTTTGAACCCGGTGTGGTGGCTCACGCCTGTACTTCCAGCACTTTGGGAGGCTGAGACAGGCAGATCACCTGAGGTCAGGAGTTTAAGACCAGCCTGGCCAACATGGCAAAAACCTGCCTCTACTAAAAATACAAAAATTAGCCAGTCGTGGTGGCAGGCGCCTGTAGTCCCAGCTACTCGGGAGGCTGAGGTAGGAGAATTGCTTGAACCTGGGAGGTGAAGGTTGCACTGAACTGAGATCACACCACTGCACTCCAGCCTGGATGACACCACTGCACTCCAGCCTGGGTGACAGAGCAAGACTCTGACTCAAAAAAAAAAAAAAAAAAGTTTGAGCTTGTATGTCTTAAAGTGTTCTTATTCCACCTTCTTACACTTGATCAAGACTCTGGGAGTTGAATCCTATGTTGGAAACCATTCTCCCTAGAATTTTGAAGGCATTGCTCTGTTTACCTCTAATCTGTAGCATTGCTGGAGGAGAATTCTGTTTGCACTCCAATTACAGAGTCTTTGGGACTATTTTTCTTCCTTCTCTGGAAAATCTGGAAACAATTTTCTCTAATATCCAAGAGTTACGGTACGCCAAGATATCATGTCTTGGTGTGGGTCTTTTTGTGTGTGTGCTGGAAGCCAGTAAAACCATTTAGAAATTCATGTGCTTCAGTTCTGAGAAAATTCTTGTATTATTTATTTGATAGTCTTCCCTCTGTTTCCTCTGATCTTGCTAGGTCTCCTATTTTTTGGATGTTGGATTTATGAAGTTTTAAGATATGGACAAGTTTTTACTTTTCATGCAGGCACATCTATAAACTGTTTTCCTACAGATTTTGCTGTTGATTTCATCTTTAAAATATTCTTCCCAACCCCAAAATTATATAACCAACTTCACTTTTTATGTTGGCAATAGCAGTTTCAAAATAAGGCTCATGCTGTTTTTCTTGTCTAAGCTGTACGGCAGGCAGCAGAAATGAGTGAGTATTTGTTAGATAAATAAAAGAGTGAAATGACTTATTGATTTAAAAAAAGAAAGAAGATCCATGTAATTCATTTTATCTAGCATCTTATTGTCAGCAGGGATTCTGATTTTTATTTTTTATTTTTTAAATTTATTATTTATTATATATTTTTGAGACAGAGTCTCACTTGTCACCCAGGCTGGAGTGCAATGGTGCGATCTTGGCTCACTGCAACCTCAGCCTTCTGGGTTCAAGCGATTCTCCTGCCTCAGCCTCCTGAGTAGCTGGAATTACAGGTGCCCGCCACCACACCCGGCTAATTTTTGTATTTTTAGTAGAGACGGAATTTCACCATGTTGGCCAGGTTGGTCTCAAACTCCTGACCTCCAGTGATCCACCCGCCTTGGCCTCCCAAAGTGTTGGGATTACATGTATAAGCCACCATGCCCAGCCGGGATTCTAATTTTTAAATGTGAAAACAAATATTTTCTTTACAAAAGTTAGTAAAATGCATGAAAAAATAAAAGATAAATAATGAGCAGAAAGAGCTCCTAAATATTCAGTAAACACAATAGAAAAGCATTAAAAGTTTTCAAATTATTTCCAGACACAAAAATATGGAACATCCATTGCTGAAACAATGGTGTGAACAAAGAAGAAAAATACAATTTTAAAAAGAAGAAGAGGCCACGCATGGTTGCTCACACCTGTAATCCCAGCACTTTGGGAGGCTGAGGCGGGTGGATCACTTGAGGTCAAGAGTTCGAGACCAACCTGGACAACATGGTGAAACCCCGTCTCTACTAAAAATACAAAAATTAACCAGGCATGGTGGCGGGCACCTGTAATCCCAGCTACTCAAGAGGCTGAGGCAGGAGAATCGCTTGAACCTGGGAGGCAGATGTTGCAGTGAGCCGAGATCATGCCACTGCACTCCAGCCTGGGTGATACAGCGAGACTCAGTCTAAAAAAAAAAAAAAAAAAAAAGAAGAAGAAAACAGCCAAGCCAATAAGTAAGCTATAGCATCAAGGTGGTAAAGAAACCCAAAGATGGTTGGGTTTGTGCCAGGACAAGGGTCAGGTAGGGTGCACTGGCTCACACTTCCAGTGCTGGTTAGACTCTCAGACAGCAGTTTTCTGAGATCCTACTAAGCACCAGCCCATCAGACATGGCCCATACCCTCTTGGTGTTGATGAGCTAGAAGTGAAGAAGATAAGATTTGACTGCAGGAAAGAACGTGATAGCTATCATTAAGGGTCCCTTTGGAAATCATCATGGCTCTTGGCAATTAGCACTTAGTAGGTGTTCATCAATGAGTCTCTGGTGAAGGGGATGTGGCAGCCTCCCATATATCGAGCTGTCTGACCGACTTAGAAACAACTCTAAAAGGAGGAGTCCTGAAGAAACAGATCCTTTAATGATAGAAGCCGAAATTGGTAATTTGGAGAGGCAGTGATATGGAGCGATTAGAAATCCAG
The DNA here is from genome assembly GCF_000001405.40 of Homo sapiens. NCBI lineage: Eukaryota > Metazoa > Chordata > Mammalia > Primates > Hominidae > Homo > Homo sapiens. Next base: position 78,818,804 of record NC_000015.10, on the reverse strand, counting down.
GCACTGGAATTAGGCCAGTCCTGGCCCCGACACTTCCAAATGTGGGACGTTGGGCAAGTTACTTAACCTTTCCATGCCCCAGTTTCTTCATCCATAAAATGAGGAAAATAATATCTGCTTCATGTTGGAAAGATTACATGAGACATTGTGTGTAAGGCACAGTGACAGAAGATAGGATAGAGCATTCCTTCACTATCTCAACTTGCCTCCATCAAATCATCATTCTCACTGCCCAAGTGGCGGCTCAAAGGCAGTAGAAGCCAATCATGAGCCTTTTTCCCATCAGCTAACTGATGGCTCTGAAATCTCAATGTGGATAATTTTCATGACTCTTCCTGTGGCATTTCTCCCCTACAGTGTGGGGGCAGGACACACTCTGAAGCTGCAGAGGCAGCTGTGGCCATGGCTTTCGCAGGTGAAGGCCGCAGTGCTCTAGAGAATGGGGATAGATTGAAAACATCCATGTCTCCAGGGCTTCCAGAACAATGACTAATCAGGCCCACAGTGGCAGCTCAGCATCCCTTTCCAAGTCAATCATCCCATACATTTTCAAGGCCAGCTCATACTCCGCCCAGTTCTGTCTTATGAGGGAGCTTTTTTGAGCATCCTTGTTTAGAAATCTGCAACCTAAACTGGCATTTTCGATCATTTTGCAATCCTTGCAATTTACTGGGGTGGAAGGGACCCACCAAAAATAATGTCTTTAATTTGGCAATACCTGTCTATCAAAGTTACAAATACACACATTTCTGACAGCAATCTCAGTTCAAGGACTTCATCCTAAAGATGTACTCACATGGGTGCATCATGGACATGGCCAGAAAGAGATTGGAAACAATCTAAATATCCTTCAGTAGGAGATGAGGATAATGGCATATGCACATAATGGAATATCAATCATGTAACATTTATTTAAATATTGAAAATAGCTATTGAACACATAGTATACGCCAGCCACTGTTCGAAGTACTTAGGACACATTAGAGAGCAAAATAAAGATTCTCTGCCCTCATAGATCTCATATTGTGGCTTATGTGCCACAAGCTCCACAACCAAGGATATGAAACCATCTCCAAGTTTATATACTTTTGTATGTATGTGTGTGTGTGTGTGTGTGTGTGTGTGTGTATATATATATATATATTTTTTTTTTTTTTTTTGAGACGGAGTCTCGCTCTGTCACCCAGGCTGGAGTGCAGTGGCGCGATCTCGGCTCACTGCAAGCTCTGCCTCCCGGGTTCACGCCATTCTCCTGCCTCAGCTTCCTGAGTAGCTGGGACTACAGGCACCCGCCACCATGCCCAGCTACTTTTTGTATTTTTAATAGAGACGGGGTTTCACCATATTAGCCAGGATGGTCTCGATCTCTTGACCTCATGATCCGCCCACCTCGGCCTCCCAAAGTGCTGGGATTACAGGCGTGAGCCACCGCGCCTGGCCTATGTATATATATTTTTTAGACAGGGTGCTCTGTTGCCTGCTCTGTTGCCCAGGCTGGAGTACAGTGGCATGATCATAGCTCACCACAGCCTCTCTGGCTAATTTTTTATTTTTTGTAGTCTCACTGTGTGGCCCAGGCTTGTCTTGAAGTCCTGGGCTTGAGCAATCCTCCCACCTTACCCTCTCAAAGTGGTGGGATTACAGGTATGAACCAGGGCACCCAGCCTCCAAGTTATAGTGTTAATTTTTTTTTAAAAGCCAGGTAAAGATAGAGAGGATATATGCTAGCATGTGTGTAAAATATATCTTTGTGTTTGCAATGCATTTTTCTGGAAGGATTCATGATAAACTGAAACAAGTAATGGCCCCTGGGAAGGAGCACTGAGGGACCAGGGGTCAGGTTTGGAAGGGAATAATTACTTTTCAATGTTTGTAAAGTTTACATTTTTAATTCTGTGCTGTCTTACCGCAAAATACAAAATAAAACATAAAGGCTTTTACTTTTGCCAAATGCCTCAAACCCTTTCTTTACTCCTCTAGAGCAGGTTTCTCAGCCTTGGTACTATTGACACTTGGGGCTGAAGAATTCTTTGTTGCAGGGGGTTGTCATTTAGCCACATCCCTGGCCTCTACCCATTAGATGCCAGTAGCACCTTCTCCCTGGTTGTGACAACCAAAAATGTCTCCAAACATTGCAAATTCCATGGAGGCAGAATCACCCCCGCTTGAGAACCACTGTTCTAGATAACACATGAAATAGGGGTGTAGGGTCACTGTCTCCACTAGACAGATAAGAAAGTTGAGGCCCAAAGAGGTTTTATTTTGTTTTTAAGAATTGTGTGCCTTGGCCAGGTGCCGTGGCTTATGCCTGTAATCCTAGCACTTTGGGAGACTGAGGAGGGCAGATCGCTTAAGCCCAGAAGTTTGAGACCAGCCTGGACAACAGAACGAAACCTCATCTCTACAAAAAATACAAAAATTAGTTGGGCATGAGGCACACGCCTGTAGTCCCAGCTACTCGAGAGGCTGAGGTGGGAGGATCACCTGAGCCTGGGGAGTTTGCGACTGCAGTCAGGCAGTCAGCCCTGAGCACGCCACTGCACTCCAGCCTTGGTGACAGAGCAAGACTCTGTCTCAAAAAGAAAAAAAAAATTGTGTGCCTCATTTTCTTTGTTATTTATTCATTTATAATTTTAAATGGACACTGTTTTGCTATACTTTCCTACTTTTTATTTATTAGTATTTATTTATTATTTTGAGACAGGGTCTCACTCTGTTCCCCAGGCTGGAGTGCAGTGGCACAATCACGGCTTACTACAGCCTCAACCTCCTAGGCTCAAGCATTCCTCTCACCTCAGCCTCCCGATTAGTTGGGACTACAGGTGTGTGCCACAACACCCAGCTAATTTTTTGTAGAGACAAGGTTTTGCCATGTTGCTCAGGCTGGTCTCCAACTCCTGGGCTCAAGCAATCCTCCTGCCTCAACCTCCCAAAAGCCACCACATACAGCCCTTTCCAACTTTTTAAGCAATCTATCAATATATAAATGGATATATGAAAGCAGAATAAATATAGTTTCTTTTTAAATTTTGATCAGTTTCTGGTAATGTTTTAGCTATGTTAAAGCTTACTGGAGATGTTGGGTCATATAGCATGATAATCATTTAAACAATAAATGAAATAATTTATATCAAGATACAGGGGGGAAGCTCACTAACTGGATACTTGACACTCTGAACAATGACATAAAATATGTGTTGAAATATCAAATCTCTTGCTTTGTTCAAAATGTACACTTTGGGGTAGGCATGGTGGCTCACGCCTATAATCCCAGAACTTTGAGAGGCCAAGGTGGGCGGATCACCTGAGGTCAGGAGTTTGAGGCCAGCCTGGCCAATATGGTGAAACCTTGTCTCTACTAAAAATACAAAAATTAGCTGGGTGAGGTGGCGAATGCCTGTAGTCCCAACTACTTGGGAGACCGAGGCAGGAGAATTGCTTGAACCCAGGAGGCAGAGGCTGTAGTGAGCCAAGATCGTGCCACTACACTCCAGCCTGGGCAACAGAGCGAGACTCCATCTCAAACAACAACAACAACAATAAAACCGAAAAACACAAAAACAAAATGTACACTTCACTCCCCGAAATTTGGAGTTGGCTGTTCCTGTTTTTCCAGTTGAATTATTTTTGCATCATGAGGGCATGACTAAGGCTTATCATTTTTTGTATCCTTTTTTTGTATCCTATGGTTTCCGAGAAGCTTTAAAATGAAGGCACCCAGCAGGGTGTGGATGGAGTAAAGACCAGGACCTGGGACAGAGGAGGAAGCAGGCAGGGACTGTCATCAGACGTGGGATTTGAAAACACAAACTCCAAGGCTGCATTTCAAAAAAGCCTCCAATCTACTGTTGGGCCTTGGCAGCATGGAGGCAGTTTGTGGTGTTGGCCAGGGAGGGCTGTGTGTCCCCTCCCCAGATCCTCCTGATCTCTAGGTTTTGCTGTGCTGGTGGCAGGGATCACAAAGACCAAGACATGACCTTAGCATCTCACGGTGTGTCGGGGTTGACAGACCCATAACCAGACAATAGCAGTCTAGTGAGCTGTCAACGGGGATGGCAAAGGGTGCTCTGGGGAACCTAAGAGGTCAGGGGGGACGTGCTGGAAGGGGTGACGTACAGCCTAGGTCTGAAAGGACAAGTCTCAGGGACATCAAGTTTATGCCCATCTTTTATTTATTTTTTATTTTTTGAGACTGAGTCTCGCTCTGTCGCTGGCTGGAGTGCAGTGGCAGGATCTCGGCTCAGAGCAAACTCTGCCTCCCAGGTTCAAGCAATTATCCTGCCTCAGCCTCCTGAGTAGCTGGGATTACAGGCATCTGTCCGCCACAACGCCCAGCTAATTTTTTTTGTATTTTTATTAGAGGAGGGGGTTTCACCATGTTGGCCAGGTTGGTCTCGAACTCCTGACCTCAAGTGATCCGCCATCCTCGGCCTCCCAAAGTGCTGGGATTACAGGTGTGAGCCACTGCGCCTGACCAGTGTCCAGCTTTTTAAGATTTATTTTTATTTCTAGAGACAGGGTCTCTCATTCTCTCGCCTAGGCTGGAGTGCAGTGGTGCAATCAGAGCTCACTGCAGCCTCGATCTCCTGGGTTCAAAGGATCCTCCCTCCACATTCTCCTGAGCAGGTAGGACAACAGGCATGCATCCCATGCCTGGCTCACATCTTCTCCCTTTCACCTTCACATGACTGGCTCCTTTTTGTCATTCTGGTATCACAGCTTAAATGTCACCTTTTTAGGAAGGCCTTCCCTGACCACCCCATGGAAAGTAGACTCTAGTCACTTCCGGTTTTATTTTCTTCAAAGCACCTCTCTGTAGCTGGTCTTGTTTATATGGTGGTCTGAATTGTTTATCCATCTGTCTATTTGCTTGCTGTCCATGGCCTCCTCCAGAGTGGGAGCTCCAGGGAACAGAGACCTTATCCACCTGTTCACAGCTGTGTCCCCAGTGCCCTGGGTCTGCAGTGCATACTTGATCTTATGGAGTGAAGAAGAGATGTGCCAGGTGATGAGGGCAGAGTGGAGGTATGTGAACAGGGAGGGTATCTCTAGAATGCACTGTGCAGGTCAAGGTGGAGAAGGAATTTGGCTTTGACACCAAGATGGGGGGACAAGAGGCTTAGCCTGAGGTACAAATGGGAAAAGGGGGAATCTAGACAACCTTGAGGGAGAAGTTTGACTAAGACAGGGAGCAGATATGTGGGGTGGGAATTAGAGGGGACACCCAGTCCATGGAGGGGTATTATCAGTACTTTTTTTGTTTTTTTTGAGACAGGGCCTCACTTTGTTGCACAGGCCGGAATGCAGTGGCGTGATCTTGGCTACTGCTCATTGGTGGGGCCAGGCCTGGCCCAGCCTCAATCTCCTGGACTCAAGTGATCCTCCCACCTCAGCCCCCCAAATAGCTGGGATCACAGGCATATGCCACCATGCTGGGCTAATTTTTAATTTTTTTGTAGAGACGGTGTTTCACTATGTTGCCCAGGCTGGTCCCAAACTCGGGGCTCAAGTGACCCTCCCACCTCAGCCTCCCAAAGTGTTGAGATTATAGGTGTGAGGCACCTTGCCTGCTTTTTGTTTGTTTGTTTGTTTTTCCCTAGAGACAGTGTCTCAGTATGTCTCCCAGACTGGCCTGGAACTTCTGGGTTCAAGTAATCCTCCCTCCTCAGCCTCCTGAGTATCACTGGGACTACAGGCCTGTGCCACTATACCCAGCTATTATCAGTATCTTTAATAGGAGGAAGACAAGAATGTTTTTAGACTGACGGTCACCAACCCAAGGAGACCAAGGAAAGCGGGGGACACCTGGAGCAGGACCTTTGAGGAGACAGGAGGGGAGGGAGCCACAGAGCCCTGGTGGAAGCATTGTCTCTGACTGCTGGAGGGCACCTGTTTCACTGTGTCCAGATGGAGGGAGAAGTGAGTGGGTGCCAGCTACAAAGGCTCATTGTATGCAGTGTGCATGGTAGGATGTGGTGGTCTGAATTGTCCATGTCACTGAGCAGCAAGACCAGCTGGTGTAAGCAGTGGGGAAGAAATGCAAGGTGGTTGGGTAGGGGCCAGGAGTCAAGCAGTAGATGTAGCTGGGAGGGAAGTAGGTGAAGCCAGGAGGGGCTGGTAGGTTGGGCGAAGAGGAAGGTATCAAGGGACTGGAGGAAGAGCAATACATAGTGGGACTGTGAAGGTGGAAAGGACTGCAGAGTCGGGTCTGACAGGGGGGCACCTGAGCTTCGGATTTCCAAGATGGAGCAGTTCTGAGGGATGACACAGCCCAGGCTTTGGCCCTGAGACCTGATGGCTGAGGTGGAGTGGAAGGTCACTGGAGATGAGATGGAGGAAGTAGGTGACCCTGTACTACACAAATTCCCTAGAGGACAGACAGGTTGAGGGTGGAGAGGAAGCCAGAAGTGAGCTTCCAGGAATTGAATGAAAGGGCCCAGGAGATTGGACAATGAGGAGGTGTGCGGGCCTCAGAGGGCAGGGGGCACACAAAGACTAACCAAGGGGAGGAAGCTGACCGCAACCGCCCCGAGGACAAGACGGGCGTCCTCGGTACAGGGCCATGTTTAGTGACGGCAGAAGGGAGAAAGGAAGCTCCTGGGAGCACAGGGGGAAGGGGAGCCGGAAGCCAGAGCCAGGGCTGGGGCCACGAAGGACAGACGGCCGGTGTTGGAGGCGGAGGCTGGCCTGGGATGTGAGGCTGGGGTTGGCCGGCCTCCAGGCTCCCCGGGAGCCCCTGCTGAAAGTCTGTGGGCGCTGGCCTGGGCGAAGCCGCGGTCCCCCGCCTGTGGGCTCAACTCTGCGCTCTGCTTCAAGCAAACGCACTAGGAGAGGAGTCAGGAGACGAGGAACTGCGGGGCCCCACCTCGCGCGGGCAACCGCTGTCTGTCCAGGGAGGGCCCAGGCCTGTCTCCGCAGATAGCTTTGAAGCAGGGCCCCCGGTGTGGCCCTCTGGAGGCCTCCCGCGTCCCCTTTTGAGGGGCTGCCCTGCTTGGCCTGGGGAACACAGCGAAGGGCACCTCGTGGAGCCCAATTTAGGGACAACACATTAATTCTGGAAATTCCAGATTCTTTCCGGGGGTCCTCAACCGGCCGGGGTCGGAAAGGCCTGGCAGGGCTCCGCCGGCAGGGGGCGCTCGGGACAGGGGGGCGAGGGGGGCGGACATCCGTTGCGGGGCGCTGCCTGCGCCGGGCCGGCCAGCCCTTGAGGCGAGCACGGCCTGCGGGGCCGATGAGGCCGGGGCCGGCCGGGGCGGGGCGGGGCCAGGGGCGGGGGAAGGAGTCCGAGGGGCGGGGCGGGGGCCGGCAGCCGCCCTCCCTCACTCTCCCTCCCTTTCTTTCTTTCTTTCTTTCTCTCCTTCTAGCTCTCTTGTCTTTTCTTTGCCTCTGCAGCGGCCAAGGGGGCGGGCCCTGCAGCCTTTGTTGCCCGCGGACCGAGCGCAGCCGAACGGAGTCGGGGCCGGGTCGCCGGGAGCTGCACGCCGGCCGGGCATGTCCTGAGCCGGACCTGGGACCAGGCAGCGACCGGACGGGACGGACGAGAGCGTGCGCGCGGGGTCACCCGGCGGCCGCCCGGTTCCTGCCATGCCCGGCGGCCCCAGTCCCCGCAGCCCCGCGCCTTTGCTGCGCCCCCTCCTCCTGCTCCTCTGCGCTCTGGCTCCCGGCGCCCCCGGACCCGCACCAGGTGGGTGTCCGCCCCTCCCCGGCCAGCCGGGCCTGCCACCCCTTCCCGCTCCCCCAGTCTCGGTTTTGTCCCTCCTCACCTTTGTGGACCCCGCGCCGGCTCCGCTGTGCCTGGAGTTGGTCGCGTCTTCCGCTCCCTGGGTATTAGGGGACAGTAGTCGGGGTCGGGCCGGGCCGGGAGCGAAGCCGCGCTTCTGGGGAAACTTCCTCGGCCCCTGATTCAGTTACTGACACTGCCTGTCGCCTGGAATAAGCCCCTTCCGCTCTTCGGGCTCCGGTTTCCCCACCTCGGGTGCAGCAACGCGCCTGGCTCCCGGGAGAGCTCTCGTCCGAGTGGGCTGGACGGAGCGCGGTTTACCCACTGAGGATTTGGTTTCTCACACTCCTTAGCGAGGCTCGCCTGGAAAGCGGGCTGGCCGGGACACAGCCGGCGAGGGCGCCAGGTCGCAGGTCTTCGCGGGACCCCGCCGCCCCCCCAGCTCCCGCCCACCGCATCTGGGCTGCTGGCGCGGCCCCTGGCGGCTCGGGGGGCCGGGTCTTGCGCGGTCCTTGCACTTCCTGCCTCTCCCTTCCCCAAGTGTGAAGACGCCGGGAGTGGAGCGGGGAGCAGGAGCTTCTTTTCCCGGCCATGGGTTAACTCTCCCCGCCCCGCCGGGCCGGCCTCCGACGAGCCTCTGGCCTGCGTCCAGACTCTTGTTTGGCGGCGACCTGCCGGGCGGCCGCGCTGCTGGCGCGTCCGACGCAGCCGGCCTGGGAATTCAGTAACCGAGGATGTAGGAGACCCCAGGCCCGGTGCTCAGGGAGCTCCCAGTCAGGGGAGCCGGTGGATAGTGGGGAGAGTCCTGCAATAGAGCCGACCGGCAGGCTTTGTAGGAGAGGAGGGGCATGAGGTTGGAGAGACTGGAAGGATGGATGGATTCTGGATGAGCTAGAAGGGCGTGGAGGGAGTGGGGCCCTCCCCTGGGGAGCATCAGTCGGGGGACTGGATTAGGGTTGCTTGCTGGGATGGGGTCGACCTGCCTCCCCACTGGAGGGATTGTGACGAGAAAGTAGTCTGGGCGGGAAGGATGGGGACATTGACTCTTGATCTTAGAGGTTTGGGAAGCCGTTGAGGGGAGCAGCTGATGAAAGCAGTGTTTTGGAAAGATTTGGTCTAGCAGCCATGCGCAGAGCGCAGAGGGAGCGAACATTTAATGAGCACCTACTGTGTGCCAGCCTCACGGGTTCTTATTTCTCATCATCTCCACAACAACCGTGCAAAGCAAGTGATGGAAAGTCCTTTTATGGACCAGCAAACAGGCTCAGAGTAGAGCGACCTGTGGGGTTGGACTCCTGAGCTTCCTGAATGAGGCTTGTGTTTTCCACTGTCCAGAGCTGGGGGCTGAGGAGGATGAACCGGGCGATGGGAATGGGAGAGCAGGAAAATGCTTCCCTCAGGACTTGGGTCCTGGCCCCCTGGCAGCTGTGGGAAGAGTTGGGTGCGGTCAACCTCGTGGGATTCTTATGAGGATTAAATGAGATATTGAATATGTCAGTTGCTCAGGCAGGACACAGTGACTACAATGTAGTGGTCATTATTTTTATTAATCTGCCAGGCCGACCCAGGACTCCCCAGATGACCTGGACCTGCTGTTTGAGGGTGGAGGCAGGCCAGGCACTCTCTCCAACCTAATCTGGGCACAAACACTCCAAGGGTGAAGTCTGTCTCTAGTGTTCCCATAGATATAGAGCATGGGGTCCTTCCTGTTCTGCACTCCCTCAGGATTGGTGACTCTGAGGCTGCTGGCCTGTTTGTCATTTTCTTTGAAGCCCAGGACCTAAGCCTGGGGCTCCTCCTACCACTGAATGTTACCTTCTTTAAGACCAAAGGGCTCATCCTGGGCTCACTTTTAGGAAAATATATCCCTTTTCCCCACTTGTGACTGACCCAGGGACCTGCTAGGGTTTCTGAGGCTGGAGCCCAGTCATGTGTCCTCCTCATGCCGTATGGCACATGTGAACTCTGTGTGCATGTGTTTCTGTGCATACTAGAACTCACAGAGGAGGGCATTCACATACTACCCCCCACCCTGCCAGTTATTTTTCCTCCTTGGCATGAGCTGTGGGTCATTTGAAGGGCTGGATTGTAACTCAGGTTCTTGATAGGGAGGTGAGGGTAAACACCATCTTGGCATTTCTTTGGTAGAAGCTCCAAAGTGACAGTTCTGTCACCCAGGGGAGATATTAAAAGTATTTAACACCCAATGTGGCAGGAGCTTGGTCCAATCAGAACAGACCTCCTGACTTGGCAGAATAGATTTGGCCATGAATCTCTGGCAGTCCTCTTGAATGGTGCCTGTTGCCATCCCACTGTCACTTGAACTCTGCAGGCTCAGCTTTGTTGCAAGCACATAACCGGTCGAGACTGGAACCTGCAATTACTCCTTGCTGGCACTGGGTGGTGCTAGTTTCAGCCACCAACATCTCTACTGAGTGAGGTCAACTAGGCTACAGTGAAAGTTACTTATTTTTAAACTTACCCCTGCACTTTTTAAAAATATTTTAATGGCAAAACAATACAAGTTCACTATAAAAAAAGGTAATGCTGGCGGGCTGCAGTGGCTCATGCTTGTAATCCCAGCACTTTGGGAAGCTGAGGCTGGCGGATCACTTGAGGCCAGGAGTTCGAAACCAGCCTGGCCAACATGGTGAAACTCCATCTCTATTAAAATACAAAAATTAGCTGGACATGGTGGTGCATGCCTGTAATCCCAGCTCCTCGGAAGGCTGAGGCATGAGAATTGCTTGAACCCAGGAGGCAGAGGTTGCGGTGAGCCGAGATCGCACCACTGCATTCTAGCCTGGGTGACACAGGGAGACTGTCTCAAAAGAAAAAATCTGAACAAAACAAGAAAAAAATTATTGCAATAAAAGTGGCAACATCCTGTAAGTCTATTCTTTTATTGTTGATTGAAAAACATGTTTTAGACCAGACACAGTGATTCACACCTGTAATTCCAGCACTTTGGGAGGCCAAGGTAGGCAGATCGTTTGAGCCCAGAAATTCAAGACCAGCCTGGGCAGCATAATGAGACCCCATCTCTACAAAAAAATTTAAAAATTATCCAGGCCTGGTAGTCCACGCCTGTAGTCCCAGCTATTTGGGAGGCTGAGGTGGGAGGATTGCATGAGCCCAGGAGGTCAAGGCTGCAGTAAACCACGATCGCATCACTGCACTCCAGCCTGGGAGATCTCAGAAAAAAAAAAAAGAAATAAATAAATAAAAACATGTTTTTTGTTTTGTTTTGTTTTGTTTGTTTTTAAGCCATTAGGCAAACAGATAAAACAACAAGTTTTTAAAAGAAAAAGCTAAATATACTTTAGAAGTTCTCTTGCTAATTTTCAGTCATAACTTAGCTCACATTTGCTATGTGCCAGCTGTTGTTATAAGCACTTACATACTAACTCATTTAATTCTTACACAACCAAAGAGAGCAGCTGTAATTATTATCATCCCCATTTTACAGATGGAGAAACTGAGATTCTGAGTGGTTGAGTAATTTACCCATGGTCTCACAGATATGGGTAGCAGAGCTGGGATTCAAACACAGCCTCTCTGGCTCTAGAGCTCACTAATCCGAATGCTTTTCACCTGCGGCATAGCTCTACTTAGCCCTGTCCACATTTTTGAACTTAATAGGATGCTTCTTTGTAAGTCATCTGGAATTTCTGTCTTGCAATATTTGCCCAGGATCTACAGCAGGTATTCTCAACAGGACTGTACATCCGCTGGGGCATGGGTTCTTCCCCAGAGATACTTTATTTTTTTTAAGCTTTTGGGGCCTTTTCTCCCCAGTGGTTGATTCCTCAGTTACATACCTGCTTCCATTCCCCAACCACATGCATTTGAGGACAAAACTTGCCTAAAAGAGTGTCATGTAGCTCCCCCAGTTGAGAATTTTAGAGCTGGTTGGCATCAGTGCCCCCCTGACCTTCAGCTCATCTTTAGCTGCCTTGGCTGGGATTGTCCTTGCCCTGGGAACCAACGTTAATACTCACTTAAAACAAGTGTTGGAGGGTGGGCATGGTGGCCCATGCCTGTAATCCCAGTACTTTGGGAGGCTGAGGCGGGTGGATCACCTGAGGTCAGGAGTTCGAGACCAGCCTGGCCAACATGGCGAAACTCTACCTCTACTAAAAATACAAAAATTAGTTGGGCATGGTGGCTTGCACCTGTAATTACAGCTACTTGGGAGGCTGAGGCAGGAGAATTGCTTGAACCCAGCAGCCGGAGGTTGCAGTGAGCCAAGATCATGCAATTGTACTCCAGCCTGGGGGACAAGAACGAAACTCTCTCTCAAAAAAACAAAAACATAAACAAAACAAAACAAAAACAAGCCTTGGAGTTGTAGCCTCCACGAACTGTGATCCTTGGGAAAGTTAGGAAATCTCCCACTGCGAGTGAACCTGGGAAGTAGTTCTTCCCTATCTCTGTCATTTTCGTCTCCTTGACCTGGGCTCCCTTCCTTACGTTTTCTGGCCTGGATTCTCCAAGCAGATGAGGAAACAAACCCAGAGATATGCAGTGACTCAGATTATACAACTATTAAGTGGCCCACTTGGGCCTGCCCTGGGTCTTGTTACTTTCAAAGCCCATGCTCTATAGTGCATTATTTTGTCCCTCCATTGCCTCCCATTTTACAAAACACATGCCTGGACCAAGATTAAACTTCTTGTTGCCCTTTCTTACTTCTGGCTTTTCCCCACTTCTCTGAGGGTTTACCACACAGTGCCCCTACCACCATGAGGCCCTTCTTGTCTTCACTGTTGAATTAACATATGTTAAGGGACATCTCAAATGCATCCTCCTTGATGAAACTTTTCTTCATTCCAATGCATCCATAAGGTGTCATCCTTTCCCCTTGCTTGGACCTTGTCAGCACTGTGCCAGAGTGGGGGTCTTGGGTCTACTGCACCCATTTTTCTGTTTTTTTTTTTTTTTTTTTTTTTTTTTTGTGTGTGTGTGTGTGTGTGTGTGTGTGTGTGTGTGTTTTTGGGGGGGGGAGTCAGAGTCTCGCTCTGTCATCCAGGCTGGAGTACAGTGGTACAATTTCTGCTCACTGCAACCTCCGCCTCCCAGGCTCAAGTAATCCTCCCACCTCAGCCTCCGGAGTAGCTGAGACTATAGGCATACACCACCATGCCTGGCTAATTTTTGTATTTTTGTAGAGATGGGATTTCACCATGTTGCCCAGGCTGGTCTCGAACTCCTGAACTCAAGCAATCTGCCCTCCTCGGTCTTCCAAAATGCTGCGATTACAGGTGTGAGGCACTGCGTCTGGCCATTTCTCCATTTGAAGGCAAGGATGGTGTCTTACCCACTTTCCTGGACTTTGGAGCACCTAGTGCCCCCTCACAGTTAGTAGCCAAGGGTCACATACCAAATGCCGTGGACTAGGCAGGTAACGTAAATGAGCAAACAAGGTGGGTAGGGAGACAGATTTTTCCTGAAACATGGGGCCTCTTGGCCTATCTCTTGTTTTCCCACTTTTCCATTCTTTACTGAGTGAAAGGAAACACAAGCATGATGGGAAAGGGAGCCTACTTGCAGCCACAGTACTGGGAATGAATATGGAGTGGTGGGGACTGAGGACCGGGGAGCATAGGCCCTTCCTAAAGGGAACTCACTGCTCCACCCCAGCCACTTCTGCCAGGGAGCAATTTAAGCCTGACATGGATGGATGATAAGACTTTTCAAGAAAAGCTGAAAATTGAGATTTTTGTACAAGATCATGTGATTCTTAAACATTGGCAATTGACTAAAACGTTTTTCAATATTTGTGTCAGCCAAAACAAACCAAAAAATCAATAACTGATCAACACAAGCAAATCTGCACGCTGTGGTTGAGGAGTTGTAGTCCCATATGCCCTTATTAGGATGTCAGAGCAAGAAGTCGCCTTAAATCATCCAGTCCGGTGGCTTCTGAATGCCAGCCTCTGAACTGGCTAGATCAGAATCCCTGGGAAGGTCTAGAAAAACACAGAAAATACACATTCTAGGGCCCCCAGAGCCCTGGATCTGTGCAACCAGAATCTCTGGGCTGGGTCCTGGGCATCTGCAGTTTTTCAGAGCTCTCCAGGTACTGCTGATGACCAGCCAGGTTCACTCCCAGTGGGGGATTTCCTAACTTTCCTGAGGATCACAGTTCCCGGAGGCTCTTGGTAAAAACATAGCTTCCTAGTCCCTAGTCCTAGTTTCCTGGAAATGCTGATTTAGTGAGTCTGGGATGGGGCCTGGGAATTTTTTTTTAAGAAATTCATCTGTGAGGTCTGGAAAATCCTTGCACTAGTGGCCCGCTGAAGCTCAATGATGGGGAAGATTAGCTCAGAGCCACACAGCACGTTGCCCCAGCCTACCCAGTCTCTTGACTCTCAGAGAAAGCTCTTTGAGGCTGGCATCGCTGCGGCGGTTGTGAGCAGAGGGAGATGCTCTCAGCAGGGGCACAGCACTGGCATGTGCAGGGCACTCTACGTGCAGTTCGGCAGAGGACAGACTGGAGGGCAAGTTTGGTTTCCGCAGCCTGCTGGGATGGAGCTTCGGGCTGGGCAGCAGCAGAAGGAACCCTGGTGGGATGTCAGCAGGGCGCTCAGGCATTCATGCGAGCCTGAAGAGTCTATTGTCGTGAACAGCCAGGATCCTGGGAGCTGGGTATAAATCCAATCGAGAAACTCCGGATTGCCAAGTTCCCTAACTGTGCTCTTTAGAGCCTGGGAACTGCAGAGAGGGAAAAGAGGGGGGAAAGCATGGATGCCAGAGCTCCCCCAACCCCCGGCACATGAGATTTCTCTTGAGACTAGAACTGGTGTCCAAAGAGATTTGAGAAACGTGATCTAATTCAACTCTTTCACATTAATGATGGGGAAACTGAGGCCCAGTAAGGGATGGACTGTTGAGAATATAGAGCAATGTTACTGAAGAGACTGAAACCATTTGGGGGACTTGAGTCTCAGTCTCAGCACTGCCACTCTCACTGTTACTGTGTGGCTCTAGGCCAGTCTCTCCACCTCTCTGAGCCTCCCTTTGCTGTCTCACCTAGGAAGCAGTCTGGACACCTTACTGCAGGTGTCCTAACCTGGGGTCCACAGCCTAAGGGACCGTGAACTGAGGGGATCCGTGAACTTGAATGGGAAAATATTACATATTTACTTTTTGTAATCTCTCAACGAAATTTAGCATTTCCCTCAATTATGAATATTATTAGCAAATCCCAGCAGCACCTGTGGTTTTGTTACCAATACAGCAAACCAAATATTTTTCTATCTCATTACAGTTGTTGCACGTATCTTGAAATAAGGTTTACGTTCATCACTACTTCAAAATATCCATAGTTGCCAGGCACAGTGGCTCACGCCTGTAATCCTAGCACTTTTGGAGTCTGAGGTGAGTGGATCACTAGAGGCCAGGAGTTCAAGACCAGCCTTGCCAACATGGCAAAACCCCGTCTCTACTAAAAATACAAGAACTCGCTGGGAGTGGTGGCATGCAGCTGTAGTCCCAGCTACTTGAAAGGCTAAGAGACAAGAATTGCTTGAACCTGGGAGGCAGAGGTTGCAGTGAGCCAAGATTGAGCTACTGCACTACACCCTGGGTGACAGAGAGAGACTCTGTCTCAAAAAAAAAAAAAAAGACCATAGTTGTTAAATTTGCCACAAAATCTTGTTTAAAGTATAATTCCACACCCTACTTTTTAAATTATTTTTTGTTTTGTTGTGTTTTGTTTTTGAGATAATGTCTCACTCTATCACCTAGGCTGGAGTGCAGTGGCGCCATCATGACTCACTGCAGCCTCGACCTCCTGGGCTCAAGAGAGCCTCCCACCTCAGCATTCCAAGTAGCTGGGACTATAGGTGTGCACCACCTTGCCTGGCTAATTTTTTTTTTTTTGTAGTGACAAGTTCCCATTATGTTGCCCAGTTGGTCTTGAACTCCTAGGCTCAAGTGATCCTCCCATCTCATTCTCCCAAAGTTCTGGGATTACAGGTATGAACGACTATGCCTGGCCTTAAATTATTTTGATAACTGTATTTCAATCTAATCAATTTCCTTGGTACTCCTGTATGTTTTATTTTATTTATTTATTTTTTTGTGGCAGGGTCTCACTCTGTCGCCCAGGCTGGAGTGCAGTGATGCGATCTCGGCTCACTACAACCTCCACCTCCCAGGTTCAAGTGATTCTCCAGCCTCAGTCTCCTGAGTAGCTGGGATTACAGGCAGGCACCACCAAGCCTGGCTAATTTTTGCATGTTTAGTAGAGATGGGGTTTCACTATGTTGGCCAGGCTGGTATCAAACTCCTGAGCTCAAGTGATTTGCCTGCCTCGGCCTCCCAAAGTGCTAGGATTACAGGCATGAGCCACCGTGCCCAACCACTCCTGTGTATTTTATTTTATGCATTTCAAAACATTGTTCTGAGGAGAAGGGGTTTGTGGCAAAAAAGGATAAGAATCCAGGCCTTACTAGGAAATCCAGGAGGACAGAGCAACAGAGAGGGGTTTTTAAACTGCAAGGGCCTGAGCAGAGGTCTGCCAATTTTTTCCATCCCTGGAACCTTTCTTTAAATGAATTCTTGCATGTAAAAGAAAGAAACCAGAGCTACCCTGTTGAAGTGGTGGTTAGCGGCCAGGGAGCCCCAGTGGGGTGGTCTTTCTCTGTCTCCCCAATCCAGGAGGCCTGGAGACACTTGCAGAATGCTCACGCATCTGAGAGCACATTTTTAAATCCGTCAGGCTAATAATAATCATAACAATCATAATTGCCATCATATTCAACCAGTGGCTCAGGCACTGCTAAAGGGAGTAGCTCCACCAGGTTTAATCCTCACGACAGCATCGAGATTGTAAGTGCTGTGGTTATCTGCATTCTACAGAGTCATTCAATAAATACCAAAAAAGGACTAAGTTCTGGACACTTCCTCTAACACTTAAATCTTTAACAAAGAATATAAAGGGCCAAGTGTGGTGGCTCACACCTGTAATCCCAACAATTTAGGAGGCTGAGGTGGGAGGATCGCTTGAGACCTGGAGTTCGAGACCAGCCTGGGCAACACAGCAAAACTCCCATCTCTACAAAAAAAAATAAAAAATTATCCAGGGCCAGCCTTGGTGCCTCACGCCTGTAATCCCAGAACTATGGGAGGCTGAGGTAGAAGGATCACTTGAGCCCAGGAGTTTGTTTGAGACCAGCCTGGGTAACATAGTGAGATCCCATCTGTATTAAAAAAATTAAAAATAAAAAAAAATTAGCCAAGTGTGGTGGCACCCACCTGTAGTCCCAGCTACTTGGGAGGCTGAGATGGGAGGATGGCTCGAGCTCAGGAGTTGGAGGCTGCAGTGAGCTATGATTGCCCACCTGCACTCCTGTCTGGGTGACAGAGCAAGAACCCATTTCAAAAAAAAAAGCAGGGGCAAAGAATATAGATTCTTGCCTTCCTAGACTACACTGGGAGGGAAGGGAGAAAACAAATAAATAGAAAAAATAATGAAAATGCTAAGTGATATGGTATGTCAGGAGTGCTGTGGGGAAAAATAAAGCAAGGAAGGGGGATAGGGAGAGCTAGGGAGTTGCAATTTTAAAATAAAGTCGTTAGAGGAGGCCTCATTGAGAAGGAGACATTTGAACAACAACCCAAAAGTGAATGGTTTAGCCATGTGGAAAACAGAGAGAAGAGTGTTCCAGGTGTAGGGAACAGCAATGCAAAATCCTGAAGCAGGAGCACGTCTGGCCTGTGGAGGAACTGCAAGGAGGCCAGTGGGTGGAGTGGAGGGAACTAAGGCTGTGTAGCTGGACATGAGATTGGAGAGGTCACCTTGCCTAGGGCCTCATACAGGCTAGAACTTTGTCTTTTGCTCTGAGTGAGATGGGCGCCATTGCAGGAGAGACGATGAGTAGAGTAAGACGATGAGCAGAGTAAGACGATGATCGCGCTGGTTTTGAATGAATCTTTCTGGCTGCTTTCCCTTGGTGAAAACACGAGGGGAGGGGCACCTGGGGTAGGCAATAGTGAAAACAGAGAGACCTGTTAAGAAGTTACCGCAGCAATCCAGGCCGGGCGCAGTGGCTGACGCCTGTAATTGCAGCACTTTGGGAGGCCGAGGCGAGCGTATCACCTGAGTTCAGGAGTTTGAGACCAGCCTGGCCAACATGGTGAAATCCTGTGTCTGCTAAAAATACAAAAAATAGCTGGGCGTGGTCGCGTGTGCCTGTAGTCCCAGCTACTCCTGAGGTGGAGGTTGCAGTGAGCCGAGATCGCGCCACGCACTCCAGCCTGGGCGACAGAGCGAGACTGTCTCAAAACAAACAAACAAAAAACCCAAAACACAACAATAACAACAAAAGAAGTTACTGCAACGATCCAGATGGAGAAACTGAGGCACGGAAAGATGAAATAGCAGAGTTAGTAGATAGCCCGGCGAGGATTTGAATCCAGATACTCTGACTCCAGCAGCCCCCTCTTGGCCGCTCCCTTCTGGTCCCCGGCCACCAGCAAGGACCCGGGTCTGCCCTGGGCCTAGGCGTTTGTGGTTCTCTCCCTGCAGGACGTGCAACCGAGGGCCGGGCGGCACTGGACATCGTGCACCCGGTTCGAGTCGACGCGGGGGGCTCCTTCCTGTCCTACGAGCTGTGGCCCCGCGCACTGCGCAAGCGGGATGTATCTGTGCGCCGAGACGCGCCCGCCTTCTACGAGCTACAATACCGCGGGCGCGAGCTGCGCTTCAACCTGACCGCCAATCAGCACCTGCTGGCGCCCGGCTTTGTGAGCGAGACGCGGCGGCGCGGCGGCCTGGGCCGCGCGCACATCCGGGCCCACACCCCGGCCTGCCACCTGCTTGGCGAGGTGCAGGACCCTGAGCTCGAGGGTGGCCTGGCGGCCATCAGCGCCTGCGACGGCCTGGTGAGTGAGCTGGGACATGTATACTTGGGGCAGTCTCGGGTGGTGGGATGTGCAGATTGGCTCTAGCCTTGCCACGCACTTGTCTGGTGGCTTTGCCCAGTGCACTTTTTCTCTGCCAGCCTCGGTATTCACGCCTGTAAAGTGGGAGTGACAACGCAGGCCTCGTTGATCTCTAGGATAACAGTTCTCAAAGTTTAATGTGAAAGCCGGGTGGTGGTGCACCTGTAGTCCCAGCTATTTGGGAGGCTGAGGCGAAAGGATCACTTGAGCCCAGGAATTCAAGGATGTAGGGTGTGGTGATTGCGCTTAGCTGGCGACACAGCGAGACCCCAGGCACTCTCAAAAAAAAAAAAAGAAAGAAAGAAAAAGAAAAAGAGAGTTTAATATGAGCTCAAATCACCTGCAGGCCCTGTTTAAACAGAATTTTTGCAGGATAGGTCTGGGATAGCGCCCAAACACTTGGATTTCTGAAAACATCTCAGGTAATATTGAAGATGCAGGTCCAGAGATCCCATTTTGAGAACCTCCGTTTGACTGGACTAAGTAACTGAAAAAGCAGTTGACTTCTCTTCCTTGGGGCATCAGTTATGACTGTTCCTTCACAGGTCCCTTTAGGCTGCTTTTCTCCAGGAAAGCTACCCCTCACCCTGTAGCCATTATGCAGGGTGTGGTGAGGAACCCCTTTCAGCCCCTCTGCTCGAATCAGAACTCCAGGAAAAGCAGGTCTCAGCTTCCTGGCTTCGCCTGGCTGAAGGGTGGTGCTGGCTACTGCAGCCCTAATTGCTCCCTGATTGGGTGCTGATTAGAGCAGCTTCCACTCCAGGCAGAGTAGGGCCCCTTTCTGTTCGTGTTCAGGTGACCAGCCCCACTCTCCCAGCTCTGGAGGGTGGGGGTTTGGGAGGAGTAGGGGATGTGTGCACACTCTCAGCGTCCACTGTTCCCAGGAGGCCCTCAGCTTAGATTGCTCAGGCAAAAACCATGGGCTGTGGCCGCACAGGGCCTAATGACAGGGCAGCCCACAACGCAAGCTGCACAACGTCTGGACCTTTGAAGGCCCATCTGCCCTGCACAGTATTCCCATTTATGGAGCCTGTGCCTGTCCCTTAATGTACAATTGATCTTGTTGAGCCTGTGCCACAGCTGTGCACATGGGGCATCATTCCCATTTCACAGATGAGGAAACAGGCTCAGAGGGGAACTTGCCCAGGGTCACCTAGTCATTCAGTGAGTGGTGGGCGGGAGGGGGGGACTCCGCATTCATACCCAGGTCTCCAGACCCAAGAGCTGATGCACTCTCCAGCCCTCCCTCCAGGCCCCCTGGTCCTGTGTGACCCAAGGGGCAGAATTGGTGCCTATGAGGGGAAGTCCGAGGGACATAAAACCTTCTTTCCTGTTGGAGCCCTGAGCTTCCTCAGGAGGTAGTGGGCATCAAAGATGCTTCCCAGGGCCCCTCCCCTCCCTGGACTCTGAATGCTGGCGGACATGTCCAAGACACTCCTGCCAGCTTCCCTTCTCTGGGCAGCCCTGGGCCCAGAGAACAGGGTGTCCTGGTGGCCGTGGGCATCTCCTCCGCTCGGGTGTGGCTGTGGATGCTTTTGGAGTGATTCATTGCCTTAGGGAGATAGAGGGAAGGTCAGAAGCCCTGGCCAGCTGGGAGGGAGCACAGTGCTGGAAATGGCTGGCATGCAGAGGAGATGGAGAATAGCCTGGAGGCCTGGGCACAAGCTGCCCCACTCAGGATGGCTGTCTGGGACTAAGACACCGTTTTGTCAGATTTGGATGCAGACACATTTCCCTCTCCTAATGGGGTGGGTGTGTGGGGCAGCATCCCCAGGGGCGGAGGCTTCTGAGCTCCGCTTTGAAGGTTTGGCTGTGTGTGAAATGGCAGAGAAGGGCTTTCCAGATGGAGGCTACAGAGTGAGCAAAGGCCCAGCGGGAGGAAAGTACAGTGTGTCCGCGGGCAGTCACAGGTGGTGTGGGCAGTGGGGGCTCAGCTGAGCAGGACGGGCCTCTGGGACGTGCAAGAAGAGCAGCTGAGGGCCAGCCCTCCCTGTGTGACCCTGGTGCTTCTTCCCCAGAAAGGTGTGTTCCAGCTCTCCAACGAGGACTACTTCATTGAGCCCCTGGACAGTGCCCCGGCCCGGCCTGGCCACGCCCAGCCCCATGTGGTGTACAAGCGTCAGGCCCCGGAGAGGCTGGCACAGCGGGGTGATTCCAGTGCTCCAAGCACCTGTGGAGTGCAAGGTATGCTCTTCTGCTCCCAGTTCTCGGGTGGGTGCTGGGCCTGGGGACATGAAGGGGCCTTTCTAGAAGCCCCCCTTAACATCCCCATGCCCAGTGCCCCTTAGACCAGATGACACAGACAGACAGATGGATACTTTACCATAGCCTGTGCCCTTAATTGTGCCACAAGACTGTGTCCTCTGCCTTTCGGGCCTGCCCCAGTCAATCCCCTAGACTGACCTTCCTCGCTCCATCTCACCTACTTCTCCCACGTTGGGGCTCAGCCTCCCTCTGCTCCCTCCCCGCCAACAGCCTATGGTACCTGGCTCTGCCAGCCGTTCTTCCTCCAGTGCCCAGGCCGGGTGAGCTGTGCCCAGCTCCAACAGGGCCACTAGCCAGGAACTTCCCTCCCACCACCACCCTGCTCCCACCCTAGAATAACTAACCTCTATTATTGGGACCTGGAGTGTGGTACCCAGTGCCTCCTCTGCAGAGCAGCAGTAGTGCCGGCCAGTCCAGGTGAGGAGCTGCCTGCTAAGGGTTGCTGGGGTTTGGGGAATGCTTGGCTAGCAAGCCAATCTCAGGCTGCCCACAGCTCTGGTACTGCATTTGCTGGAGCACATATCCACAGAGGCATGCTTCTTGGCCTCAGTTTCCTCAGCTTCATAGATGTGCTTCCTCTTCTGATCTGGAGCAGCCTGGGTCAGGGGAGCAGGCCCAGTAGGGCAAGCTGGGCTGGGTCTTGGCCAGCCTCCCCAGGCTGGGGTTTAGAGGGTGGGGTCAGCCTGTGTTGGGATGCACTAAGCCCCCAGGGTGGGAGGAAGTGACACGGGGAGATAGGGGCCCAGTTGCCAGCTTTGTCAGGCCCAGGAGTTCCCCTCCCATGGACACAGTACTTTACCATGTTTATATCCACCATTTCATTTGCCCTTTGAGGTCCCCCTGTGAGGCAATTTATTCCTATTTTTAGTCAGGGAATCTCAAGATCAGAAAAGGAAAGTGACCAGGCAGAGCCACACAGCACAGATCTGGGACAGAGCCAGGAGGCGAATTCAGGCCCCTGGCCTCTGATCCCTGTGTGGTTCCCAGTGCCCCAGAGAGAGCTCACTGAGGAGAGGCCCTGGAGACGTGTGCCCTGGGCCTGTCCACTGGCAGCTAACTCCACCCCATCTGGGCCTCCAGTGTACCCAGAGCTGGAGTCTCGACGGGAGCGTTGGGAGCAGCGGCAGCAGTGGCGGCGGCCACGGCTGAGGCGTCTACACCAGCGGTCGGTCAGCAAAGAGAAGTGGGTGGAGACCCTGGTAGTAGCTGATGCCAAAATGGTGGAGTACCACGGACAGCCGCAGGTTGAGAGCTATGTGCTGACCATCATGAACATGGTGAGTCTGTGTGGGCCAGGAGCGGGTGGCGGGGATGGTGTTGGGGGGTGGGGTGCAAAGAGTGGGTGCAGGGCAGGAAGGCTGTCAGGCTGGACCCCAGACCCAGGTCTAGGCCCCAAGTAGGAAGAAGGGTATCCAAGCTCCTGAGGCCAGGAAGGGGTGGGGGTCTTGGCAGCTAGTCACTATGAGAGAGCCTGGGCAGAGGGCTGCTGTGGGGACACCATAGGGTGTCATGCCACTAGGAGGGGGAGCAGGAGTGGGAGACTGAGGCAGCCACAACCCTGTGCTTGCCTGGGGGGCTTGTAGACTAGTTGGGTCCTTCATGTTTCCCTGCACAGATACTTCCTTCCTTTGTGTCAGGACCTGTGCTAGATGCTGGAAACACAGAAATGCCTGATCAGACTACACTCTGCCTGAGACTCTGCCTGAGACATCAGCACACATTACAGTTAGAAGAATCTGTGCAGTTCTATGGTCACTAGCTGGTAGCCTTGGGCAAGTCACTTGCCCCTTCTGAGTCTCAGCCTGCTCATCTGTGAACTGGGCATGACGACAGTACCTTGTGGGGTGGGCAAACTGCTCTTGACCCCACATGATGGATGAGATATCAGAGGCCTTCAGAGGGCGAGTAACTTGCCCAGGTCACACAACCAGGCAGGGCAGAGCCAGATGGGAGCTCAGGTGTCCTAAGTCCCACCGGGGGCACTGTGGCTGATTGCAGCTGGGATTCCTGGAGCCGACTACTGCAGAGCTGCCACTCCCTGCTCCTGCCCTGTGGGTGCCCGTGGAGGCCTCAGGCTCCAAGCTGCTTCCTGCAGCCCCTGGGAGGAAAGATCTCTGCCCCTGGCATTCTTAGCAGCCACCTGGTTGGCAGGCCACCATATAACCCTGTTTCTCTCCTGGGCTGGGTTGTTGGGGGCAAGGTAAGTGCGTGTGCTGTGAACAGGATAATATCTAAAGGAGCCCTGGGGCCAGGATCCTATGCTGCTGCTTCCCCCTGCCAGCCCCTCACCTCCTGCAACCCTAAAGGAAGTACCCTCTGAGATCATGCAGTGTCTGGCCCCCTAGTTTATCGCTGTGAAACCTGAGGCTCAAAGAGAGGAAGGGGCTGCATCCAGGGCTGTTATCTCTACCTGCTGGCCACCACGTCCCCACTACTTGAGTCCTCATCAGTGAGTGCAGCTCTGGGCCAGTTCTTCCCTCACTGGGACACCCTCATTGGCTCCCTGTTCCATATGGAATAAAAGTCACAGCCTTCTGCCTGGCATTTGAGGCCTTGAAGGCCCAGATCAAGCTTCATCTGCCCAGGGAGGGGAGCCACTAACAGCCAGGGTTCAGCAGGGCTATTGCTGGACAGCAGGGCCCAGCCCCTGGGCTATAGGGGTGGAGCAAGGGGCAAGGCCAAGTTCTCAGGCCCTGAGGTTCCCTCCTTCTCATTCTCAGCACTTTGGGGGCTCAGCCTGAAAGACCCTGGAGGCTGACTTGAGCCACCAATGGTTAACTGGGTTCATTTCACCCCCACTTTTCTGAGTGTCCCCTATGCTCCAGATTCTGGGCAGAGTAAGACGCACCCGACTGGGTATTGTGGTTCATGGTTATAATCCCAGCGCTTTGAGAGGCCAAGGTGGGCAGATCACTTGAGGTCAGGAGTTGGAGACCAGCCTGGCCAACATGGTGAAACCCTATTTCTACCAAAATACAAAAAATAGTTGGGTGTGGTTGTGCACACCTGTAGTCCTAGCCACTTGGGAGTCTGAGGTGGGAGGATTGCTTGAGCCTGGGAGGCGAAGGTTGCAGTGAGCTGAGATCGTGCCACTGCACTCCTGCCTGGGTGACAGAGCGAGACTCCATCTCAAAAAAAACAAAAACAAAAACAAAAAAAGACCTGCCCAACCCAACAGGTACCCCATAACTTAACCTGGGTGACAGGATTCAGGTGTTTTTGCCCCAGGGCCTGGCCCCTTCCTGGCTGCCTTGCCCTGGCTCATAGGACCTACCCATTCACTTGGTGAGCCCCATCCTCGGGGAGAGGGTGGGACTGGTTCTCACACTCACCTGCTCTGACAATATCAAGCTTTTCTGAGCTGGTGAGCCCAGCATTGTTCAGGACAGGATGGGGGCACCTATGAGCCTGACAGTGCTGGACCCCCTAGGAGGCTGCAGGGATGGCAGGGACATGGGAACCCATATGGCCAGCCTCTGAGGAAGCCTGGACTGTGGAGCCACGGCCTAAGGCCCTGGTGGGTTAGGGCTGGAGCCTTGTGAATATCTGTCTACCTTTTGTGCAGTGTTCAACACCCACCACCTCATCTAAGCCTCACCCCCATTTTATTATTTATTTACTTCTTTAGAGGTGGAATTTCACTCTTGTCACCCAGGCTGGAGTGCAATGGCACAATCTCGGCTCACTGCAACCTCCGCTTCCTGGGTTCAAGTGATTCTCCTGCCTCAGTCTCCTGAGTAGCTGGGATTACAAGCGTGCCCCACCATGCCTTGCTAGTTTTTGTATTTTTAGTAGAGAGGGGGCTTCACCACATTGGCCAGGCTATTCTGCCCGCCTCGTCCTCCCAAAGTGCTGGGATTACAGGCTTGAGCCACCACTCCCGGCCCTCACCCCCATTTTCAAGTTGAGGAAACAAAGATTCAGAGAGGTCAAGGGGCTCGCTCAAGGTCACGCAGCTAGTAAGTGGTACAGCTGGGACTGGAGCTCAGGTCTGTCTACCTCCAAAGCCCCATTCTGTCCCCTGTGCCCCTTAACCTGCCCTGGAGAGGGGCAGCTGGGAAGCCATGGTGGCCGGGGTGGGCCAGAAGGATGGGGAACAGATGTTCCCTCGGGATCAGATGTTTATTTAAGACTGACTTGTTGAGAGCCATCGCTCTACCTGGGATAAAGTGATGGATGTGGAAGAGCATGATCCTACACTTGGGGACTCTGTCTCATTGTAGCATTTCCCAAGGAATATTTCAGGGAGTGTGTTCCAAAGAATGCCAGTAGTGCACTGTGAAAAAAAGATGCTGCTGTTGAATAAGTTTGGCCACACAGGGTTAAAAAAAGTAAAACGGGCCAGGCATGGTGGTGCACACCTGTAGTCCCAGCTACTTGAGGGGCTGAGGTGGGAGGATTGCTTGAGCCCAGGAGGTGGAGGCTGCAGCGGCTGCAGTGAGCCGAGATCATGCAACTGCACTCCATCTTGAGTGACAAAGTGAGACTCTGTCTCAAAAGAAAAAAAAAAAAAAGGTAAAACAGACTTCGTTACTACAGGACTTCTCAGACCCTTCAAAGTAAATATGCATTGAGAATCCCCAACAGAATAGGCAGGCAGCATTCCCCAAACTTAGGATATAAGCAGGGGCTTTGAAGCAGCGAAACCTGGGTTCTGAGCCCAGTTTTACCCTCTCTTTGAGCTTCACTTACCTCATTTGTAAAACGAGGATAATTGTGCCTACCTTAGAAGTAAGAAGATTAAATGAGATAATGCATGCTAAGCCCCCAGCACAGGGACTGTACGTGTTAAGCTCGATTGAGGTTGGCTGCGGCTATTTTTTTGGCTGCTGCAGTATCTGACCCACAGCCACCTTCAGGACAGCCTCATCTTTCTTTACCAATGCTACCTACAGACCCCAATTTATCAGCATTCTCCCCGTGCTAGACTCAGACCTGAGTCCTAGAGCTTGGGTGGGTCTGTCCCAAGGATAGCAAGACAGGTCCCTTTTTACCCCATTTTCTTTCTTCTTTCTCTCTCTCTCTTTCTCTCTTTCTTTCTTTCTTTCTTTTGGAGATGGAGTCTTGCTCTGTCGCCCAGGTCGGAGTGCAGTGGTGCAATCTCAGCTCACTGCAGCCTCTGCCTTCCCGGGTTCCAGTGATTCTCCTGCCTCAGCCTCCCAGGGGGCTGGGATTACAGGCATGCACCACTATGCCGAGCTAATTTTTGTATTTTTAGTAGAGACGGGTTTCACCATTTGGCCAGGCTGGTCTCGAACTCCTGACCTCAGAGGCAAGGGGAGGTCAGAGAGGAAGGCAGGGACCAGATCCAAGAAGCCTGTTGGCTAGGCTGGGGACTTCTGTCCTTTTCCTGGACAGTGAAGAACCACTTACTGCCTTAGGCAAAGGCATGTCATGATGAGGTTTGCATTTCAAAGATCGATGGTGGAGCTGCTAGGCTGCAGGTGGTCTGGAGGGGCCGCAGAATATGGGGACACTCGTAGGAGACCTCAACAACTGAGCAGACGAAATGATGATGGTAACTTGGACGAGGCAGTGGTGTTGGAGATGGAGAGAAGAGACAGAGTCGGGCAAAACTTGGGAGGCAAAAATTGGTTGGTTGTATTGGAGAAAGGTGGTTCAAGGCTCCCGGGCTCCCAGCCTGTGTGTGGAGGTGACGGTGGCACATGATATCGCTGTTTATCTTCCCCATTTCTGACCTTGGGTTCTGAGAGTGTCATTCATCCCCATAATCAGGGACTTTGGTGCCCTCTTAACAGTGTTTGTTTGGTTCCTTGCTATTTGAATATTCTTTTTCTTGATGCATTGCTAGAAGCCAACTCACAACTGGCCTGTTCTGCCATCCCTGCCCTCTGGGAACCTGCCAGCTGTCCCCAGTCATGGGCTGGCCTCTTTTTTGTTCTGAGGGAGTTTTAAAAGAGCAGATGGCTTTCCCCAGCCATTTCCCCTCACCTTGGCTTATCTTCCATCTTTGGGGATAGCCCCGTCTCCTGGGTCTCAGTAGGGAGCCCCATGTAGCCATGGGGCCTCTGATAGATGTGCACACCTGCCTCCTTGGCCCCATGGCTGTCAGCCCCGGGGAAATGGAATAGCAGAGCAGTGGGCAGGCTCCATAGGCCTGTGCCTACCCTCACTCTACCCTCTGAGCCCTGCCCAGTTCTATGCCTCATTGGAGGGTGCACTCCTGGGATGCTGGTCCTGGCATCCCCAGGTCAGGAGGGCACTGCTATCATAGCCCTGGCAGTTGTAGGACTAGGGCCCTGCGACAGGCCAAGAAACCAGAATTTGGAGGTCTGAGCTGCCATCGCCTGTGCTGGGTGGGCATGGAGTTGGTACTGGGAAGCAGATCCCAAACTGAGGCTCAGGAGAGGCTGCAACTCTGGGAAGGGGCCTCGGAGGCCTCTTGTCCTCTCCAGGTTCTGCTGCTGCCACATTGGGGCAGTGTGTGTGAGGTGTGGGGACACTCATGCATTGGTGCACATGCATCGCCTGTCCACTGTGCAGCCTGTGTGCACCAGTGTGAGAGTCCCTGTGTGTGAGCACAGGTGTGCGTTGCCCTGCGTGGGTGGGTGGGTTGGGGTGGGCATTGGCTGCTTGTATCCTTCATCCTCGTGACAACCTGACCCCCCCATCTCTTGGGCAGGTGGCTGGCCTGTTTCATGACCCCAGCATTGGGAACCCCATCCACATCACCATTGTGCGCCTGGTCCTGCTGGAAGATGAGGAGGTGAGTGGTCATGTGGTCCCACGCTGCCCGGCAATGGCTTCGGCTGCCAGAGCCCTCCTGCCGCATGACCTGTGCTGCTCTTTATGGAAGGGCACAGTGAAGGCCGCCTTGGCCTGGACCGTGTCCCCTGCCACCCCCTGGTTCCTGACTGACCCTCTCTCAGGTCCCAGGTCCTCTGCAGGAGGTTCCTACAGGAGGGATGGTCAGGCTGGAAGCTCGACTGGTGCCTGCGGGCCTCCCACTTCCCTGCTGGGCCTCTGTCTCCTGCCTTCGTATGGGGGAGAATTGGGCCTGACCTTCTTGGAACTCAGGGGAGGCATGAGCAGTCACTCTCTCTGCCCCCAGGAGGACCTAAAGATCACGCACCATGCAGACAACACCCTGAAGAGCTTCTGCAAGTGGCAGAAAAGCATCAACATGAAGGGGGATGCCCATCCCCTGCACCATGACACTGCCATCCTGCTCACCAGGTACTGCAGCCGCAGGAGGGTGGGAGCCTGCATCTCAGGAGGTGCTTCCCGGCCCTGCAGAAGAAGCCCTGGTGGAGGAGGGGGCCGTGCTGTCAGGGAGCCCAATTTTGAGGAGAGTTTGCGCACCTTTGGCCCAAGGCTGGATTCTGTCCGCACTTGGGGAGGTCTTTTTATTTTGAAATAATTGTGGATTTTCTCGCTGTTATCAGAAATAATAGAGAGAGGGCCTGTATAGCCTTCCTCCATTTCCCCCAGTGGTAACATCTTGCATGACTAGAGCACAGTATCCCAATCAGGAAACTGACACTGATACCATCCACAGACTTACTCAGATCTCATCAGTTCCACACGTACTTCCCTTTGTGTGTGTGTGTGTATTCAGTTCTTTGCAGTTTCATCATTGTGGGTTCACCTACCCACCCCCACAGTCTAGATACAGATCTGTCCCATCAGAAGGATGTCTCATGCTACCCGTTTATAGTCACAGCCACCTTCCTCCCCTAACCTCCGGCAACTGCTGATCTGTCCAGAGGCAGTTATTTTCCCTCTGCTGGACTCTGGAGGCATCTGTCAGCACCCCTGCTGGATAGTAACCAAAATTGTTCTGTGCGGGTCTGTGCTCTCAAGGGCCAAAGAGATGCCCAGCCGGTTGTGTGTAAATGAGAGCACCTGCTTCCCAAGCGGCCACCGTGCTGGCCTCATGTCACAGAACGGTGGGAGAGACATCCTTTTCGCTTGGGATCAATTCGGGGGGACCCTTCCCTGGCCTTAGCTCAGGTGGGCCTGGCACTGGGCCAGGTTAGCCTGAAGGCTGCTTCTTTGCCTGTGCAGAAAGGACCTGTGTGCAGCCATGAACCGGCCCTGTGAGACCCTGGGACTGTCCCATGTGGCGGGCATGTGCCAGCCGCACCGCAGCTGCAGCATCAACGAGGACACGGGCCTGCCGCTGGCCTTCACTGTAGCCCACGAGCTCGGGCACAGGTACTGTGCCTGCCCCCATTGCTACACTGAGAGCCGAGCTTCACCCTCGCAGCCTGGGGGCACCGGGTATCCAGCCTGTGGGTCACAAAGTCCAGGGGAAAGGAAGCTCTCTGGAAAAGGAGCCCTGACTGGCCATGTGCTGCCCCTGCACTGTCCCCTCCCCACAACCAGGCTGCTTCCCTGTAAAGCAGGAGAGAGGGCTGCCTGGGCATCTCTAGGACTGGCCTGGAGGGAGTCTTATTTAAAGGGGAGTTGTGATGGGCCGGAAAATCATTGTAGGTCTTTGGCTGTCCCTCCCCATTGCCCTCAGTGCTGTATTTTTTACTCTCGATCCCTGTCCCTGTTCCTGTTTGCTCTGTGGCCTGGGCCAGTGCCTGCCCTCTCTGGGCCTCTGTGTGCTTCCCATAGATTGAGGGGTTTGGATTCAGTGATGTCCAAGGCTCCCTCTATCTGACACTGCTGCCTGAGGCTCCTGTCTTCACAGGCCTCCAGCCACCTGTGCCCTGGCTGTTGAGCTGGCGAATATGGCAGCATCTTAGATTGTCTAGCAAGCCATCAAAGGCAGGCTCCCAGAACGTTCTGTGGGTCAAAGCTGTTGGGGTCATCCATTCAGACGTCCGGGTTTCGTAGGCGATGGCCGTGCCTGCAGGACCTTGAAGCTGCTTATGGCTGCAGAAAGAACAGCCTGCCACAGTACTGCAATTTCCTGGCTGTGTTACCCTAGCTAGTTCCTTAGACTCTCTGAGCCTTCCTGAGGGTAATAATGAGAACTGAGTGAGATTGTGTTTCTGAAAGTGCTTAGCATGGCCCCTGGCACATAGTAGATGCTCAGGAAATAATTTTTCTTGTATCCTTCCCAAGGATGGTCTCTGGAGACCTTTCTGTGATACAGCAGCTCAGATCCCTTAACTCAAGTGCACAGCCTTGGGACAAGGACCTGTGAGTGGGAACCGCTGTCAGACTGTTCTTGAGGCCAGTGAGCTTGCAGGGGCCATCACGGGCCCACATCTGTGCCACCTGATTTGCCATTGCTGGCTGGCCCCCAGGCAGGGGCAGGGCTGCTCTGGGTCCCTGGCCCTCATTTCAGGCTGGAACAGGAGCCCTTGGGATACTAGCTGTCATACCCTCATTTTACATTCAGGAAACTGAGGCTCAGAGAGGGGAATGTGACTTTCTGCAGCCATTGGGTGCAGCCATTGGGTGGCAGAACCAGCCCTGGGAACTAGGACTGCGCACCTTGTGGGTGTCCAGGGGAGGGCAGGCTGGCAGCCTCCCGCCGGCTCACCCGCCCCTGGGGCCTGTGCTCTCACACAGTTTTGGCATTCAGCATGACGGAAGCGGCAATGACTGTGAGCCCGTTGGGAAACGACCTTTCATCATGTCTCCACAGCTCCTGTACGACGCCGCTCCCCTCACCTGGTCCCGCTGCAGCCGCCAGTATATCACCAGGTTCCTTGAGTAAGTCCCCCAGCCCTGGGCCCCTATACCTTGATCCATGAGGTCAAGGTCTACTGGGAGAGATGCAGACAGTCATACTGCAGGGCCGGGGTAGAGGGAAGCAGAGGGGCAAGATCTTGATACATGAGGTCAAGGTCTAATGGGGGTGATGCAGACAGTCACACTGCAGGGCCAGGGTAGAGGGAAACAGAGGGGCACCTGGCAAAGATGTGGTGCCGGCATCCCAAATGTCCTCCTGGAAGGAGGCTTGAACTTGGAGGAGGAGCAAGAATTCACACATGTGCAGAAGGGAGAAGAATGGTGTTCTTGGTAGAGGAAGCCTGAGAAAGGCCTGTAGCGGTAAAGGAGCGGGAGAGCTTTCAGGGAACGGCGGAACCCTGAGCAAGGCTATGGGAGCAAAGGCTGCGTAGGAAATGAAGCTGGAGGAGGTGAGGGACAGCCACAAGGTCCGGTCAGAGACAGGAAGAAGGGGCCATTAAGGGAACTGAAATACGAAGCTTTCTCCTTTTTTTTCATGTTCTCTTCATTTGTTCTGGTGTTTTTGTTGTTGTTGTTTGTTTGTTTTTTGAGACAGAGTCTCGCTGTGTTGCCCAGGCTGGAATGCAATGGCACGATCTTGACTCACTGCAACCTCCGCCTCCCGGGTTCAAGCGATTCTCCTGCCTCAGCCTCCTGAGTAGCTGGGACTACAGGCGTGTGCCACAACGGCTGGCTACTTTTTGTATTTTTAGTAGAGACGAGCTTTTGCCATGTTGGCCAGACTGGTCTTGAACTCGTGACCTCAGGTGATCCGCCCACCTTTGCCTCCCAGAGTGCTGGAATTACAGGCATGAGCGGTGCACCATGCCCGGCCTGTTCTGGTGTTTTTTTGTTTTTTTTTTTTCAAATTTGCTATTTAATGTTCTAAGTAAGAAAAAGTTTTAAATTTAAATTATTGGCATAAATTGTACCATTCATCTTTATTTTGTGCAGTGCCAGGTTTAAATGCAAATATGAGTATAGCTGACCCCAGAAGAACTCGGGGGTCAGGGGTGCTGACTCCTGTGCAATTGAAAATCCATGTATAACTTTCGACTCGCCCAAAACTGCTAATAGCCTACTGTTGACTGGAAGCCTTACTGATAACATAAACAGTTAACACATATTTTGTATGTTGTATATAATATATACTGTATTCTTACAATAAAGTAAGCTAGAGAAAAGCAAATGTTATTGAAATCATAAGGAAGAGAAAATATGTTCACTGCTCATTAAGTGGAAGTGGATATTCATTAAGTGGAAGAGGATCCTCATCCTCTTCATGTTGAGTAGGCTGAGGAGGGAGGAGAAAGGCAGGGGATGATCTCAGGGGTGGCAGAGGTGAAAAAAAATCCACATGTAAGTGGACCTGTGCAGTTCAAATCCATGTTGTTCAAAGGTGAGCTGTATTAACTTGTATGCAGAGTCACTGAAATTATACAATTCGTCTTTTGTAGCTCATATTTACCAGAGGATGAAACAGAATAAAATTATCTCAACTGGTTTCATCTCACTCCTTGGTATGTGCACATTCTACCCAGGCTGTCTACCTTTTCTTACCAATGAGGAAGGAAAGACTGAAAGGAGAAGGAACTGTGGGGTTCTCTTTCCTCCCGTGTCTTCATTTTCTGCATAGCGATTGGCTAATACAGGGGTGTTAACATGGGTAAGAAAGGATGATGGGGCACCTTGGTCATTGTCTTCTTTCTGCATTTGAAGTAAGTCTGGTTCAAATGGAAAATGCAGCCTCTGGGCCTGTCAGTGCTCTCCTGTCCCTTACTCAGTTGTTGACATAACATGTTTAACATCTAATTGCTTTGAGTCTCACCGAACTCCTACACATTATAGGTTCTGAGCTCATGGACCAAAGTAAATGTGAGATGCAAATGGGGCAGCAAGGAATGGTGGACACAGACATTGCCTGTGTCTCCTCTGCTCAGATACAGGCTCTTTTGTCCCATCAGACCTTGCTTACTGTCCGGACCTTGCTTGTGGTGGCTTATGCCTGTAATCCCAGCACTTTGGGAGGCTGAGGCAGGTGGATCACTTGAGGTCAGGAGTTCGAGACAAGCCTGGCCAACATGGTGAAACCCCTTCCCTACTGAAAATACAAAAATTAGCCAGGTGTGGTGGCGTGTGCCTGTAATCCCAGCTACTTGGGAAGCTGAGGCAGGAGAATCACTTGAACCCAGGAGGCGGAGGTTGCAGTGAGCCAAGATCGCGCCACTGCACTCCAACCTGGGCAACAAGAGCAAAAAAACTCCGTCTCAAAAAAAAAAAATAATAGAAGATGGCAACAGCAGAGCATTGTACACCTGCCCCACTTCTCCCCACCCTCCATTGCTTTTTTCTAGGCAACCACCTTCAAACTTAACATTGTTAGCTTTTTCTTGTATTTACTTTCCTATTTCCAAAAAGTATTGCTAGACTCTCATTTATTGATTTTCCAGTTTAGATATTATCTGGAAGGTTGGGATTTAGCACCCTTGCATCACTTCCTGTACATACATTTGTCCCCTCACTTTTCATCCCAATTTAGTGTTAACATATTTGGATTAAGTCCATATTCCGCATTTTCATTATTATGGCTGTAAATCTTGATGTCTGAACTAAGTGTTGTAATAAGATGGCATTTCTTTCTTTCTTTTCTTTTTTTTTTTTTTTTTGAGAGACTCTCACTCTGCTGCTCCAGCTGGAGTACAGTGGTGCAATCTCAGCTCACTGCAGCCTCTGCCTCCTGGGTTCAAGTGAGTCTCATGCCTCAGCCTCCCAAGTAGCTGGGATTACAGGCACCTGCCACCCCTGCCCAGCTAATGTTTGTATTTTTAGTAGAGATGGGGTTTCCATGTTGGCCAGGCTGGTCTCGAACTCCTGACCTCAAGTGATTCACCACCTTGGCCTCCCAAAGTGCTGGGATTACAGATGAGAGCCACTGCGCCCCATCTAGATGGCATTTCTTTTTAAGAACAAGTTTTTTATTTGCTTGGTTTTCATTGCTTCTCCAGGCCTTCCAGATCCTTTAATAGTTTTATAAGATGTCTTTTAATCCAGTTTTCCCAAAGGTAATCCCTACCAGATAATCCAGCAGTTCCCTTCTTTCTTGGACCCTCCTCCCAACTTCCCTGTGTCCTCCAGTTTAGACTGGATGCTTTCTAGACCTGCCCCAAAATATTCATGGAGGGTCTTCCTGTTTCTTGGATCCCATGCTACTTTTTTTATGGGGAGGTACCTTTTTTTTTTTTTTAATTTGTTTTGGTGGAGCACATCCTCAAGCAGCTTTCTGAGAAAGAGTGCATGGAGGTAAATGGTTTGCCTGTCTCAAAGTGTCTTTATCCTTCCCTCACATCTGATTGATATTTTGATTTGATATCAACTTCGGGTTGGAAGTGACTCTTCTTCAGAATGTCGAAGGCATTTTTCTGTTGTCTTCTAGTTTCCAATATTGCTCTGTAGAGGTCCCATACCATTGTGATTTGAATGTGACCTTTTAAAAAATCTGGAAGCTTTTAGGACTCTCTCTCTTTCTCTCTCTCTTTTTGGTGATTTTAAATTTTACAGTATATGCCTTGGTCTATTTTAATTTGAGGGAGCACTCATTGGACTGTTTTAATCTAGAAACTTGTGCCCTTCAGTTCTTGAACTGTTGTTGTATTATTTATTTGACAACTTTCTTACATTTTCTCTTTCTGGAACCCTTAATATTCAGCTATTCTCTCACTTTCTTATTTTTAAACATTTTACAATTTTTCATCTCTTTCTATTTTATTTTCTTTTCTATCCTCCCTCCCTCCCTCCCTCCCTCCCCCCTCTTCCTCTCCCTCTCCCTCTCTCTCTCTGTCTTTCTTTCTTTCTTTGAGTCTCGCTTTGTTGCCCAGGCTGGAGTGCAGTGCCACAATCATGGCTCACTGCAGCCTTGGGCTCCCAGGCACAAATGATCCTCCTGCCTCAGCATCCCGAGTAGCTGGGACAACAAGTGTGTGCCACCACACCCAGCTAATTTTTTAATTTTTAATTTTTTCTAGAGATGGGGTTTTGCCGTGTTGCTCAGGCTGGGCTTGAACTTCTGGACTCCTCCCTCAGCTTCCCAAAGTTCTGGGATTACAGTCATGAGCCAGCGTGCCCAGCCACCTGTTTCTATTTTCTAGGGGGCATCTGATTTATCTATACTTTACAATCCTTCTATTAAAATTTTCATTTTTTTCATTCTACTTTTAATTTCTTAAACTTTCTCATTCACTAAATATACATTGAGTGTCTCATCTGAAATACTTAGGACCAGAAGTGTTTTAGATTTTGGATTTTTTTTTTAATTTTTGAGTATTTGCATTATACTTAGCAGTTCAGAATCCCCAGTCTGAAAGTCCAAAATCTGAAGTGCTCCAAAGAGCATTTCCTCTGAGCATCATGTTAGTGCTCAAAAGTTTTGGATTTTGGAGCATTTGGATTTTGAGATTGGAGATGCTCAACCTGTGCACCTTTTGATCCTATTCTTGTTTCATGGGTACAGTATGTTCTCTTATCTCTGCGAGGTTATTACTTACATGGATTTGACTTTTTTCTTCTGTTCCCTGAAATGTTTTTCTTTCCTTTGGGTTATTTTTAAAAAAATATTTGTTTCATGTTAACAGTTTCCTTGGCCAGGCGTGGTGGCTCACGCCTGTAATCCCAGCACTTTGGGAGGCTAAGGCAGGCGGATCTCTTGAGGTCAGGAGTTTGAGACCAGCCTGGCCAACATGGTGAAACCCTGTCTCTACTAAAAAAAAAAAATACAAAAAATTAGCCAGGCCTGGTGGCTGGTGCCTGTAATCACAGCTACTCAGGAGGCTGAGGCAGGAGAATCGCTTGAACCCGGGAGGCAGAGGCTGCAGTGAACTGAGATTGCGCCACTGTACTCCAGCCTGGGCAACAGAGAGAGACTCTGTCTCAAAAAAAAGTTTTCTTAAAATGCATTGGCTGTATTTCATATATAGCAAGGAGATGCAGAGATACTCATTGTGCAGTTTGTGGACTTGGGCAGGACTCTTCCAAGTCTCTGCTGAAGGACTGGTTTGGATGGGGGCTATTTTGGGGAGATCCTCTAATTTCAGTATCTGAGGTCATTTTTCTGAGTGATTCAGTTTTCCGAGAGGAATCCTCTAGGCTTTTCCTGGGAGAGTGTATGTCTGGCTGCAGCATTCCAGCTTGGCGTGTTTCTTACCCTTCAATGTGTAGATTTTGCTCGTCCCCTTTTCTCTGTAGGTCCTTCTGCCTTGGGCCTTCATGTATGTCTACCATTCCTGGGCCAGAGCCTCCTGGTTCACCCTCCCCAGGGAGTGATCCCCGGCCCTCTGCTGGGTGGCAGGTGGCCATCACTTGGCTACTCAGGGTTGGGGAGGGGCTCTAGGGTCTGATCGGTTCTTACAGACTTTCAGCCCTACTGTCTTCAGCCCTCCTGGCACTAAGGCCCTGAGGGGTCCCTGGAAACTCCATTCCTGAGCCTTTCCGGGCTTCTCCTTCTGGGTGGTTCCTCCCTGCAGGCAGTTGGCTCTCAGCTTTTATCACTCTACCAAGTCAGCTACTGCCTGGCCATCTGCTTCCCAGCTTCCAGAATCTTGTTGACATCCTTCATTACCCATCATCACCCCTTATGGATTTATGCCTTGTTTATTTCCTCTACTGTCATCATAGTGGAGTTTTGGAAGGGAGCAGCGATAAATCTGTCTGCTCAACATGCCATATTTTTCTAGAAGTCCACTCACTGTGGGGCTTAAGCAGGGATGTGACCAGGTCCATTAGGGATGTAAGAGCAAGGATGCTGGCCTCCAGTGGAAGAGGGAGTACTGGGGTGGGGGGTGGGATTGGAAGCAGAGAAGAGTTTTGTTTGGTGGTTAAGGACCTAGACTGGCCAGGCACGGTGGCTCACACCTATAAACCCAGCACTTTGGGAGACTGAGGCAGGCGGATCCCTTGAGGTCAGGAGTTCGAGACAAGCTTGGCCAACATGGTGAAACCCTGTCTCTACTAAAAATACAAAAATTAGCTGGGCGTGGTGGTGCACGCCTATAATCCCAGCTACTCGGGAGGCTAGGCAGGAGAATTGCTTGAACCTGGGAGGTGGAGGTTGCAGTGAGCCAAGATCACACCACTGCAGTTCAGCTTGGGCGACAGGGCAAGACCATCTTGGGAAAAAAAAAAGAACCTAGACTGTGGCCCAGGCTTCTACCTGTGTTGGCAGACAAGTTATATTAGCTCTTAAGCCTCAAAAAATGGACATGATGATGGGCCTGCCTTGTGCATGTGATATGAGGAATAAGTGAGAAAACGCGTGCAGTGCTTAGCACAGTGCCTGCCACACAGTAAGCATTTCACGCACACTCATTACTATTCCTTCCACTGTTACCAAGTGATAGATGGGATGGACTTGAACCAGGGAAGTGGCCTGAAGATGGGGAGGAGGGTGTGTCTCCTTCCCCAGAGAGAGGCAGAGAATGAGAGAATGGCTTCAGAAAATCAGAATAGTAGCTGCCCCCACAGCACCCCCAGGGCTTGTTCCCAGCTGCCCAGACCCAGGGTGCTGCCCAACAGCCTGGTTCTAGGACAGACAGACAGACAGACAAGTCTCTGTCCTCATTCAGCTGCTGGAATGCTTGAGGGACTTGGCTCGGGGCCTGGGGTGAGGGTGAGAGGACAGGGTGAGAGTCAGAGCCAGCCGGGGCCTCCCAGAGCCTTGGCACCGGGGAGAACCAGACAGAAGCAGAGCAATACGTGCCTCCCCAATGGAGGGGTGTTTGGGAGGAAGAAGAACCCCATCCTCCCAAGGTCCTTTCACACTTTCACCTTTGCATCCTGGGAGTCAGGCAGCAGGGCCCTCCCGAGGCCCAGGAGGTGGAAGGAAGAGGGTGTGCGGAGGTGGGGAGGGTGGCAGCAGCCTGTCTTCCAGCCTGCAGCCTTTGGTCTCCTTGCTGGGGATGGGACAGGAGAGACAGGATGGGCCCCACCCAAGCAGGTTGGGGGACAGAATGAGTGAGATTCACCGAAAGTGCCAAACAGTCAGGCAGTGTTTCTAGGACTTGGGGGCGTCGCAGAGGCACTCACAGACCACCCTCTCATCCTGGCTGGTCCTGAAGCCCTTTGGCTTCCTGCATATAGATGCTTATCCAGCCAGGTAGACCCACAGGGCTGAATCCAAACTCGTTCTTGCTGTGTCCACAGACTCCATGTCCATCAGGCCCTGTGTGTGGGGACCGTGGTAAAGGAGACAGACCTCCAGGTGCCTGTCCTCCAGGCCCTCACACCATGGGGAGATGGACAGATGACAGTTGGGGATGATTGGCACTGAGGCATGCAGTCCTCGTGGGTCTGTAGGAATGGGGAGAGGGCCACCAAGCCCTCCTGGGGTCAGGAACAGTGACTCGGAGAAGGAGCCTGCCTTCTAAAGGCCAGCTTCCACGCCGAGGAAGAAGGGTGCTGCTGTAAGTGGAGGGCAGGCTGGGCAGAGGCCGGGGCCATGCGAGTATAGGGTGGGGCAGAAGAACCCTCAGGAGGTGGTGGGGGGGCACTGGAGGGTAGCTTCTGGAGCTTGTCCAAGAGGGTTGACCTGAAGAACTCTAAGAACCTTTCCGGACTGACAGGTGCTTTAAGGGACCCTGGGGAGAGGTCACAGCATTTCACCAGTGTCAACTTGGACCTGGGTGGGGAGGAGGGGAGGCCCTGGTCCCTGCTTTCCTCAAAGCCAGCATTTCTACAGGGAGAGAGGCAGGCTGGGTCACATGTGGGGTCCTTCACTTCACCCCGTGGACCCCCCATTCAGTGACTCCATGACCAGATCCCTGGGGTGGCCAGGGGTGGCCAGGGGAGCGGGCCCCCAGGTCTCTCCTGTCAGTGGCAGGCAGCTCTTTGCAGTCTCAAGGTGAGAGTGAGGCTTCTGACTGGAGTCACCTACTGTCTCCTTTGACCTCTTGTGGGACTGCCCAGCCCCGCTATAATTAGCTTAAGGAGGGGCGTGGAGGGGAAGGGCTGACGGGTTTGGGGATCCGGGTGTGTCGGCAGCGCAGAGGACCTGGCAGTGAGCCTGCCAGAGGAAGGAAGGGCTGGCTGCCGGCCGCCTGTGTGATTTTTCCCAAGAAGACACTGCTATTTATACCCCTGTAGCTTGGGATCAGCCTCTTGTAGATGAGGACGTGAAGGCCCAAGGCCACACAGCATCTATAGCCAGGCAAAGAGTAGAACTTGGGTTTCTGACTCCCAAGACAGCACCTCGGCCTGATTCTCACAGTGGATTCTGTGAGGGTCGCCTCATGCTCCCGACTTCTCCCACACACCCAGGGTGGGCTGAGAGGTTGTTGTGGCTTCAGCTGCCCAACAGCAGGCCCGCAGGAGCCACATGTGCAGCGAGTCAGCACTGGGGCAGCCAGGAAGCAGAAGGGCTGGGCTGCAGCCCAGGGACTGTTGGTGCTGGGATGAGGTGCATTGGACCCCTCAGCCCCAGGGTCAGAGGACCCCCTGGCTGGGATGGGTGAGCCCCCAGTCTACCTCCTCGAGCCACAGAATGCTAGCGGGAAGGAGGGAGCCCAGGGCCAGCTGACCCCACCACCCGCCGCTGATACTCTGCCCCGGGTGCAGGCCCAGGGAGGCTCAGGGAGCCCCAAGCCGCAGGAGCACTTGGGACACTCCTTTCTCCCCACCAGGTCTCGCTGCCATGGTTTTGAACTTGTATGTGGGGTGAAGTATTTGAGGCCAGGCTCGCAGTTGAATGGGAGGAGCCCTGCACTGGGGGTAGCCCAGTGAGTAGACACAGCCTGGTGCAGGCAGCCTGGGCCTGGCTCCAGATCCTGGCCATCACATCTCTCTTGTGCGACCCGGGGCCAGTGACCTATGGGCCCTGAGTGCATGAGGGGAGATGATGGTAGAGTCTGCCCAGGATGTTGTGAGGAGCAAATGAGAGGGTATGCCCCCAGCACCCTGGACCAGCCTGGCATGTGATCATCTTGGGCACTAGGACTGCATCCAGCAGCTGCTCATCTGCCAACGCCCATGTTAGAGGATCTGTTTCCAGCCAGCATGGGCAGTCTGAGTGATTCCAGGAGGATTCCAGGGTTCTCAGTAGAAGTCTGGTCACCTTGGCTTTCTTCTCCGCAGCTCTGGGCAGGGCCGGGGGCCTGTCACTGGTCGGGGGATTTAGGAGACCACGCAAACACCCACTCCACTCTGGATCTCCAAGCTGCCAGGCCCCCTCCTCTGAAATCAGGGCTTCGGGAGTCCATGGTCTGATCCACCCTCCCAGCCTCTCTCCACACCTGCCTTCAGTGGTCTTGGCCCTGTTTCCTGACCCTTTCGTGTTCTCCCAGCCTCTCCACATCTCGGAGTGTCTCTTTCTCTCCCTGCTGGACTCCAGGATCTATCACCTTTGCCCTTCTTCCCTGTGCAACCCCCTGCCTGTCCCAATCAGGACTGTATGCTCATCCTGACCCTCTGTCCTGGCGCCACCTGCCCTGAGGCCACCCAGACTGGAGAACTGGAGGGTTTGTGCCTCCCCATCTCCTCTGCCTGGCTAGAGGCCCCAGGTCCCGCGGGTCCTGCCTCCCTCCATTGTTTCTGCCCAAGTCGTGGCTGCCTGGGTCGTCCCCAGCCCTGCAAGTCTGTGTGGCTCAATTCTCCCCAGCCACTGCTGCCCCCAGAAGGCAGCAAACCTTCCTCCAGTTCCTCCAGGACAGCAATGAGCCATGGGCAGGGTGGTCAGCATGCCAGGGCACTCCTGCTGCTAAGCCATAGTGGTGGCCACCTAAGGTCCAGCAGGGGCAGCAGGCTGGTCACTGGTCCCAGAAGCAATAGCATGCCTGAGGGTTGTACAGAGTGAGGCAGGGGCAGAAGCGGGTGCCAGAAGGGACTGGGCCGCCCTCCCCAGGGTCCCTGCTTCCATGCTTCCTGCCTCATGGTGTTGTGTCTGAGCAGCCTTGTCTTCACCACACCACAGCAGCAGGAGTGTGTGGTGGACACAGATGGCGCCTGCTTGTGTCTGCCAGTTTCCCCGCTACCGCTGCCAGGGAATGCCAGCTGGAGGAAGGCAGGAGTAGATAGGGTATGACAGAGGCCGGAGGCCAGCCCTGTCGGGGTGTGGGGGAAACGGGACAGGCATGGTTGCCCTGGGCTCTCTCCCAGGGGAGGGGCTGCTTTCCAGACCTCGCCTTTCCACAGATGACCCAAGGTCTCTGCCTGGGTGGGGCCGTCGGAGGCTCTGTTGTGTCAACTGTGATGTGATGTTCTCCGGATCCTTGTCGGGCCTGGCTCCAGGGTCTGGGCTCAGACACGGAGGCTGCAGGGTCGGAGAGCAGGGCCACATGACGGCTTGGTGGTCCAGGAGGCCTTCTGAGGGAAGGGCCCTGGCAGCGTGTGCGGAGGCCTGGGATTGGGGTTGGGATTGTTTAGCCAGCTGGAGTGCCCAGGAGGTGAGATGAGAGAGGCCGGGAGGGCCTGTGCTGCTGGCTGCAGGTGGAGGATCGGCTGAGCCGAGCGGGGAGGCTGGAGTTTCCTACAGTTGTAGGGCTCTGTGCCCCCTCCCACCTCTCCTCCTGTCCCGGCCCCACCAAGGCTTCTCCGATGGGTCTCACAGGCTGCGCCCCCCTCCATCCTCCCGTCCCATCTTTAGCCGTGGGTGGGGCCTGTGCCTGGACGACCCTCCTGCCAAGGACATTATCGACTTCCCCTCGGTGCCACCTGGCGTCCTCTATGATGTAAGCCACCAGTGCCGCCTCCAGTACGGGGCCTACTCTGCCTTCTGCGAGGACATGGATGTGAGTGGGGCCGGTGTGGGTGTGGGGGTGTGGGGACCCGGCAGGAGGGCTCAGGGGGCAGCTCTCACCAGCCCGTGGATGCCAGCCTGGGAGCAACCTCTCCTGGCCTGGGCTGCGCCCCTGAGTGACACTGTGAGACGTCAAGTGGCCTGTGGGAGAGGCCAGGGATGGGCGGCCACAGACCCAGCTCTGAATTCTGGGTCAACCATGGACCAACTGTGACCCTTCGGACAAGTCCCTTCGCCTCTCTGGAGCTGGCTTATAAGAGGGAAAAGGAACCCCTGTGGAGAGGGTCTGTTTATCCTGGCGAAGATCGCCTGAAGTGATCTTCTAACAGGAGTGTTTCCAGAGGAGGGGCTGGGCCGGGAGAGGTGTGGACAGCTGGGGACCGCTCTGAGCAGCGCAGCCCCGGGCGCCCCACACCACCACATGGTCCGGGGAGGAAGGTGGGAGCAGGCACACAAGAAGGAACCTCTGGGGGTCTGTGGGCCCCTGCCATGTGGAGGGGTGCCCAGGGGACCCTTGGGGACAGGGAGGGGGGCAGGGTGGGTGGCGGCACTGGGGAGGGTGTGAGGGTATGGCCCATGCCCTCCTCCTCGCAGAATGTCTGCCACACACTCTGGTGCTCTGTGGGGACCACCTGTCACTCCAAGCTGGATGCAGCTGTGGACGGCACCCGGTGTGGGGAGAATAAGGTAGGGGATGTCCCCAGTCCCGGCAGTGGGTGTGTGAGAGGCCAGACTTCCTGCTGTGACCAGGCCCTGGGGTCAGCCCCGGCTCACAGTCTTGCTTGTGCTCCTAGCAGAGCCCCACGCTCTCTGCAGCCCAAGCCCCCATCTGCAAAGTGGAGGCATTGGGGCCAGGGCTTGATTCCATGATTCCCCAGGGTGTCTTCAGCTGAGTCAGCATGTGGGCTGTTTTACTCCCCGCTCAGCTCCTCCATGTGGCCTGGGTCACAGATGATTGTGATGATTGTGAGGGTGCCTCTCTCACCTTCCATCCTTCCCCTCTGTGCCTTTCGCAGCCTTCCCACCCACCTTGTTCTCACTAGGGTGAGGATGACTGATAGACTTGGGGGTGGGGTGGCTCTACCTCCGTCTGTCTCAGTAGTGGTGTCTCAGTGGGGAGTGCGTACCCGTGGGCTTCCGGCCCGAGGCCGTGGATGGTGGCTGGTCTGGCTGGAGCGCCTGGTCCATCTGCTCACGGAGCTGTGGCATGGGCGTACAGAGCGCCGAGCGGCAGTGCACGCAGCCTACGTGAGTGTGGGGCCCAGGGTGCCCTTGGGCAGTGGGACAGAGGGACCCAAACAGTCAGCCGATTGCAGGAGCTTGGCTCTGTCCCAGCCCCTGGCTCTTAGAAGTGTCCTGATAATGGTCAGTCCGAGTGTCCAGGCCACCTTAAGTCACTTTCAAGGAGTGTTCTGGGGGCTGACAGGGTCCCCACTTCTGACCCCTTTCCAGAGAGGGGGACACTGAGGCCCAGAGACTAGAGAGACTCATCAGAGGCCACATGGCAAAGCAGCTGCTGGCTGGAAGGAGGCAGGAGAGGGCAGTGGGGAAGAGCATGGGCCCTGGACCTTAGATGGCTCAGGGTTCGAATCTCCTCTTCACCCCTTCTCTGGGCCTCCATTTCCCCATCTGTATAATAGCAGTGCCCATCCAGTAAAGTTGTAGTCAGGGGCAAATGCAGTTTATGCAGGCCAGGCCCTCAGCCCTGCAGCTCATCTGTAGTGGGCACTCAGCGGGAGGGGCTTGGTGGCCTCAGAGGCTCAACAAAGGTCTGAGATGAGACGGAGCAGCTGGGAGGATGGGACAGCACTGAAGGGGTGGCCTGACGTGAGCGACTTCACCTCTCTGGGCCTCTGTTTCCCCATCTAAACGGGGGGGTGGGGGTGCAGGGGGTGTGAAGATCTGGTGAGAAGCAGAGGCAAGTGGTACTGTAGACCGAGGCACTACCCGGCTGATCTTCACTTCAGGAGGCCACCCGGGGCAGGCATGGGGTTCACAGCCAGCCCCACCCAGGGCCCTGCGCTTACCCAAGAGTGGCCTGTGCCCCTCCCTGCCTCCTGGCCTCCAGGTCTGAGCTGGGTGGGGGCCAGCGACCCTGGCCTAGATGCGGAGGATTTCAGGAGCTGTGCTAGGTCAGACCTTTCAGCTGGCTGGGGCCCTAGGCACTTCCTTTAGACCCGGGCTGGGGGTACTGCCACCAGGAGGAAGGCTGAGGACTCAAGGGCTCGTTAGGATGCTGGTGTCATGGGCTGGAGACTCGGAGCAGTCCCTCCAGCCAGTGCTAGTCATGCCT
This sequence comes from Homo sapiens, assembly GCF_000001405.40. NCBI lineage: Eukaryota > Metazoa > Chordata > Mammalia > Primates > Hominidae > Homo > Homo sapiens. The sequence goes on along the minus strand of NC_000015.10, from coordinate 78,775,142 downwards.
GCAGCTTGTCCCAGCTTCTCAACAGCCCTCTGCAGAAGCAGCCCCAACCCCACTTTATACATGAGGAAACTGAGGCCCAGAGGGTGGCCGAAGACTTGCCCACGGTCACACTGTAGGTTGGGGGCAGAGCTCAGGCTTCCTGCTGCCACCTCCCCACAGGTCCTTACAAACAGGGAGAGTGTGTCTGGGCCAGAGGGTGGGCAGCCCAAGGGAGGGGAGCAGCGTGCACAAAGCTGGGCAGCAGGGATCTCGGGGTGTGGATGCAGGAGGAAGTTGCTTGCTCTGGGCTGTGGCCATGCAGTAGCACTCACTGGGCCGTCACTGGGGCCCACCCCGGTTCTCCCCACAGGCCCAAATACAAAGGCAGATACTGTGTGGGTGAGCGCAAGCGCTTCCGCCTCTGCAACCTGCAGGCCTGCCCTGCTGGCCGCCCCTCCTTCCGCCACGTCCAGTGCAGCCACTTTGACGCTATGCTCTACAAGGGCCAGCTGCACACATGGGTGCCCGTGGTCAATGACGGTGAGTGCTGCCCCCCATGGAGACATTGAGGCTTAGAGGGCTGGGGGTGTGTGGGTCCAAGGTTACCCTGTGATGCGAGCAGGAGGCCCAGTCTTCACCCCAAGCCTGGGCCACTCCCACTGTCCCCTGGGGCTGCTGCTCGCCCCTAGCTCCCCAGTCTGCAGCCTTGCAGATAGCTATCAGCCCAGCCGGAGCCTCCAGCATGTTGGTGCTGCTTGGGAGCCTCCAGCCTGCCATGGATGTGTGTCACGGAGGGGTCTTCCTGGTGGCCTCCATACTCCCGCCCCAGCTGTTGCTGATGACTCTTCTACTTGGGCCCTCAGTGAACCCCTGCGAGCTGCACTGCCGGCCCGCGAATGAGTACTTTGCCGAGAAGCTGCGGGACGCCGTGGTCGATGGCACCCCCTGCTACCAGGTCCGAGCCAGCCGGGACCTCTGCATCAACGGCATCTGTAAGGTGTGCCTGGTTAGGAAGAGGCTCTCCCAGCACTGCCTGCCCCCAGCCCCACTGGCAGGCCCCAGGTTCTCTCCTGGGTCCCTCCTGATCCTCCTCGGGCCATGGCGGGCCCCAGGTTCTCTCCTGGGTCCCTCCTGGTCCTCCTCGGGCCACCCTCCCCATGCTCTACCATCGGGCTTCCCAGCCCGTACCCTCTATGACCTCTAAGGCAAAGCCCCTACCACGCCTCCTGGCACTGGGGACCCTTCCAGTCAGGCCTCGCCCCCCTGCGTCTCCCTGGATGCCTGCACCAGCACCGCCCCAGCCAGGAAACCGGAGCTCAGGCAGTGGCTTGACCTCTTGCTGGCTGGCTGACCACAGGCAGTGGTTTGCTCCCTGATAGAAGGGGTTAAATGAGGTGGCATAGGTGACACAGAGGGCTCTGAGCCGCAAAGAGTAGCCCTCAGTGTGTGGTAACAATTTCTATTCTTATTTTTAATAACAATGACGGCCTCTCCTCTTTGCCCATGTCCCCAGCGACCTACTTGTCCCTGCTTCTTGCCCTCTAAGCCTCTGGGGTATCAAGGCCTGGGCTCCGAGGAGGACCAGGAGGGAGGTGCCAACCCCCAGTGCCTTTGACGTTGAAATTCCCTGCACGCGCTGCTCAGGAGCCCGTGGCGTGTCAGATCCCCTGCCTGCCCGCAGGCTTTGCAGAACTCTTCCCTTCTCTTGTCTCATGTGATGCTCATGACATGCCTTTAAGGGAGGGGTGGGTCTCCCCGTCTCACATCTGAGGAAACTGAGGCTTAGGGAAGTAGAGAGGTTCACCTGGGTCAGAGGCACAGCTGAGGTGGGGCAGGGCCAGAGAGAGGCCTCCCGACCCCAACTCCCAGCTTTCTTCTCCTGACTCTGGCTGGCCCCGGGGCTGGGGCCACAGAGGGCTGGCCGCCAGCACCAGGGCCCTCCCTTCCTTGTGTGTTGCAGAACGTGGGCTGTGACTTCGAGATTGACTCCGGTGCTATGGAGGACCGCTGTGGTGTGTGCCACGGCAACGGCTCCACCTGCCACACCGTGAGCGGGACCTTCGAGGAGGCCGAGGGCCTGGGTATGGGGTGGGACCGCTGTGGGGAGGGGTATGCTCTTCACCTGATGGCCCCTTCCCCATCTCCCCTGGGCCCCTGTCCTTGGCCTCGTGGCCCCCACCCAGCCTGGAGATGGCTAAGCAGGGAAGCCTTGCTGGGGTGGATTCTTGCAGGAGTCAGGGGACCCCTGGCCCATGTGCAGAGACCTGTCCCCATGGGGAGTCCTCCTGTCCCAGACACCCCAGATAGGGCCAACCCGGCTTGTGTGTGGCCCCTTGGCCTTCCAAAGAATGGTAGTCTCCTCCTGAAGCTTCTGAGACCCCAGCTCCGTGTCCTCACCTCCGGTCTGTTTTGCACACGTTGCTCAAGTACTGACTGTGTGCTAGGTGATGGGGACATGCAGGTGAAGCGCTTAGTCCTGGAGGGGGACAGAACCTTTTGGTGTGACCAGTGCAGTGGAGGGAGGCCCGGAGGGCTGTGGGAGCACTGAGGAAGAAGGTCCTGGCCTGGGGAAGTCAGGGAAGGTTTCCTGTAGGAGGCGGAAGTCGAGCTGAATCATAAAACTCAGAAGAGATGGAAAGGGCATTCCAAATGGAGGAAAGAAGAGCTTGTGCCAGAGCCTGGAGGCAAGAAGGGAAGGCAGGGCCAGCTATGGGGCCTTGAGTGCCAGGCTGAGAAGCTTAGATTTTCTCCCAGAGATGCAGTGCAGTGTGGTGGATAAAGCACTGGCCATGGAGGCTGCTCATACCGCAGCAGGATGTTCATGTACGTTACTATCCCTGTCTGCCTCACTTTGCTCATCTGTAAAATGGGGATAACAATAGTACCTATGCTATAGGGCCATTACCCATGAGCTTACACATGTGAGGTGCTGAGAGTAGTGCCTGGCACGTGATGGGTGTGATGGAAGTGAATGAATAAAAGCAGGCCGCATGGGGATGAGGAGGGTGTCCCAGGAGAAAGGCCTGGGCACTTTGGTTTTTTTAGAAAGAAGATGCCAGCCAGCCCTTAGAGTAGGGAATGGATCCAGCCTTATGATGAGACCAGTGTAGGTCCCCAAGAGAGGAGTGATGGGGCATGGCCACGGGGTCAGGATTTGTGGCACCTCTGCGAGGTTTTGGTGACCCATGACAGATCCGAGCAATTTAGGGAGCTCAGACTTTAAAGCTTTGGCATCAGCAGGCGGAGGCAAGTGGGGAGAGACATGAGGGGAGCGGGTGGGGATAAGCAACCCTCTCACCCTGGGCACAACCTATGCACAACCCTTGGCTGACAGGGTATGTGGATGTGGGGCTGATCCCAGCGGGCGCACGCGAGATCCGCATCCAAGAGGTTGCCGAGGCTGCCAACTTCCTGGCACTGCGGAGCGAGGACCCGGAGAAGTACTTCCTCAATGGTGGCTGGACCATCCAGTGGAACGGGGACTACCAGGTGGCAGGGACCACCTTCACATACGCACGCAGGGGCAACTGGGAGAACCTCACGTCCCCGGGTCCCACCAAGGAGCCTGTCTGGATCCAGGTGCCTGCCTCCCGTGGCCCAGGCGGGGGGAGCAGAGGCGGAGTCCCCAGGCCCAGCACCCTCCATGGCAGGTCTCGTCCTGGAGGAGTGAGCCCTGGTTCAGTCACAGAGCCTGGCTCTGAGCCAGGCCCTCCTGCTGCGGCCTCTACCTCAGTTTCCCCATCTTTAAAATGGCCCAATCTTGTAGCTGCAGTTCACAGAGGTGGCTGGGGTCAGCTCCTTTAGGACTGGGTGGATGGAGAAGACACCTTGTGCTCATGGGCCCCCGCCTGCCCACCCAGCTGCTGTTCCAGGAGAGCAACCCTGGGGTGCACTACGAGTACACCATCCACAGGGAGGCAGGTGGCCACGACGAGGTCCCGCCGCCCGTGTTCTCCTGGCATTATGGGCCCTGGACCAAGTGCACAGTCACCTGCGGCAGAGGTGAGAAGTGGGGCAGGCACAGCCCCACCTGCAGGGGCTTAGTGTCTGGACAGGGACACTGGCTTCAGCTCCCAGCTCACTGCTGGGCCACCACGGGTTTGGAAGTTTGCTTCTCTGAGCCTCAGTTCTCCATCTGTGAGATGAGGCTAGCGATTGCCCTGTGTCCCAGGCCCGCTGGGAGGGTACATGGATGAGGCAGGTGGGTGCTGGCTCGCGGCGCATGTTCAGTGTGCTCCAGCTCTTGGCGTTCTCCCTCCAGGGGACACAGCTCCCCCTCGATAGACCAGTCCAGTGGCCCCTCACCACACTGACTTATTTCCCTAAACTATTTATAAAAAGTAGGGCAATTTCATTAACTCTGACTCTTCCTCCCCAAATTTCCCTCTCTCCCCATGCTCCTCAGTCCCCTCTCTCTCTGTCTCCTCCCCACTGCTCCTCAGTCTCCCCTCTGGCCCTCTGTCTCCTCCCATACTCCTCAGTCTCCCCGCATGCCTCTCAGTCTCCCCCATACCCCTCGGTCTCCCCCCATACCCCTCGGTCTCCCCACCATATCCCTCGGTCTCCCTCCAGCCCTCCAGTACCCCCGCCACACCCCTCAGTCCTCCTCTCACAGCTCGGTCTCCCCCACCATTCCTTGGTCTCCCCCCAGCCCCCTAGTCCCCCCCACCAACGCCCCTCGGTCTTCCTCCCCCTGCTTGGTCTCCCCTGCCATTCCTTGATCTCCCCACACCTCAGTTTCCCCCTTTGTCTCTTAGTTCTCCCCTTTTCCCCTCAGTCTTCCCATTGTTGACACTCAGTATCCTCAGGGTCTCAGAATTGGGAATCTGAGATACAGACATTTGAGCATTCCTTCAAATGCTATTATGATGACAAAGTGAAACTGGAGAACTGGGCAGATACCTTCCAAAGCTAGGAAACCCATTTTATCTAATACAGCTGTCTTTATTTTATTTTGCTATTTTATTTTATTTTATTTATTTTATTTTATTTTATTTGTTAGAGATGGAGTCTCACTCTGTTGCCCAGGCTGGAGTGCAATGGCACAATCTCGGCTCACTGCAGCCTCCGCCTCCCAGGCTCCAGCGATTCTCCTTCCTCAGCCTCCCGAGTAGCTGGGATTTACAGGCACGTGCCACCATGCCCGGCTAATTTTTTTATTATTAGTAGAGATGGGGTTTCACCATGTTGGCCAGGCTGGTCTTGAACTCCTGACCTCAGGTGATTTGCCCGCCTTGGCTTCCCATAGTGCTGGGATTACAGGTGTGAGCCACTGCCCCTGGCCTAATACAGGTGTCTTTAATTGGACAAACTTGAAAACCAACAAATACACTTGCAGCACTAGACATTTGGGGAACTGTCTTTCAGCAAATTGGCTGCTTCGCAGGTGGACCACTTGGGAGCATCTGCAGAGGCAAGTGCCCTGTGGTGGCTGGAACAGACAGGGGTTCTTTGTCTCAGGCAGGAAGTCCCAGATGCACAGTCTAAGCTGGCGGGACCTGGAGCTGACTGGCCCTCAGCCACACCGTCCTTGTCACAGCAGCCTCCCCTCCACTCCTGCTTGCCACAGATGGTGTCCTCCCTTCCAGGGCTCTTGCAGTGTTCTGGGCAGGAAGAAGGAGAGGGAAAAGGGCTGACTCCCAGCGAGGGACTTGTGCCTTTTTCTCCCGAGCCAGTACTGTGTCCCAGACCCCCCTAGTTGCAAGGGAGCGGCAGTGGGGTGTGTTTTCAGCAGGTCCCATTGCTGTCTTGAACAAAATCAGAATCTGTTGGTGAGGAAAGAGGGGGACGGATGTGGGACTGGCAGCTCAGGGGAGGGACAACTTACTCTCGGGACCACGGGGCAGGGGGTGGAGCAGAGAAGGCAGAGCCACCAGCAGAGGGGGTCCTGCAGCTGGGCCTCAACAGGCAGTATGGAAGTGAGTGTCCAAGGTGAGGAGCGTGGCTGTGCAAAGGCCCCAGGGTTGGCAGTGACAGAGGGTGTGAAGGACAGGAGCAGTGCCAAGCCTGGTGTGGGGATGGAGAGCAGGGGCTGCCCCTTGATGCCCCATTTCTTGTCCGGAGGTTCTCTGAGCCATTGGGAAGGGTGTGGATGGTGGGATGATGTGTCGGTGGCCCCCGGACACACTGGGCCCTGAAGGCTCAGGCAGCGGCTCCTCCAGCCACGAGCTCTTCAATGAGGTTGACTTCATCCTGCGCCACCTGGCCTCATGCCCTTCACCCGCCTCATCACCCAAGCCAGCCCCGGGAAGGAGCAGAGGGAATCGGGCTTTCATTCTGTTCCCAAGGCTGAAGCCCCAGCCCCGGTCACCCCTCACCCCAGCCTGGGCCAGCCTGGACACTTGTGGTCCTCCTCTTTGGGTCCCTGGATGTGGAAATAGGCCTCAGGTCACTCTCAGTTTCCCTGAGGGGAGGGTGGCAGGAGCCATGGCTGGGTTTGCATGCTAACAGCAGCTGGCATGGATCGAGCTCTTAGGATGTGCCGGGCACGGGCTGAGCCTGCACATGCAAGAACACACGCAGTCCTCCCTCCAGGACATGGAGGAGGCAGGATTGTTGCTCCCACTTTACAGAGGAGGACACTGAGGTTCAGAGAGGCCAAATGAGCTGCCCAGGCATCTCAGCTGGGATGCAGAGGGTCTGGGCACCCAACCCACTAAACATCCACACTCTGCCACCCCTCCAGTCAGAGGGGAGGCTACATAGGAGAGGGGGCGGGTGAGAACCAGGAGGACAGTGAGGAGGCGACGGTGGAGGTCTGCCTTCATCCTGACATGGGCAGTAAGGCATCCTGACACGGGCAGTAAGGCGCTGTTCTGGGAGGGTTCTGGCAGAGAGGGTGTCTTTGGGTCTTGGGTGGTGGGCACCTGGGTGCCAGTCCCAGGCTGAGCCCCGTGGCCCCTAGGTGTGCAGAGGCAGAATGTGTACTGCTTGGAGCGGCAGGCAGGGCCCGTGGACGAGGAGCACTGTGACCCCCTGGGCCGGCCTGATGACCAACAGAGGAAGTGCAGCGAGCAGCCCTGCCCTGCCAGGTGAGCCCGCCCCCATCCCCCGCCAACTCCCCACCCCATCCCCCGCCAACTCCCCACCCCCATCCCCCGCCAACTCCCCACCCCATCCCCCGCCAACTCCCCACCCCCAGGCATCCTGGGTCTGCCACAGGTCCCTACATCTGGGTCCCTGGAGGCCCTGGGGAGGAGCAGAGGGAGCCGGGCTTTTATTCTCTTCCCAAGGCTGAAGCCCCAACCCCCGGTTACCCCTCACCCCAGCCTAGGCCAGCCTGGACACCTGTGGTCCTCCTCTTTGGGTCCCTGGATGTGGAAACAGGCCTTAGGTCATGCTCAGTTTTCCTGAGGGGAGGCTGGCAGGAGCGGAGGGGCTGTGCCATGTCACCAGGCTTTGAGGGCAGGACACTTACCTGAGCTTGGAGCTCTGGAGAATCAACCACTGGCCTCAGTCCCAGCTCTACCCAAATGCCGAGGGCCTGGAAGCCCAGCCTGGCCCCCCCTGCTGGTGAGCCTGCAGGCCACCTGTCTGATGCCACACTGATGCCACCTGTGTGCCCTCGCCAGGTGGTGGGCAGGTGAGTGGCAGCTGTGCTCCAGCTCCTGCGGGCCTGGGGGCCTCTCCCGCCGGGCCGTGCTCTGCATCCGCAGCGTGGGGCTGGATGAGCAGAGCGCCCTGGAGCCACCCGCCTGTGAACACCTTCCCCGGCCCCCTACTGAAACCCCTTGCAACCGCCATGTACCCTGTCCGGCCACCTGGGCTGTGGGGAACTGGTCTCAGGTGAGTGTGGGATGGGAAGGGGCCCGCCTCCAGCTCCACCCTTGGTCTTCAGCTACAGGGAGGCAGACAGCCTTCCTGGAGACCTTGTGGGTGGGAGGGAACCTGGGCATTCCAGGGTCCAGCCCCTGACTCTAAAGCCTCAGGGATCAGGAAGCCCCTGGCAAGCATGGCCACAGTCATGGCCTTGAGCTGGGAAGGGCCAGAGAGGGCTGGCTGGGGTCTCTGCCACTCTGACATCGGGCAGTGGACAGGTTACCCAGCCTTGCCCCAGCGTCCCCTGGCAGCCTGCCTCCCAGGGTAAGCCCCTCACCCTGGCTTCCCCTGCAGTGCTCAGTGACATGTGGGGAGGGCACTCAGCGCCGAAATGTCCTCTGCACCAATGACACCGGTGTCCCCTGTGACGAGGCCCAGCAGCCAGCCAGCGAAGTCACCTGCTCTCTGCCACTCTGTCGGTGGCCCCTGGGCACACTGGGCCCTGAAGGCTCAGGCAGCGGCTCCTCCAGCCACGAGCTCTTCAACGAGGCTGACTTCATCCCGCACCACCTGGCCCCACGCCCTTCACCCGCCTCATCACCCAAGCCAGGCACCATGGGCAACGCCATTGAGGAGGAGGCTCCAGAGCTGGACCTGCCGGGGCCCGTGTTTGTGGACGACTTCTACTACGACTACAATTTCATCAATTTCCACGAGGATCTGTCCTACGGGCCCTCTGAGGAGCCCGATCTAGACCTGGCGGGGACAGGGGACCGGACACCCCCACCACACAGCCATCCTGCTGCGCCCTCCACGGGTAGCCCCGTGCCTGCCACAGAGCCTCCTGCAGCCAAGGAGGAGGGGGTACTGGGACCTTGGTCCCCGAGCCCTTGGCCTAGCCAGGCCGGCCGCTCCCCACCCCCACCCTCAGAGCAGACCCCTGGGAACCCTTTGATCAATTTCCTGCCTGAGGAAGACACCCCCATAGGGGCCCCAGATCTTGGGCTCCCCAGCCTGTCCTGGCCCAGGGTTTCCACTGATGGCCTGCAGACACCTGCCACCCCTGAGAGCCAAAATGATTTCCCAGTTGGCAAGGACAGCCAGAGCCAGCTGCCCCCTCCATGGCGGGACAGGACCAATGAGGTTTTCAAGGATGATGAGGAACCCAAGGGCCGAGGAGCACCCCACCTGCCCCCGAGACCCAGCTCCACGCTGCCCCCTTTGTCCCCTGTTGGCAGCACCCACTCCTCTCCTAGTCCTGACGTGGCGGAGCTGTGGACAGGAGGCACAGTGGCCTGGGAGCCAGCTCTGGAGGGTGGCCTGGGGCCTGTGGACAGTGAACTGTGGCCCACTGTTGGGGTGGCTTCTCTCCTTCCTCCTCCCATAGCCCCTCTGCCAGAGATGAAGGTCAGGGACAGTTCCCTGGAGCCGGGGACTCCCTCCTTCCCAACCCCAGGACCAGGCTCATGGGACCTGCAGACTGTGGCAGTGTGGGGGACCTTCCTCCCCACAACCCTGACTGGCCTCGGGCACATGCCTGAGCCTGCCCTGAACCCAGGACCCAAGGGTCAGCCTGAGTCCCTCAGCCCTGAGGTGCCCCTGAGCTCTAGGCTGCTGTCCACACCAGCTTGGGACAGCCCCGCCAACAGCCACAGAGTCCCTGAGACCCAGCCGCTGGCTCCCAGCCTGGCTGAAGCGGGGCCCCCCGCGGACCCGTTGGTTGTCAGGAACGCCGGCTGGCAAGCGGGAAACTGGAGCGAGGCAAGTGGTGTGGGCTGGGCGGGCAGGGAGTTTGCGCAGGACCTTGGTGACTATTTCCTCATCTGAAAATGAGCAGAGTGGGACACAGGCGCCGTCTGTCTAGCCTCTCTTGGGGCAGGGGTTCCCAGGATTAGGGGGATGAGGGGACCCCGGGCCCCATTCCTGGGCAGCACAGGGGGCCTCAGGGAAGGCAGGGGCAGGCACACTCTGGCAGCACAGCACACCCCAGAATGGAGCTGGCTCAGACAGCTGTGCAGTGGGGACGGTCCCCGCATGGCCGCCAGGCCCAGTCCTCCCCAGCAGGCAGCAGCTTCCCTGAGGCTGGACCTGGCTTCTCCAGGCTGGGCTCAGCCCACTGCCACCTGGCTCTGCCCTCAGTGGCTCCACCCTCCTTTGGCAGTGACCTGCAGGGGTCTGAGCTGCCAGAAAGAAGCTGGCTAGTGCCCCTCCCTGGGTCCCCAGATGGTCACTGCAGGAGAAGGAAGCTTCTGTTCAGATCCCTAATTTTGGGGCGGGAAGGGGCAGGCTGAGGCCCACAGGGCTTGTTTTGCGCAGGGATACCCAGCGATTTGGCTGCTGGTACCAGGACCCAGCCTTCCTTCCCTGGTGCCTCTGGGAAGCGACGAGGCTGGTCAAGATAGCTGGTCGGGGTGCCCACAGGGTCCCCTCCCCCCACCTCTGCACCAATGACACTGGAACACAGGCCCTTTGTCCCATGTGAGCAGGGACGGCTGGTTGCTGAGGGGATTTGACTTTTCATTCTCACGGTCTTCCTGGGAGGTGGGTGAAGGAGCCTATTTTGCAAATAAGGAAACTGAGGCCCAGAAGAGGGCCCCTGTCTTGCTGAGGTCTCGCTAGCCTAGGTGGGTAGTTTCCTGGCTGTGGAGGCCTGGCGGGGATGGGATCTGCCTGGCTTTCACGGGTCTCTGCCCCGCAGTGCTCTACCACCTGTGGCCTGGGTGCGGTCTGGAGGCCGGTGCGCTGTAGCTCCGGCCGGGATGAGGACTGCGCCCCCGCTGGCCGGCCCCAGCCTGCCCGCCGCTGCCACCTGCGGCCCTGTGCCACCTGGCACTCAGGCAACTGGAGTAAGGTGCGTGAGGATGGAGCCAGGACAGGCATTCCCAGGGCATGGGGTGGAGCCCTGGTTCCCCACGGCCTGTGTTCTGAGAGCGGCAGGGAAGGGGAGGGCCCCAGGCTGCACATCTGTGTGCCCGATCACACCGGATTCTGAATCTCTTGGGAGTCTTCTCATCTTTGTCTGGCTTGGCCTGTCTCCTTTCCTCTGTATCTTTGACCCCATCTGGACTTGTCTTTCACCAGCTTGCCTTTGTTCCTCCCTTTCTCTGTCTGTCCCAGCCCGTGGCAGCCCCTGGCCATGCCACCTTTTGCCTGGGGCCTGCCAGCCTTGGCCTCTCGCTGGGGTTCTTCAGCTATTCCCCCGGGCTGGGGCGTGGGCCTGGATGCCTTTCCCGCCACACACCTCACGGGGTCACGCCTGTGGGCCTGCACATGGGGATGTGTCCATACACGTCTCTCGGTCCCCAGTGCTCCCGCAGCTGCGGCGGAGGTTCCTCAGTGCGGGACGTGCAGTGTGTGGACACACGGGACCTCCGGCCACTGCGGCCCTTCCATTGTCAGCCCGGGCCTGCCAAGCCGCCTGCGCACCGGCCCTGCGGGGCCCAGCCCTGCCTCAGCTGGTACACATCTTCCTGGAGGGAGGTGAGGCCTGGCCGTTGAGTTGGGGGGAGGGGACGCCCTCAGACCCTGGCTGTGCCCTGACTCCTTCCCTGCCCACCCAGTGCTCCGAGGCCTGTGGCGGTGGTGAGCAGCAGCGTCTAGTGACCTGCCCGGAGCCAGGCCTCTGCGAGGAGGCGCTGAGACCCAACACCACCCGGCCCTGCAACACCCACCCCTGCACGCAGTGGGTGGTGGGGCCCTGGGGCCAGGTGAGCCGGGCTGCGGGGAGGAGCAGGGAGCAAGTGCTTGGTGGCGCCTGGTCAGTCTTGGGTTGGGTGAAGGAGCTGTGGAGTGTGTGCTGTGAGCCAGGCTCTTTGTGGCCCTGTCACTGGACGAGGCCCCGCCCGGCTGGTGCTCACACCTGCCAGGGAGAAACAGACAAGGAAAGGGCGCGTGTGCTGTGGTGTCAGGGAAGGCCTTCCAAGGAGGGGTCTGGGGTTGAGACCCGAGGGAGGAGTCAGTGATGCCAAGGACAGGGATCGAAGGGACATCAGGTGTGAAGTCTGAGGCAGGAATGACGAGCTTGAGGGGGCCGGGGAGCCCGGCAAAGGCCAGCGGCAGAAGGGGGCGTAAGAGGGGCCTCAGATGGGCAGGACACCTTCTGCTGGGCCTGTTTGGAACTGAGGGGTTCAGAAATCTCAGATTTGGGCCCTGAGCTGGGTCCTGGAGTCAGCTGGGCCAGCGTTTGCGTCTTTGTCCGACTGGCTGCTGAGTGACTCTGGGCAGGTTGCTTTGCGTTGCTGGGTCACTGTTTTCTCATCTGTAAAACTGGAACAGCTTAGGAGAGGAGGGTCAGGAGGATTAAATGAAGGAACGCAACGAAGCACAGGGCCGGGCACAGCATGACACTGGCACAGACTCAGTGCATGTTTAGGGCTGATAACAACGAAGCCTGGCGGGCTGGGCCCCGGCTGTGAAACTGTCTCCTGCCCTCCTGCCCATGGGCTGCGGCAGGTCCTCTGCCCTGTCCCTCGGGCACAGCGGTGTCTCGCCCACATCTCTGCCCACTGCTGCATCAGGGCTCCATCCCGGCGCCCCTGCCCAGGCTTCTCAGGCATGTCCTGTGTGAGGGGCTCACTGCCCTGCCGCCCCGAGGGCTGTCCCACGGTTCTCACGCCCCTTCCCTCTGCAGGAGCCGATCCCACAAGTGAGAGTGGGGTTCCAGCACCAAGTGGGCTCTAGGAATGGGACCAGGTGCTCCAGGAGGCACTGAGGGGGCGGCTGGGAGCAAGGCCAGGCCAGTCAGGCACAGGGCGCAGGGACGGCTTCCCAGAGGAGGTGTCCCTGCCCCCACTGCTAGGGCTGGCCCTGGAGACACTCATTCCTCCCCCGCTCCCCTCAGTGCTCAGGCCCCTGTGGTGGTGGTGTCCAGCGGCGCCTGGTCAAGTGTGTCAACACCCAGACAGGGCTGCCCGAGGAAGACAGTGACCAGTGTGGCCACGAGGCCTGGCCTGAGAGCTCCCGGCCGTGTGGCACCGAGGATTGTGAGCCCGTCGAGCCTCCCCGTGAGTCCCCTGACCCCAGGCTCCCTGCTGAAGTGAGGTGGGGTGGGGAGGGTGATGGGGAAATGGGGTCGTCAAACCATTGTGCCCACGGCACTGGCTGGTTCCATCTGTAGTCTGGGCTCAGGAGCCACATGGCCACTGAAAATCCTGATGCCACAGGATGCCATGCTGGAGGCTGGGCTGTGCTGGGAGTCAGTCAAGGGGAGTCCCGGCCACACAACATCCCATAGGCAGCTGTCTGACCTTGGGGGAGTAGAGGGAGTGGCCCTGGCCCCTGATTTGCTGTGTGAACCTGGGTAAGCTCTTTCTCCTCTAGGTCTCAGTCTTCCCACAGTGAGACCAGGGATGTCCCTGAGGCTGTGTGAAAACTGGGCCTGGGTGAGTCCCTGTCCCCAGCCCTGGCCTGTCCATTCCCTGGCTAGAGGACTGCCTAGAGTGAGCAATGGAACCACAGGAAGGGCCTCCTTTCCAGGGTCCTGCTAATGAGGTAATGGGGTTTGAGGCAGGAAGGGCCTCCCTTCCAGGGTCCTGTTAATCCCAGTGGTGGGGGGTTTCCTGGCCAGCTGGGTCCTGGTGGAAGGGCCTGAGGTAGAGGTGGTTCTGGACACCCCTGCCGCCGCCTCCAGCATGTGTGCGTGCGCGCACACACACACACACGCCAACACACACACACACAGTCATACACTTCCTTCCTGCAGCCCCAGCTGCTCCCGGAAGTGCTGAGGGCAGGAAATGGGGTGGCCCTGGAGTGTCACCTAGGCTCCCCTCACCAGCTGTGTGGCCTTGGGCTCCATTTCCCTCTCAGGGCCTTCATGTGCTGAATAAAGGGGCTGCCAAGCCCCATCCTTGCATAAATGAGGTCTGGGCATGAAGCACGCAGCACTGCGTGGGGATCCAGGTGGTGCTCAGGGAAGGTGGCTTTTTCCCCTCCCCCACAGCCACTGTCATCCCCAATTGCAAGGTCAGGGAGAGGGCCTGGGGCTGACCCTGCCAGTCTAAGGAATCCAGAAGCCGTGGCGTGAAGAGCTGTGTCCCCTGTGCTATTGGCTGTCTGCTCCCTGCCCCTAGGACAGAGTCCTCAGCCAGGGCCCTCAAGCTGGCATTCAGGGCCCCCTGCAATCTCCCCGGTCTGCCTTCTCCCCTTGTCCAACGCTGCCTTCTCTACCTGTGCCAGCTCCTGGGCAGCCCTCATTCAGGCTCAGAGTGGCCCCTGCCATGCCTCGCTGCCCTGCCTCTGGCATGGGTGGTCTTCCTGCCTCAAACCTCAAGGCCCAGTGGCAGCGCCCCCACCCTGTCCTGCCTGCCCTCAGCACGCACCCAGCCAGCATCTCAGAGCACTCCTATGTGCTACCTGAGCTGGGTGCTGGCACCACGTCTCTCACCTTTATGGCTAGGGCTGGCCACAGGGAGCGGGGTGGTTATGATCCCAGTGGGGGAGGACCAGATGGGGCAGAGAACAGAAACTGAGGCCCCTGGGGGCCTAGAACCAAGGACGGATGGCCCAGGAGGCTCTGGGCTTGCAAGGTCTCCCAGGGGCGGGTGTGAGTGGGCTGCAGGGAGTGGGCTATGGGGGCTGGTTAGGTGGCTGAACTAGAAGCTGTCCTAAGTGAGGAGTTTTCTGCCATCAGTGAACAGTGGAGGGGGGCTGGGAAGGTGTCTTGGACTTGGAGACCTGGAATTCCCAGATGTTCTGCTGGTCTGTGGGACAGTTGGCGGGACATGTGGAAAGCTGGGAAACTCGTGTGTGTGTGCTCACTGCAGTGACACAGCATGGCCACATCCATTTGCTGTGGAGGTGGGGTTGACAGAGGAGGGAACCGAGGCCCAAGAGGTGAAGCAGCTTGTCTGAGGTCACCCCGGGCGACCAGGATGCAGGCCTGCAGATGTGCACTTTGGAGCTCTGCCTGGAGCTGGGGTGGAGGAGCCTGCCTGCTGCCTCGTGCCCTCTGCCGGGCCTGGGGGATGTCCCAGGCCCAGGGCTGGCTGCTGCCTTCCTGCTCCTCCTCCCCAGGGAGGTCTGCTGGAGTAAGCAGGGCCCGGGTGGCAGCTGGGGGCTGTCAGCAGTGGCAGTGGCATCAGGAGCAAGGCCAGGAGGCTGGAAACAAGCCACTTCCCAAAATAGCTCTGATAACCACGGGGCAGGAGGGCCCAGCCAAGCCTCAGCCCTGACAAGCACAGCCTGCAGCTGGCCTCCCTCCCCAGCAGGCTGGGCTCAGTCTCTGGTTTCCGCTGACGGCCTGTAAGGCCCACTCACTCTAGGCTTCGTGGCCCACCTGAGAAGTGGGAGGCTGGCCTGGGAGATGGGACCCTGTGACTCAGAACCCGAGGCTGAGTACAGCCCCTGTGGCTGGAGGTGGTCACGGAGGCCTGGCAGGACAGATGCACTGGGGCAGGGGGCGGTGGCGGGAGTCGGGGGCAGAGGCCGCTGCAGGCTGGCAGGAGGCCCCGGGACCGCAGTTCTGTGCCAGGATCTGTCCGGGAACACCAGGGATGAGCAAGGATGGAGATGGGGTGGCAAGGCGTCGCCCTGGGCAGGCTCTTTAACAGGCATGTGAGGGGGTCAGGGTGGGGTCTCAGGACCTTTCCTCCAGAAACCTCAGCCCAGCAGCACCCGTTCTCGAGTCCTGGGGTTGGCCATGAGTAGGTGGGACAGAGACAGCAACAGTTGGAGACCTGCAACTCCGGTTCGGGAGCCGCTCCAGAAACTGGGGCTCTCTGCTTGGTGGGGAGCTGCTGGAGCCTCCTTAAGGTGGTTGGCGTAGGGAGCCAGGTTCTGGGTACCCCAAGCTACTGGTTCTGATGCCTCTCTGCCCCCCCACTCCAGGCTGTGAGCGGGACCGCCTGTCCTTCGGGTTCTGCGAGACGCTGCGCCTACTGGGCCGCTGCCAGCTGCCCACCATCCGCACCCAGTGCTGCCGCTCGTGCTCTCCGCCCAGCCACGGCGCCCCCTCCCGAGGCCATCAGCGGGTTGCCCGCCGCTGACTGCGCCAGGATGCACAGACCGACCGACAGACCTCAGTGCCCACCACGGGCTGTGGCGGAGCTCCCGCCCCCTGCGCCCTAATGGTGCTAACCCCCTCTCACTACCCAGCAGCAGGCTGGGGACCTCCTCCCCCTCAAAAAAGGTATTTTTTTATTCTAACAGTTTGTGTAACATTTATTATGATTTTACATAAATGAGCATCTACCATTCCAAAGCACAGCGTGACTTCGTCTTGGATTTGGAGAATCTTAAAAGTGAGAAACTCTTCCCCCCACCCCTCTGCCCAAAACTCCACCGCCACAGCACCTCGGCAGGCGTGGCTTTTCACCTGCTCCTCTGGGACAGATCTGCAGGGGGCAGCGTAGAAAATGAGTCCCTGAGAGCATGGCATCTGGTGAGGCACGGAAGGCCTCAGAAGCTGGGGGGCTGCTCCCCAGGGAGGGCTGTCTGCAGAGGGTGGGGTTCTGGGGGCAGGAAGGTCTTCCGGGCAGGGGCACGGCTTGGCCCTTACTTGCTGCCTGCCTTCAGCTCAGGCTCCCAGCCTTCCCTGGGGCCCCACTCTGTGGTCCTCAGAGACCTGTTCCACAGGGATTGAGCCCACCATGTCACTTGCAGGGACTGCCCCCTGGAGTGGTGGGGACTGGGGCCCCCATGGGGACCTCCCTGGCCCTGTCTGTTCTATCTGTTGACTCTTCTGCAAAAAGCAGGCAGAGAGGGGAAGAGCAGGCTGGCCAGCTGTGCCCTACTGTGTCCCCACGTGTCCCTTCATCTCTGTGCCCAGAGATAGGGCTGGGCTAATTGTCACTGCCTCAGGTTGGCCCCTTTCCCACCACCAGCCCCAGCTACAGGTTCCTACCACGCTGATCTATGGTCCAGCACCTGGCACCTGCCTACCCACAGCCCCTTCCCCTCCCATAAAATCTAGTCCCATGGAGCCAGACAGTAGTGCCCACAGCAGGGAACAGATGGGCATGAAGGTGCTTTGAAGAGGGTCCTGGCCTGACCAGGGGCGGGAGGCTGGGGAAGGGGCGGACACTGTCCCCCCAGGCCCAGGCCCAGCCCTGGATCCAACCCTGGCCTCTGGCTGTGAGCCTTAGACTCAGCCGTTGACAATTTCTTCCTCAGCCCTCCCCCTGGAAGGTGTTACGCCCCTTCTCCAGGTGGGGGACACTAAGGTTCAGAGAGCTCGCCCTGCAGCCTACAGGGGTCACCTCTCACATTCTACTCTCCAGCGTATGACAACCCTGGACGAAAGGTGAATGTAGCCCTGGAGCCTGCATGTGGCAGCCGCAGCCACTCAGGGCTGGGTATATGCTGGGGATGGAGGGGACACCACTGAAAATCACTCCTGGCTGGGCGCGGTGGCTCACACCTGTAATCCCAGCACTTTGGGAGGCTGAGGCGGGCGGATCACCTGAGGTCAGGAGTTTGAAACCAGCCTGGCCAATGTGGCAAAACCCCATTTCTGCTAAAAATACAAAAATTAGCCAGGTGCGGTGATGGGGACCTGTAATCCCAGCTACTTGGGAGGCTGAGGAAGGAGAATCGCTTGAACCTGGGAGGCGGAGGTTGCAGTGAACTGAGTTCGCACCTTTACACACCAGCCTGGGCGACAGAGCGAGACTCCATCTCACACAAAAAAAATAAAATAAAATTACTCCTTAGGGGCTGAGACCAAGAAACAGTATCAGAGGCTGAACCCCTCGGCGATGAGCGTCTGTCCCAGGACTTGGAAGGGAGGGAGGGAGCATGGCCACGGCAGCTGCCTGCAGGTGCGTGTCCTGCTGCTCCCCAATTCAACATGCTCACCTCATTTCACACCAACAAGCCCGATCCTCAGAGGAGGAACTCAAGGCTCTGAGAGGAAGTACCTGGCCCAAGGGCACATGCCCTGGTGACACAGGCCCATCCTAGGCTCCGACTGCCCACCTCCAAGCTCCAGGCTACCCTGAGCAGGTGGAAGAGGGAGAGGGCCCCAAGCAGGTCCCAGTGGTGGCTTTGCACAGAGAGGGCAGCCTGCCAGAGTTCACGCAGGAAAGCAAGTTGCTGGGCAAGCTAGCGTGAGTCCCAGCCCCGCTGTGCTGCCCGAGGGTGGAGGAGCGTCAGGCGTGCTTCCTGTCTGTCTGCAGCAGCCCGGCTGGCCCAAAGAGACCCTGGGGACCCACGCTCTGAGTCACGGCTTCCCAGGCCTTAGTCAGAACGGCCCCTGGTGGCACTCCCTTCCAAGGGGTGGGGAGCAGGGCCTGTCGACTTGCTCCTGACCCACACACCGAACCAGTCCCTGTCCCAGCTCTGCCGCCGCCGCTCTGCTGCGTGACTCCAGGAACCCCCAGCCTCGCTGAATCCACGTCCCCAGAAGAGAAAAGCCTGCCAGGCCTTGGCCTGCCCTGTCTGGGAATCCTTGATGGAGCCACCCCGAAACACCCCTATGGGAACCCCTTTGGTCTTCATCATTCTTGGGTGTTTTCCACTGATGACTGGGGGTGTCCCCAGTGGCAGCTGGGCCTGAGCTGTCAGCCAAGACGGGAGACAAACAAGCCTGTGACTCAGGCAGGGCATGGCACAGCTGGCGGAAGGAGGCATGCCTGTTCTTTGTGGCTGGGCGGGGGGTTATCCGGACACAGGGAGTCTCCAGCTTCCGGCTTTCCCACCTCGGTGCCCCCAGCCCACACCTGCAGCTTGGCCATGGTTCTTGGGGCCTCCCAAGGCTGCCCCTGCTGGCAAAGGCATCCTGATGCACCCGCCCCAGGGTGAGCCAAGGGCAGAGACACCCAGAAACGCCAGGCTGGAAGGTTGGAGAGCCCCTCCTCGCCCCCCGCAACACCAATAAGCCCTGCCCCACCCTCCAAGCCCTTGGGGTGAGCCCCATCACTAGTGACTATAACTGAATTTCAATGCAGAATATTATACAAATTAGTAGTTTATTTCTTCCTTTAGTATTACAGTTCCAAAACATAACTTGAAGGTCAGCACAGGAGCTGCTGTGATATAAAAGGAGAGAGTCACCTGGCGCCCCCTGCAGTCCTCCAGTTGCCCAGCAGCGGTGGGACGCTCAGTGGCACACACTGGGTCTCTGTATGGCCTCCCACCTGCAAGGACTTCCCCGGGCAGGCCCAGCTGCCCAGAAGCCCCGGAACACACAGGAAGACAACACTATAGGATGGCAGGTGGGGATCTGTGCAATACAAACATGTAGCTAGAAAACCCAACTGAGGATCTGTCTAGAATACTTCCGATATCAATATACCGTAGTTGTTGAAACCAGAACCGTCTCCAGCCGTCAGCAGTCTTGGCGGCTACTGTACAGCTGTCAGCATGACTACAGGCAGCACCCGAGGCTATCTGGGGTAAGAAGTGGGCCTGCACATCACATCGGTGAGTCAGTGAGAGTCAGGGCCAGAGGGAAAAGCAACTCGGAGGCTGAGGCTGGCACAGATACACACAAGGGAGTCACACACATAACATAAGAACTTGTTATATAAAATAGATATGTGGAATCTAGAAACACCTTGAGAAAATAGCCTATAAAAATATAAACTGTAGTGAGAGTGTACAAAAGTATTAACAGAGGTTCAACCCATAAAAAACCCCATCCATTTAAAAGCTGGCAATTCGCAGCAGATGTGGGGAGGGAGCTCCCCTCGGTCCTGGTGCGCGCATTTGGACAGGCCTTTGGGTTTCCCAGCTGGCAGGGTCCCCCTTGCAGGGGCCACGGGCTGGGTGTTGGGGTGAAGGTTCAGAGGAGGAACAGCAGCTTGGGGCAGCCCCTGTCAGAAGGGCCCCCTGCCATGGCAGCCAGTGGAGGCCAGGGACCTTCAGGGCACTGGAGGGGACAGAGCAGCTCTTTCCTCAGTGACCCGAGGGAGGGGAAGTGTTAGCGCAAAAGAGTGGGGCCCACAGTCCTGGAAGGAGGAGTTGGCTCCGTCCCGTTCCCAAACTTTAACCAGGCGGAGCCGCCCTCTCTTGCCTTCTGGACACGCATCACTTGATTCCAGGCAGGAGAACCTCTGAGAAAGTGTCCCCAGTCCCTTTCCTCCAGGAACTCTCCTGCTGTCGCACACACACACTACCCGGCAGCTGCTGACAACTGCCTGGAAACACTAACATACCACCGTGGGTTGCAGCCACGACGGGCCCCTGGTCAGGTGCATCTCTCAGGGCAAACTGGACAACACGAGCCTGTCCCTAAAGGCAGCTCTTAGCCCCAGGACATGGCAGTGTGTGCTGGCATGTTCCAGGGGCCATTGGCTTGGAAAGTAAAACCTAAGGGCAGCTGGTGCTGGCCCACGGGCCCAGCCCCATTCCTGCTGCACCTCCTCAGCAGCCACCCCCCAGGCTGACAGCTGTCGTTTCACGATGGGCTGAGGGGTGGGGTGGGGGGTTTCCAACACTTGATTCGAGCGGACTGCAACGCCCAGCTCACAGGACAACTGAAGGAGTCAGACCTCAAATTGCTGTTCTCAAAGACAATGACAACACCCATTTTTGATGCCTGAAAAGAGGCAAAGGCTTCTGGCTAAATATAGAGGCCAGCTCCGTCTACCCAGTGAAACATTAACCAACTCCGCTAAAGACACGAAGCCGGAGCTCACTCTAGCATGTGCTGAAACACCAACTTTGCCGTGGCATTGCTAGAAAGTTGACAGCAAAAAATAATAGGAAAAAAGTACTTCTTAAAACTGCATTACTTCAATTCTTAGTCTCAGTGTGTTCGTATCAACAGAGGATGGTTTCCAGTTTTTTTCGGGTAATATGAAACATTCCACTGAGACTGTTTCTCCTGTATTTTCATAACACTGTGCCAGAAAACATCCTCTCACATCTACGCATCAGGGATGGTCTAGAGGGATTAAGCAAAAACAAGCTCCTTGCTCAAAGCCTCTCCCCAGCCTTCAGAAAGGCAGTCCTCTGAGTTCCCAGAAACTGCTGTGTCAGAGGCAACAGTGACCCTGCATCCTGGCAGAGAACAAGGATGCTTCCAGGCAGTGGTGGGGTGGGCACACATCTGGGAGAGCTCGCCCAAGCCTGCCCCAAGCAAAAAAGTTTCCCAGCCCCAGGCACTGGCAGCTGGCCTCCTGCACAACCCAGGCAGGTGGAGGAGACACCAGGAGCACTGGCCATCCCCAAGGAGGCCATGGTTTTCAGCTGTCCAAGACCGTTCACACTGCGGCTGCACCACTGCCCTGCAAAGCACCCCCGAAAACATTCCTCCATCCCCTCAACCAAGGCCAGCCCAGGCGTGGGCCTGCTTTGCAATATGACGGTCCACTGTTTACTTGGAATCCCATCCCATCGTACTTGGTGAATGATTTCCACGAGTCAAGAAGGGCATTCCACAGAATCTCATGGAGCCATGTCAGGCATGGGGCAAGCTGGGGACAGAGCAGCCCAGTGATCTGCAAACACAGGCTGGCCATGAGAAGTGAGGGTGGGTGTCTGGGCAGCCAGGCCCTCCCCATGCAGGCTGGGAGCCACTGTTGGAAGAGTTGTGTGTGGAAGAGCACAGGCTATTCTAGAAATGGGGCATGGCTGGCAGCTTAAAGCCACCAGTGGGAGGTTCACGGGCTTTCTACAGTGGCCATTTCTGAACAAAGGATGTGCCTGCTTTTCTAAGGCAGCCCCTTTTCATACCGACCTTATGCCTGAGGCAGCAACCCTCTGGCCTACAGGTGCCTGAAGCATAGTGGGCATCCTTCATAGCACTGCCATTCAAAACCACACACCACTGCCCACTATGTACAGGAGAGAGAATATGGGGAGATGCCCAGCAAAGCAAGGTTTCAGAGGGTCAGAGCACCGACAGGCTGACGGAGGCTGGAAACAGGCTCTTGCAAATAGCCACTGGTAAGCCCGAGGATCCACCAATCAGGCAGAAAGCGTGACTGAGATATGTATAACCAAAAGTATGGCACGGAAATGGCTGTAAACAGATTAGACCTCCCACCCCTGCCCCCCGCACAGTGGGAAATGAGGAAGGGCAGCCTGGCTTGGGACATCTGCCCAGCAGATCCCCAGAGGCCACACACGTTACATTCTGGCTTTTAAGTGCACTTTCACCCTTTGGGCACACTTTGGTTGTGAAGGCAGGAAGAGCAGCGTCCCGGAGCCCACTCAGGTATCCTCCTCCTCGTCACTGACCAGCTCACCCTTGTCAGGGCTGGTGTCCCGCTCATGCAGGAAGTCCTCACGGATGGCCTCCAGCTCGGTCAGCTCCAGCCGGACTTTCTCCAAGTGGTAGGCACGTCGGTTCCGGATCTGGCGTACGGGGAAAGGGTTCAGGTCCCCAAAGGAGATACTGATCAGCTTCCTGGCAGGACGCAGGGGAGAGACAAGAGAATCAGCGGCGCTCCAGAGAGTGCTCACACACAGCCCTCACAGGCACAGCAGGTGGCCTGGGGCAGGGTGGGAAGAGCACTGGCCAGGCTGGGGGCCTGATGCAGGGGACGAGGCCCACCTTCTGCAGAGAGGTGACAAGGAACAAAGGCCCAGCAAGAGGCAGGTTCAGAATGATGGCCTGCACTCCAGCTCTGCCACATGCTTGCTGTGTGACTGAAGTCACTGCCTTTTGTGGCCTCTGATTCCTCATCTGCACACTGGGGTAACAGTAGTGCCACCTCCTAGGGTGTGGGATTACTCGTGTTCCCACACATAAGCGCTGAGAAGAGCTCCTGGCACTTGCATGGTGATGGTGGGTATGTCTGCATCCTTGGGCAGGCACGAGGCCTGGCACCGGGCACGAGTCCAGGACGTCTGTGTCCCAGGATTCATTGACTGGGAATGAACACAGGCC
Source organism: Homo sapiens (assembly GCF_000001405.40). Classification (NCBI taxonomy): domain Eukaryota; kingdom Metazoa; phylum Chordata; class Mammalia; order Primates; family Hominidae; genus Homo; species Homo sapiens. The sequence goes on along the minus strand of NC_000015.10, from coordinate 78,752,629 downwards.
CAGGCAGTCCTGGTGATGACTGTCAGACCTAGTCGGCAATGTGACAAGTGTCCAGATGCAGTCTACAGAGAAATGTGCAGCTCGTGGGTTTCACATCCCCAGGTCAGGGCTCCAATTTTCAATAAAATGTTAAGGTTATGATCCACTTGCTCCTAACCACTGGTCAGTGGCTTAATAAAAACAAAACCAAAAGCTGTCCTGAGGCCTGGCTATGGATTTGTAGCACTAATGGGTCAGTCACACTGGTCTCTGGGGATCACAAAATAGGCCAGTTCCTCCAACACTGGGGCCACCATCTTCCCCTCTCTGGATTCTGCCAGGCCCCAGATGCTTTGTATCCACCAACATGGGCTCATGCGCTTCCCTGTCAACCAAAGGCCCAACAGACTCACCAGCCCCAGGAAAAGCTGTGATGAAACAGAAATGCCCCGAAGGACTTCCTGCCTGTCCCCATCAGAGCAGGCCATTTGCTCCTGCTGCTGTCGGCTGCGTGGGCTCCTTTTAACACAGGCACACACGAGGGTGCAACCTTTTATGTTTCAAAACACCCACTACTACCTGGACATGCTTAACTCTCATCCAGAGGCTTAAGGTCAGAAAGGCCAGCTTTATTTAAATTCCGAATTCACCAGTGTGTGTTCTGGAACATGGGAGCACCAGAGAACAGAGAACGCCCAAGCACAGGGGTCCCCGCGTGTGGATTTCTCAGGTTCCGCCTCCTGCCTGGCTCTGCAGACCGGGCTGCCAGCCCCAGCAGGTGGGAGGAGGCTCCGTGTGAACGGGGCACAGGGTCCCCACCACCAGTCCTTTCTCCCCAACAGCTGTCAGCCCACAGCCCCCACAAACCCCAAACCTACGGCGCCCAACACTCCTGTGCTGCAGAACACGAGCCCGAAGTATAATTCTTCATTTGCTCCTCAGTCAGGAGCTGACAGAGACCCCTCGGCCCAGGCTGGCACCCGGGAAGCCAGACCCCACCTCTGCCTCAGGCCTGGAAGGTTCCTCTGGGAGATGAGAAGGTGTCCCATGGTCAGCTAAATTTGGGAGACGATGCTCAGCGCCTTAAAAGGCTCCTAGAAGTCCTGCTGCAGAACGTGGTTCAATCCTGTGTAACTCCCGTCTCCTGAATGCAGCTGACCACACAACTCCCTCCCTGTGTTTCTGAAGGCCAATCGCTGTGCTGCAGGACTGGCCTCCTTGCAACCACTAGTCTGGGAAGCTCATTAAAACACTGAGGCTCCAGCCCAGAGGCGGGTTATGGGCCCCTGCAGTCTTGATAACAGCGGGGAGCCTGCCACCGCCTTGGCACTCTTTAAAGCACCTGTTGGTGTGGCGACCCCGCTTTCTAAAGCAAGCTGCAGGGGAGACCGTACCGCGAGCCGCTCACAAGGAGGCGCTGCAGGACCATGCAAGGCCCAGCAGTGTGGGAGGGGCCAGGTCGGCCTGCGGTGCCAGGGAAGGGGCGGGCACTCGCCAGAGCCACGCCCACTCGCCTCGGCTCCTCCTGGCAGCGCCTGGGACCCAGTACAGAACTGAGGGCAGCGGCGCTCCCAACACTGCCCTAGCTGTCGGCATGGGTGAGCTCACTCCCTGTCACTCTCGGCAATCCTGACCCAACACGAGATGAACAGAAACCCCCCAGGCTCACCCCAGGACTCAGAATCAAATTTCCCCCGCAAATATGATTCCCATATCCCTCCTCATTTGGCAGAAATCAGGGCACTCTTGTTGGTGCTATTAGTAAGCCTGAAACTATTACAAACACACTCCCCAGTAAAAGACTAAAAATAGCGATGACCTCCAGGAAGCCTGGCATGGCCTCAGCCAGCACCTCAGCTCCCATTGTCCAAATCGGCTCTCAGGGTCAGAGCAGCCAACAGCTGCGGTCCAGGGGATATACGGATGAGGGTGGCCCAGAACAGGCAATGACCGTGTGGCCAGGGAGGGTTCCTGAATACTTGGCTGCCCAGGCCAGAAACACAGGGCTCTTCCAAGTCAAGGATCACTTGAGCCCGGGAGTTTGAGACAAACCTGGGCAACATAGTGAGACCTGGTCTCTACACAAAAATTTAAAAAATAGCTGGGCTTGGTGGTGGCACGTGCCTGTAGTCCTAGCTACTCAACAGGCTGATGTTGGAGCATCACTTTGAGCCCAGGAGGTTGAGGCTGCAGTGAGTGGTGATCTCATCCACGGTACCCCAGCCTGGTGACAGAACGACATCCTACCTCCAAAAAAAATTTTTTTAAACTGAGTAGACAGGTGTCCTGGTGGCATGACAGGTCCTGGGTCCCCTTCCAGATCTGTGACCTTGGACAGGTGGCTTTTCCTCTGGACTTCAGTGTCCCCATCTGAGTGAGAAAAGGCAGTGGGGACGCAGATCTTCAAGTTGAAGCAGTGTAGAAGCCGCATCTGAAAAGCCATACTTGGGGCTCCAAGTCCAGCACACAGTCCTAGCAGGGCCCAGCGGGGTGGCCAGGGTGGCACAGGTATCAGGTCCCAACCTCCTTCCCTCTTTGCCCACTCTCAGACCAAGGAATTCATCTTCTCAGAGCTGCTGTCCAACCTGTACTCGCATGGGGACCAGAACACGCTGATGGAGGAGTTGGCAGAGAAGGCACAGTGGGGCGGCGAGATGCTGCGCAAGCGCCACGTGCTGACGGAGGCACCCAGCAACATCGGTGAACATCAACACGACCACTGTCAGCACGCCCACGGGGGCCCGTGGATGACTCCTGGCTGCAGGTGCAGAGCATCCCAGCTGGACGCAGGTACCAGGGCCAGCCCCCACGGTCCCAAAGTCCCCCAGGCTCCATGGCTGAGCCTGGGGGCTCTTGAAACAGGCTCCGTGCCCAAGCTGGCAGATGTGGGTAATCATGCCTGTAATCCTAGCACTTTGGGAGGCTGAGGCAGGCAGATCACTTGAGGTCAGGAGTTGGAGACCAGCCTGGCCAACATGGCAAAACCTGTCTCTACAAAAAAAAAAAAAAAATGAATTGGGCGTGGTGGCGGGTGCCTGTAATCCCAGCTACTCAGGAGGCTGAGGCATGAGAATCGCTTGAACCTGGGAGATGGAGGCTGCAGTCAGCCGAGATTGCACCGCTGCATTTCAGTCAGCTTGAGCAACAGGGTGAGACTCCGTCTCAAAAAAAAAAAAAAGGTAAGAATGGTTCAACTTTTACTTCATCCTATCAATAGGTTAAAGAAGAGTAAAATGGACAGATTTGGAAAACCATTTTTTATTTAAAAAGAGAAAATTAGGAACAGATGAAAACTGTCTTAAGAGTATTTGAGAAACAAAACAGCAAATTTAACATCAGACAAAATATCTAAATTGAGAAATAAAGTTAAAAGGTGGATGGTGTGCCCTTTTAATGTCATACTGGAGCATTGTTTCATAGATACTTGTTTTACTATTAAAGATTGATTATTTAGAGCCGTGGTCCTCACACATTAGAGTGCATCATCATGCCCTGCAGGGCTTGTGAAACCGGCTGCTGGGCCTCACACCAGAGTTTCTAACTCAGTAGGACTGAGGTGGGGCCTAAGCATTGCATGTCTATGTTCCCAGGTGACGCTGATGCTTCCAATTTGAGACCATGCTTTGAAAAGCACTAGTGCAGGGAAATATACTACAGAATATGTTATGAATATACTGGAGAATATGTATATATGTTAGCTTACAGATTTCTGTCCAGTAGAAAAGATAACTCCCAAAGGTGACGTTTTTATTTCCCGATATGATTTTCTTTTTAAGTCAGAATCTTGCTCTGTCACCCAGGCTGGAGTGCAGTGGGATGATCTCGGCTCACTGCAGCCTCCACCTCCCAGGTTCAAGTGATTCTTCTGCCTCAGCCTCCCAAGTAGCTGGGACTACAAGCACCCAGCACCGCGCCTGGCTAATTTTTGTATTTTTAGTAGAGACGGGGTTTCACCATGTTGGCCAGGCTGGTCTTGAACTCCTGACCTCAGGTGATCCACCCACCTTGGCCTCCCAAAGTGCTGGGATTACAGGTGTGAGCCACCATGCCCAGCCTCCCTATAGGATATTAACAAGTTTTGTCTCTATCTCAGAATGCATTTCGGAATGCCCTTCCTGGAGCACTACAGACACTGTCTCTCAAAATGCTCCTTGAACTAGCTTCACCGTGTTGCTGACTCCCTTGTAAATTAAAGAAAATATCTTATACGTATTCCTTCATTATCTGTATGAAAGTCAAGCTTTTCACATTGTGAAAATTATACTTCAGGCTGGGTGCAGTGGCCCATGCCTGTAAGCCCAGCACTTCGGGAGGCTGAAGTGATGGGATTACTTGAGGCCAGGCGTTTGACACCAGCCTGGCCAACATGTCGAACCCCATGTGTACTCAAAAAAAAAAAAAAAATCAAAATTAGTTGGGTGTGGTTGCACACACCTGTAGTTCCAGCTACTTGAGAGGTGGAGGCACAAGAATTGCTTGAACCCAGGAGGCAGAGGTTACCGTGGGATGACATCGTGCCACTGCACTCCAGCCAGAGCCAGAGCGAGGCTCTCTCTTGAAGGAAAGAAAAAAGAAAATTATACTTTGATACAGTATGCTAATATAAAGGATATGATATGGTTTGGCTCTGTGTCCCCATCCAGATCTCATCTTGAATTGCAATAATCCCCACGTGTCAAGGGTGTGGGCCCAGGTGGAGATAATTGAATCATGGGGGCAGTTTCTCCCGTGCTGTTCTCGTGATAGTGAGTGAGTTCTCACGAGATCTGTTGGTTTTATTATAGGCTTTCCCCTTTGCTCGGCTCTCCTTCTCTCTCCTGCTGCCCTGGCAAGAGGAGTCTTCTGCCATAATTGTAAGTTTCCTGAGGCCTCCCCAGCCATGCAGAACTGTGAGTCAATTTAAACCTCTTTTCTTTATAAACTACCCAGTCTTGGGTATTTCTTCATAGCGGAGTGAGAATGGACTAATACAGTGTACTAATAACAGCCCAGACAGTAGTATACAGGTACTAGTATACTTTGATGCTAGAGGTATTCCCATTAAGGTCAGGAGCAGTATGCGCTATCATTACCATGATCTAACATTGTTCCAGAGGGTTTTAGGTCAGCAGTTCTCAACTGGAGGTGATTTTGCCGCCCTGGGGATATTTGACAGTATCTGAAATCACTTTGGCTGTCACACTGAGGAGTGCTGCTGGCATGTGGCAGGCGGAGGCTGGGGATGCTGCTAAACATCCTGCGAGGCGCAAACAGCTCCAGAACAGAGAACTGTCCAGCCCTAAACATCAACAGTGCTGCTGTGGAGAAAGCCTGGTCTAGACAAATAAAACATGGGAAATCCATTAACATACATGTGGGTGGATAATAAACTGGCATTTGCCAATGGCAGTCTAGCTAGGAGGTCCAAAAGGAGCACCTGAAGGACAGTTAGATTTTGCAGGGGCTGCATGGTGGCTCATGCCTGCAACCCCAGTGCATTGTGAGGTCACATTGGCAGGATCTCTTGAGGCCAGAAGTTCAAGACCAGCTTGGGCAACATAGTGAGACCACATCTCTACCAAAAATTAAAAAATCAGCCAGATGTGGGGGTGTGCTCTGAGAGTCCCAGCTGCTGAGGTGGGAGTATCACTCGAGCCCAGGAGTTGGAGGCTACGGTGAGCTGTAATCAAGCCACTGTACTCAAAAAATATTTTTTTTGAAATAGGGTTGTTTTCCATTGCATACAGGGTCTTGCTGTGTTGCCCAGGCTGGTCTCGAACTCCTGGCCTCAAGCAGTCTTCCTGCCTCAGCCTCTCAAAATGTTGAAATTACAGGCATGAGCCACTCCCCCTGGCCTTAAAAAATAAAAATAAAAAAATAAATTACATGGTGTTATGTGGCCAGTTGAAAGATGTTAGAAAACAGTTGTGCATGTGACCCAGCTGTAACCAGTTATAAAAGTATCAGGATCATTAAGAAATGTACTATATCTGGCTTTCCCAAGTTTAGGTTCCTGATGAAAGAATGAGATGGACCTTTTCTTCCTCCCCTCCTCACCTCCCTGCAAGAACCAGGATTGTGCATTTTGACGGGCAGGCTCTTACCTCTGGCAGGCCACAGGGGGCATGCAGAGCCTTTCTGCATGTGCTTTTTGGGCACTCGGATAAAGACCCCCTGTCCAGGCCTTTGTTTAGGATATTTGGCCCATGGAGAAATGAGGCTGGAATCACCTGGGAGGGATAGAGGCTTCAACTGGAAGGAGGAGTGACCTGAACTCCAGGTTGTGGGCCTACGCTTTGTTCCCATGCAGCACCTCGTTAGTGGTGACTGAGGCCTGGAAGTCGGGGACCTTGGTGACCAAGTGTTGAGTGGACAGGAGGAGCTAAGGGAGGTGAGGGGCATCTCTCCAGTACTGACCCCTCCCCATGCCCAAATCAATGCCCTCTATCAGCTCAGACACAGCCCCACCCAGCAGCAGTGCGGGTCAGGAAGGGCAAATGCAGTCGGCACGGATCTGCTCCATAGTCTCCACCTCACTTCGTCTCGGGTTGAGGGGAGTGAGTCCCCACAGCACTGATATGATATCCTGTCAGCTGAGAACATCCAGCTTGATTTAGACAGATAAGGTGGGACATCTCTAGGGCATGGTGTGTGGAGCAGTGCCATCCCTCTGTGGCAGCGAGCCAAGCAATAAACCAGAATGTGCAAAACCTGCGTCCCAGAATCACCATTCCTGGAGGAAAAGCCTATATTGTCAAGATGCCCACAACTAAATTAACCCAAACATTCCACCCAGCCTCGAAAAACCAGTAGAACTTTGACATTAATACACTAACCCTCAGTTCTATACGGAAATGTGTAAGAATAGCCAAATAATGTAACGTGCGGTCATTGAGAGAGAGAAGCCCGTCAGAACAAATGGAACCAAGTCCAGAAACATGTTTGTCTAGGCGCAGGATGCCAGCATGTGTGTCAGCCAGGGAAGCAGACCAGGAGGAGATATTAAGATTTAAAACCCAGCTCTGTAGCTCAGGCCTATAATTTGAGCGCTTTGGGAGGCTGAGGTGGGAGAATCACTTGAGCCCAGGAGTTTGAGGCAGCAGTAAGCTATGATCGTGCCACTGCATTCCAGCCTGGATGACAGAGCAAGACCCCATCTCAAAAAAAAAAAAAAAAAGTGCTCAGATGCACCCTTACATGAAGCCACCTTTGGCACAGCTTCCAAGACTGGCCAGGCCTCACTCAGGACCATGGGTCCCAGCCATAGCTCAGTTTCCACTGCCTGAGTGGCACAGAGTCCTCAGTCCAGTCTCTGTTGGGTCTCAGATTCCCCGATCATGCCCCTTCTGTCCAACCTCTGCCCCATTATGGCCTCCACTGACCACAGCCTCTTCCACCTTCCCAAAGGGACCACTGCTCATGTTCTCCAGCCCACAGGAGTGCCTGCTTCTCCAGGCAGCCCACCCTGCTAGCTCTGGGCTCTATGTAGAAGAGCTGGGAAGGCTGGATCCCGCCACTGAGTTCAGTCTCGGGGGTCTCCACCCATGCTAGGCTTCCACTGATGGGACATAAGTGGCCTGAGGGTTGTTTACATCCACACAAGAGCCCCATGGTGACCAGGAATGGGGTTCTGAGAGGTTACATGACTTGCCCAGGGTCCCAGAGCTGGCTAGAATTCCTGCACTGCCACATTTGGGCCTCCCAGTTGGGGGTCCGGACACCCCTCTGCATCTACCAGGCTGAGAAACACGTGTCTGCTGCAGCTTCCTCCCAGTGACTTATAGCAGCTGCAAATTTTTGGGGGGCCTTCTACGGGGCCCACCACAGCAGGGAGCCAAGAACTCTTAACAGAGCCCTGTGTTCTCTCTCTGCCCCCTTCAGCTCCGAACTCATGTACTAGCTGCTCTGATGTAAAAACAGACCTTGGTGAGGATGTTGGGACTCTGGTCAGTAGCCCAGGCCTTCAGGAATCAGGTGATGTCAATCTGGAGAGGAGGTGCCTGCTGCGGGGAGCAAGCATGGGCCACGGTCCTGGCCCCCTGCAGGGGTAGCCCCTCTTCCTTCCCATGGTCCCATCTGAAGGCATCCAGGGTAGAGTGCAGTGTTCAGCTGTGTCCTGGGGTCCAGGAAAGCCAAGGAGAAGTTGCTCCACCTGCTGTCCACCAGGTACCCCAGCAGAGAACAGCCTCAGCCCACCCCAGCCCAGCACCAGATCCCAGGGACTGATCCACCTGTAAGAGGGCAGCATGAGACTGCCCCCATTGTCCCCAGAGAGTCCCCTCAGTCATGGGCTCTGACCAGGGTGCAGGTGGGCCCAGCAGGCTGGCCCAGCATGGGTGTGGCTGCCCATTGGTCCTCTGAAGAGCCTCAGGGGCTTGTGGCAGCAGGTGTATGTCTGGGCTTGGAAGCAGAGGATGTCCCGCAGCCAGAAGGCAGGGGGCACTTGTTTTGCATTCCAGTCCTCTGCAAGGACAGGGACCCCAGGCTCTGGGCACCCCAGCTCTGCCCACCCTACACCCACAGCCTACCACCATTTGGCCCAGGCAAGTTGCCCCAGCTCCCACAGAGGGAGCCACCCTTCCCACTTCCTGATGTTTGCCCACCCCAGTCAAGTTCCATTCTGGAAAAACCCTCCACATCCTTGGGAAGGCACCTCCTCCTTGACTCCTTTCCAGTGCTATCATCCCCACGTTCATTTTCTACCTATCATTGGATGCAGAGACCCGCTTCTTCCCTGGGCCAGGGCTGCTCTGGAGGCAGGGAGGTTGTGACCAGGCTGTGGGGTATAGCAGAGCACCGGGTATAGACCAGACTCCCCAGGCACACCTGGGCAGAGAAGTCAGAGACCCACAGGTGAATGCCCCTCTTTCCAGCCCCACCCACCTCACAGGCAGAAAGAGGGAGGCTTCACAAGGAGGTTGAGGTAAATAGGGAGCCCGGGTCACCTCTGTCTGATCTCCTGCCCTCCTGGGACAAAGCCAGAGGTTGGAGCTGGGAGGTGTTGAGAGCCCTGGCCCAGCCCTGGTTTCACTGATGAGGCTCAGGGAGGGGCTGGGTCAGCCTAAGTCACTGGGTCCATAAGGAAGGGCCCTTTCCATAACCCAGGACCCTAGAGCTAGCCGAGGCCACATCCCTTTCCCACGTAGACCAAGTAGGGGCATGAACTGGCTTCTGGCTTCTAAGGCCGAGGCCCAGCACACCTCTCCCTCCCCTTGCCTGCAGCTGTTGTCACACATCAAAAGTGCTTTTTTTCCCCCAAGGTGCTGGAGGCGCAGCTCCTTGGGCTGGACCAGGTGGCCAATCCAAACAAGTCCTTGTGTGTCCCCCACCAGCCAGGAATTCTCATGCCATGCAGCAGCTGGGGGCACTAGGATACCCTGGGGGATTCCAGGGATGAGCCCTCCCTGAGGCTCCTACAGCAGCACTGCCACCCCCAGACCTGCCACCAGCTCCGTTTCCATGCAGCCTTCAAGAACCTGGCCCCTCACACACACCTGCCCCACTCCTCACACCTGGCTTTCCTGTGAAACGTGGAACTGGTTCCACCTGGGCCAGCTGGAGAAGGGCCTCAGGAAATCACCATTTAGGGGGTTCGTTCCAATCATTCATTCATTTATTCACCAAATACCCACTGTCCACCTTTCTGTACCAGGCCAGAGGTGATGGGTCAAGCAGAACACATGTCCCAAGGAGCTTTCCTCTCTTTAGAGACAGGCAGGCGGACTCTCACACCATGAGGTGCCCTCTGGGCTAGGGGGTACCCAGGGCTGGATGCAGGGGCGGCCCTCGCCCACAGGAGGTGCTGGTGGGTACTGACATGGAGGCCACCAGGGGGTGAGGGTGTCCAGACAGAGGACCTAGCATGTGCCCAGGCCCAGGGTGTGACCGGGGGCAGGTGCAGGGCTGCTGTATCTGGAAGGCTTCCTGGCTCTGCCAATGATAGGCTGTGGCTGGATCAGGCTTCATGTCAATTTTTAACATTTAATAAATTTTGATTATGTAACTAAACATTGTGATAAAAATTGTGAAATATAAAAGTTAAAAACACAAAAACCAGCAAACCCCTTCTCTCCCCAAGTAACTACTTCAACAGTATTTTCAGACTTTTTTTCTCATGTATCTGCAGCTATAAACTTAAGTTGCACAAGATAGTATCCTTCCCCATATTCTGTTTTGAAGCTGGATTTTTCACTCAGCAGTGAATAGAGGCAGGCTTTAAACAGGCCACGCATTGTGAGGGCCCTGGGAAAGGAGACTGACCATGTTGCTGGGTGACCTAGGGCAAGTCTCGCCCTCCTCAGAGCCTGGATTTCCTCAGTCCGGTGAAGGGCAGGAAGGGCTGCAGTAGGACTACATCAGCGCTTCCCAAACTCAGAACCGCCACGTGGAGCTGTGTGAGCTGTCACTGCACAACCCCAGGGGCAGGAGCATTCTTGTCACGGCCTCTGTGAGTGGGGCTCCTGCCCAAAAGTGTGCTGTGCCAACCTGGGGCCCACAGGAGGATTTTAGGCGATATGCGGATGAATTGATTTTAACCATTTCCTTCTATCTGTAGTGAATGAGACCGATTCTCACCGGGAGGGCGTGTTAAACCACAGGTCACTGAACCCACGCCTCAGAGGTTCTGATTCAGGAGGTCTGGGGTGGCGCCTGAGAATCTGCATTTCTAACAAGTTCTCAGCTGATGGGGATGCTGATGCTGCTGGCTCAGGGACCACACTTTGAGAACCACTAACCACAAGTTTCTTTTTATTCATTTATTTAAGGCAGGGTTTTGCTCTGTCAGCTAGGCTGGAGTATAATGGTGCAATCACAGCCACTGCAGCCTCGACCTCCCAGGCTCAAGCAATCTTCCTGCCTCACTTCCTGAGTAGCTGAAACCATAGGAACATGCCACCATGCTGGATTTTTTTTATTTTTTGTAGAGACGGAGTTTCACCATGTTGTTCAGGCTGGTCTTGAATGCCTGGGCTCAAGCAATTCACCTGCCTTGGCCTCCTATAGCAAAAGTTTCCTTTTTAAGTACATTTATTTAGGTTTTAAAAATGAGTTAACTTAAAGCACATGAATAGATCCTCAACACTAACCACTGGGGAAATGCAAATTAAAACCATAGAGCTTTGTTACCCAGGGGGTGGTCAGTGGGCCAGCAGCATTGGCTCACCTGGGAGTTTGTTAGACATACGGACTGGCAATCTCACCCAGCCCAGCTGAAGCAAATTTGCATTTAACAAGATTTCCAGGTGATTCCTATGCTCTTTGAAGTTTGAGAAGCACTACCCGGGAGAGGAATAGAGATTATCAACTTCAAGCCTACTCTTGTCCAACAGTTGAGCAAAAGAGTCACAGCTGACCTCTCCCGCCATCCTCAGAATCATCTGTGGGGAGGGTGGGGCATAGGGTGGAAGACCTTCAAAGTCCGAAGAGTTTGACTTTTGGGGCTCAATGCTGCAGGCCATAGGGAGCCATGGAAGGCTCTCAGGTGGGTCAGACTCTCTGACCTGAGGTAAATAAATGACAGCTGAACATTAGCGAGCAAGCCCTGTCTCCATGAGCAGCACCGGTGGTCCTCTGAGCATGCCAGGCATGAGTGTGCAGGGAGCTGGTGCAAATACCTCTGTGTTTGGGTGAGCTTCTGTGTTGTGACTCTGCTCACATGTGTGCTTCAGTGTGCCAAGTGGCTGCACACCCCAGATCTGTGCTGCACGTGCCAGCCAGTGAGGGTGCTGGGTACCAGGATGTGGCGGGGAAGGAGGCGTATGCGTGTTGTGGACATGTGTGTTAGCGTGTGCATGCCGGCTGTGCATGCTGTGGGGCCTCATAGCATGTGTGTGCACACCCCGGCATGTGCGTGTGTGTGTGTCCCCCAACCCCAGGCCTGCCCCACCCATGCGTGTGACCTGTCATGTTGATCTGATGCTTTCAGAATCACTATCAGTGGTCCCTGAGGAGCATCAGCCATGGTAGGTACATGCCTCACCGCCTGCTCCATGAACGGTGTTCCTGCCCCGCTGCACCGGCTCCACACGGGGGCGCACCTGGGACCTCAGATCCAGGCTCCCTGCCCCTCCCTTCTGGAGCTGCAGATTTGCTCTTTCCTCTTTCTGTCCTCGTGCTGCTGGCTCTCTCACCTCCCTTCCCTGCAAGCCATGGGACTCAGCGCCACTGCCCAAGGCCTCCATGGCTGAGCCTGGGGGCTGTTGGAACAGTCTCCATGCCCAAGCTGGCAGACATGGGTGCTCTCTGTAGTCATCAGAGAGGGCAGAGAGCTCATGATTTATGGTGTAGGGGCTGGGAGCTTGGACGGGGTTGTGTGTGCGGCTGGACTCTGAGGCAGCTAGAGGTCTAGGAACGTCATCCTGGGCACGCTGTACCTGTCGTGCAGTCTGAGTCATGCTGCCAGGTCAGGGTATCCAGATCCCAGCCTGGGAGTGTCAAGAGTCAAACCCACTGCAGAGGAGGGGTGATAGTCAGGGTCCCACCTCCTCTATCTGTTGGCAATCCCTGGTGATCTAGGATAAAACCTTAAGAGTCCCATACACACGGTCATCCCACAACACACTTCACAGGCCAGGCAGGGACACACAGCCCCCTTCCCTCCCTGCCAGGTACCACCGCAGCTGCTAGCGTGTGACTGAAGGCAGGGTCCCTGGCCCCCACTGAAGCACTATCGCCGACCAGCAGGCTCACGCACCTTGGCCTGTTGCTCCTAGGGGTCGCCTGTGCTATTCAGCCAAGGGGACCACAGTGCCTGCTGGCCCAGCTGAGCTCCGCCTAGCGAGCCCACCTGCCTCTCCTGCCATGGACTCTCCCTCTTCTGCTTTTCCCAGCAGGAAGGACCCAGCCTCAGCTATGAAACTTGCAGCCCCCCTCACCCCGCAACCAGCTGAGGCTCCCCTCTTAGACTTATAAGTCTATGGCCAGTGGCATCCGGCTACCTGCCCTCCCTGCCTTCCCCAGGGTCCCTTCAGAGGACCCTGGACTTTCTCACCACCAGAGGGGCCTCTGGTACTCACTCCAGCCATCCATCCCTTATAGCTTCACCATTTTGGTTCAAGCAGTGTTCCTTATCAGGCCAGGTGGCTGTTGGGTGGGGCTCCCCAAGCAAGAGGTGGCCCTGGGCCAGTGGGTTGGAAGGCAGGGTGACCAGAGAAGAGAGAAGCCCAAAGCGGCTGAGCATTGGTCTGAAGTGTGGGTGCACTGCCTGGGTGCCATGGGAGAGGCCAGTGTGTGTGAGCTGGGGAGGGCTGCCGCAGCCCCCAGGCACTACCTGTGAAGCTCTGGCTTCTCCCTCCATCTTCCTCCCCTTTCCCTTCCAGCCCCTCTTTTCCAGGAACCTTTGCTACACCCGCACCTGCGCGCTCCCCTCCCCGGCCCTCCCACAGCTGCTGCGACATGCCCGTGCTCTGCGCTTGCATCACCAGCTCTCTGCTTGCTATTCTCTCTCCTATTTTCTCTCTGCTTTTCTCCAACTGCCAACTGATTGGGTTAGGCAAGTCCATCCCATCCTGAGAGCTCCAGCCCCACTCCAACCTCTAAACAGATCCTCCTCTTCTCAGAGACCTCCCTTTCCAAGCCTGCCTGGGCGGGTGTCCTGTGACTTGACAGTGGCTCCCCAGCCCCAAAGCCAGCCCCCTTCATCTGTGACTTAGTCTGTTGTAGTGGTGAGCTGACACATCCAGGTGTGACCATTGCTGAAAACTTGTGGCCCCTCTGTGGTATGCCCCTGCCTTGTTCTATAAATAGCTATAAATACTCATATATATATAAATATAAATATATATATAAATATACATATATATAAATATATATATAAATATACATATATATATATATATATACACACACACACACCTACATATGGCCGACCACCTCGCCTCTAGCACTGGGAATCAGTCACCGTGCTGTCCTTGTGGAGTCTTGTGGCCCAACAAAAGGAAGGTCTCCCCTGACACTGCCCCTCCAAAGTGTGCCACCTCCAGTGAGCCTGCCTGTCATGCCCAGCCTGTGGACAGCCAGCCCCCGCCATCCGTCCCACCCCCCCACCGTCCCACCCCCCGCCATCCCTCCCACCCCCCACCAAGCATGGGGGTGCTGTGCAGGCAGCTGTGTGGCCTGACAGTCTCTACCAGCCCTGGTGTCCCTTGGCTGAGAATCAAACCCATTTCTGGATGATGGGGAATGTGTCCTCTGCTGGCTGTGTTCTCTGTGGAGCTGAGGGGAGGGAAAAAGCCAAGCCATTTCTAGGGTGCTGTTGGGAGCGGTGAAAAGGCCACACCCTTTCCAAGGGACACTTCCTGGAAAGCCCCTGGAGCTTAGCTGGCTCTTATCCTGTGAAGCTGGCTCTGGCCACTAGGGGGCAGGACCATGAACTCAGCCTGGAGGAGCCTGCGGGGCAGCTGACACTCTAGAGGGCCAGACAGAACAGGCCACCCTGTGCAGACAGGAGAGGGAGGCAAGGGGACGGAACCGAAGACGACTGGGGTGAATGGAAGTCAGTGGCCTTGGGTGCTCGTATCTGCCTTCCCGGCCACCGCTAGATCAGGCTTCTGAGCCTGTTGGCTGTCAGGGCCGGACTGTGCCCCATAGGCGCCATAGCAATCCCCATGCAATCTACCAGGTGTCACCAGGCAGCATACAGGTAACAGGCCTGGAAGGTCCCCAACAGCCCAGCTGGACATGCTCACTCTGGGGCTCTTCATTCAGTGGCGCAAACTCCAGGACCCAGTGAGGGAAATGGGAACCCACCAGGCTGAGCAGTATGGCTAAATCCATTTATTCCAAAATGGAAAGCAAAATAAACAGGAGTCACATCACCAAGGCAGCCAGGACCCCATCCCCTCCTCCTTCCTCTGTCCTATGCTATCAATAAATAAGTTTCCCAGCCGTAAATAATGATTAGAACCTCCTCCTCATATGCCAGCTCCAGCCTCTGGTAGGTATGATACAAGGGGTGGCCCTACCCCCCGGAATATACAAAATGTTACACAGATACTATGTGTACACTGGGGAAGGGGGGCCACCCCAGCAGCCCGAGCCCTCACCTGCTCTACAGTTAGCCCCACTGTCCCGCCTCAGCTGCCTCTCTGAATAAGATGGGAGCCCCCTGAGGGAAAAGTTGCTTTGGTGAGAGTAGGGGAGGCCATCAGGCCTCCTCCAAACAAACCAACTCCGCCAGCCTCTGGCTCTTAAATAACAATCATCATCATCCAGAAATTTAAGGACTCAGCCCTGGTCAGGTGCCAAAGGGTCTGTTTATCTCCCCCCATTAGGCAGGGATCTTGTCTTGCCACCCTAATGGTAAAGGGGTGACTGGGAAGGGGTGGTTGGTCCATGGCGGGGGCGAAGTCTCCAGTCCCACTTCTCCAGGCTTGTGCCGACAGAGACCTGCTTTTATTTTTATCCCATGACTTAAAAAAAAATCCCGTAACTTCCTTTTCATAACTTTTTAAAATACTTTTCATAAAACATTTTTCTACTTTTTTTCACAACTTCTTTTGCCACAACTTTTCCACAGCATTTTTTATCCCATAACTTTTTCATCCCACAACTTTTTAAAATTCCCGTAACTTCTTTTTAGTTTGTTCCTTTAATAAACACACTTGCATAGTTACATTACAATTTCATAAAAATAAAAACTGATTATCTCATGCCAACTGTCCCCAGCATTTTCACAGTCTCAATACTCTTAATACTATAGTTTTCAAGACACATAAAATTTTAAGGCAAAAACAGCACTTTGCAACAATTTAATAATTTATTACATTACAGTAGCATCACAGTAGCAGTGAATAATCCCACTTTAGGCAGTTTCCGTATTTCCATTATACATTCTGTTTACAGGAATTCATCAATTGGTAAAAGTCATTCTAAGAAAACTTGGCAAATAAAGGTTTGGACTTGAATTGGCATCTCTTTCTCTACTTTTCCTTCCTCCAGTTTCTTTGTTTTAAACTACTGTATTCATATTTTAAAATGTTATAATCTCAGCCACCGCTTTGCCCCAAGCTTCCTGCTGCTGCAGCTGGTCCACGAGCTGGGTCTGCAGCAGTAACTGCCTGTGCAGCGCCTCCTTCTCAGAGGTCAGCTGCTGATAGGTGGCCACGTACTGCTGCAGGTGACCCAGGTACTAGTCTCACTGCTGCTGCAGACTCTGAGACTCTTGGCTCTTCATCTCCACCTGCAGGAAGACCCTGGGCATGAGGGCACATGGTGGCTGGCTTCCAGGTTCTGGGCCCATTAATAGGGTAGCTAGGGCACTGTGGGGCTCTGTCACCTGCCCAGGACCCTGCTCCCTTGCTCCAGGCCTAAGAGGCTTCCTCCCTTGCCTAGAACCCCATACCTCCTTCCCCAGCCTCAGATCTCATGTCCTTCTTCCCACCATTTAAACTGTAGGCCACAGACTGGTGGAAAAGCAGAGGGAGCCAACCACCATCTGCTAAGTGTGCTACATGCCTAATGCTTTCCAGGTATTCTCTCATTCAATCCTCAGCACCTCTGCAAGGAAAATGCTAACTTCCTTTTGAAGTTACAGAAACAGAGACTAAGAGATGAACAGTAGTTGAATGGTGACCAGTGGAACCGAGGTCGGAATCCAGTTTGAATCTAAGGAGGCTTTTTTGTTTTGTTTTGTTTTGTTTTGAGACAGTGTCACTCTGTGGCCCAGGCTGGAGTGCAGTGGTGCAATCTCAGCTCACTGCAACCTCCACCTCCCGGGCTCAAGCGATTCTCATGCCTCAGCCTCCTGAGTAGCTGGGATTACAGGCATGCGCCACCATGCCTGGCTAATTTTTTATTGTTGTTTTAATTTTCGTAGAGATGAGGTTTTGCCATGTTGGCCAGGCTGGTCTCAAACTCTTGACCTCAAGTGCTTCTCCTGCCTCAGCCTCCCAACGTGCTGGGATTACAGGTGCAAGCCAATGTGCCCCGCATAAGGAGCCTCTTGTACCACTGTCTCTTCCCCCGATTGGGGGAATCCATGCCTCTAGCTGGGGGGATGATGTCCAGACCTGGGAGGAACCCAGGGCTACCCACCTCTAAAAGTCAGAGGGCAGGAAGCAAGAAACATTCATAGGGCTGCCCTGGAGGGTGCTGGGGTCACCTGCCCCCCAGCTGGAGCTGCCTTTGGCCTGGCACCTCCCTTCCCCAGAGGCTGGTGCCCGCCTCCCAGCCCTTCTTGGATGGGGTGGAGGTTACCATCTCCTTCACCTCGCCTGGCTTCTCCTTCAGCTCCTTTACTTGCTTCTCCAACTGCAGTGTGCTCTTGTTCTCGTTGTTCTGGACAGAAACAATCAGTGGCCATCCACTGCAGCGGGAGACCCCTGAACTTGGTGTCTGCCTCCCATGTCACTGGAAAGGTGGAGGCAGGTTAGAAAAATCATCCCCTCTCCCCCACAGCCATCAGAGGAGGGCCTGATGAGCTCTGGCTCACAGGTGCCTTTAGAAGTACCATTTCATGTGAGGGCTGCACTGCCCCGTTTTACAGGTGGGGAAACAAAGGCCTGGAGGGATAGGGATGAGGGCAGGCTCCCCAGGTGGGGCAACCCACCAGATCCTCGAAGCTGCACTGTGGCTCGGCCAGCTGCTTGTCGAGCTTGTGGTTCTGGGAGAGTGTGAGCCTCTCCTCCTGCTTTCGTAGCCTCTCCTTCTCCCACAGCCTCTTCTCCTGGTCCCACAGCCTCTCCTCCTGCTTTCGTGCTGCTCCTCCTCCTTTTGCAGCCTTTCCTCCTGCTTCCATAGCCTCTGCTCCTGCTTTTGCAGCCTCTCACCCTCCTCCCCCAGCCTCTTCTGCTGCTCCTGAATCCTCCCATTTTGCTCACACAGTCTCTCCTGCTCCTGCACCCTCCGCTCCTCCTGCTCTCAGAGCCTCTCATTTTGTTCCTTGCTCAGGAGACTCAAGGCCTGGTTGTTTTCCACCTGGGATTGGAGCTTTCCCTCCAGTCCCTCCACTTCCTTCCTCAGCTGTTTGGCCTCATCTTGTAGCTGCTCCAACTCAGAGGTCCCTGCTGGGGGTGCCGGGGACTGGGGCTCAGCTGAGAAATGAAGCAGGCAATAAGAGCCTCTGGATTTCCCCCGCTACCCACCCCCCGCACAAAAAAAAACCCTCCTCTTGATGCACAGCTCCTCTCAGGCTTCCCATGGCCATGGCCTCACTGCTAATGATTCCTCGCACCCGATGGTAGCCAGTTTCCAAGCCACTTTCACATAGAGAGCACTGTGGGTGGCTGACAACGAGCACTCCTCCCTCTTTGCTTATGGGGACCCTGAGGCTATGGAGATGACAAAACTTGCCATCTGCTGGCACAGACCTCTTTCCCTCTGCCTCAAAGCCCTTCCATCCACCCACCTCCCTGGGGCATTCTAAGCCACCCCCACAGACCTCTGATGCCAGTCCTGCTCCCAGGTCACACCAGCCCCATCTTACCCATCTGGTTTTGCAGTTCAGAGAAGCTTCTCTCCAGCTCCTGTATCCGATGTATGTCACGCTTCTTCTCTTCCTTCAATGTGCGAGCCTGCCGAAAGCACAGGGGAAAGGGCCCTGGAGAGAGGGGCTGGTGGCTGGACAGGCTACCATCTGCATCTCTGCCCCCATCTCCACAAAGCCCAGACCCATGACCACCTCTGGCTGTACTATTCCCATTCTACAGATGCCCAGAAAGATCCAGTGACCTATCTAAGATGGGGGCTGAAGGGTCAGACCTCACCTCCACCGACATTTTCCACATCCTCTCCTGCTGCCGGGCCCTCTCTCCTTTTATGTGTTTAGCATATTCGTCCTGCTCTAGCTGGACTTGTTTTAGTGACTCTGTCACCTGCAAGAAATGGGCACACAAGTTAGGAAGGGCTGTCACTGGTCCTCACCTGCTCCTGGCCACCTGGGGTCATCTTCCTTCCACATCCCTCCCTCTGCAAAGCCTCACCTGTGTCACGTGTGCGTTCAGCAGTGCCTGCTCCTTTATGGTCTGCTGTAACCGCCGCTGGAGGACCGCTTCACTGCAGCTCGAGGACTGGAGGGTGAAGAGTGAGAAGTTTCGATCTGGGGAGCCCGGGCAGTGCCCCTTAAAAGGGCTAGGGCTAGGCTCAATATACAACTCGGTTAGTAAAGGTCAAGGCATTTCCAAGCCCGTGGCCTGGTTATTAAAAGAACTCAGTAAAGTTGGAAGGGAGAGGGAAAGAGATCGAATTTACAGCTGGCTAACAGAGGCCCAGAGAGATCAGATAATATTGCTATTGTTATTACTGTTATTACTACCACTGTTTGAACCGTTATGGAGTGCTTCACCAGGTTCCATGCTAGCAATCCCATTTAATCCTCACAACCACCATATGACACAGTTACTAGGATTACCTCTATTGTGTAGATGAAAAACATGGAGTATTTGAAGTTAAGTGCTTGCCTAAGATCACTTAGACAGAGCTGAGATTTGAACACCCGAGTCTATCTGATTCTCTAAGCCCATTTTTCTTGCTGGGGGTGGGAGCACAGATAGGAAGGGGAAAATTAATCTTTTGTTCACTTTTTGAAAGGATGATACATTCATATAGTCCAAAACTCAGAAGGTACAGAAGGGAGGTGTCTCCCAGGCACCCTGTTACTCTCTCCTGAGTTTTTTAGGAATGCTTGCAGACATATTTTATGTATCTTATAATAGTACACACACACACCTTTCCTCTCTCTACAGAAATGGTAACATACAAAAGGTACTCTTCTGTTCACAGTACAAGTACCAAATACCCCACCTAGGACTTGGCCAAGGCCACAACCAGGTAAGGGCAGGGCAGAAACTTGGCCTCTGAGCTCTGCATCCAGTGCTTACTCCCAACAGTGCCCCCCAAATTAGCCACAGCAGCTGACTCAGCCCCAGGCTGCCTCTAACAACCATACACAAAAGCAGCGAGAAATGACCATGCTGCCTTCTGGGCAGGACACTCCATCCTGGAGAAGGAACCTTTAGGCTCACTCCTCCATCTGGGAAGCCAGGCTGCCAGGGGATGGGGCAGCTGGTCGGACTCACCCTGTCCTCTTCCTGCTGCTGTGTAGACACAGCACAGAGAGCCCGCTCCGATTCTTGAATATGCTGTAAGGAGTATTGCAGGCAGCCAGCCAGATCCTTGGACTCTTCTGTAATGAGAGAGGTTGAGATGGGGGCCAAAAGACTCCCCCTAAAGACCTGTCAAAGTGCCAGGTTGAAGGATGACGGGATGCCCAGATTCCCACCTTCGAAGTGTCGGGCAGCACGTTTAGTATGGTAAAGGGTGGTCTTCAAGTCTGCCTTTTCCAACGTGAGGATGTTGATTGTCTGGAATTGAATGTTTGGGAGAAAAGCCAAGCAAGTGCTGAAAGAGAAGGAAAGAAACATTCTCCGGAGGACAGGAGAAAACTCCCCACCCACCACTCACCTCTAACTGCTCCGTTTGTGCTTTGTGTATTTCCTTATTTGCTTTCTTTTCCTATAGGAAGAGGAAGACAGGGCTCTTACCACAGGGAGGCAGACATGGCATAGCAAGAGACATGCCCCCAGAATGCCACCAATGCCCCAGGACAGGCCCACCCATGGGACCAGGTTATCAGGGACCCTGTGGGGATGGGGTGGAATCTGAGGGGTGAGCCTTCTTCCCCAGGCTGGGAGTGGGTGAGACGAGATTGGCGCCTCTACATCTGAGTGCCCCCCAAACCCAGCAGTCATGTTGTGAGCAAAGAAATCACGTTACTTCTTCCAGCTGATGTTCCACTTGTTTCTTCTGCTGTTTCTGTGGGGAGAGTCAAATTCAGGTGACTGAGGGTGGCCCCCTCAACTCCATTCCCCAGACCAGGAAGTGGTAAGCAGTGGTCAGGAATGGATTTTAAAGGCAATGTTCTCAGAACCAATGGCAAGAACTGGTCAACTCTCCTCAAGCTCCCAAAGACAGAGGATTTGGGTCTTTGTTGGTTTTTGCCCACAGCCACAGAACTCAAAGTCTGAATCTGGATTCTCTCAAAAGGACAGTAACATAAACTTCTAGAGACGGAGACTCAGAAAGGCCCACCCTTCTGCCTGCTTGTGATTTAGAAAGGTGCCTTCATTCCACAAACAGTTACTGAGCACATACAGGACAGTTATGGTTCTTCACAGCAGATATAGGATGGAAAAGGACAGACAGGAGCCCTTGGCCCTCAGGTTTCCATTCTAGGGGCCTTTAAATCTCAGACTTTCAGAGCTAACAGAGAGATGCTCTACCTCCTCCAGAAACATGAGCCCAAGGAGGACAGGTGGCTTTTCCAGACTCAAAGCAAATTAGGGACTGAGTCAGGGCAGAAATACGGGGCCCCTGACAACCAGTCAGGCTAGTGCTTCCCTGAGAGGTGACAACCCCAGGGCATGTGTGGCAAGGATTGGAGTGGGGTGTCTGGAGAAGAGAGTCGGCAAAGAGGGCAGTGACAGAAGAGCCATGCTGTGTGCTCCTTGCTCTGGGGTCCCTCCAGGTGAGGCCTGGGTGCTCCAGCTCCCCATTTGTCCTTGGCACCAGGGGCCCCCAGCTCCTTTCTTCAGGGCCCCAAGGGGAACTAAAGGCCAGGATTGGCAGCGTGGAATCACGGGACCCCACTGGACTCTTACCAATGATTCTATGTTTTCATTTAGTTGATTGATTATTGCGGAGCTTGAGTTCAGGGCTACTTCCAGTTCTTGGTACCGACTCTGAGGCGCATGCAGAGAGGAGGAGTTGGAGGAGGATTGTGGGGAGAGGTGGAGAGAACAATCATTAGGGCTGGGGTGTGTGTGGGCTGTCGGGCTGTTTCAGCTGGCAGAGGGGCACCCAGCCCCTGCTGTGAAAGGAGGTTGGAGGGCTGGCCTGCAGGGTCACTGCACCTTGGCCCAGGGCCTCTTACCTCCAGATCCTTCAGGGTAACAGATGATGCAGGAGTTATAAAAATGAGAAATTCAAAAAAAGATTACATAGGAAACAGTTATGGATATAGAGAAAGTATAAAAACAGCAAGGGCCGGGCATGGTGGCTCATGCTTGTAATCCCAGCACTTTAGGAGGCTGAGGTGGGTGGATCACTTGAGGTCAGGAGTTCAACACCAGGCTGGCCGACGTGGTAAAACCCCGTCTCTTCTAAAAATACAAAGATTAGCTGGGCATGGTGGCAGGTGCCTGTAATCCCAGCTACTCAGGAGGCTAAGGCAAGAGAATCACTTGAACCTGGGAGGCAGAGGTTGTAGTGAGCCGAGATCACACCACTGCACTTCAGTCTGGGTGACAGAGTGAGACTCTGTCTCAAAAAAAAAAAAAAAAAAAAAAAAAAGCCCCAAATCCCACATGCCTGCACTGTCTGTTATTCCCAAATTACTTTTAAACTTTAAGGTCTCAACATTTCCAAGATGATAAAAGATGCGGGGAAGGAAAAAACCCAATCAATCAAGCAGGTGAAGAAGCAGACAGAAACAGGCTGAAGGTTAATGGCAGCAACATAAAACAAGGCAGAGGCCAAGTATCCCCCAAACCAGAGAAGCCTCAGGGCCATGCACAGCTGGAGACAGCAGCCAGAGAGGGGTCTTGGCACTGCCTCACCTTCCACTTGTCCAATGGGGGAGCACTACCCCATTGGAGTGGTTAAGGTTGGACACCCGCACCTTCAGAATGTCCTGAATCTACAGGAGGTGACAAGGGAAAAACAAGGGCAGGGGGCGAAAGACAGAAGTGGCTTAGAGAGAAGCAAGAAAGTCAGGGTAGGAGGAAGATGTGGGTTCAGAAAAACAAAACGCTGAAGAAGAGCAGAGGAGATTAAAACCATGGCCTGTGCCATTCTTCCAAATGGCCACCTGCTGCCTTGCCAGGGGCAGGAACAAATAGATGGAAAAGTCCCCTGAGCGATGCAGTCACAGAGTGGAGTCAGCTGACCAATGCAGCTCTTAATATGCTCACTGGTCCCCTCTCCTCAGGCCCAGGACATGGGTGATGAATCTCGTAGAGCTCCAGACCTCCACCTCCATTAAAAAAAACAGACTCCTGAGTAAGGGTTCACTTGAACTAAGGGGACTCCAGCTAAAAAACAAGTTTGAAAGACACTGATCTTATCCAGTATCATCTTACAGAGGAGGAAACTGAGGTCCAAAGGAAGAAGTGATTTTTCTGTGGTCATCCAGCAAGCTGGTGGCAAGTTAGATCTTCTCTTACTCCTGGTGTCTGGGGCTCTCCTCACCACACCCTGGGCCCCCTTCAGTGACTCCTATAGGGACAGCCTGATGGCAAGTGGCTGTACTCATTGGCCCAGCTTCCCCTTGAGACTGGGCATCAGGAAAATCAAACAGCAATGACCATTTCCTGGGTATCCTGGGTGTTTACAGCAGGCCACATACTAGGGGTTAACATAAAAACAACCATAAGGAATCTCATTTAAACTTCACAAATGGAAGTCAAACAATATTCCCCCTATTTTACAGAAGTGAAAAGAGAGGCCCAAAGAGCTCAAGCAACTTGCCATAAATCAGATCTCTAGAAGATGGAGAGGCAGGATTCAAACCCAGAATTCTTAACCAGTACCCAGCAATCTCAACAATTACCCTCCACTGCCCCTTGGGCCCCCCGTCTCCAGGAGCCAGGCCAGCCAAGACTCACATCCCCAGGTGAGTGGCAGCCACCAGAAGTGGTTGTCTCAGGGCTACTGCCAGTTTTTTTCTTTTTTGTCTTTGCTCCTGCTGGAACACCAGGGCTGTTCCTCTGCTGATATTCTTTTAGCTGTGGGAAAGAAGAGCAGTAATACTTGTGAGAACTTCCAGCCTCTACAGCCACATTCTCCTTTACAGTTTTTGCAAAATACTCTTATACACCATCTGATTTAATGCCACCAACAACTACAAGGTGTTGTCACGATCACTTAGTGACAGAGAGAGATGGATATTATAGCTAAAAAAAAGGGCAGGGGCAATAATGGAACTTAAACTCAGTCTTCTGACTCCAAGCTCTGGGGTTTTGCCATGAATCAGCAGCTGCCAGGGACCAAAACCAGAGGCAGAGGTAGAAAAGTAAACATTAAGTAGACAGGAACTGCACTCTGTGTGGGTTACAGTCATACATCCTCACATGTCTGTTAGTGTGAAGAAGTGCACCAGTACCTCTTAAACTTTTATATCAATGTGTCCTCATGGCAGAAGGCAGCTTTTTTGTTAAATCTCAGAATTTATCAGAAAGAGGACAACCCAAGTCTCATTTCAGAGAGAAGTCTGGTATACTCTTAGAAACCTATGTGACTGTCTTCCCTAAGTACATTAATGCTTTTTCTCTCTCAAGGGAATCAAGGGAAATTGATGCTTCAGAAAGATCTCCCACACTTATCCTGTGGCACTCAAAGTACCCCAGATTGGGATGATAAGAGGAAGATTCAAGCTGTCAAGTTCAATTTCCCCAGATCTATTCCACAGAAGATGAGCAAATCTCACTCCAGCGACCATTGACTGAAGGGCAGTCTGGTCCCAGAACCATGAAGAATTAGAATATGAGGTGGAGAACTGAGAAAATAATGTTAAAGTCTCTCTGGAGAGTAGAAGCCTGGGAGAAAATCAAACCAAACCAAACCAAACCTGTTCTCCCATTGCCACCCAGAGATACTGTCAATGTTTTGAGCTCACGGGGGAATTGTAGGCTTTTCACGCTGTCAATGTCTATGTGAAGGGAGTAAGGCAGCCTGAAACCTCTTGCCCCTAGGTCCCATAGTCCCCATTCCCCTTCCAGCTGGAAATTTGTGCTGTGACCACAGGAACCAGAAATGGGGTGAGAATGCTTAGGGGACTGGGTTGTAAGATCAAAGGCCGGTCTTGAAGCAGTAATGACAGTTCCTGGGGGGACTGTGACATCACTACATTCCACTCCTCCTAGGGGAGGGAGGGAACAACATCAGTGTGATGGCTGAGTCACCGATTCACAATGGAGCAGGGGGATGTAGGGCTGGGACCCAGGTCCACGGAGACACCAGCCCAAAGAGCCCAGGGAGGTCGGGCTTGGGTCAGCAGGAGGGGAGAGCAGAGTCTGCAGCAGGAAGCCCGAGGAGTCACCAGCCCAAAGTCACCCAGGGATGACTGGTGAGGGTGGGGCCTGGGGCTGGGGGACCCAGGTCCTTGGAGAGGTGAGCCCAAAGAACTCAGGGAGGTCGGGCTTGGGGTGGCAGGATGTGAAGGCTGAGTATGGAGCCGGGAGCCCCAGAAGTCACTCGCCCAAAGTCACCCTGGGGTGATTGGTGAGGGCAGGGCCTGAGCTGCTTGCTGAAGGGGCGGGACTGACTGACAAGACTTTGGTTGGAGGGAGCACAGAGGTGCCAGTGTGGGGGGACCCAGCCCGGTGTGCCTAAGGGCTGGTATGGACTCTGGCAGTGGTCTTGCCATCAAAGGGGATCTGTGGCTGGGTTGGGGGGGCCATGATCTGATGCGTTTTA
Source organism: Homo sapiens (assembly GCF_000001405.40). Lineage (NCBI taxonomy): Eukaryota > Metazoa > Chordata > Mammalia > Primates > Hominidae > Homo > Homo sapiens. The sequence continues at coordinate 78,727,261 of NC_000015.10, read as the reverse complement.
CTTTTTTCTTGGCTGTGGCCAGTTTCCTCTGTTGAGTTTCTTCTAACATCGTGGGGTGGGGAGGGAGGCAGGGTTAGGGCCACATCAGCGAACACCTCCAGTCACCTACCAGGCAGCTGTGTGACTGAGCCAGAGGAGGTGTAACCAGGGCCACACTGTAATGCAGAATGGGGCGGGGCCTTAATGCTCCAAGCCCATTGGTCAGTGAGAAAGATGAAAGGGAAAGGAGGCGTGGCCAGGCAGCAGTGTGTCCAGAGGAACCTGTGGCATCACAAGGAAAGCTGCCCATGCAACTGCTGTCCCGCCCACTTGGGGAGAGGGGCGGGGCCTGCCTACTCCAGGAGCAGGGAGGGGCCGCCCACTCCAGGAGAGGGGAGGGGCCGGCTTTTGCTTTAAAAGCTTTAAAACTTTAAAAATAAACTTTAAAAAATATATGTGCTTATACTTTTTATATATGTGTATCAGTGTGCATATGTCTACGTGTTCCACCAGAGCTGTCTTCATTATCCAGCTTCTATGCAAGGTCTATGATTTTGGCCTACATTTTTCATCTTCAAATGAAGTACAAGAATTACCAGTGTTACTTCAATTGAGATACAACTCCTATAAAAATGGAAAATCCATAGCATGCTTGATGTTTAATGAAGTGGACTATATTATCCAACATTCCAATAAGATAATCACAATGAATTCTTTTTTTTGGAAAAAGTTTTTCTTAATTTCCTGCATTATTAAGATTTTTTTTTTTAAAAAATAAGAAACATGTCTAATATCTTTAAAAACACAAAGCTTTTGTGCCGGGTGCAGTGGCTCACTCCCGTAATCCCAGCACTTTGGGAGGCCTAGGCGGGTGGATCACCTTAGGTCAGGAGTTCAAGACCAGCCTGGCCAACATGGTGAAACCCCGTCTCTACTAAAAATACAAAAACTAGCCAGGTGTGGTCATGGGTACCTGCAATCCCAGCTACTCGGGAGACTGACGCAGGAGAATCACTTGAACCTGGAAGCCGAAGTTGCAGTGAGCCAAGGTCACACCACTGCACTGCAGCCTGGGTGACAGACTGAGACTCCATCTCAAAAAAAAAAAAAAGTAAAAAATTAATAAAAACACAAAGCTTTCAATTTAATAAGCACTCAAAGCTCTTTACTGGTTTAAAGCATATACAAGGCCTATTTTTCTAGAATCACCTGGCCTCTCTAAGCCTTGCAAATGAAACTGAATTTCTCACTTGATACTTGGCTATGACTTGCAATCATGAAAACCAAGAATTGTGTTATGTCACTGTGTATTGCTTGTTACTTGAATTCCACACTAGGCTGAGATCAAGGGTTGAATCTTACATGATTTGCTCCATAACCTGTGAGCTTCTTTTCCCACACCAAACTAAGCTTTTTTCTATTTTTTCTTTTTTTTTATTATTATTATCTTTAAGTTTTAGGGTACATGTGCACAATGTGCAGGTTAGTTACATATGTATACATGTGCCATGCTGGTGCGCTGCACCCACTAACTTGTCATCTAGCATTAGGTATATCTCCCAATGCTATTCCTCCCCCCTCCCCCCACCCCACAACAGTCCCCAGAGTGTGATGTTCCCCTTCCTGTGTCCACGTGTTCTCATTGTTCAATTCCCACCTATGAGTGAGAATATGCGGTGTTTGGTTTTTCGTTCTGGCGATAGTTTACTGAGAATGATGATTTCCAATTTCATCCTTGTCCCTACAAAGGACATGAACTCATCGTTTTTTATGGCTGCATAGTATTCCATGGTGTATATGTGCCACATTTTCTTAATCCAGTCTATCCTTGTTGGACATTTGGGTTGGTTGCAAGTCTTTGCTATTGTGAATGATGTCGCAGTAAACATACATGTGCATGTGTCTTTATAGCAGCATGATTTATAGTCCTTTGGGTATATAGCCAGTAATGGGATGGCTGGGTCAAATGGTATTTCTAGTTCTAGATCCCTGAGGAATCGCCACACTGACTTCCACAATGGTTGAACTACTTTACAGTCCCACCAACAGTGTAAAAGTGTTCCTATTTCTTCACATCCTCTCCACACCTGTTGTTTCCTGACTTTTTAATGATTGCCATTCTAACTGGTGTGAGATGGTATCTCATTGTGGTTTTGATTTGCATTTCTCTGATGGCCAGTGACGATGAGCATTTTTTCATGTGTTTTTTGGCTGCATAAATGTCTTCTTTTGAGAAGTGTCTGTTCATGTCCTTTGCCCACTTTTTGATGGGGTTGTTTGTTTTTTTCTTGTAAATTTGTTTGAGTTCATTGTAGATTCTGGATATTAGCTCTTTGTTGGATGAGTAGGTTGCAAAAATTTTCTCCCATTTTGTAGGTTGCCTGTTCACTCTGATGGTAGTTTCTTTTGCTGTGCAGAAGCTCTTTAGTTTAATTAGATCCCATTTGTCAATTTTGGCTTTTGTTGCCATTGCTTTTGGTGTTTTAGACATGAAGTCCTTGCCCATGCCTATGTCCTGAATGGTAATGCCTAGGTTTTCTTCTAGGGTTTTTATGGTTTTAGGTCTAACGTTTAAGTCTTTAATCCATCTTGAATTAATTTTTGTATAAGGTGTAAGGAAGGGATCCAGTTTCAGCTTTCTACATATGGCTAGCCAGTTTTCCCAGCACCATTTATTAAATAGGGAATCCTTTCCCCATTGCTTGTTTTTGTCAGGTTTGTCAAAGATCAGATAGTTGTAGATATGCAGCATTATTTCTGAGGGCTCTGTTCTGTTCCTTTGATCTATATCTCTGTTTTGGTACCAGTACCATGCTGTTTTGGTTACTGTAGCCTTGTACTATAGTTTGAAGTCAGGTAGTGTGATGCCTCCAGCTTTGTTCTTTTGGCTTAGGATTGACTTGGCGATGCAGGCTCTTTTTTGGTTCCATATGAACTTTAAAGTAGTTTTTTCCAATTCTGTGAAGAAAGTCATTGGTAGCTTGATGGGGATGGCATTGAATCTGTAAATTACCTTGGGCCGTATGGCCATTTTCACGACATTGATTCTTCCTACCCATGAGCATGGAATGTTCTTCCATTTGTTTGTATCTTCTTTTATTTCATTGAGCAGTGGTTTGTAGTTCTCCTTGAAGAGGTCCTTCACATCCCTTTTAAGTTGGATTCCTAAGTATTTTATTCTCTTTGAAGCAATTGTGAATGGGAGTTCACTCATGATTTGGCTGTTTGTCTGTTGTTGGTGTATAAGAATGCTTGTGATTTCTGTACATTGATTTTGTATCCTGAGACTGCTGAAGTTGCTTATCAGCTTAAGGAGATTTTGGGCTGAGACAATGGGGTTTTCTAGATATACAATCATGTCATCTGCAAACAGGGACAATTTGACTTCCTCTTTTCCTAATTGAATACCCTTTATTTCCTTCTCCTGCCTAATTGCCCTGGCCAGAACTTCCAACACTATGTTGAATAGGAGTGGTGAGAGAGGGCATCCCTGTCTTGTGCCCGTTTTCAAAGGGAATGCTTCCAGTTTGTGCCCATTCAGTATGATATTGGCTGTGGGTTTGTCATAGATAGCTCTTATTATTTTGAGATACATCCCATCAATACCTAATTTATTGAGAGTTTTTAGCGTGAAGGGTTGTTGAATTTTGTCAAAGGCCTTTTCTGCATCTATTGAGATAATCATGTGGTTTTTGTCTTTGGTTCTGTTTATATGCTGGATTACATTTATTGATTTGCATATGTTGAACCAGCCTTGCATCCCAGGGATGAAGCCCACTTGATCATGGTGGATAAGCTTTTTGATGTGCTGCTGGATTCGGTTTGCCAGTATTTTATTGAGGATTTTTGCATCAATGTTCATCAAGGATATTGGTCTAAAATTCTCTTTTTTTGGTTGTGTCTCTGCCAGGCTTTGGTATCAGGATGATGCTGGCCTCATAAAATGAGTTAGGGAGGATTCCCTCTTTTTCTATTGAATGGAATAGTTTCAGAAGGAATGGTACCGGTTCCTCCTTGTACCTCTGGTAGAATTCAGCTGTGAATCCATCTGGTCCTGGACTTTTTTTGGTTGGTAAGCTATTGATTATTGCCACAATTTCAGCTCCTGTTATTGGTCTATTCAGAGATTCAACTTCTTCCTGGTTTAGTCTTGGGAGAGTGTATGTGTCCAGGAATTTATCCATTTTTTCTAGATTTTCTAGTTTATTTGCATAGAGTTGTTTGTAGTATTCTCTGATGGTAGTTTGTATTTCTGTAGGATCGGTGGTGATATCCCCTTTATCATTTTTTATTGCATCTATTTGATTCTTCTCTCTTTTTTTCTTTATTAGTCTTGCTAGCGGTCTATCAATTTTGTTGATCCTTTCAAAAAACCAGCTCCTGGATTCATTACTTTTTTGAAGGGTTTTTTGTGTCTCTATTTCCTTCAGTTCTGCTCTGATTTTAGTTATTTCTTGCCTTCTGCTAGCTTTTGAATGTGTTTGCTCTTGCTTTTCTAGTTCTTTTAATTGTGATGTTAGGGTGTCAATTTTGGATCTTTCCTGCTTTCTCTTGTGGGCATTTAGTGCTATAAATTTCCCTCTACACACTGCTTTGAATGCGTCCCAGAGATTCTGATATGTGGTGTCTTTGTTCTTGTTGGTTTCAAAGAACATCTTTATTTCTGCCTTCATTTCATTATGTACCCAGTAGTCATTCAGGAGCAGGTTGTTCAGTTTCCATTTAGTTGAGCAGTTTTGAGTGAGTTTCTTAATCCTGAGTTCTAGTTTGATTGCACTGTGGTCTGAGAGATAGTTTGTTATAATTTCTGTTCTTTTACATTTGTTGAGGAGAACTTTACTTCCAAGTATGTGGTCAATTTTGGAAAAGGTGTGGTGTGGTGCTGAAAAAAATGTATATTCTGTTGATTTGGGGTGGAGAGTTCTGTAGATGTCTATTAGGTCTGCTTGGTGCAGAGCTGAGTTCAATTCCTGGGTATCCTTGTTGACTTTCTGTCTCGTTGATCTGTCTAATGTTGACAGTGGGGTGTTAAACTCTCCCATTATTAATGTGTGGGAGTCTAAGTCTCTTTGTAGGTCACTCAGGACTTGCCTTAAGAATCTGGGTGCGCCTGTAGTGGGTGCATACATATTTAGGATAGTTAGCTCTTCTTGTTGAATTGATCCCTTTACCATTAACTAATGGCCTTCTTTGTCTCTTTTGATCTTTGTTGGTTTAAAGTCTGTTTTATCAGAGACTAGGATTGCAACCCCTGCCTTTTTTTGTTTTCCATTTGCTTGGTAGATCTTCTTCCATCCTTTTATTTTGAGCCTATATGTGTCTCTGCACGTGAGATGGGTTTCCTGAATACAGCACACTGATGGGTCTTGACTCTATCCAATTTGCCAGTCTGTGTCTTTTAACTGGAGCATTTAGTCCATTTACATTTAAAGTTAATATTGTTATGTGTGAATTTGATCCTGTCATTATGATGTTAGCTGGTTATTTTGCTCGTTAGTTGATGCAGTTTCTTCCTAGTCTCGATGGTCTTTACATTTTGGCATGATTTTGCAGTGGCTGGTACCAGTTGTTCCTTTCCATGTTTAGCGCTTCCTTCAGGAGCTCTTTTAGGGCAGGCCTGGTGGTGACAAAATCTCTCGGCATTTGATTGTCTGTAAAGTATTTTATTTCTCCTTCACTTATGAAGCTTAGTTTGGCTGGATATGAAATTCTGGGTTGAAAATTCTTTTCTTTAAGAATGTTGAATATTGGCCCCCACTCTCTTCTGGCTTGTAGGGTTTCTGCCGAGAGATCCGCTGTTAGTCTGATGGGCTTCCCTTTGAGGGTAACCTGACCTTTCTCTCTGGCTGCCCTTAACATTTTTTCCTTCATTTCAACTTTGGTGAATCTGACAATTATGTGTCTTGGAGTTGCTCTTCTCGAGGAGTATCTCTATGGCGTTCTCTGTATTTCCTGAATCTGAACGTTGGCCTGCCTTGCTAGATTGGGGAAGTTCTCCTGGATAATATCCTGCAGAGTGTTTTCCAACTTGGTTCCATTCTCCCCGTCACTTTCAGGTACACCAATCAGACATAGATTTGGTCTTTTCACATAGTCCCATATTTCTTGGAGGCTTTGCTCATTTCTTTTTATTCTTTTTTCTCTAAACTTCCCTTCTTGCTTCATTTCATTCATTTCATCTTCCATTGCTGATACCCTTTCTTCCAGTTGATCGCATCGGCTCCTGCGGCTTCTGCATTCTTCACGTAGTTCTCGAGCCTTGGTTTTCAGCTCTATCAGCTCCTTTAAGCACTTCTCTGTATTGGTTATTCTAGTTATACATTCTTCTAAATTTTTTCAAAGTTTTCAACTTCTTTGCCTTTGGTTTGAATTTCCTCCCATAGCTCGGAGTAATTTGATCATCTGAAGCCTTCTTCTCTCAGCTCGTCAAAGTTATTCTCCGTCCAGCTTTGTTCCGTTGCTGGTGAGGAACTGCATTCCTTTGGAGGAGGAGAGGTGCTCTGCTTTTTAGAGTTTCCAGTTTTTCTGCTCTGTTTTTTCCCCATCTTTGTGGTTTTATCTACTTTTGGTCTTTGATGATGGTGATGTACAGATGGGTTTTTGGTGTGGATGTCCTTTCTGTTTGTTAGTTTTCCTTCTAACAGACAGGACCCTCAGCTGCAGGTCTGTTGGAGTACCCAGCCGTGTGAGGTGTCAGTCTGCCCCTGCTGGGGGGTGCCTCCCAGTTAGGCTGCTCGGGGATCAGGGGTCAGGGACCCACTTGAGGAGGCAGTCTGCCCGTTCTCAGATCTCCAGCTGTGTGCTGGGAGAACCACTGCTCTCTTCAAAGCTGTCAGAGAGGGACATTAAAGTCTGCAGAGGCTGCTGCTGTCTTTTTGTTTGTCTGTGCCCTGCCCCCAGAGGTGGAGCCTACAGAGGCAGGCACGCCTCCTTGAGCTCTGGTGGGCTCCACCCAGTTCGAGCTTCCCGGCTGCTTTGTTTACTTAATCAAGCCTGGGCAATGGCAGGCGCACCTCCCCCAGCCTCGCTGCCGCCTTGCAGTTTGATCTCAGACTGCTGTGGTAGCCATCAGCGAGACTCCATGGGCGTAGGACCCTCCGAGCCAGGTGAGGGATATAATCTCCTGGTGCGCCGTTTTTTAAACCAGTCGGAAAAGGGCAGTATTCAGGTGGGAGTGACCCGATTTTCCAGGTGCCGTCTGTCACCACTTTCTTTGACTAGGAAAGGGAACTCCCTGACCCCTTGCACTTCCTGAGTGAGGCAATGCCTTGCCCTGCTTCGGCTGGTGCACAGTGCATGCACCCACTGACCTGCGCCCACTGTCTGGCACTCCCTAGTGAGATGAACCCGGTACCTCAGATGGAAATGCAGAAATCACCCGTCTTCTGCGTCTCTCACGCTGGGAGCTGTAGACTGGAGCTGTTCCTATTCGGCCATCTTGGCTCCTCAGCTTTTTTCTAGAGTTCTACAATTCACAGTTAGTAGACAAGAGTGGTTCTCAAAAATGTAGTCTCTGGACTAGCAGCACCAGCAGAACCTGAGAACTTTTTATAAGTGCAAATTCTCAGGCCCCACCCTGGACCTGGTGAATCAAGAAACTCTGGAGTAGGGCTCAGCAATCTGTGCTGTGGTCATCCCTCCAGGTGTTCAAGAACCTCTGGCATACAGCAGGTAGAAAAATGTGTTTCCTTCTGTAGGTCCAAAGCCAGGGATACCATATGTTCTGTCTTGATATGAAACAATGACATGCAATTAAAAGACATAAATCTCCTTCCTACTCCCACCCTCCATCCAATGTGTTTTATTTTTATGAGTTAAATAAGAAAACAGATGGCAACCAGAAATTCAGTCTAAAAAGTATATTTACAAGAGTCAGTTCTCATCCAGCCTGATCTCATACAATACCATTTACACCCTCTTACCTCTCAAGTTTTAAAAAAGTATCTTCACAATGTAAGTCTCAGGCACACTAGCAGTTCTGTAATAAAACACCAAGTAGATCAGAACGTCCAAACTTACTAGAGAAGAAAAGTGGAATCATTGACTCTATTTTCAAATTGCATTCAACAGGAAATATAAGTTTTGAATTATTTTGACTTTCATACTTCCAAATTAATAGAATTAAATCAGAATACTCCATTCTTTCAAAGCCTCTAGCCAGGCAAAGTTTTACTGTATTACTTCTTGCTTTCAAAGGATATAAAGCAGAGTCCTGCTAGGCACATTTTGTATACATGCAAAGATGCAGAACTAAACAGTTCCATCTGTTCAATATTAAAACAAAAGTCCTTTAAACCTTGGATGGTGAGTGTAATACTTCAGCACTAGCAACAAAGCCTCAAATATGAAAAGATACCAAGATCGCCACTAGCAAACAAAACTAAACTCTCAGCCGGGAGCAGTAGTTCACACCTGTAATCCCAGCACTTTGGCAAGCCAAGGTGGGAGGATTACTTGAAGTCAGGAGTTCAAGACCAGGCTGGTTAGCATAGCGAATTCACATCTCCACAAAAAAAATTTAAAAATTAGCTGGGCATGGTGGTACACACTTGTAGTCCTAGCTATTTGGCATGCTGAGGTGGGAAAATTGCTTGAGCCCAGGAGTTTAAGCCTGCAGTAGCTATGATTATGGCACTATACTCCAGCCTGGGTGACAGAACAAGACTTAAATACACTCTCTCCTGCTCCTGTTTACACTAAAATCACTAAGTTAAAATGTTTTCAAATTTGGCAGGATGAAAATTAAGTGAAATGTGACTTTGGAGCTTGGCTAGCAAAAGGAAAGGAAAGGAAAGCAAAGGAAAGGAAAGGAAAGGAAAAAAAGAAAAGAAAAAAGAAAGCGAGAAAGGAAATCAAGTGAAATGACAAACTACTTACTGGGAGAAAGTTTTTGTAACCTCAGTGACAGATAAAAGGTTTGTATCCTTAGTCTTTAAAGAAATCTTTAAAATTACTGAGAAAAAAACAAATGATTTTCAACAGAAAATGGGCAATGGAGAAACAGGCACTTCTCACAAGAATAAAAATGACCAATAGGCGTATAAAAAAATTCAAAAGCACTAGAAACCAAAGAAATGTGATGAAAACAATGAGATTTTCTGTATAAAGGCAGCAAAGATGACAAATGGAAAGGGGAACCTAGAGCTCTGTCCTTGTTGGTGGGAGTATAACCTGAGTCACTTTTCCTGGAGAATAATTTGAAAATTTCTATTAAAAACCCTAAAAATTATTTTCCTCCAGAAATTCTACTTCTATGAATTTAGTCCAAAAATGCTTGCTTGAGACCATTAAAATGTATATATAAGAAAATTCACCTCTGGAATAGCAATGATTAACTTAATATACATCCAGCTATTAAAAATGATGCCAGGATATATTTACTGCCACAGAAATATGCCCAAAATATAGTAAGTGACAGAAGACTATATATTACGATTCTAGTTTTTAAAAGGTTTATATGCATAAAAAAAGTATAAAAAGCAACAAACCAGAATGTTTTGAGTGGCAAATTAAAGATTTTTCTTAATATCAGTCATCCAAATTATTACAAAAAGAATGCGATTTCCTTTATAATCAGGAAGAAGTGTTATTTTCATTTATTTATATGTAAATCTCTTTTCTTTTTCTTATTTTTTTCTCCTGTATGTATCCCATGTATGCTAGAATCCCTGCCTCTTGAGGTAAATCAGTCAATTTTTGGGAAGTGCACTACATAAAGCTGCCCTATCCTCCTTTTATTTTAAGAGATCTGGAGACATATTTGTTTCAAATTATTTTATTGTTCTCAGAGTACTTTTTAAAAATATATGAAATTTAGGAAAAGACAAAGGAATGGCTGACTCCCTACCCTCCTGGGGCTACTCTTCCAATTTTTGCTGCTATTGTTATATATTAATATTCACTGGGTACTAAAAAGTTGGGCAGCCCCTTAGATCCTTTTTTCTTATTTCTTTCGCATAATCCTACTTCATTCGTTCATTTGCTTATTTTTAAAAGGGTCATGTGTACAAATACATAGTTCAGAAAAAATTTAAATATAACTATCTATAAAAGTATGTGGCAAAATCCCATTCACAGTCTTATTCTCCTTCCACAGCCAACACTTTTAATTGGTTTCTTATATATCATTTCAGAATTTATCTTTGCAAATACAAATGTATGTTCTTATTCTACTCTTCTCTCTCAACACAAAAAGTAGCATACCATACATACTATAGCATTCCTTGTTCCTTTAAAAAACACACACAATATATCCAAGTTCTTCCACATGAGTTCAGAGGTCTTTGTCATTCTTCTTTACAACCGCACAGTATTCATCGTTTGGATGTACCACAGTTGACTTAACCAGTTCCCTGTTGGTGGACACTGAAGTCATCCCTATCATACTACTACAAACAATAATGCCAAGCATAACCACCCACACACACCAAGTTCATTTCTGAATCTGCCTTTGATGAAGCCTCTATCTGAATCACCACAAGGTCACAAGGCTGAAAAGTTAGCCAGTTTTTTAGTTTTCCTTATGTACAGCAGTATGTAGCAAAAGACTCCCTTGGGCAAAGCAAATGTACTTTTTGGGGATTTACTTCATAACAATACATGGATAAACAGAACACCAAGGAGAACCATGTCTATTTAACCATGCACATGTATGTATACATTACATGCATATGCATAGAAAGTATACAATAAATCCATCAAAGCATTAAGCATTGTCTCAGTACAGTGGATCTATGGAGAGCTTTGTAGACCTCCCTCCTTGCCTATCAATTTTTCCTAATTTCACAACAGTGAATATGTACTATTTTTGCAATATAAAATTTCAAAAAAATGTTAACCCAAATTAAGCTGGATACATTCCTTGTCTGTCCTATATTTGTATGGTGCTCCAGAGTGCTCAAATATCACTTTATTTAAAAAAAATTTTTTTTTTTCAAATATAGAGTCAGGCAGGGCCTTGCTCTGTCGACCAGGCTGGTCTTGAACTCCTAGATCCTCCTGGATCCTCCCACTTCCACCCCTCAAAGTGTGGGTATTACAAGTGTGAGACATCACGCCCAGCTGGCTTCATTTGAGAAATCTTTCCCCAGCACTCCATATATTATGAATAATTCCTTTATTCTTGTTTTGATAGCATCTTAGTCATATCTCTATTACCTCACTTGTCACATGATAATCAGTTGCTCCCCCATCCATCTCCCTTGATTGCTCATGAGCTCCTTGAGAAGAGTCTGATTTTCAGCACTTTGAACAGTGTGACACATATATGCTTCATATGCAGAGAAGGACATGATTTCACTACAGTGTAACTATTCCCAGAATTCAATGCCTGTATTTCTAAATTGTTCTAGATACTCTGCAACAACCTGAGAATGTTATGTTTTTCCCTAAAACTTCCATCCATTACTGAGTGTCTATGGTCATAGTTAACTCAATTGCAATGTGACCTCTGGCCAAGCCCATTCCTAGTTTTTTTTTTAGGTGATTTTTAATTTTAAATTTTTATTTTGATTGTTTCCTTTTTGTTTTTTCTAATCTAGCAGTGGTTGGTAAATTTCAACATCTGTATATCCCTGTGTCTTTGCACCTGCTGGTCTCTGCTTGGAATATCTCAAGGTTTTATTCACCTGGAAAAAATTTCTACTCACCCTTAAAGAATCAGCTTAAATAGGTCGGTGTGGTGACTCATGACTGTAATCCCAGCACTTTGGGAAGCAAAGGCGGGTGGATCACCTGAGGTCACTAGTTCCAGACTAGCCTATCCAACATGTTGAAACCTTGTCTTTACTAAAAATACAAAAAATAGCCGGGCGTGGTGGCAGATGCCTGTAATCCCAGGTACTCGGGAGGCTGAGGCAGGAGAATCAGTTGAACCCAGGAGGCGGAGGTTGCAGTGAGCTGAGATTGTGCCATTGCACTCCAGCCTGGGCGACAGTGTGAGACTCCGTCTCAAAAAAACAAACAAAAAAATTCCAGAAGAAAGTTTCTGCTTGGTCTGGTCTGGGTTGGCTGGGTAGCTGGGACGCTAAAACTGCCAAGCCCTCTAGTGTCATGTGGTTGAAGCAGGGCCGGGAGATGTATTAGTCAGTTCAGGGTGCCATGCCAAAATACCACAGATGGGTGGCTTAAACTGCAAACATTTATTTGTCACGGTTCTGGAGGCTGGGAAATCCAAGACCAAAGTGCCAGCAAGGTAGGTTTCATTCTGAGGCCTCTTCTCTTGGCCTGTAGGTGGCTGCCATATTGTGCACTCATGTGACCTCTTCTTTGTATTTGTGCAGAGAGAGAGTGAGTGCACCCTCTGGTGTCTTGTCTTATAAGGACACTAATCCTACTGAATCAGGGCCCCACCCTTAGGACCTCATTCAAACTTAATGACTTCCTGAGAGGCCTCATCTGCAAATACAGCCATGCAGAGGGTTAGGGCTTCAACATATGAATTTGGAGGAGACAGAGACACTCAGTCCATGATGGGAAGAAAAACTATTCATGAAAAAAGGGGTGCAGTGGCCAGAAAAGGGGGCAGACAAAATATTCTCCCCATTTCCCCCAATACACAACACAACACACACACACACACACACACACACACACACACACAGAGCCCTGACTTTGCCCCTTCCTCACAAGGCCACTCCCCACCCATAATCATTTACCTCCCTCCTATCCTGCTCTCTGGAGCTGCCCCTTCCCCTAAGTTGTCCTGTGGCTCACTGATTGCTGCATGCAGGTAGGTGCATGTAAATGTAGCTGGGGCTGGGAACCTCCTGGACCATGTGTGTCCTGAGCCCCACTATGAGACTGGGCAGGAAGTGGGTCTCACCCATGTCTCCTGTCCTCAGGCAGAGCCTAGCCTTGGGACATGAGCTCAGAGGATGCTGCAGCTTTGTTGGATTCACCTCAGGCCCCCTTTCTCCCCATCCACTTATAAGGTTCCCAGGGCCTTGATACCTCTGTCCTTGGAAGAAAAGAATGTGATTACCCAGCTCACTCAAACCTGCTCGTGGCTTCCCGCAATAGAAGCACAAAATTTTCTAATTCAAAAGAGTCTACCAAGTGACTAGCAAAGTGAATGAGGAAAGACCTACAACAAGGCACATCATTGAGAAATCCAAAGATAGAAAATCCTAATATCTTCCAGAGAGAAAAGACAGGTCACATGTAAAGAGCCAAGATTCTGCACGATACTGACTTCTTACCAACAACACTGGGAACTAGAAAATAATAGAGCAGTATTTCCCAATGTGAGAAGTTACTTTCAAATTAGAGCATTATATCCAGCCAAACTGTTAATCAGGAGTTGGGGTAGAACAATGACATTCTAAAATATGTGAAGGTAAGAAAGCTTGGCTTCCATTCACTGCTTTTCAGGAAGCCACTGGAAGATGTACTGCAACATAATGAGACAGTGAACCAGGGAAAAAGAAGATCTGGGGCAAGGGAACAGGAGATGCACACAGAAGAGGCAGCAGGAAATTCACACAATGGTGCAGAGACATGTCAGAATGCCAGCCATGCCACAGGCTGAGAGCTGAGTCCAGTTTGGAGCATAAGGATGGAGGGCAAGGGAGAGAGGGAAGCCTCCAGGAAAATAACAGGGCTGATAGAGTAGCTCGTGTATCTTAGTTTTAGATAATTATTACCAGGCATTTCATAGATCAGTTGGAGTAACTGAAAGAAAGGTAGTTAATAGGTACAAAAACATATAAGCAAACGAAGGGAAAAAATTTGAAGCAATTATTAACTCCAGGGGGAAAAAAAGGAAGAAATGAAACAATTTCAGTGCAGGACTTGGCTTAGGAAACAAAATTTAGATATCTACAAGAATGTAAATGCTTTTGATTTCACAAGATTTTGATCCAGTGAAATTGGTAGAATGGAGGCAAGGAAACTGTTAAGACCTCATAAGGGAGGTAAGCCCTATACTGTGCTATTCCAGGAAGTAGACAGATACTGAAGAAAACAAATCAAGAAATAGCAACGTAAACATTCTTTAGAAATATGATGCAAATACCAGAGGAAGTAGCAAAATGAATTTAAAGTGACGGCCTCTGGGAATTAGGATACAAAGGTGTTGGGGTGATCAGACTCAACACCAGGACGTGGGGGCTACAAAGTCCGGTGGAGTCAAAGGAATGAGGAAAGACAAGTTGAGAGAGAAAGTGGGACCAGGGGGCCAACACTAGTATAGAGGCTGTGAAGGCCCTGAGCTCTGGGAGCCCACACTATTTATTGGTGATCAAAAAAAGAAGCAGGTGGTGAGGATGTGGGGGTTGAAAGGAAGTGACATATCAAGCATATAAGCTACAGCTGTGATGGTGTAGCATTTTCTTTGAAACATATGGCTACTTGAGATAATGGGAGTGCTAGAAGCAAGGAGCCAGCAAGTCTAGACACATTCCAAAGGCCATGAGAGGTTTTAGACCCCGGACCCCGGACCCCGGACATGTTCCAAGCCCACCTCGGCTTCTCTCCCAGCACTCAGCCTTTCTCCCAACACAAAGGCAAGAAAAGAAAGGGCATAGGAAATGCTTTTTGATATAAGCCTATTATTACCATTTTGTTCTTTTTTCTTCTTCCTTTTTTTTTTGTACTGAGGATTTCTTGCTCCAGATACCATTTTGTTCCTTTTTAAAATTTTATTTTTATTTACTTATTTATTTATTTTGAGACAAAGTCTCATTCTGGCACTTAGGCTGGAGTGCAGTGGCATGATCTTGGCTCACTGCAACTTCCGCCTCCCAGGTTCAAGCAATTCTCCTGCCTCAGCCTCCGGAGTAGCTGGGACTACAGGCGAACACCACCAGGCCTAGCTAATTTTTTTTTTGTACTTTTAGTAGAGGTGGGGTTTCACCATGTTAGCCAGGATGGTTTCGATCTCCTGACCTCGTGATCCACCCAAAGTGCTGGGATTACAGGCGTAATCCACTGGGTGAGCCACCGCACCCAGCCCCATTTTGTTCTTAACTCTGTGTATCTAGCGCTTTGATTGAAATTAAATATAATGTTATAAGTTCTGGAGATCTGTTGTACAGAATGACTATAGTTAATAATAATATATACTTGAAAATTGCTAAAAGAAGATTTTTTGCTTTTATTATTATTAATTGACACAATAATTGTACGTATTTGTGGGGTACAGTATAATATTTTTATACATGTATACAATATGTAATAATTAAATCAGGGCGATTAGCATCTCCACCACCTCAAACATTTATCCTTTCTTTGTTCTGGGAGTATTCAAAATGCACTCTTCTAGCTATTCGAAAATATATAATAAATTGTCATCAATTATCATCACCCTATAGTGCAAAAAAACACTAGAACTATTCCTCCTATCTAGCTGGGGTTTTTTGTTTGTTTGTTTGTTTGTCTTTTGCTTTTTCAGACAGGGTCTCACTCTGCCCCCTAGGCTGGAGTGAAGTGGTGCAATCACAGCTCACTGCAGCCTTGACCTCTTGGGCCCAAGTGATCCTCCCACCTCAGCTTCCAGAGTAGCTGGGACCGCAGGCATGCACCAACATGCCTGGCTAATTTCTAAATTTTTTATAGTGATGGGATCCCCCTATGTTGCCCAGGCTGGTCTCAAATTCCTGGTTTCAAGTGATCCTCCCACCTCAGCCTCCTAAAGGGGTAGGATTATAGGCGTTAGCCACCAGCCATGTACTCTTGTATCTCTTAACCTGTTAGCCAACCTTTGGCTACCCCCTCTCCCTTACCCTTCCTCACCTCTAGTAAACACTACTCTAAGCAAATAGATCTTAAATATTCTTACCACAAAAATAATAATAAAAGTATGTGAGGTGATGAAAATGTTAACTTGATTTAATCATTTCATAATGTATGCACATATCAAAACATCACATTGAACACTGTAAACATACACAATTTTTATTTATCAATTATACTTTAATAAAGATGGAGGAAGAATTGAATATAATGTTAAAACAAAAAACAATTGCAGGCCAGGTGCGGTGGCTCACGCCTGTAATCCCAACACTTTGGGAGGCCGAGGCAGGTGGATCACCTGAGGTTGGGAGTTGGAGATGAGCCTGGCCAATGTAGTGAAACCACATCTCTACTAAAAATACAAAAATTAGCTAGGTGTGGTGGCACACACCTGTAATCCCAGCTACTTGGGAGGCTGAGGCAGGAGAATCACTTGAACCCAGGAGGCAGAGGTTGCAGTGAGCTGAGATCGTGCCACTGCACTTCAGCCTGAGCAACAGAGTGAGACTCCGTTTCAAAACAAAACAAAACAAAACAACAACAACAAAACAATTGCAAAACCTAAAGAAAATCATTAATCTAGTCCAGACCAGCCTTTTACAGATGAGGTCACTGAAGTGCAGAGTGGTGAACTGACTTGTCTGATGTTACACAGCAAGTCATGGCACAGCTTGACCTGAAACCCAAAGCCAAGTTGTTTTCTATTACCTCCAGGTCCTTCAGTCCAGCCCTCCTGGGGCTCTGCCTTGGGAACTGGTATTGGTGACAAACGGATTAGAGAGGAACATGCATGGAGCTCTCCATTTAGACTGACATATTCGCATTGTGCCTGGGCACCGGCAAGAAACAGTGCAAGCTCCAAGAGTGCTCGCCCCAACCCTTTTCCCCCTCCCCATCCTCTCTCATAACCAACTTCAGCTAAAAGGTCTGAGAAGAAAAGGGAATCTTAGATGACTCTCACTAGGGTGTAAATGACTCCCACCATGATTTTTGTTTTATTGAGACATAACCCCAAAAGCAGTTTGATGGATAGTGTGCCAGGCAGTAGGATGAAGACAGATGGGGAAACTGCCTGGGGTCATGGAGAAGGTGGAGGCACTGAGGCCCTGAGTGATTTTATAAGCACTTTAAGAAAGGTCCAGCACCATGATTTCTTACCTTCACTACCCAGGACCAATAAGGTCCCACGTCCTGACAGATTTTGTTTATCAGACAAATTGCACTCAGTCATGCTTCATTTTCCTCCAAGAGTTCCCAGGTTACATAGAATTGAGATAATCTCCCCACCTTGCCATCACCCCCACAAAGACACTCCATGTTTCTGTTTACAATACAGTCTTATATGGATTGATATTAGATTTTCAGGTGCTCTTTGCATTTTGCAACTATTGCTCAAGCTGGAGACCCAAAACGAGCACTAGCTTTACAGTCAAAGACCCCTGGGTTCCAGTTTCAGCTGAGAGACTGTAAGCACATCGCTAGCCCACTCTGATCCTGTCTCCTAGTTGTATAATCACCTCTTTCCCATCAATTGCGAGGCTGGAGAGAAAAGTGTCCACTCTGTGCCCAGTACACAGTAGGAGCTTAGTAAGCTTAAGCTCTCTTGCTTCCTCACTATCCTAAAGTGGTAGCGGAAAGACAGATGTGGGGAATGGCACCTGGGAGGCTCCAGCTGTATGCTTCACAATCCTACCAACGAAAAATCTGAATTAGGCTTCAGTTTCCCGTCTACAAAATGAGACAGGACAGGAGTGGGTAGGAAGAGGAGGAGCTTGGCCTTGTTGGTTTAAGCTGGGCTCGTCTGATTCTGTAACGCGGGCTTCATTGCAGGGTCCAGCCCACTCCCCAGCCAGGGCTTCGTGTGCTCTGAATGTCTTTTGGCCAAGTCCAAGGCTATCCAGGGTCGGGGTCGGGAGGCTGGGTGGAGGGTAGTAGGGTGGAGAGAAGCAGTTCCCGCATATAACCTGCAGGTGGCACCAGAGCAGCGCGGGAGCCGAGGGTTCCGCTCCAGCCTTCCTGGAGACCCGAGCAGGGCGGGGTAGGGCAAGGCAGAGGTTGTGCACACCGCTCATCTGGGCAGTGGCACAGGGCTGCGGATCAGTCCACACTGTTTGAAATAGACACATGGGTCGTCTGGCTCATTTCCTCTCTTTGGTAGGGTGATCATATGCTTTATCATCCAAATTCTTCGGAGAGTGAAAGGGACACTATTATAATTGCACCGGCACAACAGACATAACCTTAGCTGTACCTTGCAAACCAGAACATATTGCAACCCTACCCTCCGGTCACTTTTTCTTCCTTGTTTCCATTCTTTCTTTTAATTTATTTTCTTTTTAAACACACAGCATTCTCTTTCCCCCAAGCACCACTGTCTTTGAAAATGCCCTTGCAATTGGGATATTTTCAACAGGGCAACATCTGCTTTCGCATCTTGAGTCTGAACAGTGTCTCTGAACCCACCCCAAAGGCTGGTTTTAGCTTCCAGTCAGAAGACTCTGTTCTCTGGCTTACCATCCCCATGACTCAAGAATTAAAGATGTCAGACGTGGAACAGTGACCCTTATCTCAACTTTGGTGCCTCTTTGCTAAATTTATTCCTGTAATTTTGTTCTGAGTGCTCATGTCCTTTATCTCATTGAATTTACATATATTAGTTTATCAAATTACAAGCAGACAAGCCCCATTAAGCAGGATTCTTATATTTCCAAGATCACCCCATTACTCCATTCAACCCCAAATTAGCATGCCATTTATCTCCTTGTTTCTGAACCGTCTTCACTTAATAGTCTCGTAAACATCCATCCATTGCAAAAAGGACTCAAACTGTTCTCACTTCCATTTTTAGTTGATTCATTGATATCCAAGTAATTGATTTGTCTGGAGGAGTCATTAGTAGAGAACTGTGCCCTTAAATTTAGTTTTATAGTGGAATTCTGCTAATTAATATCTCTCTGTGTCATTCTCACATTGCAGCAAATGACCATGGGTTTCTATCTTAACCTAAAATCTAGGTTAGAAATTTGATCTTATCTGAGTAAGATATTAATAGATAATGTGAGGCTTTTTTAAATTTACTGAACATTTTCTCAGCTAAGAATGACACTCATGGTCACAAATATCTATGTAAGCAAGCAGAAAATTGGGCTGTAAATATATAAACACTTAAAATATCATGTTTAGAGACAAGATTTTCCTTTTTTTTTCTTTTTAGTAAAGTATATTTGCTATGGTTGGAATGTTTGTGTCTCCTCCAAAATTCATGTTGGAACTTAAACCCCCATGTGATAGTATTAAGGGGTGGTGTCTTTAGGAGATGACTAAATCGTGAGGGAGGAGCCCCCTCATGAATGGGATTAGCGACCTTATGAAAGGGCTTGAGGGAGCGACCTAGCTCAGTTTTCTTCTTTTGCTTTTCTGTTCTTTCCACCATGCTGGGACACAGCGTTTCTCACCTCTGGAGGACTCAGCATTCAAGGTGCCATCTTGGAAGCAGAGAGCAGCCCTCACTAGACTACAAACCTGCTGGCGCTTTGATCTTGGACTTCCCACCCACCAGAACTGTGAGAAATACATTTTTGTTCTTTACACATTACCCAGTCTCAGATATTTTGTTACAGCAGCACACATGGACTAAGACAGTATCTTACATACAGCGAGGTGCATATACCTTAAGCTACAACTCCTTACTATTTACATATGTGCACACTCATGTGACCGCCACTCAGCTCAAGATACAGAATGTTCCCATCAGCACAGAGGGCTCCCTCTTGCGCCTTCTTAGTTGCTGTCCCTGCAAAGTTAACCAGGATCCTGACCTCTGTCACCATGGATTAGTTTCACCTGTTCTTGAACTTCATATAAATGGGATCATTCAGTATGTGCAGGTTTGTGGCTGGCTTCTTTCACTCAACATAATCCTGTGAGATTTAGCCATGTTTTGGGTACTGGTAGTTGTTTATTTTTCTGGTTGTGTAGTTTTCCATATTTCATTTATTACCCTTCTGTTTTTATGTCTAACTCAGTGTTTTGTGGGGTATATTGGTCCTTTTTAGCTAGATTGATATTAAACATCTTATCAATGAAGCTTAGGAGATTTTTAGAAGACAAAAGCCTAATAAACTCAAGCCCCCCAAACTTAAGCCAAGTTTCCTTCTCACCCCTGCTTGAGTTGTTCTTCTTCATGTGGTATTCTTTTCCTCACAAAGCTGAGGGAAAATCAAGGAACACAAGAGCTCTTCATCATGTTATCAGCTTAGGGATGCTTGTCATCTGAATAACAGGGTAGATATTTATAATCCAAAATGTTAAAATAACTAGAGCAAACACTTACATAGCACTGACTGCTGTTCACAGTGCTTTACATATATTATTTTCCTCAAAACAACTCTGTGAAATAGACACTATTATTGTCATCCCCACATTTTAGATGGGGAAATGGAGGCACAGAGAGACCATGTAACTCTCCCAAGGTGGTAGGGCCAGGACTTGAACCTGGGTTTTCTGGTTTTAGAGCCTGCACCCTTCACCACCACACCATATTGTGTAGCATGATACTTCCTGTGGTTAAAGTGTTTTCTTATATTAGCTTGGGAGCTTTTCTGAATAATTCAAATCTTATAAATTTGCTTCAAAGAATACAAGAAATTGAAATGGAAGATCTAATATAGAATGTGTGGGATTCATGAATAAATTATAGGACTCTCTGGTTTTAATAATAATTATTTGCTTATCTTGTGACTTTTGTCAGGCAGGGTTATAATGTGCTATCCTCATTTTCCTCCTCTTCAACGGGAGGAGATGGGCTCAGAGACAGGCACAATTTATCATAAAGTCTCATCACACTTTCCCTCACCATCTGGAAGCTGGAGATAGGTTTGTGAAATCTTGGTTGAGAAAGAGTTGAATGCCACTTGTAGCATAGTGAGTTTTATAAAGATGGTTTTACTAGCCAGTTCTGTTGCAGAGAGTCCTGCAAGTTTTTGCAATTAATGTGACCAACAGTTTTCTCACAAAGATTATCAGGGCTCTAGAGGAAATTATCTTCCAGTTTTATTCTGCTGCTAAAGTGCTCTATTTCTTTATAGATGAACTAATTAATTCTTGGTCACTTGTTCTCCCTTAGACATTTCTCTGCCTCTTTATGCTGTGCTTTATGTCTCTTTATGCTCAGCCCCAGGTTTTTCCTTCTAACTGCAAGAAGAAGATTATTGAAATTTTCTCTCTCTCAAACTCCCAGGCTCAAGTGATCCTCCCCTGTCTACCTCTTGTGTAGCTGGCATTACAGGTGTGCACCACTGCACCCTGCTGATTTTCTCTTTAACCTTCCCCCTGAGCATGTGTACACACACACACACACACACAAACATACATATAGACACACAGACCTCCACATGTATACACACACACAGAGACACACATATATCCACACATACTCATTAGAAATACATTTACACACACACACACGTGCACACACACGTATACCCACCTTCCTTCCATCTTCTTCTCAGGACTCAGGGCTCTCAGAGTAGTGGAAAGAGTCTTGTACCATGAGTCAAGGATCAACTGTGCAACTTTGCTCAAGTGTCCTTCCTTTTGAGATCTCATCTATAATAAACATTCTTATGTTTATTATAGATAACCAAAATAACCCATCAATTAGGGTTATTTTGAAGATAAAACAGATAGGAAGGATAACAGAATGATGACATGTTAAAAAATTAAGCTTGACCAAAAAAAGGTCTGGCTTTTGTCCTAGACTCCTGGGAGGTAATCTTCAACACGTAATGCCTGATAGGAATATCTTTGCCTGGGGATCTTGGGTCATGATGGATAGTCTAATAATAAGATGGTGGGGGCCGGGCGCGGTGGCTCACACCTGTAATCCCAGCACTTTGGGAGGCTGAGGCGGGCGGATCACAAGGTCAGGAGATCGAGACCATCCTGGCTAACATGGTGAAACCTCGTCTCTACTAAAAATACAAAAAATTAGCTGGGCGTCATGGTGGGCACCCGTGGTCCCAGCTACTTGGGAGGCTGAGGCAGGAGAATGGCGTGAACCCAGGAGGCAGAGCTTGCAGTGAGCCGAGATCGCACCACTGCACTCCAGCCTGGGTGACAGAGTGAGACTCCGTCTCAAAAAAAAAAAAAAAGAAAAAAAAAAAAAGATAGTGGGAACTAGCCAAGCCAGGAAAAGTGACTATGTGATTTAGAGTCCAGGCTTTAGGTCACCCCTAAAAGGACTGGAGACTGGAAACTGAGAGCAGCCACATGGACAATCAATCATGCCTCTTTGATGAAGTTCCAATAAAAACCCTGAACACTGAGGCTTGAGGGAGCCTCACTGGCTGAGAATACTCCATGTGTATTGGCACATAGCAAAGCCGGGAGGGTAATGCACTCTGACTGCATGGGGAAGGGATAATGGACACTCCATGCCTGGTGCTCTCCTGGACCCAGCACTATGCCTTTCTTCCCCTGGCTGATTTTAATCTGTCTCCTTTCCATGTAATCAAGCCATAACTATGAGTATAACAGCTTTCTGTGAGTTCTAGCCAATTCTTAGAGGTAAGCAAGCAGAGCTCATCTACTGCCTGCTTGAAAAAAACTATTTAAAAATCCCTAAACTGAAGAAGGCCAGAGCTCTCATGAATCTGACTCAACAGTTTTTGAAGCCAAAGCTGAGGGCATTTGAAGCCAAAGCCAGGCCAGACAGAGATGAGGCTCCTGGGGGGGAACAGGTGCAGTCCTGCTCAGGCTGCGGTGTCCCTGGGCTACAGCTCGATGAGGACTCCTTCTGGGTCACAGCTTCTAGGGGAAGAGTTTGGGGCAGGTTGACTGTCTGATTTGTAGGACTCTGGTGATGAGCTCAGCTGGGAAACTGTGTGGTAATGGGAAGAGAATGGTTTTGCTTTTCCAAATCATCTACCCCCTGTATGCTTGGATCCACATGGGAACTCAGTGTGGAAACTGCCTTTGAAGAGCCTAACCCTGAACTCTGGGCCATGTGTCCAGTTTCCTGGCCTCCAGCTTTGTTCACTCCTTACCCCTACCCATCACTGATGCCAGATCCATCCTCCCAAATATCCTTTCATCCTGTTACCCTCCCCACCACCTCATGGCACCTTCTACATGACAGGAAATGCCTCCCACCTCAGCCTGGCATTCAAGGTTCTTTTGATGTGGCCACCTCTCACCACCCCACCACATCTCCCTGTGGGCCCTGCCAACTTGGATCAATTTTTCCTATCCATGAGCTGAACTTTCCCACCTCCATACTGTTGCTTACACTGTGACCTTCCTCTGAATATTCTCTTCCTCCCTCTTCCCAAGTCCAAATGCTATAGACTGAATTGTGTCTCCCCAAAATTCACACTTGGAGCCCTAACCCCTATGTGATTGTATTTGGAAACAGGGCTCTTAGGAGGTAAAGTTAAGTGAGGGAGGAGGGGCAGAGCAAGATGGCTGAATAGCAGTCTCCATCAGTGATTCTCCTTGCAGGAAAATCAAATTTAACAACTGTCTACACCAAAAAAGCATCATCATAAGAACCAAATATCAGGTGAGGACTCACAGTACCTGGGTTTAACTTCATAACACTGAAAGAGGCACTGAAGAGGGTAGGAGAGACAGTCTTGAAACACCGAGGCCATTCCTCTCCCATCTCCCAGCAGCGGCCGCTGTGGTGCTGAGAATCTGTGCACCTGGGGGAGGGAGAATGCAGCAACTGTGGGACTCTGCCTTCAACTCAGTGCTGCCCTGTCACAGCAGAAAGTGAAACCAGGTGGAACTCATGTGACACCTGCCCATGGAGGGAGCATTTAGACCAGCCCTACCCAGAGGGGTTCACCCATCCCAGTAGTTAGGAGGCTTGAGGCTTGGGTTTTGACAAGCCTTGGCATGGCAGGCTATTATGCCCTGGGGCCCTAAATACACTTGAAAGGCAGTCTAGACCATAAGGACTTCAACTCCTAGTCAAGTCCTGATGCCATGCTGGGCTCAGAGCCAGTGGACTCAGGTGGCACACAACCTAGAGAGACACCAGCCAGGGCAGCCAAGGGAGTGCTTGCACCACCCCTCCCGCAACCCCAGGCAGCGCAGCTTGCAACAACTAAACTGACTTCTTCCTTTTGCTTGAGGAGAGGAGGGGGAAGAGTAAAGAGGACTTTGTCTTACATCTTGGATACCAGCTCAGCCACAGTAGGATAGAACACCAGTCAGAGTAGAGAGGCCCCCATTCCAGAACCTAGCTCCTGAAGTGACATTTCTAGACACACCCTGGGCCAAAAGGGAATCTGCTGCCTTGAAGGAAAGAACCCAGTCCTGGCAGGATTCATCACCTGCTGACTCAAGAGCCCTTGGGCCCTGCAGAGCCAACAGTGATACCCAGGTGGTATGCTTTGGGCCTGGAGTAAGGCTCTGAGACATGCTGGCTTCAGGTGAGACCTAGCATATTCCCAGCTATGGTGGCTGTGGTGAGAGACTTCTTCTACTTGAGAAAAGCAGAGGGAAAGGTAAAAGGGACTTTGTCTTGCAGCTTAGGTACCTCCCTGGACACAATGGGGCAGAGAGCACCAAATGGGCTCTTGTGGTTACTGATTCTAGGCCTTGGCTATTAGACAAGCCCTGGACCAGACAAGCTATTGGACCTGCCCTGGGCCAGAGGGGAGCCCACTGCCCTGAAGGGTGAGTCCCAGGCCTAGAAGCATTCACCACAGGCTGACTGAAGAGCCCTTGGGCCCTAAGTGAACATTGACAGTAGCCTGGCAGCACTCCCTGTGGGCCTGTGGAGGTGGCCACAGGGTGAGGCTCCTCCTCCTGTGGAATGGGGAAGGAAGAATGGCAAGGACTTTGTCTCATGGTTTCAGTGCCAGCTCAGCCATCATAGAATAAAGCACCAGGTAAATTTCTAAGGTTTTTGACTCTAGTCCCTGGCTCCCAGACAGCATCTCTGGACCCACCAGGGCCTGAGGGAACTCGTTGCCCTGAAGGGAAGGACACAAGCCTGGCTGGCTTTGCCACCTGCTGACTGTAGAGCCCCAGGGCCTCGAGTGAACATAGGCGATAGCCAGGTAGTGTTGACAGTGGGCCCTGAGTGAGACCCAGTGCTTTGCTGGCTTTAGGTCTGACCCAGTGCAGTCTCAGTGGTGGTGGCCATAGGGATGTTGTGTCAGCCCACTCCCAGCTCCAAGTGGCTCAGCAGAGAGCGAGAGAGCGAGAGCGAGAGAGAGAGAGAAAGAGAGACTGAAACTATTTAGGAGAAATTACAGGTAAAGAATAAGAGTCTCTGCCTGGTAGTCCAGAGAATTCTTCCAGATCTTATCCAAGACCACCAAGGCAATACCTCTATGAGTCTTCAAGCACCATAGCATAACTGGGCTTGGAGAGTCCCCTAATACAGATACAGCTTAGATCATAACACCCACATCCTTTCAAGTACCTGGAAAGCCTTCCCAAGGATGAGTACAAACAAGCCCAGACTGAGAATACTATAGTAAATACCTAACTCTTCAATGCCCAGGCACTAATGAACATCCACAAGCATCAAGACCATCCAGGAAAACATGACCTCATCAAACAAACTAAGGCACCAGGGACCAATCCTAGAGAAACAGAGATATGTAACCTTCCAGAAAGAGAATTCAAAATAGTGTAATCCCAGCACTTTGGGAGGCCAAGGTGGGCGGATCACGAGTTCAGGAGATCGAGACCATCCTGGCTAACATGGTGAAACCCCGTCTCTACTAAAAATACAAAAAATTAGCCAGGCATGGTGGCGGGCACCTGTAGTCCCAGCTATTCAGGAGGCTGAGGCAGGAGAATGGTGTGAACCCAGGAGGCGGAGCTGGCAGTGAGCCGAGATCACGCCACTGCACTCTAGCCTGGGCGACAGAGCGAGACTCCGTCTCAAAAAAAACAAAAAAAAAAAATAGTGGTTTTGAGGAAACTTAAATTCAAGATAACACAGAGAAAGGATTCAAAATTCTATCAGATAAATTTAACATGATTAAATAATTAAAAAGAATCAAGCAGAAATTCTGTAGTTGAAAAATGCAAATGACATAATGAAGAATGCATCAGAGTCTCTTAATAGTAAAATTGATCAAGCAGAAGAAAAAGTTAGTGAGCTTGAAGACAAGCTATTTGAAAATACACAGAGGAGACAAAAAAATAAAAAATGAAGCATGCCTACAAGATCTAGAAAATAGCCTCAAAAGGGCAAAGCTAAGAGTTATTGGCCTTAAAGAGGAAGTAGAAAAATAGACAGAGGTAGAAAGTTTATTCAAAAGGATAATAACAGAGAACTTTCCAGACCTAGAGAAAGATATAAATATTCAAGTACAAGAAGGTTATAGAACACCAAGCAGATTTAACCTAAAGAAAACTACCTCAAGGCATTTAATACGCAAACTCCCAAAGGTCAAGGATAAAGAAAGGATCCTAAAGCAGCAAGAGAAAAGAAACACATAACATACAATGGAGCTCTAATACATCTGGCAGCAGACTTTCAGTGGAAACCTTACAGGCCAGGAGAGTGTGGTGTGATATATATATATATATATATATATATATATATTTTTTTTTTTTTTTTTTTTTTTTTTTTCAAGACCGAGTCTTGCTCTGTCACCCAGGCTGGAGTACAGTGGCGTGATCTCGGCTCACTGTAACCTCTGCCCCCTGGGTTCAAGCAATTCTCCTGCCTCAGCCTCCTGAGTAGCTGGGATTACAGGTGTCTGCCACCACACCCGGCTAATGCTTGTAATTTTAGTAGAGACGGGGTTTCACCATGTTGGCCAGGCTGGTCTTGAACTCCTGACCTTGTGATCCACCCGCCTCGGCCTCTCAAAGTGCTGGGATTACAGGTGTGAGCCACTGTGCCTGGCTGGCATGACATATTTTAAGTGCTGAAGAAAAAAATATTTTACCCTAGAATAATATATCCAGCGAAAATATCCTTCAAACCTGAAAGAGAAATAAAGACTTTCCCAGACAAACAAAAGTTGTGGGATTTCATCAACACCAGACCTATCCTACAAGAAATGCTAAAGGAAGGTCCTCAATCAGAAACAAAAGGATATTAGCGAGCAATAAGACATCATCTGAAGGTACAAAACTCAGTGGTAATAGTAAGTACACAGAAAAACACAGAATATAACACTGTAATTATTGTGTGTAAATGACTCCAGTAGAAAGACTAAAAGATAAACCAAACAAAAATAATAACTACAACAACTTTTCAAGACACAGCTCAATAAGATGTAAATAGAAACAACAAAAAGTTAAAAGGCTGAGGGACAAAGTGAAAGTGTAAAGTTTTTGTGTTTTCTTTTTGCTTATTTGTTTGCTTCTTTATGCAAGCAATATAAAGGTGTCATCAGTTTAAAATAATGGGTTATAAGATAGTATTTGCAAGCCTCCTGGTAATCTGAAATCAAAAAAACATACAATGAATACACACACACAAAAACAAGAAATTAAATTTTACATCCAGAGAAAATCACCTTCACCAAAAGGAAGAAAGGAAGGAAGGAAGGAAAGAAGAAAGAGAAGACCATAACAACTAGAAAGCAAATAAGAAAAGGGCAAGAGTAAGTCCTTACGCCCTGTAGGCCTGATCAATAATAATATTGAATGTTAATGGACTAAACTCTCCAATGAAAGAGTAGCTGAATGGATTAAAAAAAAAAGACCCAATGAGTTATTGCCTACAAGAAACACACTACACCTACAAAGACACACACAGATTGAAAATAAACGGATGGAAAAAGATATTCCATGCCAATGAAACTAATAAAGAGCAGGAGTGGCTATACTTATAACAGACTAAATAAATTTCAAGACAAAAACTATAAGAAGAGACAAAGAAGGTCATTATATAATGATAAAGGGATCAATTCAGGGCTGGGCACGGTGGCTCATGCCTGTAAACCCAGCACTTTGGGAGGCCAAGGTGGGCAGATCACGAGGTCAGGAGATCGAGACCATCCTGGCCAACATTGTGAAACCCCGTCTCTACTAAAATACAAAAAAATTACCTGGGTGTGGTGACGCGTGCCTGTAGTCCCAGTTACTCGGGAGGCTGAGGCAGGCGAATCACTTGAATCTGGGAGGTGGAGGTTGCAGTGAGCTGAGATCACAACACTGCACTCTAGCCTGGGGGACAGAGTGAGACTCCATCAAAAAAACAAAAAAACAAAACAAAAAAAAAAACGAGAGAGAGAGGTCAATTCAGCAATAGGATATAACAATTTTAAATAGATATGCACCCAACACTAGAGCACCCAGATATATAAAGCAAAGTCTATCAGAGCTAAAGAGAGAGATAGACCCAATACAATAATAGCTGGAGACTTTAACACCCTACTTTCAGCATTGGATAGATCTTCTGGACAGAAAATCAACATAGAAACATTGAATTTCATCTTCACTGTAGATAAATGGACCTAATAGATATTTACAGAACATTTTATCCAATGGCTACAGAATACACATTCTTTTCCTCAGCACATTGATCATTCTCAAGGATAGATCATATCTTAGGTCACACAACAAGTCTTAAAACACTCAAAAAAACTAAAATAATATCAAGCATCTTCTCTGGCCACAATGGAATAAAACTAGAAATTAATAACAGCAGAAAATTTGGAAACTATACAAATATATGAAGATTAAATAATATGCTGTGGGTCAATGAAGAAATTAAGAAGGAAATTGAAAGATTTCTTGGAACAAATGATAATGGAAACAAAACACACCAAAACTTATGGGATACAACAAAAGCAGTAGTAAGAGGAAAGTTTACAGCTATAAACATCTACTTTTAAAAAGTAGAAAAACATCAAATAAACCACCTAACAATACATTTTAAAGAAATAGAAAAGCAAGAGCAAATCAAACCCAAAATTAGTAGAAGAAAACAAATAAGAAAGATCAGAGCAAAAATAAATGAAATTGAAATGAAGGAAACTATACAAAGCATCAATGAAATGAAAAGTTGTTTTTTTTAAAAGATAAACAACACTGACAAACTTTTAGCCTAAGACTAAGAAAAAAAGAGAAAAGACCGAAGTAAAAAAAATCAAAGATGAAAAAGGAAACATTACAACTGATACCGCAAAAATTCAAAGGATCACTAGTGGCTATCATAAGCAACTATATGCAAAGAAATAGGAAAACCTACTAAAAATGGATAAATTTCTAGATACATCCAGCCTACCAAGATTGAACCATGATGAAATCCAAAACCTGAATAGACCAATAACAAATAATGAAATCGAAGCAGCAATAAAAATTATCCCAGCAAAGAAAAGCCTGGGAACCAATGGCTTCAATGCTGAATTCTACCAAACATCTAAAGAACTAATACCAACCTTACCCAAACTATTCCAAAAATAGAGGAGGGAATACTTCCAAACTCATTCTACAATGCTAGTATTACCCTGATACCAAAACTGAAGATACATTAAAGAACAAAAAATACAGACCAATATCACTGATGAATATAGATGCAAAAATCCTCAATAAAACATTAGCAAATTGAATTCCACAACACATTAAAAAGATCATTCATCATGACCAAGTGGGATTCATCCCGGAAGGACAGTTCAACCTACACAAATCAATCAATGTGATACATCATGTCAACAGAATGAATGACAAAACTACATGATCATTTCAATGAATGCTGGAAAAGCATTTGATAAAATTTCACATCCATTCCTGATTAGAAAACCCTTGAAAAACTGAGAATAGAAGGCATATGCCTCAACATAATAAAAGCCATATGCAACAGACCCACAGCTAGTTTCATACTGAATGGGAGAAAACTGAGAGCCTCTTCTGTAAGATCTGGAACATAACAAGCATACCCACTTTCATCACCTTTCATCACTGTTAATCAACATAGCTTTGGAAATCCTAGCTAGAGCAAACAGATAAGAGAAAGAAATAAAGGGCATCCAAATTGGAAAGGAAGAAGTCAAATTATTCTTATTTGCAGATGACATAATCTTGTATTTGGAAAACCCTAAAGACTCACACACAAAAAAACTATTAGAACTGATAAACTAATCCAGTAAAGTTGTCGGATACAAAATCAACATACAAAATTCAGTGGCATTTCTATATGTCAACAGAGAACAATCTGAAAGAGAATTCAAGAAATTAATTCCATTTACAATAGCTACAAATAAAATAAAATACATAGGAATTAACCAAAGAAGTAAAAGTTCTCTACAATGAAAACAATATACTGATACAAGAAATTGAAGAGGACACAAATGAAATGAAAAGATATTCTATGTTCATGGATTGGAAGAATCAGTATTGTTAAAATGTCCATAGTACCCAAAGCAATCTAAAAATTCAATGCAATGTCTATCAAAACATCAATGACATTCTTCACAGAAATAGAAAAAAATCCTAAAATTTATATGAAATTACAGAAGACCCAGCATAGACAAAGCTATCCTAAACAAAAAGAACAAAACTAGAGTAATCACATTACCTGACTTCAAATTATACTAGAGAGCTAAGTAGTCAAAACGACATGGTACTGGCATAAAAACAGATGCCAAGAATACACATTGTGGAAAGAACAGTCTCTTCAATAAATGATGCTGAGAAAATTGGATTTTTTAATATGGCAAGAGATAGGGGCTTGATTTCATTCTTCTGCATATGGATATCCAATTTTCCCAGAAACATTTATTGAAGAGACTGTCCTTTCCACAATGTGTATTCTTGGCAATTTTGTCAAAAATAAGTTCCCTGTAGATGTATGAATTTATTTCTGGGTTCTCTATTCTATTTCATTGGTCTATGTGTCAATTGCAACCACATGGATGGAACTGGAGGTCATTATGTTAAGTGAACTAAGCCAGACACAGAAAAACAAACTTCACATGTTCTCACTTATTTGCAGAAGCTAAAGGTTAAAATAACTGAACTCATGGAGATAGAGTAGAAGGATGGTAACCAGAGGCTAGGAAGGGTAGTGGGGTGATGGTAAGGAAGTGGGGGTTGTTAATGGTACAAAAAATTAGTTAGAAAGAATATGACCTAGTATTAATAGCACAACAGGGTGACTGTAGTCAATAATAATTTACTTATACATTCCAAAATAACTAAAAGAATGTAATTGGATTGTTTGTGATACAAAGGATAAATGCTTGAGGTGATGGATACCCCATTTACCAGATGTAATTATTATCCATTGCATGCCTAGTGCTGCGAGATGTGTTTCCCATGCTACCCTGCTGATTCCTCCTCCCCGGGGCAGTCAGGAAGGTGGTTTGCATTTCTCAGTTCAGCTGTTCCCAAAGAGATGGGCCAACCCAAACCCCATAGTCCCTCTGGCCAACACTGAAGGTATTTTGTGGGTTTCAGCCCCATGGGCGATATTCTGTCAATCTAGAATGTGTCTGACCTACAGTCACAGTGAGATAGTGAAGGCCTTGAGTGCCTGCCAAGAGCTGGAGCTTTATCAGGCAGAGCAAGGTCTCTGGGAAGAAGGAGAAACACTGGTGCACCCTGCTGGTGAGGGAGCTGGCGCCTGTGGCAGGGGTCTGGGGGCTCTCTCCTTGCACATCCAGCTGGGCCTAAAAGTAGTACGTCCCATCTGACTTTTTCCAAGGAGAGTTTGACTTCCTTTCCCAGCACTGAACTTGTTTCTGCTTGACATAGTGACAAAACTGTGTGTATTTTACCTGGGGCTGGAGATCAGTCAGCATCAAAAGTAGCA
Organism: Homo sapiens; assembly: GCF_000001405.40. Lineage (NCBI taxonomy): Eukaryota > Metazoa > Chordata > Mammalia > Primates > Hominidae > Homo > Homo sapiens. The sequence continues at coordinate 78,695,808 of NC_000015.10, read as the reverse complement.
ATTTAAGAAGACAAGACTGGCGAAGGGAATGTAGCCCTGAACTATCCAAAGGCCAAAATACTTTTTTTGTGGCCTTCAAGGCCCCTGGTGTCTGGCTAAAAGGAAGAGCACAAAGATGTATGGCTGAAGGTCTGTGTTCTCATCCCATCTCTGCTATCAAGCTACTATGTGCAAACACTCAACCTCTCTGAACCTCAGTTTCCTCATCTGTAAATTGATGAGAATATTGCCACCCTCCCTGGGCTTATGGGAGGTTCAAATCAAGTTCAGCTCTACATAGATATTTGACACTGATTTGCAGTCTTCCTCAGCTGCCCCCTGCAAGCTCTCAGTTCCTTATCTGCTGGGGCTGGAGGTAAAAGGACCAATCAGGAGGCAGCTGAGGCTTTCCACAGAAGTGCCCCTGGGTAGCAGAATCAGAGTATAACCAAAAAAGGACCCTCAGTGATAAAGGAGAATGACAGAAAGGAGGGGAGACAAAGGAAGGGAGGTGGGCTTGAGGGTGGGGTGCAAAAGCTGTTCATTCATCTCTCATTTATTTGAACCTATCATGTGCCAAGCACCATGCTGGGCCTTGGGAACTCAGATGAACAAGACTCTCATTCATTCATTCATTCATTCATTCATTCATTCATTCATTGAACATATAGTTATTAAGGGACTTGTATGAAGCTGCCAGGTTCTGGCATAGAGAGGGGGGGTCAGGTAAGCAAATGAGCAATTGCAATCCAGGCTGGTGAGTAGACTAGGAGAGGATGTAGAGAGGGGGGCAAAGGGCACTGCAGATGGAGGAGGCCTCCTATTCTGAGGCTGCAAGGAATTCCCCAAGGCTGGAAGGGACAGTATGTGTTGTGGTTAGAGGGGAGGCTGAAAAGGCCAAGAAAGACCCTGAATGCCACCAAGAGTTTGGAACACATGTACGTAGCTACTGAGCACCTTCCCAAAGGGAAACGCCAGACTCAGATTTTAATTTGGCTACAGTGTGGCGAGTGGAATGAAACTGGGGGATGAAGCAAAGAGGAGGGTAAGAAGGAAGAGATGAGACTGTGGAGATGGTTGAGAGGACTGGGTGACTGGCCTTTAGAGGGTAGGGAGAGGGGACAGGCAGCCATGCAGCCTGTATTCACTGAATGGGAGCAGAGCAGAGTGTTGGGGAACTTACTAACCAGGCAGGCTGCTAAGCCCACCCCAGGTGCACTGAATCAGAATCTCTGGAGTGGGGCTCAGCAATGTGTATACTGCAGCTCAGTGTTCCTGGTCTTGGTGGTCGTGTAGAGGATCCCTAAGACCAGCCATGGGCTCAATGATTTGTTATAAGGATGCAAAGGACTTAGAAAAGCCATTATACCCTTGGTCATGGTTCATTACAGGGAAAAGATACAGATTAGAATCCGCAAAGGGAAAAGGGACAAAGTCTAGGAGAAACCAGGCACCAGCTTCCAGTTATGCTTTCCCAGTGGAGTTGCACAGACAGTGGTTAATTCTCCCAGCAATGATGTGTGACAGCACATGCTAAGTGTTGTCTACCTGGGAAGCCCACCCAGGCAAGCCTTAGTGTTCAAGGTTTTTCTTGGGGGGTCAGTCATGCAGGCATGCAGCTCCTGGGTGACTGACCCCAGCTACTCAGGCTTCAGTCCTTAAAGAAGTCGTATTGATACACCAAGGCCCAAAGTCTCAGGCATACAAAAACATTCTTACAAGGCAGAATATTCAGCCAGGTGTGGGCATGGTGGCTCACGCCTGTAATCCCAACACTTTGGGAGGCCGAGGCAGGTGGATCAACTGAGGTCAGGAGTTCGAGACTAGCCTGGCCAACATGGCGAAACCCCGTCTCTACTAAAAATAGAAAAAAATTAGCCAGGCCTGGTGGTGGGTGCCTGCAATCCCAGCTACTCGGGAACCTGAGACAGGAGAATCGCTTGAACCCAGGAGGCAGAGTTTGCAGTGAGCCCAGATCGTGCCGCTGCACTCCAGCCTGGGCAATGGAGTGAGAATCCACCTCAAAAAAAAAAATAAATAAATAAATAAAAGGCAGAATATTCTAAAGTTATCTCCCCAGATGTGGTCAAGGGCCAATCCTCTTTTTGGAATGTGCAGGGTTGGAGTGACCCAAGGCTGCTGAGCAAACTAACCCTTTACTGTCCAGTGGTCTATATTAGAATGGCCTGGGGAGCTTTCAGAATGCCCTATGGCCAGGCTGCACCCAGACCAATCACTCAGAGTCCCTGGAGAGTCTATCCAAGGTCAAGACCCACAGCCATAGATAGTAATTGGTACCAAAGGGGAGTGAGCTCATCCCAGAGGGAATGAGGAGAGAGTGGTCACAGGTGGAAGAGATGCCCAAGAGCAGTGGACTAAGGATCAGCAGAGGCTGCAGACTGCGAGAAGGATGGCACACAGAGAAGGAGAGCTAGAGAAAGGGCAGAGAACCAGGGTCCCCAGAGTCTGGACAGCAAAGAGAGAGAGTAGGCAGCCAAGTCACATAGTGATCTGGTGCCTTAGTCAGCTCAGGCTGCTATAACAAATTACTAGGTGGCTTAGACAGTCATTTATTTTTCATAGTTCTAGAGGCTGGGAAGTTGGAGATCAGGCTGCCAGCATGGTTTGGGTTGGGTGAGGACTCTTTTCTTGGTTTCTCCTATGGAACCTCCTTGCTATATCCTCACACGGCAAAGAGAGAGAGAGAAGGCCTACTTGCTCGTGTTTCTTCCTATAAGGGCATTAATTTCATCATGCAGGATACAAACATTCAGTGCATAGCACCTGGGAAGGCTCAGTTAGGCCCAGGGTGGGAACAGGATGCCAGGAGGTGCAAAAATTTCTGTCAGTCTGGCACTCTGTTCCCCCTCCCCCTCCCCTTCCTCCTCTTGCTCCTCCTCCTCCTTCTGATCCCCTCCCTCTTTCTTCTCTGCAGCTCTCCACTCCCTTCCTAGACTTTCTTCATAGAGCCAGAAGAGGGTACCTGAATTGGCCTGGACTGCTCAGCCTGTACGGTTCTGGGAGTGGGGTGGGGTGGATGGAGTGAACTCAGCAGGCACCCCCAGCTCTGCTCTCCTGTGGTGTGACTGGATCTCCAGGAGGGACTTCGACTTTTCCAGGTCTTAGCACTGAAGATGCTTTGGTGCTTCTGCACAGGGGAGAAAATTCAAAATAAAAACAAAACCATAAACCATGCAATACAACTTTTATATGGATGCTAAAAATAAAATGTTGTTTTGTTTTCTTAAAGTTTCCAATGGCAAAAGTCTGAATATTTGGAAGCTGAACCTCCTTTGCCCTCTTTTGGAGGATGTACTGGTTTTGTAGTCATCCGAAACCCGCCTTGGTTTACCTATGTACTGGGTCACCCAGTCCTGTGGACCTTTGAGTCTCAAGCCCATGCACACCAGGGCAAAGGCCTTTGGAACCCTAGTATTCTTCCTGGGGTGGGAAACACACTGACTCCTCTGCATTATCCCCCTCACCCCCACCCTAATGGCTCTGCAGGGGAGAAGGGCTTTGATGCATTATTCAGGGATCTTCAGGGCCAGCTCTCAGCTGATTCCCAACATGTGATTCACTATGAGCTGGAGCTCAGCTGAGCTCGGGGAAGACCCAGGTAAATAGAAGCCATCCCTGGCCTGGACTGGGAGCAGGGGGATGGGGCAGGACTCTGATCAGCATCAGTCTTGCCAGGCAGGGGCCCAGAAGCTTGGGGGGATTCTGGGGATGCCTTGGCCTGAGGCTGTAGGATCGTCCAAGATGGGTGTCCAGGAAGAGGGGAACATGAGCCACTGAAGCCATAGCCGAGACCCAGGCCATGGCACATGATAATATGTGGGATTCCTGGGGCAGGGCCTGTGTCTGGCATGTGGCAAGAGCTCAAAAACTAATGGTGGGATCAAATCCCCATGAGCAGAGCCCATCCAGGGTCACCAAAGAGCCTCCTGTCACCCTGGCCTGTCTCACTGGGGTTCTGCCTTGTTGATGCCGAAAATCTGAAGCTGATTACAGTAAGCAGTCAGTAGCCCTCTCCCAGCCTGGTCTTTCCTGGCCTCAGGCCACATACCACTTCCAGGAAGCCCTTGTTTTCCGCTGCAATGTGGCTTCCTCTGCTCCGAGTGTGGATCTGGTGTGAGCTTGGCATTGGAAGTCGCTTGGCTGGATTCAGACTCTAGGTCCCCAGTACAGCAAAGCCACTCATTAACCATGTGGTCTCAGGCAAGTGACTTAACCCCTCTGAGCCTTGATTTCCTCATCCATAAATGAAAACTAATACTAGTCCCTATTATCAGAGCTCACAGAGTGAAGTGCAGAGCACAGTGCTTGGCATATGAGAAGCACTAAGCATGTGTTAACTGGATGAACGAATGAGGAAATGAAGGAAGTGGGGCCTGCCCAGGGATTGACCTAGGGAAGCATCTCCTGGCTTCCTCCCGCTAAGGCTCTAGCCAAACCCTCCCCATCACTGAGAAGGCCTCGGGGCCAGCAGGTGATGTGAGGAGGAGAGAGTGACAGTGAGGAACACCTCCAGACCTGGGAGGGTCCTGTGGGGGCCCTTCCTGGCACCAGGAGATGAGGGAGAAAAGGATTAAAGGCAGGAGCTTTCCCAGGACGAATCAAGTCATTATAGGGTTGGATTGCAGGCGCTCAGTTTACATGATAAAGTTCCTTTTGGAAGGGGTGGAAATACTGGTTTTAAGAAACGATTTAGCTTGCATGACATGACTGCAAAGGGCAGAAATAAATATGAATGCCTAATCCAAATTCAGTCCTCTCCAAAAAGCATCCAACTCTCTGAAAGTTGGTTTTGAAGGAAGCTTTTCCCCCACTCCCATCCAGACCCTGCTCCTAAAAGGCAAGGTGTCCAATCATCTGGCAGGGGAAACAGCTTCAATTCTGCCCAGCCCTAGTTGTTCTTAATTAAAGAACAATCTGTTTTTTTTTTTTAACTCTTTGTTCTGTGATCTTTTTTACCCCATCTCTTTTCAAAGGTGTTTTCTTTTGTTTTGTTGAGACAGGGTCTCACTTTGTCTCCCAGGCTGGAGTGCAGTGGTGTGATCTCAGCTCACCGCAACTTCTGCCTCCCAGGATCAAGCAATCCTCCCACCTCACCCTCCCGAGTAGCTGGGACTATAGGTGCACGCCATCATGCCTGGCTAATTTTTGTATTTTTTTACTGTAGAGATGGGGTCTAGCCATGTTGCCCAGGTTGGTCCAAAACTCCTGGGCTCAAGCAATCCTCCTGCCCCAGCCTCCCAAAGTACTGGGATTACAGGCATGAGCCACCTTGGCTGGCAAAAGCTGTGATCTTTATGCATCAGAGAGGAACATCAAGAAAGCAGAAACTTGCTTGGCTTGCCAGATCTTGGGAGGTTTTGTTCCCATGCTAGGTCTTGGGCCTCTCTCACCTGGAGCTACAGCAGACATTTCAGCCATATCTCACAATACTGATTTCAGCTCTCCTCTCTCCCACTACATGACAACCAGAAGCTTTATTAGAAAGCCTTAGCCTGACATTGTGACCTCTACATTGAGGTAAAGAACTAGATAGAAAAAAGGTCTATCTAGTCCAAAATGTCAGAGAGGCCAGGTGCGGTGGCTCATGCCTGTAATCCCAGCACTTTGGGAGGCTGAGGCAGGCAAATCACCTGAGGTCAAGAGTTTGAGACCAGCCTGGCCAACATGGTAAAACCCCATCTCTACCAAAAATACAAAAATTAGCCAAGTGTGGTGGCAGGTGCCCATAGTCCCAGCTACCTAGGAGGCTGAGGTACAAGAATCACTTGAACCCGAGAGCCGGAGATTGCAGTGAGCTGAGATTGCACCCTTGCACTCCAGCCTGGGTGACAAAGCAAGACTTAAGTCTCAAAAAAAAAAAAAGAAAAGAAAAAAGTCAAAGAGAAACTCTGGGTTAGAGGAAGGGTTGTCCTCCAATGAGCATGGCCTTAGGCTTTCAGCCCCTCTAAGAATGAGTTGTTCCTTGCTTTTTGTCCTCCAATGACCACATCCTTAGGCTTTCAGCCCAAGAATGAGTTGTTCCTTGCTTTTTTTCCTCCATCTCTCATTGGCCCAGATGTGGGGAAGGGAGGAGTTAGACCAGGGTAGGATCCAAGCACTCCTGATCCTCTGAGCCAAATATGGTTCTCCAGATAGCACAATTTCCCTGAAAAATGCAGTCCAACATGGAGAGGGTGAGAAACATGCTTCATCTTCTACTACACTGGCTTTAAGAACTAATCTTAAAAACATGACAAGAGGCCAGGCGCAGTGGCTCACACCTGTAATCCCAGCACTTTGGGAGGCTAAGGTGGGCAGATGACCTGAGGTCAGGAGTTCGAGACCAGCCTGGCCAACATGGTGAAACCCCGTCTCTACTAAAAATAAAAAATTAGCTGGGAGTGGTGGCACGCACCTGTAGTCCCAGCAACTCAGGAGGCTGAGGCAGGAGAATCGCTTGAACCCAGGAGGCAAAAGTTGCAGCAAGCTGAGATCATGCCACTGCACCCCAGCCTGGGCGACAGAGTGAAACTCCATCTCAAAAACAACAAAAAATGAAAAGAACATTCACTATAGAGCTGTTCATAACTGAAAAAGATTAAAAACAACCTAAATGTCTACTTATAATGACCAGATAAATAAATCATGATACATTCATGCAGTGGGATTATATGCAGTTGTTGAGTGAGATAGCTCTAGATATAATGATACAAAACAATCTGCAAGACATATTATTAAGAATACTTAATGTGTGAGCCACCAGGCACAGTGGCTCACACCTGCAATCCCAGCACTTTGGGAAGCTCAGGCAGAAGGATGGCTTGAGCTCAGGAGTTTGAGACCAGCCTGGGCAACATAGTGAGACCACATCTCTACAAAAGCAAAAAAATTAGTCGGGTGTGATGGCACACACTTGTGTTCTCAGCTACTTGGGAGGCTGAGGTGGGAGGATTGCTTGAGTAGGTGAGGTCGAGGCTGCAGTGAGCTATGATTGTGTCACTACACTGCAGCCTTGGTGACAGAGCAAAACCCTGTCTCAAGAAAGAAAAAGGTTATCAGAAAGATGCAGGAACAATATGCCAGGTGTAGTAATACTTGTGTGAAAATATATTTAAAAATACTATTGAAACCTAGATGCTGAGCATGCTTAGACCCTCTCAGAAAAGATACACAAGAATGCAGTAACACTGGTTGTCTCTTGGGAGGGGAGCTGGGGCCTGGAGGGGGAAGGGATAGGAGAGAGATTCACTCTTCACTCTAGGTCCTTTGCATCTTTTGAATTTTGTACTCTATGCATGTACTATCTATTCAAAAACAAACACAGATGGTCCCCAGCTTATGATGTTGTATTTTTTTTTTTTTTTTTTGAGATGAAGTTTTGCTCTTGTTGCTCAGGCTGGAGTAAATGGCACAATCTTGGCTCAATGCAATCTCTGCCTCTCAGGTTCAAGTGATTCTCCTGCCTCAGCCTCCCAAGTAGCTGGGATTATAGGCATGTACCACCACCCATGGCTAATTTTTTGTATTTAGTAGAGACGGGGTTTCACCACATTGGTCAGGCTGGTCTTGAACTCCTGACCTCAGGTGACTCACCTGCCTTGGCTTCCCAAAGTGCTGGGATTACAGGCGTGAGCCAACATGCCCTGCCCCACAATGGTTTGAATTAATATTTTTTGACTTTACAATGGTGCAAAAGTGATACACATTCAACAGGAACTGTACTTCAAGTACACATATAACCATTCTGATTTTCACTTTCAGTATTCAATAAATTACATGAGATAGTCAACATCTGATTATAATATAGGCTTCGTGTTAGATGATATTGCCCAGCTGTAGGCTAATGTAAGTGTTCTGACCATGTTTAATGTGGGCTGGGCTAAGCTATGAGGTTCAGTAAGTTGGGTGTATTAATTGCATTTGTGACTTACAATATTTTTCTTTTACAGTGGGTTTATTGGGAAGTAACTCCACAGTAAATGGAGGAACATCTGACACTACACACAATGGGACATTATTCTGCCTTAAAAAGGAATAAAATTCTGATACATCTTACAACATAGATGAACCTGGAAAACATGCTAAATGGAATAAGAGACAAAAAGACAAATCTTTATGAGTCCACTTACATTAGGTACCTAAAATAGGCAAATTCACAGAGACAAAAGTAGAATAGTGATTATTAGGGGCTGGGGGAGAGGGAATGGGGAGTTACTGTGGAATGGCTACAGCGTTTCTGTCTGGAATGATGAAAAAGTTCTGGAAATGGATAATGGTGATGGTTGTACAGCATTGTGAATGCACTTAATGGCAGTGAACTGTACACTTAAAAATGGTTAAATGGTATGTTTTACATTACAGACATTTTACCACAATAAAAACCAAATATATAACATAATCTATTTTAAAATAAATGTTTTACGATTTCAGTGTCTAACGACCACTTAATGAAAATCCACCGCCTCCAGTGGGAGTATGTGACAACCAAGAGCCTGAGCTTTGGAATCAAACTGAACGGAGTTGGACTCATGCCTCCACCATAACTAGTTTTGTCACCTTATAAATTAACCTTCTAGAGTAGAAGTCAGTAAACTCTTCCTATAAAGGGTTAGACACTGAATATTTTAGGCTATGCAGGCCATATATGGTTTCTGCTGCAAGCAACTACTCAATGTAAATGGCAGCAGCCATAGACAACACATGAATGAATGAACAAGGCTATGTTCCAGTAACAACGGGCAGTGGCTGGATTTGGCCCACAGGCTACAGTTAATCAATCTCTGCTCTCAGTTCCCACATTTGTAAGATAGGGACAATAATATAACTACCTCATAGGGCTGTTGTGGGAATAAATGGGGCAATGTGTCAAATTCTTTGCTAAATGCTTTATGTATAAAAAGTAAGCCAATAAATGTTTGTTTTTGTTGATGTGGTTGTTGAGGTAGATGCTGAGAATGCAGAAGAAGAAAGCCACATTTATGGAACACCTACTGTAAACATACTAGGGCCAACTCTTAATGCGACAGGATTTCATTTGTTATTTTTATTAGTTACTTGATCAAAACATCTCATGTTGGCATGGAGCTTCGTGCTTTGGGTCCATTAGCTCGTTTCATCTTCCTGATTACTCTCTGGGGTAAATGTTCTGAATCAGGAAGCCAGACCTCCGAGGTCACCCTGCTAGGGAGAGCAGAGACAAGGTTTGAAACCTCAGCCATCTTATTCCAAAGACTGGGTTCTCAACCAAGGGTGGTACTGCCCACTTCTACTCCACTCTGTTCCCTCCACCCTGGGAGATTTGGAAATGTCTGGGGCTTTTTTTTTTGTGGGGAGGAGGGTTTTATAAGAATGAGGAGGCACTGTTGGGGTTTAGTGACCAGGGTCCAGGAATGCTAAAGGCAGACTCGTTTAAATGTCTGTAAAACAAAAAATTATCCAGTCCCAAATGGACTCCCAAATATCAGTGGTGCTCCACGTCATGCTGCCCAGATGTGACTCCATTACCACCCTGCCTTGAGCAGCTCACAGTCCTACGGGGAGACGGTGCACTGGAGCACAGATTCTTTCTGTTTCCCTCTAAATCTGCATGAAAGGCAGTGCGGTGTAATAGAAAGGCCGCTGGATTGTCAGAGGCTAAAACCACTGACTTGACCATTGAACAGCTGTGCAAAGTAGGGCAACTGGCTTGACCTCTCTGGGCTTCAGTATCCTCAGAGTGAAAAGAGGATCCTGACACATGCCTGTCCCCTTTTAGGGATGTAACTAGGATCGGATGGAGCAGCAGTGTGAAAGTGCATACCTCTGTACGAAGACGTGGCGTGTTACTAAGTGAATTGTAAAGCAATTGTCAACAAAATAAAGCTCTTCCCCTTTAAATCTTGAGTTTGGCTTCTAGAGGCTGCATGGAGGTTTTATCTAACAGCCCAGGTGCAGATGACTCCACCGACGGCTCCTCCTGCCCCCAAAATTGAGATTTAGCTTTGGTTGCATCTCCAGCAAAACCAGCCAGGGTGAAAAATGAGCTCAGAAGAGAGCGACTGTGCTTCCTGTTGGCCATACCTCCTCAGGGTCATAAAGAAGCCATCCATTCCCAGCCAGAGACTAGGCCAGAAAAGGGCCGGAACAGCCTGATGGGGTCACTTGTGGGTCAGGCCCCACAAGCCATTTTTCCCCCAGGACGGGAGGGAAAGGGTTAATAGCGCCTTTGGTCAAAATGCCAAGTTGGAATCAATCTACATAAATGTCAAGCCTGCTCCGTATGCAAAAAATAAGGAGGTGCATCATAGCAGGAAGTCTGTCTGCAGAACAAGGTACAGATGTCTTTTCTATAAGGCTCTGATTTCTCTTTTTCTACTCAGAGCCCAGATGGCAGCTGGGTCCCCTGCCTCTTCAGATCTAGCTAATTGTGGTCCTGCCTCTGCAATTCCACACGTCCTGAAGGCTTCCCCAAACTCTCTGCAAGGGCCTGGGGTCTGGCATCATGCCTCACATGGCCTGTGCCCCTGCATGCCCTTGTCAACCCAGCAATGAAACTTGATCCATTCTCTAGTTTCAAAAACAAAAACAGGAAAAACAATCCCAGGAGGATCCCAAAGAGAGAGAAGAATTTGATGAAGTTTCCCATGCAACACAGTAAGCAGCTTTGTATTGCAGCAAAAAGGTGTTGGAGTCAAACTTCTAGAACCCAAATCCCTTACTTATGTAATGGGGCGACCTCAGAAAGTCATTTCACCACCAGGTTTGATATTTTCATCTGTAAAATGAGGTTGTCAATTTCTACATTAAAAAGCTGTTGTGAGGACTCAATTAAATTTGTCATGTAAATGGCAGGCACATAATACTTGCCCATTTCAGTTAGAGCTCTTGGCTACAGATTGATTTATTTAAATCACTTCCTTTTATTTAAAAGGAATGTGTAGGCTGTTCAAACTGTAGTCTGGCAACCCGCCATGTGTAGGCAGAATTGGATCAGGGCTCTTCTCTCTTCTGTTTCCTTTTCTGTCCTCCAGCCTTCCTCATAGTCATAAAATGACTGCAGCTGTGCCAGGTATCACATCTACCTTCTGCAGCATCCAGAAGAAAGCTCTTTTTCCTTTGCCATGGGACAAAAGTCCTAGGTTTTTCTCTGCTCAGAACACTTAAGGTCAAGTTCCCACTTCGGAAGCCATCATTGAGGCTGGGGGCATACCATTCCATGATTGGCTTGGCATAGGTGATAAAGGGGTGGGATTACACTCTGTACCCTGAGGTACCCCAAAGTCCAGGTTCCTCCATGTGTAATCCTGTCTTCACATCTGTGTCCCCAAAGCCTGGCACAACATTTGACACAGAAGAAGACGCTCAGTAAGAGCTTATTGGATGAATGATGCTCGTCGAATGAGGATTATAAAGTCTAAGGAGAGAATAAGTGTGTGTGTGGTTAGAACATCTAATCATTCTCTGAATCAGTTGTTCAGTCAGTGGTAATTTCCCAGATATTCTTTTCAATGAAATCCCAGGTTGCAAATGTTGACCTTTGCCTTTTCCCGGACAGCAGCTTGCTTCTCCTGGTAACACCTGGGAAAGCCTAAATACATCTCCTTGCCAGGCCTTGTGAGCTGTCTGAAGGCTGCTGGTGCTGCCCCTGCTGCCTCTGCACAGCTCACTCAAGCCAGGGAGCATGAGAGTAAAAACTCCAATTCCATTTTTAATCATTGAGTCCAATAAGGGAGATTAAATTTATCTTTTTTTTTTTTTTTTTTTTTTTTTGAGATGGAGTTTCACTCTTGTCACCCAGGTTGGAGTGCAATGGCTCAATCTCAGCTCACTGCAACCTCTGCCTTCCAGGTTCAAACTGTTCTCCTGCCTCAGCCTCTCGAGTAGCTGGATTACAGGCGCCTGCCACAACGCCTGGCTAATTTTTTGTATTTTTAGTAGAGATGGGGTTTCACCATGTTGACCAGGCTGGCCTCAAACTGCTGACTTCAGGTGATCTATCTGCCTTGGCCTCCTAAAGTGCTGGGATTACAGGTGTGAGCCACCACGCCGGGGCTTTTATTTTTATTTATTTTTTTAATTAGAGTGTGTGGGGAGGCAATCCCCAGGTAGCCATCCTGAGGGACGTTCTCTGCAGCTGACATGGAGATCCTGACAAGGTGAAGCTACAAAATCTGGGGGACTTGGCCAGGTGCGGTGACTCATGCCTATAATCCTAGCACTTTGGGAGGCCGAGGCAGGCAGATCACTTGAGGCCAGGAGTTTGAGATCAGTCTGACCAACATGGCGAAACCCTGTCTCTACTAAAAATACAACTTAGCTGGGTGTGGTGGCGCGTGCCTGCAATTCCAGCCACTTGGGAGGTAGAGGCACGGGAATTCCTTGAACCTGGAAGGCGGAGGTTGCAGAGAGCTGAGATCCCACCACTGAACTCCAGTCTGGGCGACAGAGTGAGACTCTGTCTCAAAAAAAAACAAAGTCTAGGGGGAGCAGAGCCATGGCACCCACAAAGAGGGACACTGACCCCCGGGGTGTGGCAGAGGAGGTGGAACAGCTGAGCCCCACACTTCAGAGAACCCCTGTCCTGGGCCCACTGGAGCACACAGCATGGGAGGTGAGGGACGCAATGAAGCCAGGTCACACAGCATTCAGCTGGGGCTGCCCAGAACCCCCACGGCCAACACCCAGGTGTGGGTTGCCCACTCAACAGTGCCGCGATCTTGGGGAGGATAGGGAACCCCAAGCAAGTAACTCTTACGGATCCCTGGGATTTAGTCCCACGCAGCTGCTGGTAATGGCCTGGACGGCCTCCTCCAATTCACCACATCCAAACACAAACTCATCACCCCGCTCTTGCCTGCTGCTCCCCTAATCCTGACTCCAATCTCTGTACAGCCCTTTCAGCCCCTAAGAATTCCTATCAAGCTGCTGGGCATCGTCTTAGACCCCCCACCCCCACCTGCATGGCCATTACTTACCGAGACCTGTTGAGTCCATCATCACAACACCCATGGCCTCTCTTGACTCCCAGCCCTTCCCATCCCCTCTCGCCTGAATTGGCCTTTCTGGCTCCAGTCTTGCCCCCTCCAATCTATGCTTCCAACACATAGGTCATATCCTGCTATTTACCTCCTCAAAAATTTTCAGGGCTCCCCATGGCCTACACAATAAAGCCTATGTTTTCATGGAACACCCAAGACCCACCACTTGTCATTCTATTCTCATTTCCAATGCATAAGGAGCCTCGTCCTCAGAACCAGGGGATGCTTTCCTGTCTCAGAGCCTTTGCTTATGCCCCTCTGGACACGGGGACTGCCTTCTCCCTTTCTCTTCCTTCTGAAGTCTTTCTCATTCTCCAGGTTCCTGTTTCAATGCCTCCTCCTGCAGGCACCTCCCTGGGGGTGTGGGTTCAGGGGTGGGTGACTGTTTTATCCTTCCTGCCACTGCCCCCACGCTGGGGTCTCTATTTCAGCATGCTTTTCATTTGGCCCAGGGCAGTGAGGACAGTGGCCTGCTAGCTATATTCAGCATTCATATTGTATCAAGCATGGCCAGGTGAATTTCCACCCATGATCTCAATGAATCCACACTGTTAGGAGAGGTGGTTTATCCTGTTTCACAGACAGGAACCTGAGGCTTAGAAAGGAGAAGTGATTTGCCCAAGCAAGCGACAGAGCAGGTTCCACTCTGCATATTCTTTATGGAGTCCGGGGAAGTTCCTCCTCCACCTCCCTGCACAAGGCAGCCCTGGGGTGGGAGAAGCCTCAGGAAACCCATCTACACTCTGCTTTATTTAAAGGGCCCTTGAGTTCCAAAGGGGGCTGGTGGAACACACTCCTGTGATCATTAATTCACATTTGTCCTCCCTCCCTGGCCCCTGACTTCCCAAGGCCTGCCATGAATCAGGGCCCCAGGCCCAGGACTGAGCAGGTCTGCATAATTTCCTGAATGTCACCAAACCCATCTGTCACTCCCTGAGCTTCCCAAATGCCATCCCCGGTGCACCCAGGGAGGCCCTGAGCCATATGGCCAGGGAGCCCCTCTGTGAAATCCCATTAGCGCTCTCCGCTAATTGGCTTTAAAGCACGCAAAGTAATTAGGAAGGGGGCCATACACGTGTCCCCATGGGGGAATGGGAAGTACACTATCCAGATGGCCTCTGAGAGCTCCCTCATCTCTCCCTCCCCTCTATGAACTCATCTCTTCCTAAATGTCTTCCCTCTCTCCTGTGGCCTCACTGCTGTGGTGGGGCAGAAGGATGGCTCAAAGAAACATTTATATTCAGACATATAGGTCACTGGGATGGAAGCAAGCTTTGAAATATTAACAGGTTTTCTCCTTCCTGCCTTCCCCCTCATTCCAGCCAGCGGCAGCTCTAAACTTCACTGCTGTGGGGGAGGATATGGTACAGCAGAGGGAGGGATGGAGGCAGGAGGCAGGGGGACCCCTGACTCTCTTGCATAGCATTTCCTTTCACCCCCGGCAACAATGGTGTCTCTGGGGTGATCCTGGGCCTGCCACAGAACAGAAACGATGGAGAGAAAAATGGATGTCTCAGTGGCAACCAAGGTGGAAGGATGACAGAGGACAGGTATCTCCCTGCATACCAAGCCCCCAGACTTCACATAGGACCAGAGCGCTAAGGCATACCTGACTGCCCAGGAAGGGGACCTTGACTTCAGAAACTCAAGTGTTGCATTTAAGATCAAGAAATTTAAGATCAAATGTCTTGTGCGCTGCATTCTGGACTGGGATTCAAGGTGCCGTAGAGGGAGCACCTCCCAGTGCTGGGGGTTTGTGTTCGGCACTTTGCATCCATTCTCTCTGACCTCCCAGCAGCGCACTGAAGAAGACACTACTGCCCTCATTTCACAGATGGGTCAGAGGCCACAGGAAGGCCATGGGGAAGGAGAAGCAGGCCTGAGCTTGAGGCCCACTTCCTCTCACTCTGAGGGCGATGCTGAGCAGCTCCCCAAGAGGCAGGGGCCAGAGCTGGAGGCGTGGACACAGTCACAGACTCTCCCAGGGCTGCTGTGCCATTGCTGGAACCTCCTCTTTGGAGGAACTTTGTGTACCAAGTACTTCTACCGTGTAGCATTTTCCCTGGCTGGAATCCTGCAATTGTCACAGTGTTCCAGGATCCAGGAAGGCAGGGCAGGAGCATCATGCCCGCTTTCCAGCAGGTGCAAGGGGAGGCTGGGGGCTGATGCACTAGTCCAACCAGCAGGGAGCCCGTGGGAGGGTGAGGCGCGGAAGGGGTGCATGGAGAGCCGCTATTGACTGCTCACTGCCTTAGCTGGCAGGTCAGGACCCAACTGCAATCCCAGGATACAATTAGAGAAGTATTTTGGATTTTAGATTTTTTTTTTCAGATTTTGGAATTTGAAAATCTGAAATCCAAAATGCTCCAATGAGCATTTCCTTTGAACCTGGCCTTCGAGCATCATGTCGGCACTCAAACAGTTTTGGATTTTGAACCATTTCCAATTTCGGATTTTCGGATTAGGGATGCTATATTATCTTCTGAACGAGGCCACTCATTCAAGAAACCCCAGAGCTTGGGAAGATGGAGCTGCAGGCCAAAGAGGTGATTTCTGAGGTGCCTCCCACTGTGGAAGGGCCTACAAAGTGGTTTCAGGCAACCCAGAAAATAGGAAACCCAATATTTAGCTAATGGAACATGAATAAAATCTGCTGAAGATGTCTGCCTGTAATTTAAATGGAGCCAAGCCAATGCGTTATTAAAAAAAAAAGAGAGACACCAATCTCTCTGCAAAAGCACTGAATTGTACCATAAATCATCAGTGGTGGTTTTCTAGGGATATGAAGAAGGGGTTTTCATAATACATCACATGATACACTATCTCCCAAATCTCTAAACGTTTCTCTCCACAAGCCCAGTCCTTTAGTTATCCAAATCCCTCCCTCTTTTCTCTTGCTGTCTCCAAAACTCAGAACTGTGCTCTGACTTTCTGCATCCTGCCCCACCTTCTTGGCCTCCCTGGAAAGCCCCCCACTTCCCCAGGGTGTCCCCTCCTCCCCTCCTGGGGTTCCCCCATCTTTCCTCAAGTGGACCCTCTTAGTTTCTCTAACTCTGCATCTCAACCTTTCTCCCTTCACCACACAATAATGTCCAGGAGGCCAAGGGCCCACAAACAAGGGACCCTCCCTTTCCAGAAGGGAGAAGATGTAACTACAAATATTTGGTTATAATTTTTTTCCCTGCCACACCTGTTTCCATAGGCAGTGCTGAGCCCCAGTCCTGGCAGATCTCAGAATCCAGGCTCTCATGAGCTGGGGCAAGTAGGGCCAAGGGAGCCTCTGGGTTGAGGACATTGCATCCCATTCTGCAGCCACCCTGCCCTGACCTCTGCCCCTTCCCGGTCCCCCAGGCCTGCCCTGCCCTGTCCTGCCTCAGCCTGCCCAGGAAGGCCACTGCTTGAGGCCTCCAGGAGGCTCACCCCAGAGCAGGCATTATGACAGGGACTGGCACATCCCACCTGCAGACTCTGCCTAGGGCTTTGGACCAGCCAGGAAGCTAATGTGGACAGGGCTGGCCCCGAGCCCAGCAGTGGGTGAGGCAGGCCAAGTCTGAGCCCTCACCAGTGCTCCCCATATCCCCAGGCCTGGCTTCCTCCTGGCACCCAGTCACCCAGGTCCCACCCACCCTGTGCTCTGCCGGGTCAATGGACTTCTACTATGGCACTGGAAGGTCAAAGGTGCAGAAGGCCCTGGAATTTATTAGCCAAGTCCACCTCCCATGCCTCAGGATGGGGATTGTTAAGGCCTAAAGAGAATCAGGGATCCTCATCCATAAGAGATCACATAACTTTGGACAGAATGAGCTAGAACCCCGGTCTCTGAACCTCCAGGCTAGTGTTTTCCCCATAACATGTAGGGATTACATCATTCCTAGCTGGGCTTATTGTCTCATGCCTGTAATCCAAACACTTTCAGAGGCTGAGGTGGGAGGATTGCTTGAGACCAGGAGCTTGAGACCAGCCTGGGCAGCAATTTGAGACCCTGTCTCTATAAAAAAATAAAAAAATAGCCAGACATGATGATGTGCATCTGTAGTCCCAGCTACTTGGGAGGCTGAGGCAGGAGGATTGTTTGAGCCCAGGACTTCAAGGCTGCAGTGAGCTGTGATTGAGCCAATGCACTCCAGCCTGGGTGACAGAGCAAGACCCTGTCTCTAAAATGAAAATTTCCAAACTATGGAGGTGAGTGGAGGGTGGGTATTGTTGAAATTAATGGAATTGAAAGTGTAGATTATGGGCCGGGTGCGGTGGCTCATGCCTGTAATCCCAGCACTTTGGGAGGTTGAGGGGGGTGGACCACAAGATCAGGAGATCGAGACCATTCTGGCTAACACAGTGAAACCCCGTCTCTACTAAAAATACAAAAAAAATGAGCCAGGCATGGTGGCGGGCACCTGTAGTCCCAGCTACTCGGGAGGCTGAGGCAGGAAAATGGTGTGAACTTGGGAGATGGAGCTTGCAGTGAGCCGAGACTGCACCACTGCACTCCAGCCTGGGCGACCAAGCGAGACTCCATCTCAAAAAAAAAAAAAAAAAAAAAAAGAAAAGAAAAGAAAAGAAAGTGTAGATTATGGGTTCTCCTATGGTTATTTGCATTTTAAGTGGAACACAAAGAACAAAACATCTCCTTGACACAGAGGCAAATCCAGAGACAGAAAGCAGATTAGTGGCAACCAGTGCCTAGGGGAAGAGGCAGGATTGGAAGTGACAGCTTCCTGGGTACGGGGTTCCTTCTGGAGTGATGAAAAGGTTCTGCAATGATTAGTGATGACAGTTACACAGCATTGTGAGTGTACTTAATGCCGCCGAATCATACAGTTGAAAACGGTTGAAGCGGTAAGTTTTGTTTCATGTATTTCCCCACAATTAAAAGAGAAATATCTTTGACTGAAATACATAAGACCTGTATTGAGGAAAGGTCTCAACACTGGGAGTTTGTTTTGCTTCTTCCCTTCTCTCTTCTGTCCCTCTCTCAGCAGACCTCTGCTGAGAGCATTCCCAGTCTAAGAGGGGAGCTACACACAGTGGAGAGAGTGACTGAGACTCCACTCAAGGACACCATACTGAGAAACAAGACAGAACCAAATGATAAAAGGAGTTGTTCCTGCAAAAACATCTAGGAATGAGGGGAAGTAGCAAAGATCAAGCTGCACTCCACTGGGCACCACTGAATGCTCGCTCAGGTGGTTCCTGAGTGCACATTTAAACAAAAATTTTTTTTTTTTTTTTTTTTTTTTGAGATGGAGTGTGTGGCCCAGGCTGGAGTGCAATGGCACAATCTCGGCTCACTGCAATCTCTACCTCCTGGTTCAAGTGATTCTCCTGCCTTAGTCTCCAGAGTAGCTGGGATTACAGGTGCCTGCCACCAAATCCAGCTAATTTTTGTATTTTTCATAGAGATGGGGTTTACCCATGTTAACCAGGCTGGTCTTGAACTCCTGACCTCAGGTGATCTGCCCACTTTGGCCTCCCAAAGTGCTGGGATTACAGGCCACTGGGCCAGGCCCTGAATTCACTTTTTTTTTAGATTCCACATGTGAGTGAGATCAAGTGCTATTTGCCTGTCTGTGCCTGGCTTACTTCACTTAACATGGTATCCTCCAGGTTCACCCGTGTTGTTCCAAATGACAGGATTTTATTCTTTTTATGGCTGAATAGTACTCCATTGCATATAAGAAATGATACATGCATGTGGGATGGTTGTCCTACTTCCCTGAGTTGATCATTATGGAGCATATCTGTATTGACACATCAAATTGTACCCATAAATATACACAATTACAATGTGCCCATTTCTAAAAAGCCGGCTCACTGTGGAGACCAAAAAACCCTTCCACAGCTCCAAGGGAGATCACAGACTGTGAAGCAGGCTGGGGGCTCCAGGGCCTGGGCCTCTTGCGCTCACCACTGTACTTCCCAGCCACAACCCTCCCTGTCTTTAATGTCAGGCATTGCCCCTCCCCTCCCTGAAAGCCCTGCTTCAAGCCTGCCTCCTCCTTCCTCACCCAAACCACTCGCTGTATTTTCATGCCTTATTAGAAAATTACTTAGGCCGTGAAGATCTGCATACATTTACCTGCTTTCTGTAAAGGTTTTCAGATCAGGCAGTTTCCCACAGGGTTGGAATCTCAATGCATTGAGATGGTAAATTATTTCTTCCTTAATCCTCTCACTGAACTCCCGCAGGGCCTAGCACCGTGTTCTGCACACAGTGAGTCCGTCGTCCGGCAGACACTGGTTCTTCACCTGGTGCTGAGCTTGGAGCCCCACAGTGCCGGGCTGGCAGCGCCCATTGGGGTGGGAGGGAGTTGGTGCTCGCCCTCCTTGGAGTGCTTTTGCAAGTGTGTGTTAGATCTGTGGTCTAAGGCACATCAGGAGCCCAGAATGGTTTCCCAAGGGGAAGAAATAAAAGTCCCCACAAGAGAACGGAGCTTGCCCATCCACTGAGGAACAGTGCTCCAGGGTCCTTTTCTGACCCTGCTCAGCCGCAAACTTCTCCTCGCCCACCCCTCCTGTTTCTCTTCCTCCACCTCCTCCATAAGGACCTGGGCACTGTGCTGGGCCCCGCCTCTTGTGTTTGACTTTCCCCCTTGCATGGAGTGCTCAAGGAAGCCATCAAGTTGGACATCTTCCCCATAGGGCGCAATCCAAATGGGCACCTAGCGCTGTCAGCCACGGACTGTTGCATGAACGTGCTCACCCCAACCCTTCAACCCACACATAGGGAAGCCTTATCCCAAGCATGTGCTTTGTAAACACACACTTCTCATGGGCAGACAGAGAGTCTGGGCTCCCATATCAGCTTAGCTGCTGATCACGGTATAACCTTAGTCCCTCCCCTCTCCGGGCCTCGGTATTCCCAGCTGTATGATGAGACCACTGGACTCAATGAACTTGGCTTTCCTTTTAGTGTCAGTGTTCACCAAGTTGTCCTTGGTGTCCCTCAAGCAGCTGCTCCTGCCTCCCCCAGCCCCACCCATACACACACCTCATAGTTAGAGTGGGAATGAAGAGGTGTGGGTGGGTAGCCCCTCAGAAACTGCTGGCCCTGCTGGTGTCACCACTGAGAGCCCCTGGACACAAAGCCCTCCATGGACCCCCTTAGGCTTGCCTGGCAACACACAGGGGCCTGTTGCCCAGACACATGCTTCCTCATGGTGCCCCTCGGCTGACCACAGGGAAGCTTTGGAACTATCCCATAGAAAAGACTTCATTAGATCTCATTCTCCTCAAGTCCATTTGGGGAGAGCCGGCCGTAGAATGAGAGGGCTCATTTTCTGGTTGCATTAGCCATTAGCCATTAGCTTGGGAGGTCTGGGCCCTGAAGTCCTGGGCAGCGCAGGGAGGGGTGGGTGAGCATCTACTTCACACCAGAGGTGCTCCTGGCCTTGCCAGGCCTGACCTCAGAGGAGTTGATCACATGGGGGTCTTTTCTCCCCAAGACTCACAGAGACATGCAAAACGCCAAGTAGGGGGGTGGGTGAGGCCTACAGAGGGGAAGGAACTTGTTGAGGCCTCCACAGTGAAGGGGGCAGCTCCAGTGCCTGGCCCCCAGAAGGTCCTCAGGCCTGAGCCCCCCTGTAGCACCAACACAGGGCAGTGCTGAGCCGCTACCCCCAATCCCACCTCCCTAAGGTATGACTAATGGGCCAACTGTCCTGGTCCAGGGATGTTTCTAGCCAGCAACATTTAGCTCTGAAGGTAGCTTTCCTGCAGCTGTTGTAACAAATTAAAGCAAAATGGTTGGCTTAAAATCCCAGAACTTTGCTCACAGTTCTAGAGGCCAGAGGTCTGACATCAAGGTGCTGGCAGGCCCACGTTCCCTCGGAATGTGCTATGGCAGAGTCCCTCCTTGCCTCTTCCAGCTCCTGGGGGACCCAGACATTCTTTAACTCATGGCTGCATCACTCCAGCCTCTGCCTCTGTCTTCCCATGGTCTTTTTTGTGCCTTTCCTTTTCTGTCTCCTATAAGGACACACTGGATTTAGGCCCCGCTCAGACGATCTCATCTTGAAATCCTTGATTATACCTACAAAGACCCTTTTCCCCAATAACACCACATTCACAGGGTATGCGGGTTAGGAAATGGACATGTCTTTTCGGGAGGCCACTGTTCAACTCATAACATACACCATTGGATTGCCCCACTCCCCCAAATTGCCAGCCAGACTCTGTTGTTTGTTCATGCTTTCTTTGTGGGAACAATAACAGTAACCGCAATACTAATAGATAACATTTTAGTGCTTACTAAGTGCCAGGCACCATGATAAGCCTTTAACATATTAAACTCATTTAATTGTCACTGCAACCCTGTGAAGTGGTTACTATTCTCTCCAAACTACAGTCGAGGAGATGAGGGTCAGAGAGGAACATGTTGTTGGTAACAGGTGAATACAGAACTCAACTCCTGGGATCCCAGAGTTCAGAGTGGACAGACCAAGGTAAGAGACAGAGCTCTTGTCCCTGGAGTTGAAGGGGGTGAGGAGCTGAGGAAGATGATGGAGGAACTCTGGCCAGCACCACTCTGCCCCTTCCAGCTGTGTTACCCTGGGCCGGGGCCTGGCTGTCTCTGAGTCTCTGGCAGGTGAGGTCTGGGGTGGACTCTTTCTGGCGCAGGCCTGGGTTGATGACACTGGTTCTTAACCCTGGATGCATATCAGGATACCCTGGGAGCTTTTCAAAATCCCAATGTCCAGGCCACTCCCCAGGCCAACTACAACAGAGTCTCTCAGGGGTGGGATCCTGGCACATGGGTGGCTTTGACAGCTCCCAGATGATGCCAATGTGTGGTCCAAGCCAAGAACCGCTGCTCAAGTCTGTCCATTCTCTCCCTGGCTCACCATGCCCCAGTAGGGAAGCTGAGGATCTGAAACTCTGTGTCCCTGACTCCCAGTAGTTACTGGATAGCCAAGAGATGGGCCTGGCTTGGTGCAGATGAGGGACACCTGGGGCTGCAGCATGGGTTGGGGTGGGACAGAAAATGGGAAACAAGTCCCTGGCAGGCATGGGAGTGGCCGGCCAGTCTGCCAGAGACCCCTGATGTGAGTTCAGTCTCTGGCAGGCCCAGTCCAAGAGAGAAAAGGCCTGAAGGGATGACACACGGTGAGTTTTGGGTGTCAGAAAGTGGGACACAGCAGGACACAGGAACTCCCACGGTGTGACTTCTGGGAAGAAGGGCTGGGCAGGAAACGATGGAGGATTCATGCCAATCAGGACACAGGGATGCTGTGCTGGCCTGGCCCTGACCTTTCCATTGCAGCTCTGACAGCTGGGGTGGTCTAAGGCCCAGAAAGGGGCTGGTGTGAGGACTCTGTGTGAGGTTTGGGAAGATTTTTGGTGCAGACTCGGCTGAGGCCAACTGACCAGACAGCTCGGGCTGCTAGGGCTGCTCCAAATTTGGAATTCCGTGCCCTGGTTGGAGAAAGCAACCGGGAGAAGCACAGAGAAAAACTCTCCTTCTCCTCTTTTCCAAGAATGAGAATGGGGCCTTCTCTGACCATTTGGGAACTGGGTTTTTAAGACCAGGTTAGGAACTATTAAGGAAAAGAAAAAAAAGCCCTGCCGCCCCCACTTAGAACATTCATTTTGTAGTGAAACTTTGGCTTCAGTCTCTCTCTTCCTGTCTTTTTTTCTCTGCTCTCTAAGCCAACTGTATCTTTGTCTTGCTCTGTCTAGCTGTCTCTCCCTCTCCCTGTTGTTTGTATCTTTTTCTGCCTCTCTTGTGTACCTGACTCACTCTCTGCCTCTCTCTGTCTCTATCTCATTCTATCTTTATCTACTATGATCTCTGTCAGATCCCGGGGTCCAGGTCCAGCCCATGCTGAAGTCCAAGGGGAGTGCGTGGATGGGCAGAAAGAACACTCGGGGGGCCATAGGCAGGTGACTATGGTTTATTCAGCAGCAGCTCTCTTACACAGCTTATTTAAATTAGCTTTCTCATTAACAACTTACTCACACACTGTTCACCCTGTCTCGGCTGCTTGAGCTGGCTGCCCCCACGCACAGTTGTGCAGCCAGCTCTCCTTTGCCTTCAGGGTCAGCAGCTTAACTCTTTCTCTCTCTGGGCACAAGCAAGCCAAGTTGGGTCCTGACTCCCTCCTGTCCATCTGCAAGATGGAGAGCTTTGACTCTCTCTCTCTTTCTCTGGGCACCCGCGCACCTGCCATGCCAAGCCATGTTGAGCCGAGCCGAGACACCCAAGAGCCAAGCCCCATGCACAGCATCAGCAGGACAGTTATACCTTTTACAGACCATAGTAACTTAAAGCCAAGTATGAACTTACACAAACAGGTTATATAACAAGTGGAGGTGTGCACTTGTGCACCAAACTAGCTGAGTCATGCAGGCCTGAATATCCGCCTTGGCCTGTTCCTAGACCAAAGCACATCCATGTACCTTACAATCTCTTAGTTTCAGCCTCTCTCCCATTCTGAGTTTTCTGACTCTTTTTTTCTTTTTTTTTTTTTAAGACTATGGCAGCCCATAGAAGCAAGAATGTTAGTCCTAGAGAATGAGACTTACCTAAATTCACTCCTAGAGCAAGCTGATACCTGTGTGGAGCCCACAGCCCTGGCCCCCAATCCCCAGGCTGGGCTTTTTCCCTAGCACTAAACTGCCACTTATCACTGGTTATCAGGATTGTTAGTGCACAGCTGGCTGAGGCCAGATGCCGGGCACAGGACTCCCTGAGACGAGCCACAGGGTGGGCCCAGTGCCACATAAGATCTTGCCCTCCCAGCTGGAGTCACAGCTGTCCAGGCCCATAGCTCTGGCCTTCCAAGTCCTGTTTCTGGGAAGCCAGATTGAATTAGCTACTGGGCCCATCTGGTCAGTCCTTGGCCTAATACCGTCTGGCAGCTCATGCCTCAATGCCAACCCCAGCCCCATGGCCTCACGGCCAGAAATCCAATTTACTGAAGCTTAATTGAGCCCCTGACTCCCTGGAGCATTGGCCCTCAGGCTCTCCTGCTCCACTAACAGCAGATTTCCCGGTGATTAGGAAAGGAGGAAAAAACAGCAGGAGCCAAGTTAATTTCAATTACCCTCATTTCCTCCCTGGAGCAGCACACACCCCTTGCTAAGTGCGTCTTTATGTCAGCTGCAGTGGAAGCTGATGAGTATTAAGTATTAGAGCTCTGGGTGCCCCAGACACCTTGCATTTTATCTGCTGACTCCAGAGAGCAGACTGTCCCCCCGCACCTGCTGGTCCTCAGCATTTAGTCCTATTTTACGGAGCCCAGAGAAGCAAGCTCAGATACAGTCAATGCCCGTGTGGGAAAAGGGCGGAATATTTTAACAGTCTTTTCAGATAATTGCGGATAATTTTCTTAAATACTACATCAAAACTCAACAAGTGGTACTTCTTAAAGGTTAATTGCAATGTGGATTCGGAAACCATATCGATGAAATTTCAGTACTTTGTGACTCTAAAATCCATTGATCTATCTTGCACTTCAGATGGATTTTTTACCTATGCATGATTTTGTAACATTATGCATTGGTCAATTGGAAAATATTGGTGTTCTGAGTTATGCAGATCTTTCAGATGTTGATGCATTTTATCATATAGTATTTTTAAAAAATCATGTTTATTATTCTTACCACAATCTCATCAGAAAAGTCTGTAAGTGGCCGGGCGCAGTGGCTCACGCCTGTAATTCCAGCACTTTGGGAGGCCGAGGCGGGCGGATCACAAGGTCAGGAGTTCGAGACCAGCCTGGCCAACATGGTGAAACCCCCGTCTCTACTAAAGATACAAAAATTAGACAGGTGTGGTGGTGGGTGCCTGTAATCCCAGCTACTCGGGAGGCCGAGGCAGGAGAATCGCTTGAACCAAGAAGGCAGAGGTTGCAGTGAGCCGAGAGATTGTGCCACTGCACTCTAGCCTGGGCAACAAGAATGAAACTCTGTCAAAAAAAAAAAAGAAAGAGAAAAGTCTGTAAGTATTGGAAAGATATTAAGCTTGTGGTAGCAAATACAAGTTTTCCAAAATTCTCATCTTCACTTGAAAGCTCAAATGCTATTGCCTATAAGTACTGTCAGTTTCCCTTGAAGTGGCAAGCTTACTTTGTTCATTTTTTAGACAATATCCATCTCTGAATAAGTAGTTTGTCCACCATCCTTTTTTTTTTTTTTTTTTTTTTTTTTTTTTTTTTTTTTTTTTTTTTTTGAGACAAGAGTCTCACTCTGTCGCCCATGCTAGAGTGCAGGGGCGCAATCTCGGCTCACTGCAAGCTCCGCCTCCCAGGTTCACGCCATTCTCCTGCCTCAGCCTCCCAAGTAGCTGGGACTACAGGCACCCACCACCACGCCCACTAATTTTTTGTATTTTTAGTAGAGACGGGGTTTCACCGTGTTAGCCAGGATGGTCTCGATCTCCTGACCTCGTTATCCACTCGCCTCGGCCTCCCGAAGTGCTGGGATTACAGGCATGAGCCACCGTGCCTGTCCTGTCCACCATCTTTTCAAGCAAAAATGGTGTTTCATGAAAAATGCAACTAGTTCAACTTGCAACTCAAAGACTGCACAAATATTTTTCGTCTAGATATTTATACTTTGCTATGAAACAGAAGTGCTTTATGTCTACCTCCCATTTGTTCACAGATTATTAAAAAGATGTGAACTCAGAGGTTGAGATTTCACAAAATTAATACATATATATTTGCTTTATCAAGGGCAGTCAGAAATGAAATGCCAAGTTCCACTTGCTGTAAGTGTGTGATGGTGAAGAAAACTATGATCACCAGAACAGTTTGGTGCCACCGCCTTGATGTGGGTTAGGGCACTGAAGTTTTACTCCCCATTGCTTTTCCATGATCGATGCAAAAGGCTAACATCATAGTCTATTATGAAAATAACTTTGACCTTGTAGATCCTCTAAAAAGGCTTTGGGGACCTCCAGAATTTCACGGGCCACACTTTGAAAACCACTGCCCTAAAGCAGGGATCATCCAACCCCAGGATACATAAAAGTCACCTGGAAGGCTGATTAATATGCAGATTCTTAGGCCCTAGCCCCAGAATTCTGAATCTGTAGTTCTGGGACGGGATCTATGATTATGCATTTCTAACAAGCTTGCAGGTGATGCTAATGCTGCAGGTCCCGCAACCAAAGTTTTTGTTTGTTTTGCATTTATTTTTATTTTTTATTTTTTGTAGAGAGAGGGTTTCATCATGTTGCTCAGACTGGTCTTGAACTCCTGGGCTCAAGTGATCCACCCACCTCAATCTCCCAAAGTGCCAGGATTATAGGCATGAGCCGCTATGCCTGGCTGGGAACCAAATTTTGAGTAGAAAAATCCTAAAGTACACAACATTTCTTAAAATATTTTCATAGAATGTTAACAAATTTAAAGACATTTGGGAAGAACTGGATTAATCAAAAATATACAAGTTTATTTACTGTGGGACTTCTCAGAGCCTTTAATATGCCAATGTAAATTGGGACTCCCCAGGAGAGGCATTGGGTGCTCTGGGTTCCCAAACCTATTTGGTTTGGAATGCTTTTTCAGGGCTGGTAGCAGGGGCTTACAAGTTAATGTTCCTCAGAGCATGCTTTCTGAGCCACTTCTGTAGCAGTTTATGAATCAACTCCCTCAGGGAACAGAGCCGACCATCCCCATCTCCTCCTCCTCCTCCTCCCCTCTCCCTCCCAGGCCAGCTCTGCTCCCTTTCATACCTCATCTACATCTCTGGGGGAGGGGAAGTGGGGACAACCCAATTTAACTGTAGGACCGCATTGTACCACACTTGGCACACTGAGTTTTGTTTCATTTTAGATTTATCAGTCTGTGGTAGACTTATTTCAAACATGGATCACCAAAATCAGGGACATGCTGTTCAATACGCCTCTTTATATATATATATATATTTTTTTGTTTGTTTGTTTGTTTTGAGATGGAGTCTTGCTCTGTCACCCAGGCTAGAGTGCAGTGGCACAATCTCAGCTCACTGCAACCTCCACCTCCCAGTTTCATGTGATTCTCCTGCCTCAGCCTCCCAAGTAGCTGGGATTACAGGCACCCACCATCATGCCTGGCTAAATTTTGTATTTTTAGCAGACACAGGGTTTCGCCATGTTGGCCAGGCTGGTCTCGAACTCCTGACCTTGTGATCTGCCCATCTCGGCCTTCCAGAGTGCCGGGATTACAGGGGTGAGCCACCGTGCCTGGCCCGGTTCTTTTCTCCTTAAGCTTCTACACAAATGGGTTCTGTGCACCTTTCTATCAGGCATGCGTACACCTCCAGCGCTTACAGACAAGGTCACAAAAACCATTCCCTAAAAAAGACATGGAGTTAGTTGGAGAGTGAACCCAAAAGGAGCTTCAGGACTCATACTGCACAATTCACTTGGCTTCTAGGGCAGGGTCAGTTTTGGGGAATCATAATCATACCCTCCCATGGTGATGTGACTCTATAGGCATCTGGATTGGGGACAAAGGCTAACCTGAGAGGGAGGCTGCTATGAAGGAATCCCGGTAACCAAAACTAGTAGAGGAGGGAGGGAGTAAGCCAGGAGGATGCAGAACTTAGCTCCTGCCTAGTGACAGGCACTGCTGCCTCCATGCTGAATGGCATGGGAACAGCTTAGCCAGAGGGGCTTAGATTCCTGCTGTACCCCAAGACGTGGATGTGGGCTGTGCAGATAGGAGCCACCAAACATGACTTGTTCTGCTCTGCCTCTCTTCAGGCCCTGGCCATTTAGTGTGTTAAGTATATCGGAGACTGTAAAGGACAGAAGAGGAACCTGCCCCAGACTGGACAATCACACAGGGCTGTCTGGAGGAGGCAATGCTGGAGCTCCTGCAGGGAGGTGGGTGGTGCGGAAATGGGAGTCCAGGAGAGTTACCCTGATGATTTCCCTCCACGTGCAAGGAAAAAACAAGAGTAGGGGCATAAGTATTCCTTCCTCCAGCAGACGGATTCAAGCCATCTAAGAATAGAAGGGGGAAAAGAGTGTTCCAGGCCAGGGGCCAGCATGAGCTAACATTAGGAGGCATCTAAGAGCACAGCTCACTGAGAAACTACAAAGAGATGAGGCTAGAGATACAGGCAGAGTCCAGCTCACGAAAGGCCTTGAATGTCATGGAAGATTTGATCCTGCTGGTTCTAAAGGTCAACTGAGGAGTTCAAACAGGGATCTACACTCAGATTCCTGCTTTTGGAAGGTCACCCTGGCTGTCGCAGCATGTGCTGGGGACGAAGGGGCTGGAGGTGGCAGAGCCACAATATCTCAGGTAGAAAAATGAGGCTGAGTTAGGGCAGCAGCTGTGGGAATGAATGGGATTCAAGATGGGGACTGAGAAGGCACATTTATATCCTCTCCTTCCATTCAACTGATGGACCAGTGTTTTAAACAGTCTAAGCCACAACAACAAACATGACAGGCTGAATGCGGTGGCTCACACCTGTAATCCCAGCACTTTGGGAGGCCGAGGTGAGCAGATCACCTGAGGTCAGGAGTTTGAGACCGGCCTGGCCAACATGGCGAAACCCCATCTCTACTAAAAATACAAAAATTAGCTGGGCATGGTGGTGTGTGCCTATAATCCCATCTACTCTGGAGGCTGAGGCAGAAGAATTGCTTGAACCCGGGAGGCGGAGGTTATAGTGAGCAGAGATTGCACCATTGCACTCCAGTCTGGGCGACACAGCAAGACTCTTCCTCAACCAAAAAAAAAAAAAAAAAAAAAAGAAAAAAAGAAACAAAGAGGATGGAAGAAAGTCGTTAGTCATTAGCAGACAAGTGATTTCATCTGGAAAATGAAAAGGAGTTAGAGACCTGTGGGGTAGATTAGAGGGGCTGGGGTGCAGCGGGGCTGAGCCATCTGCCTATGAGAACCTGAGGGAGCCTCCAGGCTCCAGCGCAGGTATCACAGAGGGCAAAGTGAAAATGGGGCTGGAACAGGCAGAATAAACGAAGATCCAGGTAGGGACAGTTAATGCCCTTTCCCCCAAGTCATGGGTTCAGCCAGGCACTTACCCCAAGGAAAAAAATCAGAGACTGTCTCTAAAGAGAACTGTGTATACTGCCTGGTGAGATAGGTGCTGCTAGTGTAGTGGTCGGCACCCTTGAGGAAGCCCCCTTATGGCGGCATTTAGGGGTCCATGAGTGTAATGACTGGTTCCCACTCTAAGCTCTGCCCGCGTGCACATAACCCCCTTTGGCCTGTGCACAAAGTTCCTTTAGATATGGAAGGACACCAGGTAGCCCCATATATTTTAGAAAAGCTTCCAAAGTGAAGGAGAAAGAGCCAAAGAAGTCCTTAGAGAACCTTCAGAGAATAAAAGATTAAAAAGAAATAAAGAAAACGTGTATTCTCAGGAAAGCTCAAGGAAATACAACTTAAAAAAAACACACCCAAGATATTAAAAAAAAAAGGAACAGAGAAACAATTATCTTTTTAAAGATTGTGGCAAATACATAATATAAAATTCACCATTTTAACCTTTTTTAAATGTACAGTTCCGTGGCTGTATTAGTCTGTTTTCACGCTGCTATAAAGATACTACCCGAAACTAGGTAATTTACAAAGGAAAGAGGTTAAATTGACTCACAGTTACACATGGCTGGGGAGGCCTCAGGAAACTTCAATCATGGCAGGAGAAGGGGAAGCAAGAACCTTCTTCACGTGAGGGCAGGAGAGAGTATGCGTCAGTGCAGGAAAAACTACCAGTTATAAAACCATCAGATCGGGTGAGAAGTCATTCACTATTAAGAGAACAGCATGGGGAAAACTGCCCCCATAGGGAAAACTGCCCCCATACTCCAGTCACTGCCCACCAGGTCTTTTCCTAAACACCTGGGGATTATAATTCAAGATGAGATTGAGTGGGGACACAAAGTCTAACCACATCAGTGGCATTAAGGATATTCACATTGTTCTAAAACCGTCATCAACAACCATCTCCAGAACACTTTTTTATCTTGCAAAACTGAAACTCTGTACCCATGAAGCAAAAATTCCCCATCCCTGGCTGGCCCCGATCCTGGCAACCACCATTCTACTTTCTGTCTCCATGAATTTGACTACTCTAAGTATCTCATATGAGTGAAATCATACAATAATTGTCCTTTGTTACTGGCTTACTTCACATGCATAATGTCTTCAAGGTTCACTAATGTAGCATGTGTCAGAATTACCTTCCTTTTTAAGGCTGAATAATAGTCCATTGTATGGATATACCAAATTTTGTTTATCCATTCATCTGTCTATGGACACTTGAGTTGTTTCCACCTTTTGGCTATTGTGAATAATGCTGCTGTGAACATGTGTGTGCAAACATAAAAGAAGTAACTTTTTGGCCAGGCACAGTGGCTCATGCCTGTACTCCCAGCACTTTGGGAGGCCGAGGTGAGCAGATCACCTGAGGTCAGGAGTTTGAGACCAGCCAGGCCAACATGGTGAAACCCCGTCTCTACCAAAAATGCAAAAATTAGCCAGATGCAGTGGTGTGCCTGTAATCCCAGCTACACGGGAGGCTGAGGCACAAGAACCGCTTGGACCTGGGAGGCAGAGGTTGCAGTGAGCTGAGATCACGCCACTGCACTCCAACCTAGGCGACAGAGTGAGACTCCATCTCAAAAAAGAAGTAACTTTTTACAATTAAAAATATGGTTACCAAAATAAAACTTGCTAGATGGCTTGGAAAATAAAATTGATGGAATGTCTAGAATGCAGACAAAACATAAAAAAGAAAAAAAAATACAAGAGGAGAAATAAAATACTTCAAGGACTGATTCAAGTTCAACCAACCAGTTGACACTCCAGAAAGAGAACAGAGAAAACAAAGGGCAAGGGGTTACCAAAGAAATAATAAAAGAAAATCTCCTAGAGCCATGGGTTAGCCGTGTTGAAGCCCAGCCATGTGTCATGCACCGTGTGGATACTGGAGCTACATACAACTGCCACATGGTGCTGAGAATCTTGGGAGAGAGAGACAGAAACAAAACACTTGCATAAATTAATGTGAAATTGTAGGTAGAATGCAGAGCGCAAAAGGAACCTATAAAAACTTAGGCCAAGGATAGCCTCCTGAGACAGGGACGTTCAAGTTCAGAAGTAACCAGGCAGGAGAGAATGGGAGAAGTTCTGGGCAAAGGGAACAGCATGTGCAAAGACTGTGTGGCCAGAGAGGGCATGATGAGTTTGAAGAGCTGAAAGAAGACCTGCGTGGCTGGAGCTAAGAAGAGGCTTCCTAGGTGGTGAGCAGGGGAGGAGGTGAGGGGTGGATCCAACCATGTCAGGCTTTGAGGGCCCAAGAGTGGTAAGAAGCCAGGTTTTAGAGACAAAAACAGGTCCCTAGGGAGACAGAAAATGCTTTCTATTCCTTCTGGACACCAAGAAACAAAGCACAAGTTAAATCCTCAGTAGCTACTCACTTCTCTAGTGCTGGATGGGACTTTCTGCTCCACTGCAAAGAGCTCAATCTGGCCCTGCCCTGTGCAGCACAAGGGGGCAAAGCTCCTTAGGCTAAATCACAGGTGCTTTGGTTTTTAAAACTTGACTGAAGGACTTGGGTGACTGATGGGTGAGCAAGAAGAAAGTTGTTTGGATTCATGGGTGCACATTTAGGCAGTTTCAATATTCCATGTGTGAGTGCGACTGTGATGCATATTGATGCATTCATTTTGCACATCTGATTATTTCTTCAGGATCTATTTCTAGAAATAAAAGTTCTGGTACAAACAGATGGGGCATTTTTAGGGCTTTGGCCCTACAGAACAGTTGTTCCAGTTTACAGCCCCAGCAGTGGATAAGTGTCTGTTTACTCAAACTCTTCCCTGTCCAGCTGTCATTATATCTTTTTTATCTCTGCCAATTCAGCAGGAAAAAGAGGTGTCTTGTGGTTTTAGTCCTCTCCTCCTCTTCCTCCTCCCTTTTTAAGACAGGGTCTCGCTTGGTCACCCAGGCAGGAATGCAGTGTCTCAATCATAGCTCACTGAAGCCTGGATTCAGGCAATCTTTCTGCCTCAGTCTCTGGAGTAGCTGGAACTACAGGTGTGCATCACCATGCCCAGCTAATTAAAAAAAATAAAAAAAACTTGAGAGTTTTTTGTTGTTGTTGTTGCAGTGGCTCATGCCTGTAATCCAAACCCTTTGAAAGGCTGAGGCAGGCAGCTTAAGTCCAGAACTTTAAGACCAGCACGAACCACATGGTGAATACACAAAATACAAAAATTAGCTGGTTGTGGTGATGTGCACCTGTAGTCCCAGCTACCTGGGAGGCTGAGGCAGAAGGATCGCTTGAGCCTGGGAGGCAGAGGTTTCAGTGAGCCATGATCGCGGCACTGCACTCTAGCCTGGGTGACAGAGTGAAACTGTCTCAAAAAAAAAAAAATTTTTTTTTTTTTTTTTGTAGGTATGGGGTTTCACTTTGCCGCCCAGGCTGGTGCTGGACTGCTAGCTCCAAGCAATCCTCATACCTCGGCCTCCCAAAGTGCTGGGATTACAGGCGTGAGTCACTGCGTTTGGCCACATTTCTTTTATTGTTCTCATGGTTACAGTTGTTTCATATATTTACTGGTCATTTCTACTTTTTTATTTTTTGAGATAGAGTCTTGCTCTGTCACCCAGGCTGGAGTGCAGTGGCGTGATCTCGGCTCACTGCAACCTCCGCCTCCCAGGTTCAAGAGATTGTCCTGCCTCAGCCTCCTGAGTAGCTGGGACTACAGGTGCCTGCCACCATGCCTGGCTAAGTTTTCTATTTTTAGTAGAGATGGGGTTTCACCATGTTGGCCAGGCTGGCCTTGAACTCCTGACCTCAGGTGGTCTGCCCACCTCAGCCCCCCAAAGTGCTGGGATTACAGGCATGAGCCACCACGCCCAGCCATATCTACTTATTTTTAAACTACATATTCATGCCCTGTGCCCATTCCTATTGGGAATATGTCTTTTTCCTATTGATTTGTACCGATATTAACTCCCTGTCTGACATACATTAAATTCTCCTGATTTATTTGCTTATTAATTTTATGACATTTTTATATCATAAATCTTTTTGCAGTCACGTTTCCAATCTTTCCTTTATGGTTTCTATTTCCATGTTAAACTTAGGATGGCCTCCCTCACGTTGACATTATATAAATGTTTTCTTCTATTTCATTCTATTTTCCTTGTTTATATTTAACTATTTGTCCCATTTGGAATTTATGTTAGCATGCGGTTTGAAGAAAGATCAAATCCTTAATTTTTTCAGCCATATTTATTTCCTCTCCATTTTGAAATGCCAAATGTGTCATTTGCTAAATATTTAAAGTATACGTGGGACTTCTGGGCTTTCTACTACATGACATTGGTATATCTTTTATAACTGTTATAGCCCCCTACATTCTTTTTTTCTTTCAGTATTTACTTGATTTTTCTCTCCATTTACCAGTGATTTTAAAGTGAATTTACCAAGTTCACTACCACCCTCCCTTCTAACAATTCCTTTAGGACCTTGACTGGAATTTATAAATTAACTTTAAGATAACTTCCCTTGCAATGATAATTGTCCCATCTCTTGGCTTCAACGCCCCACATTAGAGCATGTTTACAATGAGCCAAGGTCAAAGCGGTGCATCCAGCGGGTTCCTGTCCCTGCCGGGAAGCACAAGTTCCTCCCTGTCCCCTGCCCACCCTGCTGGCTCTGGCAGGCCTTGAAAGGCCCATTAGGAAGAGGCCATTCCTCCTTCTTCATTAACACCTGTGCCCTGGGGACCAGACCAGAAGTTCTAGGAAGAGGAAAGTCCTCTCCTCACCTCTCCCCACATACTATGCGCTCCCCTCAACAATGTGGGGAGCAGCTGCAGATTCACAGTGTCCTGCCCCCACCCCAGCATAAGCACCTAGAGCTGGAGTCACTGGGGCTTCAGGGGGAGGGAGGGACTTGCCTGCCACATCCTGGGGTCCTGACTGGGTGGGCTTTCCTGGGAGACCAAGAACACAGATGTTCTGATGTTCTTTCTTTATCATATTGATGAGGGAGGAGGGTGGGTGTTGAGAAGTTAAATGACAATTTACGAGAGTCAGTTACAAGTGAGGATGAGCACAGCTGTCCCAACTGCAACCTCCTGTTTCTCTCCTCTGCCTACCCCACCCCACTCCCACCTCCACGGCCCTCTATAAACTGTGGCAGGTGGACCTTGGTAACAACATCACCCGGGGCTTGTTAGAAATTAGAAACCTGGCTTTCCGGAACTGGCCGAGCAGGAGGCGCCATCATGGGAGTTGACATCCGCCCCAACAAGGACCAAAAAACGTTCCGCGCAAGGAGCCCAAGAGCCGGGATATCTACCTGAGGCTGTTGGTCAAGCTGTACAGCTTTCTGGCCAGACAAATCAACTCCATATTCAACCAGGTTGTACTGAAGAGGCTGTTTATGAGTCGCACCAACCGGTCACTCTGTTGCTCAGATGATCCGGAAGATGAAGCTTCCTGGCCGGGAAAACAAAATGGCCGTGGTCTTGGGGACCATAATGGATGATGTGCGGGTTCAGGAGGTTCTCAACCTGAAGGTGTGTGCACTGTGTGTGACCAGCCGGGCTGCCGCCGCATCCTCAGGGCGGGGCAGGGGGCAAGATCCTCACTTTTGACCAGCTGGCCCTGGACTCCCCCAAGGGCAGCAGCACCATTCCGCTCTTTGGTTCTCTCAAGGGCCAAGAGGTGTACCGGCATTTCGGCAAGGCCCCAGGAACGCCGCACAGCCACACCAAAGCCTACGTCCGCTCCAAGGGCCGGAAGTTCAAGCGCGCCAGAGGTCAAAGGGCCAGCCGAGACTACAAAAACTAACCCTGGCGCCTACCCTCTTATTAAAAAGATTTTGGAAGAAGAGAGAAAGAGAGGAAAGAAAGAAATGTGGACCCCACCCTTGTCCTGCTGAGTCAGAAACTGCGTTTCAATCAAATCCCCAGGCAATTGTGTGCACGTGAAAGTTTGAGAAGCCAGGATCCCAAGACTCACCTGAGCTGGATGGAGCTCACAGCAACCGCTGAGATAATTACCCACCCTAGCCCCGCCTCTCTTGGGACAAGCCTGACCTCGGGAGTAGGGCCTGGGCCCAGGCCAGGGCAAAGCTGAAAAGTGAAAGAACCAAAGCTTCTCTCAGACACCAGGTGCATCAGAAACCAGCCTATTTCCTGCATCGAAGGCTGTGTGGAGTGATGGACAAGCATGAGGTCAGTGTGACACACACTTGGGTTCCAGTCGTCGCACTGACCCTTACAGGGACTGTGACGTGGGGCCCTCTATGAGCCTCTGCCGACTTACCTGTCAAATGGCAAGAACTACACCACCTCACAGACCTGATGGGAAAGCAGAGGTAAGTTTATCAAATGTCCAGAAGAGTGCCACGTCATAGTAGGTTTTTACTAGAAAGGAGAATATTGATGCAGGGCAGGTGAGCCCCAGAATCGGGGCTTAGCCCAGGAGGGTTTTTGGCTTCTCCCAGGAAACAATTTAAGGGTGAGCCAGTGCTGTTAGCAACTTTTATTGAAGCTGCAGTGTACTGCAACAGCAGAGGGACTGCTCCTTGTGGGACAGGGCTACCCCATAGGCAGTGTGCCCAGAGTAGCAGCTCACAGGCAGTTTTGTAGTCATATTTATATTCACTTTTTTTTTTTTTTTAAGACGGAGTCTTGCTCTGTTGCTCAGGCTGGAGTGCAGTGGCGTGATCTCGACTCACTACAGCTTCTGCCTTCCAGGTTCAAGCAATTTTTCTGCCTTAGCCTCCTGAGTAGCTGGGATTACAGGTGCACACCAACACGCCTGGCTAATTTTTGTATTATTAGTAGAGAAGGGGTTTCACCATGTTGGCCAGGCTGGTCTTGAACTCCTGGCCTCAAGTGATCCACCTGCCTCACCCTCCCAAACTGCTGGGATTACAGGCATGAGCCACCGCACCCATCATCATCTCTAGCTTGGACTCCTGTGAGCCTCCTCACTGGTTCCCTGCTCCCACATTGAACCCCTAGACTCTTGTCTTCATCCAGCAGCTAAAACAAGCCAATTAAAGCAATCATGTCACATCACTCCCTGCTTAAAACTCTCCAGAAGAAACTAAACCCTTTTCCTAATTTGAAGACCTTAAATGATGATTCCTGCCTCACTATCTCTGTCTAACCATATTTTAGGCTGTTCTCCTTGTTCACACAACATCAGCCTCACATGCCAAGACTGTCCCTCTGTGACTTTGCCATCTCCTACTCTGTCTGCCTATAATATTCTTCTCCCAGAGTAGGGTTGGTTCCTTCTGGTCATTCAGGTCTCAAATGTCACCTCCTCAGAGAGCTAGGGTACCCCTTCTCTGTCACCCTGCAGCACATCACTCTGTTTTGTTTTCTCTAGAGCCTTCACCACCACAAGCAGCAGTTATCCTGTATGTTTCTTTTTCTTTCTTTCTTTTTGAGACACGGTCTTTCTCTGTTGCCCAGGCTGGAGTGCAGTGGCGTGACCTCAGCTCACCTCTGCCTCCCAGTCTCAAGTGATCCTCCCACCTCAGCCTCCTGAGTAGCTGGGACTACAGGCATGAACCATCATACCCAGCTAGCGTTTGTTTGTTTGTTTTGGAAGAGATGGGGTTTAACCATGTTGCCCAGGCTGGTCTCAAACTCCTGGGCTGAAATGACCCACCTGCTTCAGGCTCCCAAAGTGCTGGGACTCCAGGCATGAGCCACCCTCACCTGGCCCTATTTCTTTACTTGGTCATTGTCTCCCCATCTTACACCCCCACCACCCATAGAATGAGGGAGAATAAGGATTTTGTTTTGTCCACTACTGTATCCCTAGGACTTAGAACAGTGACTGGGACATAGTACATGCTCAGTTAATGTATGTGAATAAAGTAATAAAGATGCTTACTCTTCACCCTCCTTTCTGCTGCCTTCCTGCTGAACTGTGTGCAGCAGCTGGCCTATATACCACATCAGCCCAGAGCAGTGTTTATAACAGAGGTTTTCAGGCATCTCCTCTCCTTCAGATGCATGAATTAGAATTTCTGGGGGAGGGTCTTGGGAATTTTTATTTGGAGGCCACTGCTTTAGATAACCAAGAATTGGTTCAGGTCAGGGCCTAGCAGAAAGGCTTTTTTTTCCCCCTCTTCAAAATCTTGTAGCTGTGCTTTCAAGAGGACATTGATAGCTTCATCCTGGTATGCAGGAAGCACTTAAGAACTATTAGTTGGAAAGAAGATGAAATGAAATCTGTACTTAGTTATTACAACTTTCTTTTTTCTTTTTTTCCAAGACACCAAGGGCAAGTAATTACAACTTTCTTGATGCAGTAGAGGAATCACTGATCTGGGGACCAAGAGGACTGGGTTTGTCCCCCGGTTGTTGCTGCTTCCTAGGGAGGGCAGTCTCTGAGCCCCAGATTTCTTATCTATAAAAAGGGACAAATAGTACTTAGACAATGGAGTTATTTCATTCATTCATTCATTCAAACATTTATTATCTCTGCGTTCTAGGACTGAGCCAAGGCCCAGGTGATATAGAAATAAACAAGAGGCTAGGCGTGGTGGCTCACACCTGTAATCCCAGCACTTGGGAAGGCCAAGGTGAGTGGATCACCTGAGGTCAGGAGTTCAAGACCAGCCTGGCCAACATGGTGAAACCCCATCTCTACTAAAAATACAAAAATTAGCCAGGCATGGTGGCAGGCACCTGTAATCTCAGCTACTCGGGAGGCTGAGACAGGAAAATATCTTGAACCCAGGAGGCAGAGATTGCAGTGAGCTGAGATCATGCCACTGTACTCCAGCCTGGGCAACAGTGAGACTCCTTCTCAAAAAAAAAAAAAAAAAAAAAAGAGAAACAAGAGACAGTCATTGTGAGGAATAATGATATATGTGTCCCCAGAATCAAAAGTGCCCCACCCTCTTCCCTGCTTGTAGCTGTGGTCTCAGTGAGGTCCCAGAGCAACACAGGAGAAAGGACCTGCTCTGATACAGAGTCTGATGGAACTTTATTTAAATTATGATGCCTCAGCCAGGCGCGGTGGCTCAGGCCTGTAATTCCAGCACTTTGGGAGGCCGAGGCGGGCAGATCATGAGGGCAGGAGATCAAGACTATCCTGGCTAACACAGTGAAACCCTGTCTCTACTAAAAATACAAAAAATTGCCGGGCGTGGTGGGGAGTGCCTGTAGTCCCAGCTACTTGGGAGGCTGAGGCAGGAGAATGGCGTGAACCCGGGAGGCTGAGCTTGCAGTGAGCCGAGATCGTGCCACTGCACTCCAGCCTGGGTGACAGAGTGAGACTCCGTCTCATAAATAAATAAATAAATAAATATGCCTCTAGCATTATGGGAACAGGCATGAGACATCCCAAGCCAGCTCAAAGGAGTTAACTTTCTTCAAAACTTATATAGAGTAAATTCACTTTCTATGCTACCAATCTTCATTCACTCATCCATACAACAAATATTTACTGGATATTCACTACTATTCCTATTAGGTGTTGTGCAGCTGGTGGAGGAGGTTGCCATTTACAGTAAAGGAAACATTGGGTAAGAAACAGGTTTGAGGCTGGCCGCAGTGGCTCATGCCTGTAATCCCAGCACTTTGGGAGGCCAAGGTGAGCAGATCACTTGAAGTCAGGACTTTGAGACCAGCCTGGCCAACATGGTCTCCACTAAAAATACAAAAATTAGCCAGTCGTGGGGGCATGTGCCTGTAACCCCAGCTACTCAGGAGGCTGAGGCAGGAGAAGCACTTGAACCTAGGAGGCAGAGGTTACAGTGAGCCAGGGTTGTACCACTGCACTCCAGCCTGGGTGACAGAAACTGTCTCCAAAAAAAAAAAAGAAGAAAAGAAAAACAATTGGAGGGAAGATTGTGAGTTTCATTCTAGAGAAGCTGAGTTTAAGGGCTTATGAGAGATACATGCCTGGAACTTAGGGCAGATGCCTGGTCTCCAATGTACAGAAGATATTGTAAGCTATGCATGCAGGTGTGCTAGGGAGAGAATGTAGAATAAGAGGGCCCAGGGCCTTCGATCTTTTCCCACTGCAGGATCTGCCCCAACTCTCACCACCAGAGCAACCCAAACCCCGTGTTGGAAAGTGAGAGGTATAATTAAGGGAATCAGAAGAAGGGAGGTTTTTATGCCCGTCTCTGGAGTCTTATTAGTCATTCTGCTCTTCTTTCAGCTTTTTGACATCTTATCTTCTACAGCGTTTGCCAATGAGTGCTGCAGGAATTCCCTGTATATCTGGGTGCTCCCAACATCCCTGTTGTGAAACGAAGGAGAGTTCATCATAAAAGTTTTTAGCAGCAAATTTTTTTTTTTGCTTTGTGTTACTTTATTCTACAAGTGATTTTTATTTACTTACTTGCACAAATTTATGGGGCATGTGTGAAATTTTGTTACGTGTATATAATGCATAGTGATCAAGTCAGTATTTAGGCTGTCCATCTCATGAGTGTAGAACATTTTTGTTTAACCCTAGTCACCCTACTATGCTATCAATCATTGAATTTATTCCTTTTTTTTTTTTTTTTTTGAGACAGAGACTTACTCTCTTGCCCAGGCTGGAGTGCAGTGGTGCAGTCTCAGCTCACTGCAACCTCCACCTCCCGGGTTCAAGCAATTCTCCTGCCTCAGCCTCCCAAGTAGCTGGGACTACAGGTACGTGCCACCATGCCCAGATAATTTTGTATTTTTAGTAGAGATGGGGTTTCACCATGTTGGCCAGGCTGGTCTCAAACTCCTGACCTCAAGTGATCCGGCTGCCTTGGCCTCCCAAAGTGCTGGGATTACAGGTGTGAGTTATCACACCCAGTCTTGAATTTATTCCTTCTAACTGTATGTCGGAGCAAACAATTTGAAAGTGAAATTTTGAAAATCTCATTTAGAGTGGCACCAAAAATTTTATAAAATACCTAAAAATAAATCTATCAAACCTCTACACTGAACACTATAGAACACTGTGAAATTGAAGAGGAACTAAATAAATGGAGAGATATGCCATGTTTTGTATTGGGAGACACAAAATTGCCCAATATGATAATTCTTTCCCAGTTTGTCTATATACTCAATGTAATTCCAACCAAAATTTTCAGCAGACATTGTTGTGTTTCTTTTTTTCAGAATTTGAAAAGTTGGTTTTAAAATGCATATGAAAATGGACAGGACCTAGAGTAACTAAAACAATTTTTGTTTTGTTTTTGAAACAGGGTCTCGCTCTGTTGCTCGAGCTGGAGTGTGGTAGCACCATCGTGGCTCACTGCAGCCTTGACCTCCCCTGGATCAAGCGATCCTCCTACCTCAGCCTCCCAAGTGGCTGGGACCAATAGGTAAGTACCACCTCATCCGGCTAATTTTTTCTATTTTATATACATATGTAATTATATGTGAGATATATATAGATATAGATATATAGATATATATAGATATAGATATATATAGATATAGATATATAGATATATATAGATATGTAACGTATATATACACAAAATTAGCCAGGTGTGGTGGTGTGCAGCTGTAGTCCCAGCTGCTAGGATAGGGAGGCTGGGAGGTGGGGGAGGATCGCTTGAGCCTGGGGGTTGAGGCTGCAGTGAGCCATGATCACGCCACTGCACTCCAGTCTAGGTGACAGAGCAAGTCTCACTCTCAAAAAAAAAAAATTATGTACTGTATAATTGTGTTCATACAAAATTCTAGAAAGTGCAAACTAATCTATAGAGACAGAAAGCAGATCAGCCTGGGACAGGATTGGAGGGAGCGGTGGATGACAAAGGGGCATGAGAAAACTTTGGGGGATTATGGAAATGTTTGCTGTCTGAATTTTGGCTTCATGAGTGAACACAAACAACACTAATCAAGTTGTACATTTTTAAAATGTGCAGTTGATTGTACTCCAGTTATCCGTCCATAAAGTTGGGGTGGGGGGAAACTCTTAAAACCAGGTGAAATAAATCTATACCATTTAGAAATTAGAACAGTGGCTCCATTTGGGAGGGTGGGGACCTGGAGGAAGTACAGGGGGTCTTTTAGGGTGCTGGTAATGTCTGTGTCTTGAGCTGGATGCTGGTTACACAGGTGTGTTCAGTTTGTGAAAATTCATTTAGCTGAACATTTATTTGTGAACTATTCTATACATATATCTCAATTAAAAGTTTTTTTAAAAAAGCTCTTTCACCAGACCTTAGATGAGTGCTGTAGTTACAGACAGTATAGGGATGATCTGGACTCCGGAATCTGCCTGTCTGGATTTCACATTGCCTATTTTTCACAGCACGTACACGGAAGATACTCTTGATCTCCCTACTTAACAGATGAAAAACATGAGGCACAGAGAGGTTAAAGAGTTTGCCCAGGGTTACACAGCTAGGAAGCTGCAGATTGCAAGCCCAGGACACATGATGCTGTGACTCACCTCTGCAGTCTCTCCTAATCCAGGCTTTACCTGATACACTTAGCATAGTGCTCAGCAGATGGGAAAGCACTGAATGCATGTTCTTTGCGGTCATTGTTATTGTTTAAGGTGTCTCCATTGAAAATACTTCCAACAAAGGAAACAGAAGGAAATCAGACCCCATCAGGGCAGACTTAAAAATCAACATCTGCCCTTACGTGGAGCACCCAGCAATGTTACCTCAATTCTCTTTGAGTATTAGGCTTTCCCAGCAACGTGCCAAAACCCTGGTACAGAGCATTAGGCTTCTTCTCTCCCTGGTAAGTTCATCCAGAGGAGGGATCCTGGCTTCATCCATCCCTGAAGCACATGGCCTGGCACAGATCTGGGTCTTTATGCTATGTGAACAAGTGAAAGGGGGAATTGGAAGAGACAGGTTCTCAGGTCCCTTTTTAGCCCCTGAGGGTCTGGAGTCCTTGAAGCCATTGAGCTTCCTCTGCACAGCCTTTCATCCTGGAGCCCATTGCAACCCATCCCTTCCATGGTGCTGGAGATGGTAAGTGCTCTGGACAGCAGATGCTGAGATGTAGTTAAGAATGGGAGAGGGTTCAGTGGGGACCAGTAATTACTGTAAATGATAAGAGGAGGAGGTAGCTGGATTGGGCAGGGGAAGACTTCAGATTGCCATGCCAGATCTAACAAAGTTTCAGCCCCCGCAACAGGAGGACTTGGAGTTTGAGTTGAGCAAAAATGGCAGGCCCTAGGACTCTCGCTGTGCTCAGTAGTTGGTTTGGGGGCTTGCCAGGAAAAGTGTGGCCTCTACCTCAAAAGCTGAGGTAAAGCCTGAAGATGCTAGCCACTGGAGGCAGGCAGCTAACTGCATTCTTGCAGCTAGGAGGTTTGAATATCTCTGCAGTGGTCACAGTCACAAAAGGGAAGAAAAACACCCAGCAGGTTTTCCGCCAGCACTGCCAGCCTTTGCCTGGCTGTCAGTGGACAGCTGGGGAGCCAGGTGAGGCAAGCTATGGAGAATCAAATATGGAGTAAGGAGGTCCTTCAATGAGGAGGTCCATAAAGATTGAGAGGAATCAGGGCCGGCTTTTCCAAGATAAGTCCTGAAAGCCCAGATGCTTCTGATTAGCAGGAAGGAGGGAGGAGATGATTCAGGACAAGGTAGAGTGAACCCTTTAGACTTAAAGCCAGAATTTGAAACAGCTTAATGTCCTGCCTCCCTCAGAACTTTCAGATGGAAGTACACATCATTAGTTATGACTGATTGAGGAAGCAACAGTCAGGATTACATTGTCAAAGGATCATGCCACTATTAAGCACCTACTGAATTCCCATCTGTTATAAAGGAGATAGGAGAAAAGAGAAGGAAGGGGTGGTGTGCTATCTGCTGAGGCTTTCATTATCCCATTTAAGCCTCAGACCAACCCTATGAGCGGGGTGACAACTATCACCCTCTTTTTATAGATGGAAAAAGCAAGCCTCAAAAATGTGAGATAACTTGCCCACCACAGCTGCTAAGTGGCCAAACAGATTTGAGGCCAAGTCAATCCAACCATAAGTTTTTATAATTTCTCCCATTCCACCACCACCCCTAGTGCCGCCATCATTTCTGAGCATTTATTGAGTGCCAAATCACTGCGACATGCTCTACCCACATTACCTTGTTGAAGCATCAGGACAGCCGTTATAGATGAGGAAAAGGAGAAAGTAGCTAGTCCAGGGTTATGGAGCTCCAAAATGGCAGAACCAAAATGGGTACCCTTGTCTGTTGAGCTCACTACCTTCATTACCATCTATAGATGGAAAGTCGTGGAGTCACCAGGCCGGAAGTGCCGTGGAGGAAACTCACTCCAATCTGCTGCATGAAGAGAGGATTCTCTGAGACTGAGCAAGGTATCAGGCCAGCAGCAGGCACTGAGATACCACCAGCCCAGATGATGAGGCCTCAGATGGTGCTGGCCAGAGGGGTGGGAACCAGCTGTTCCTTGTCTCAAGCCCTTCAGGCTGAGTGGCTGCACTCCACAAGGCCTCATGTCTGAGTCAGCCCTGACCCATGTCCTCAGGCCCCACTGGCAGAGCCACCAATGCTACTGGCTCTGTGGCCTCAGCTGCTGTGTGCCTCAGACATGGCAACCTATGACTCTGATCTATAAAGCAGCCAGTGATCTATAAAGCAGCCAGCGAAGGTTGAGGTTCAGCCTTGAGGCACACTGAGGCACACAGGTGGAAAGGGGAAGAGCAGAGAGCAGCAGGGCCTGGGAGACTATGGCCCCATGACCCAGCAGAGGCCAGATACAGGCAGGAATTACTGCTCCACCTCCTGCTGCAGCTGTGGGCAAGTTACAAGTGAAGGACCTGTGGATTTTGCTGCTTGGTAATCACAGGTTCAAACTCCAGCTTCACCAAACTCCTTCCCTGTCAGCTTTCTCACTGGAAGATGGGGCAGTAGCTTCTTGTGAGGACAAAATGATGAAGTATCTAGCACCAAGTAGCTACCAGGTATATTGTGGCTTCCTCACCACCTGTCCTAAGAGATGAGGATCCAAGACCCTGCCCTGTCCCTGCAGCCCTTTTGGGCTCGTGTGGGGCAGATGCAACCCTTTTCAAGAAAAGTTCTGCTAAGGGGCTGAAGGAAGCAGGCCTTCTTCTGGAGCTGCTAAAGAAAGGAAGGCTACCCAGGGTGGGGGCATCCTGGTTCACTTGTGTTCCCAGGGCTCAGAGAGCACTTGCCGCTTACACCCTCCTTGATGGAAGTGTCAGGATTCAGTCAGGGAAGAAACAGAACCATGTGAGTTATGGGCTAAGGGATTTATTGCACAATTAGACCTTACATGATTGTGGAGGGGCTGGGAAGTAGAGGTGTGGGGAGGGAGCTGGAGAGTCAGAGAAGGGGTCCACTTCTCGGTCAATCTGAGAAGCTGAAACATGTCCAGCTTCTGGTGGGACCACCAAGGGCAAGGCCCTGGAGAGGTCTCTGGGCAGCTGTGCCTTGCAGAGCTCCCACATCTGTGGATCTGCACAAAATGCCTATGGTAGACTTAGGGTCAGTGCAGGTCATATGGTCAGCAGTCGGGGAGAAGAGCTGGACTCAGGGCAGAGTGAGGACAAGCTGGCATTTGCCAGCACCACTACATCTGTCACTGCTGAAACCAAGGGGTGAATTTGATCAGGTCTGCCTGCCACCCTGCTTGCTTTTGGCCGCTTGCTTTTTGTTTTGTTTTTGTTTTATCCATGAACCCTGAGGCCTTAGTCCACTGAAGGCTGAACCTCAACCTTCACTGGCTGCTTTATAGATCACTGGCTGCTTTATAGATCAGAGTCATAGGTTGCCATGGTCATGGTTGCTTCAGCTGTTTTTCAGGAACTTGGGCCAGCTCCTGTCCAGTTCAAACTGGTTGAGATCACTGACCCTTCAACTGGACCTGTGCCAATGCCCGAGAAAAGGTCCATTTTG
Organism: Homo sapiens; assembly: GCF_000001405.40. NCBI lineage: Eukaryota > Metazoa > Chordata > Mammalia > Primates > Hominidae > Homo > Homo sapiens. The sequence goes on along the minus strand of NC_000015.10, from coordinate 78,651,016 downwards.
ATGTCAGAGGGCCAAATACTCCACCTTCAGATCATGCTAATGCCATCATTTTCTGCACTTACGCCCTATGAAATCTCACAAAGCCCGACTACACTTGCACGAAACAAACCTATGACTTCATTTTTCCCCGCTGCCAATCACCTCTCCCCACATCTTAGACCATCACACTTCCCTAGCCCATAAGCAACCCTAAGCCTTATCTCTGCAGAGGTGGATTTGAGAGCTGTTCTTCCCCCTCCTCGTTTGGTGGCCTTGTGCATAAATCAGGACCTGTGTCACAGTGATTGACTTGCTGTACACCGGCAGAATGGACCTAGACCTGGCCAGTGACACCACTTGCGGCCACGGCCACCTTCAGACAGCAATGGCTGCCTCTTTCCTTCTGCCTTCCAAATCACACATAAATGCCCCTTTTGGCCAACTCTTCCTCTGTAAGGCTTCTCCTCAAGGGGCACCAGCACTGATGGGGAAGCCAGAGAAAGGCAGTTCAGGTTGGGGGTGAAAAGCCAGGAATGTGAAGACCAACTTCTGCTTGGCTCTTACTTCCTTAATTAGAGAGTCTGGAGCCCAAGGCATCAGCTACAGGTCTTAGGACAAACCCTGGGCCCAGGAAAACAGAGCTGGATGAATCCTTGGACACCATGAGATCTATCATCTCACTCCACAGATGGGGAAGTTGGGCTCTGACTCCTGCTGTCATTTGTGGCAGGTCCCAGGCTGCTAACTCCATCCTCTCTGGCCAGCACCACTGCAGCCTGGGCCTCAGCTAGTGGAGCCAACTAGGCTCACCCACTGCCAAAGCAACTGTAAGAAGGGCACACGACAGTCACGGGCAGAACCCCAGGCCAGGATGTCAGTCTCTCTGGCCTATGGACAATTGCTCAGCCTGCAGCTGGGGCCTGGCTAGGCCAGACAAGGGACCGGGTGCACAGCAGGGAGGGCGCCTGCCCATGTCCACAGCCATCCTCCTCCTGGGCACACTCATGAAAAGGCACTCCTTTAAAAAAAACAAAATTGATAAAATATTTCAAACATACATAAATCTATAGGAACCCACATAACAAACACCTGGGAACCATTATCCGGAGTTGTTCAAACATACTCATATGTAGTCATATTTGCTTCAGACCTTCTTTTTTCATTTTATGAACTAAAGCAAATTTATTTATGAAACAAAACCCCCAGAACCTCCCCCCATGATTATTTTTCTTCCCATCCCCAGAGGTAACCACTTCTCTGAATTTAGAGTTTATCACTCGTGCAATTTTATTCTTCTGCTACTTACGTGGGTATCTTTAAACATGTTTTTAAATGTTAGCTAATATGTATATGTCCACGTATGTTATATGTGATTTGTACATATTCAAAACTTTTTTGCTTAACATTTTTTAAAGATTTTTGTTAATAATTGTGACTTTAGATCAAGGGTCAGCAAACTTTTTGTGTAAAAAGCCATATAGCAGATATTTTAGGCTTTGCAGGCAACATATGGTCTCTGTTGCAGTCTTTGCTTTGCATTGTTTTATTTTGTTTTGTTTTTTATAGTGCTTTAATGTTATAAAAACCATTCTTCTTAGCTCCAGATTTGGCAGATGGGCGGTAGTTTGCTGGCCCCAGCTCCAGATCATATTGTATTATGTGAGTATCCCACAGTTCATTCCTCCGTGTTCTTGTTGATGGACATCTAAGTGGTTTCCAATTCTCACTACACAAGGGTGACTATGAGCATTATCATATAAATGAGTGTCTCTGGGGTACACACCGAGAAATGGAAGGGCTAGGCATTGGACGGAAGCATCTTTGACTTTACAATACATTATCAATTTCTCTCCAAACTGGCAGCCCCAGTTTACATCCCCAGCAGCAGTTGGCGAGTGCTCCTGCTGTTCCACATCTTTACTAGCACTTGCTGTTATAGGGCTTTCAAAATAATATGAACTGCCGGGAGCGGTGGCTCACACTTGTAATCCCAGTACTTTGGGAAGCCAAGGCAGGAGGACTGCTTGAGCCCACGAGTTTGAGACCAGCCTGGGCAACATAGTGGGACCCGGTCTCTACAAAAAATCCCAAAAATTAGCCAGGTGTGGTGGCATGGTTGTGGTCTCAGCTACTTGGGAGGCTGAGGTGGGAGGATCACTTGAGCCTAGGAGGTTGATGCAGCAGTGAGCAGTGATTGTGCCACTGTATTCCAACCTGGGCAACAGAGTGAGACCCTGTCTCAAAATAACAATAAGATATCTACTTTTTTTTTTTTTTTTTTTTTGAGACAGAGTCTCACTCTGTCGCCCAGGCTGGAGTGCAGTGGCGCCGATCTTGGCTCACTGCAACTTCCGCCTCCCGGGTTCAAGCAATTCTGTGCCTCAGCCTCCTGAGTAGCTGGGATTACAGGCATCTGCCACCACACCTGGCTAATTTTTGTATTTTTAGTAGATACAGGGTTTCACCATGTTGGCCAGGCTGGTCTCGAACTCTTGACCTTGTGATCCATCCGCCTCGGCCTCCCAAAGTGCTGGGATTACAGGTGTGAGCCACTGTGCCCAGCCAACAATAAGAATATATTCTTATGCAGCAGAAGGAACAGATTCACCCCCATGCCTTTTCTTTTTCCTTTTTTTTTTTTTTTTTGAGGCAAGTCTCGCTCTGTCGCCCAGGCTGGAGTGCAGTGGTGTGATCTCGGCTCACTGCAAGCTCCGTCTCTCAGGTTCATGCCATTCTCCTGCCTCAGCCTCCTGAGTAGCTGGGACTACAGGTGCCTGCCACCACACCCAGCTAATTTTTTGTATTTTTAGTAGAGACAGGGTTTCACTGCGTTAGCCAGGATGGTCTTGATCTCCTGACCTCGTGATCCACCCGCCTAGGCCTTCCAAAGTGCTGGGATTACAGGCATGAGCCACCTCGCCCGGCCCTACCACCCCCACGCCCTTTTATAAAGCACTAATCTCATCCACGAGGGCTCGCCCTTATGACTTAATCATTTCTTAAAGGCCCTACCTCTTCATACTATCATCTTGGCAATTAATTTGAATTTTGGGAGACACATTCAGACCATAGCAATACTCTTCATGAAAGGCCTTATGTATATTTTGCTAGATTTATCGTAAGGTTTTTGTTGCCATTGTGAATAGAATCTCTTTTTTTTTTTTTTTTTTTTTTTTGAGATGGAGTCTCTCGCTCTGTTGCCCAGGCTGGAGTGCAGTGGTGTGATGTCGGCTCAGTGCAAGCTCCGCCTCCTGGATTCATGCCATTCTCCTGCCTCAGCCTCCCAAGTAGCTGGGACTACAGGTGCCTGCCACCACGCCCGGCTAATTTTTTTTTTTTTTTTTTTTGGATTTTTAGTAGAGACGGGGTTTCACCATGTTAGCCAGGATGGTCTCGATCTCCTGACCTTGTGATCTGCCCGCCTTGGCCTCCCAAAGTGCTGGGATTACAGGCGTGAGCCACTGCACCCGGCTGAATCTCTTTCTAATACATTTTCTAACCTGTTGTTATTGATGTATAGGAATGCTAGTATCTCATTATCACTTCTGTGTCCATTCCCCTCACTCCTATCCATGGTAAACCTCTTCCTATGTTTGCAGGTCATTCAAGTTTTCTTTTCTATGAATTACATGTTCATATTGTTTGCCCACTTTTCTTTTGGTTGGTTGACTTTTTAAAATATTAATGTTTATATATATAAAATGTTTATATATATAATTCCTTAAATATTCTAGATATGTATCCTTTGATTATATGAATTGCAAATATCTTCTAATCTACGGTTTCTCTTTAAACTTCATTTGTGGTATGTTTGGTTGAATAGAAGTTTAAATACTTTAGTGAAGTCAAATCTATTACCATTTTTCTTTTGAGCTTATGCTTTTAATATTTTTTTCTCCTGAGACAGTCCCACTTTGTTGCCCAGGCAGGAGTGCAGTGGCTCAATCACAACTCACTGCAGCCTCAAACTCCTGGGCTCCAGTGATCCTCCCGCCTCAGCCTCCTAAGTACAGGACTACAGACACACACCAGCACACCCAGCTAATTTTTTATATAGAGAGAGGAGATGGGGTCTTGTTATGTCACCCAGGCTGGTCTGGAACTCCTGGGCTCAAGCAATCCTCCTGCTTCAGCCTCCCAAAATGCTGGTATTACAGGTATGAACCACCACACCCAGCCACTTTCAGTATTTTGTTTAGGAAATTACTTTCTACTTGTTATGGATTGAATATTTGTGTCCCCTCTAAATTTATATGTTGAAATCCTGGCCTCCAATATAATGGTGTTAAGAGATGGGGCCTTTGGAAAGTAATTAGGTCAGGAGGGTGGAGCTCTCGTGATGGGATCACCACCTTCATAAGAAGAGATGCAGGAGAGTTGCCTCCTGTCTGTCTTGCTCTCTGCCATGTGAGGATACAAAAAGATGGCCCTCTGTGAACCAGGAGGTGGGCCCTCACCAAGAGCCGACCATGGTGGCACCCTGATCTTGGACATCTAGCCTCTAGAACTGGGAGAAATCAACGTGTGTTGTTTAAGCCACCCATTCTATGGCATTTTGTTAGAGCAGCCCACACTAAGACACTACCCCAGTCATAATGATATCCTCCTATGTTTGCTTCTAAATGCTTTCAAAGTTTTGCTTTTCAAACTAAATCTTTAATGAACCTGGATTTTATTTTTGGTACGGTGTGAACTAGGGATCTAGTTGTATTTACTTCCCATATGGATAATCAATTGTCCCAACATCGTTTTTAGAATATCCATCCTTTCCCCAATGATCTACAAGGCAACTTCTGTCTTATTTCAAGTTTCCGTGTGTCATGGATCTTTTGCTGGGCTCCCGTTCTCTTCCAGTGGTCAATTTGTACATCCCCCTCAACATTTAACTGTCCTGATTCCTATGACATTATCGTATGTACACAAATCTTAAACCTTCCATTACTCACTGACCTCTATGTCATTCATTTTTTTTTTTTTTTTGAGACGGTCTCACTCTGTCGCCCAGGCTGGAGTGCAGTGGCACAATCTTGGCTCACTGCAATCTCTGCCTCCCAGGTTCAAGTGATTCTCCTGCCTCAGCCTCCCAAGTAGCTGGGACTACAGGTGTGCGCCACCATACCCAGCTAATTTTTTTATATTTTTAGTAGAGAAAGGGTTTCACCATGTTGGCCAGGATAGTTTCAATCTCTTGACCTCATTATCCACCCGCCCCAGCCTCCCAAAGTGCTGGGATTACAGGGGTAAGCCACCGTGCCCGGCCTATGTCATTCTTATTCTTTAAAAATATATTCATTTGGGTTCTGCTTGAAGGAGAGCCTGAGTCAAGGATTTGGGTGCATGCATTTTTTTAGAAGATGATTCCAGGAAGCAAGGTAAGAGGGTGAGAAGTGAGATAGGGAAGGGAAGAAAGTCAATAGATGGTACATTAATGAGCAGGTTGCCACAAAAGGTAACTGGGGCTCAATCTCACTGGGCCCTTCAGTTATTCCAGCTGAGGGGTGGTGAAGCTGTGGTATTTATCCACCAACTCCCTTTCTTCATGGCTGTTTTAAAATGCACTCAAGATTTTCATTAGATATGGCAAGACACACAGATATGGAAATGACTGTCCTGAAGTAGAGTTTTTTATACTCAGAGGTCCCTAGAAACAAGAGACATGGCATGCCAGGCAGGGATACATGGGGAGGCACCAGGGTTGGTCAATAAGTAAAGGGAGCTGGGGGGAAATGTGGGCAAGAGCTTTATTTGTGGCATCCAAGAGAAAGGCAAGTCAAGCCAGGGTAAGCAGGCACAGGATTAGCTATTAATAGTTTAAATAATTTCACTTGGCTCCAGAGCATAGGGCTGTCCCTGGTTGTCTGGTTCATGGCCCTGGGATGACTAGGGTAGACGGACAATGGCCCAGTATAACAGTCTGATGAAGGAGGTGGCTGGGGGTGTGGGCTTCGGATTGGCTGGTTTGCGTATGGAAGGTGCATTTGCAGGTGAGTCCCTTACTGTCTCGGGGAATTGGCTAGCCCTGGGAGGAACAGTCTCTCCAGGATCAGCAAGGCCTCAGCTGTCAAAACATCAGGAAATTCAGGAAATGAAAAGGCATGATGAATACACTGAGGGTGCTCTTAAAAGCATCAGCTCCCTGGCATATATGTGGTTGGCAATGCCAAGGGGTATGGAGAGGGCACCAGCGGTGTCTGCACACTGTTCTTGGCCCCTCAATTACTACATGAATTTTAGAATCAGCCTGTCAAGTTCACAAAAAAATCTATTGGGATTTGTTTGAGAATTGCTTGAATTTATAGATTAATTTGGTGAGAAGTAATATGTTTATAGTATTGAGTCCTCCCATTCATAATATATATGGTCTATATTTCAATTTAGTCAGCTCTTCCTGAGTATTTTTGTATTTGTCTTAGGCCTTTTGTAGTGCTATAACAAAATACCAGAGACTGGGTAATTTACAAACAACAGAAGTTTATTTTCTCAGTTCTGGAGGTTGGGAAGTCCAAGATCAAGGCACCAGCAGGTACAGTGTCTAGTGAGGGCCTGGTATCTGCTTCCAAGATGGTGCCTTGAATGCTGGCTCCTCTGGAGGGGACAAATGCTATGTTCTCATGCAGCAGAAGGAACAGATAAACCCCCCACACAAGCCCTTTTATAAGACACTAATGTCATCTATGAGGACTTGCCATTATGACTTAATCACTCCTTAAAGGCCCTACCTCTTAATATTATCTTGGCAATTAAATTTTAACAAATGTGTTTTGGAAGACAGATTCAGACCATAGCAACACTCTTCATGAAAGGCCTTACGTATATTTTGCTAGATATATTCTAAGGTTTTTGTTACTATTGTGAATAGAATCTTTTTTTTTTTTGAGACAGAGTCTCGCTCTGTCACCCAGGCTGGAGTGCAGTGGTGCAATCTCCGCTCACTGCAAGCTCTGCCTCCTGGGTTCACACCATTCTCCTGCCTCAGCCTCCCAAGTAGCTGGAACTACAGGTACCCGCCACCATGCCCAGCTAATTTTTTTTTTTTTTTTTTTTGTATTTTTAGTAGAGACGAGGTTTCACCGTGTTAGCCAGGATGGTCTCGATCTCCTGACATCGTGATCCGCCCGCCTCAGCCTCCCAAAGGCCTGGGATTATAGGCGTGAGCCACCGTGCCCGGCCTAGAATCTCTTTTTCTATTTCATTTTCTAATTTGTTATTACTGATGTATAGGAATGCTAATAGGTTTTTTCTTTTTTAAAGATGATCTTGAATTCAACCTTGCTAACTCTTACTAGTCTTAACAATTTATCTGTATATTCTTTTGGATTTTCTGCATAGACAATCATACCTGCCTGCAAATACAGGTAGTTTTTTCTTTCCAATTTTAAAATTTTATTTCCTTCATTTCTATTATAGGTTGAATCACATACATTTCTGATGTTGGGCATCTCATAATCTTAAAAAAATGGCAATTTCATATGTATTAACCTAACACATTGCCTAGGACCTCCAGTGCCATGTTCAAAAGAAACAGTGATAGAAAGCACCCTTGTTTACGTCCTAACTTTGATGGAAATTGCTTCTAAAGTTTTACCATTAATTATGATAATTGCTACACATTAAGAAAGATAGGGCCAGGCATGGTGTTGCATGCCTGTAATCCCAGCACTTTGGAAGGCTGAGATGGGAAGATCGCTTGGGCCTGGGAGGTGAAGGTTGCAGTGAGCCAAGATCCCACCACTCCACTCAGGCCTGGGCAACAGTGAAACCCTGTCTCAAAAAAAAAACCTAACTTGCTAATAGTGAATTATCTGATGTTGACTCTGCCCTTACGTTATTGTAATGAAACCTAATTCATCATGATGCATTGTTTGTGTGTGTGTACATTGCTGTATTCAACTTGGTATTATTTAAAATTTTGGAATCCATGTTCATAAAAGTTAATAGCTAACATTTATTTGGTTTTCTAGGTTCTGGGTATTGTTAAGTTACTTTACATGAATTATTTCATTTTATCCTAAAAGGCTTATTGTGAAGGTTATTTTCCCCCTTTATATATGAGGAAGTTAAGGCACACTGAAGGCAAATCATTTTGCCTAAGGTCACAGAGAAGATTAGTGGCACCAGAATACAAATCCGGATGCCTGGCTCCAGAAGCAATGCACTGGCCACTGCTCTGTGCTGTCTCTCTGTGACAAAGACCCATAATTCAGATTGTTCTATAATGTGTTTTCCTTGTACATCCTTGTTCTAGTTTTGTACCAAGATTATATTATTCTCAATAGATAATTAGCTCTTCTTTTTATTTAAAGAAAATACATGTCAAAGCTCTATAAAAACCTATTTCATCGTATCCCCTTTGCTAGCCTAACTTTTACAGCTCTGCAGTGGCCTCCAGGTTTTATGTCCTTTCCAAGCTCCTGTCCTGGGTATATTGGGGATGTACACATCCGATAAAGCCAGGGATACAGACCACGGATCAGCAGCAGGCCTCCCGCTCCCAGCATCCTTTCAAGTACTGGCATACACCCAAGCTCCCAGCTTCTAGCCAAGAGTCTTTTGGTCCCCGCTTATCCCAAAGGACCTGCCACTGTCTTTGGTTTCCAAAGCCCAACAGGCTCCAGGCTCTTCAGCCTCCAACCACTTTGCATTTCTTTTCTGGTTTTGGTTCATGGAGATGATTATCCTATTTTCCAGCCTTGCCATGTCTTTATTTACTTTACATATCTTACCTATTACTGCTGCAGTTTGGAGAAGAGAGGATGCCCTCAATCCTAACTTCTCCAAAGCATCCCAAAGGGGAAGTCCGCTTCACTTCAACAGTGTTGTTGTTGTTGCTTTTAAAGACCATATGTCAACATGTCAGATTATAGCAAAATGACGTGGGGGGAGCAATATGAAAGCAAGACTGAGAGTCCTGGAGATAAGGTGGCAAAGCTGCCTTTTTACAGGCGGTTCCCTTAGACCCCGCCCTTCCTGTCTTGTTCCTCCAGTTGTCAGATTTGCCTGTTAGGGCCCACACAAGGGAGCAGGTATGAGGACCGGACTGAGAGAGTTGGAGAAGCTGCCAGAGGCCCTTCTAGATCCAGAATTGAGGCTGCAGTTCCCGAGGTGGGGGCTGTCCCCCCACCCGCAAGGGAATGGTACTGATTCCAAAAACGCGTCAAGGACACCCTGGCTAGTAGAGGGATGTGCTTGAATCACCTGAGCGGCCTCTGTTCAGCCCAGATTGGAAGGCCCATGGGGGAGGACGAGGCCAGCCCACTCCAGCCCCATTCCCTTTTAACTCTGCTCCTTCCCCAGCCCCCAAGCTGGGTGAGGGGCCCTGAGCTATTCACCCTCCCAGATTCCACTCACTTTTCCTAAGTGTCCTCCCTGCAAAGTCTGCAGAGAGCAGCGCTCCCTCGCGTCGGCTCACCCAGCAGTGTCCTTTCTTTCAGCAAACCCCATGCGAATGAACCTGAGATGACTCATTTGCCTAAAAGCGTCTTCGAGGTGAGGGAAGGCAAAGCCCAAGGACCTCCCCGCTCAAGCACATGCTCTTTCCCCAACAGTAGAGGGATCCTGCGCTAGCGTCCGCCGCCCTCGAGGGCTCAGTCTCCCCAGCTGTACCAAGGGTGCCCGCACTGTCCTGCCTGCCTTCCTTGGGGGAAGGTTGCGAGGCCCGAAGAGATAGGGAAGCCAGGCGGCAGGTGGGGTCCAGACCACCCAGGGGGCGTCGGGGCGGAGCAGCGGGCCCAGTACATCCCTGAGTGGGCGGGGCTCGGCGGGGCTCTCCGCGGGGTCCTAGTGAGCGCCGCCCCGCCAGCAAACCTCGGGGGCCAGGACCGGCGCTCACTCGACCGCGCGGCTCACGGGTGCCCTGTGACCCCACAGCGGAGCTCGCGGCGGCTGCCACCCGGCCCCGCCGGCCATGAGGCGCGCGCCTTCCCTGGTCCTTTTCTTCCTGGTCGCCCTTTGCGGGCGCGGTGAGTTCTTTTCGGGGAAGGAGGGAGGGGCGCCTGGGTTGGGCTGAAAGGGGCTGGACTGGCCACAGGTGGGAGGGAAGGGAGGGTGCCCTGCGCCCGGGGGAGTGGCCCGAGATTGTCCCGGCCAGATGGGGGCGTGGGCAGGGCTGAGCCCACTCGCTGAGGCAGCGGGGGCGGGCCTGCGTGGGTGGGTCTGCCAGGTTTGGAGTGGGGGCCGCCTCTTCTCGGAGCCGCTGCCAGGGCCAGGGCCACCCTCCAGGGCGAGTGTCTGTGGGCTGGGCAGTGGGCTGGATGACACCGGCTTTGCAGGCACCGCGGGTCATCCCCAGCAGTCTGGGAGGCTGGGAGTATACCGACTCCCGCTCCCAACAGGGCCGAGGCTCCTTCCTTGCCTAAGAGGTGACTTTCTTGAAGCGTGGGTGCAGAGGAGCCGGCCACCTGGGCGGTGTAGGCGCTTGGGAGCGAATCTGCTGCTCAGCCTTAGAGAGAAGTCCCCTCCCACACAGCGGTGGTAGAGATGGGGACACTGGGCCGAGAAGGAAGGGGGCTTGCCCAAATCAGCAGCCCTGGAATGTTTTGTGCTTTGGGGGTGGATCTCCCAGCAAACACATTTTATGGCACCGCTGCCTCTGGTCACCCACCCGAGGTGTGCCGGGCCTGGACAGCCAGCTTGACTGAGGGCCAGGCTGGTGAAGTTGGGCCTGCCACTCAGGAAGGAGACCCAGCCCTTCTCCAGGTAGAATGCAAATGTGAGGACTGCCTTCTCAGGGCCTCAGTTTCCCCACCTGAATTCCAAGGGCCCTTCTAGCTCCTACAGTCACCCAGGCTTTTCCTCCAAGCCCCAGTCAGCCTAGAGGACCAGGGCTACCTCTTCCTTGGATAGAGACCCACCATAGGGGAGGCAGGAGGTAGGAGTCAGGGAATATATAAGGAGCTAATAATCTGAGAGGAAGCCATAGCTGGAATTCTAAACTGTGAGTGTGTGTCCAGTTTGGGAAAGCATATCCAATCTAAAAATTTACATTGAAAAAATGGAAAGATATACCCATCATTTTGGAATACAAACTACAGAAAGTAGTTTGTACTACTCCTATAAAGAGGTGGAGCTCTCATCAAAGATGGTGTCTGCAGGCAGTCTGTGTATCGTGGCTCTTCTACTAGCTGGGTGACCCTGTGCCATTTCTTTCACCATCCTGGACCTCAGGTTCCCCATCTGTTCTATGGAGAGAATGTGCCCTGCCTACATATTTGGAGACTTGGATGTGTGTGGGGGCCAGTGGCAGTGTTTCTTAGGTGTGGTCCTGGGGCAGCCTGTATCACCCTGTACAGATTTCTGGGTCCCACCCTAGGCTTACAGGATCAGAATCTCTGGGAATAAAGCCTAGGAATCCAGGTGATTAATACACATGATTGAAGAAGCACTAATAGTATGTAATAAGCTCTTTATAAAAGATAAATTCTCTACATAAAGAAAAATCATAGGCCAGGCGCGGTGGCTCACACTTGTAATCCCAGCACTTTGGGAGGCAGAGGCGGGCGGATCACGAGGTCAGGAGATCGAGACCATCCTGGCTGATGTGGTGAAACCCCGTCTCTACTAAAAATACAAAAAATTAACCGGGCGTGGTAGCAGGCGCCTGTAGTCCCAGCTACTCGGGAGGCTGAGGTAGGAGAATGGCATGAACCCGGGAGGTGGAGGTTGCAGCAGTGAGCTGAGATCATGCCACTGCACTCCAGCCTGGGCGACAGATCAAGACTCCGTCTCAGAAAAAAGAAAATCATAGCTGCCTTTTAATATAAATATCATGTTCCCTTCCTCAGTTAAGGACATACACCCCAGTTGAAAAATCACTCTGCCTTTCCAGATGCAGAATCTAATCTTTCCAATAAGATTCTGTTAACTGTTACTTTCTGTAGTTTGTATTCCAAAACAATAGGTATATCTTTCCATTTTTTCAATACAAATTTTTAGATTGGATATACCTTTCCAAACTGGACACACACTCACACAGTTTAGAATTCCAGCTATGGCTTCCTCTCAGATTATTAGCCCCTTTCTGGCAGGGAACAATTCTTCCCAAGAAGGCCTGGAAGACAAAACCCTGGGCAGAGGCTGGTGGGGCCCACTCCTCATCAGAATCATTGAATCATGACTGACCCCTAGTGGCGGCTTCTCTGTTTAACTGTCAGCCCATGGGCTGGGATGTGACCCCTGACCGTGCTGCAGAAGCTTCCACCCATCCTGGGCCACCCCTGCCACCTGGGGGTGAAAGGCCTGTTCCTTGTCCTTTGAGCCCAGCAGGCCTCACAGACATTCAGTAGATTGGAAAGTCTAAGCATGTGCTGGGCTGGGCTGGGCTCCGTCGCCCCTTTTTGGGGGGCAAGTGGGGTGCATTCCAGTCCCCAGTATCCCTGCTGTTTATTCCCACCCTTCAGTGCACCACCCCCCCGGCCCCCCGGCCATACACTCACAAGTACAAACACAGGCGCAGTCATGGGCACACACTGCCCGGGACAGCACCATTTCCAGGCTCTGTGGGGCAGTCTCCTTACAGGGAAGCTAATGAGGCACTGAAGAAGGCTCAGGGGTCAGGGAAGACCTCTGTCGGAAAGAGGCTCCTATACCTGGTTCCTCCTCTGACTTGCTGGGGGCACTTGAGAAAGTTTCTTCCCTCTTTGGTCTCAGTTTCCCCAGCTGAGAAATAGGGGGTTGGGCTAAATGGTCTAAAGTTCTGGGAACCTCTAACTCAAGCCCACAGCTGGTGGTCAAGATGGGGGAGTCCCTCCGGGTCAGCTGAATGCCTGAGAGGCAGGACAGGCCCAAAGGTGAGCCACCCGGGCACATCAGGTGGGCTCGGAGCTGGAGCATGAGCCCCACAGCCTGCAGAGCAGCCCTGCGCTTGGGAGCCCTGTCAGACCAGCCTAGTGGGACTTCAGAGATGTGGGATCCAGCCTCCCCTAGTATTGCAGGGCTGGGGGATGGGAGCTGCAGATTCTGACCCCAGAGCTGCCTCAGACATGCCAGATGGGCTTGGGCAAGACACACCCCTCTCTATGAAATAAGTCAGTCCAAACAAACATGCTAAAGAAGGGCTGTGGGAGGGACCCAGCTCTAGCCTGGGGCTACAGACTGGCTTCCAGGGTACTCAAGCAGCTGGCCTCTGGGAAAGGGGTCCTGGATATAAGAAGCAGGGCTCAGAATCTAGGCCAAGCATCCATAGGACCCCCCTCTGGAGAGCCCAGGGCAGCCTGGGGGAGGGGCAGCAGGCAGCAGGTGCACTAGGAGCATCTTTCACAAGGCACTAAATATTGCATCTGTTCCAGATAGGCAGCGAGTTGGAAAGTGGATGAAGTCGGCAGGGTGGCGGCTGCTCCCCACAACCAGGAGTCCAGCCCAGCACCCACCCCTAAGTCCACCTCAGGCCTGCCTAATTGGGTTGGTCTGTGCTCTGGGCCTTCTGGCCCTACCCACAGAGGAAGGGGTTTGGTGCAACTAGGTGAACTGGCCCTTGCAGGAAGATGTAATCGACTCCTGAGCCTGGCGAGCCAGGCAGCCCCTCACCAGCATGCCCGCCCCCACCTCTCCGGCCCCTCTTATTCCCTGATCCTCCCACCTGCTTCCCTGCCCCGGCACTGTTTCTTCTGCTCATTCTCATCTCTTTTCCTCCTCCCAGGCTTGCCTCCTCAGATGTCCTTGAGTCTCCTCTGAGTCTCCCTTTTTCCAAGCTGCCCCCTCTATGCTTTACACATTCTCCCTGAAGACACTAGAGTACACAAGCCCAAGTCCCTGAACCTCACCTTTACTCCCAGACAGGTGAGGGAGATGACATAAAGACCCAAATGCCACTTGGCAAGGGATCGGGGGTATGCAGAGGGGCAGATTTGAGGCTATGGAAGGTCAGGGGGGCTCCCTGCATGAGGCGGTATTTAGGCTGGGTCTTGAATATGGCTCTGAGCTAAGACCTCTCCTCGAAGCTCCAGATGAGGAGCCAGCTGCCAGCTGGACCCCTCCATTTGGTGTCTCAGAGGGACCTTACACTCTGTAGGTCTAAGTCTGAACCCGGAAAATCCCCTCCATCTCAGCTCTGTTTCTTCTTAGGGAAAGCACCACCTCGTACCCATTTCTGCACCCAAACTCACATGTGAGTAATGGGGCTGCTCCCCTGCACTGTAAGTGCTCTGGTGTCAGGAACCGTTTCTGGTTTTTGCTTGCTGTTACCCTCGAAATGTAGTAAAGTCCCTGGCACAAGATAGACCCTCAGATAATTCATAACTGGTGGGCTGGGGGCAATCTTGGCAGAAGAAAGAGTCTGTTCAAAGAAGTGAGACAAGCTGGGTGTGGTGGTGCACACCTGTAGTCCCAGCTACTAAGGAGGCTGAGGTGGGAGGATCCTTTGAATCCAGGAGGAATCACTTGAAACCAGCCTGGGCAACATAGCAAGACCCTGTCTCTAAAAAAAAAAAAAGGAAAAAACAGGAAGTGAGACAGTGAAGGTCACAGGGGGAAAGGCAAACAGTAGGCTATGGCCAGAAGAGAGAGTATCTGAGTATCTGGGGTAGAGGTAGAGAGGTGGGAGAAAATCAGATTGAGAAAGATAAGCCAGTGTCAGTGGGGAAAGGGCCTTGAACGCCAAGCCAAAACATTTGATTTTTAAGTCCACCTACAGCTCTGAGAGTTGTGGGTAGGGAAGGGCCCTAGACCAGTTTGCTGTAGAAAGACCACTCTGGCACTGTATGGTACATGGATAGCAGGGAGAGACTGCGGGTGGAGAGACCAGGAGGAGGGCAGGGGTGGGGAGGTGGGGACATGGCTGTAGCAGTAGAGATAAGGAGAACAGACTGAGGGACTTGGAAGGTAAAAGATAGGACTAGGACCGGGAATGGTGGCTCACACCTGTAATCCCAGCACTTTGAGTGGCCAATGTGGGTGGATCACCTGAGGCCAGGAGTTCAAGAACAGCCTGGCCAATATGGTGAAACCCTGTCTCTACTAAAATACAAAAATTAGCCGGGTGTGGTGGCGCAGGCCTGTAATCCCAGCTACTCTGGAGGCTGAGACAGGAGAATTGCTTGAACTCAGGTGGCAGAGGTTGCAGTGAGCCGAGATCACACCACCGCACTCCAGCCTGGGCAACAGAGTGAGACTCTGTCTCATACAAAAAAAGACAGGACTAAGTGGCCACTTGGATGAACCAAGGGAGAGGTCAAGAAGAGACACCCAGCTTTTGTACCAGATATGTAGAGTGGGATGCCATTCACTGCTAGAGGGAAGAGGAGGAGGAAGAAGTATGGCATGGGAGGAGACAGCTGAGCTCTGTGTTGAGTGTATTTAATTTGAAGTCCTCAAGGAGAGACAGGCCTGCCAGCACCTTCGCTGCTTCAGCCAGCCCTAAGGGCACCTGTGCTCCCTCTCAGCTCTCCCTGCTGCCACAGGCTGCAGTGGGGGTCAGGTGCACAAGGGCCCAGCAGGTCTGACTGTGTGTTTTCTCAGGGAACTGCCGCGTGGCCAATGCGGAGGAAAAGCTGATGGACGACCTTCTGAACAAAACCCGTTACAATAACCTGATCCGCCCAGCCACCAGCTCCTCACAGCTCATCTCCATCAAGCTGCAGCTCTCCCTGGCCCAGCTTATCAGCGTGGTAGGTGCAGAGGGCAGCTGTGGCTCAGGCTCAGGTGGAGAGGCCGCTCATGCCCAAGCCCCAGGCGATCATTGGTCAAAGGAATGAAACTACTATAGTTGACTTAGACTTACCAGTACGTGTCAGGGAGGCTGCAGAAGGGTCCATGAAGTTCATAGGTGTCCAATATTTAATGAAGTCATGATTTTGTTCTAACAAAGAAGAAATGAGGGTAGGAGCAGGATGACCATTGGGTAGGCAGCCAATGGGCCTGCTGTAGACTCTGCTCAGCTGGGTCTCCAGCATGACCATAAGCTTCTCCTCCTTGTCTTTACAGCCCCACCCTATTCTCTCCCCTAGACTGCTCAGATAACCTTACATGCTTCTTACTTGTTGGGAGAAGTAAAAACCAGACTGGGGGAACTGATAGGTACAGAGAGGCCCAGGTGTAGGGGCAGGACCAGAGGCAGTGCAGCACCTATTGAGCCAGGCTGGTGAGGGATGGACAGTGGGCGTGGCTGCTGCAGGCATGGAAAGGAGGAGTGGATGGCAGCATTCACAGGTACCATTGTCAGGTTGTCCATATGTGGATGTGGGGCAGAGGTGGGGGTGCTGAGGGAGGAGGTGCCTGGGAATTTCTCTTCTCTTTGCTGCCTCTGAGTTGGAGATGTCAGAGGGAACCATGGCCTATTGTAAACCTTCCCATGTCCCCATCCACAGGGTTAGAACTCCGTCCCTGGAAGAAGCTCTGGGGGAACATTCACAAGGGGAGAGTGCAGGGCGCTGTGTCCAGCCAGGGGAAAGAGACCACCAAGGGGGCTGACCCTCCTCTGGCCAGGTAGCTGCCTTCTGAAATGCCAGACTCTCTCTCTAGCACGGTTGGCCCACACACACCCAGCCTGTCAAACCTACAGCCCTCAGGAAGGCTTTGGCCAAATTAATGACTGGCTCCATCTCCTGGGAGGACGCACAGCCCCAGGATGGGGAGGGCTGGAGAGCTGTGTACTCTCTGCCCCTCTCCCTCCGTAGTCGGACCAGAAGGAAGGAGGGCTTTCAGCCAGGCTTGCTCAGGCTGGTGTCTGAGTGTTATTGTCCAGCCCAGGGCTTCTTGCTTAATGAGTTGAACCCAGCTGCTGCGGTGCAGCTGCTGCCCTAGTGAGGGTGAACGAGCAGGAGGCTCTGCCGCACTTCCAGACTCAGGCTACCTGGTCAGATCTGCTCTGCCGGCCCTATAGGGTGATAGCGGCTACCAGAAGGAGGAGGGGATGCGGCCACCAGCCCCCACCCATGCAAGTTATATTTCCGAAAGCTTGTGTATACAGTAAATATTAGGTTGTGGGTTGCCAGGGTTTGTTTATTTATTTGAGGAGGGAGGGTTATAGGTACAACCAGTTTAAAGATGGAAATTTTTAGAGAGCAGGTAGGGATTTAGGGCTGGGTAAGGAAAGCAGGCTTGTCAAAGCAGCTGTTTTGTCATTGACTCCAGAGTCTGGTGAGCCAGGCACTCCCTCGCCAGCATCCCCACCCCCACCTCTCCAGCCCCCCTTATTCCCTGACCCTTCCACCTGCTCCCCTGCCCCAGCACTGTTTCCTCTGCTGACTCTCATCTCTTTTCCTGCTCCTGGGCTTGCCTGTTTTGATGTCCTTGACTCTCCTCTGAGTCTTCCTCTTTCCAAGCCATCTCCCCTGTACTTGACACATTCTCCTGGAAGACACCAGAGTACACAAGCTCAAGTCCCTGAACCTCGTCTTTACTCCCAGACATGTGAGGAAAATGACATAAAGACCCAAATGCCACTTGGCAAGAGATCGGGGGTATGCAGGGGGGCAGATCTGATGCTGTGGAAGCTCAGGGGGTAAGTTTGAGCCCAAATATATCAGTAACTACATTAAATGTAAATGGCCTAAATATTCTAATCAAAATGAGACAAATTGCCATGCATTCTTCTTCTCCCTCCTCCCTTCCCACCAACAGCCTGGAATGTGGAATTTGTGGTTAGAGCTCCAACAGTTATTTTGATCCATTCTTATGAGGGCCACACTCTAGGTATGGTGGAGAAGAAAGTTGGAAAGAATCTGGGTACCTATCAGAACTTTGTAGAGCAGAACTGCCATATATGTCTAAAGTGTTAACATGAGAGGGACATGAATTTCTACTTTATTTAAGCCTGTGTTACTCTGGATCACTGTTACTGGCAGCCAAACCTTATCTTACTGATAATCTTATCTAGTTGTAGGTTCCTTGAGGAAATGACTCCCAAAGTGAGATCAGTATGCTGGAAGTTATCTTGATAAAGGAGAGGCACCAAAATTGTACAGACTGAGAACACAAGACTTATCCAAAGTACTAAAGAAGGCCAGGGGGCTGGAGGACAGAACAGAGGGACATAGGGAGGTGAAGTGAGGCTGGGAAACCTGGCAAGGCCCCGTAGACCCTGCGAAGGAGCAAGATTTTTATTCTGTAGGTGAAGGAAGCCAAGGAATTAATCTAAACAGGGATAAAATTGAGGGAGGAAATGACAGGAACTTTGGAAGGTTTATTTGGGCTGCGTACGAAGAAGAGATGTATGTGTGTGTATGGTGGCGGTGGTGGTGGTGTACAGAATGAACATAGGCCAGTTAGGAGGGTCTTACATGGTCCAGGTGAGACATGGATTATGGTGGCCTGGATTATTATGGTAGGATTCCTGTATATTCAAAAAATATTTATGGAGTATCCAACATGTTACATACTCTTCTATCTGCCTTATTTTCTCATAGCCATTAGATTCTAGTGGGAGGTGGCAGACAATACACAGATAGATAGATGGTGTTTAGGGGTGAGAAATGCTACGAAAAAAAAATAAGGAGACTGGGTGAGGTGGCTTGTACCTGTAATGCCAGCACTTTGGGAGGCTGAGATGCATGGATCACTTTAGCTCAGGAATTTGAGACCAGCCTGGGCATCATGATGAATCCCCATCTCCACAAAAAATTTTTTAAAATTTAGCCAGGTATGGTGGCCTGTGCCTGTAGTCCCAGCTACTCAGGAGCCTGAGGTGGGAGGATCGCTTGAGCCTGGGAGGTGGAGGTTGCAGTGAGCAAAGATCACACCACTGCCCTCCAGCCTGGGTGACAGAGTGAGACCCTGTCTCAAGAAATACACACACACACACACACGAAAGAAAAGAAAGAAAGGGAGAAAGAAAGAAAGAAAGAAAGAAAGAGAGAGAGAGAGAGAGAGAGAGAGAGAGAGAGAGAGAAAGAGAAAGAAAGAAAGAAAGAAAGAAAGAAAGAAAGAAAGAAAGAGAAAGAAAAGAAAAGAAAGACAGAAAGAAAGAAAGAAAAAGAGAAGGCAGGGCAGGGACCGAGGTGCTATTTTATGTAGGTCAGGGAAGATTTCTCAGATAGGATGACATTTCTGATAACAGAATAAAGTGTGGAAGCATCCCAGGGGGTTTCCAGGAAAAGGGAACAGTGTGTGCAGGAGCAAAGAGGCAGTGCAGGGGAAGTGGAATGAGCAAATGGCGGAGTGTTGAGATAAGAGGTCATAGAGCTAATGGGATGAGGGGTGGTGGGGAGGCAGATCACTAGGGCCTTGTGGACTCTAAGCAGAACTTTGGCTTTTACTTTGGATGAGATGTGGCAGCAGAACAATTAGTAGAAGGGATTGAGATTGTAAAGGGATCACCCTGGCTACCATGTAGAGAATAGACTAAAGGCAGGCCAGGACAGAGCAGGAAGACCAGTTAGGGGGCTCCTGCGGTAGTCTAAGTGACAGATGATGGTGGCGGTGGAGAGAAGCAGACAAATATGAGTTGCTTTAGAAGATATAGCTTACAAGACTTATTGATGGATCAGAGAGCAAAGTGTCAGAGACAGTGTCCACGCTTCTGGCTTGTGGAACTGGATGGCTAGGGGTGCCATTCACTGAGACAATGAAGCCAAAGGAGGACCAGGTTCTGGGGAAGATCATGAGCTTTGTGTCAAACATGCTGAGTGTGACATGCCTTTGGGCCATCCAAGAGATGTTGGGGTGGCAGTTGGTCACGTGGGCCTGGAGCTCACAGCCTTTTGCACAATAAAGTGCAATCCATTTGTGAGGCTCCTCCTTCCTGGTGAACTGATAGCCCCGTTTCCCTCCCCAGAATGAGCGAGAGCAGATCATGACCACCAATGTCTGGCTGAAACAGGTAAGTGCCCTGAAGGGCCCTGAGCCCCAGAGATCTTTTCTTTAGGGCTGCCCTTTGGTGGCAGTGGACCTGCAAGTGACAGGGCCTTGCCTGTCTGTCCAGGAATGGACTGATTACCGCCTGACCTGGAACAGCTCCCGCTACGAGGGTGTGAACATCCTGAGGATCCCTGCAAAGCGCATCTGGTTGCCTGACATCGTGCTTTACAACAAGTGAGTGGCAGGGTTGGTGGAGGCCTGGTGACAGCCAGGCCAGGGCAGCAGGCCCAGCCCTAAGAGTCATCCAGGCCTGAGTCCAACCCTGAGCCCCATCTCTGCTTTACCCAGCCTTCCAGGCCATCAAGCTAGAAGAGAAACAGAGGTGAGCAGAGCCAGAGCCCTCAGTTACAGATGGGGAGTTGGAGGCTGAGGGAGGGGAGGGACCTTGTCTGATTCACTGAAGCAGAGCTGGGACCACAGCAGTGTCCTGACCTTGAACCCAGCACCCTTTCTGTGTTCCATACTATCCTTTTGAGCCTCTGTTGCTTTGCCAGTGTTGGTGTTGGTACCACTGACTTACTGTGTGTAAATATCTTAGGCAGGTGGAGGAAGCCAAAGAGACTTTTCCTGAGTCGTGATTACACCAGCAGTAGCTTGAAATGGCTCAAAGTGTGTGGTCTGGGGACAGACAGACCTGAGTTCAAATCTCAGCTGTCCTGCTTACAAGTTTTCTGACCTTGAAGAAGTCACTTAACCTCTTTGGGCTTTGGCTTTCCCATCTGTAGAATGGGGATAATAATAAAACCTGCCTCACTGGACTACTGAGAGGCTTAAATGAGCTATTCCATGGGAAGCCTTAAGAGTGCTTGATGGGCCGGGTGTGGTGGCTCACACCTGTAATCCCAGCACTTTGGGAGGCCGAGGCGGGTGGATCACCTGAGATCAGGAGTTCGAGACCAGCCCGATCAACATGGAGAAACCCCGTCTCTACTAAAAATACAAAATTAGCCGGGCGTGGTGGCGCATGCCTGTAATCCCAGCTACTTGGGAGGCCGAGACAGGAGAACTGCTTGAACCTGGGAGGCAGAGGTTGCAGTGAGCCGAGATTGCACCATTGCACTCAGCCTGGGCAACAGAGCAAGAGTCTGTCTCAAAAAAAAAAAAAAGGGGGGTGCTTTGATGTTAGGGCTCTCTCCACCACATAGTTGCTAACAAAAGCAGACCCCTCCTTTCAGTGAGGGCCTGGGGGATTGGAAGGGTGATTAGTGGGAAATAATCCCAAAGGGCTCTTCAGTGAGTTCTGAGAACAGGCCAGGTTTTGTGTATGGGTTTCACGATGTTCTCCATGCCCTGACCCTGCCCAGCGCCGACGGGACCTATGAGGTGTCTGTCTACACCAACTTGATAGTCCGGTCCAACGGCAGCGTCCTGTGGCTGCCCCCTGCCATCTACAAGAGCGCCTGCAAGATTGAGGTGAAGTACTTTCCCTTCGACCAGCAGAACTGCACCCTCAAGTTCCGCTCCTGGACCTATGACCACACGGAGATAGACATGGTCCTCATGACGCCCACAGCCAGCATGGATGACTTTACTCCCAGTGGTGAGTGGGACATAGTGGCCCTCCCAGGGAGAAGGACAGTGAACCCACAAGACCCCAGCTACGTGGACGTGACTTACGACTTCATCATCAAGCGCAAGCCTCTGTTCTACACCATCAACCTCATCATCCCCTGCGTGCTCACCACCTTGCTGGCCATCCTCGTCTTCTACCTGCCATCCGACTGCGGCGAGAAGATGACACTGTGCATCTCAGTGCTGCTGGCACTGACATTCTTCCTGCTGCTCATCTCCAAGATCGTGCCACCCACCTCCCTCGATGTGCCTCTCATCGGCAAGTACCTCATGTTCACCATGGTGCTGGTCACCTTCTCCATCGTCACCAGCGTCTGTGTGCTCAATGTGCACCACCGCTCGCCCAGCACCCACACCATGGCACCCTGGGTCAAGCGCTGCTTCCTGCACAAGCTGCCTACCTTCCTCTTCATGAAGCGCCCTGGCCCCGACAGCAGCCCGGCCAGAGCCTTCCCGCCCAGCAAGTCATGCGTGACCAAGCCCGAGGCCACCGCCACCTCCACCAGCCCCTCCAACTTCTATGGGAACTCCATGTACTTTGTGAACCCCGCCTCTGCAGCTTCCAAGTCTCCAGCCGGCTCTACCCCGGTGGCTATCCCCAGGGATTTCTGGCTGCGGTCCTCTGGGAGGTTCCGACAGGATGTGCAGGAGGCATTAGAAGGTGTCAGCTTCATCGCCCAGCACATGAAGAATGACGATGAAGACCAGAGTGTAAGTTGCTAACCAGCCCCTGCCCACCTGCCCAACAGAAAGGGCTCAGATAGTAGCACCAGCTTCCCACTTCCTGCAGTTAATTCATAGGAGACAAGGACTCTCAAACTCTGAATAAGGAATCCAAAATTGAAATGAGTTTGTGTTAAATATTATAGCTTCATGCATCCGGGGAGAGGAAGGACGTGCCAGTGATTTAGTTTGTTTGTTTTAGGTGTCCCAGAAGCAAACGCCAAGATGGGGACTTGGGTGCAGGTGGTTTACTTGAGATGTGATCCTGGGAAGCACAGTGAGGAAGGAGGGAAAGTGAGACAGGGAAAGGAGAATGAATGAGCAGGATACTGCCGTGGGTACCCGGGACTCAGTACCCTTGCAGACCCGTGGGAACAAGCCTCAGGATCACCCCCCTGGAAGGAGGCTGAGGTATTTACCCACCAGCCCCCATTCCCTAAAGGATGAGGGTAGCCCCAGGACTTTAACTCTCCTGTGCTTCCAGGTAATGCCAGCCTGCCAGAACAAGCACCCTTGGTGCTGGAGAAAGCCCTGAGGCAGAGGAGAGAGGAAATGCGGGTGCCAGAAATGGAAGGCTGGGAAGTGACTCTGCAGGCTTTAGGGAACACAGGCGGGCTGGGGTACCAAGCGCATCTGCCCTATTCTGTTCAGACTTGCAAAGAAGCCATTCAAGCACTTATAGCTTCCAGGGCTATAGGAACATCAGTAAAAATACTATGATTACCAGGGTAATGAATTAATCGATTGTGCTAACTAGAATTACAGATTTTTATTTTATTTATTTATTTGAGATGGAGTTTTGCTCTTGTCGCCCAGGCTGGAGTGTGGTGGCACAATCTCGGCTCACTGCAACCTCCATCTCCCAGGTTCAAGTGACTCTTCTGCCTCAGCCTCCCAAGTAGCTGGAATTACAGGTGCCTGCCACCACACCTGGCTAATTTTTGTATTTTTAATAGAGACGGGGTTTCACCATGTTGGCCAGGCTGGTCTTGAGCTCCTGACTTCAGGTGATCTGCCCACCTCAGCCTCCCACAGTGCTGGGATTACAGGCTTGAGCCACCGAACCTGACCTAGAATTACGGATTTTTTAAAAAGAGGTTTAATTTACTTTCACAGGATAAAGCAATGAGTGCTGGAGTCTGGGTATTTCACATGACTCCTTTGAATAAATAACACTTCTAAGGACAATGTCATAGTAACAACACAGAATGTGGTGGTGACAAATTTTCACACCCATTTCCATACCAGGAGGGAGAGCAAGTTTCATGCTCTTGTGAATGTTCTCATATTAACACCTTCAGATCAGATTCTTTGGACAGGTTTTTACTATGCAACATGGTGTCTGCCCCTGTGCAGCTGCATGGACAAAAGTGGACGTCTCATTCTTACCGTTTTGAGATTGCTTTCCACTCGCTGCATTCTCAAGGAGAAGCGCTGGCATTCCATTAGTTAGCCCACAGAGAAAAGAGCAGGAACAGCCCCAGAATCACACTGTGCCAAGAAAAGAAGAGAAATGCAAACAAATGGAATATAGGACATGAGATATTCTTCTGGTGTAGTTCTTGGACCAGCAGCACCGGCATCGCCTGCGAGCTTATCGGAAATGCAGAGTCTCAGGCCCCAATCCAGACCTGCTAGCTCCAAACCTGCATTTTAACCAGGTCCCCAGGAGATTCCCAGACCCATTGCAGTTTGAGAAGCACAGCTCTATAGGACTCTCAGATTTCACTTTCTAAAACGTTAATTCGATCACGCTATTACTTAGGTTAAATCATTCTGTAGGTCAGCATCACCTAATTCATTGGTTCCCAATCATTAATGTGCAGCCTGGGGCCCTGCTGGCTAAGTGAGAACCACGTGGGCAACACTGTGGGACCACCCTTTCTGACTGAGCCAGGATCTCTGGCGGAGACATATTGGAGCCTGCATTTTTAACCAATCCCTGGTGGTTCGTGTGCACATTCTAGATTGAGAAGTACTGGTCTCCTGCATCCCTGGCTGAGCCGGCACCCACCCTGAACTCTTCTGAAGACCTCACCACCCCCTTGGCACTCACGTGCCTTCTGCTCTTTCTAGCTCAATTAATTACAAGCCTCTTAAGGGAAGGAGCCAGGCAGGACCAGTTATTATAATCACCAGTGTTCATTAAGCTCCAATCACACATCAGGTGCTCTGCTGGGAGCTGACATACATTACTGCTAACCCTCCCTGGAATCCTGTGAAGTGGCTTTTAGTAGAACCCCCATTTACAATAAGGAGGCTTTCAAAGCGAAGCTCAGAGAGGTTCACTGACTTGGCCAGTGTCAAACAGCTGGCCCAGGCTCTGTACCCAGATCTGCCTGTCATCCTTAAACTTTCTTGCCCTTCCTAGTTTCTTGCCCTGCACTGAGCACATGGCCGGCTTATTGGTTGATTGACTTTCTTATGGATGGTTGGAGAAAAGAGGCTTTCTTCCCTTCTAGAGCATGCCTGCCCCTAAGCCAGCCCACGCCGCTTCTCATCTTCAGTACTTTTACCCACCCTGATTAACTGGTCACTATAAATAGCACAAAAATATTAAAAGGGGGAAACACACACACACACACACACACACACACACACACACACACACACCCCCGCTTGAAATTAGGGCTGTTAAAAAGAAACCCAGGAAAGCCAAGGAGTGCTCTGTGGAGAGAGCTGTGTGTGCCTGCTGAGTCTTGGGGACAGGTGCAGGCGTGCTTGGTTGCAGGTGTCGGGGTTGGCTTGACACAGGATTAGCCTGCACGTTAGGTACACCATTGACAGGGCCTTGACAAACTGGGTCACTGACGTCAGCATGCCCGTTGCTGCCCACATTTCCAACTCCAGAGCCTCTGCTGATCTCCGAAGCCTTCTGATCCAGCCCGTCTCTGCCAGGGAATGAATGCAGTGTGAGCCAGCCAGGCCTAGGGGTGTGAAAGCAGGCATCGGCGAGGGAGGCCAGGACCCTGGGCACACAGGCGTTTCTCTAGGTTCTCCCCCAGTGCAAAGGAGACAGGCCCATCTCTGGTGGCCCCTCTGGAGGCCAGCCAGGTCTCTGCCAACCTCACACCCCGCAGCAGGATCTAAGAAGACCAGAGAGACCTGAATGATGCAGCAGGAGGAGGCTGGGTCTTAATTACAGGAAACAGACACTGCTGTGAACAGACTTGAACAAATTAAACAGCAGGATTTCCAGGTGTTCTGTAAGCCCCGGTTTCTCTGCTCTCACTGAACTAGGTGGGAGCCACCTAGTTCTTTCTTTAGCTAGAACCAGCTCAGGCAGTGAGTTTGGGGTAAAAATGAGAAGTTGGGGCTTTGAGATCCTCAGGCCCTATCTCCTATGTATAACCAGATTTTGTTTTCAAATCATAATATGTAGTATTAACAAGCCCTCACATTCCTAGCTTTTCTGTACAGCCCAAGTTCCCAGTGCCCCTCCAACGCTGTGGGGGACAGGCAGGGGTGGAGGTGGAGAACAGCCAGAGAGGCTCAGAGCTGCCCAGCTGGGAGGCCAGCCTGGGACTCAGAACTTGCCCCCCTAGTATGCAGTTCCACGCCTGTGGCCTGTGGAGTCCCTGGCCAGAGAGTAAGGGCCTGACTCGGGGAAAGGAGGGACCCCAGTACTTGGCACCTGTGACCAACTCCTCTGTCTGCCTGCAGGTCGTTGAGGACTGGAAGTACGTGGCTATGGTGGTGGACCGGCTGTTCCTGTGGGTGTTCATGTTTGTGTGCGTCCTGGGCACTGTGGGGCTCTTCCTACCGCCCCTCTTCCAGACCCATGCAGCTTCTGAGGGGCCCTACGCTGCCCAGCGTGACTGAGGGCCCCCTGGGTTGTGGGGTGAGAGGATGTGAGTGGCCGGGTGGGCACTTTGCTGCTTCTTTCTGGGTTGTGGCTGATGAGGCCCTAAGTAAATATGTGAGCATTGGCCATCAACCCCATCAAACCAGCCACAGCCGTGGAACAGGCAAGGATGGGGGCCTGGGCTGTCCTCTCTGAATGCCTTGGAGGGATCCCAGGAAGCCCCAGTAGGAGGGAGCTTCAGACAGTTCAATTCTGGCCTGTCTTCCTTCCCTGCACCGGGCAATGGGGATAAAGATGACTTCGTAGCAGCACCTACTATGCTTCAGGCATGGTGCCGGCCTGCCTCTCCATCACCATCTCTCTCCACTTCCCCTTGTCCAGTTCCTCACACACTTCTAGATTCTTCCCAGCTCAGAGGCTTGGCATTTGCCATATCATCATCTTTTTTTTTTTCTTTTAAACGGAGTCTTGCTATATCGCCCAGGCTCAAGTGATTCTCCTGCCTCAACCTCCCAAGTAGCTGGGATTACAGAAAGCCGCCACCGTGCCCAGCTAATTTTTGTATTTTTGTTGGCCAGGCTGATTTCGAACTCCTGACCTCAAATGACCCACCTGCCTCGGCCTCCCAAAGTGCTAGGATTACAAGTGTGAGCCACTATGCCTGGCCTTCCCTATCTTCTACCTGAACCTTCTTCCTCTTCCCCCAGGGCTTCCCAAGCTCTTTCCACAGCCACATCAGTCAGGGCATGGCTCCAATCCATTCTTTGCTCCAATGTCACCTCCTCTGAGAGGCCTTCCCTAACCACCCAATCATTCTAAAGCAGCCTCCCTACAGTCACGTTACCCTGCCTCCTTCCTCGAGCACTCCTGTGTACCTGTCGCTCTTATCTGGTGGCATGTATGTCATCCACAGCTCACCCACTAGAGTGTGAGCTCCATGAGAACAGGGACCTGCTCCTTCACATTCGTGGTAGTATCCCCAGGGCCTAGGACAGAGCTTGGCACACAGTAGGTGCTCAATAAATGTTTGTTGAATGAATGAATGGCTCCTACCCCTCCTTCAAGTCCAGATGCCCCTCCTCTGAGCAGCCATCCCTAGTTCCCCCATCTGAAAGGCATGACCTGCTCCTCCATGACTGCGGTGCTGGTCACTTTCCACTTCTCTCTCATGGCTGGGTTCAGGTCTGTCTCCCACACGGATGCTCTGATTCACTCCTCGCACATACTGCCTTTTGCACAGTGCCTGGCATGTAGTAGGCACTCAAAATATTTGTGGAATGGAGGAGGATGTTCTAAAAAATTCTGTTTTAAAAATTATTATACAATAAAATTGACTTTTAAATATATAGTTCTAGGAATTTTAACACATGTATAGATTGGTATAACCACCATCACAATCAGGACCCAGGAAAGATCTGTCACGCAAAACAACTCCGTCCTGCTATTCCTTTAGAGTCCTGACTCCCTGCACTCCTAGCCCCTGGCAACCACATATCTTTTCTCCTTCACTACAGTCGGGTCTTTTCAAGAATGCCATTTAAATGGAATCATACAGTAGTGACCTTTGGAGACTGGCTTCTTTAATTCAGCATAGTGCCTTCGAGATTCAATCAAGTTGGGTTTTTTTCGTATTGCTGAGGAGTGTTCAGTGGTATGATGTTGACGCACATTTAGGCTGTTTCCAGTTTTTGGCAATTATGAATAGAGCTAATATAAAGATTCACATATAGGATTGTGTATGAATAAAAGTTTTCATTTATTTAAACACTCAGGAGGGTGATTGCTAGGTTATATGGTAAGTGTATATTTAACTTTATATGAAACTGTTGAGGCCGGGCATGGTGGCTCACACCTGTAACCCCAACACTTTGGGAGGCCAAGGCGGCAGATCACCTAAGGTCAGGAGTTCAAGACCAGCTTGGCCAATATGGTAAAACCCTGTCTCTACTAAAAATACAAAAATTAGCCAGGTGTGGTAGTGTGTACCTGTAATCCCAGCTACTCGGGAGGTTGAGGCAGGAGAATTGCTTGAACCTGGGAGGCAGAGGTTGCAGTGAGCCGAGATCGTGCCACTGCACTCCAGCCTGGGTGACAGAGCGAGACTCTGTCAAAAAAAAAAAAGAACAAAAGAAAGAGAAAGAAACTGTCAAACTGTTTTCTGGAGTGGCTATACCATTTTGCAATCCCACCAAAGTATGAGAGATCCAGTTGTTCAGCAACTGGATTCCACCCTGGTTTTAATTTGCGTGTCCCTGATGGCTAGTGATTTGAACATCTTCCACGTGCTTTTTTTTTTTTTTTTGTCTTCTGTATACCTCTTTGGTGAAGAGTCTGTTTAACTCTTTTGCTCATTTAAAAAATTGTTCGTTTTCTTACCATTGAGACTTTCTTTAGAAAACAACTTTATTGAGGTATAATTTACATACCATAAAATCCACCCATTTGAAGTACAATTCAAAGAGTTGTCGTAAGCTTACCACCAGAATCCAGTTTTAGAACATCTGCATCACCCCAGTAAGACCCCTCATATGCATCTACACTTAGTGTTGAGTTTTGAGAGTTCCTTATACATTCTGGATACAAGTCCTTTGTTGGATATATAACTTACAGTATTGTCCCAATGGGGGACATTTGCCAAGAGTTGAGAATGCTGTAATTGGAGGCCTGAGAGGTGGGTCCCAATTCTTACATTTTCCATTCCACAAACTGTCTCCTTTTGTTTGGTTTTAATATGGGTAAACAGCACATTCTGGAAATGATAAAGGTGACTCTCCATTTGCTGAATGCCAGGAGGAGAGTTTATGACAGAACTTCCTCCTGCAATAAAAGGATGTCAAAGAAGCCAACATCAAGGTGCCCCCCATCCCTGGTGGGTGGTCAGAGAGGGCAGGAGGCTCCAGGGCACCCTGCCTGGCCAATCAGTGCACATTCTTGGGGTTGCAGATGGTGGCGGGGAAGGGGACAGGTTCTGCAGGGGACTAGGGTGGGAACCCCATTGCCCTCTCAGATTGCTCCATCAGAAGAGCAGATGAGGCTGCACACAGTGGCTCACGCCTGTAATCCCAGCACTTTGGGATGGGAGGTGAACTACCGTCACAGCTGTAGTTCATTTGCTTGATACACCGCTTCCTTTCAACCCCCACATCCTCACCACCTGTTTCTTTGATCACCAATAAATAGCGTGGGCTCCCACAGCTGGGGGCCTTCGTAGCCTCCATACGTTGGCCGCCTGGTCCCGCTTTCTCTCTTGTCTTTTCTCATTCTTTTGACTCCGCCTGACTTTGTCACCCCCATGGCCTGGGGTTGGGTCTGATCACCCCAAAAAATTTTTCATTAAGGAACAATCCAAACGTATTCCAAAGTTAAGAGAACAGTATAACAAACCTCCAGGTACCATCATCCTGCCTCGACAATTATCAACTCATAGCCAATATTGTTTCAACTAACTTCCACCCACCCCTAAGCTATAAGGACTTAAAAAAAAAATACCAGTACTATATCTAAGTTTTTTTGTTTTGTTTTGTTTTGTTTTGAGATGAAGTCTCACTCTGTCACCCAGGCTGGAGTGCAGTGGCGCAATCTCGGCTCACTGCAGGCTCTGCCTCCCGGGTTCACGCCATTCTCCTGCCTCAGCCTCCCGAGTAGCTGGGACTACAGGTGCCTGCCACCACGCCGGGCTAATTTGTAGAGTATTTTTAGTAGAGACGAGGTTTCACCATGTTAGCCAGGATGGTCTCTGACCTCGTGATCCGCCCGCCTTGGCCTCCCAAAGTGCTGGCTGGGATTACAGGCGTGAGCCACTGCTCCCGGCTAAAATATTTAACAATTATTTAATAGCATGAGATACACAAGGCGTCCTTCCCAGGGTGTGTTAGCGTCTCTCCTACGGCGCCCGCCTAGCCCGGTGGTCCCAACCCCCTGCGGGAGCTGCACACGCCCCGGAAACCTGGGACAGAAACTGAGTCCCTCTCCTTCCTGGTGGTGGTGACAGCACCTGCTCAGATCTGGTCGGACGCCGCCGGCCGGAGCACCCAGCCCGGCGGAGAAGGAGCTCGCCCGGCGCTGGGGACTGGGACCTGGAGCCCCTTCCCCTACCGCACGTACGCCCCGCCCCGCGCACGCCCGCCCGCCCGCCCGCGCCTGGCGCAGCTTCACTCCGGATGGTTCCTGTCCTCCCGCGGGTCCGAGGGCGCTGGAAACCCAGCGGCGGCGAAGCGGAGAGGAGCCCCGCGCGTCTCCGCCCGCACGGCTCCAGGTCTGGGGTCTGCGCTGGAGCCGCGCGGGGAGAGGCCGTCTCTGCGACCGCCGCGCCCGCTCCCGACCGTCCGGGTCCGCGGCCAGCCCGGCCACCAGCCATGGGCTCTGGCCCGCTCTCGCTGCCCCTGGCGCTGTCGCCGCCGCGGCTGCTGCTGCTGCTGCTGCTGTCTCTGCTGCCAGGTACGCGCACAGGCGTTAGGGCTCCGGAGGGACGGGCGCCCGAGAAGGGGCGCGGGGTCCGGAGGGGCTGCCGGCGAGAACACCGCGCGGGCGAGCGGAGAGGGCTGGCGCCGTCGCCGGGGACTCGGAACCCGCGCAGACTGGCTCCAGCCCGGCGGCGACTTGGGTGGGGTGGCTTTTTCCCTTTCGGCTCACCTCCCACCCCTAGCCACCACCAAACCTGGGAGTCACTGAGCGGGCGCTGGTACGCGCCGGGTGATGGGGAGGTCGAGACCGGGTCCTTCGTCTTGGGCGCAGGAGTTGGGGATTCGCGTCCCCGCGCTGCCCGTCGCCCTGCCCCGCGCACTGGCTCCCAAACTGGCGCGCCCAAGCCTCCCGCTCCACCGTCTGCATCCCGCCCACCTCCTCATTTGACGGAGATGGCTGAAGACTTGGCCAAGGCCACCTCGGGAAGAGGGGAGTCGCTTCGGGACTGGGGCTGGAGCTGGAGCGCCAGCCTCTCCTCCGGTTGTAGCCTCCTAGCGCTCCTGGCTGCGTCGCTGAGGGACCCTCCACCGGGAGAGCGCCTCCTGTCTTCCTCCCGCTCTCCAGAGGAGCCTGCTGGGGGAAGCCGGCCCTGGCCCGCCGCTGGGAGGCTCTTGGGTGCCTGGGAGGGCTGGTGGGTAGCGAGAGTCGGGGACCGGGCAAGGCTGCAGGGAATTCCTGGAGGGCCCAGGCCGGCGGTCTGTCGTGCGGCTGTGAGCTCAGAGCGCTTTCCGCCCTCGGTGCCGAGGCCTGCACTACTCAGAACGCCATACGCTCTCAACCGACCTCCTGCCTGGGACCCTTCTTTCATCCTGGGGAAGGAGAGTGGGGAGCAGGAAAAATCCTATTTCAAGACCTGAGGAAGTTGGATTCAACTTCCTAGAGGATTCTCCTCCCGCTTCCCCAAGCTGCCCCCAGATCTGTACGTGGGAATCAGAAGACAGCTGACCCGGTATGCCTCACTTGTGCTGGGGTGTGGCTTAGGAACAAAGAGGGGTGCCCAAGGGTTGCAGAGGTCAGAGTCTTTCATCAGGATATGAAGACAGCATCAGCAAGAGCTGGGGGTCACACGAGATCACGGGAGTCACACAGTGCCTTGGCTTCTAAGAGGGCTGGTGGCCACCCCTACAGGGTGGAATGCAGGAGAGGCCCAGACCTGGGCTGTGTTCTCCCGGAGGCTGGGAGGTAGAAGACCTGGGCCTGGGCGACCGTGGTTGGCCCTGCCCCTGGGAGCGGACTGGCCATCTTTCCATCGTGGAAGCAGTGAGTGGCTGTACCCAGGCAGACAGCATTTGCCCCACACCCCCACCCGGCAGAAACAACCCAGGAAAAGATTGCGAATAGTTCTTGACCTCTTACCGCAGCACCAAGCTGTGCACTTCCTTCACAACAACCCTTTGAGGTGGATACGTTTATAATCCTTATTTTGACTGGTAAAGACACAGGTTCAGAGAGGTTAAGCCACTTGCCTAAGCTCACACAGCTTACAAGTGATTTGTCAGGATTTGCACCAGATCTGTCCAACTCCAGAGCCCAGGCTTGCAACCACTGTGCTTCTCACTGAATGCGTGTGGCCAGGTAGAATCCTGCCCCTCTTGGGCCTCAGTTTCCCATTTTGTAACCCACTGGGTTAGACTGGCCTGAAAGTCTAGGGTTCCACAGAATCCCCCCACAGGTGGAGGGGATGCTGTAGATGGGTGATGTTTCTGCTGGGCTGGGTGGGGGAGGTTAAGTAACGATTTCCCCAGGGACTGACAGGGCTGCTTCCCACAGTGGCCAGGGCCTCAGAGGCTGAGCACCGTCTATTTGAGCGGCTGTTTGAAGATTACAATGAGATCATCCGGCCTGTAGCCAACGTGTCTGACCCAGTCATCATCCATTTCGAGGTGTCCATGTCTCAGCTGGTGAAGGTGGTGAGTGCTGGAAGCCACGAGCCGTGGCCATGGGGACCGGGGCTTCTGGAGGAGCCTTTCCCAGAATTAGTCTTGTTTTGTAATTCTCCTGTCAACTTTAATTCCTCTTTCTAGGATGAAGTAAACCAGATCATGGAGACCAACCTGTGGCTCAAGCAAGTAAGTGACCAGACCCTAGGCACTGCTGCCCCCTGGTGGTGACTGTTTTATTTGCTTTAGGTGAACCAAGAAAGGCCTAAAGACCAGGCTTCATTTACTTCTGTGGAACCCAGATTGGGGTCCACTGACTGGCAGATATATCTCTTCTAAGGCTTGAGGTCACATGCACTGCCCTACAGTCCCCCTGGAAGGACTGTAGGGCCCAACCCCTCAAGTCCCAGATGGACAGGTTGCAGCCTGGAGAAAGACATTCTCCATGTTCACACAACAGAAGAGTACGAACCTGAGATTGAAGCCCTGCCCCCAAACCCTGGGGTGGTGCCTGAGACACCTCCTTCTCTCCCTCTTGCTAAAAACTCAGTTTTTTTTCCAGACGGGATCTCGCTCTGTCACCCAGGCCGGAGTGCTGTGGCGTGATCTCGGCTCACTGCAATCTCCACCAGCAGGGTTCAAGCAGTTCTCCTGCCTCAGCCTCCCAAGTAGCTGGGACCACAGCTGTGCACCACCACGTCTGGCTAATTTTTGGATTTGTTATAGAGACAGGGTTTCGCCATGTTGCCCAGGCTGGTCTCGAACGCCTGATCTCAAGCAAACCACACACCTCAGCCTCCCAAAGTGCTGGGGTTACAGGCAGAAGCCACTGTGCACAGCCCCTATACTCATTCTTAAGTCAGAATAAGATGCTGCTGTTGTTGGTAGCGTGGGAGTAGATTTTCCTGTTCAGATCGAGGCCAAGAAATTGCCTTCCACATGTCCTCCCCAGGGAGGCTTTGTCCAGACTTGCCAGGAGACATAATGGCCCATTGGCCTGCGGGTGACCCTTCTGCCAGCCTGGCCAGCTGAGCACTCAGCACACACAGCCTTCATCCCCAGGAGGTTGGAAAGCCAGATGGGCACAGTGCCCCACCCAGTACTTGATGCACACGTTCCCTCTGTGGCCGCAGCCTCACCCCTCTCTCCTCTGGTGCTCAGGACTCAGACCTCCCAGCCTCTGGACCCAGACACTTCCTGGGCCCTGCAGGGGTCATGGATTCTTCCCCCGGAATCTTTCAGAGTCCAGTCTTGCTTAACCTTGGGGTGAAAGAGTGTCTATGTTGGAAAACACCCCTGGAGAGCCATTCAGGGGCTGTAAACAGGCACATGGACCTGGACATGATGCATGAAGTCCAGGAGTCTCCACCTGGCACTAGAAGTGACCAGAGAAAGCACGAGTAGGCCCTGTTTGGTTGATGAGGGGCTGGGCTTGCTCATGGTTATGGGGGCAGTGGCTTCCCTAGTGCCAGGAGGTGGCCCGCAGAGCCAGCCGTGTGCTCTCTCCTGCACTACACCCACAGGAGAAGTTGGACTATGTGATCATGGCATGGATGTGGTTCGGTCACATGCAGCAGGGGTGGGGAGTCACCAAGATGGGTGGTGCCACGGGAAGTAAAACCAGGCTGATTCTTTTACCGTCTCCTTCTCCCTCCCTGCTTCCTTCCCCGAGATCTGGAATGACTACAAGCTGAAATGGAACCCCTCTGACTATGGTGGGGCAGAGTTCATGCGTGTCCCTGCACAGAAGATCTGGAAGCCAGACATTGTGCTGTATAACAAGTAAGGTGCTGGGGGGCCCACGCCCTCTCAGGGCTGTCAGCCTGGGCTCTGGGTTTTTGGCCCACTGTGCTTAAAACCTGGCCTTCCTTGGCCTTTTCCAAGAAGGCTGCATTCATTTGTTCAGTCCATAGGTATGTAATCAGCAACTACTACATACCAGGTACCAGAGATGTTGGAGAGCCACAGAGAGCAGCAGTGTGCTGAGTGGCTTCAAAGCAGGCATGGGTGGGTGGAAGATGGCATTGGGAAAGTTTCAAGGAAGAATTGGCATTTGAAGTGAATCCTGAAGATTGTGTAGGATCTCAGGACAGGGAGATGGAGCAGAGGAGGGCCCGGGGAGGCAGGAGAGTATGTCATGGGCAGCCAAGGTGACCTCATTGGCTGGACTGTGGGACATAAGGCTGGAAAGATCCATGGGCCAAGGACCAACCCCAGTGTGTGGAGGGGGAAGGCTCAGATGCCCGGGGCACCTGGAATGTAGCATCTGTTAGCAGCTCTGTGCAAACAGACAGGAATGGAGTAAACGGTCCCTCCTCACCTTGTCTTTGAAAGA
Organism: Homo sapiens; assembly: GCF_000001405.40. Taxonomy (NCBI): domain Eukaryota; kingdom Metazoa; phylum Chordata; class Mammalia; order Primates; family Hominidae; genus Homo; species Homo sapiens. The sequence goes on along the minus strand of NC_000015.10, from coordinate 78,616,470 downwards.
GAATGAGGGTGTTGGAGAAGATCATAGCTGGGTGGGCCTAAGCTGTGTAGTCCCAGGGTTCCCAGCCTGCTGACTGGCATGGTTACCAAGGAGCTTTTTTTTTGGGGGGGTGGGGGGGGGAAGACTGAGTCTTACTGTCACCCAGGCTGGAGTGCAGTGGTGGGATCTCGGCTCACAGCAACCTCCACCTCCTGGGTTCAAGAAATCCTCCTGCCTCAGCCTCCCAAGTAGCTGGGATTACAGGCACGTGCTGCCACACCTGGCTAATTTTGTATTTTTCAGTAGAGATGGGGTTTTGCCATGTTGGCCAGGCTGGTTTTGAACTCCTGACCTCAAGCAATCTGTCTGCCTTGGCCTCCCAAAGTGCTGGGATTACAGCATGAGCCACCATGCCCAGCCCCAATGAGCTTTTTAAAAATACAGGTGTTTGGCCAGGCATGGTGGCTGATGCCTGTAATCCCAGCACTTTGGGAGGCCGAGGCAGGAGGATCACTGGAGGCCAGGAGTTCGAGACCAGCCTGGCCAATATACCAAAACCCCATCTCTACTAAAAATACAAAAAATTAGCCAGGCATGGTGGCGTGTGCCTGTAATCCCAGCTACTCCAGAGGCTGAGGCAGGAGAATCGCTTGAACCTGGTAGGTAGAGGCTGCAGTGACCTAGATCACACCACTGTACTCCAGCCTGGGTGACAGTGAGACTCCGTCTCAAAAAAAAAAAAAAAAAAAAAATACAGGTGCCTGAATTCAAAATATTTTATTCTTTGTTCCTCACTGTCTTTTCTAAAGTTAATATGTATTACGTTATCCAAAAAATCTCTATACCTGTCCCCAGGTCCTGCCCCACAGAAACACTGAGTCAGTGGGTCTGGGTAGGCCTAGGAATGGGTGTTTTCACAAAGCTGTCCTGGGGGCTGTGTGACCAGCTTGCTTTGGGGATCCCTGATCTGGCCCTTCCCTGACATTTCACAGATGAGGACTGAGGCCCAGAGTGGATGTGTGGCACAGCCAGGTCTGGGGTGGTCTCAGCCATCCACTGTGGCTTTGGGGCCACTGTGGGCAGTGGATGCAGGAGGCCGATGCTGTGATCAGGGGGCTGAGCTGGGCACCCCAGCCTGTCTCTGCCTGTGTCCCCAAACCTCTTCTCTACTCTCCCAACAGCAAACCTGCCATCAGACAGTTACCCTGCTACACGGTGTACCCTGCAGGCCTCCTCCCACTGGGAAAAGGTCTGGGCCTTGGAGAAAGGATTGATAGCCCCCCAAGTATGTGAAGCAAGGTTCCCATGTACAGAGTAGGATGAGCATTCTGGGCCCCGTGCTCCCAGCCCGTCTGGGTGGCTGCATCCAGGTCGTAGTTGAGAAGGGTGAGTCCAGGACTAAAAAGACTTCCCTGGCTCCTGCCATCGAGAGAAGCTGCTCTCGAGCCAGTCCTTCACAGTGGGCCACTTCCAGTCTCCTATGGATCCGGAATGTGCATCTTCCCGCCAGTTTTGGGAGGCCTCTCCTCTTTCTCTCTTGCAAAGGTTCTTCCTCTGCCAGACAGGTCCTGCTCATCATAGCACCTCCAAAACCCCTCCCTTTTCTCTAAGTCCACACAAAACTGATACTTCCCACATTTAAGCTCTTTCATTGGACTGACATAAATTTTAGTTGATATTTTGCAATATGCTAGTTAGTTCTCTGGGTATTGAAGAATATCATTTTTGTACCTGCATTTTAGAGTTAAAATGTTTGAATATTTAAACCTTTTACATTTACATTTAAACATTTTCAGCAAAACAGTTGATGTAGAATTAGTCTATTCTGATTTTAATGCTAAGAATACTTCTAGGTTTTTATGCCATATTAGTACAAAATAATGTTTTCTTATTAGTAGTATTGATTTTACAGTTAGTGTCAGGACTAGAGAAGCTATGTTTTATACTGAATCCCACTTTCTGGTCTCTGGCAAAAACAAAAGTGGGTCTTTACTCACTCTAAAGACAGTCCATGTTTTATTTACTGTTTTCCCAAGGAAACACAGCACTTATAAATGTTTCTTGTATGTAATTTGTATTTGTAAACTGGTCATCAAAGAACTGGGACACAATATAAACTCAACAGGCTTGCAGATTTTTTTCTTCTTGCACTGAATTGTCGTAGGAATCACATGGTTCAAATGCTCTTAAGGGAACTGGGCAGGGTGTAGAGAATTTTTGCTAAGCTACAATTAAGAAAATGAGCAAAAAGTTTAATCTTCATGTTTTGCGTTTTATAGCCATTTCCTTGCTGGCAATCTTGAGTGAACAGCTGGAGTACTGTAGGATTTATGATTTTAGCAATAATGAGAGGCGTAGCAAAATGTTGCAAATTGGCTGTGGAGAGGAGCAAATATCATAAGGAATTTCTTTGAAATCTGAAGCTGAAAATAACATTTAGAGAAAATCATCCAACTCATGTTCTCTCTCTTCTCCTAGTTAGAACTTCAATTGCTCAGGATTCACCCTCTGTTAAGGATTTCTCTTCTTTTTTTTCCCCCCACCCCGAGATGGAGTCTCACTCTGTCGCCCAGGCTGGAGTGCAGTGGCATGATCTGGGCTCACTGCAAGCTCCGCCTCCCTGGTTCACGCCATTCTCCTACCTCAGCCTCCCAAGTAGCTGGGACTACAGGCGCCCGCCACCACGCCTGGCTAATTTTTTTGTGGTTTTTTTTGGTTTTTTTTTTGTTTGTTTGCCACTGCTTTACAGTTTTTTTTTAAATTTTATTATTATTATACTTTAAGTTTTAGGGTACATGTGCACAATGTGCAGGTTTGTTACATATGTATACATGTGCCATGTTGGTGTGCTGCACCCATTAACTCGTCATTTAGCATTAGGTATATCTCCTAATGCTATCTCTCCCCCCTCCCCCCACCCCACAACAGTCCCTGGTGTGTGATGTTCCCCTTCCTGTGTCCATGTGTTCTCATTGTTCAATTCCCACCTATGAGTGATAACATGCGGTGTTTGGTTTTTTGTCCTTGCGATAGTTTGCTGAGAATGATGGTTTCCAGTTTCATCCATGTCCCTACAAAGGACATGAACTCATCATTTTTTATGGCTGCATAGTATTCCATGGTGTATATGTGCCACATTTTCTTAATCCAGTCTATCCTTGTTGGACATTTGGGTTGGTTGCAAGTCTTTGCTATTGTGAATAATGCCGCAATAAACATACGTGTGCATGTGTCTTTATAACAGCATGATTTATAGTCCTTTGGGTATATACCCAGTAATGGGATGGCTGGGTCAAATGGTATTTCTAGTTCTAGATCCCTGAGGAATCGGCACACTGACTTCCACAATGGTTGAACTAGTTTACACTCCCACCAACAGTGTAAAAGTGTTCCTATTTCTCCACATCCTCGCCAGCATCTGTTGTTTCCTGACCTTTTAATGATCGCCATTCTAACTGGTGTGAGATGGTATCTCATTGTGGTTTTGATTTGCATTTCTCTGATGGCCAGTGACGATGAGCATTTTTTCATGTGTTTTTTGGCTGCATAAATGTCTTCTTTTGAGAAGTGTCTGTTCATATCCTTCACCCACTTTTTGATGGGGTTGTTTGTTTTTTTCTTGTAAATTTGTTTGAGTTCATTGTAGATTCTGAATATTAGCCCTTTGTCAGATGAGTAGGTTGTGAAAATTTTCTCCCATTTTGTAGGTTGCCTGTTCACTCTGATGGTAGTTTCTTTTGCTGTGCAGAAGCTCTTTAGTTTAATTAGATCCCATTTGTCAATTTTGGCTTTTGTTGCCATTGCTTTTGGTGTTTTAGACATGAAGTCCTTGCCCATGCCTATGTCCTGAATGGTATTGCCTAGGTTTTCTTCGAGGGTTTTTATGGTTTTAGGTCTAACATGTTAAGTCTTTAATCCATCTTGAATTAATTTTTGTATAAGGTGTAAGGAAGGGATCCAGTTTCAGCTTTCTACATATGGCTAGCCAGTTTTCCCAGCACCATTTATTAAATAGGGAATCCTTTCCCCCATTGCTTGTTTTTGTCAGGTTTGTCAAAGATCAGATAGTTGTAGATATGTGGCGTTATTTCTGAGGGCTCTGTTCTGTTCCTTTGATCTATATCTCTGTTTTGGTACCAGTACCATGCTGTTTTGGTTACTGTAGCCTTGTACTATAGTTTGAAGTCAGGTAGTGTGATGCCTCCAGCTTTGTTCTTTTGGCTTAGGATTGACTTGGCGATGCGGGCTCTGTTTTGGTTCCATATGAACTTTAAAGTAGTTTTTTCCAATTCTGTGAAGAAAGTCATTGGTGGCTTGATGGGGATGGCATTGAATCTATAAATTACCTTGGGCAGTATGGCCATTTTCACGATATTGATTCTTCCTACCCATGAGCATGGAATGTTCTTCCATTTGTTTGTATCTTCTTTTATTTCATTGAGCAGTGGTTTGTAGTTCTCCTTGAAGAGGTCCTTCACATCCCTCTTAAGTTGGATTCCTAGGTATTTTATTCTCTTTGAAGCAATTGTGAATGGTAGTTCACTCATGATTTGGCTGTTTGTCTGTTATTGGCGTGTAAGAATGCTTGTGATTTTTGTACATTGATTTTGTATCCTGAGACTTTGCTGAAGTTGCTTATCAGCTTAAGGAGATTTTGGGCTGAGACAATGGGGTTTTCTAGATATACAATCATGTCATCTGCAAACAGGGACAATTTGACTTCCTCTTTTCCTAATTGAATCCCTTTATTTCCTTCTCCTGCCTAATTGCCCTGGCCAGAACTTCCAACACTATGTTGAATAGGAGTGGTGAGAGAGGGCATCCCTGTCTTGTGCCCGTTTTCAAAAGGAATGCTTCCAGTTTGTGCGCATTCAGTATGATATTGGCTGTGGGTTTCTCATAGACAGCTCTTATTATTTTGAGATACATCCCATCAATACCTAATTTATTGAGAGTTTTTAGCGTGAAGGGTTGTTGAATTTTGTCAAAGGCCTTTTCTGCATCTATTGAGATAATCATGTGGTTTTTGTCTTTGGTTCTGTTTATATGCTGGATTACATTTGTTGATTTGCATATGTTGAACCAGCCTTGCATCCCAGGGATGAAGCCCACTTGATCATGGTGGATAAGCTTTTTGATGTGCTGCTGGATTCGGTTTGCCAGTATTTTATTGAGGATTTTTGCATCAATGTTCATCAAGGATATTGGTCTAAAATTCTCTTTTTTGGTTGTGTCTCTGCCAGCTTTGGTATCAGGAGGATGCTGGCCTCATAAAATGAGTTAGGGAGGATTCCCTCTTTTTCTATTGATTGGAATAGTTTCAGAAGGAATGGTACCAGCTCCTCCTTGTACCTCTGATAGAATTCAGCTGTGAATCCATCTGGTCCTGGACTTTTTTTGGTTGGTAAGCTATTGATTATTGCCACAATTTCAGCTCCTGTTATTGGTCTATTCAGAGATTCAACTTCTTCCTGGTTTAGTCTTGGGAGAGTGTATGTGTCCAGGAATTTATCCATTTCTTCTAGATTTTCTAGTTTATTTGCGTAGAGTTGTTTGTAGTATTCTCTGATGGTAATTTGTATTTCTGTGGGATCGGTGGTGATATCCCCTTTATCAATTTTTATTGCATCTATTTGATTCTTCTTTCTGCTTTATTAGTCTTGCTAGCAGTCTATCAATTTTGTTGATCTTTTCAAAAAACCAGCTCCTGGATTCATTAATTTTTTGAAGGGTTTTTTGTGTCTCTATTTCCTTCAGTTCTGCTCTGATTTTAGTTATTTCTTGCCTTCTGCTAGCTTTTGAATGTGTTTGCTCTTGCTTTTCTAGTTCTTTTAATTGTGATGTTAGGGTGTCAATTTTGGATCTTTCCTGCTTTCTCTTGTGGGCATTTAGTGCTATAAATTTCTCTCTACACACTGCTTTGAATGCGTCCCAGAGATTCTGGTATGTTGTGTCTTTGTTCTCATTGGTTTCAAAGAACATCTTTATTTCTGCCTACCTTTCGTTATGTACCCAGTAGTCATTCAGGAGCAGATTGTTCAGTTTCCATGTAGTTGAGTGGTTTTGAGTGAGTTTCTTAATCCTGAGTTCTAGTTTGATTGCACTGTGGTCTGAGAGACAGTTTGTTACAATTTGTGTTCTTTTACATTTGCTGAGGAGTGCTTTACTTCCAACTATGTGGTCAATTTTGGAATAGGTGTGGTGTGGTGCTGAAAAAAATGTATGTTCTGTTGATTTGGGGTGGAGAGTTCTGTAGATGTCTATTAGGTCCGCTTGGTGCAGAGCTGAGTTCAATTCCTGGGTATCGTTGTTAACTTTGTCTTGTTGATCTGTCTAATGTTGACAGTGGGGTGTTGAAGTCTCCCATTATTATTGTGTGGGAGTCTAAGTCTCTTTGTAGGTCTCTAAGGACTTGCTTTATGAATCTGGGTGCTCCTGTATTGGGTGCCTATATATTTAGGATAGTTAGCTCTTCTTGTTGAATTGATCCCTTTACCATTATGTAATGGCCTTCTTTGTCTCTTTTGATCTTTGTTGGTTTAAAGTGTTTTATCAGAGACTAGGATTGCAACCCCTGCCTTTTTTTGTTTTCCATTTGCTTGGTAGATCTTCCTCCATCCCTTTATTTTGAGCCTATGTGTGTCTCTGCGTGTGAAATGGGTTTCCTGAATACAGCACACTGATGGGTCTTGACTCTTTATCCAATTTGCTAGTCTGTGTCTTTTAATTGGAGCATTTAGCCCATTTACATTTAAAGTTAATATTGTTATGTGTGAATTTGGTCCTGTCATTATTATGTTAGCTGGTGATTTTGCTCGTTAGTTGATGCAGTTTCTTCCTAGCCTTGATGGTCTTTACATTTTGGCATGTTTTTGCAGTGGCTGGTACCAGTTGTTCCTTTCCATGTTTAGCGCTTCCTTCAGGAGCTCTTTTAGGGCAGGCCTGGTGGTGATAAAATCTCTCAGCATTTGCTTGTCTGTAAAGTATTTTATTTCTCCTTTACTTATGAAGCTTAGTTTGGCTGGATATGAAATTCTGGGTTGAAAATTCTTTTCTTTAAGAATGTTGAATATTGGCCCCCACTCTCTTCTGGCTTGTAGAGTATCTGCCGAGAGATCTGCTGTTAGTCTGATGGGCTTCCCTTTGTGGGTAACCCGACCTTTCTTTCTGGCTGCCCTTAACATTTTTTCCTTCATTTCAACTTTGGTGAATCTGACTATTATGTGTCTTGGAGTTGCTCTTCTCGAGGAGTATCTTTGTGGCATTCTCTGTATTTCCTGAATCTGAATGTTGGCCTGCCTTGCTAGATTGGGGAAGTTCTCCTGGATAATATCCTGCAGAGTGTTTTCCAACTTGGTTCCATTCTCCCCGTCACTTTCAGGTACACCAATCAGATGTAGATTTGGTCTTTTCACATAGTCCCATATTTCTTGGAGGCTTTGGTCATTTCTATTCTTTTTTCTCTAAACTTCCCTTCTCACTTCATTTCATTCATTTCATCTTCCATCACTGATACCCTTTCTTCCAGTTGATTGCATCGGCTCCTGAGGCTTCTGCATTCTTCACGTAGTTCTCCAGCCTTGGCTTTCAGCTCCATCAGCTCCTTTAAGGACTTCTCTGCATTGGTTATTCTAGTTATCCATTTGTCTAATTTTTTTTTCACAGTTTTTAACTTCTTTGCCATTGGTTTGAATTTCCTCCTGTAGCTTGGAGTATTTTGGTCGTCTGGAGCCTTCTTCTCTCAACTTGTCAAAGTCATTCTCCGTCCAGCTTTGTTCCATTGCTGGTGAGGAGCTATGTTCCTTTGGAGGAGGAGAGGTGCTCTGATTTTTAGAGTTTCCAGTTTTTCTGCTCTGTTTTTTCCCCATCTTTGTGGTTTTATCTACTTTTGGTCTTTGATGATGGTGACGTACAGATGGGTTTTTGGTGTGGATATGCTTTCTGTTTGTTAGTTTTCCTTCTAACAGACAGGACCCTCAGCTGCAGGTCTGTTGGAGTTTGCTAGAGGTCCACTCCAGACCCTGTTTGCCTGGGTATCAGCAGCGGTGGCTGCAGAACAGCGGTGGCTGTAGAACAGTGGATCTTGGTGACCCACAGATGCTGCTGCCTGATCGTTCCTCTGGAAGTTTTGTATCAGAGGAGTACCCGGCCGTGTGAGGTGTCAGTCTGCCCCTACTTGGGGGGTGTCTCCCAGTTAGGCTGCTCGGGGGTCAGGGACCCACTTGAGGAGGCAGTCTGCCCGTTCTCAGATTTCCAGCTGCGTGCTGGGAGAACCATTACTCTCCTCAAAGCTGTCAGACAGGGAAGTCTGCAGAGGTTACTGCTGTCTTTTTGTTTGTCTGTGCCCTGCCCCCAGAGGTGGAGCCTATAGAGGCAGGCAGGCCTCCTTGGGCTGTGGTGGGCTCCATCCAGTTCGAGCTTCCCGGCTGCTTTGTTTACCTAATCAAGGCTGGGCAATGGCAGGCGCCCCTCCCCCAGCATCGCTGCCGCCTTGCAGTTTGATCTCAGACTGCTGTGCTAGCCATCAGCAAGACTCCGTGTGTGTAGGACCCTCCGAGCAAGGTGCAGGATGTAATCTCCTGGTGTGCCGTTTTTTAAGCCCGTTGGAAAAGTGCAGTATTAGGGTGGGAGTGACCCGATTTTCCAGGTGCCATCTGTCACCCCTTTCTTTGACTAGGAAAGGGAACTCCCTGACCCCTTGTGCTTCCCAAGTGAGGCAATGCCTCGCCCTGCTTTGGCTCATGCACAGTGCGCTGCACCCACTATCCTGCACCCACTGTCTGGCACTCCCTAGTGAGATGAACCTGGTACCTCAGATGGAAATGCAGAAATCACCCATCTTCTGCATTGCTCATGCTGGGAGCTGTAGACCGGAGCTGTTCCTATTTGGCCATTTTGGCTCCACCCGAATTTTTTTGTATTTTTTTAGTAGCGACGGGGTTTCACCGTTTTAGCCAGGATGGTCTCAATCTCCTGACTTAGCCAGGATGGTCTCAATCTCCTGACTTTGTGATCCACCCTCCTCGGCCTCCCAAAGTGCTGGGATTACAGGTGTGAGCCATCATTCCCAGCCTTTCTCCTGTGATATTTTGTTTTCTAAAGTTCATTTGCTGACAGAATCCTCAGAGTATTCATGGACACTGTATACTCTGTGTTCTGGCAAGTTCATAATTCATTGTAACCTTTTTAGAGAATACTTTTAGGTAACTTGGCTGGGTGTAAAATTCTTGGCTCCTCTTTATCTTCCATGAAAATCTTTTTTTTTTTTTTTTTGGAGACAGAGTCTCACTGTGTTGGCCAGGCTGGAGTGCCTTGGCTCACTGCAATCTCTGCCTCCTGGGTTCCAGCTATTCTCCTGCCTCAGCCTCCTGAGTAGCCGGGATTACAGGTGTGTGCCACCATGCCCAGCTAATTTTTTGTATTTTTAGTAGAGATGGGGTTTCACAATGTTGGCCAGGCTGGTCTCAAACTCCTGACTTCAAATGATCTGCCCGCCTCAGCCTTCCAAAGTGCTGGGATTACAGGTGTGAGCCATCACACCCAGACTGCTTGTTCTTATGTTTCTTCTGGTTTTCTTTTTTGTGTGTTTTTTGTTTTGTTTTGTTTTGTTTTTTTGAGACAGACTCTCGTGGTGGCATGATCTCAGCTCACTACAAGCTCCGCCTCCCAGGTTCACACCATTCCCCTGCCTCAGCTTCCCAAGTAGCTGGGACTACAGGTGCCCACCACCACATCCGGCTAATTTTTTTGTATTTTTTTTAGTAGAGACGGGGTTTCACTGTGTTAGCCAGGATGGTCTCGATCTCCTGACCTCGTCATCCACTCACCTCGGCCTCCCAAAGTGCTGGGATTACAGGCCTGAGCCACCACCCCTGGCCTCTTCTGGTTTTATTTCTAAAATGATTTTTTTCTTTTTCCTAATTCTTTCCTAAATTCTGCTAGTTCTTTATACATTCTTTCATTTAACCAAATTATCCCTTATCTTTTCTGATTTCTGTTCTTTCACAATTTTGAAAAATTTCTTAGTTTCTTTTCATTTAATTTGTAATATCAGATTATCGTCAGCTTCATCTGCTTGGTGGCTCTATTTTTGTAGTTGCTGTTATCTGCGTGTGTGTTAATTCAGTTACTTGTGTTTGTATTTTTTTTTTTTTTTTTGAGACATCTTCTGTTTTTTTGCTCTTGTTACCAAGGCTGGAGTGCAATGGCATGATCTTGGCTCACTGCAACCTCTGCCTCTCAGATTCAAGCAATTCTTCTGCCTCAGCCTCCCAAGTAGCTGGGACTACAGGTGACTGCCACCACGCCTAGCTAAATTTTTTTTTGTATTTTTGGTAGAGACGGGGTTTCACCATGTTGGCCAGGTTGGTCTCGAACTCCTGACTTCAGGTAATCCACCTGTCTCAGCCTCCCAAAGTGCTGGGATTACAGGCATGAGCTGCTGTACCCAGTTTGTGTTTTTCTTACAATATGTTTTCATAAAGCTTCGTTGCTCTTGTTTAAATAGATAGCCTTGCTTTACTTTTAGGGCAAGTTCTTGGGGGGAATAGGAGAAGACGGTAGTTACCTTGAGGTGCCACTTGTCTCAATGCATGGCCACCTCCCCAGTCTCCACAGTCATGACACCTCAGTCATGACATGACCGCACAGTCATGGCATCTCCACGAGCTGCTGCCTCTGGATGCTGACTTCAGTTTCTGAACCTTCTTTCTCTTCTCATCCCCACTTCTTACCCTGTTGAGTTTGGATTCTACCATAAGCAGCTTTTTCTCTGAGTGGGTCTCTGTCCTTCTGAAAGGGAGGTTTTGGGAGGCATTTCTGACATCCTCAAGAGCCCACGTCAGCACTGACTGACCTCTGCAGACACTGAGTGGATTCCCACGGGATTTTTTTGGTTCTTGCCCACAAATTGGAACCTGTGGAGCCCTCTCTGTTCCATTGTTCCCCTTGCTGAGGATTCAGTGCAGAGTGGGGTCCTCGTCTTTTGAGGGGCAGCCACTTTTTGGAGATTCCTGTGTCTGGCACTCTTAGGATCTTAGGACATGAGAACCCTTCTTTCTTTTCCCCCGGCTGCCTCTACCCCGCAGCTAATCGCATGTGGGTCCCACAGGTCCTGCTGGTGGTGGTGGTCTGACCGCACACTCTCATATCCTGAGGTGCTGTGTAACCTAACTTTGTTGACAATGTGATCAGATTTGTTATTTTGCTGTCATCCTAGTTGCCCTATTTTTCTGAAGAAATTTAGAGAGATTTTAAAAACCCATGCCATCATGATCTTTCTCATAGCCCTCACCACCCCACCCCACTTCTGTTCTTAAATGCCCCCTGTATGATAGTGCTACCTCAGCTGATCATTTGCACCCATACTACCTTTTCTTTTTTTAATTGCCTCACATGGTTTGGCAGTACATTGCTCAGACCCTTCCCACCAATGCTGTCCCTTGCTGCCAGCTATCTCTGGGTGTGATATTGATTGACTGAGACAGAATCTCACTCTGTCACCCAGGCTGGAGTGCAGTGGTGCCATCTCAGCTCACTGCAGCTTCCACCTCCTGGGTTCAAGCAATTCTCCTGCCTCAGCCTCCCGAGTAGCTGGGATTACAGGTGTGCACCACCACACCTGGCTAATTTTTGTATTTTTAGTAGAGATGGGGTTTTGTCATGTTGACCAGGCTGGTCTCAAACTGCTGACCTCAGGTGATCTGCCCGCCTCAGCCTCCCAAAGTATTAGTATTACAGGTGTGAGCCACCACACCCAGCTTTCATTTATTTTTTGGTCATTCGTTAGGTCAACAAATATTTACTGAGTGCCCTTTATGAGGCTGGTGCTGTGCCAGACCCCAGTCTCCAGCTGGGTCTGCATGTTCTGTCTTCTGCTAGTAGAGATATGACTGTTGACACTGCCCCAGGCAGCACACAGGCCTTCTGATCTGGGTGGACACACCCCAGGGGTGCTGTGGGCAGCAGCCACAGTGACCAGGATCCCCAGAAATGAGCCATCAGCCAAGCTCAGCTAACCTCTAGTATATGTTCTTTGGGCACATGCACACATTTCTGTGTCTCCTCACTTGGGGACCCAAGTTCTGAATGGCCAAGGTTCTGCCATAAACTCTGTGGAGTCTCGAGCAAGTCATTCCTGTCCTTTGACCGTCAGTTTTCTCTTTGGCAAAATGAAGGTGTTGGACTAGAGCAGGGGCTAGCAAATGTTTTCTCTAAAGGGCCAGAGAATAAATATTTTAGGCGTTGTGGGTCATACAGTGACGGTCACAGCTATTCATCTCTGCCCCTGGAGCTCAAAAGTAGCTATAGATAATGGACAACAAAAGGCAGTGGCACTATTCCCCCCAGATTTTATTTACAGAAAGAGGACCACAGCTTGCCAACCCCTGGACCAGACCCTGGGCTCTGAAGCTCCCTTGCCGCTCTGACATTTTGTTGATCCAGGATGCTGTATGGAATTGGTTCAGGAGGCCTCTGCCTTCCTGAGGGTCTTTTCGACCTTCTGCTTAGCCCAGCCCTCTCCAGGGCCCCTCAGTGCTAAACATGGGCTGAGTCCACTTGGGGACTGTGTGGATGTTCACCTCCACCCCACCCTCCTACCTCTCCCTTTTTCCTGGAGCCAGGAGCAGGAATACTCGTAGGGAATTAAGGGCATGGTGGGAGTGAAATTGGGGCTAAGAATGTATAAACTCAGCAGGGCACCATTGGGGGCAAACTAGCCAACCAGAGGAAAGATAGTTAGTGGCTTTGGCATTGAGCCTTCATGGGTAATGATCCTGCTCAACCGAGACCCAGGAGAGACTAGCAAGGAAGAAGCACATGCACCACAACATTCCCCTTCTGTTTTCACAGGTTCCCATCCAATTACAGCAGCACAAGGATATCCCTAAATGTTTAGGCTTTGTCATTGTTTACAAGGCAAAGGAGTATGGCAGTTGCTCCCTTTGGAGGATGTAAATGCCTTCACAAGGCTAAGAAACTTAACAGGGCTGATCCGAGGAATGTTTAAGAACCTTCCTGGGCAGGGCCATTGTTGTGGAAGCAACTGGCCTTGCTCTCAGATGGCCTCATCTGGCCATCGCGGATGGAATGCCCAATGCAAGACTCAACAGGGATCATCAGCTGATTTTCTGTCGAACAAACCAACAAGACTATTCCTAGAAAAACGTACATGTCTAAGGCCAGGCAGTGGCTCAAGCCTGTAATCTCAGCACTTTGGGAGGCCGAGGTGGGCAGATCACTTGAGGTCAGGAGTTCGAGACCAGCCCAGCCAACATGGCAAAACTCCATCCCTACTAAAAATAGAAAAAGTAGCTGAGCGTTTGTGGTACATGCTTATAATTCCAGCTACTCAGGAGGCTGAGCAGGAGACTTGCTTGAACCCCGGGAGACAGAGATTGTAGTGAGCTACTGCATTCTAGCCTGGGCAACAGAGTGAGACTCTGTCTCAAAGAAAAAGAAAAATGTCTATTTCTGTGTGAAAATAAATGTCAGGATGCACATAGTGAAAAGGAAGGGAGAAGAAACATGGGGAGAAAATGGGGATAGGGACACAGAAAGTGAAGAAACCTGTTAGGCTGAATTCGAAAGACAAGGAAGCAAAACATGATTATTGTAAAACAGTACTGGGAAGAATGGGGGTGGGGAGGGTACAGGGAATGGTCAAATCAGGATCCAGAGATAGGGTTTGGAAGTAAATCCATCTGACAAGGTTCCGTTTAATGGGGGTGGACTCCCCTGGGTGGTCTGTGCAGCCCCTTCCACATCCATAGTCTGGTTTCACACACACATTAGGCGCCCGGTACAGACTGAATGAGGAGAGGGCCAAGCCTCAGGGACCCTGGGTGGCAAATAATCCCAAAGGCTGCTTCAGCACCTGGCTCCAGGAGGATGACCTTCCTCCCATTTCTTTAATTAAAGGGGGACCAATCCTCTTCGGGCATTTGGGAGTCTATCAGTTTGGGACCTGTATTGTGGGATGAACTGGTGGCCTGCCCTGGGGCAGGGAGTGATCCATATCTCAGATTGTTGTTGGGGAGGGAGCTTGGGCCTCAGTATCCCTGTTGGTAAATGGGGCCAGGAAATGGGTGACCTTTTATGGCACTTTAGCTCTCATCTTCCAGTGCCTTCCAAATCATTACTTACTGTGAGAAGCTGGTTGAGATGACCACAATATGACCAAGTGTTAATGACCGTGTGTCACTGTGCCCCCTCTTTGTCTTTGCAGTGCTGTTGGGGATTTCCAGGTGGACGACAAGACCAAAGCCTTACTCAAGTACACTGGGGAGGTGACTTGGATACCTCCGGCCATCTTTAAGAGCTCCTGTAAAATCGACGTGACCTACTTCCCGTTTGATTACCAAAACTGTACCATGAAGTTCGGTTCCTGGTCCTACGATAAGGCGAAAATCGATCTGGTCCTGATCGGCTCTTCCATGAACCTCAAGGACTATTGGGAGAGCGGCGAGTGGGCCATCATCAAAGCCCCAGGCTACAAACACGACATCAAGTACAACTGCTGCGAGGAGATCTACCCCGACATCACATACTCGCTGTACATCCGGCGCCTGCCCTTGTTCTACACCATCAACCTCATCATCCCCTGCCTGCTCATCTCCTTCCTCACTGTGCTCGTCTTCTACCTGCCCTCCGACTGCGGTGAGAAGGTGACCCTGTGCATTTCTGTCCTCCTCTCCCTGACGGTGTTTCTCCTGGTGATCACTGAGACCATCCCTTCCACCTCGCTGGTCATCCCCCTGATTGGAGAGTACCTCCTGTTCACCATGATTTTTGTAACCTTGTCCATCGTCATCACCGTCTTCGTGCTCAACGTGCACTACAGAACCCCGACGACACACACAATGCCCTCATGGGTGAAGACTGTATTCTTGAACCTGCTCCCCAGGGTCATGTTCATGACCAGGCCAACAAGCAACGAGGGCAACGCTCAGAAGCCGAGGCCCCTCTACGGTGCCGAGCTCTCAAATCTGAATTGCTTCAGCCGCGCAGAGTCCAAAGGCTGCAAGGAGGGCTACCCCTGCCAGGACGGGATGTGTGGTTACTGCCACCACCGCAGGATAAAAATCTCCAATTTCAGTGCTAACCTCACGAGAAGCTCTAGTTCTGAATCTGTTGATGCTGTGCTGTCCCTCTCTGCTTTGTCACCAGAAATCAAAGAAGCCATCCAAAGTGTCAAGTATATTGCTGAAAATATGAAAGCACAAAATGAAGCCAAAGAGGTAAGGATATGGCTTTTATTACATTGGTCATTCATTCATTCAACAAATATTTATGGGTTCCTCGTGGGGCAAGGCATAGGGTAGGGGGTTAAGAAATTGCCCTCTGGAGTCAGTGGCCTGTGTTAAGACCAGTTATATGTCCTTGGGTATGTTACCTCACCTCTCTGAGCCTGTTTTCTCTTCTGTAAAATGGGATGATAAAGCTTGGTATGTGGTACCCTGAAGCTAGCCACCAGGCTGCCAGCAGGCTGGCAGGCTGGACCATGAAAACACCTGATGCCAATAGACTAGATTAGGATGTAGGCTGGAAAAGGGCATGGGGCCAGATGATCTCCAGTTAGTATTGGTTAATTGAGGTTATATTTTTATTTTTATTTATTTTTTTGAGACAGGGTCCTGCTCTGTTGCCCAGGCTGGAGTGCAGTGGCGCAATCTTGGCTCACTGCAACTTCCGCCTCCCAGCTCAAGCGATTCTCCCACCTCAGTTTCCCGAGTAGCTTGAACTACAGATGCCCCGCCACCATACCCTAATTTTTTTGTACCGATGGGGTTTTGCCATGTTGCCCAGGTTGGTCTCAGACTCCTCGACTCAATCTGCTCACCTCAGTCTCCCAAAATGCTGGGACTACAGGCATGAGCCACCGCACCTGGCCTTTATTTTTACTTTCTAATTGTATATGTGTTCTCACTGAGGAAGAATTTACGTGGAGTAAAGTGCACACCTCTTCAGTGTACATCTCAATGAGTTTTTACATCATGTATACAACCATGTAACCAAGACCCAGGTAAAGATATAGAACACTCCCAGGGCCCCTAGAAAGTTCCCCAATGCCCTTGCCAGTCAGTGTCTCCCTCCCTGCTTGGTACCCACCATCCTGGCTTAGGCGCAGTGGCTCACGCCTGTAATCCTAGCACTTTAGGAGGCTGAGGCAGGTGGATGGCTTGAGATCAGGAGTTTGAGACCAGCCTGGGAAACATAGCGAAACCCCGTCTCTAACAGAAATACAAAAATTAGCCAGGCGTGGTGGCACGTGCCTGTAGTTCCAGCTACTCAGGAGGCTGAGGTGAGAGGATCACTGGAGCTCAGGAAGTCTAGTGAGCTGTGATCATGCCACTGCACTCCAGCCTGGGTAACAGAGTGAAGTCCTTTCTTTAATTAATTAATTAATTTTTTAAAAAACCATTATACTGACTTATTTGATAATTGATTAGTTTTACCTATTTTTTTTTTTTTTTGAGATGGAGTCTTGCTCTGTCACCCAGAATGGAGTGCAGTAGTACAATCTCTGCCTACTGCAACCTCTGCTTCCCAGGTTCAAGTGATTCACATGCCTCAGCCTCCCAAGTGTCTGGGACTACAGGTACCCGCCCGCTACCATGCCTAATTTTTTGTATTTTTAATAGAGAGGGGATTTTGCCATGTTTGTCAGGCTGGTCTTGAACTCCCGACCTCAGGTGATCTGCCCGCCTTGGCCTCCCAAAGTGCTAGGATTAAAGGTGTGATCCACCACACCTGGCCTTTTGAGCCCTCAGAAGAACATTTATCCATAAACATTCTTGAGAAGGCATGCCAATAAGAAGAGAAATAAATCCAGGGGGCTACAAAGGAGAGGAGGAAAGCCTCAGGCTCCACCAGTCAATGGGCAGCTCAGTTCTCTGCACTTCCCTTTAGCCAGGCTCTGCTGGGCTTGTGAGGGACCCCCTGAACCTGCATCTCTGGGCTGGGAGTGGCAGGCTAAAGAGGCAAAGTGGCAGGGGAACAAAGATCTCCCTAGCTCTCCCCTCCACCAAGCCCCTCCCCCTGCCAGCCCCAGTCTCTGGCCACACCTTCCCAGTTTCTGGGTCTTTAAAGTAGTCTTCTCATGCTTCTGGGCCAGCTCTCAATTTGGGCTAGTTCACCACTTTGCCTAACATCTGTGACTCATCAGAAAATGGCCAATATCATTGTGCTTTAAAGACTTTAGGAGCTAGATATAAGCCAGGCACAGTGGCTTACACCTGTAATCCAACACTTTGGGAGGCCAAGGCAGGAGGATCACTTGAGCCCAGGAGTTCAAAACCATCCTGGGCCACGTAGGGAAACCCTTTCTCTACAAAAAAAATTTAAAAATCAGGCCAGGTGCAGTGGCTCACGCCTGTAATCCCAACACTTTGGGAGGCCGAGGCAGGTGGATCACCTGAGGTTGGGAGTTCAAGACCAGCCTGGCCAACAATGGTGAACCTCCATCTCTACTAAAAATACAATAAATTAACCGGGGGGTGGTGGTGGCATGAGCCTGTAATCTTAGCTACTCGGGAGTCTGAGGCACAAGAATTGCTTGAACTCGGGAGACAGAGGTTGCAGTGAGCCAAGATCACACCACTGGACTCCAGCCTAGGTGACAGAGTGAGACTCCGTTTCAAAAAAAAAAAAAAAATGCCGGGTGCAGTGGCTGACGCCTGCAATCCCAGCACTTTGGGAGGCTGGGGCAGGTGGATCACCTGAGGTCAGGAGTTTGAGACCAGCCTGGCCAACATAAAACCCCATCTCTACTAAATACAAAAATTAGCTGGGCATGGTGCTAGGCACCTGTAATCCCAGCTACTCAAGAGGCTGAGGCAGGAGAATTGCTTGAACCTGGGAGGTGGAGCTTGCAGTGAGGCGAGGTCATGCCACTGCACTCCAGCCTGGGCGTCTCAAAAAACAAAAAATTGCCCAAGTGTAGTGACACACACCTGTAGTTCCAGCTACTCAGGAAGCTGAGTGGGGAAGATTACTTGAGCCCGGGAGGTCAAGGCTGCAGCAAGCCATGATTGCACCCCTGCACTCCAGCTTGAGCAACAAAGCAAGACCCTGTCTCAAAAAAAAAAAAAAGATATAAAATTTCTGTCCAGCCAGCTCTTTTTGCACCACTATTTCTATTCATGTATAAAACCCAAGTGTCATCTTTCTTCATGAGGCTTGAGTAAGGGTCATTTTATAAATCAACATTAGTATCACTAGGCTCTATTCATTAAGGACTCTGTTCTGAAACAAGCTTCTGAGGGAAGTACTGTTCTTATCCCCATTTTACAGATAAGGAAATTGAGGCTAAGAGCGGTCATGGAATTTACCCAGATTCTCACAACTCAAAAGGAGCAGAGCTGGGATTCTAATCAGTTTGTCTCCAAGTCTCTGCTTTTCCACACCTCTGCCTCCTAGAGCCTTAGGAGGTGGCTGGTAGGGGGTGGGTAGGAATCTCACATCTCAAGGTGTATCTGAAGCACACACAAACCAGTCTTAGGAATTCAAATGAAGTACCTCATGGCAAATATGGCATCATAATTCTAATTTTACCTATGACAGTAGTGTCACCAAGAGAACACATTTACTCAGGCTCACAATGGTGATGTAAAATCTTCATCTCCCAGCGCCATTTCAGTATACTTATAATAAAGAGGCAGCATGTAATTTATTAATTTCATTATTGCTTCAAAATCAGCTGACTCATGGGTTCTCTCAATTCAATTATGGCTTCTTTGCTTTCTGAATTGTCTAGGAGTATAATTACAATTTTCCTTCCTATTTCAAGCCCAAATTGAAGCTGTATTATATACAATTGGTCTTGCTTTTTCTCCCATCTTTTACTTTATTGTCAGCAATTATTTCTGATGTTCAACCTGCTCTCCAACTGCACAGTATCCCATGATACTTTGGTCTTATGAGTAAAAATGACTTTTGATCAGCTGGGCATCGTGGAGAGGGCAGTGGGGAGGGAAAGAGTGATGAGGATGGACTTGCCCTGATAACGCTTATCTCATTTTTGGAACAGATGTTAAAAGGAAATTTATTTTGTTGTTTTTGAGACAGGGTCTCGCTCTGTTGCCCAGGCTGGAGTGCAGTGGCGTGATCTCTGCTCACTGCAACCTCCGCCTCCCGGGTTCAAGAAATTCTCATGCCTCAGCCTCCCAAGTAGCTGGGGATTACAGGCATGTGCCACCACTCCTGGCCAATTTTTGTATTTTTGGTAGAGACAGGGTTTCAACAGGGTTTCACCATGTTGGCCAGGCTGGTCTCAAACTCCTGACCTCAGGTGATCTCAGCCTCCCAAAGTGCTGGGATTACAGGCGTGAGCCACTGCGCCAAATTTATATCTAAAACTGGATAGAGTACTTTGAAACAATGGTAGATTATATTGGACTATATTAGCCATTCTAACCAAGGCCCAGAATCCTGCCATGGAAGCCTAAGTAACTGGTTTCACTAACTTTATAAAATTGGAATTCAGTTTAGAAAAACTAGGTTATGCATTTTTAGGAAACTTCTGATTTGAAACAGATCTAACATGACAGATCTTTTATACCTGTTTCTCTCCTGCATAAACAGAAACTTGAGAATGGTGGATTTCCTCAGACCACATCAATTAGGAAAAAAAGGGCTTCTTACATATTAGAGACAAAATGGCTTCTACTGCAACGTGTTGATTACATCTTCAGTATTGAAAATGTATTCATTTGCCTTTCCCTCCATGTTTTTTTTCTTTTATCATTTTGTTTTGCAGATTCAAGATGATTGGAAGTATGTTGCCATGGTGATTGATCGTATTTTTCTGTGGGTTTTCACCCTGGTGTGCATTCTAGGGACAGCAGGATTGTTTCTGCAACCCCTGATGGCCAGGGAAGATGCATAAGCACTAAGCTGTGTGCCTGCCTGGGAGACTTCCTTGTGTCAGGGCAGGAGGAGGCTGCTTCCTAGTAAGAACGTACTTTCTGTTATCAAGCTACCAGCTTTGTTTTTGGCATTTCGAGGTTTACTTATTTTCCACTTATCTTGGAATCATGCAAAAAAAAAAATGTCAAGAGTATTTATTACCGATAAATGAACATTTAACTAGCCTTTTTGGTATGGTAAAGAGATGTCAAAATGTGATTCTATGTGATTAGTATGCTATGCTATGGAATATACATGTAAAAATGTTTCCTTTTAGTTGTTGAAACAAAACTGGATAGAAAAATGCTGTTCAGAAATATGAAAAGTCATTCAGTTATCACTACAGATCTCCCAGTAATTTTTCTTATTTAGCCCATAATCTCTTTGAAGGTTTATACTAATTCAGCAATCCCCCATCGTTACCCATTTCTTACCATGCATTTCTCGTTCTTTACTGGGTCTAAAGGGCTATGCCTCCATTTCAGAGAGCTTCAACTACTTCTCTTGCATACTTCTAAATTATACCATGAGAAATCATGCCTAGTTATTCATTGTTAATATAACTGTCTTAGTACACCATAAACTGGGTGGATTATAAACAACAGAAACTTCTCAGTTTTGGAGGTTGGGAGGTCCAAGGTCAAGGCACCAGCAAATTTGGTGTCTGGTGAGGGTCCTCTTCCTCAAAGGGTGCCTTCTAGCTGTGTCCTCACATGACTGAAGGGACTAGCTATCTCTGTGGGGTCTATTTTATAAGGGCACTAACCCCATTCATGAGAGCAGAGCCCCCATGGCCTAATCACCTTTCCAAGGCCCCACCTTCTATCTAAGACAATCACGCTGGGAATAGGTTTCAACATATGAATTGGGGGAGGACACATTTGGACCACAGCATGAACCTTTAGAACAGGGTTTCTCAGCCTTAGCACTATGGACATTTTGGGCTGGATAAATATGTGTTGGTACAGAATGGGGGTATCCTGTGCATTGTAGGATCTTTAGCAGTACCCTAGCCTCAACTCACTAGATGCCAATGACATACCTTGCTTCTTCACCAGTTATGATAACCAAGAATGTCTCCATTGTTAAATGTTCCCTTAGGAGCAAAATTGCCCCTGGTTGAGAAACATTGCTTTAGACAAATTGTTAAGAGTATCATGTACTACACTTCTGAAACTTAACGTGATCATCACCACTGACAGATGATTCACAGAGACTGTTTGAATCTTGTCTCACTAGTTTTTCCTGTGCAAAAATAAAATGGACAGAATTGCAGCCCGCTGTGACTCATGTTTCAATAAGTCAAAAGAAAGATGTCGATAAAAATTTATATATAAAAATCATAAGTAACAGTAATGGTAGTATAAGAGGGATCAGGGATGTATACGAACTAAGGTAGGTAGCTGGCAGGCAATCTAAATTCATCACACCAGGCTTTCACTCATTAAATGGCATTAAACACCTGCCTACGATTAAATGCAAATTAGATAGGGTCTCCTCCGCCTTCCAAAGAGCATTGGCTTGAACTTAGATAGGTTACTTATTATAAATAAATGAGGTGTTTGTGATCTCAACAGCTAAGAGTTCTAAATTGAACGAGGGTTTCTGTCAGTGTTTGCTACCTGGTCACACCTGAAGTGGTGACATTTAGAGATGGAATTTAACTGTTTTAACTGTGATACATTATACTGTACTAAATCATTTACGCTGTACTAGTAATAGGCTAAGATTGATTACATCTAAAGGCCCTTGCAACTCTAAGATTCTATTATTGTAATTGTTAGAATGAAGGAGAGAAAACTGAAATATTACAGGTATATAACAGTGTGCATATACCAAATTAGAATACTGTGTTTCATATTAGAAGATTGTTTTCTCACAGAATGATTTAGACCAAAATATGTTTGAGACAGAGTTTTGCTCTTGTTGCCAGGCTGGAGTGCAATGGCGCAGTCTCGGCTCACTGCAGCCTCCACCTCCCAGGTTCAAGCGATTCTCCTGCCTCAGCCTCTTGAGTAGCTGGGACTACAGGCGCCTGCTACCATGCCCGACTAATTTTTTGTATTCTTAGTAGAGACGGGGCTTCACCATGTTGGTCAGGCTAGTCTCGAACTCCTAACCTCTGGTGATCCACCTGCCTCAGCCTCCCAAAGTGCTTGGATTACAGATGTGAGCCACTGCCCCCGGCCCTAAATATGTTTTTTAAATGGGGTTCATGTAATTGTAGTGGACTGACTATTCTAAGATCAAGGATAAAGAGATACTACCACAATTTATATAGAAGATGGTTCTATTAATTGTGGGAAATGTGGACAAGAGGACTGAAATTAATGTTAAGGATATGCTACTGCGTGTCCACAGGAGTTGTCTACTGTATGACTTTACAGTGGAAGCTAAGCTACAGAAATAGTTAACACAATAATTAAGCATCTAAAGAATAAAGTAAGCCTTAAAGGAGTTCCCAATTCCTGTTTTTCATTTATTTTTAAAATGTTGGTTATGGAAAAGCAGCAGCACATTAAGTTGTTGTTATTATTATTATTTGAGACTGAGTTTTGCTCTTGTTGCCCAGGCTGGAGTGCAATGGCGTGATCTCAGCTCACCGCAACCTCCGCCACCTGGGTTCAAGCGATTCTCCTGCCGCAGCCTCCCAGGTAGCTGGGATTACAGGTGTGCACCACCACCCTGGCTAATTTCATATTTTTAGTAGAGACGGGGTTTCTCCACGTTGGTCAGGCTGGTCTCGAACTCCCAACCTCAGGTGATACGCCCACCTCGACCTCCCAAAGTGCTGGGATTACAGGTGTGAGCCACCGTGCCCGGCCACATTAAGTAATTATTATATCAAGCATCACATTAAGTAATTATATCAAGTAGTCAGCTTTTTAAATATAGCAGTATAATATTATATTAAAGATTAGCTGTTACTCAGTGAGTACAGGAAAGTTTACATACCTTTACCAAATGCAGAAAAGTTTTAAAATCAGTCTTCAAATACAACTGGAATTCTCCAGCACAGTCAAAGGATGAACTTTACTGTGGATTATAAATTAGTATTATTTGCCAGGATACAAATACTAGATTTTTCACTAGTCCAGTTCAGATAATATTTTGCTATTTTTACAAGATCAAATGTATCTCATCAGTTATTACTTCAGTCATACAGCCAACTGTTCAAATGGATCATCTGTTAACATAAATTGAGGTTAGCAACTTAGTCTGTTAAAGCTTGCACTAAATTTAACACATAACTTACATTTTCATAATTTTATAGGTGCCATCAGATATATGTGTGTTAACTAAATGTATACTTCAGTCCCTTGGGAGGCTTCACTTATTTGCATTTCCAATATGAACTGGTATTAATATATTTGCCCATTTATAAATAACAGGAACAAAAAGCCCAAGAGATCCAACAATTGAAACGAAAAGAAAAGTCCACAGAAACATCCGATCAAGAACCTGGGCTATGAATTTCCAATCTTCAACAACCTGTTAGGAAAAAAATAAAAATGCATTAAATAATTGTAAATTGTGTACATATTTTAAGATATAACAAACACACTGAGTTAGAAGCCAAATCGATTTCTGCCTCCCATTGCTGCCTCTAAACGGTAAGTGACCCTATACTCAGCTCAGGGACAGACACTAGCCTGAAGGTCTACTATAGATATAAGCTTTAAAAGACACTACAAAATATGTTCATTTACACATCAACTTATATTACAAGTGGTTTATTTTGATAGATTAAAAATTAAAATAGACTTGGATATTTTACAATAAACTAAAAAAAATTATTCTTACTATATATACTTATTCTTGCCCAGTAGTGTTTACTTATTTTAATATTTTGAGAGACTCTAGCCTGAGATTAATTTCATGCCAAATTAAAAGTTGGTTCAGAATAATACATGTTAGAAAGCTGTTCATCTTCCTCACATACACACTTTATTTATTTTTGGATTTCCTAGGGACCACTTCAGTCTAATTTCATGAGCACAGAACAGTCTTCCCTGGAGCCAGCTTTAGTAGGGAGCTGGCTCAGCAGCTCGGAGCCACCACAAGGAAAAAGAAGGATGAGCCCAGCCACTAAGCAGCAGGGGCTCCCCTTTCTACAAGGCCATTTCCTTGACCAGGGGCTTCCCTGGCCCTGAACCTCTATGAAGGATGGTGTCCTCTATGGGAACTGTGCCTCCAAAGTGTAGGATAATTTAGAATTTAGGGCATTGTAAACCCTGTTACTTCTCTGCTTATTTTATTTTGAGACAGAGCCTTGCTCCGTCCCCCAGGCTGGAGTGCAGTGGCGTGACCTCGGCTCACTGCAACCTCTGCCTCCCAAGTTTAAGTGATTCTTCTGCCTCAGCCTCCCAGGTGGCTGGGACTACAGGCACACACCACCATGCCCAGCTAATTTTTCTATTTTTAGGAGAGACAGTGTTTCACCATATTGGCCAGGCTGGTCTCAAACTCCTGACCTCGTGATCCACCTGCCTCAGCCTCCCAAAGTGCTGGGATTACAGGCGTGAGCCACCGCACCTGGCCACCTCTGCCTCTGTTTTTATCTGAAAATAAAACCAACCTCCTTGGTCCTAGTAGTATGAGCCATGACCCTTTTGCACAATACTTTGCAGACATTTATTAAATTCCATCTCAGTCTAAACCATTACCTAACAAATCTATGTACTTTTAAAAACTCCAATGATAGCTCCAAACCTTATAAACTAATTTCATTATGCTACCACCAAATAGATACTTCACAAACCCACAAGCATTAGAAGTTTTTATGATGGGTGCACCAAAGTCTCAGAAATCAGCATGAAAGAACTTATGCATGTGACCAAACACATGTTCCCCAAAAACCTATTGAAATACAATAAAATAAGGAAGGAAAGTCTTATTGAAATTAAATCATTAACATATGAAAAAAAGTTTTAAAAATATATACATCAAATGTCCCTTTTGGGATAAAGGCTGTGATTTTGCCAGATTTATTCTGTCTCCTCATACCTGATGGAAATTTTCCATTTAAAATAGCTTTACAGATTATAATTCACATAATTTTAATGTACATTCAATTATGAAAATATTACTATAGTCATAGGTTTAAAATAATACACAATAGAAGAAATAACAGTGACAAGACTGAATTTTATACTTATAAATTCCACATTAGGCTCATTCTTTAAAAGAACTTTTTTTTTTTTTTTTTTTTTGAGACGGAGTCTTGCTCGGTCGCCCAGGCTGGAGTGCAATGGCGTGATCTCGGCTCACTGCAATCTCCGCCTCCTGGGTTCAAGTGATTCTCCTGCCCCAGCCTCCCGAGTAGCTGTGACTATAGGCATGTGCCACCATGCCCAGCTAATTTTTGTATTTTTAGTAGAAATGGAGTTTCACCATGTTGACCAGGCTGATCTCAAACTCCTGACCTCAAATGATCCACCCACCTCGGCCTCCCAAAGTGGTGGGATTACAGGCATGAAGCCACTGCGCCCAGCCTAAAAGAACTTTTGATAACTCCATTAACTGTTATAATGGAGTTCTGCCTACAGATTATCACAATTTAGAAACAAAGTTACTGAAGACAAAATTAAAACAGTTCACCCACTGCCCTCACCCCAAGAAATTAAAACAATTCATCAGGTCAGAGCCAAGAAATATGGCAGGATTATTCCTTAGAATATAACACTAAATTTTCTTTAGAGTTATCCAAGATGCTGATGGGGGAAGTGGAGAAGTGAGATTTGTGTAAATGCCCCATTTTGCAGGTGCTTTAACTGAAACAAGCCTTAGTAAAGATCTTTTATAGAAAATATGTCAACAATTCTGGCCCTCAATCTATGCTTAGTCTTACTTAAGGGTCATGCTGTTTACTCTGCCAAAATTAATGAAAGTAACTTCTGAACTTAAAATGGAAGAAGATCTGCATTTGTAAATACACATCACAGACCTCACGGACATCATTTTCCTTCATGATGTGTCTTGTAATGTAGCGAATAGAATCGAGCGCAGCTTCCAATGTGTTTCTAGAAGATTTTGGTCCACTACCACTCTCAGTTTCCTCTTTCTGAGTGAAGTACCTGTCTACATGACTTCTCATGCAAAGCAGTTTGGGAAGCGTGTGAAGAAATATCTTGCGGACCAAAGGCGCCATGGCATTATGTGTTGAGGAAGAACGATGATGAATGTTGATAGCGAAGACGGTTACCATAATTGACAGTGTCACAAAAATCATGGTAAATACCAGATACTCTCCAATTAGAGGTATGACTTTTGAAGATGATGGTATGATCTCTTCAATAACCAGAAGGAAGACAGTCAAAGACACAAGTACTGAAGTGCAGAGACAAATCTTTTCACCTTCATTTGAAGGAAGATAGAAGACAAGTACAGTTAAAAATGAGAGCCCAATACAGGGTATTATAAGGAACAAGGTATAAAAGAGAGGCAGGCGCTTGATTACAAATGAGTAAGTGACATACGGATACCAGCAACAGCTGTCGGTTCTGTTTCCTTTGCTCCCTGTTGCACTCACAATCTCCCATTCTCCATTATCAAAAAAATCTCTCTTGTCTACATCTTGGTCCTCTAGAATTATATCAACCTGTGATCCATCATAAGTCCAAGAACCAAATTTCATGGAACAGTTCTGAAGGTCAAATGGGAAAAACGTGACATCTATGGTACAGGAACTTTTGTAGTTTGCCGGTGGAGTCCAGGTGACAGTGCCATTGTACCTGATGACTGTTTTCGTACTGGTCCCTTCAAAACGTCCATCTGCACTAAAATACACACATATAAAATAACAATGCAGAAATTAAACAATGCACATGAATTGTATTAATATAAGCCTAATATAAAAGCAGGCCTATCATTGATTGCATGAAATAATTTTTAAATTACTATACTTCAGATAAGATATACGTGCTACATAGGGACCCTGCTCCAGGAATATCTTCCTTAAATATCTAACTCTACTAGAACTGAACCCCTTCTTCTGCATCTACTCCAGAACTGACAAATTTTCACAGAAGCCTGAGATTCTAATGATTGAAAAGACCTCACCTTACACACAGAATAGACTCAGGCTATTGACACAATGGGCACGCATACAGCCAGAACCTGAATCCACACTCCTAGACTCCCTCCACAGTGCTCTTCTTCCTTCATCGCAAATACTGGCCGTTTTTTACTTTGATGGGGAAAGACCATGAACACCAAGCTGGGCATGACCCTGAAAAGCAGCTATGCCTCTCAAGCTCTCCCACCAAGTGAATTCATATATGAGAAAAGTCTAGTATAGAATCCATATACTAGGAAAGCACACCACCAACATAAGATTTCTTTAAAATGTTGCTGTCTTCAAATTCATGTGGCTTTTGCACACTATTCTGTAATATATCCATGTTTAATATAAAAATGTTTTCAATTACTGAAAATAAAATGATGCTCCAGGAAGCTGCATCATGTGTCCTTACAAGCTTTGTTCACTTCTTAAGAAGCATGGAGGTAAAAAGTGTCAAAAGATTAAAGATATTTTTGCATAGCAGTTGCTCTGTCCTCATGCCAAATGGCCTTCTTTCGAATCAGACAAAGTGCTTTAAGATAAGCACAAATTCCCAGATTTGCCCAGGAGTGGTCTTAGAAAAAAATAAAACTGGTACCCAGAATTTTCCTCTCCCCTAAGTTAAAAAAAAAAAAATCCTCAAAACACACCTAGGTAGGATGCCTCTAAAGATGAATTGATAATTAACCCAGCATTCCTCATTGTGGGAAAATGACGATACAGTATTTAAACACAACTAGAAGGATGCACAATTCAACATAAAATATGACCTCAACGACGTAAAAAACATACAAAAAAATCTAGAAGTCTGCCAAATATGTAGTCTAGTAAAACAAAGAGTAAATGGAGGTATCAGTCCCCTTGGTGTGACCCCCCTACTCTGCCATGTGCTAGCTCTGTGATCTTGGAAAAGAACAACCACCCTAAGCCTCTGTTTCCTCATCTATAAAACATGTAATCATACCCAGGCACATGCGGTCATGTCATTTGATTTTTATACCTAAACAATTTCAAAAGGGAGAAAAATTATTAGTGCCTAATAGAAATACAAATGTTTTCTTTTGAAAATATAAAACTATATTTAGAATATAACTTACTTATCAAACAAAACGATGTCTGGTGTCCAGACAGAGTCTGAAGGAACACGTATAACTTTTATTCCACCATAGTCATCAGGGTTCCATCTTAATTTTACATCTATCCATTCCTTTAAAACAAAGAAATCTGCCTCAATTTCAATAAAACTAATAGTCAAAAACAGTGAATACCATACTTTTTTGTCACACCAGAAATTTTAGACATGAGATCATCTCTACCCCCAATAGAGAACACCTCCCTGTCTTTCTTATTATGGGCACCAGATAACCCTGTCCCCTTGTGTAGTGGTTCTCACCATGGTCCCTGTGAGACACAGGTGAGAACCAGAGCTAGATGTGTTCATGGCTCTGCTCGGCAACTCTTCTCCCATCAACTGACTGACTATATCCAGGACTTGAAGCCACAGGCACTTAATATCCAGGTTCAAGGGAAACATTCTTTTTTCCAGATGTATTGTCACCCAATTTGGCTGTTCTGGTCCATGCAAAAGGGAGTTGGATTTATTGCACATTCTGCGTATTTCAACACCTTACCCTACCTCCATGCAGTTACAATTCTGTGATCAAGTTAGGAGCTGCACCCTGAGAAAAGCATATATGCCTTTCAGGAGTTCGGGGTTAGAAAACAAATAGTAGGTATAAAAATTAGGGATGATAAAAACAAAAGGAAGCGCTCAACAGCAGTTAGGACATATGTATGGTGGCCCAGAAAAAAACAAAAGTCCTTTATATAAAAGGGACTATCTATTAAAAAAAAATTCATTTCATTCTTGCCCATTTCCACCTTAGAGAGTCAGAATCCTTGCAGTGGCCTATAAGCAGCTGCTACTCCACCAGCCTCTTCTTGCTTATCTGATGCCATCTCCTACACCCCCTCTCCCCAATGGTTCTCTCACTGCTAGCCACACTGGCCTCCTTGCAACTGCTTAAACACACTAGGCACACACCAGCTCAGAAACCTTTGCACTTGTAGGTCCTGCTGCCTGGAACGCTCCTCCCCAGATATACACATGGCTTGCTTCCTCTCCACCAAGACTTTGTTCAGACATTATCTTCTCAATGCTGTTTTCTCTGACCACCATTTTTATAAGTACACCCCCGACCCCAATACTCCCTATCTTCTTTTCCAGTGTGTTTTTCCCCAAGCTTATCAGCTTCTAAGGTACTATACAACTTGTTTATTTTTCCCCCACTAGAATGAAGTTCCATGAGGGCAGGTGATGTGGTTTGGCTGTGTCCCCACCCAAATCTCATCTTGAATTGATGGTTTTATAAAGGGCAGTTCCCCTGAACATGCTCTCTTGCCTGCTGCCATGTAAGACATGCCTTTGCCTCTCCTTCACTTTCCACCATCATTGTGAAGCCTCCCCAGTCATGCTGAACTGTGAATCCATTAAACCTCTTCCCTTTATAAATTACCCAGCCTTGGGTATGTCCTTATAGCAGTGTGAGAACGGACTAATACTACAGGGTTTTTTGTCTGTTTTGTTCACTGCTGTTTCCCCATAACAGTGTCTGGCACACAATAGGCACTCCAAAAATACTAGCTGAATAAATACAAGAACTCCATCTACCCTCATCTTTCTGTGTCCTGCCAATCCACCAAGGCCATATAGTCACGTATTCATTTGTATTCACAAATATACATACTCTTGTATTTCTGCTACAATACATATAATAAAAATAGGTGTCCCAGTCACTAATTGGGTGCCCGTTTGAATTTTACACACATACCTGTTTCAACCAGACGTTTGTTGTCATTAACTGATTTTTCTCATCCTTTAAAAAATAAAAATTTAAATAAGATTGATTTCAATTACAGAAACAATAATTCTTTAAATAATAAATTTCACATTGTTATATAAACACTCTTCTTCACATAGTACCCACATTTCATTCATCAATCTGGTTCTCTAGAAAGCTAGGATCTTTCTTCCAGCCTAATTTCACATTACTCCTTTCAACATACTCTCTATTTCAGATAAACTACACTAAAAGATACCTTTGGCATTTTTGCATTTAACATTAATCATCTCAACTACTATATTTCCTCATATTTAAGATGCAGTCTAAGATATAAGCATAGTGTTATTTTATGTGCTTAGCACTAAGAGGAGAAAAAAGGGCTGTCAATGAATTACAAGCTGCCATGAATTATAAGACACATCATGATTTCAGAAGTATTAAAATGCGGAAAAGTGTGCTTCTTAGAATCAGTGAGATACGGTATTTCTGTACATCCCTGAGGGACATCTCTTACAGTCATTTGCCTCTGCTGAGGGAAGAATCTGAATTTCCCTGTAGGTCTGCTAGACAGAAACAACATTGAGGGCTGGGCGCAGTGGCTTATGCCTATAATACCAACACTTTGGGAGGCCAAGGTGGGCAGATCACTTGAGGGCAGGAGTTTGAGACCAGCCTGGCCAACATAGTGAAACCCCATCTCCACTTAAAAAAAAAAAATACAAAAAATTAGCCAGGCATGGTGGCACATGCATGTAATCCCAGCTATTCAGGAGGCGGAGGCACAAGAATTGCTTGAACCCGGGAGGCAGAGGTTGCAGTGAGCCAAGATCATGCCACTGCACTACAGCCTGGGCAACACAGCGAGACTCCATCTCAAAAAAAAAAAGAAAGAAAAGAAAAGAAAAAGAAAAAGAAAAAATATTGGCAGCCTTGAATACGAATTTCATAAAGCTTTTCGTGCCTACTTTTGTAGAGAACTGGAGGTCCTTGGTACTTCTCACTTACACCTCTCTGCTATCATGTCTTTGCTATGCCAGTCCTTTACCAAATATTCAAGGTGTAATTAAAGTAATACTTCTTCCATTAAATTTTAGTGAAATATCATGGAGCCAGGAGAATCAACAAAAGATCCATAATCACCAGCCGCAAATATATTATGTGTAGGACACAATGCTATGCACAGAGACTCACAGAAGTATGAGGAAACTGGGGAGATAGGACAGGGGTGTAAATAAATATTAATACCTCAGGTAACTGGAGGTGACCCATTCCTTATCCCGTCCCAACAACAGGTAAGTGACCCAGGACAAAGGAAGAGACCAGAAGGAAGCATACCCCTGAGGATGCAGGCAGCTCCATGAGGTCCCTGCATGGGGAGAATGAGTACTGGGAAATGCAGCACGGCCATCTCTCTTACACTGCAGTTCCAAAGAGCAATTTTCCTTGATTAAAACACTAGAGCTGGCTGGGCACGGTGGCTCACACCTGTAATCCCAGCACTTGGGAGGCCAAGACGGGTGGATCACGAGGTCAGGAGTTCGAGACCAGACTGGCCAATATGATGAAACCTGGTCTCTACTAAAAATACAAAAAGTAGCCGGGCATGGTGGCACACCTGTAGTCCCAGCTACTCAGGAGGCTGAGGTGGGAGAACCGCTTGAATCTGGAAGGCAGAGGTTGTAGTGAGCCAAGATCATGTCACTGCACTCCAGCCTAGGCGACAGAAACTGGCCCAGAGAGGTGACTTGCTTAAAGTCACAGCACCGATTACTGGTAGCACTGATTTTAGAACTCAAATTTCCTAAATCTAAAGCCACCAACTCTGCTATCCACCCTAGTCGCACACCACCCAGAATAACTGCTGATCCCTGTATCTGAATATGCCTGTTAGGCAAAAGTTCTAAACAGAGGCATTTATAATTAGGAAAGTTCTGGTAAACATATTACCCATGATGATAGTATATAGCAATAGGTCATCTTTGAGAATCTAATGAAACTTATGGGCCTTTCCCTAGAAAAATGTGCACACACACATAAATTGGGCTCCCAGTCAATACTTAGCACTTTCAACAATAACACAGATAAAAGAATAATCCATAAGTTCACAAATGGCCCCTAAGATGTGGTGGTTAGCCATTACCATAAGGGATACCGCCTAATTTAATGTGACCTCAAATACCTCCCAAGCATCTATAATGTGCTCAGCACAATGGAGGATGCAACAAAAATGAACTGAGGACAGATAAATGTACGATGATCCCCAGGAGGAAACCTAAACTAACAAATGGAAAAATGTTAACTACATGTGTAAATATAGCAGAAGAGTTTCAGGGGTAATCGTATTTATAAAAAGATTTTATCTTTAAAATCAAAACAAACAAGCCAAAAATGAGATTTAAAAACAAAAAAAAGACAGAATATGTGGGAAATAAGGCAGGAATCCACCAAATATGATTCCGGGGAGCTTAGCGATAAAAGGAACCTAAAACATCTCAGACACAATTCAGTGAATTTGCCATTCTCCATCTCCAGAGCCCTCACCCTTCATCTCCCCTGACTGCAGTCCTCTTCTGCTTTCGTAGTCACTGACATTTCATTTTTTGGGCTCTTCTCTCAAGAAGCAACCCTTCCCCAACTTCTCTGCTTGGTTACCCCTTCCTTCTACCACTTTCTACAAATGTTCCTCAAGGATCAGGTTCCTGCTCTTCCCACTAACTTTAAAAACTCATCAAAGTGGGAGGTGAGAGGCAAGGGCAAAAACAAAAACAAAGAAAACTCATCAAAGTTTTCAACAGTCTCCTCCAGGCCAGCAATTCCAGATGGACATCCTTGTTCTCATCTGTCATCTCAGAGCCAGTCTTGACTTCCCAAAAGCTAGTGAACATTTTCTTTGGAATTAACACCTCAAACCACAATCAAACTCATCATCTTCTCTGCCCTACTCCCGTAACAATGAAGAGTATTTTTCTTTTTTTTTTTTTTTGAGACAGAGTCTCGCTCTGTCGCCCAGG
Organism: Homo sapiens; assembly: GCF_000001405.40. Classification (NCBI taxonomy): domain Eukaryota; kingdom Metazoa; phylum Chordata; class Mammalia; order Primates; family Hominidae; genus Homo; species Homo sapiens. The sequence continues at coordinate 78,583,666 of NC_000015.10, read as the reverse complement.
CTGGAGTGCAGTGGCGCAATCTCGGCTCACTGCAAGCTCCGCCTCCCAGGTTCACACCATTCTCCTGCCTCGGCCTCCCGAGTAGCTGGGACTACAGGTGCCCGCCACCATGCCCAGCTAATTTTTTTGTATTTTTTAGTAGAGACGGGGTTTCACCGTGTTAGCCAGGATGGTCTCAATCTCCTGACCTTGTGATCTACCTGCCTCGGCCTCCCAAAGTGCTGGGATTACAGGCGTGAGCCACTGTGCCCGGCCGACAGTATTTTTCAAATGTGTTACTCTTCCACTCTAATCACCTAGGCTTCAAAATGTGATGCCTCCCTCCATATTCAGTGGTCAAGTCCTGTTCCTTCTTGTATGTGGTCTTCTAACTTGCCTTTCATTTTCTAGTCTCTCTTTCACTCCTCAAAACCATGTACATTACTGTTTTACTGATCTTCTGAAAGTACTGCTTTGATCGTGTCTGTTGCCTATCAGGTCTCTCACTCATTCAGCATTTACTATGTACCAGATACCGTGCTAGGTTCTGGGACAGATACAAGGAATAAAGTTCACCCAGCTTTGAAGATGAAATGCCAGAGCACATGAGTACCAGTGAGTGTAATGGGCACCATATTAAAGTGCAAAAAAAAAAAAATTTTGAACACAGGAGAGGCTGTCTTATGGATTCTGGAAAGATTTCACAAAGGGTCTGACAGATGAATTTGGCCTTGAATAATAAATGGCTAGTGCCAGTAGGAAAATTCTCCCAAGAAGTAAACATGGCAGGAGTAAAGACGAAGTGGCATGCAGGGATTCTCCTCACCTTCTCCACCGTCCAGTCAGACCACTCCTGTATGCCAGGGCTCCCAACATTCATCTTTTGATCTAAACAGCTGTACAGGAAGGCTCAGTTATCACTTATATACCTACAACTATATTGTTCCTTTGTACTTAAATACTTTTCCTCTCTGCCACGTTGAAACCCTACACTTCCTACAAAGCCAGCTCGGGTGCCACCTCATCTACCCTACCTTCTTTGATAAGGTCATTCATTAAGATCTGCATTCCCAGCTCTTTCTGGCATCATGATTTAGTGCTACAGTTTTCTACACCATTTGTGTGTCAATGACCTCAACCAGAAAGATCTTTGAGAGCAAGCCCCACCCACCTTACTTTTTCTTTTCTTTTCTTTTTTTTTTTGAGACAGAGTCTTGCTCTGTTGCCCAGGCTGGAGTGCAGTGGTGCAATCTCAACTCACTGCAACCTCTGCTTCCCAGGGTTCAAACGATTCTCCTGTCTCAGCCTCCTGAGTAGCTGGGATTACAGGCACGGACCACCGCCCAGCTAATTTTTGTATTTTTGATAGAAATGAGGTTTTGCTATATTGGCCAGGCTGGTCTGGAACTCCTGACCTCAAGTGATCCACCCACCTTGGCCTCCCAAAGTGCTGGGATAACAGGCATGAACCACCACACCTGGCTACCACCTTACTTTTCCACTTTCCTATTTTCATTTAAAATCTCCCCATATTGACTAGCTAAGGGCTGAGCACACACAGTCCACATATATTCATTAACCTTTCTGGAAGCAATTAGATGACATAGCAATAGACTTTGAAAAAGGTATATCCTTTGGTTCACTAACTGCCTTTCTTAAGGAAAGGAGACGTTCAGGCATTTGTGTACAAATATATTCATCATTGTTAATTATAATAAGAAAAATTGGAAACAAGCTTCTGTTCAAAATGGGAGAATGCTTAAATTATAGATGAAATATGTAACTATTAAAAATTATATTTGGAGAGTATGTAATGACATAAGAAAATGTTCATCATGTCATAGTAGAGAAAAAGCAGTAATCAAAATTATTTCTAAAATATTATTCCAATTTTGTAACATATACACAAAGACAGACTGGCAAGAAACACAACTAATTATTAACATTAGTCATCTCCGGGTAGTAGAATTACAGTCACTTTTTATTTTCTCATTTGTATTTTTTGCACTTTCCAAATTCTCTACAAAAATCACGCATTGCTTCTGTAATCAGAACATAAAGCACATCTATAAATGTTATTTTAAAACATACATATATATAAATATACATATACTTGGTTATTTTGGGAACACAACAGGGAAATAATTATTGATTTACATGTTCAGAACAAGAAGAAACTAGTTTAAAAATTAGCATGAATGTTTTAGTTTAAATAGATAGGATCTCTTGACAATAAGTACAATTTATCAAGGGAACTTATTCTACTAATGAACGTCATATAGAAAAATTTCTGAAATGTTTTAAGTGTGAGCCCAAGATAATGATCTCTTGTGATACTTTTAGTTCCTAAGAATCTATCACTCTATTTTTGGACTTTTTCTCTTAAACTTAAAAATTTATTTTCTTTTCCCTCCTTTCAAGCTAACTTTTTGAAACTATTTTTAACACATTTAAGGAATACACAATGTTTTAGATCTTTGAATTTGTTAAAGATAGACTTATAATTACCAAATTGAGATAAACAGTTTCTAAACTATAAAATATATAAACACAGTGTGTTATCATGTATGTGACACAATCACTACTTTTCCCTGGTGAGTTCCTTCAGGCAAAGGACTGCTTCAATCACCTTTGTAATCCTTGGTGCCTAGCACAGTGCCTGGGCACACACCAGGCTCTCACTAAATCTGTGGGAAATTGACTATAGAAGGATATGCACACCTACCACATCCACCAATTGAGATATTGCAAGTCCAAATTTTATTTTTATTTTGTCATTCAGGTGTTCCACAGGACGAACCCATCTTTCGTAGTCTTGAAATAAATCCTTAAGCAAACTATCTTCATGTTTTGCAATAGAAGAAGGTTCAGATAATCCTGTATAACAAATTTTTAAAAGTTAATGTACTCGCTTCTCTCCCACCAGATACCTGTACTTTCAAACAAAAGTTCAAACCCAGGAGGCAAAGGTTGCAGTGAGCCAAGATCGGGCCACTGCACTCCAACCTGGGCCATGGAGAGAGACTCTGTCTCAAAAAAAAAAAGGAAAAAAAAAGTTCAGATTATTAATGAACCAAACTACAATTTAGGCTATTATTAATGCAGCTTTTAAAATGAAATATTAATGTAAGTATTTCTGATAGAATAAGGGACACTCTGGTTCAGATACGTCTCAGTTAAATCAGACTGACTATTGGAATATGCTGAGCTCCTTAAGAAACACTCAGTACTCAATACAGAATAGTTTCAAATCTAAATAATAAAAGCTTTTAAATTGCCAGGGTGGCAGGAGTTATCTTGAAATTCCAAACCTAGAAAACAGATATACTAAAGCAAAGCTCATTTATCAATTATAAATGTTAAAATTGCTTTAATTTGCATAATCTTTTTTTTTTTTTTTTTTTTTTTGAGACGGAGTCCTGCCTGGTCTCCCAGGCTGGAAGTGCAGTGGTGCAATCTCGGCTCATTGCAACCTCTGCCACTGGGATTCAAGCAATTCTCCACCTCAGCCTCCCGAGTAGCTGAGACTACAGGTATCCACCACCACGCCTGGCTAATTTTTGTATTTTTAGTAGAGACGGGGTTCCACCATGTTGGCCAGACTGGTCTTGAACTTCTGACCTTCAGCAATCTGCCCGCCTCAGCCTCCCATAGTGCTGGGATCACAGCTGTGAGCCACTGTGCCTGGCCTGTCATAATCTTAATATGAAAATATATAAATATTGAATGATTGATTTAGCTTTGACATACTTTGCTACTATATTTGTATAAAACTATACATTTGTATAAAACTGCTTTTTAGGGAATAAGGAAGGAAGAACTCGAAGATAGCAGATAGCATGCTGTCCTGGAAGCTAAATGAAGAAAATGCAGCAAGAAGGGTTGAGCCTCCCAATCTACTGATGCTACTCATGAGACATGGAGAGGCAGCTGAGAACTGAGTGTTGGATTAGCAACAGTGAGGTCAATGGTGAATCTAACAAAAGCCATCTATGGGAAGAGAAGAGAGATGAACTGCAGTATGTTTAAGACAGAGTGCAAAGACAGGAATGATCTCTTTCCAAAAGTTATGCTGATATAGGGATACTGAGGATAAAGAATCAAGAAAGGTTTATTTCAAGATCAGTAAAAAAAATAAATAGGCGGTGGCTCACGTCTGTAATCCCAGCACTTTGGGAAGCTGAGGCGGACAGATTACCTGAGGTAAGGAGTTCGAGACGAACCTGGCCAACATGGTGAAACCCTGTCTCTACAAAAAATACAAAAATTAGTCAGGCATGGTGGCACACGCCTGTAATCCCAGCTACTTGGGAGGCTGAGGCAGGAGAACTGCTTGAGCCCGGGAGACAGAGGTTGCAGTGAGCCGAGATTGTGCCACTGCACTCCAGCGTGGCCAACAGAGCGAGACTCTGTCTCAAAAAACAAACAAACAAACAAACAAACAAACAAATAATAAATAAATAAATGTATGTATATGTGAGAATGTGAACATGGTTGGCTAAATAATTCACAGGGCCCAATGTAAAATGAAGATGAGGAATTCCCGTTCAAAAATCAGGAAACATGTGCCATTAAATATACTAAAAAGAAACTTGTTTCTTCAAAAAAATCTATTTAAGGACCTAAGTTGTTAAAAAAAAAAAAAAAGTCAAAATATAAAATGTTTTGGATACTATGGCCAAAGACTGGTTAGATTTGGGGATCACAGTTATGCTTATGCTACTACAGAGCTCAAATAAGCATCTCTGAAGAAATGAGTTTTCACTGTTGTCTGGCCTGGGATCACTTAAGGAAATGTGAAATGTATAAAAATTCAAGCATGACTTTTACTTAAGACTAATGATATTACGAAAAAACCACTTTTACTTGAAACAAAAATGTCACTGGCTTATTAATCAGCAAATATACACATAAGGATTACAGTAGCAAGTGATTGTTCTTCTCCAACCTAAAAGAAATGGTTGGAGAGAAATTAGCACTTTCACAAAATCTTCTCTTTATGATGATAGACCATGTTTTCCATACAGAGATATGAAAGAATATCCAGGTACTCTAGCTGGAGGAAACCTATTTCCTGGTTCTCTTTTTCATAAATAACCTACTCCTCAAGAGTTTGTGTCCTGCTTCCCTGAATAACTAGTTTAATTTTAAAAAATTATTTATTTTTTATTTATTTATCTTGAGACGGAGTCTCACTCTGTCACCCAGGCTGGAGTGCAGTGGTGTGATCTCGGCTCACTGCAACCTCCACCTCCCAGGTTCAAGTGATTCTCTGTCTCAGCCTCCCGAACAGCAGGGACCACAGGCACACGCCACCACGCCTGGCTAATTTTTGTATTTTTAGTAGAGATGGGGTTTCACCCTACTGGTCAGGCTGGTCTTGAACTCCTGACCTTAGGTGATCCACCCGCCTCGGCCTCCCAAAGTGCTGGGATTACAGGCGTGAGCCACTGCGCCAGGCAGTAACTAGTTTAAGATACTTAGTTTAATCTACAAATACTATGGAGTTTGTGTGGTGACGCCTGTAAAAGTCACCTTATGCTGAAATGCACAGCATTGAAGATATTTAGATTAATTTAGAAAATTATACACTAGAGTCATTCTTAATGTTTAAAAGCCATTAATTTTAGAGCTTCAAGTTAAAATAGCATTATTGAACCATTTCTCCTCTTCTAATCCTCCTATAGTCCCTGAAATACCAAAAATTTAAGGGTTAAAAGATAAAAGTATTAATAAATAAAATGTCTTTTTTTTTTTTTTTGAGACAGGGTCTCTGTCACTCAGTCTGGAGTGCAATGGTGCAATCTTGGCTCACTGCAGCCTCAACCTCCTGGACTCAAGCGATCCTCCCACCTCAGCCTCCTGAGTAACTGGGACCACAGGCGTGCACCACACCTGGCTAATGTTTTGTATTTTTGGTAGAGATGGGGTTTCACCATGTTGCCCAGACTGGTCTTGAACTCCTGAGCTCAAGCGATCTGCTAGCCTCTGCCTCCCAAAGTGCTGAGATTACAGGTGTGAGTCACTGCACCCAGCCTAAAATGTCTGTCAATAGCATCTAAAGGAACCTTTGCCTGAGTGGGGGAAAAACTAGCTTGAGTCGCTATCTCAAATCTTCTTTGAAAGAAAGTAGACAGGGTATAAATAAAATAGTAATCCCAACATTCTACCTAATGAGAATCTTCAAGATACTGCTTTGTGAATATCTTCGTAATACATCCCATACTAGAAATACCATTTTCTTAGGACACTTTACAGCAGTGTCCAGTGCAAATGTCAAAGGTATCTTAGCATAAAACCTTGATAGTGCACTTAAATTCTTCTTAGCAGTCATGCTTTTTTAGCTGGCTGTAAATGTTTTAAGTTTCCACTGTTCACAAACCTCAGCATGTTAAAAAGGAGACAATCCAATGCATCCCCTCATTTTACAAATCAGGATATACGTATGAAAAGAAGGGTTGCTGCTACAGAGTTCATAAACCGCAGGGCTCTGAGGGGCACCTTGGCTTCATGCTCTCATCACCCTAACATCTTCCATCTTGTGACAACTTTCTAGATTAACTTAATGAATGCCACACCCCCGATAGCTCTAGCCCACATTGATGTTTACTTATTCATTCATTTAACAAACATTTATCAGACAGGCACTGGGAACACACTGGTAAACAAAACAGACAACATCGACATTTACTATCCAGTAGGAAAGACTGACACTATATGTAAGGTAAATTCTAAATAAACTGAATCAAATGGAAAAATTCTTTTTAGAAGTTGTTTTAAATAGTTAATATTTGCTCATCCTATTCAAAATGAACACTTTTTTGGCATCTCTATAGCACTACATATAGGCTGATGACAGTAATTGCTTTTTTTGTTTTTTTTTTTTTTTGAGACTGGGTCTCGCCCTGTCACCCAGACTGGAGTGCAATGGCGCCATCACGGCTCACTGCAGCCTGGAACTCCTGGACTCAAGCAATCCTCCCACCTCAGCCTCCCTCCTATCTCAAGCTCCCACAGAGCTGGAACTACAGGTGCGTTCCACCACACCCAGCTAATTTATTTATTTTTTGTAGAGACAGGGTCTCTTTTTGTAGCTCAGGCTGGTCTTGAACTCTTGGGCTCAAGCAATCCTCCCACCTTAATCTCCCAAAGTGCTACAAGATCCACCACGCCCGGCCTTACTTATTACATTATTACATTTTAATTTTTCTTCCCTTCCTTGTCTTAAAAATAGTTGACTTGGGCCAGGCGCGGTGGCTCACGCCTGTAATCCCAGCACTTTGGGAGGCCGAGGCAAATGGATCACTTGAGGCCAGGAGTTCGAGACCAGCCTGGCCAACATGGAGAAACCCTGTCTCTACTAAAAACACAATAATGAGCTGGGCGTGTAGCACGCGCCTGTGGTCCCAGCTACTAGGGAGGCTGAGGTAGGAGGATCTATTGAACCTGGGAGGCAGAGGTTGCAGTGAGCCAAGACTGTGCCACTGCACTCCAGTCAGGGAGACAGAGAGAGACTCTAACTCAAAAACAACAACAAAAAAAAAAACAAACAAACAAAACAAAAAACTTGACTTCAAAAGATCCCTTACATCAAAAGGATATACAACCCAGAGAAAATATTTGCAAATCATGTATCTGATAGGGGACTTGTATCTAAAATCTATAAAGAACTATTATAAATGAATAATAAAAAGATTCAATAATCCAATTTTTAAATGGGCAAGAGATCTAAATTAACTTAGACATTTCTCCAAAGAAAGGCCAGTAAGCATATGAAAAGATGCTCAACACCTTTAGCCATCAGGAAAACACAAATCAATACCACAATGAAACAGCACTTCACACCTAATAGGATTGGCTATAACCAAAAAGATAGATAAGTTACTCAACTTTGGATATGATTTTTCTTCATCTGTGACACAGGTATTAAAAAAGTACCTCCCTTATGAGGTCATTGTAAGGATTAGCTAACAGTGTAGATATAAGTGCCAGCACAGGGTCGTTCTTATTCTTCCATAAATGATTGCTAAAGTAATGGTAACTGATAGACCAACAAAGACTGTCTCCAGACAGTCCCAGGCAATGGAACTTTGCAAAAATACAAAGGAAGAATATGCTTGTGGCATTGGGCACTCTTAACACAGTGCAATAATGGGTCACTATAAAGCTTTCCTCAAGTCTCTTCTTGAAACCAAATAATAATAATTATAATACAACCTGCTAATAGCATATAAACCACATATCTCAGAAAAACAAAGGAAACCAAGCAGTGAAGCACACTAAAAATAGGATAAGAACAAAAAAAAATTAAATGGGATAATTCTTCTAAAGTAGTTAAAAGTACAGCTGCTAAGAGAAAAACTAAGTTGAATACCTAACAAAGGTATAAATGTGTATACAGTAATGTCACTAACACTTTTATATATTTACATTTTGGTTTTACAAATTCAATTTTAACTCTTACTATCATTCATTGCCTAAAGTTTGAGGAACTGGGAGAATGACATTTAAAAAAATCACAGTCAAATCATTTGGTGAAACCACATTTATTTTCAAAGAAATGTAACCTTGCTCCTTAGTTTTAGTATGGTGAAAAGGAAAGGACACAGAACTGCAAAGCTGAAAACCTTAATTTGAATACTTGGCACCACTAATAAGCTGTTAACCTCCATCCATAAGCCACAATTTTTTTCCTTTCCTTTTTTTTTTTTTTTTAAGACAGGGTCTCACTTGGTCGCCCAAGCTGAAGTACAGTGGCACGATCTTGGCTCACTGCAGCCTCGATCTCCTGTGCTCAAGCAATCCTCCTGCCTCAACCTCCCGAGTAGCTGGGACAACAGGCACTCGCCACCATGCCCAGCTAATTTTTTTGTAGAGACAGGGTTTTGCCATGTTGCTCAGGCTGGTCTTGAACTCCTGAGCTCAAGAAATCCACCTGTCTCGGCCTCCCAAAGTGCTGGGATTACAGGTGTCAGCCACCGTGTCTGGCCCACAATTTTCTAGCCTATATAAAATAAGGATATCTGTTAGCAATATGTCAATAATTGTTAAATGGGTATGGCAACGACTTTTTGATTCATTACTTTGGACCATTCTTGTGAACATTATTTTTCCATTAAAAAACATTAATAAAAAGGAGAACCTCTGCTTAGCTGCTTCACTCTCGTCTGAATCAAATGAAATAAAGTACATTATCTTACTATGTTAGGTAGTGTCTAGGTAGTTTAAGATTTTTTTAAAAAAACCTTCTTCACTAAATATAGTATGTAGCCAAAAAGATACCTGAGGATTTTTTTTTTTTTTTTTTGAGACAGCGTTTAGCTCCTGTTGGCCAGGCTGGAGTGCATTGGTGCGATCTCGGCTCACTGCAACCTCCACCTCCCAGGTTCAAGCAATTCTCCTGCCTCAGCCTCCTGAGTAGCTGGGACTACAGGCATGTGCCACCACGCCCGGATAATTTTGTATTTTTAGTAGAGACGGGGTTTCTCCATGTTGGTCAGGCTGGTTTTGAACTCCCGACCTCAGGTGATCCGCCCGCCTTGGCCTCCCCCTGAGGATTTAAAAAACCAATTCTAGGCCGGGCACGGTGGCTCACGCCTGTAATCCCAGCACTTTGGGAGGCCGAGGTGGGCGGATCACGAGGTTAGGAGTTTGAGACCATCCTGGCCAACATGGTGAAACCCTGTCTCTACTAAAAATACAAAAAAAAAAAAAAAAAAAAAAATTAGCCAGGCGTGGTGGTGCACGCCTGTAGTCCCAGCTACTCAGGAGGCTGAGGCAGAAGAAGAAGAATCACTTGAACCTGGGAGGTGGAGGTTGCAGTGAGCCGAGATTGTGCCACTGCACTCCAGACTGGGTGACAGAGTGAAACTCCGTCTCAAAAAAAAAAAAAAAATTCTAGGAACATTTGATAGTGCTTTGCTCTGGCATTTTTCCATGAAGAATCATGATTTTCTTATCAAAAGGTAATGATTTGGAAAAAAGTCAACCAACATGTTCAGCAACTAAATGTGGATATTAGCAGTCTTTTGCCAACCTGCAGATAAAAACAGACATTAACTATAATTTAAAGTTTCTGCCACAAATTATTCTTAAATCTTTAGCATCTGCTACAACTTGGCCACACTAGAGCCTAACGTGATATCTTGTTCAATTCGTTAATTCAACAAATGCCAACTAGCTGCTTACTGTGCCAACCTCTGTGCCAGGTGCCAGAGGGAGAGCAGAAAACGAAGACCTGGTGCCTGTCTTCCTGGGGTAAAAACTTGCATATTTATTTACCTTATTATATCATACTTATAATTCTATGGCTATGCAAAGTACACCCCACAGTGAGAATGGCGCCCCTGCCACTGCACAGTGCATCACCTGCATATTCCAACAGCACTGCAGCTCTGGAGTCTAACACAGGATTTCTCAACTTGGCACTACGGACATTTTGGGCTGGACAATTCCCTGTTGTGGAGGGCTGTCCTGTGCCCTGTATGTTTAGCGGCATCCCTGGCTTCTACCCACTAGACATACCACCGCCCCACATGACAACCAATCATGTCTCCAGACATTGCCAAATGTTGGTGAGGGGGAGCAAAACTGACCCTTCTTGCAAACCACTGTTGTGACACTAGTAGCTAATAAGCAGCAGAAGTAGAACTAGGACCCAGATTTATTTTGTTTTTTCTCAAAATGATGCTATAATTGCAAAAGGAATGTGTGGTCACTGTCAAAATTCAAATCCAGAAGCTCATAAAGAGTAAGAATTCTCCCTCCTCCTCTCCTTCGCCTTCCTTCCAAGGGTAACCATTAAGTTTGACGTGTAGATATTTTAAATTACATGCATGTTCACTCACACACAGAAACATGTTTTCCTCTAAGTTCTGCAACTTTTTTTCATTCAATACTATATACCAGCCAGGTGTGGTGGTTCACGCCTGTAATCCCAGCACTTTGGGAGGCTGAGGTGGGGGATCACTTGAGGTCGGGAGTTCGAGACCAGTATGACCAACATGGAGAAACTCCGTCTCTACTAAAAATACAAAATTAGCCAGGCGTGGTGGTGCATGCCTGTAATCCCAGCTACTTGGGAGGCTGAGGCAGGAGAATCACTTGAACCCGGGAGGCAGAGGTTGCAGTGAGCCGAGATCACGCCACTGAACTCCAGCCTGGGCAACAAGAGCAAAACTCCGTCTCAAAAAAAATAAAATAAAAAATAAAAAACACAACTATATAAACTATATACCAGTAGATGTCCAACTATCTCCAGTCTTCCTTCACAAGCTGCAAAGTGATCATTATGAGTGCATTAGACTTTATTTAAGTTTTCACCACTGATTGGCATTTATAGTCTTCAGTTTTTGGTTATTTCTAATAATGTTACAATGGGAAAAAATGCTGTAATTAACAAATCTCTTTTTCCATACTGATGCAAAGATTTCTATAGCAATGATTCTCAGAAGTAAAACTGCTGAGTCAAGGGGGCGCACATTTTAAATCTTGCTAGGTGCTGCCAATATCTTCCTTTTCTTCTTCACAGGCTGCCATAAGAAGGAAATAAGATAATATATCTAAAAAGATTTGAAGAGTGATGTATATTATACCTCCCCAATTCATAATCAAGGCATTCCTGGAGCAGTTAATCTACCCCTGAAGTCTCCTTGCATCTTTTTATAAGTTAGCAAAAAGTGACTTGTACTCTTTTGAAAAAAAAATCCTCTTTGCAGCAGTCCTAGGAGGGCTATTTTAAGCAACAGCAAGATAAAGCAGTGAACGTAACCATTTTGTAAACGAGGGAAAATGTGTATTATATCCAACATTTTCAATGTGACAAACAAGAATGCTTACCAATCATTATTTTAAGTATTACAGATAAAATATAGAGGGATTTTTTTCGCTCCAGGATTTTCATTATATTTTATATTGATTTTTATCACAGAATTATAGGATAAAGTTACACTGTAACTGCTATGCCTTAGTAAACTTAATATCTTACCCTGACTCTCAGAACACTCGCAGTAAGAAAATGAATGACCTTAGGTGGTATTAATTTAGGTGCAGTCAATAGTTCTCGAGGAGACGAGACAACTTGTACACTTCAAAAAAAAAAAAAAAAAAAGGCAGAGCATCATCAGATCAAGTAAATGCAGAGTTCATTATCTTAATTTGGGGCTATAAATCTCTCAACAGGCTATAAATATGTATTATGAGCTAGTATATTTACAATATTATGGAATAAAACACCTAATGGTGCATGAGGTTGCCTGTATGACCTTGAAAAGACTCTTGCAAATTTCCCCCTTAGAGATGTCGAGTTATGAATGAATACTAAGGACTGGAAGAAAATATGGAAAAGTGAAGACAGCTGCTTTGTTAGGACAGCAGGATAATGCTTGTTTTCTTAGCTTCTATTAGCCTTACATTGTTTGGGCTACAATTCATTGTAAATTCACTATTTCCATAATTACTTTCATCGGCTTCCCTTGAGAGTTCACCCAGTTGGTATGAATGTGGACTTTTCTACAACCTTGCTACTTAATTGTGATACACTGACCAACAGTATTCACATCACCTGGGAGCTTGTTAGAAATGCAGAGTCTCAGGCCCTGCTTCTGACCTACTGGATCAGCATCTGCGTTCTGAGGGAATTCCTGTGTACATCTAAGTTTCAGAAGCCCTGGTCAACAAGACCTAGAGAAGTGGTTCTCAAGGGGTAGCAAATGTGAAGAACAATTTTGCCCCCAGGGCACATCTGACAATGTCTGGAGACATTTTTCAGTGGGTGCTACTGGCATCTCATGGCTAGAGACCAGTATGCTGCTAAACATCCTACAAGGCACAGGACGCCCCCCTCTGACAACAAAGAATAACCCAGTACAAAATTTCAGAGGTTGAGAAATCCTGACCTAGAGGAAAGAGTTTTGCCTAATTCCATACATACAGTTGAATGTAAAATAAAAATGAAAATAAAACCAGATAAAAATAAAACCTAAAAGTTCATATCACCTTTTTTGTCAGAATTCAAATATTCATATTTAACTCCTATTTTTACTGGTAAAAGGCTATATTTTATAATCACACTTTGGAAGAGAAGAGCATGAAGTCACTGAATTAAACACAGTAGGAGGGGCCGGGCGTGGTGGCTCACACCTGTAATCCCAGCACTTTGCGAAGCCAAGGCGGGCGGATCATTCGAGGCCAGGAGTTCAAGACCAGCCTGGCCAACATGGTGAAACCCTGTCTTTACTAAAAAAAAAAAAAAAAAAAAAAAAATAGCCGGGATTGGTGGCACATGCCTGTAATTTCAGCTACTTGGGAGGCTGAGGCACGAGAATCATTTGGACCCAGGAGCCAGAGGTGTCAGTGAGCCAAGATCACGCCACTGCACTCCAGCCTAGGTGACAGAGCAAGACTCTGCCTCAATAAAAATAATAAATAAATAAACAGTAGGACAAACAATATCATGTTTCCTCAAAGGAGAACAAAACATCTAAATTAACATTTTTCATCATAGAACAGAAAAGGATGATTTTAAATAATCCTTTCTATCATATTGTCATTATAAAACTATACCCAGGCCAGGCGCGGTGGCTCACGCCTGTAATCCCAACACTTTGGGAGGCCGAGGCAGGCGGATCACCTGAGGTCAGGAGTTTTCAAGACCAGCCTGGCCAAAATGGAGAAACCCCATCTCTACTAAAAATACAAAAATTAGCCAGGCATGGTGGCACATGCCTGTAATCCCAGCTACTTGGGAGGCTGAGGCAGGAGAATCACTTGAACCCAGAGGCAGAGGCTGCAGTGAGACAAGATCATGCCACTGCACTCCAGCCTGGGCGACAGAGTGAGACTCTGTCTCAAGAAAAAAAACAAAAACAAAAACAAAAAAAACACTATACCCATGCTGTTCTGTGGAACAGATGTTTAAAGAAACAAATTCTAAACTTCTTTCAAAAACAATTCCAGGCCGGGCACGGTGGCTCACACCTGTAATCCCAGCACTTTGGGACGCCGAGGCGGGCGGGTCATGAGGTCAGGAGATCGAGACCATCCTGGCTAACATGGTGAAACCCCGTCTCTACTAAAAATACAAAAAATTAGCCAGGCGTGGTGGCGGGTGCCTGTAGTCCCAGCTACTTGGGAGGCTGAGGCAGGAGAACGGCGTGAACCCGGGAGGCAGAGCTTGCAGTGAGCCGAGATTGCACCACTGCACTCCAACCTGGGCAACAGTGCAAGACTCCGTCTCAAAAAAAAAAAAAAAAAAATTCCAATATTTAACAACTCTAATTGTCGACATGCTTATTTAATAGTGAACTTAAACTATCATCTGATAATTTAATTCCAATGCTTTAAGAAAAATAATGCTATTAGAAGAAAAAGTTCTGTACTGAAATTACTGAACTAAAACTTCATATCCTAATTATAAAAAATTACTTGCTAGATCTCATTTGTAGATTATAGGTTGAAAAAAAGCTCAGAGTTCAATCCATAGGCTACATTAATAAATGCAGGTATATCTGCAGTGTATCAGGAAATACACAGACAAATGAAATCCTACCCTCCAGCTGCTCAGTCTAGTTCACATATTTAGTATTTCTTGGAAATCAAAATAATTTTAAATTGCAAATTAAATTGTGTATAAAGTTTACGTAAGGACATATATATAACAAAAGTAAAACTGACAGTCAGTATGTGTGTATTTCTGTTAGCTTCTGAAAATGTTAATGAAAATGACTAAAGATGAGAAGAAAAAAATCTTTCATAGCTCTCATTTTCTATGAATTATTTCATTTTCCTATTTCATTTTCAGCCACTACATATAGTAATTAAAATTAAGGTTCAGCCATTTAAAATGTCACATAGCGTGCAGCCATAAAAAAGAATGAGTTCATGTCCTTTGCAGGGACATGGATGAAGCTGGAAACCATCATGCTCAGCAAACTAACACAGGAACAGACACCAAACACCGCATGTTCTCTTTCATAAGTGGGAGTTGAACAATGAGAATCCATGGACACAGGGAGGGGAACATCACACATCAGGGTCTGTCGGGAGGTTGGGGGCAAGGGGAGGGAGAGCATTAGGACAAATACCTAATGCATGTGGGGCTTAAAACCTAGATGACAGGTTGATAGGTGTAGCAAACCACCATGGCACATGTATACCTATGTAACAAACCTGCAGGTTCTGCACATGTATCCCAGAACTTAAAGTAATATTTTAAAAAAAAAATTAAAAAAATAAAATGTCACACAGCTAAGAAATATAACCATTGGCTTTAAAATGTCACATAGCTAAGAAATAGTAAGAAATATAACTAGTTAGGTAGTTAATGACTATCTAACTTCCATAATCACTGTCCCAATCACAGGTCAGTTTAAAATGCTTGTATTATCTTGATGTACTAGTTCATTATACTTTAATATATTATACTTTAATTGTCTCCTGAGCCACTTTCCACAGCTCTGTGACCGTTCATCAGCCAAATAATAGCTGCGGGCTGACTAGATATTCTCTTTACCTGGGAACTGGCTCACAGAAAACCACAGGGAAAAGTTACTATTAAGAACCTAAGACGAATATGAAAACAATAAATTGTAAAAATAAAGGTAATTATATTTGAACTTAAAAAACTTAAAGTTGACTTAAAAACATCTACTACCGCCCTTTCATTTTAAAGAGAGAGAAACAAAGAATCAGCAAGGTCAAGTAATACGTCCAAGGAAACACAGACAGCGAGTGGCAGGTCTCCTATTTCCAGACAGTACTTTCAGCCACCCACATGGAACGACAGTTGTACACAAATGCATATTAACAGTTAAGAGCAAGTGTGCAATTACATCATCCATTCAGTATCACTTTGTTCTTCAAGATGATCACTTCTAAGAGCACACAGAATCTTATAATTTTCAAGGTGGAAGGGGGATCCTTTAATGGCCCCTCACCATCCAGATGGAGAAACTAATATCCAGAGAGGTAATACTGTTCCACTCCTTCCTTCCGCAAACCTTCACTGGGCTCCTACATTAAGGCAGGTGTTGGCGATACAAAGATAAACAAGAATCACAGTTCTTAAGGAGCTTACGTGGAAGCAGGAGGAAACAGAAGTGCAATAGAACCAGATGGTTATTATGAGAGAGATATTAACTAAGTGGGGCAGAAAGCAGGAACTAATCGATTTCACTTTGTTATAACACTGAACACCATGCATGAAGGGAGATAGCTATTTACACTATTTAATGCTTGGCTACAGTGTTCTATATTAAAAGACATGAAACAGATTTTTAAAGTTCAGTTTCATCAAAAGGGGTAGAGAACTACCATTTTCTCGAGTGTCAGGCACTGTGCCTGGCATTTTATATGCATTATTTAATCCTCAAAAGAACTCTGAGAGGTAAGCATGATTATTACCCCCATTTCTTTTCTTTTCTTTTTTTTTTTTTTTGAGACGGAGTCTCGCTGTGTTGCCCAGGCTGGAGTGCAGTGGCGCGATCTCGGCTCACTGTAACCTCCGCCTCTCGGGTTCACGTCATTCTCCTGCCTCAGCCTCCCGAGTAGCTGGGACTACAGGCGCGCACCACCACGCCCGGCTAATTTTTTTGTATTTTTAGTAGAGACGGGGTTTCACTGTGTTAGCCAGGATGGTCTCGATCTCCTGACCTCGTGATCTGCCCGCCTCGGCCTCCCAAAGTGCTGGGATTACAGGCGTGAGCCACCGCGCCCGGCCCGCCATTTCTTAAAGAAGGAAAACAGCTGAGAGAAGTTCGTCCAGTCAGGATGCACCAGAGCCATAATTTGAATACAGGTTTGCCTGGCTCCAAAATCACATTCCTTTCTTTCTGTTTAACTCTCTCTGCCCAGGATTTTCTTCATTTGTTTAAATCACCCTCCATCTTATTTCTCTTCGGTCTACACTAAGCAATACATCCTGCAATGAATTATTCTAGTCTTATTACTTCCTAAAATCAGGAGCCATAGATTAAAAACCTTAACAAAGGAAAGGCAAGAAAAGGTTCTTGCAATATTTCCACTATTTAAGAAACTCACTCATAAAACCTGAAATACAGACGTAGTGAACTTCTGTAATCATATCTTGCTTAACGGATGCTTAGCTTTTCTACGTTTAGATCACACCATAGCTGCTCCACAAACGTGTTTTTCTTCAAGGTATTGAGAGAACTGACTCTAAAACTTTCCCAAGCACTTGAAACATGTAGGACTACGCGATTTCTTTTGTTGTTTCCATTCCTGTCCAAAACCTCTTGAAAAACAGCAGGCTGAAAAAAGCTGTGCTCTAAGGAGCTAGTGAGGAACTCTGGATGCAAACGATTAGCCCCGAAGCCAGGGAAGTTGGCCGCCTAGCCTGCTACAACACACACCTTTCATCTCCGGCGAAAGGAAAGGTTTTCAAATGCTGCGGTGGGTAGGGGACAGGGATGGAGGAAGAGGCGGCGGGCAGGAGGTGGAAGATAAGTCCCAACCCCTAGAATGAACCCCAGAGTCTCTATATCCCGTAAATGGGCAACAAAATGGGAAGCTTGGCTGCCACCAGGACAGGAAAGCCCTGCTGGACAAGAGTGGCATCTTTTACTGAAAAAGTTGTGTGGAAGTATACGCTAAGCCAGCCTCGTAGTCTCCAGCGATGCAGGTCGTGGAACAACAAAGAAAACCCACCCAAGTAGCCCTTTCTCTGCATTTAAATGAGCAAATCTGGACATTTAAACTGAAACCTCACTCCAAGCCCCCAGGAGAAAAAAACCCACCTCCCCTCGCAACCAGGTTTTCCGGCGGCCGTCGCCTGGCGGCTTCCTGGGCACCGCGATGTGGAGTCCGGGCCAGCTCCCGCCCCGCCCCTCTGCAGCCCGGGCTTACCTCTCTGCGCGCCGCCCGCCGCGCCCGCTAGACCGCAGCGCCCCGCGACCAGCTGGACCAAGAGCAGCAGGCGGAGCGCGCGGGGCCCTGACCCCCGCGCCGCCATCGCCCCGCGCCCGCGCGGGACCGCGGGCAGCCGCCTCTCGACCGCCGCGCGGGGAACGCGAACTCTTGGGGAATGGAGCACTGAGTGTGAGTCGTGAGACAAAACGAGGGCAGACGCAGCAGAGGGGCCGCTCCGCGCCACAGCTCCCGCCGGGACAGCAGCCTCAGCCTAGCAGCTTCTGGCGGGCTCGGGACGCATGTGGAAGCTCCCGGCGCCTAGCCCCGCCCCTATTTCCCTCTGGCCCCGCCCAATCCTCGCCTTGTTCCTTTTGGCCCAGTCCGGTCTATTCATAGCCCCGCCTCCGATCCCCACCAACCCTTTCCCCACCCCGCCCCGCCTCTGGTCCAACCCTGTCTGCTCCTAGCTCCTCTTTTTCCACGCCTGGCCCAGCCCCATCGCCCTGGCCCCCGCCTCCAGGCCTTCCTTTGGGCAGGTGCGACCCTGGAGCAGAGTTCCAGGAAGGCAAAGACTTGAGGCTGGCATCGCAGGCGCGTCCTTCTCTAACCACCGGATGTCCTTGGCCTAGTCACTGCACACCTTAAGATAACAGCTATTCATTGATGTCTGCTCTGTGCTCAGCACCAAAAGGGGAAGCAGAGGGACAGATTGCTCCCAGCTGATAGAAAATGTAAATAAAGTAATTCCGAGTTGTGATCAGAAAGAAACAAGCTGGAGGCTGGGGCAGAATCACAGTGGTGGGGGACTTGCTCCAGGCTGCAGCGCTCTCCATGGGCCCCGCTGCCCACTCAAGTCTTTCTCACCAGGAAGTACCAGTCGCAGCTTGACTGCCTCCTGGGGCTGTCGTGTCAGCCAAGGGGTCCCCACCAGGAGACCTGTGTTGTGGACCAGCGAGACAACCCTGGGCAAGTCACTTTCCTCTCTGGGCCTGTTTCCTCGTCTGGAAGCGAGGAACCGAGGCAGATAAACTAGAGGACTCGGGAAGGTACAGCTCTGACACTCACTCAAGCCATCCCCGGAAATGATATGCAGTCGCCTCAAACGTGGGCATCGCCCTCCGTGTTGTCATCAATTAACATTTGTAAATATTAGTGACTATCTGCTACAGACACTTAGCACCTCTGGTGGAGATTGGTGCCGACTGCTGGAAACCCGTCTCAAATCCCTCCAGACCCTATATTTCATCCTCTCTGTCCATAATTAGAAAGCTTCATTTGGCTGAAGGGATTCAGGCGAATTATCTTTAAACTTCAGTGGCAGAGGGAGCCGCTGACTCTTCACAGAACGCTTTATGGAGGTGACACCTCTAAGACTCATTGTGAGCAAAAATTTCACTCCACCCTCCAGACTAGTAAATCTGTGAAAAACTAAACCTGGTTGCAAAGAATCTAAACAGCAAAATTCAGTGAAGATGCTCTTCTTAGGTCCAAATACAGCTGGAAAAATGTAAATTACATCCAATGGAGCCAATCTGTTTAAACAGGACTTAAACAAAGGGGCCACAGAAAAGGGATGCACAAGATGTTAACCAGATTAGTAATTAATTGCACTTCTGCACAGAAATGAAAGACAGTACCTATCATCCTTTCACTGCAAATTTACATTTTACTCTGAAGAATTTATGGGACTTACAGGCACTTATGCAATTCATCCTAACAGTGTTTGGATGACTTTAAAATGTTATTCTGCTTTTACAGCTAACTGATTTGAAACAGAGGAGTTGAATAACTGCTGAAGGTCACAGTACCTGTCAGTGGCAAAACTAGAATGAAATGGTTGTCAGTGCAGCCACTGCAAGTATAATTGGAACTCCTAGATGTTATATCAATAATCATGAGAATGATGGTTATTTACATAATCTATGAAAAACACTATTAATTGTTGCTATTAAGTGAAAGGCAAAGCGTGACATTTGTTGGGCATTTTAAAATCCAAACAAATAATCAGAATATAATGTCTACATCTTACATGGTTTTTCCAGGGGGATACGCCAATTACTCATGGTTGCTGGATATGGTGCTACACCTGACTCTGATAACAGGCATCTTCACACTGCTAGGAGACATTAGCTGACCAAATGACAATGAAAATTGCTGCTGTTGCTGCAGCCACCACCTACAAAGTTCCCCTAAAGTGGCATCTATCTACCAACTTTCTGAGACTTAGCCAAAGGGACTATTACACAGTTCTTGCATCCCAGACACCACCTTTTCCTCTGAAGATTGTGGAATTTTTATTACACTTTCCTGTCTTCATTTATCCTTCCTTCTCCCCTCTTCTGAATATCCAAACCCACGCTTTCTTCAAGGCTCATTTCAAATGCCACCTGCCTTCTCTTTATCTATTTCTCCATAATTATGTTCTCTACTAGATAGTGGATTTCTCAGCCTAGAGGCTATGTCTTTTTTTTTTTTTTTTTTTTTTTTTTTTCCTAGTAGAGACAGGGCTTTACTCTTGCCCAGGCTGGAGTGTGTAGCAGTGTGATGATAGCTCACTGTGGCCTCAACCTCCAGGGCTCAAACTCAAGCGATCCTCCCTCCCCTGCCTATCAAGTAGCTGGGATTACAGGGGTGCACCCCTACAACCAGCTAATTTTTTTAGTTTTGATTTTTTTGTTTGTTTCTTTCTTTTTTTTTTTTTTTTGGTAGAGACAAGGTCTAACTATGCTGTCTAGGCTTGTCTCAAACTCCTGGGCTCAAGAGATCCTCCCACCTCGGCCTCCCAGAATGCTGGGATTAGGAGTGTGAACCACCATACCCAGCGGGGCTATGTCTTGTTCACCTTTATAATACCTACTTGCCAGTCAGTACCTTGCCATAGAAAGTAGAATTTAACAATTATCTTAACACTGCTAAGTAATGGGGACTGTAAGAATTTAAACACGTTTTAATATGCTAGTTCATTTAGTATCAATATTACAGGAGTGGTACTTTTATTATCCTTGTTTTGGCCAACACCTTCTCAGTTCTCTTGGCAGGTTCCTCCTCTTCTACCCAGGCTTTGCATGTTGGAAATTCCAGAGGCTCAAATCTGGGACCTATTCTGTCTCTGTAAACTTCCCCCCTCAGTGATCTTATTCACTTCCCTGGCTGTAAATACCATCCATATATTGATGATGACCAGATTCATACTCAGATAGGTGCTGATCTCACCTCTGAGCTCCAGTGTATTTGACTATGTACTTTACATCATAATCACTTAGTTATGTCACTTAAGATGTTCCAAACCATGTTATCCTCTTAGCCTTCCCATCTCAATCAATGATACCACCATCTGACTAATTACTCAAGCTAGAAAACTGGAAGTCATCCTGAGTTCCTCCCTCTGCTTCACCCACCGAGTCTAATTCAACTCTAAGTGCTATTTACCTGGAATTTATTTATTTATTTATTTATTTTTATGTATTTATTTTTAAGAAGGAGTTTCACTCTTGTTGCCCAGGCTGGAGTGCAATGGTGCGATGTCAACTCACTGCAACCTCTGCCTCCCAGGTTCAAGTGATTCTCCTGCCTCAGCCTCCCAAGTAGCTGAGATTACAAGCATGCGCCACCAGGCCCAGCTAATTTTGTATTTTTAGTAGAGATAGTGTTTCACCATGTTGGTCAGGCTGGTCTCGAACTCCAGGTGATCCACCTGCCTCAGCATCCCAAGGTGCTGGGATTACAGGTGTGAGCCACCGTGCCTGGCCAGCCTTGAATTTATTTTGAATCCATCTCTTGTATCTCCTTTCCACTCCTAGTTTATTCAAATGCATCTCTATCTTAGACTCCTGCCCCAGCCTCTCACTGGGTCTCCTTCCCTGCATCCTCCAACACACTCTCCAGATGGCAGCCTGAGTGATTGTCTTCAAACAGAAACAAAATCCCAAGTCCTTGTCATGATTCTTAGAGGGGCCCCCGCTACGCTCACAAACTCCACATCACACCCCTCCCCTTTGCATGCTAAATTCCAGCCACATGGGCCCCTTCAGTCCAGGAACCACCAAGCCCAGTCCCACCCTAGGGCCTTCACACATGCTGTTCCCTCTGCCTGGACTAATCTCTCTCCACCCCTCCTCCTCCTCTGCCTTGCCTAACTCCTACTCCTCCTTCAGCACTGGGCTGATCGTCACTTCTTGTATGAAAGCAATCTCTCTAAGTTGGGCCCTGTACTCCCTCTGCTCATTACTTTCACTGAATAAATGAATCCAAAGATCTGAGAGCTAGCGAGCTAGAAAATAGTGGGCAGGGATTCGAATCCAGGTGACCTGACTTCAAGGACTTAACCATTCACTAAACTAAAGTTAATCTCTTTAAGCCCTATTACTAACTTTTTAAACAGTGCCATAAAACCTGCCTCACAGAATGTAAAGTTCATAAAGTCCTTAGCACAGTGCTTGAGTGTTCAATAGATGGTAGCTATTATTATTTATGTAGCAATTATTCTCTGACGTACTTTCATCCTTACAAAACCCTTAAGTAAAGGGCAGTTGGTGCTTTGGAGTTAAAAAGAGAGTGCATGGAAAGGGAATTAGGAGGCCAAGTAAATAGCAGACATCAAAAATAAACATTGTCATCTGTGAGTGGTATGGCCTAATGAGTTGTCTTTTATATCAATGTTGTTCACTTTTCTTTTTTATAATGGGGTCAACTGAGCTAAATTCAGAGCTAGGCAGCTTCTCTGAATCTTCCATTCAGCACTTCTATTATGGCTTGGTAATAAATTCTGCCGTGAGCCTTTAAGATGAAAGCCAAACTGAAAAGTTAATTAAAGATAAAAATGGATGCTGTCAATTTTACTGCTGAAATTAAATTCATTTTCACAGATTAAAAGAAAAAAGCAAGTTTTGATGGGATATTAAAATTCAATCCTTCATAAGAAATGATATAAGAAGTAAAGGTCTCTTTCAAGGGCTATTTCAGTGACCACAATCAAAATGTAAAAGTACAGACATATTTTAATGTGGAGAGTTTTAAAGAAGAAAATTAATTTGCCACATTTTTATTAGATTGTAATAACTAAATAGTAATGCATAAAATCAAATATCACAAAAATATAAGCCATATATAAAACTAAGCCTTCTCAATAGAATTTAATAATAGCGTATATATCACACAATGTCACAGGTTCAATTACCAATAGAAAAACGCATGTTAATAAGGAAATGGCAATTCAGCTACCAAACATTTTTTTTTTTTTTGAGATGGAATTTCACTCTTGTTGCCCAGGATGGAGTGCAATGGCGCGATCTCAGCTCAGTGCAACCTCCGCACCCCAGGTTCAAGTGATTCTCCTTCCTCAGCCTCCCAAGTATTGGCATTACAAGCATGCGTCACCACGTCTGGCTAATTTTGTATTTTTAGTAGAGATGTTTCACCATGTTGGCCAGGCTGGTTTCGCATTCCTGACCTCAGGTGATCCGCCCGCCTCGGCCTCCCGAAGTACTGGGATTATAGGCATGAGCCATCACACCTGGCCTACAAAACATTCTTGTTAAAAATGAAGATACTGTTTTTTATTTTAAGAAAGTGCAATACAATATCCCATGTCCCCTAAATGTTGAAAGCTTTTAAATCTGGGAGTGATGAATTACGTTATAAAATAATTTTTCTTTTTAAGACAAATATGAATTTCCATAAAGTCCTTGAGTAATAATTTTTAATATGCAAAAGTTCAACATTTGTCTACTAAATAAAGACACCTTATTAGGAACATATAAATGTGTGTAATATAAATATGTATTGTCTGTTCTCCATAGATGATATACTATTATAAATGTTAAAATGAAACTTATGCTTTTAATTTGATATCTACAAGATACAATTACAAATATTCAATTCTGTGCAAAAGGTAGAATTGGAATATTTTTCTAATATCAAATATCTAGCCTCTATCTCTCCCTCAGGCTTTCTATTCTGGACATGAGAGGTATTTATAGACACTGCTATGTATACCAGAAGTGAATCCAAAGTACAATTTATACTGCAGGTTTAGACCACAAATGTTCCAGATATTTGTGGCTATAGACCAGGAGAACTGCCATCTTAGAATTTAATGTATTGATTGCCAAATTATTGGTTCCCAGATTAATTCCCCTTCAGTCAAGAGATATTATAAAATTCTGATTCTCAAAAGCACAAAAAAATCCAAAATTAAATATATTTCATTTCCATGTGTAATTTGTAAACTGCCATATATTGCTTTTAGGGAAGTAATGGTAAAATGAAGATAGAGCTGCTTCTCTGATATGGTTTGGAATCTCTGCTTTAATTATCATCTCTTCTAATTTATTTAGCAAGGGTTCACTTTCTCATCTAGCTTCATTTCCCGTGGAATACTAATTGACATCAAGGTTTCTATAGGGATAAGAAACAAGACCAGATGAGCAACCTCTCAGCAATAGAAAAAGCTCCTTCGGAAGATTATGTATGGCATTGATTGTTTCAGGGAATTGATTGTCTTTAATCTAATTCTAAGCCACCTGATCCAAATCTCTTAAAATTGGAAATCGTTTGGTAATTTCCAGTTCCACAGCTGTCTCACACAAGACACAATCTTTCCTTGCTCTTCTAGAACATGGCTGATTAATTTTAGGTGTTTTAAATTTTTTGAAAACTGAAGAATACTTCAAGTCACCTGTATGGAAAAGGGTATTTTGATCCTTGATTGTATCTGATCTTCTCAGTCATTGGTGAACCAGAATTGAAACTGCTTGTGTTTCTAACACACACATGATCTTTTCAATGCTTTATGGGATAACAGATTGGGAAATACAGAGAGCTCTTGGCATATTGGGAATCGCACAGCCTTTGATTTGTGGAGTCAGATAAACATGAGTTTGAATCTTTGCTGTCACTCCCAGCTATTCATTCATTCGTTCAACAAATATTTAAGAAACAACTCACGTATACACCAAATTCTAGGAATGATGCAGTGAACATGATAGTTAATGTCCCTGAATTCTTGGAAAGTACTGCCTTGGGAAGGAATGCAAACAATAAACAAGTAAACAAAGCCGGGCGAGGGGGCTCACGCCTGTCATCCCAGCACTTTGGAAAGCTGACGTGAGAGGATTGTTTAAGGCCAAGAGATCCAGACCAGCCTGGGCAACATCAAGAGCCCCCTTATCTCTACAAAAAAATAAAATAAAATAAAATTAATTAGCCAGGTGTGGTGGTGTGCACCTGTAGTCCTAGCTACTTATGAGGCTGAAGTGGGAGGGTCGCTTGAGCACAGGAGTTCAAGGGTACAGTGAGCTATGATCATGCCTGCTGCTGCACCCTAGCCTGGCCAACAGACTGAGACCTTGTCTTGAAAAAACAAACCTTGGCCGGGTGCGGTGGCTCATGCCTGTAATCGCAGCACTTTGGGAGGCTGGCGTGGGTGGATCACCTGAAGTCAGGAGTTCAAGACCAGCCTGGGTAACATGGTGAAACCCCATCTCTACTAAAAATACAAAAATTAGCTGGGCGTGGTGGCATGTGCCTGTAATCCCAACTACTTGGGAGGCTGAGGCAGGAGAATCGCTTGAATCCAGGAGGTGGAGATTGCAGTGAGCAGACAGTGCGCCACTGCACTCCAGCCTGGGTGACAAGAGCAAAACTCCATCTCAAAAAAAAAAAATAAACTTTGCCTTTAAAAAAACAACATAAGACCTTGTCTTTAAAAATAAAATAAAAAACAAGTAAGCAAGATAATTTCAGAATTTGATAAGAACTATTGAGGAGGGCTAGGTGCAGTGGCTCATGCCTGTAATCCCAGCACTTTGGGTGACCTACGCAGGTAGATCACAAGGTCAGGAGATGGAGACCATCCTGGCCAACATGGTGAAACCCCGTCTCTACTAAAAATACAAAAATTAGCTGGGTGTGGTGGCGCATGCCTGTAATCCCAGCTAACCGGGAGGCAGAAATTGCAGTAAGCCAAGATTGTGCCACTGCACTCCAGCCTGGCGACAGAGTGTGACTCTGTCTCAAAAACAAAAACAAACAAACAAACAAAACTTGAGGAATAACTAGAAATTGATGCAGTGGGGGGTAGGGGATTTTACTTTTAATCAGGTGGTCAGGAAATGCCTTCCTGACAAGATAACCTGAGTTAGGACAGAAGATGGAGAAAGTGGCAGTCATGCAGGATGGAGGGGAAGAGCATTCCAGATACAGGGGTGATCTAGCTAAAGACCCTTTGGTAGAAAAGAGCTTGCTACGGCCGGGCACAGTAGCTCATGCCTGTAATCTCAGCACTTTGGGAAGCCAAGGCAGGAGGATCACTTGAGCTCAGGAGTTCACCAGCCTGGGCAACATAGTGAGACCTCATCTCTACTAAAAATAAAATAAAAATTATCCGAGTGTGGTGGTGCACACCTGTAGTCCTAGCTACTTGGGAGGCTGAGATGGGAGTATCACTTGAACCCAGGAGGTTGAGGCTGCAGTGAACTATGATTGTACCACAGCTGTGGTGACAGAGAACATGTCTCTCAAAAAAAAAAAAAAAAAAAAAAAAAGAATAAAGAAGTTTGTGAGAGGGAGGGGCAGAGAGGAATCAGGGGTACAGATTCTCAACAAGATAGGGGGACAATGGAAAGCTGGGGCTAATTCCGGTTTATATTGAAGATTGTATTATTTGGGCAGGTGGGAAGGAGTCCTCTTTAAGCAAAGAATATGACAATACAAGCCAGGTGTGGTGGCACGGGCCTGTAGTCCCAGCTACTGGGAAGGCTGAGGAGGGAGGATCGCTTAAGCCCAGGAGTTAAAGTCAAGACTCAGCCTGGGCAACATAGCAAAACCCTATCTCTACAAATAGAAAAAGAATATGATAGTACAAATGTGAAATTGCGTGTGAAATTGGATATTTACTTAGAACAAAAAAATTTTCAACAAATTACATTATTTTTTGGACCACAACACTCAAAGCCAGAACAAATTTTGTAAAAGTTGACAAACATCACAGTAACTAGAAAATGATAGTTTGGGCCAGGCATGGTGGCTCACGCCTGTAATCCCAGCACTTTGGGAGGCCAAGGCGGGCAGATCATGAGGTCAGGAGATCGAGACCATCCTGGCTAACACGGTGAAACCCCGTCTCTACTAAAAATACAAAAAATTAGCCAGGCGCGGTGGCGGATGCCTGTAGTCCCAGCTACTCGGGAGGCTGAGGCAGGAGAATGGCTTGAACCCAGGAGGTGGAGGTTGCCGTGAGCTGAGATCACACCACTGCACTCCAGCCTGGGTGACAAAGCAAGACTGTCTCAAAAAAAGAAGCTGCCCATGCTTGTTCCCCTCCAACCTATTCTCCCCTTCACTGCTAGAGGGATCTTCTTAATATGTCAATCGGAGCACATGAACACATGTCTTAAACCTTGCATAGGTTTCCCATCAGAGAACTTCCCCAATTTACTGTGAAGCTAATGCAGCTTAAGAGTCAAGCCTCTTCATTTGCACGGCTCCTTCCAAGGCCCTGGGAAAGACCCTAATAACGTATTGTTACGCTCATATGCAAAATATCTTTTTTTTTTTTTTGGAGATGGAGTCTCACTCTGTCACCCAGCTGGAGTGTAGTGGCACAATCTTGGCTCACTGCAACCTCTGCCTCCCGGGTTCAAGCAATTCTCCTGCCTCAGCCTCCCGAGTAGCTGGGATTATAGGTGCATGCCGCCATGCCCAGCTAATTTTTTTGTATTTTAGTAGAGACAGGGTTTCACCATGTTGCCCAGGCTGGTCTCGAACTCCTGAACTCAGGCAATCTGCCTGCCTTGGCCTCTCAAAGTGCTAGGATTACAGGTGTGAGCCACTGTGCCTGGCCATGGGCAGCTATTATAGAAGTCCAGGCAAGGGATGATAGTGATGGCTTGCATGGAATGATGGCACTGGAGTTGTGTGACTTGGCACAAATTACTCACCTTTTCTGATCTTTGGTTTCCTCAACTACACAATAGAGAGATTGCCTCTAAATCACTGAGCACAGAGTAAGCCCTCAAGGGTTTACAAGGTTGTTGTGAGAATTAGCACTAACATTTATAATGTAGCTGACACTTACTGTTTAATCAACAAATGATAGCTTCTACTCTGCTGTAAAGAGAAATGGGGCTTTCTAAGGCTGCAAAATACTTTAGAAAAGCAATTAGAGGCCGGGCGTGGTGTCTCTCGCCTGCAATCCCAGCACTTTGGGAGGCTGAGGTGGGTGGATCACCTGACGTCGGGAGTTCGAGACCAGCCTGACCAACATGGAGAAACCCCATCTCTACTAAAAATACATAATTAGCCAGGCGTGGTGGTGTGCATCTGTAATCCCAGTTACTCAGGAGGCTGAGGCAGGAGAATGGCTTGAACCTGGGAGGCGGAGGTTGCAGTGAGCCAAGATGGTGCCACTGCACTCCAGCCTGGGCAAAAGAGCGAGACGTCATCTCAAAAAAGGAAAAAGAAAAGAAAAGCAATTAGAAGGAAAAAGTATTTTTACATTTCTCCTTTAAGAGTATTTTTAGGCTGGGGGCGGTGGCTCGCGCCTGTAATCCCAGCACTTTGGGAGGCCAAGGCGGATGGATCACTTGAGGCCAGGAGTTTGAAACCAGCCTGGCCAACATGGTAAAACCCCCTCTCTGCTAAAAATTCCAAAAAACAACAGCTGAGTATGGTGGCAGGCGCCTGTAATCCCAGATACTTGGGAGGCTGAGGCAGCAGAACTGCTTGAACCTGGAAGGCGGAGGTTGCAATGAGTCGAGATTGTGCCACTGCACTCCAGCCTGGGTGACAGAGCAAGACTCCATCTCAAAAGAAAACAAAATAAAACAGTATTTTAAAATGGCTTGCCTATAATTTGCTGAAGGTTACCAGTATGCTCGTTCAGCATCTAAACTGGGCCACTGAGACAAGTTAATAGTGGCTAACTCTGGGCAAGATATTATGGGTGATTTTTATTTTATTCACTGTGTATTTTTCAAAGTGATCATGCATTGCTTTCCTAATCAGAAAAAGTAAGTTATTAGATTGTTTAGGAATCAGAAGACAGTTTACCCTGGATTCTCCCATTCCATGTGATTCCTAATATTTCAGAGAAGGTTATTACATAAGGCTCTTAGGTACAGAATCAAAGACTTGGCCTCTCACTAGAGAGTATAAAGTTAAGTATAAAGAAACTTAGAGAAAACATTCTTCCTGCCAAGATGAAAGGAAGTGAAAATCCTCTCCAACTGTGAGACCTACTTCTATAACTAACAGATTCATATACATTTACTCAAACAGTCAACCCATTTCCCATTTCTATTGGGTTCTTATAGGAGAAAATAGGGCAAAGTAGATTCTTTTAAAAATCCATATCACTAATGTTAATGTATGGCATAAAGATGGATTTTAAAATAAGCCAAAAATTCTACTTCAAGGTGTATACTCAAAATAAATGAAAACGTATGTCCACACAAAAAACTTGTACCTGGGTGTTCACAGCAGCATTATTCTTAAGAGTAGAAATAACTCATATTTTTGCCAATGAGTAAACAAAATGTAGTATAACCATACAATGGAAGAAAAATAATAAATCTCTGCTTTTTTTCTCTAATCTAGTAAAGAAATTACTGATGCACACTACCACATAGATAAACCTTGTAAACATTACGCTAAGTGAAAGAAGCCAGACACAAAGGATCACATATTGTATGATTCCATTTACAGGAAATGTCCATAATAGGCAAATCCATAGAGACAGTAAGTAGATGAGTGGTTGCCTAGGACTGGGCAGTGATTTGGGGGTGATGTCTAAGAAGCGTGTGGAGTTTTATTTTTGGGGTGATGAAGATGTTCTAAATCAATTGTGGTGATGGTCGCACAACCCTGGGAGTATACAGAAAGCCATTGAAAAGTATGTTTTAAATGGGTGAATTGTATGGTATGTGAACTGTATCTCAGTAAGGCTGTTACCAAAAAATAACAAAAATAAATGGAGAAAGGTAAATAACTATCATTTCACGTAATTCTGAATTCACTCAAGAATGGAAAATTCCCAAGTAGTCTGAACAATTGAATTAAAGTTTCATGATTAATTTAAATACTGCTTTTAAAAAGAGATTAACAATTATATTTTGCAAATTGTGTATTATAAAGATGATTGAGCCACAAATTTACTAGAATAATGTTGATGTACTTTGGCATGGGGAATATTTTTATGTGCATTGTACTAACAAGAACTTTAAATGATAGCTTTGTCTACGTAAACACAAAACAACCCTTCGGTACATCAGCATCAAAATCAAAATAAAAATGCAAATGCTACAATGAAAAAAAAAGGTAACACAGATGACAAAGAACTATCTTTAAAAGAGCTCATAAATGAATTTATAGAAAGTTAAATTATCTGATAGAAATTGGGCAAAAAAGATGATCAGACAGTGCATGCAAGAATACAAATGAATAATACCTGGAAGAAGAAGGGGAAAAAAGCATTTGACATGGGTTTACTCCGACGTGTGATATACAATGTTGTTTACAGAATTCTTCCCTACTAGGGATATTAACTCTAATTGGTTTCAGGTTATAACAATAGTAACAAAAAAGACATTAGGAAATTTTAAGAGTAGTTCATCATGTTCACCGAGTGCTCTTTTAGATCAGATTGTGACTACTTGAATTTGATGCCCTTGTCATCCCTTCCTCTTTCTCTGTCCTCCGTCATTCCGCGGCAGCTTCCCTTCCTCTCTGTTCACTTTACTACAGTCTTACACCCTCATCCTTCCTTGCCTATTTCAGTAGCCTCCTAACTCACTCTGTCTCTTCCCACCTAGTCCATCTTCTGGGCTCCCAGAATCATTGTTCTAAACAAGTCAGAGTAATTGTTTTTCTCATTCACTAAAAAATCTCAGCTGCCTCTGCATTGCATAGAGCACAAACTTCAAGACTTGCAAAGCTGTCTTCTCATCCTAGTGCACATTTCCAACCTTCTCTCTTATTTCCCCAGCAAGCTGTGCTCTAGCTCTGCTTAGCTACTGTGAAGCTTTCCCATTGCCAAGCCTTTGCACGTGCAGTTCCTTCTGCCTTTACTCCCTACTCTTCGGCACACAGCTACCTGGAGTCTAGCGCTCCTCCACAATATTGTTGTTGATTATCTGCTTTTCCTGCAAGGCTGCAAGTTAAGAGCCGAGGACGTGTCTTATCCATATATCCCCACCACCTAAAATTATCAGGAACATGGTAAGTGTCCAATAAAGGAATGAATCAACTTTCTGGTTTTGTTTTTCAGAGTATGGAATATTTTTGCACTGCTAAAACAAATATTCTCATGGAACTTTCAAAGTGCTAGACTGTACAAATTCCAGAGTCTTCCTTTATTTTCTGATTAAGAAAAAACACCAGAAGTAAAATTATACACAGGAGTACATGATTTTTTTACATAATTTATTTTTAAAAGCATGATTTGAAAGCTCACCAAAATGAAATCAATTTGACTTTGATTTTAAAGTTTTGACTCAAGATTTAAAACTTAGCTGTCTTTGGTTTTCTACTTATTTATATCAACGTGCTTCTGAGCTGGTAGGGTCCCTGTGAAAACCCATGAGTTTTGCTCAGATTAATGAAATGCTTGCTATTAGTGATGGGCCCCTGTTCAGATGTGTATTGCTAAGGCAGCATTTGGGATGCATCAGGCAACACTCTGGAAACCACCTGTCCTGCAACTCAGGTTAAAAATATGCCACAGAGCAGACGAAAGTGGGGCTAGCGTGAGAATCTAGACTAGGCAGCCAAACCCCATCGCAAGGAAAAAAAACTCACAGTTAAAGAGTAGCTTTTGCCTCACCTCCTATCTTTTGCTTTTCCTCACAGTATGAATTTATTTCAACAAAAAGATGAATACGTTGAAATTTGCCTGCTGTTAGGGTCAAATTCTGAAGACTTTCCTAATGTGGCGGCAAACTATACCAGGCTCTCTTATTCACTATTGCCTTTGAAGAAGTTGTCCTAGCTTTAGGCAAATGTTGAAGGGGTAGTCAGGATACAGAAAATCCACCAGTGCTACTGATCTGGATGGAAAGCAGGTATTTTTTAGGATTTCACACCAGCATATCCAGGGTATTTATTCATTCATCAGTACTTATTTGTTGCCTAACACGTGCCAGTTTCTGTTCTAGGTACCGAGACACGACTATTGAATGAAAACAAAGTACTGCTCTGGAAGTCTGTATTCCAGTGGGGAGAGACAAGAAACAAATATGCCAGCTGGTGATGAGTGCTATGGAGAAAAACTCAACAGGGTATGTATAGGGAATAGAAAATGTGAGTGTGCAGGGGAAAGAGATTGCTCCTTCACAGAAGTACCCCAAAAAAGGTGACATGCAAGCAGAGACCTGGAGATGAGGGAGTGGGCAATAGATACCCAGGAAGAGCATTCCCAAGGCAGAGGGATTGGCAAGTGATGTGAGGGGAGCTTGGCACATTCAGGGAATGATGAGAAGGCTCATTTGGATGAATGAGTGAGGAAGGAAGCACATGGAAGGTAGCACAAGGCCAGAATACAGGATACCTCATGAACCAGTACAAAGAATTTGACTCTTACTGAGCAAGATGGGAAGCCATTGGAGGGTTTTGAGCCAAAACTGTGCAGTAGTACCGTTTACATTTTGAAAGGATCACTGTGGCTGCTGCTGGAGAATTGACTGTGGGGAATGAAGTGGAGGCAAGGAACCAGTTAGGAGGCTGTTGCAATAGTCCAAGTCAGAGATAATGGTGAATTGGACCAGCGTTCCTGCAGTGGAAAGTGGCTGGATTATGGGTAAATTCTGCAGACAGAGTTAATAAGATTTATTGACTACCTCAACCTCTGGGTGTAGCAAGACTGGAGGGTGAAGACGTGCCATTCATCTTCACTACTTGCTGATTCTGTACTTGTGAATTTGCAAAATTTGCATTCTCATAAAATGTACATGTAACCCCCAAACCAATACTTGTGGTACTTTTAGTCATTTGTTGACATGCAGAGTGGTGAAAATTTTGAGTACCCAGGTGCACATGTTCCCATCTGAGGTTGAGCAAGGCGACACTCTGAATTCTTGTTTCAGCTCTCACACCGTGTAAGTGTTCCTGCAGTCTACCTTGTGCCGTTTATTTTTGCATTTTTCTTAGTGATTTTACTATTTCAAATGGCACCCAGGTATAGTGCTGAAGTGCTGTTTAATGTTCCTAAGCACAAGAGGGCTGTGATGTCAGCACTTTGGGAGGCTGAGGCAGGAGGATCGCTTGAGTCCAGGAGCTTGAGACCGGCATGGGAAACATGGTGAGACCTTCCCTGCTCACCGTCTCTATGAAAAAAACACTGTTTAGTGTTGTTCCTAAGCATAAGAGGGCTGTGATGTCAACACTTTGGGAGGTCAAGGCAGGAAGACCGTTTGAGCCTGCAGTGAAATATGATCACGCCACTGCACTCCAGCCTGGGTGACAGAGCAAGACCCAGTCTCAAAAAACAAAACAAAACAAAAACATTCACGTAAAGAGCTGTTGGCTGAGTTCTATGTTAATGAATCCACAATACACATTTAAAAAGGTGTCTTTAAGTAGAAATACACAAAAAACAGGTTATGTACTGATCAGTTGATAAAAATGTGACCAGTGGCTTGTAGGACCCTAACCCAGTACTTTCTCTAGGTGCAAGAGTTCAGTATTTTGTTAGTTTTTGTGGTGACTTTAGAACATAACTACCAAAAATAACGAGAACCTGCTGTACAGAGTAAGAGAATAATTTAGAAGTTCAAAAAAGTGCTGCAAATAGGGCTTGTAAATACTTTAGCCTATACAGAAAACTGCAGGGAGCTGCATTAAGAAAATCTACAATGAGAAATTAGACTGGGAGCACATATTTGGTTGACAACAGCTGAGAGAAGGGTAAATGATGGCTCAATGCACTCACCCTAGCTGATGGAAATCACCTGAAGAGTTTAAGCAATGTTAATATCTGGGTTCCACCACAGAGCTTGAGTTAATCGATACAGCATGCTTACAAGCTGCAAAAGCTTCCTAGGTGATTCTAATATGCAACAAAAACTTCTTAAAGTTTTACTTAGCATTCCTAAGAATCACATGCAGAGCTTGTTAGAACAGATTACTGGGTTTCACCCTCAGAGATTTTAATTCAGTAGATCTGGGATGGGACATCAGAATCTGCATAGGTGATGCTAAAGCACCATGGCTACGCATTAAGTACCACTGCCCTGTATCACTTCTGTCATGAAGCCACAGATAGCCAAGGGAACTCAGGTTGAACAAACCCCAGCAACAGAGCTCCCTTCAGCCAACACGTAACTGTTCTCATCTCTTGGTTCCACTTTTCCTCTGTGGCCTTAACTTCTACACCTCATCTTCCGCGCAGCTTGAGCTGCTGCCTGTGGGCAGCCTCAGTCCTAGCTGCGAGATCCACACCCACACATCAATTCTGGCTTTGTTCAGCTCACGTGTTCATTCTCAAACCAATTCCTGCAGACAGAGACGAATAATCTGGCCAGCCTGAGGAACGTGCCCATCTTTGTGAAAGGACTGTAAGCCACAATGTGCAAAAAGTAATCGCCCTGTCAGTTTTTGTATATTTAACAATTACTGCTACAGAGAATTTATTCCTTCATTTCCATTTTCCAAATTTTATTCCAAAAAAAGGGGATGTGTGTGGAAGATTAAGACGTCCATGAAGGGTAACCATCATCGTTACAATAAAGTATTCAATTGGACAGAAATGACAAGGACCCAATTCAGTATGTAATGTCCTATTTTCCCACTGCACCAGTTAAAAAAAGTAAAGCCTTCCTAGTGTGGAAGAGTAGGACTGCTTTTACACTGAAATGGTGCCCCAAATGAGTAATAAAATCTCTGATTCTATTTATCCTTTTCTTTCTGTTCTTTTTCTTTCTTCTCACGCTCAGCTTTGGCTTCTTCTTCCTCATGTTTTTTGATCAACTGCTCCACTTCTTTTTGTTTGAGAACTCTGATTACTGTCTTTCCATTCTCTCTTGTTAGTGTTGCAATTTCCACTAAAAACAAACACATACATTTATTTGTATTGCAGGCAGGCAGGCATACTTAGCAGAGAAGCTTAATAGGCACTCATGGTTTATGCTCGCCACATCATTGAAACGTTAGTTCAGCACTCTCCTATGTTTTATACTTAACATTATTCCCTTTTATGAGAACAATATACTTTTGATCTTGTAATGTTTTAATTATAATTTTTACTTAAATATCGTCTCCTCAGCCATTTTGTCACTCCCTTAGAAAAAGTATAATCAACCAATTGCTATTGCCGGCCTGCTATTAGCTGTGCTGATTAGACGGAACTGTTGGAACCTCTGAGGGCTCAGCCAGAATCTTCAACTGGTAATAACAGCTTATTTTTTATGGACTTTTCAAGTCTCTTAAAAAAATAAATAAATAAAAGGCATGAAATGGCCAAGAAAAGCAGACTGATACCTAAAGGGGAAGGAATTTTTTTGTACCAGGGAAACTGAGTAGTGCTTCCTTGAAACTGGGTGGAAGTAGACAAAAGAGGGCAATCTGCATGTAAATGACATTTTCTTTTTCTTTTTTTTTTTGAGATGGAGTTTTGCTCTTGTTGCCCAGGCTGGAGTGCAATGGCGCAAACTCGGCTCACTGCAACCTCCACCTCCTGGGTTCAGGTGATTCTCCTGTTTCAGCCTCCTGAGTAGCAGGATTACAGGTGCGCACCACCACGCCCGGCTAATTTTTTGTATTTTTAGTAGAGGCAGGGGTTTCACCATGTTGGCCAACCTGGTCTTGAACTCCTGACCTCAGGTGATCCACCCACCTCGGCCTCCCAAAGTGCTGGGGATTACAGGCGTGAGCCAATATGCCCGGCCGTAAATGGCATTTTCTAAGGAACACCAGGAGCTAAACTGTCCTAACATAAAGCAACATGTTAATTTACCACAATTTCTGAAAAACATTTAGAAATATTCTTTTTTTTTTTGAGACAGAGTCTCTCTCTGTCACCCACGCTGGAGTGCAGTGGCATGATCTCAACTCACTGCAGCCTCCGCTTCCCAGGTTCAAGTGATTCTCCTGCCTCAGCCTCCCAAGTAGCTGGGATTTATAGGCATGCACCACCATGCCTAGCTAATTTTTGTATTTTAAGTAGAGATGGGGCTTCACCATGTTGGCCAGGCTGATCTGGAACTCCTGGCCTCAGGTGATCCACCCACCTCAGCCTCCCAAAGTGCTGGGATTACAGGCATGAGCCACCAAGCTCGACTGAAATATTCTTTTATATAGTCATATAGCTTAAGTTGAACAAGGTATTTGGAATTGCTAACATGAGCTTAAAATAAGAGATTAGTAGATTAAGAAGAACAGGAGAGGGTATCACAACCCACGCAAATGTTGTATCTCTGGTAAAGTATACCAAACCTATGTATAAATATATAACTACATACGTATGCTTTATCATATATACACACAAGCAAAGATATCATTGATGAGAAGACTTGATAACTGTTAACTAAAAGTAGCACAGTGCAGGATGTCTATCTGTGAGTAATGAGATTGTTCAGTATCAAGCCTTTAAGTTTGGAATACAGTGTGAGATTGTGACTCCACAATTTACCAATGTTGATCTTGGTCAACTCACTTAACCTCATTAAGCCCTAGTGTCCTCAGTTAGAAGACAGGGATAACATCACCTAATTCGTAAGGTTGCTGTTTCAATGAACTAGGATGACATGTTAAAATCTTAACAGTTGCTGGCTGGGCGCAATGGCTCACGCCTGTAATCCCAGCACTTTGAGAGGCTGAAGCGGGAGGATCACCTGAGGTCAGGAGGTCATGACTAGCCTGGCCAACATGGTGAAACCCCGTCTCTACTAAAAATACAAAAATTAGCTGGGCATGGTGGCGCGAGCCTGTAGTCCCAGCTACTCGGCAGGCTGAGGCAGGAGAATCACTTGAACCAAGGAGGCGGAGGTTGCAGTGAGCTGAGATTGCGCCACTGCACTCCAGCCTGGCAACAGAGCGAGACTCCATCTCAAAAAAAAAAAAAAAAGAAAAAAATCTTAACAGCTGCTAATTTCCCTCACTCAGTCGAAAGAATTAAAGGAGAGGATATGAATTACCTTTTTCAGCAGAGAGTTTACTAACATCCATGGTCTTATTTAGTACTTTGATAGCTAAAGCAAGTGCTGACTTCAAGGTCATTTCTCCTTCTTTATAGTCTTGTTTCAACATTGACACAGCTGCCTATAAAACATGAATCAACATAGAATTTTAAGTTTTTACATTTTTTAGAAACATGAATTGGTCTAGAAGAAAAATGCCTGAATTATTATTGGCATTACAAGTATAAACAATTTTTTTTTTTTTTTTGACACAGGGGCTCACTCTGTTGCCCAGGCTGGAGTGTAGTGGCATGATCTCAGCTCACTGTATCTTCAAGTCTCCCCAGGCTCAGGTGCTCCTCCTCCCACCTTGGCCTCCTGGGTAGCTAGGATTACAGGCACATGCCATGGCGCCCAGCAAATTTTTGTATTTTTTGTAGAGATGGGGTTCTGCTATGTTGCCCAGGCTGGTCTCGAACTCCTGAGCTCGAGCAATTTGCCTGCCTCGGCCTCCCAAAGTGTTGGGATTACAGGCATGAGCCACCATGCCTGGCCCATATACATAATTTTGATGACAGGGAGGGCACACACGGCACGGGGTGAGAAGAGGGGGTACTAATGCTCTATAAAGAGTGTCTTTAACCTGGGGTCCTCAGTCTCCCAAGGGGTCTGTCATAGAATACAGGGGGTCTGTAAACTAGATGTGAAACAAAATCACAGCTTCTAATTTCACAACTCCTAACTGAAAATTAGCATTTATTAATGTAGTTAACGAACCCCAGTATATTAGCTATATCAGCAATGCTGTCACCAACAGAAATCACAGATATTTCCATATCACATTAAGGTTGTTGCAGCTATCTTAAAATACTGTTTACATTCATCACCATGGCAAAATTATGGCAGTTATTAGACATTCTGCTAGATTTTATAGCACAACAAAAATACTCACAGCGCTATTATTTCCAATGCATGTGGCCTTCCATCCCCCGTAATTTCCACTAGGGTCACTCTGATAGAGCTGAAAGCCATAGTGCTTATCCCAGCCAATGTACAGCAATGAAACACCAAAGGGACGTTTTCCTTTAACAAAGAAAAAAAGCCAAACATATCAATAATCTAAATTTAGTATCACTACAGTTACTTGAGCTCAGTGAAGGTAGCTAAACCCTACTCTGTGAACTTAAGCATTCATAAACTGTTTTGTATTCTGGCTACCATAGATAAGCTCCATTACAAATTCGACTTTTGTTTCTACGATTTGGACACAGCCAGAAGAGGGAACAGACAAAGGACCAGTGCTGAATTTCATTATTATGTAAACAGCAGTTAGTTTCCAGATTTGAAAATGTTGTTTTGGACTTTCAATATCCTATTAATAAAACGAGGGTAATCTACATGGTGGAGGAACACGTTCATTCATGAAGCAAGAATGTATGAAATTCTAGTGTTCTATACTACTGTAGGATTAATATAGTTAACCATAACATATTAGTTTCAAATAGCTAGAAGGATATGGAAGGCTCCCAACACAAGTGTTTGAGATGATGAATGTGCCATTTACCCTGATCTGATCATTATGTGCACTGAAACATCATTATGTACCTCATGAATATGTACAATTCTTATTTGCCAATTAAAAAAATTAAATTTAATTTAAAACAAAGGGTCTATTTTCAATTTTTTACTACCTCAAAAGGGTTATAACTCATAAAATGTCTTAACTTTTTCGAATAAAATTTTCAAAAAAATTAAATACCTCCAAATTGTGTATAAGCTTGTTTGATATCACACAGCGCTGTAACCAACTGCTCACAAGGTATTGGCTCCTGATACTGTAATAAATACCTAGGATAAAGAGATGGGCACATTAGTAGTTTTCTCTAAAACACAGACAGACTCTAAGGAAAATATTCTCTGAAAAGCAATCTATGCCATGGGGACAACCTAACAGTCATTTGTAATTTGAAGGGGAGGGAACAAGTCAACATCTGAATATTCTCATAGTAAATAATATTTTGTAAGTTTGGTTGAAAAAAATCTGTAATTTTCAATTCAAAGATTTTTAATGACTTTAATCTTTGCAAAAGTGAGCTCTCCTTAGAAACATCAAAACTAGGCCAGGTGCAGTGGCTAATGCCTGTAATCCCAGCACTTTGGGAGGCCAAGGCAGGCGGATCACGAGGTCAGGAAATCGAGACCATCCTGGCTAACACAGTGAAACCCCGTCTCTACTAAAAATACAAAAATTAACCCGGTGTGGTGGTCAGCTACTTGGGAGGCTGAGGCAGGAGAATCGCTTGAACCCGGGAGGCGGAGGTTGCAGTGAGCCAAGATCGTGCCACTGCACTCCAGCCTGGGTGACAGAGTGAGACTCTGTCTCAAAAAAAAAAAAAAGAAACATCAAAACTAATTTCTGTATCATCAGTTATGCTATTTATGACCATACCTTTGAGCAATGAGCCTTAGTTCATTAGTCAGAACATTAGCATCAGAAGTTATGCCTGCCACACTGCAAGCCATGTCCCTTGAAGAAAAAAAGACATTGATCTGTAAGCAGGGAAGATGCTTGCAAGGAGTGTTTATAAGTATTTAAAAAATTCTAATTTCTATTAGAAATTCACTATGTTTGCTTCACAACAGCTACTTCCTTCAGAAAAAACCTACAAGTTTTATCTTTGTAGGAGATGTTTACTCGATGTCACTCAACATGAAAGATAAACAAATGCACCCTTTAAGTTATTTAATAGATGTATTTATCATTACCACCTATGAATAGGATAACAAAATTAACGCCAAGAAGCTAATGTAATCTCAAGAAGATTCAGCAACAAAGAATAAAAAGACAGGCTTGCCACAATGGCTCACGCCTGTAATCCCAGCACTTTGGGAGGCCGAGGTAGATGGAGGGCTTGAGCCCAGGAGATCAAGAACAGCCTGGGCAATACGGCAAAATCCCATCTCAACAAAATATACAAAAACTAACTGGGTGTGGTGGTGCGCACCTATAGTCCCAGCTACTTGGGCGGCTGAGGTGGGAGGATCACTTGAGCCCAGGAGGCAGAAGCTGCAGTGAGCCAAGATGGCGTCACCGTACTCCAGCCTGGGTGACAGAGCAAGAATCTGTCTCAAAAAAAAAAAAAAAAAAAAGATTTTGCTAGACAGACTGCTCTTGAGTAATATTCATTTCCTAAGGCCTGGCTTGACAGAGGTGACAGGGGACAATGGCAGGAGGGTTTACAAGCCTGCTTAGGAAGTACAGGGCTAGGCTCCTACTAGAGGTGCATTTCATTTTTTTGGGCCCACTTCCTGAGGGCTGCCCTGGCTCTCTTATAGCTGAGACTCGCCCTGTGACTACGCCTAGCCAAGCCTGCCAGCTGTTGAGTGGTCCCAACAGAGGCTCTGTGGAGGGGTGACACCACTTTGGACAAGTTTATCAAAAGGCCCTGATAATCAGCATTTACCAAGCCCACCACCACTGAAAGGAAAGTCTCTACTTAGCACGGTCAGCTCTCCATGAGCTGCAAAGTTCTGCACACTCAAATATAACAAACATTTCACACAGTGTACAAGGCTTGGCTAAATTCTTCGAGACCTCTAAGAGGCTTGTTCTTTAGTAAGATTCAGTGTAATTCAACAAAATCCTGCGTAGCTATTCTAAACAATACTTTGAGGGCCTACTAAATGCCAGATACTATACTATTTTATTTCATTCATTTTATTTCATTAAACTGCCACAACCACTTTAGGAGGCTCTGAGGCCCAAAGAAATTAAATAATCGGTGCAAGGTCACATAGCCTGCATGGGTGAAGCCTGGAGTTGAACCCAAATCTGTGTGACTACTAAGTCTGTACTCTTATCATTACACAATGCTAGTTTCTCCACTAAGTGTTTGCCCTGCACTTAAAAGGAGTAACACATGGTACCAGGCCTCAAAGAGGTTTCAAGCAAAATAAAGGCACAATTTCAATTCTACCACATCGCACGGAAGAGCCCTCCCAAATTACATAGATCCCACTTATGTGAGAAAGTGAGATTTTTTTTAAACTCTTTCCTAAAATCTCACTTACTCATTGAGTTTATAAATTTTTTCAGAAAAAAAGACTTCATCAAGAAGCTTGTGGATGTTGCGTCTCTCTGCTGCAAGCAAAACACCATCATTTGCTAAAATTCCCAAACAGGTGCCTGCATGTCCAATAGCTTCCATGGCATATTCAACTTGGTATAAGCGACCTACAAAACAAAAGCAGTGAGAAGCCAAGACTCTCCTCTGTGCTCCTGCACCACTGGCCCAAAAGAAATCAGCAATGAAGCAAGCTAGAAACAAATTTCCACTTTCACTCTTCTATGGTATAATCAACCTGGTGATGATAATTGCTTCAAAGTACAAAAAGGATGAACTTTGCAACTACCAAAAAAAGTTTGTAATTTTTTTTTCTAAAAGTCTAACACATTTATTTTTAAACTTGAGGCAGATTAAACAATTTCTATTTTACCTTCTGGAGAAAATATAGTGGTCCTGGAGTCATATCTTCGAGACTGCAAAGGAAAAACACATGAGTGATTCCTACCCACTGAAAGTAGGCCAACTCCTGCAAGCCTACAAATGATCTTACAAAACCTATCCTGGTATACAAAGTTCAATAGGTGAGAGGAAACTGACAAGAAAAAAGGCACCTTCTCACTGCTTTCCTTCTATTTCAATTTTCCCACTCAAGTCTGTAAACTGAGTACAAGCAATACTGTTTATCAGGCAACCGTTTATTGGCATGTGTATTAACTCACCATGTTTTCTGAACTTTATATAGTTCCTGTAAAAAGAAAATCAGATCATCATTAAAATAAGATTCACAAATTAAAAAGCATTTGCTGACTTTACAAATCTGTTTTATTTACTCCCTTTATTCAGCTAAGTGTCAGGCATTATGCTAGATGCTGGAATACCAAAATGTGTAAAACCAGTTCCTGTCCTGAAAAGCTAATACTGGCAGTTAGGTGAGAGAGGCAGTCATAGATTATAATGTGGAAAGAGGAACCGGGGGTAGGGTGGGAAAAGGGATGATGAAAGAATCAAGAAAGTATTTTTTGAGAAATCGATACAGAAAATGAAAGTAAATCAGAGATGGGAGAGGCAGAAATAAGGCTGAGAACCCTTGGGTCTAAGAGAAAGAACAGGGGAAGAAAGAAGGGCATTCCACACAGAGCAGAAAGTATGAACAAAGGGTACGGAGGCAGGATAGTTTAGTGGGCATGAGATAAACTGCTGATGCTTTTAAAATATATATAAATAAGAGCTAAGCGAGTATCCAAATCACGCAGAGCCTTGAAAGCCAAGGCAAGAGGCTGAGGCCTTCTCCAGAGAGTGATCTGGGTCCTGAACTTGGGGGTGGAGGCAGTTATCTTGGGCACCATCAGTACCATTCGTGCAAAAGGCAATACTAGGTGTTCAGCGTTATTTGGTAAAGCCTCAGTCCAAGGCCCACATTTCCAAATACTGGAATATAGGGAATCAAGACTGGAAAGGTAAGCTGGAATCAAATCCTGGAGAGCCCGCGTGCCCAGGTAAAAACAGAATTTTATCTCTCAGCCAATGGGGCTCCTCTGAATGATTCCCAAGGCCCACAGGAACTGATTGGCATTTTAAATGATCACTCTGGCTGGTGAGAGACCGAGGGCAGCGAACTGGTTGAGGTAATTGCAATAGGAATGGTGCAAAGTAAGGATGGCACAGAGCAGAGAAGCAGGGAGGACACAGAGACACTCGCCGGGGATTTCTGATTCGAGCTTTAAGCACAACTTTCTGTTGTCTCCACGCCTGACGCCGGGCACAGCACTATTTTGAGTTCACCGGCACCTCCGGGAGAGCTAACTTTCACGTACCGAACTCCTGAGGACGGAAGCCACCCCAACTCTCGGTCCTGCCCACAGACCCCCACCCTCAGCCCGCCCCCTCGCGGGCCCCGGCGTCCAGGCTTGGCACTGGGAAGCCCCCGACGGCGGCCGGCGGGGGCCATTCCCGGCGGTCGGTCCGTCACAGAGGAGGCGGTGCAGAGTCATCGTGCCCACGGCTCCTCGGCGGCAACTGCAGGCCGGGACCGACTGTCTTGACGTTCACGACCCCCGCCCAATGGGAAAGCGGCCAAGCTTCCGCGGGCCCCAAGGGGCCAAAGGCTCACCAGATGGAAGACCCTGAAGACCTGAGATGTCCACGGAGCCCTTAACTCCACGGAAGAATAAACCACCACCGCTCACCGAATAACCGCTGCTAATATGGCCCCCGCGCATGCGCAGAACCGCTGGGTTGGGGCGGGGGGAGCGGGACGGCCGAGGACGCGGAAGTCCTTCTTGCGGGGCGGAGCTAGAACCCGTGCCCCTCGTGGGAGCTGGGTCGCGGGGGTGCTGAGGCTCTGGGGCGCTGCAGCTTAGGCTAGGGTCCTCAGCAGGTGGAGGAGTTGCTGTGCCATGGGGAAGAGGGCAGGAAGACAGTAGCCAACCAGGAGGTGGAATAGCTAATTTCTTTCTCTTACCCTTGGCGCTCTCCTTTCATTTTCTCTTCACTATTCAGACCTAGGATAGCAAATAGTGTGGACCGGCTTCTTAATTGCTATCATTCCTGTCCTGTTTCCCAAAATGGTTCCAACCACATGAGACTTTACCCCTCTCATCACCTTCCTTTTTCATTCTGGCTTTCACTTTTACTGCTGATGCATACATTTTGGACATACACATTATGATGAGGAAGGCCGGGTGGCTCATGCCTGTAATCCCAGCACCTTGGGAGGTCGAGGCGGGTGGATCACCTGAGGTCGGGAGTTCGAGACCAGCTTGGCCAACATGGTGAAACCGTCTCTACTAAAATTAACAAAAATTAGCCGGGTGTGTGGTGCACGCCTGTAATCCCAGCTACTTGGGAGGCTGAGGCACGAGAATCGCTTGAACTCGGGAGGCGGAGGTTGCAGTGAGCCGAGAGTGCGCCACTTCACTCCAGCCTGAGACTCCATCTCAAAAAAAAAAAAATTATGATGAGGGTCGAGCATGGTGACTCATGCTTGTAATTACACCGCTTTGGGAGGCTGAGGCAGGAGGATGGCTTGAGGCTAGGAGTTTGGAGGCTGCAGTGAGCTATGATCGCACCACTGCACTCCAGCCTGGGTGACAGAGAAAGACACTGGCTCTAAAAATT
Organism: Homo sapiens; assembly: GCF_000001405.40. Lineage (NCBI taxonomy): Eukaryota > Metazoa > Chordata > Mammalia > Primates > Hominidae > Homo > Homo sapiens. Next base: position 78,539,532 of record NC_000015.10, on the reverse strand, counting down.
AAATTAAAAAAAATTATGATCAGGTTCACACTTTTGGGGGAATTTTCACCTTGGTCTCTTTCTCTGCTTTTCACCAGTCAGAAAGGATTTCCCTGACCAGCACAGTTAAAGCAATACCCTACCGTCAGCATATACTCGCACCATTTTATCTTCTTTACTGAAATTGTCATACTTGTTTCTGTGTTCATTATCCATCTCTCCACCTTTTTGCTCATTCAGCCTCGGTCCGTATGTAAACTATCTACTATGCATTTTAGGTTTTTTCAGGCTAGAAGGTTGACTAGATCTGGGTTAATATGAAGTCATCTGCTCACAGTCTCTCCCAAAAAGCAGCCCACTGGGCAGAAACTCCTCTTCATGTTGGTTGCAAAATTATTGGGGGATCTGGGCTTTGAAAAGGAGATAGCTTGGAAGTAAGTTACATTTTGAGGTCTCGCCTATCGTCTCTACTTTCCAAGCACACAGGGAAGTGAGCCAAGGCAAGATGGCAAAGAGCCACACGCAGGTGGTGCTCTGAAAGCATCCTCAGGTGGTGTAACTTATGGCATCTCTGAGGGCCCCTGCCTGCCACCTTAGTTCATTCTGCGGAATTCAGTGAACAGTCACTTTTAAGTGAGAGGTAGAATTTCTCAGGTCAAGAGAGGGATTCCTTGAGAAAAAGGGCAAGAGAAGAATGAGTCTGACAAGTGTGGGTGACTGAGTAGTTCGGTCTGATCTGAATGGAGGAGATAATACAGGAAGTAAGGAAAGGCATTTGAGGCCTAAGTGTAGAGTGCCTTTAATGCCAGAATTTGTTTTGGTCAGTAATGGGAAGACAGGATTAAAGTGATGTTTTAGGATGATGAACCCTCAACATCTCTCATCCCACATGTTCCTCTTACAATGTGCCACAGATGGTTCCCACTGAGAGGTTCTGTGTCCCCTTATTCTGAATCTGGGTGAGCCTGTGACTACAATGGAAGTGATATCATGTGACTTCCAAGAGCAAATCACAAATGGTGATATGGTTCTGTCTTGTCCTCTTGGGATGGTCGTTCTTGGGACCCAGGCACTGTGCTGTGAGGAAGCAAAGGCCACATGGAGAGGTGTTTGGCCAACAGCCTAGATGAAGTCCCAGTGTCACCTGCCAGACAGCTGAGTGAAGATTCCTCCAGATGATCCTAGTACCCAGTTGTAACCAGGCAGCTTAGCTTCAAACTGCATTAAAAATTTTTTCCCCTTTTCCTTGGGTTTAAAGATATAACCTTGAAGCAAACTGCAGAAACCTTTTCTAGAGTCCACATCCCTCCCTTTCTCATTGTATATACTCCCTTCACATTTATCCAACTGTCTACTAGTATCTAATTATGTGTCTTCTTAGAAGTTCCAGGGGTCAATCCTGAGACACACAGACCAAGTCTGGAGACCCAGCTGCAAAGTTCCAGAGATTACTTCAAGACAGCTAGTTAACAACCTGGCTGTTGTTGAAATGCCATCAGCCCAGGGTCCAGGTGGACCAGGACCCAAGATAGCCACCAGAATAAGACACACAGACACTGTACTCAGCCCAGTTCTTGTCTGCCTTCCTTATCAAGTTTTCCCTTTTTAAACCCCTGCCTTCTTCCTAAAAATAGAAGCCGTTAATTTGGATAGGAATCCGATTGCTTTCCCTTTACTATTTTTGGCTAATAAATTCTGTCTTTCTATTATACCTCACCCTTGTCAATTGGACTCTGTAAGAAGCAAGTGTTCGGTTACACAGTGATTGAGTCTCTCCCAGGCATCAAATCTCTCCCAGCCTTAAAGTCTTCCTAGCTGAGGCCCCAACACTGGGGGGAGCAGAGACAAACTGTCCCAGGGCCTGCCTGAATTCATGACTGCCAGAAACCATGAGCTAATAAAATGATTAAAGTTTTAAGCCACAATTTTTTTTGGTCATCACACAGCAATATATGTAACCAGAGTTTTTATCTGCCTACATAATATGAAGTGCAGAGGTTAGGGAGACTAAGAATACCAGAAAGTAAAGTTCTGTTGTAGTCCAGGGGCGCTAAAAGCCTGAACAGAAGAAGGCACTTGCAAGAGCAAAGAGTCTTTGCCAGACATATGGTATTGATTCCTAAATCTGGAACTGGGTTTTCTCCACGTTGTTTGAAAGGACCAGGACCTGGCACTTGTAGTGGTGTGTTCATTCTTACAGTTTATTCAACAGATCTTTACTGGGTCTTCTAGGGGCCTGGCACGGTGCTAGGTCCTGAAAGTAAAGTAAAATAAATATTTAATTTATGTATTATATTAGGGTCTTCCAGAGAAACCGAATCAATGGGATGGAAGGATGGATAGGTAGATAAACAGGAGGGGATTTATTATGGAAATAAATTATGGAGGCTAGGAAGTCCCACAATTGCTGTCTGTAAGCTGAAGAACCAGTGAAGCCAATTATGTGTTTCAGTTTGAGTCTAAAGGCTTGAGAACCAGAGGAGATGATGGTGTAACTCAGTCTGAGGCTGAGGACCTAAGAACCTGAGGGGCCGCTGGTTAAGTCCTGGAGTTTGAAGGCCAAGAACCTGGAGTTTTGCTATCTGAGGGCAAGAGAAGATGGCTGTCCCAGGAGAGAGACTGAATCCATCTTTCCTTTGTCTTTTTGTTCTATCCAGGCCCTCAACAGATTGGATGGTGCCCACCCATATTGGTGAGGGGGATCTTCCTTACTCAGCTACTGATTCAAATGCCAGTCTCTTCTGGAAACTTCCGCACAGACATGCTTAGGAATAACGCTTTACTACCTATCTCTGTATCCCTTAATCCAGGCAAGTTGGCACCTAAAACTAACCATCACAGCCACCAAAGAGTTTATATAAACCACATGAAATTGATTGATTGGAGACAAGTTAGAACAAACACCAAATAGTAAAATATCAATGTAATGCAGCATGTAAACATCTAAACAGTGGTCAGCAATATTTGCATTAGGAATTGAGTGAAAGGAAATCCATGTTAGCAGGGGCAATCAAGAGGGAAATCTATACAGTTTCATCAATTCAGAGGATCAACACTGGTCTGGAAGTGAAACCCAAGTTTCAGTCCATTATTCTGGTTCCCAGTTTTTAGCTTGAGAGGTCAACCTAGATAAAAACCACAGTCCCTTAAATTTCAGAAACATAAGTGCTTTCATGTGAATGATCTCATTTGTTCCTCCTAGTGTGTGTGAGTGAGTGTGCATGTGTGTGTGTGTGTGTGTGTGTGTGTGTGTGTAGCAGGGACAGGAGAGGAGGGAGAGGGAGAGAAAGTAGCATGGAACTCTGTGGTAGTGAAGAGCATGGTCTACATCAGAAAGGCCTGATTTAAGCCCTGGCTGTCTTTGAGGAAATTATTTTTACTTTTTCAGCTGCTATTTTCTTATCTGAAAATGACGATTAATTATAACAGTACTTCCCACACAGGTTTGTTGTAAAAATTAAGTGAGCTAATGTGTATAAAATACTTCAGTGCTGAATAAATGTTGGCTTTTATTATATATTGTTAAAAAACAACACAGGCTGGGTATGATAGCTCACGCCTATAATCCTAGCATTTAGGGAGGCCAAGGCAGGAGGATTGCTTGAGTCCAGGGGTTTGAGACCAGCCTGGGCAACATAGTGAGACCCTATCTCTACAAAATAAAATAAATTAGTTGGGCATGGTGGCACATGCCTGTAGTCCCAGCTACTCAGGAGGCTGAGGTGGGAGGATTGCTTGAGCCCAGGAGGTAGAGGTTGCAGTGAGCTGTGATCACACCACTGCACTCCAGCGTCGGTGACGGAGTGAGACCCTATCTCAAACAAACAAACAAAAAAGCCCAAAACAAACAAAAAATCCAGTAAAGACAGAGATTCCTAAAATTCTACAATTCTAAAAACCAGTAGGGCTCACTGAATATAAGAGAGGCAAGCAAAAAATTACTCCAATATTTTGAGTTTGGGTAACCTGGAATATGGTTCATTTATTGAGTAAATAGTTACTGAGTCCTAACTATGTGCCACACACTGTGTTAAGCACTTGGCACTGTTCTCTTATGAAATCTTCACAATGAACTCTATTAATTCTATGAGATAGGTATTACCCCAATCTCTACAAAAAATTAAAGAATTAGCCAGACATGGTGGCACATGCCTGAAGTCCCAGCTACTAGGGAGGCTGAGGTGGGAGGATCACCTGAGCCTAGGAGGTTGAGGCTGCAGTGAAACCCTGTCCCTGCCGCCCCACCACCAAAAAAAAAAAAAAAGAAAAGAAAAGAAAAGAAAAAGAAATGAAATGAAATTGAGGGACAAAGAAGTGAAAAATGAACCATATAAGACAATTTAGAGAAATATCTAGTTTGGGAAGACTAGGTAGGTAGACAGAAAGATGGAGATAGGATCAATGCCTGTTCATATATATAGAAAGATAACTATTGAGTATTTGAATGGCCAGGGTTCTAGACTTGAGTCATCTGTAGACAATGAATAGTTGAAATCATAAGAATAGTAAACAGCCATTTACTAAATCATACTAAAGGAGACATGACGAGAAACCAGTGAAGGAAACACAGTGGGATACCGTCAGCCAAGAATACAGTGAGCTTCAGTCTACCCAATCTACTTCATAGTCATCCAAAAAGAAACAGATTATAGAGAATTAAAAAATATATGCTTATATGCTTAAGGAGGTTCCTGGTATCAGTCTGAAAGGAACCATTATATTTAAGTAGCTCAGGGGTTAGTGGCCTTGCCTGGATGTCATTATTTGCTTCCTTGCAGTTCCCAGGGTCTTCCAGCATCTATCTCTGGAGTTCCAGTTTCAACCACCCTCTCAGACAAGTTAAAATTTTTTCTCCAAGAATGCTGTCAATGCTTTCTCCTAAAGCATCTTAGTGTGTGCCTTCTCCATCCCTTCTTCTAGCACGCATTTATTTTCAAATATTTTTAAAGACCTCTCTGTAGGAAAGGCACTATAATAGCAGGTGTGATAAGAAGGGATGAGGAGGCCGGGCACGGTGACTCATGCCTGTAATCCCAGCACTTTGGGAGATCGAGGCGGGTGGATCACAAGGTCAGGAGATCGAGACCATTCTGGCTAACACGGTGAAACCCTGTCTCTACTAAAAATACAAAAAAAATTAGCCGGGCGTGGTGGTGGGCGCCTGTAGTCCCAGCTACTCAGGAGGCTGAGGCAGGAGAATGGCGTGAACTCGAGAAGCGGAGCTTGCAATGAGCCGAGATCGTGCCACTGCACTCCAGCCTGGGCGACAGAGCGAGACTCCGTCTCAAAAAAAAAAAAAAAAAAAAAAGAAGGGCTGAGGAGACAAAAATAAGTTTTACATGGTCTCCGCCCTCAGTAGCTCTCAGGCAAGATGACTGCACAACCACGATCCATTATACAAAGTGATGGGCCATGAAAAAGACACAATGCACTGGGATTCTAGAGAAAGGAGAGATCAGAGGAGGTTTCATAGAACTGGTAGTATGTTATCTAGGTCAGTATGTTATGTCCAGATATTTAAAATATGTCAATATATCTATATGTATATATTATTTTTAAAATTAAAATAGTCATTAATCTCAGGGCAGGAATAGATCTTGTGAGATTATCTGCTTCAAAATGGTATCATTATATGTGTTTTATAGATATGGCAAGTAAGACTCACAGAAAAATATGCTTGCTTGTGGTACTTTTGTGAATTTTAAAAAATTGTCACGAGATTGCTTGAAGACCTTAGGGATTTCATGTGCTCTGTCATATTCAGAATTGATCCATTCCATCAGTTGATTTTTAACTATGCAGGAAAATCCTTCCTAAAATTTGACTGGGTCCTATTTTAATTACCCAAGTTAAAGTGAACTTTGAGTCACATGGAGATCTCAGTCACATGGAGATCCCAGATTCATAGGATTTGGCAGTTTCAAACCAGATTTCTTCTACAGCTTTCTGACCCATGTCAAACATTTGCTGTAAGTGTTTCCACCCGGTTTTTGCAGTAACCATGAGATAGTCTTTGTTCTCTGGGTATAGCTGGCAAGAGTATGCAGCCATGACAAGTGACTGACAAAAACGACTGCATACAAGTAAAAACAAAGCACCCTTCTCTACAGCTGTCAGTGGGGTGATGCTTTCAAACCCTGCAAGGACATGGCCTCCTACTTGTATAGGACTCTTGCTCTCAATCATCATGTACATGATGGTAATTGCCACTTCAAACACATAGTAGCCATAGCTCATGTCACCAAAGTCTAAAATCCCAGACACTTGATATTCAGCATTTCCAGAGGCTGACTTGCTGGACTCTATTAAAATATTATGGTCATTAAGATCTCCGTGATTGATACCTGAAAGTAGAAAAATCATGTAAAAACAGTTATTGAATATCCCAATTCATTCCCCTTCCATTTCTCTTTCATAGGCAAAGCCATAATTTGATGAGCAGTCAGAGATAAAGGGCCAGGCCCTATTTTTCTTGAAATAAAATAATTTCCTCTGAAAAGAATAAAAGCAGTTAATTTGGGGTGGTGGTTTTGCTTTTGCTTCTCATCAGTACAAGGCCAGAAGCTGGAGACTGCAGTTACTACAAATACCTGATTTTGGCCATTAGAAGAGTAAAGTGAAAAGAACTGCTTAAACCCAGAAATGTTTAAAAGAATAGAAACACATTCATATTGTTAGAAGAAACAAAGAGTCCTAGAATGGACCAGATTTACCTTTATTTTCATCTAGGATTTTATTTTATTTTTAAATTTTTATTCTTTGAGATGAGTCTCACTCTGTTGCCCAGCTGGAGTACTGTGGCACAGTCTTGGCTCACTGCAACCTGTCTCCTGGGTTCAAGCAATTCTCCTGCCTCAGCCTCCTGAGTAGCTGGATTACAGGGGTGCGCCACCACCACACCCAGCTAATTTTTGTATTTTTAGTAGAGACGGAGTTTCACCATGTTGGCCAGGCTGCTCTCAAACTCCTGACCTCAAATGATCTACCCACCTCAGCCTCCCAAAGTGCTGGGATTACAGGCCTGAGCCACTGTGACTGGCCTCAGCTAGGATTTTAAACAAAATTTTCTGATAACATGGTAATTCTAAATTTCCCTTTTTTTGATTACTAAAATAGGTGGTGATATTTTAAGTCAGTACTATTCAAAGTGGGGTCCATGGCCAGTGCTGGTCTACAAAATGTTACTAGTCTCCATGAGATAAGAACAGAGTTGAGAGTGTTTAGAAAATTTTACAGGGATATGACATCCAAGAGTGTGATCAGTGGCCTTGTCTCATTGAATGGAGCGTACACGAGTTCAAGTTTTGTCAAACTCCCATGGTTAGTTGCATGTGGCATGAACTGTACGTGAATCATGCACAGTAGGACCATATGTCAGACTGTAATGGGTTGGGGGAAAAAACCCACACTTGTCTTTTACCATAGATAGTCTAAGAAGCACGGATTTAAGCCACCAACTAAAGATTAGTAAGAGATGTAAGTGTCCATGAGCAATGAAGCCCTGAGTCATATACATGATATAAAGTATATAATTTTAACTTTTAAATATAATGCTGACTTTTTCTATATGATTTAGGATTGTGTAAATCATGCTTAAGCAATGTAACAGTGAGTGGGCACATAGAAACAATATTACTGTAAATCATAGATTTTAAACTACGTATTTCTGAAATTGGGATATATTATATAATTGACTCAAAAATATATAAGGTAAAATTTGACCGGGCCCAGTGGCTCATGCCTGTAATCCCTTTGGCCACTTTGGGAGGCCAAGGCAGGTGGATTGCTTGAGTCTAGGAGTTCGAGACCAGCCTATCCAACGTAGTGAAACCCTGTTTCTATTAAAAATACAAAATTTAGCCAGCGTGGTGGTGGGCACCTGTAGTCCCAGCTATTCGGGAGGCTGAGGCAGGAGAATCACTTGAACCTGGGATGCAGAGATTGCAGTGAGCTGAGATTACATCACTGCACTCTAGCCTGGGCAACAGAGCGAGACTCTATCTCAAAAAAATTTTATATACATATATATGGCAAAATTTGACAGAAATACAAGCAAAAAATAGGCAATCTGTAATCATAGTAGGATTAAAATATACTTTAACATGTGCTTTACTCAATAATTGTTAGAAAAAGCAGACAAAAATGTAAGTGAAAGTTACAGAAAATTTAAAAATGATTAACAAACTTGACCTAATGGGCATATAACTTTATGCCCAACACTGCAGAATATACTTTCTTTTAAAGCACACATGAACCATTCATAAAAATTTACCAAATACCACATGATAAAGTACTTTTGAATTGACTGAAATCATATAGAGCTTGATCTGTCTAATATGGTAGCCACTAGACATATGTGGCTATTTAAATTCATTAAGATTCAAACTGGAGGGCCGGATGTGGTGATTCACGCCTGTAATCCCAGCAGTTTGGGAGGCTTAGGTGGGCGGATCACTTGAGGCCAGGAGTTCAAGACCAACCTGACCAACATGGCAAAACTCCATCTCTACTAAAAATACAAAAATTACGTGGTGTGGTGGTGCATAATTTCAGCTACTAGGGAGGCTGAGGCATGAGAATCACTTGAACCCAGGAGGCAGAGGTTGCAGTGAGCCGAGATCACGCCACTGAACTCCAGCCTGGGCAACAGAGTGAGACTCTGTCTTAAAAAAACAAAAACAAACAAACAAAAAAAACCAAAACAGGATTTAAGCTGAGTGCATTGGCTTATGCCTGTAATCCCAGCACTTTCAGAGGCTGATGTGGGAGGATCGCTTGCAGCCAGTAGTTCAAGACCAGCCTGGGCAACATAGTGAGACTCCATTTCTATAAAAAAAAAAATCTGCTGGGCATGGTAATGCATGCCTGTAGCCCCAGCTATAAAAAAAAATTTTTTAGCTCAATAAGGTTAAATAAAATTGAAAGTCCTAAGGAATATCCTTAGTAGCACTAGCCACATTTCAAATGCCCATAGCCACATAGGAGCTATTGTATTGAACAACACAGATATAGAACATTTCCTTCATTGAAGAAAATCCTACTGGACAGCACTAATATAAAGTATGTTCTCTGATCACAATGTAATTACAGTAGAAATGAACAATAAGATATAACCAAAAAAGTTCATCATATTTTGGGGAACAGGATTTATACTTCTAAATACCCATGAATAATAATACAAAAAAAGTAGCCAGGCATGGTGGCACACGCCTGTGGCCACAGCTACCTGGATGGCTGCAGCAGGAGAATCTCTTAAACCCAGGAGGTGGACGTTGCAGTGAGCTGAGATTGCACCACTGCACTCCAGCCTGGGTGACAGAACAAGACTCCAGCTCAAAAAAAAAAAAAAAAAATAAATAAATAATGGTTGAATTTCATGGTTTGTGAACTATATCTCAATAAAGCTGTAAAAAAATAACAGGGGCCTGGTGCGGTTGCTCATGTAATCTTAGTGCTTTGGGAAGCTAAGGTGGGAGGATCGCTTGAGCCCAGGAGTTTGAGGCCAGTCTGAACAACATAGAGAGACCCTATCTCTACAAAAATAAAAATATTCACCAGGCATGATGGTGGATAGGTTAGTCCCAGCTACTTGGGAGTCTGAGGTGGGAGGATCGCTTGGGCCCAGGAGGTCGAAGCTGCAGTGAGCTGTGATCGTACCACTGCACTCCAGCCTGGGTGACAGAGCAAGACTGCCTCAAAAAAAAAATTTAGAATTATGCATCCAAACATACTGTACCATGAAAAGACAAGCCACAGAATGGGACAAAATATTTGTAACACATATAACTAGTAAAGGACTCATATCCAGAATATATTTAGCATTTCTACAAATCAATGAGAAAAAAATAATTTCAATAGAAAAAAGGCCAAAGACTTGATTTGGCACTTCTCAAGAATATATTTCAAATGGCCAATAAATAGAGAGATGGATTTTAAAACCATGATGTGATGATCAACTATTATGTACAAATCAGATTGAGAAAAATTTTAGAAGTCTGACCACACCAAGGGTGTAGAACAATGAAAACTTTTACACTCTGCTAGCTGTAGTATAAATTCATAGAACCACTTTTGAAAACATTGTTATTATCCAGTGAAGCTGAATATAGACATGTCCTATGACCTAGCAATCCTATCGCAAGGTATACACTCAAAGACTAATGAACATGTATACTGAGACTCAAGCATGTTCACGGCACCACTGTTCTTAATAGCCCCAAATAAGGAACAACCCAAGTATCTTTTAAGAGTAGAATAATGTGTGGTATATTAGTGAATACAATATTCTAGAGTTATAAAAGTTAACCAACTCTAGCATATGCAATGACACGCAGAATCTTACAAAAGTAGTATTGAGAAAAAAAAGGGAAGACAAGTGAATATATATGGTAGAGAGGCAGAGTAGGAGCAGGGAGACCAGTTATAAGGCTACTGCAATCATCCAGATCATAGGCTCTCCTTTGAAGAAAGAATGGATAGAATTTGACTGGATTTGTGACATGAGAGAAAGCACAAAGTGAAGCCTATGACTGCTAACTTTTTGTCCAGATTAACTAGGTGAATGGTGGATACAACTTTAATGAGATGAATAAGACTGGGGGAAAAACAGGTTTGAAGGGAAAAAATCAACTCTGTTTTTACGCTACACCTTACACTGTGTTTACACGGAGTAAGGAAACACTGAGAAACACATACTGCCTATCTTAGGCCTTGATAGAAATGCCCTTCAGTTCCTTGCCCTTTTTTTTTTTTGGAGACGGATTTCGCTCTGTTGCCCAGGCTGGAGTGCAGTGGCACAACCTAGGCCCACTGCAACCTCCACCTCTAGGGTTCAAGCAATTCTTCTGCCTCAGCCTCTGAGTAGCTGAGATTACAGGCACGCGTCACCATGCCCAGCTAGTTTTTGCATTTTTATTAGAAACAGGGTTTCACCACGTTGGCCAGGCTAGTCTCAAACTCCTGACCTCAAGTGATCCACCCACCTCGGCCTCCCAAAGTGCTGGGATTACAGGCGGGAGCCACCACACCCAGCCAGTTCCTTGCCTTTGACCAGTACTTAATGCTGGATGAAAAGGCTGGTTATATCTAGAAATATAGCCTAGAGAAACACCTGTCTGTGTACACAGGGAGATAGATATATACTAGAGCAGTAGTTCCCAACCTTTTTGGCATCAGGGACTGGTTTCATGGAAGACAATTTTTCCATGGACAGGAGACAGCGGAAGGATGGTTTTGGGATAAAACTGTTTCATCTCAGATCATCAGGCATTAGATTCTCACTTAGATCCCTTGCATGCGCAGTTCACAGTAGGGTTTGTGCTCCTATGAGAATCAAATGCTGCTGCTGATTTGACAGGAGGCAGAGCTCAGGCAGTAATGCTTGCTTTCCCTCTGCTCACCTCCTGCTGTGTGGCCCAGTTCCTGGGGTTTGGGGACTCCTGTACTAGAGGGTTCATTGCAGCATAATTTATGTAGCAAAGAAATGGGAAGCAACCTAAAATTCCATTAACAAGAGAATGGACCAAAAAATTATAGTACATGCAAATAAATTATGGTATATTCATACTATGGAATACTATTTAGCAGTTAAAACTAATAAACTAAATTAAAACTACAAATATTCATATGGATCAATCTGCAAAACATGCTGAATAGAAAAGGCAGGTTGCAGAATAATAATACACAGTGTGATACCATTGATATAAAGTTTGAAAAACACAAACCCTACTATAAATAATTTATAAATCATACATATGTAATGTGCAAATTTAATGGGAAGAAGAGAGGTAGACTCATGTAAAGTTTAGAGGAGGCTTCAAATGTAGCAATTTTGAGGAAAGTAAAAATATTATTATTTAAAAAGCAATAGGAGCAAATATGGCAAAATTTTAAGATTTGATAAAGCTAAATTGTACCTCCATACTTTTCTGATGATATGAAATTGGACAGTTTAAATATCAAGAAAAATACTTAATTGGGAGAATACTCACATTCTCGAAAATGACTTAATTTGGTCATTACTTCCTCCTTGAACAGATGAATGACATGCTCAACAATCTCTCGGTTTCGATTCTGGCCCAGGGCATACAGGTATTTCTCCAGAAGAGGAACATTTTTCAGATTCCAGATGAAGTTCTCCCGATGAAGACTACTTAACTTTGGGTGATGGAATCTCTAAATCAAAAGCGAGATATTCTTAGTCTCTTGACAGAGCAACCACTGCTGAGAGAGGTGGGAGGTGCTGCACATTTTTTTTTTTTTTTTTTTTGAGACAGAGTCTTACTCTGCCGCCCAGGCAGGAGTGCAGTGGCACGATCTCGACTCACTGCAACCTCCACCTCCTGGGTTCAAGCGATTCTTCTGCCTCAGCCTCCCGAGTAGCTGGGATCACAGGCATATGTCACCATGCTTGGTTAATTTTTTTTTTTTTTTGTATTATTAGTAGAGACAGGGTTTCACCATGTTGGCCAGGCTGGTCTCAAACTCCTGACCTCAGGTGATCCACCCACCTGGGCCTCCCAAAGTGCTGGGATTACAGGTGTGAGCCACCTCGCCCGGCCGGTGCTACACATTTTTAATCAACCAGGTCTTGTGAGAACTCACTCACTGTCACAAGAGATGTGCTGCTTCAGAAGACTACCTGCTCTAGACTGGCCAGGGAGTCTGTGAGGGAGAGAGCTGGCATTCTCTCATGGTCATTGACTTGCCCCATTTACTTTAACTCACAAAATAGTAAGCCTTCATATCTGTGCAGGATCTCTCAGTTTGGGGAGCACATTCCCAGCTCACTTGATCCTCATAATTATGTAAAGATAGGCATTATTGCCCACAGCTTACAAAAGAAATTGGAGGCAGCTCTAAAGAACTCTGTTCTCACCCATGCCCCTTGTAACCTCTCTGACTTCATCTTCTACTGCCTTTGCTCACCTACTCCAACCACCCTGGCCTCCCTGTTGTTCAAGGAACATGCTAGGCACGTTCCCACCTCACAGCCTTTTGCTTTTGCTGTTTCCCTTTTTGGGGATGCCCTTCACCAGATATCCACATGGTTAGTGCCGTCATTTCTACCAGGTCTTTACTCAAAAAACGCCTTCTCTGTGAGAATGTCCTGACCACTCCATCTAGAATTTCAACCCTCTCTCTGATATTTTGTACCTGTCGTCTCTGCTTATTTTTTCTTCTTACCACTTATTGCTAACATTTGTCATAGTTCACTTACTTATTTTACTGTCTACTCTCACTAGAATATAAGCTCCATGAGGGATAGGGCTGTTTTTTGTCTGTTTTGTTCACTCCTGTATCCCCACACCTAGAACAGTGCCTGGCACATTGAAGGCACTGCTTGAGCAATATTTGCTGAATTAAAGGATGTTCTTAGAATTAAAAAATTCTGGAATTGGAAGGGCCTTTAGACTTTGACCACTCTATCTAAAGTTGTAAATAATTTTCACTATCATTGCACAAATGGGGAAACAGATTCATAGAGGGATAACGACTTGTTATTATAAGGCTGAGGGAGGACCTGGATCTTGTGACCCACAGTTGAGACCTCTTTCACAGAGTGAGCGCTGGAAGATGCTTTGATGGTCATCCAGTGAAGTTGATTTCAAACTTTTTTGCATGACTTGCAGTAAGAAATATATTTTACATCATAACCCCAGTATACAGGCACACACATATAAAGAAAAAGTCTCAGTAAACAACACTTAGACCATTACATGTGACATATTCTGGTGTTTTTAAAAATTATATTCTGGCTGGGCGTGGTGGCTCATGCCTGTAATCCCAGCACTTTGGGAGGCCAACGTGGGTGGATCATTTGAGGTCAGGAGTTCGAGACCAGCCTGGCCAACATGGTGAAACCCTGTCTCTACTAAAAATACACAAAATTAGCCAGGCATGGTGGTGGGTGCCTGTAGTCCCAACTACTTGGGAGGCTGAGGCAGGAGAATCGCTTGAACCTGGAGGGCGGAGGTTGCAGTGAGCTGAGATCGCGCCACTGCACTTCAGCCTGGGCGACAGAGTGAGACTCTGTCTCAAAAAATATATATATAAAAAATAAAATTTAAAAATTAGATTTCTTTTAAAAGTTCCTCTAGGCTGGGCATGGTGGCTCACGCCTGTAATCCCAACACTTTGGGAGGCCAAGGCGGGCAGATCACGAGGTCAGGAGATCGAGACCATCCTGGCTAACATGGTGAAACCACATCTCTACTAAAAAATACAAAAAATCAGCTGGGTGTGGTGGCGGGTGCCTGTAGTCCCAGCTACTTGGGAGGCTGAGGCAGGAGAATGGCATGAATCTGGGAGGCAGAGCTTGCAGTGAGCTGAGATCGCACCACTGCACTCCAGCCTGGGCGACAGAGCGAGACTCCATCTCAAAAATAAATAAACAAATAAAAATAAAAAAAAAAAGTTCCTCTAAATGGATTTCAGTACTCACTATTATGACCGGGAGTTTGAGAACCTTCCCCTGATAATTCTCTTATCAGTAGCATTTTCTTGCTAAATAGTCACGTAGCCTGTTTGAATACTTCTTGATATGTTTTGGATCTGTGTCCCCACCAAATCTCATGTAGAACTGTAATCCCCAATATCGGAGGTGGGGCCTGGTGGGTGGTGATTGGATCATAGGGGTGGTTTCTTATGAATGGTTTAGCACTATCCTTTGGTGCTGTTCTTGTGATAGTGAGTGAGTTCTCATGAGACCTGTTTTTTGTTGTTGTTGTTTGTTTGTTTGTTTTTGAGGCAGAGTCTCTCTCTGTTGCCCAGGCTGGAGTGCAGTGGCGCGATCCTGGCTCACTGCAATCTCTGCCTCCCAGGTTCAAGCGATACTCCTGCCTCAGCCTCCTCAGTAGCTGGGATTACAGGCACCCACCACCAGGCCCAGCTAATTTTTGTGTTTTTAATAGAGACGGGGTTTTACCATGTTGGCCAGGCTGATCTCGAACTCCTGACCTCAAGAAGGCTGCAGAAATTTGCATAAGTAAAAAGGAGCCAAGCGCTAATAGCCAAGACAATGGGGAAAAGTTCTTGAAGTCATTTCAGAGACTTGTGGCAGCCCCTACCATCACAGGCCTGGAGGGTTAGGAGGACAAGATGGTTTTGTGGGCCAGGCCCAGGGCCCTGCTGCCCTACACAGCCTTGGGATATTGCTCCCCACGTCCCAGTTGTGCCAGCTCAAGCCATGGATCAAAGGGGTATGGTACGGGTATAGCTTGGACCACTGCTTCAGAAAGCGCAAGCTAGAAGCCTTGGTGGCTTCCAAGTGGTGTTAAGCATGTGGGTGCACAGAGTGTAAAAGTTGAGGCTTGGGAACCTCTGCCTGGATTTCAGAGGATGTATGGAAAAGCCTGGATGTTCAGGCAGAAACCTGCTGCAGGGGTGGAGCCCTCATGGAGAAACTCTACTAGGGCAGTGTGGAGGAGAAATGTGGGCTTGGAGCCCCCACACAGAGTCCCCACTGGGGTACTGCCTAGTGAAGCTGTGAGAAGAGGGCCACCATCCTCTAGACCCCAGAATGGTAGATCCACTAGCAGTTTGCACCCTGCCCCTGGAAAAGCCACAGGCACTCAACACCAGCCCTTGAGAGCAGCCACAGGGGCTGAACCTTGCAAAGCAACAGGGGTGGGGCTACCCCAGGCTTGGGAGCCCATCCCTTGCATCAGTCTGCCTTGGATGTGGGACATGGAGTCAAAGGAGATTATTTTGGAGCTTTAAGATTTAATGACTGCCCTGCTGGGTTTTGGACTTGCATGAGGCCTGTAGTCCCTTCTTTTGGCTGATTTCTCCCTTTTGGAATAGGAGTGTTTACCCAATGTCTATACTCCCATTGTATCTTAGAAGTAAACACCTTGTTTTTGATGTTATAGGCTCATAGGCAGAAGGGTACTTGTCTTGTCTCAGGTGAGACTTTGGACTGTGGACTTTTGAGTTAATGCTGGAATGAGTTAAAATTTTGGGGGACTGTTGAGAAAGGATGATTGTATTTTGCATTGGAAGAAGGACATGACATTTGGGAGGACAGGGGCAGCATAATATGGATTGGCTCTGTGTCCTCACCAAATCTCATGCCAAACTGTAATCCCCAGTATTGGAGGTGGGGCCTGGTAGGAGGTGATTGGATCATGGGGGTGGTTTCTCATGAATGGCTTAGCACCATCCTCTTGAGGCTGCTCTCATGACAGTGAGTGTGTTCTCATGAAATCTGTTGTTTAAAGGTATGCAGCACCCCCGGCTTGCTCTCTCTTGCTCCTGCCCCTGCCATTTAAGACACCTGCTCCCACTTTGCCTTCCGCCATGATTAGAAGCTTCCTGAGGCCTCCTCAGAAGCAGAAGCCACTATGCTTTCTGTACAGCCTGCAGAAGCATGCGCCAATTAAACCCATTTTCTTTATAGATTACCCAGTCTCAGGTATTTCTTTATAGCAATTTGAGAATGGACTAACACACTTCCCATGGTAGGTACTTTTTACCCTTATTGAGATGGCTTTGTGTTCTTCCTTTTGTGCAGTTAAAATCTGCCTCTGCCTCTCTAATAGTATCCATGCCACTGGTTCCAACTATGACCTCTGGGCCCATCTGGAATAGGATTAGTCCTCCAGATTTTTGAGGATAGTACTCCTGCTCCCTCGGAGTCCTTTCCCTCTCTCTCTCTTTTTTCTTTTTTTTTTCTGAGACAGAGTCTCACTCTGTTGCCCAGGCTGGAGTCCAGTTGCACAATCTCAGCTCACTGCAACCTTTGCCACCAAGGTTCAACTGATTCTAATGCCTCATCCTCCCAAGTAGCTGAAATTACAGGCATGTGTCACCATGTCCGGTTAATTTTTTAGTATTTTTAGTACAGACAGGGTTTTATCATGTTGGCCAGGCTGGTCTGGAACTCCTGGCCTTAACTGATTCACCTACCTCAGCCTCCCAAAGTGCTGAGATTACAGGCGTGAGCCACCGCACCCAGCTTTGGAGTCTTCCCTTTTTTTTTTTTTTTTTTTTTTTGAGACGGAGTCTCACTCTGTCACCCAGGCTGGAGAGCAATGGCGTGATCTCAGTTCACTGCAACCTCCATCTCCCAGGCTCAAACGATTCTCCTGCCTCAGCCTCCACAATAGCTGGGATTACAGGCACACACCACCACACCCAGCTAATTAAAAAAATTTTTTTTTAGTAGAGACAGGGTTTCACCATGTTGGCCAGGCTGGTCTCGAACCGGAGTCTTCTCTTTTGTTTATTTAACATCCTGTGTGTTAAATGCCAATGCAGATCACAAAAGCACTGCAGAGTAAGCACTGAAAAAACACTGTTAGGAGCTATTACTTTTGGAGTGTGGGATTGTGGAGGAATGGAGATGATGGTGGTGAGAAAAAATCTTCATTTCATACCTTTCAGTACTGTTTGAAATTTTAACTGTGCATATTTATTATTTTTATTTTTAAAGAAAGTAAAATAGCTGGGCGTCATGGCTCATGTCTATAATACCAACTAGTTGGGAGGCTGTGGTGAGAGGATCGCTTGAGCTCAGACTACCCTGGGCAACATAGTGAGATCTCACCTCATTACAAAAAAAAAAAAAAAGAAGAAGAAAGGAAGTGAAATATAATATTCTAGTTGGGTTTCCAGTGGAGTGACAGTCTACTCGGGGAAGGCTCTGAGTCAGCTTCTGAAATGATGGCACGATTGACCCACGCAGCCATAGAACTTCTCAGCTCTAGTATGGGGTACTGGGAAGAATCCTGGGGTTCACTCAGACAGATCTAGGTTTCAACTGGCTCTACCACTTAATATCCCAGATTTTAGTTTCCTTAGATAGCAAAATCAAGCTATCAATTACCAGCTTTACAATCAATTGTGGACTCACTAAGACATGAAATGAAAACTTCATACATATAGGTGCTCAATACATGTTTGTTAAAATCAGTGTTGTCCTTGATCTGCCTGACTTCTCCGGCTTTTCTATCCTCTTGACTCCTTGCTACACCAACCTGAATTCTTGATAATTTAATCAGTACTCTCTATTAGCCTATCTTAGCCCTCCTCTTGTTATTAGGTTGGTGCAAAAGTAATTGCAGTGTTGCAATTAAAAGTAATGGCAAACCCGCAATTACTTTTGCACCAATCGAATAACTCCCTCATTCTCCACCCCATACCCCAGCTCCCATTTCCCATGCATCTTGTGTCCTCTAGTACAAAGCTTTGACCACAATCATACTCATAAGCCTGTCCTATACTTTCTTCTTTCTTATAATTAATGAAATCTCCTGAGATTGACTTCCAGCCCATCTGAGGACCAAATGGCAACCAAATTCCAGTACTAGTTGGTCCCTTCACTTGTTAACTCCTCAGTTCTGGCCCCTACAATCCCCAGAACTCCTGCCTACTTTGGATCCCACAGGCCTACCTGACCAACTGCTGGAAGCTTCAATGGCCCAACCATGTCCCCAGCAGAGCAGCCACAGCCTCGGCCATGCCTACATGACTAAAATACCACACTTGTGTATTATCTTTCATAGACTCTACATTCTTAGTACTTATAGAAAAACTAAGAACTCAGCTCCTCAGCCGCCCCGTCCGGGAGGGAGGTGGGGGGGTCAGCCCCCCGCCCGGCCAGCTGCCCCGTCCGGGAGGGAGGTGGGGGGGTCAGCCCCCCACCCGGCCAGCCGCCCCATCCGGGAGGGAGGTGGGGGGGTCAGCCCCCCGCCCGGCCAGCTGCCCCGTCCGGGAGGTGAGGGGCGCCTCTGCCCGGCCGCCCCTACTGGGAAGTGAGGAGCCCCTCTGCCCGGCCACCACCCCATCTGGGAGGTGTACCCAACAGCTCATTGAGAACGGGCCATGATGACAATGGCGGTTTTGTGGAATAGAAAGGGGGGAGAGGTGGGGAAAACATTGAGAAATCGGATGGTTGCCGTGTCTGTGTAGAAAGAAGTAGACCTGGGAGACTTTTCATTTTGTTCTGTACTAAGAAAAATTCTTCTGCCTTGGGATCCTGTTGATCTGTGACCTTACCCCCAACCCTGTGCTCTCTGAAACATGCGCTGTGTCCACTCAGGGTTAAATGGATTAAGGGCGGTGCAAGATGTGCTTTCTTAAACAGATGCTTGAAGGCAGCATGCTCGTTAAGAGTCATCACCACTCCCTAATCTTAAGTACCCAGGGACACAAACACTGTGGAAGGCCGCAGGGTCCTCTGCCTAGGAAAACCAGAGACCTTTGTTCACTTGTTTATCTGCTGACCTTCCCTCCACTATTGTCCTATGACCCTGCCAAATCCCCCTCTGCGAGAAACACCCAAGAATGATCAATAAAAATAAATAAATAAATAAATAAATAAATAAATAAAGAACTCAGCTCCTGCAAAGGCATGGGGTGAGACTGGGTGAGGGGATGAGCAACAGGAATAATGCATGATAAAATGCATGTAATGCCAAATGAAGAATGCTTGGTTCCCTCTAGAGCTCCCTCGTCCTCTGTAAGACAACTTAAAGTTGCACAGCAGAGCAGCAGGTGCCTAAATGCATAGCAGAATTGACTCACTGTCAGCAATGATGTGGTGCTATTTCCCTCTAAAACTGTATTGCTTTTTCAGAATATAGCAGGAAAAGTTGAAAGTTCAGTGGCCATAGGCATATGAATGAAGCCCACAGATAGGGCGGAAGGAAAGGTTACTGGTAAAGGAAAACTATTATGTAACAGACAGTCATTTAAACCTCAATAGTAGGTTTAAGTCTGAGGAAGGTAGACAGACTTTATTGAGCACTACAATCAGTTCAAAGGTTTTTGTTTTTGTTTTTGTTTTTTTTGAGACGTTGTCTCACTCTTTCACCCAGGCTGGAGTGCAGTGGTGCGGTCTCGCCTCACTGCAACCTCCGCCTCCCGGGTTCAAGTGATTCTCTTTGCCTCAGCCTCCCAAGTAGCTGGGACTACAGGCACCTGCCACCAAGCCCAGATAATTTTTGTATTTTTAGTAGAGATGGGGTTTCATTATGTTGGCCAGGCTGGTCTGAAACTCCTGACCCCAAGTGATCCACCTACCTTGGCCTCTCAAAGCGCTGGGATTATAGGAGTGAGCCACTGTGCCCGGCCCAGTTCAAAGGTTTTTCTAAACAAAATTAATATGTGAAGATTTCCTAAAAATATATTAATTAGAAAGGGCTATTTAAATCCAACTTATATTATTGTGAACAAATGAACATTTTAACAAAAGTCCACAAATGAATTTGCTCAAACTTACTTGAAAACTATTTTGACGGAAATGTTTAATATGTTTACCACCCAAACCCTTGCAGAAGCTCAATAAATATTTGTTGAATAAACGGATAGAGTGCAATATAAAATGGTGATTATTGTAAGTATAGAAAAAGGTCTGTGGGTTTATAAACATATGCTGAGCACCAAGTATGCCCCTGGGGCTGTGGAATAGCGTGGCGCATGGAATAAATGGTTCAGAGAATGTCATCTCTGGATGATGGAATTAGTGGTAACTTAATTTTTCTTTGTATTTTTATCTGGTTTTCTTTAAATAATGGATCATGGAAGGATTTTTACTCAGAAAAAAAGGTTACAATATTTCTATTTGAGGATCTAAGGATAAATGAATACTATTTACACTGCAACAGGGGTTTCAGTTTTTTTTTTTTTTTTTTTTAGACAGAGTCTTGCTCTGTCTTGTCCAGGCTGGAGTGCAGTGGTGCAATCTCGGCTCACTGCAGCCTCTGCCTCCTGGGTTCAAGTGATTCTCCTGTCTCAGCCTCCCCAGTAGCTGGGATTATAGGCGCCCGCCACCATACCTGGCTAATTTTTGTATTTTTAGTAGATGGGGTTTCACCATGTTGGCCAGCTGGTCTCTAACTCCTGACTTCAGGTGATCCACCTGCCTCGGCCTCCCAAAGTGCTGGGATTATAGGCGTAAGCTACTGCGCCCGGCCTGGTCTTCAGTTTTTGGCCAATAGGGGTGTAACGCGGGGCTTACCCTCCTGCCAGAAAAAGCAAAAACAGTGGACAAAATACGTTAAACACTGGTTTTCAAGTTATTAGACGTTAGGCAATGAAAAACAGTGATCCCTGAGAGAATGAAAACAAACAAGGGGCCCAGGTGTGGTGGCTCACACCTATAATCCCAGCACTTTGGGAAGCCAAGGTGGGTGGATCATTTGAGGTCAGGAGTTCAAGACCAGCCTGGCCAACATAGTGAAACCCTGTCTCTACTACAAATACCAAAAAATTAGCCGGGCGGTGGTGGCAGCTACTCAGGAGGCTGAGGCAGGAGAATCCCTTGAGCCTGGGAGGCGGAGGTTGCGGTGAGCTGAGATCGTGCCACTGCACTCTAGTCTGGGTGACAGAGTGAGACCCTGTCTCAAAAAAAATAAAAAATAAAACACACAAGGGCAGTTTGCCCCAGCTCACTGCCTTGACAGAGGATGCAGTGCAGAGAGGGAAGACCCAGGCGGAGCCCAGAGGACTCTCTGAGTTGAGGAGGTAGAGTTGAGAGTCTGGGGAGACCAAAGGAGTTTGAGTTTGCAGGACAGATTACCAGGGATGGGAGAGCTGCAGAGAGAAAGCACTTCAGGGATCTGCATTATGTCCCCCTTGAGAAATTAGCAGATGGGTGTATGACCCATGTGTAAATGTGAGGAAACTACTCAAAACTGGGGAACGAGCCACCTGAAAAGATTAGAGGGAAGAGTACATGGCACGCACAGGGCCAGGAAGAGTGCCTGTTCCTACCATCCACACTGGAAAACCTCACAGCTCACAGGACACTGAAGGATTTTGATCAGTAGTAAATTGGTCCTTGGTCCCATCTATCAAGTAGTAAAAGCATGACCCAAAAGGATCAAACTGCTTCCAAGTAACTTCAGTATATCCACTCAAGGTATCCCAGTGAATGACAAGCATAACAAACATGAGGAAAACTATACAAGTCACGCCTTAATCAAACTGCTCAAAACTGGAGATAAAGAGAATTTTTTTTCTTTTTTTTTTAAGATGGAGTCTCACTCTGTCACCCAGATTGGAGTGCAGTGGTGCAATCTTGGTTCACTGCAACCCCCACCTCCTGGGTTCAAGTAATTCTCCTGCCTCAGTCTCCAAAGCAGCTGGGATTATAGGCGTGCACCACCATGCCCAGCTAATTTTTGTATTTTCAGTAGAGACAGGGTTTTGCCATGTGGGCCAGGCTAGCTGGTCTTGAACTCCTGACCTCAAGTGATCCGCCTGCCTCAGCCTCCCAAAGTGCTGGGATTACAGGTGTGAGCCACCTTGCCTGGCCTCAAGAGAAAGTCTTAAAAGCAGCCACACACATACAAAAGACACATTACATTCAGAGGGACGATCTGATGGCAGATTTCCTGTCAGAAATAATGCAATGAGCCCGGGAGGCAGAGGTCACAGCGTTGCACTCCAGCCTGGGCAACAGACAGAAACTCTGTCTCGAAAAAAAAAAAAAAAAAAAGAAAGAAAGAAAGAAAGAAAGAAAAGAAAAGGACCTGATGCAAGCAAGAAGTGGAGCAATGTCTTTCTTTCTTTCTTTTTTCTTTTTTTTTGAGACAAGGTCTTGCTCTGTCACCCAAGCTGGAGTGCAGTGGTGCGATAACTCACTGCAGCCTCAACCTCCTGGGCTCAGGTGATCCTCCCACCTCAGCCTCCCAAGTAGCTGGGACTACAAGCATGCACCACCATGCCAGGGTAATTTTTTGTATTTTTAGTAGAGACAGGGTTTCACCATGTTGCCTAGGCTGGTCCCAAACTCCTGGCCTTAGAGTGATCCTCCTGCTTTGGCCTCCCAAAATGCAGGAATTATAGGCGTGAGTCACCACACCTGGCCTAAACCTCTTTTCTGTATAAATTACCTAGTCTCAGGTATTTCTTTATAGCAGTGCAAGAATGGCCTAATACAAAGACCAATCCCCTGGCTAGGCATGGGGTAGCTCATGCCTGTCATCCCAGCACTTTGGGAGGCAGAGGCGGGAAGACTGCTTGAGCTCAGGAGTTTGAGACCAGCCTGGGCAACATGGTGAAACCCCATCTCTACAAAAAATACAAAAATAAATTAGATGGGTGTGGTGGCACACGCCTGTAGTCCCAGCTACCCAGGAGGCTGAGGTGGGAGGATTGCTTGAGCCTGGGAATTCGAGGCTGCATTAAGCTGTGACTGTACCACTGCACTCCAGCCTAGGAGACAGAGTGAGACCCTGTCTCAAAAAAAAAAAAAAAAAAAAGACCAACCCTTCTCTTCTTCCTCCTCCTCAGCCCACTCAAAATGAGGATGACAATGAAGACCTTTATGATGATCCATTTCCACTTAATAAATAGTAAATATATTTCCTTTGTCCTGTGATTTTTTTTAAATAACATAAAAGGTACTCAGTCAATATTGAATAAATGAAGATGTTTTATGGGTGGGTCTAAAAGGTACCTGTCATACATTATATTGTTTCTATAGGGCAAAAACATCCTTAACATACATTATTAATCCATTTGCAACCTAGCTATTGCTTTATATGGGGCTCCAGTTGATTATACTGTGACTGGATGAAATCTTCAGGTTTCTATTTGTGAATATTGACTGTTTTCAGTGAGCAGCATGAAGAATATCATGAATTTCTAAAAATTTAGGTAATCTTTCCAACACACCAGTAAGATTTATTTATTTTTTAATTTAAAAAAAATTTTTGGGCTGGCCACAGTGGCTCACGCCTGTAATCCCAGCACTTTGGGAGGCCGAGGCGGGTGGATCACGAGGTCAGGAGATCGAGACCATCCTGGCTAACACAGTGAAACCTCGTCTCTACTAAAAATACAAAAAATTAGCCGGGCGTGGTGGTGGGCACCTGTAGTCCCAGCTACTTGGGAGGCTGAGGCAGAAGAATGGCGTGAATCTGGGAGGCAGAGCTTGCAGTGAGCCAAGATCGTGCCACTGCACTCCAGCCTGGACGACAGAGCGAGATTCTGTCTCAAAAAAAAAAAAAAAAAAATTTCTTTGGAGACAGTGTCACTCTGTCACCCAGACTGGAGTATAGTGGTGTGATCTCGGCTCACTGCAACCTCCACCTCCTGGCTCAAGCGATTCTCCTGCCTCAGTCTTCCAAGTAGCTGAGACTACAGGCACACGCCACCATGCCCTAAATTTTTGTGTTTTTTAGAAGAGATGGGGTTTCACTATGTTGGCCAGGCTGGTCTCAAATTCCTGGTCTCAAGTTAGATTCCTCTGCCTCAGCCTCCCAAAGCGCTGGGATTACAGGCGTGGGCCACAACACCTGGCCTACACCAGTAAGAGTTAGGTAGAAGTTAGCCTTACTGTCATAAAATGTATGCACTCTAGGACTCCATTCCCTTCATAACATACCTTAGGTAGCACCATACATAAAAAGAGAATCTGATCCATACTTTATTTTAAAAATAAAATAACAAGCAAACAAACATCCCTTAGAATAAAATAAAGCCCCAAATCTTACCTGCAGTGTCTTATCCAATTTGGCAGCTAGTTTTCCAATTTCATACAATAGCTGGGGGCTGACGGGAAGCTCAGCGATGGGTCTTCCTGGGAGGTAAGTCAGCAGCCTCACCAAGTAGCTTTTGATTTCAGAGCCACTATCTAAATGGATGGAATAAAATATCCTTTGACTAAATTATTTATATATATATATATATATAGAGAGAGAGAGAGAGAGAGGTATTTAGATATAACAGAATTAGAAGCTATTCTGCCTCTGCAAGTATTACTGAAAAGAACAGAAATTACAGAACAACAACAAAAATGTGCTAACCTAAAACAGCTCGGCAGGATTCTATGAAGCAGAGTTGAGTGGATGAAGCAAGAAGGTAGAATATACAAACCTTAACAACATTGGAACTGGCCATTTACATACCAACAAAATTATAGCCCTAACTCTGCTGGCCTTAGCTCTACACAGAAATTACTTACTGTGGTAAATGAAAGCAAAAACACATACTCTTTCATAAGTTCACAATTGAGGGGAGTGAGGTACAAATAAATGACTTCCAGAATCAGGCTTCTTGTGGGACAGCCTGTGTTTGCAACACAGGACAATAACTGTGTCTCAGGGACCACAATGGGCCTCACGTATTTGGAGCAATGCAAATTAAGAAAGAATGGTGAACAATTAAGAGAGAAAAAGACAATCAAGATTTCGAACCTTTAAAAAAATTTCAAGAAATTGGTTTTAGCCTGTTGCTTAAAGAGCTGAATTAGGTCCATTCTCAGCATTTTAGTATTTAGAGGTGAAAAGGGCTGTCTCACAGATGAGGACTGGCGGCCTTAGGGATTTAAGTGGTCTATGTGTCCAAGGTCACATATACAGTAATGACAAAGCTAAAATCTAAAATTCCTGATTTCCTGATTTCCAGTATTATATTCTTTCTACTATACCACAACACCAGAATTTATAGCTTCTCTAAATAATAAAAATGTTTTATTATTTTTCTGGTTAAAAAAAAAAACAAAAAAACAGGCCAGGCATGGTGACTCATGCCTGTAATCCCAGCACTTTGGGAAGCCAATGAAGGCAGATCACTTGAGGCCAGGAGTTCAAGACCAGCCTGGGCAACATGGCGAAACCCTGCCTCTACAGAACACTACAAAATTAGCTGGGCGTGGTGATGCATGCCTGTAGTCCCAGCTACTCAGCAGGCTGAAGTGGGAGGATCACCTGAGCCCAGGAGGTCAAGGCTGCAGTGAGCTGTGACTGCGCCACTGTACTCCAGTCTGGGTGATAGAGTGAGACCCCTGTCTCAAAAAACAAACAAACAAATAAAAAATCCCAAAACCACCAACAAAACAAACAAAAAATACGAAACAAACAAAAAATATTCCCCTGATTTCCACAAGTCCCCTTAGTTACTATCTGTCAGGGCCTTTCTAAACAGAAAACTTATACCACATTGGGCTCTAACCACTACTCAATCAGAGGACCAATCACCACTTTGATGACGCTGTAGCTTCTCCCAGCACCGAAAACACAACCACCTCTAAGGGTGTACTATTGAGGTGCTAAAAAATAATAACAACCACATCTACACTTGGAATTATGAACCTGCTCTTCATAGTTCTACTTGTGGCCAAAATGCAGTGATGTGTCTGGATAGGTAATGGATCGGCGAATTGGTCATCTCTTACCTACAGACACGAGAGAAGCTGTGTTGTCTCCTTTAGTGTGACACACAGAGGCTGTTGGAAATCCAGCGGCTTTCAGAAACATGATGATGTGATTCTGCACTTCAATCAGGTCTGGATTTTTGCTAGCCTTGGTGTTGCTTATTTTGAGGACATATTCAGTTGGGCCATCTTTGGTTTTTGAAACGTAGACATGAAAGTTTTGGTCATCATAGCTAGGAAGTGGCCGGACCTTGGAAACTTTCAACCCAAACACTGACTCCACTAACGCAGAGGCTTGTTCCTCACTGAAAGTGGGTTTGCTAAGAGCCTCTGACTGCTGATAGTTTCCACTTGACATTATGTCTAGGGGAACAAAAAGCAACAAACAGAAAGGGGACACAGGATGAATATATTTATTTAAATGATTTTTCTCAAGACAGACCAGTAATGTTTCTGTTGATTCTGTACTTCTTTTGATTGTTAAGTTTTACTCATAAAGTTAAAAAGAAAATCAAATCAGTGAATAAGATCAAGAAGTAGATGATTTGACAACTGCATACAAATTCTTATAGGACAAATTATTTTTAAACTTACCTCCCAAACACAGACTAGGAAAGCACCTTGGTATCACTTCGTCCATTCCCTCCTCCTCCCCCATTAATTTTATAGGGGAAATTTTGGTCCTGAGAGGTTAAGTGACTTGCCCAAAGTTACATATTAAGTCACAGTAAGAATTCAGCTCTGGGGCTGGACGTGGTGGCTCGAGCCTGTAATCCCAGCACTTTGGGAGGCTGAGGCAGGCAGATCACCTGAGGTCAGGAGTTTGAGACCAGCCTGGCCAACATGGTGAAACCCTGTCTCTACTGATAATACAAAAATTGGCTGGGCGTGGTGGTGGGCGCCTGTAATCCCAACTACTCGGGAGGCTGAGGCAGGAGAATCACTTGAACATGGGAGGTCGAGGCTGCAGTGAGCCAAGATCGCACCACTACACTCTAGCCTGGGCAACAGGGCGAGACTCCATCTCAAAAAAAAAAAAAAAAAAAGAAAAAGAAAAAAAAGAAAAAAAGAATTCAGCTCTCCAGACTTCTAATCCATGATTATGTCCTTTTGACTATATTCCTACCGTCTTAGGTTAAACAATAAATTCAAATACAGTGATCTTTTATAGTAACAGTTTGGTTAAATTATAAGATCATCTAATTTATTACACATATTTCAAATAGAAAAATGTAGACTGATGAGCTAAGTATTGTGTGAGTCACTGGAGGAGATAAGGCCAGAGAACCAAAGAAAACCCTGTATTAACTATACGTATTAACCTGAAATGACTGAATCAACACTGAAGTGACTGAGTTTACCTTAAATTGTAAAGAATATGTTTTCCACTGCTGAGAGGAATAGGGGCTTAAAATTAAAATTAAGGTCAATTACAAAAAATAAAGTTACATTTGAGTTTGTGACCTATGAAATTAATATCTGCCAAAACTGTGACAGAAGCTGAGAGGGAGAGAAATTACTACAGCCTAAGGGAAGACATTCTTGAGAAGATAGATTTGAATTTTTATCTTTAAAGATAGAGATGGGGGTCTCACTTTGTTGCCCAGGTTGGTCTCAAACTCCTGGTCTCAAGCGATCCTCCCACTTACGCCTCCCAAAGTGCTGGGATTACAGGTGTGAGCCACTGGACCTGGCCTGAATTGATTTTTTTTTTTTTATTTTTTTCAGACAGGGTCTTGCTCTGTCGCCCAGGCTGGAGTGCAATAGCATGACTACAACTCACTGCAGCCTCAACCACCAGGCTCAATGATCCTGAACCTCAGCCTCCTAGGTGGCTGGGACTACAGAAGCCACCATATCAGGCTAATTTTTTGTATTTTTTGCAGAGACAGGCTTTCACCATGTTGGCCAGGCTGGTCTTGAATTTCTGGGCTTAAGTGATCTGCCTGCCTCTGCTTTGTAATCCCAAAGTGCTGGGATTACAGGCATGAGCCACCACGCTGGGCCTTGAATTTTTAAGTATGATTTGGATACATGGGCGGGGGAGGAGACTGTTTTCTTTCTCTTGGTAATTCCACCCTCTGCTACCCACACCTGGTATATTTTCTGAGCATCCAGCTACATATGAAAGACAATGTAGGTCTTCTGAACATGCTTCAGGAACCAAATATTTAAGGTCGTTAGAATCTCATGCTGTTTTCCCAAAATAGTTTTATTCTAATCCTTCTTTCATACTAAGTTGTAAATAATTGATAACATCGTGAGGGTGAGCTGCATTTTAGGGTATGTTTTGATTGCTGTTCAGGGGATACAGTACTATATAAAAATAATCTTATGGGCTGGGCACAGTGGCTCATACCTGTAATCCCAGCCAGCACTTTGGGAAGCCAAGGTGGGAGAACACTCAAGGCTAGGAGTTCGAGACTAGTCTGGGCAACATAATGAGACCCGCTTCTCTATTTAAAAAAAAAAAAAAAAAAAAAAAAAAGAATCTCATGAAGAGTTAGCTTTTGTGGAAAGTGGAAGATGTATTGCTTCTGACAGGGAAGGGGCATGAGAGAACTTTCTGAGAGGCAAGTGTTCTACATCTTGATTAGGCTTTGGCGACATGGCTTACATTTGTCAAAACTTAACTTAAAACCTAAGTAAACTAGTAAGATCTGTGAATATCACTGAATGTAAAATTTACCTCTAAAAAAGAAAGAGCGCTTCTGAGAAATTGGCTAGGACAGAGGAGGTGGATCTTAGGACTTTCTTGGAACTCTAAAAATCAGACCATATGCCTGTTAATGCCTAATTTATTTGGCTGTATCATAGCAAAAACCCACCTAACTCCAGTGAGGGAAAGGGGATAACATTCAGGGAGATATACCAGAAATCTCCTATATGACCCCCTCCCTGCCTCAGTCCTAGGACTATGGCCTGATGACTCAAGTTAAAATAAGGGTAGGTAAAGACAGTGGTTCACGCCTGTAATCCCACCACTTTGGGAGGCTGAGGTGGGTGGATCACCTGAGGTCAGGAGTTTGAGACCAGCCTGGCCAACATGGCGAAACCCCATCTCTACTAAAAATAAAAATAAAAATAAAAAAAAAATTAGCCGGGCATGGTGGCCGGCGCCTATAATTCCAGCTACTCAGGAGGCTGCGGCAGGAGAATCACTGGAACCCAGAGGGGTGGAGGTTGCAGTGAGATGAGACTGCGTCACTTCACTCCAACCTGGGCGAAAGACCAAAATTCCATCAAAAAGAAAGAAAAGTAAAGAAAAGAAAGAAAAGAGAGAAGAGAGAGCAAGAGAAAGAAGAAAGAAAGAAAGAAAGAAAAGAAAGAAGAAAGAGAGAGAGAGAAAGAAAGAAAAGAAAGAAAGAAAAAAAAAGAGAAGAGAAAATAAGGGAGAGGTAACCCTCAAACGCTAACCACCCCCTAGCCCCTGCCATGGCCTTCCCTGATCCTCCTACCCAAAGTGATTGCTCCAGCCTCTTAACTTGCATAGCTTGTGCCACTGATCGGTTTCCATCACCTGTTACTGCAAGTTAATGCCTTCTTGACAATCATGTTTCCTGTTTACTTTCTAACCAGGCATTTGCTTTCAGAAGCAAGTTAAGCCGTTCAGATTTTGTTCACTGAAGGTACTGTGACAAAGCCTAAATGGAGTTTCAAAACAATCTTTGCACTTGAAACTTCTGGGAACCAACATATCCTGTCACACTGTATTTAGGCTTAAAACTTTACAAGGAATTTTAACATTCTTTCTGGAGATATGTAAACTGGTATAAGGTAAGTATTCAAAATGCAATATGGACTGAAGCATTAACTCCAAGATGAAATCCTGGAGTCATTTTCAACTCCCAAAGCGTTAACGATGTCAGAACAATTCTGAATTTGAAATGAATGATAAGTTCTTAAAGTTGTAAGGAACCTTAGAGGCAACTGGTGAAGGCCAATCTCCTTTCTATTCCAGATGTTCCCATACAATCTTTGACTTGTTAAGCTCCTCTTAGGAGAGCGCTGTTTTCCATAGCCATGTAAAGCAAGGTTGTTAGCTCTGGCCATCCAAATAGACTGATGTAATAAAAGGCTGTGCTGGGAGAAATAGGACATATTTTAGTCCCAGTTCTGCTACCTAACCTCTGAAACTCTGGACTAGTCATGTCTCCTCTAAAACAGAGTTGGATTAGATTATTACTAAAAGTCTCCTCTAGCTCTAGTATTCCATGCCACTAAAGTTCTTTAAGTTCGCCTTTTTTCTTTATATAAGCGCTCCATATCATAGAACTAATGGCACAGATCAAGTCAACTCTTGAGAGTAAATAAAAACAAAGAAAAAAATATGTTTATCAGACATGTCTGTCTTAACCAAATGTCTCCTTTGTATGGAGGGGAATTTTTTTTTTTTTGTTTTTGAGACAAGGTCTCTGTCACCCAGTCTGGAGTACAGTGGCACAATCACTGCTTACTGCAGCTTCCAACTCCTGGGCTCAAGGGATCCTCCCACCTGAGCTTCCCAAATAGCTGGGACTGCAGGCAGGTGCCACCATGCCTGGCCTTTTTTTTTTTTTTTTTTTTGGAGAGAGAGGGTCCCACTATGTTGCCCAGGCTGGTCTCGAACTTCTGGGCTCAAGCAATCCTCCTACCTTGGTCTCCCAAAGTGCTGGGATTACAGGTGCAAGCCATCATGGCTGTCTTTTTGATTTTATTATTTTTATTTTTTTAGAGACAGTGTCTCGCTATGTTGCCCACTCACACATTTTTAAAAATTATTAACTTTTTTTCCTACTTCATTGAAAGGGAGAGGAGGAATTCAGGTACTATAGGCTGTTGGTCTATATATCCGGCCAACAGTATTTAGCTCCTGAAAAAGCCCGCAGGAAGCAAGTGTGATTTCCAACTCCAAGATCTGCGTCAGAATCTCACCACCTTTGTCCTGCAGCCGGGAGGGGGCTGGAACTTAAGCTCTGTACTTTGTGCAAAGTATACCAGACAAGAAACAGGAGTCATTCTTGATTCTTTCCTGTCCCTCACTCCCAACGTGTAACAAAGTCTAGTAAATTCTACCTTAGCATGTCTTCCAACTCTACCTTTCTTCTCCTACATTCCCTTTTGCTGCGTCCTTCCAAGGGATTATACCCAGTCAATCTCTGTATTCTCAGCCCCTAGGCTAGTCCCTTATTTAATATTAAATGGTGAACCAAGGGTGACCTTCATTCCACAGACTCACGGGGCAGTTCAACCCCAAGGGGATCATGAAACAGAAAGGTGGGGAATCTAGCATCTGCAGTTTTTCAAAGACAACAGTGCATTACTAGGTGCTTTTAAGGGTCTTCCTGGTGGGTGAAGGGGAAAAAGTGGTGGGTGAGCGGGCTGCAGAGGGGCTGCTGAACCAAGAGGCAGGAAAAGAGAGGAGGAGGGCGCATGAGTAAGTGAGGTTCAGCGGAGCTCAGAGACTGCTCCCAGTAGACACCGGCCAGGCGCCGGCACAGCCCTCGGCCAGCGACCCCACACAGACCCGGGAGGGCTGGCCTCGACAGCTTCTCGGGTGCCACGCTTTCATTCTGGGGGCCCAGCTCAGCCCTCCTAGGTTACAGGTGAGGTCCGGGAAGAAGGGTGACTTGCCCATCACGCACGCAGCGAGCTGAGGATAGCGCGGGCTGGAGGAGCCTGAGGCATAGGACTCCCGGCTCCACACTTGCAGCGAGCCTCCCTGCCCTCGGGGGCGACCCCGACTCCCGCAGCGGGGACGCAGGGCTCGTCTCTGCTTCCCCCTCCTTGGCTCACCGGCAGCGACCCGACGTCCTGGGGTGGATCCCGCTTTCCCGCAGACAGGTAGTGCGGCCTCGGCCGCGCACCGGCGCTAGGAGGTAGAGCAGGGGCCGCAGCGCCCGCGCCCCTCCTCCAAGCCCCGCGAGTCCTGACTTCTGATTGGCTCCTCCCGGTCCCTCGCCGCCCAGTCAGCGCAGACTACTGGATTTTTTTCCCGGCCCCGCCTAGGAGGCTGCGAACAGAAATTCAGAGATTCGGCTTCTGTTGACTTTCTGCAACTCCGCCCAGCCTTCTCACAGTGAGTATCCCAGTCAGAATCCGGCTACCTTTTCATGAACCGGACTCCTTATTCCTGATTGGCTCTCCGGGTTGCCGCCCCACCCCGAGTGGGCAGGCTTTCGGCTCTTGAGTGGCACCTCCGAGTTTCGCAGGGTCCACGTTGTCGTGGCGGTAACACTGACAGCTCCTCACCCGCATCCACGTTTTTGTTTCCTAGCCTTCATTCCTTCTGTTGGAGGCACGTATCCTGGAAGTGATACGCTTAGAAAGCGTGGCCCCAGAGAGACTCGCAATCCCAGCCCCAGGAACTGTAAGGGTCCTGATTGGAAGGCCTGAGTAAGGCCTGGCTGCGTTCCGCAGGAGGATGCTGGAATGTTAGAACCCGAACAGTTTAGGCAGGGCGCAGATGGCTCACGCCTGTAATCCCAGAAATTTGGGAGACCGAGGCGGGAGGATCACCTGAGGTCAGGAGTTCGAGACCAGCCTGGCCAACATGGTGAAACCCCTCTCTACTAAAAATACAAAAATTAGACTCAGGGGGTATGTCTGCAGCTGCAGAAAGATGTATGGGAACAGACACACAACTCTCCCTCCGAGATAAGCACAACAAAGAGACACAGAAGCAGTCCAAGCCTCTGATAAACTCTCCCACTCCGAATCCTTAAAAACTTACTTAGTCTGTAAGAGAGTGTGCCTCTGACCTAACTTGGCCAGACGCCCCTCTCAGGTTTTCTCTAAAATAAACCTCTTATGACCACCAAGCCACTTTTCGTGTTTCTTTCCTCTTTCTTTAATTCTTACACCGAGTAGTTGGGATTACAGGGGCCCACCACCACGCCTTTATCTAGGTAGTGGAATCAGTGGGCTCTCTTTCTGCAGGAAAGTCCGCAGAGACCCCATGATTTTCAGAAAGCTGCACGAGATTCATGGAGTAACAGCCAGGTTAGTTGGATGGTCTTAACTGTTAAGGGCATGAGGCGCTGATAAACAGCTTGATGCCCTTCTCCAGCCAAGCAGGACTTCTCCGATAAGTCAGAGCCCTCTATCTACTGTAGGCTACTGGAAGAGAGTCCTGGGTACTGGTCCACTCATGCCTGCAAATTGGTTTCTTATTTTGTTTTTGCCAATGCACATCCACCCTTTGTTTTCTGTCAGGATATAACACACTCGGATTATCTATAGTCACCCTGATTAACTTGGATGATTCCCAGACCCCTATCAACCACCTACTGAGGGAAGCTTCTTCTCCTGCTTTAGATATGGTTCTTACCTGCTTCACTTCTAATCTCCAAAAGGCAGGGCTGTTTTTCACAACCCCAGGGGAACATAATTAATATCTCATTCCTTTAGATTGTCAAAGAGTGATTTTGACTTGGATTTTTCTGTAACCAGAATTGGAATCCTATTGGCTCCCTTAGGCCCCTCTGCATGCTTTTTGCCTTGAGTGGCTTCTGAGTTATTTCCACCTGTCATTATTCCAGCTCTACTGGTCTTTCTCTACTTCTCTTGGGATGAGGGAATGGGAATTAAGATTGAATCTGGAAATTGTGAGAATTGGAGGCAGGGCTATTGGATCCACAACTGCCCTCTTTGGTATGTGCATTTCCACTCCCTGAATTCTTCTGAAATATAGTATTTGGTAGGGTGTGGTGGCTCACGCCTGTAATCCGAGCATTTGGGGAGGCCGATGGAGGTGGCTTACTTGAGTTCAGGAGTTTGAGACCCGCCTGGATAACATGGTGAAACCCCATCTCTACTAAAAAGACAAAAATTAGCCGTGCGTGGTGGCTAGCGCCTGTAATCCCAGCTCCTAGGAGGCTGAGGTAGGAGAATCGCTTGAACCTGGGAGATGGAGTTTGCAGTGAGCCGAGATCGCACCACTGCACTCCAGCCTGCATGACAGAGCAATACTGTCTCAAAAAAGAAAAAAAAAAATGTACTTTGTAAATTGCCTTTTTCACTTTAAGTGACCATTTCCTTGTTTTAAAGAATATCCTCGGCCGGGCGCGGTGGCTCACGCCTGTAATCCCAGCACTTTGGGAGGCCGAGGCAGGCGGATCACAAGGTCAGGAGATCGAGACCATCCTGGCTAACACGGTGAAACCCCGTCTGTACTAAGAATACAAAAAAATTAGCCGGGCATGGTGGCGGGCACCTAGAGTCCCAGCTACTCGGGAGGCTGAAGCAGAATGGTGTGAACCCAGGAGGCGGAGCTTACAGTGAGCCGAGATCGCGCCATTGCACTCCATCCTGGGCGACGGAGCGAGACTCCGTCTCAAAAAAAAAAAAAAATAATAATATCCTCATACATAAATCTTTCGTGCACTTTATGTGTTTAAAACTGCTCAGCATCATATTACTAGGTATAAGAGAATAAACACTTTTAAGGCCTTTTTATTTTTTGAGACAGGGTCTCACTCTGTCACTCGGGAGTGCAGTGGCGTGATCTCAGCCCACTGCAACCTCCGCCTCCTGGGGTCAAGGGATCCACCCACCTCAGCCTCCCGAGTAGCTGGGACTACAGGTGCGCATCACCACGTCCGGCTAATTTTTTGTAGAGACGGGTTTCGCCATGTTTCCCAGGCTGGTCTTGAACTCCTGGGTTAAGCAATCCTCCCACCTCAGCCTGGCAAAATGTTGGGATTAGGGGCGTGAGCCACTGCACCCGGTCTAAGCCTCTTAATACATGTTGTCAAATCATGTTTTCCTCTCAATAATACCAACATTGGATTTTAAACATTTACAACATTTACAACATTTTAAAAAGTTCCACCAATGTAAGACAAGATGCGTTGTCATTTTTTTTTTTTTTCTTGAGACAGAGTCTTGCTCTGTCGCCCAGCCTGGAGTACAACAGTGCGGTCTCAGCTCACTGCAACCACCGCCTCCTGGGTTCAAGCGATTCTCCCGCCTCAGCCTCCCGAGTAGCTGGGACTACAGGCACATGCCACCATACCCAGCTAATTTTTGTATTTTTAGTAGACACGGGGTTTCACTATGTTGGCCAGGCTGGTCTCGAACTGACCTCGTGATCCGCCCGCCTTGGCATCCCAAAGTGCTGGGATTACAGGTGTGAGCCACCGTGTCCGGCCAGATATGTCATTTTAAGCGGGGCATGGTGTTGCATGTCTATAGTCCCAGCTACTCCAGGAGGCTTGGGCAGGAAAAGTGCTTGAGCCCAGGAGTTCGAGGTCAGCCTGGGCCACATAGTGAGACCCGTTTCTAGGGGGGAAAAATGTCATGTCATTGTATTAACGTTTCTTCAGTTGGCTACTGGAGCACTTTTAAGTAGTTGCTCTCAAACATAGCTCAGTGGCTGGTCATGGTGGCTCATGCCTGTAATCCCAGCAGTCTGGGAGGCTGAGGTGGGAGGACTGATTGAGGCCAGGCGTTCAAGACCAGCCTGGGCAACACAGTGAGACCCCCACCTCTATTTTTATAATTTTTTTAAAAAAGAGCTCAGCGATAAAAAAAAAAAAAAAACAAAACTGGAGTGAAACAAAATGAACAATTTGCAGTGAGATTATGGACATGATTTTACATTATAAAACAATGTCTCATAAAACAATATCCCAGCAGTTTTATGATACTTCCTTTATATATTACAAGTTGTTTAAAATGCTCAAAATTGGCTTTAGTTTCCACGGTGGGCTACAGCTAAAGCAGCACTTAGAGGAAAATTTAAATATTTACATTTACATTGGAGGAAAAGTGTTACAAAGCTGGGGGAAAGGAGGAAATTAAATAAGTAACAGAAAGGAAATACTTCAGAGCAGAAACCAATAAAACAAAACAAACCGGGCACGGTGGCTCATGCCTGTAATCCCAGCACTTTGGGAGGCCCCGGTGGGCGGATCACAAGGTCAGGAGTTTGAGACCACCCTGGCCAACATGGTGAAACCCCGTCTCTACTAAAAATACAAAACAAATTAGCCAGACATGGTGGCGCATGCCTGTAATCACAGCTACTCGGGAGGCTGAGGCAGGAGAATCACTTGAACCCGGGAGGTGGAGGTTGCAGTGAGCCGAGATCGCACCATTGCACTCCAGCCTGGGCAACAGAGCCAGATTCCGTCTCAAAAAGAAAAAAAAAAAAAAAAAATCCAAAACCAAAACCAAACAAAAAACCAGAAAACAATGGAGAAAATAATGTAAAAAATTGGCTCTTTAAAAAATTAACTCAATTTCTAACCCTTTAGAAAGACTAATCAAGGAAAAAAAAGAAAACACAAATTACCAATATTGGTAATAAAAAGGGACCCTGCCACAGATCATATAGATATTGATAGGGAAATACTGAAAAAAATGCTTAAAATTCAGTACTAACACCACATAAACACAAAATTCACAGTGACAACACACTTATTTAAAAGACAGGGTCTTGCTGTCACCCAGGCTGGAGTGCAGTGGCATAAATCATAGCTCACTGCAGCCTCAACCTAGGCTCAAGCGATCCTCCTGCCTCAGCCTCCCAACTAGCTGGGACTACAGGTGCACAGCACCACACCAAACTAATTATTATTATTTTTTAAGAAACAGGGTCTTGCTATGTTGCCCAGGGTGGGGTCAAATTCCTGACTTCAAGTGATCCTCCTGCCTCCTGCCTTGGCCTCCCAAAGTGTGAACCACCTCGCCTGGCCACACTTGTCATTATACCAGCAAATTTTGTGAGAATTACATATGCATCTGCTTTTGCAATAAATGCATTTTTCAAGTACAGAACACAGGTTTACAACATACATCAAATCAAAATGGTAAATCTGAAGCTACTTTGTAATTAAAAAGCAAAATTAGCATCAAGTGAAAACTGTAAACCAACTAAATGCTACACTGATGAAGCTCTTAAGTTTCCTCCTAGACTGCATATTCAAACTATCAGCTTGTGCCTATGTTGGTATTAGCCTTTAGGTAATGCAAACTTCTTAGAATACTAAATTGGAATCCTTAGAAAATTCTAATAAAGTGCCAATTATGGTTTATGATTACTGAATTCTAAGAAATAAACCTTACTCTTTTAGGTTGCTAATAATAGTGGGAAGAAAGGATACGTCTTTTTGGATGAGTGTCCCCGCCCAAATCTCATGTCGGATTGTAATCCCCAGTGTTGGAGGTGGGGCCTGGTGGGAGGTGACTGGATTATGGGGGTGGTTTCTTATGGTTTAACACCATCCCCCTTGGTGTTGTCCCAATAGTGAGTTCTCCTGAGATCTAGTTGTTTAAAAGTGTGTGGCACCTCCCCTGTCTCTCTGTTCCTCCTGCTCTGGCCACGTGAAGTGCTTGCTCCCACTTAATCTTCCACCTTGATTGTAAGTTTCCTGAGGCCTCCCCAGAAGCCAAGCAGATGCCAGCATCATGCTTCCTGTACATCCTGCAGAACCATGAGCCAATTAAACCTCTTTTTAAAATAAATTACCCAGTCTCAGGCATTTCTTTATACCAATGCGAGAACAAACAAATACACCTGGGATCCTGGCTCCCAGCTTCCGATGACTTGTTTCATGAACACTAATGAACGGGCAGCACAGGGAGCAGGCATCCTCAGCTGCTCCTGGATGGCATCTGGATGGCGGGACATTTCATTTTTGCTTTTTTTTTTTTTTTTTGAGACAGAGTCTCACTGTTTCGCCCAGGCTGGAGTGCAGTGGCGTGAACTCTGCTCACTGCAAACTCTGCCTCCCGGGTTTATGCTATCCTCCTGCCTCAGCCTCCCAAGTAGCTGGGACTACAGGCGCCCGCCATCATGTCCGGCTAATTTTTTTGTATTTTTAGTACAGACAGGGTTTCACTGTGTTGGCCAGGATGGTCTCGATCTCCTGACCTCGTGATCCGCCTGCCTCGGCCTCCCAAAGTGCTGGGATTACAGGCGTGAGCCACCGTGCCCAGCCGGATGGCAGCATATTTTTTACATCATGTTGTTTTATTTTCAACTACTACAAAACAGAACAAGAATCAAATGTGATAATACAATTTTCTTTATTAAAAATAATTTACAGCATCAGTAACATATACACAATTGTCATCAACTGAACTTTGCCTCCAATATATTTCTATACAATACTTAACATTATTGAACTTAAAACTGTTACACTGTTTTGTTGGCTTTAAATAATAGACAATGATTTTTGTCTATTACTTAGTGATAGACAAAGTGATTACTTTGTTACTTAAGTGAGATATATGGTTTCATAGCCACATATTATGTGTAAAATTGATAGAAACGTCAGCAATATCACTCTTTAGGGGAAAAAACACTGAAAAGCCAAAGTCCACCCTCTTCTTCTCTCTTATTACTCCAACCAAACTAAGATAGGATAAACATCCAGTATCTTAGTATCTCCTCCTAAACCTAAAGACAAAAGAAAGGTGTCTTCTATTCAACCACAGAAAAATGTCAAATAATTTCTTCTCATCCTCTCACTCATCACTGTGAAAGCAAATGCACACGACCTTGTTACCATATATGCAGGCAACTATGATTCTGATTTAGGTCCTAGCTTTACTTTCCTTTAGTACAACTGTTGTTTGATTACCAACGAAAAACTAAGCAATCTGGCTAGAGGGATACTAGTACCTTCTTTCAAATGTCAGCATGGAGATAAAACAAAATAGTGATAACTGTCATCTTAGAAACTTTTTAGATATAATAATGGCAATTCAGTGGCTGGATGACATTTCCATTGATTCCATTGTATAAGAGTAGCAAAACCCCAAAATATGAAAATGGCAATGATATGTAGCATAATGTTTTCAAAGTATAAAAAAAACCCTGCTGTTGGTAGTGACCTTTGAAATTGTACTTTAAGCTTACAACACTGATTTGCTTTTCTTGTGTGTCTGACATTACACTTCCTTTTTTTTTTTTTTTTTTTGGTAACACAAAATTACCCAAGGTATAGTAAACAAAGAAGACACAGACAATAAAAACTAACAGATGCCACATTTTGCAAACATAGCATTTGGCTAGAGGCAGAATTATAAGGTATACATATTAAAACATACATCCAAGACTCTCCTCCTCAATTTGAAACCATGTTTATCAAGTTTTTACTTCATTGTATATAAGCCAAAAAATTAAGAGAACCTTGATTTGTTCCTGAAATACAAGATTTGCTTGTATTATTACTGGACCAGGTAGACTGGATATGTGAATGTTTAATTCATAGTTAGCTAGCTTTACCATCATCTCCTGAATCAGCTGCTGAGGATGCCTGTGCCTCTGCCCATAACTATATATAGAGTATGCTTTCAAAACAATATAGGCCGGGTGTGGTGGCTCACACCTGTAATCCCAGCACTTGTGGAGGCCAAGGCGGGCGGATCACGAGGTCAAGAGATTCAGATCATCTGGCCAACATGGTGAAACCCCATCTCTACTAAAACTACAAAAATTAGCTGGGCGTGGTGGTGCATGCTTGTAGTCCCAGCTACTCAGGAGGCTGAGGCAGGAGAATCCCCTGAACCCGGGAGGCGGAGGTTGCAGTGAGCCAAGATCGCGCCATTGCACTCCAGCCCAGCCACAGGGCAAGACTCCGTCTCAAAAAACAAAACAAAACAAAATAGATTTGTTTCCCCCTGCACAATCTGGAATTACCATTTCTTCAGAGCACATACAGGCATTTCATCTTTCAACCTGTAATTTCTCCTAACTCATGTTTTCATGTAAATTAAAAACACATGCACTAACAAATAAATATACAGCATATATCAAGAACACAATATAATTTGAAAGTGTCGAAGAAAATACTTATACAAAATTTAAATAAAGAAATCATTTTGTCGAACTCTAGTCCATCTTATTGTCTAAACACATATTTGCAAAATATTTTCAAAAGATTGTATGATTATGTGCAAAGTTCTTAGTGGTCTTCATCCACTGGTTTGGTAGTTTCAGCATTTTGCTTACAACAAGTAATTCTTTATGCAATGTGAACTAATTCTGAATTGCAGTAACTAACTAGGTCATAGAAAGATATCTATGTGAAAAAAAATCACTACAATTAACCTTTAGCCTGCTAGACTTAGTTTCTTAATTAAAAAAACAGTATAGAACCTTCTATAATTAATTTTCCAACCTTTTTAAAAAAAATTACCAAACATCTTGTTGACAGAACATTTGATGTGATGGGCAGACATGCATATTGAGGATATATAGTACTCAGCAACAACTTAAGTGTTTTATCCTTACGGTCAGCTTTGGTTAAAACAGTAACATAACAAAATTAATAGAATCATGCATCGCAGGTGATAAATGATTCAAAATGACAGGAAATCAATTTAATTAAGAAATAGCAACACTTAAAAAATGCATAGGGTTGAGCACCCGTATTATTGAGGGTGGATAATTTAAATGTATAGAAGAAATCAGTTCAGAGTTTAATGATTGAATAACATTCTCTTTAGCAACTATGAGTGTGAAATTTTGGTTAATGATACCGAAAATATTAGGTTATAGGAAGTTACAGTATTACATAAGGTGAGCAAAAT
The DNA here is from genome assembly GCF_000001405.40 of Homo sapiens. Classification (NCBI taxonomy): domain Eukaryota; kingdom Metazoa; phylum Chordata; class Mammalia; order Primates; family Hominidae; genus Homo; species Homo sapiens. Next base: position 78,498,923 of record NC_000015.10, on the reverse strand, counting down.
AATCTAATCCAATTAATATAACGCCATCTGGGGGCTTGCCAGACAGTCACAGTGGCAAACTGCTGAAATATGAAAGGCTGCATCATATGTGATACATATTCCCACTGCTAATACATGGTGCCACACAATCAGTTGTATCCTGCCATGGTCCATCTTCATATGTGGAGGGAACCTTGGCTGGATTGGACAGAATGATTGTGACCTGGGGCAGGTTCCATCCCTTGCAGTTAGACTAAGGATAAACCTGGTTATATGACAAACTAAGAATGCCAAATGTGTCCAGCTCAATTCTGAAGAGGAATTAATATACTTAAAAGGTCCATTTATAAATGAGATTCCAATGGCCACAATTTTAGAGTCTAATCTGGCTTCTTATATTTCAATCTGCTACTCTTAAACCAACAAACAGTAGTACACAGTTTTATTGGTGCAAAACTAAACAAATCCAGGAAGGTTATTCATATAAGAATCTTCAACACAAATTCTGCCTTTATTTACAAAATGGTCTGATAAAATATCGCCCCCCCCCCATACTTACAGGTCTCTTCCACAACACACTTCACACGTTGATTTTAGCAATATTAATAGCACCATTCGTATATTATTTAAAATCAAGAAGATTTCATTTCAGTTACTATGTTGATTCATCATCATTTACATCCATGGATGAGATAAGTGAGTATACTGGGACTATCTGCTGCTCCATGGTAAGGATTCCTGGGTCCAGCACAAAAGGCTTTGCAGTTACCAGTTATGAAAGGTATCTATGGTAAGTAGATACTATGAGAATTTTCGTGCCACAAAGTTTAATAATCCTCCATGTTTGTATAATGTTATTTCCACATCATCTTCAAACGAAGCAATCACGCTGAATACTTTTCCAGTGCTTGTCTTGAAAGGAGCAAAAACATCTCATGTGAGCAAGTAAATCTTCCAGGTGCTACTTGATGGTTAAGACCATTTGTCTTCATATTTAATGACTATACTTGCCACAGATTCTGTCTGATTTATCTTGGTTCTAATTTCTTATATTCTGATTGCCTGAAACTTTGCTGCTGCTTGAAAAACACCTGAGATACCTGACCATGGGCTTCATAGTTAAGTAGAAAAATAGCTGCATTTAGATTTTGACTTATTAATTGGGGAAGTTATACTCACTACTCACATTCATTTTACACCAAATATTGATTGCATGTAATCAGTAACTCCTACTCTTTCCCCTTTTTTCTTAGTTGTAAAGTCTGTTTTGCTCTAACTTTGAACGCTCAACTTTGCTCTCTTTGGAGTGGTATGTATGCCTCGGTTAAAATTAGATCAGGACAGCAAAAAAATGACCACCATGAAAAGAAAGCTGACACTTGTTAAGTGGAAGTCAAGATTCCCCTTCATGTGTTCTTTTTTTCTGGTATAAGCACCCAGTTCTTTCCACTTTTCCTCAGAGAACATGAACTATTAACATAGCTAGATCTAAGTATGGAAGAGAGAGTCATCTTAAATGGCAACTTAACATTCATTAAGTGACATTAGTATATAATTTACAGCAATTGATTCTTATTCAATAATTCATAAACATTTGAGTGCATAATCATATATTTGAAAAATTTAGAGATACCTGTATATTCAATGTAATTCCAGGAGACAGTTCTTCAGGAAATGTTAAAGAAAATGTTTCTCTACCGGAGAGGCCCAAGGAATCTGCATTTTCTCCTGGAAGGAACTGAAGTGGAGCTATGCCAATTCCAATCAAATGATCTTTGTGTATTTTTTCATAACTTTCGGCCAAAACAGCTTTCACACCCTGTAATAAATGTGCATTTTATTCCCTCTAATCACTTCTGAAAGTTATTTATTGAGCATTTAAAGGGGGCAAAAATCTACTTTGGCCTTTCTCTAAATACTTTTAGTCTAATATCTCATACTGAATCAATATTTTATCAAAGTATTTACAGAACCTTCTTACAGATTATTTTTCTGAATTTTTATGGAGCTCTCTAAATTATTCGGATCCCTTTCTGCTGCTCTAGGGTTAAGTACTGCCGCTGCCTACCACATCATAAGAGCTCTATAAATGGGCCGGCTCCCTTGACCCCAAAGTAGGGCTCAGAAGGATTTCTATTTAAACATGCCAGATCTAACATATGTTTTCAACACTCTTGAAATGCCACTAAAATAAAGGAATAAAGAAGGTATATAGGGCCAGGCGCAGTGGCTTATATGCTTATAATCCCAGTACTTTGGAGGCTGAGGCAGAAGGATTATTTGAGGCCGGGAGTTTGAGACCAGCCTGGGCAATATAGTGAGACCCTGTCTCTACAAAACATAAAAATAAAAAATACAATAAAAAGTAACAAGAATAGGCTGGATGCAGTGGCTCACACCTGTAATGCCAGCACTATGGGAGGCCGAGGTGGGCAGATCACTTGAAGCCAGGAGTTTGAGACCAGCCTGGCCAACATGGTGAAACTCCATCTCTATCTAAAAACAGAAAAATTAGCTGGACATGGTGGTGCACACCTGTAATCTCAGCTACTATGGAGGCTGAGGCAGGAGAGTCACTTGAGGTTGTAAGTGGAGGTTGCAGGGAGCTGAGATCATGCCACTGCATTCCAGCCTGGACGACAGAGTGAGACCCTGTCTCCAAAAAATACAAATAAGTAACAACAATAATGAAGAGGGTATAAGCCCACAGCAACAAAGGGAATAGGATGAGAGAATTCTATGAATATTTAGAAAACAGAGATAGGTAAGTGATTTAGAAGACAATGCTGAAACCGCAGAATGATAAAATGAAATTAGAGAGTGATACCAGTAAGGTCTGAGTTAATGTGCAACACAAGACCCAGGAAAAGGATTGAGATTCAGAGGCATGAGGTTCTCAGAATACTCGTGGACACAGGTTACAAGGCCATACAAAGCAGTAAGATCCAGCTCAATCCCCACTCCACAAGAGTAGAGGTTTATTCTCTGGAAAAAATGAGCCAAAGGCTCTAGACTTGTGTTTTTCAACTTTTTTCTCCACTGTCTACCTAAGGAGTCTTTTAAGACTTTTTTCCCCCAAATTGTGTCTTCCTGTTCACCTCCCTTCTCTCCAAAATTTTAGTACCACAAAGATGCTGTGTATCTTTTAATGTACTCTTATCTGTACTTTATGTGCAAAAAGTAGAATTTTTTTTACCACCTGAGGACCAATTTTTGTTCTTTTTTACTCATTTTTTACAAATTTTTACTCATTTTTTGTTATAGCAGAAATAAGGAAGAGAATACATTCTCTAAACTGACAAACACTGGGCACAGGGGCTTGAGAATACCAGATTGAAAACAGGGGACTAAGTAGATGTCTACATACTGAACGAGTCTCTTTCCTTCAAGAAACTGAATGGCCTCAGAGAAAATACAGATAATGACATATAGAATCGCTTAATGAAAAAGGTAGCTTATCACCCAGTCACCTATAGTAAGGCCCAGTAACTGACACAACCCAGCCCCCATCCATGGCTTGTAATCAGTTTTTTAATGTCTAACAAATGGAGGGCCAAGCATCACCTGCCATATAAGGAAAGCTTCCAACATCAAAAACAAACACTAAAACAATTTCCAGGATAAAAATAACCTATACCTATCATTAATACTCATAATAATACTTATAATTAGTATCTTAGAAGGATGAGATTTTGTTTTATTCCCACAGCCCCTCAGAGTATTTACATTTTAAAGGAGATATTAAAGATTAAAATAAGAATGAGGCCTGCATGGTATCTGTGTTTCAGCCAGCCTTTTTACAGCTACAATTGTAAAGAGAAGCATCTGTGAGTATGAAATGGCAAAAAGCACATGTCACATGACTATTCCCCCCCAGCAGATGGCCTATTTGCTCTGCAACAAGGAAACAGTCTCAGGAGAAATGTCCTCCTGGCAGACAGCCAGGCACCACAATCTCCTATTTAGGGGGAAAAAAGGTGCAACTTGGCCTACTACTTCTGAGTCTTTTACCCACTGATGGGGCAAATCGGAGAAAATTAAATCAAAAGGAGGCAAGTAAAATTAACAGTGGGGGCCGGGCACATGGCTCAAGCCTGTAATCCCAGCACCCTGGGAGGCCACAGCGGGAGGATCACTTGAGCCCAGGAGTTCAAGATCAGCCTGAGCAAAATAGAGAGATCCGATCTCTACAAACAATACAAAAATTGGCCAGGTGTGGTAACTCATGGCGTAGTCCCAGCTACTTGGGAGGCTGAGGCAGGAGAACTGATTGCACCTGGGAGGTCATGGCTGCAGCAAGCAGTGATTGCGCCACTGCACTCCAGTCTGGGTGACAAGGACATGGTCTCAAAACTAAAAAACCAAAAAAAATGATCAATAGGTATAAATAATTATAAAACAATAGTTTAAAACAGAATTTCCTTTCCCTCTATTATACTGACTTCTTCACATAAGACTGATGTAGGTTTTACCAAACTCAGAGTATTAAAATGATACTAACTAGATGAGTACAAAATATTACCAAAGATCACTGAAATAAACAAACAAACAAAACCCTCTATACCTATAAGGTTCAAATAACTATAAAAAATCCAGATAAACTTTGACAGGATGTTACTGACAAAAGGGAACAGTTAAAACTCTTTGAAGCTTAAGATGATAAATTTTAAGATTCAATACCAGTAAATACGGTCCTTTGGCAGCCCAGTCTCTGGAGTTTCCTGAACCATATTTCTTTCCTGCTAAAATAATCAGTGGGATACCTTCTTTCTGGTACAGCTCTGCAGCCTCAAATACATCTAGCTGTAGATTAAAACAAACACAAAATTTTTTAATACAAATTTTGATCCAGTTATAAATTGTCTAAATACTTTGTTTGCATTCTCACCGTCTGTCCTGATGGAAAATGAATTGTTTTAGGAGCTGGTTTTCCAATAAACTTATTAAAAAGCTTGATATTTGCAAAAGTGCCTCTTGTCATTACAGCATCATTACCTCTTCGAGCTCCGTAAGAGTTGAATTCACGAGGGGTAAGGCTACAAGAAAGTAATGAAAGTCAGTTTTCATTACATGTGGAAAATAATCACATACTATTGAGCTGTAAGACCTATTGAAAAATTTTTTTATCACAGAAAATTTCAAACACAAAAGAAAACAAAACCATGAATGTCCATGCGCCTATCACCAAGCTATAACTTAACAGATGCTCCGTTTCTTCTACAGTCAACCCCATTAGATTATTTTGAAGCAAAACTGAGATAATTTTAACAGCATACTTTTCAGTACATTTCACTAAAAGATGTAGACTCTTAAAAAAAAATCTTTACACCAAAAAAAAAAAATCACAATAATTTCTTAACATCAGATAGTCAATATTGTCACTGATTATTTCCAAACTAAGTTGGTTTGTTCAAATCAGGATCCAAATGCAGTTCATAAATGTGTTCAGTTGATCTCAAGTGTTTTAATCTACAGTTGACCTTTAAACATGAATTTGAGTTGTGTGGGTCCACTTATACATCGATTTTTTTTCAACCAAACACTGACAGAAAATATATTATTCACAGGATGCAGAAAACTGCAAATACGACTTTTCATATATGTGGCTTCTGCAAGGCTGACTGTAGGAATTCAGTATGTGTGGATTTGGGTATACATGGGTGGTCCTGGAACCAGTCCCACATCTATACTGAAGAATGACAGTATATGTTCCCTCTCCTTCCTCCTGCTTGTGCTCTATCTGATGCAATAAAGTTACTTGTATAGTTTTCTGTACCCACATTGTGTTGACTGCATCTCCATGAATCATTTAACATGTTCTTCTGCCTTCTGTTCTTGTAAATCACATGTCAGATCCAGTGGTTTGATAAGATTTGGGTTTTTAATTTTTGGCAACAATGCTTCATAGGTCATATGTACTTCTATTAGGAGGCACAAGATAGCCAACTGTCTTTTCCTGGAATGTTACCAGTGATTGCTCATTGTGGTCTAGATTGCTTATTAGAGACCGTAAAATAGTGATACTATAATTCACCCATTCCTTCTTCATTTTTTAGGTACAAAAGTTCTATAAAGAAAAACTTTCCAGCAGGTATGTTGGCTCTTGCCTGCAATACCAGCACTCTGGGAGGCCAAAGTGGGAGGAATGCTCGAGCCCATGTGTTGGAGACCAGCCTGTGCAACAAAGGGAGATCTCATCTCTACAAAAAATTAAAAATTATCCAGGCATGACGGTGCGAGCCTGTAGTCCCAAGCTACTCAGGAGGGTGAGACAGGAGGAGTGCTTGAGCCCACGAGTTCCAAGCAGCAGAGGGCCAAGTGCCACTGCCTTTCAGCCCAGGCAAGAGTGAGACCCTGTCTCTAAAAACAAACAAACAAACAAATGACAAACTTTCCTTCATCAATGATTTGGTTATGCTGAAATACATTCCATACATGAAAGGCTGGTTAAAGAATTGATTATTTACCAGTTTTCAAGCTAATGAGCTGGTCCTGACCCTGAGACCTTTAGACAGAAGCCTGATGGTCTGTGACCATCAGGTAATCTTTGTAATTTTATTTTTGGTAATCTTGGTAATTTTTGGTAAAATTGTGTACATTTTCCAGTCCCAGATCTGGAATCAATAATTTCTCCATGAAGCACTGGTTCACTATAGTGGGAAACAGTATTTAGAAATCATAATCTGGGTGCGGGGGGTATTGCTACTGGATTAGTGACCATATATAACTTTTTAGGGAAAAATAACTGAACATAAGTATCTCAACAATCAACAACTGACTTTTATCAGCCTCTGATTTGGTCTTTTATGCAGAGGCAACAATATTCTAAATTTGTGCATTTAAATTTTTACTTCAGGATGGGAGTGGTAGGAGGTTTGAGTGTCTTTATTTTTAGAAAATTCTAATTGATGAGCACTACTGGATTAAATGTGCTAAGAAATACATATCAGGAGGCATAATAATTACAAAAATTGTACATTTGAGAGAAGTGTTGACTGTTTTTCTTTTTTGGAGGTATGTCACAATTATGATGAAGATGGAAATCACAACCAAAAAAATATTTACAGGAAAGGAAACTTATTTCTCACCACTTTATAATAAAAGCTGTGCAATATTATCACATGTCAACACAAGCTACATTGACATTTTGGCTGGGCACGGTTGCTCATGCCTGTAATCCCAGCAATTTGGGGGGCCGAGGTGGGCGGATCACTTGGTCAGGAGTTTGATACCAGCCTGACCAACATGGTGAAACCCTGTCTCTACTAAAAATATAAAAACTTGCTGGGCATGGTGGCGCGTGCCTGTAATCCCAGCTAGTTGGGAGGCTGAGGTAGGAGAATTGCTTGAACCCGGGATGCAGAGGTGGCAGTGAGCTGAGATCACACCACTGCACTCCAGCCTGGGTGACAGAGTGAGTCTGTCTCAAAAATAAATACATAAATAAATACATACATAAATAAATAAATTTCAATGAAAAAGCTTGTCATTTTAATTACTCAAGCATCAAACAAGCATCCAATAAGCTAATCAGGTAGCAGTACTACAAATCCTGCTTTTAACAAAACTTTGTCTCTATTGTCAAAACAGTCCTTTGATAACAGGGCAACTCTACATGATTAATCATGTAGAAATGAAATCTTACCAGTTTTAAATTTATATCTCCAATATAAATGGCCTTTACGTTTATTGTTCCTATAAAATTTTAGGCTCATGAAGCAGAAATTCATTGTCTTTTGATTTGTACATATCATTCCCAGCCTCACACACGTACATGTTATAGCCCATAAAATACACATTTAAATTCCTTACTCCAATAATGGGAAGCTGGTTTTAACCAAATGAGCAGGCTTCATTTGGTAGGTAAAACCAAGCTGACTTTTCAATAAAGTAGCACTGAAAAAGAAAAATCTTATTTCCAATCAGCTGTTTATTTAGACTATAAGGGCTCAATTTAAAATTGCAATTTCATTTTCTAAAGTCACAAGCAAAGACAAGTACAGAAGGTACCCCCCGCCTCCCCACCCCGCCACTCTCCATTCTTGCTTAAGACAAACACATTGGCAGTCAGATTACCTACGATAGCATGTATTTACTGGAAAAAAGGAACAAGACCAATAGAAGCCTCTTAATCAGTAAGAAACAAGAAAAAACAAAAACACTCTAAAGCCATGTACACATACCCTCTGTTTGTCAAATACTTAGCGGCAGCACTATTCCTAGCGATACTTCCTGCAGGTGATATATGATCTGTTGTGACAGAGTCTCCCAAATATAATAAGACATGGGCATTTTCAATAGCCTGGAGTGCAATTGGCTCTTTGGTCTAGAAGGTAAAAGTTCAAGGCATTTAACTCTTTACAAGACTTCTTAGTTTATAACAATCTTTAAAAGATCAAATAGTAAAACAGTACTTACAAGTTTATCAAAAAATGAAGGGCATCTGATATAAGTAGACTTTAAGTCCCATGGAAACAAAACTGAATCCGGTGCTTCTAAGGAATTCCACCGTTTATTCCCCATCTGTGAATACAGTTTTCGTTGATGAACCAAAGCAAAGATAAAAGGACTCAGAAAAAGAGGCGCATGAAAATGATCAAGGGAATAAAATAGTACTTAGGTCACAACAACAACAACAAAAATAGGCCTTATCCATTTGGAAAGAAAATTAAGAGTGTATTCTTTTCTTTTTTTTAAAAAATTTTAAATTTTTATTTTTGCCCAGGCTGGTCTTAAACTCCTGAGCTCAAGCGATACGTGGGCCTTGGCCTCCCTGAGGGTTGGGATTATAGGCATTAGCCACCATGCCCAGCCAAAACAGTGTGTTCTAAAAAATCATGATGTTTTTGGACAGAATGATTAAAAATTTGCTCCTCAAATTCTAGCATACCAGATGTTCAGGAACACTCCAAGGGGCAAGTTTCAATATAAACAGAACATAAAGACTTCACAGAGTCCAAAAAAGTTAAAGAATTTAGAAAGATTTCTATATGTTGCTACAGAGAGATTAAGCATGTATGAGGTATGCTGTTAATGTCTAAGAATGTTATAATGGAGAAAAACCTCTGCTTTTTCAATGTATTTGTTCCACATCAACGCCTTCAAACTACAGCCAAAAATCTCACCATTTCTTAGGCCAGGCACAGTGGCTCACGCCTGTAAACCCAACACTTTGGGAGGCTGAGGTGGGCGGATCACTTGAGTCCAGGAGTTTGAGACCAGCCTGAGCATTTTTTATTTTTTATTTTACAAAAAATAAAAAATTAGCTGGGCCTGATGGTGAGCGCCTGTGGCCCCAGCTACTCAGGAGGCTGAGGAGCAGGATTGCTTGAGTCCAGGAGGTTAAGGCTGCAGTGAGCTGCTTCAGGCCACTGCACTCCAGCCTGGGTGACAGAGTGGGGTGCCATCTCCCAAAAAACACCAAAAAATAAATAATAAAAAATAATAAATATTGCATAATTTAGCTAATTATTCTCTTTACAGCTTATTTGCCTCTCCCCAGGAGAATTTTGTGTTTTGTTCAATGATGTATTCTGAACACCTAATCAATTCTTTCTTTTCCCCCCTCAACTGTTATTTTAACTTCTGGGGTACATATGCGGGATGTGCAGGTTTGTTACATAGGTAAATGTGTGCCATGGTGGTTTGCTGCACAGATCATCCAATCAACACTAATGAATTCTGATCCTCTAAGACATTTTCTTTCTTTTTTTTTTTTTTTTGAGACAGAGTTGCACTCTTGTTGCCCAGGCTGGAGTGCAGTGGCGCGATCTCGGATCACCGCAACCTCCGCCTCCCAGGTTCAAGTGATTCTCCTGCCTCAGCCTCCTGAGTAGCTGGGATTACAGGCATGCGCCACCAAGCCTGGCTAATTGTTTTGTATTTTTAGTAGAGATGCGGTTTCTCCATGTTGGTCAGGCTGGTCTTGAGCTCCGGACCTCACGTGATCAACCTGCTTCAGCCTCCCAAAGTGTCGGGATTACAGGCGTGAGCCACTGTGCCCAGCCGCCATTTTCTTTTTAACTACAGATTCCAGATACAAACTTACTATTACACATTAAAAACTGTATTCAAAATAATGTAATTTTAATTTTTATTCTATTCAGAAGATATATGAAATAAAAGAACACTGCAAATTGATTAAACTATTTAAGAAACACATAAGACTCTTACTTCTATTTTATCTTTTAATGCTTTAAACATGGATAGTATAACATGTTCTTCCTCTACTCGATGAACTTCTTCTCGACTAGGCCAAATATCATGCAGGTAAATGTTCTTGCCGGTGGGGTCAGTACCTGGTTAAAATTTTTGAACATGATACTCAGTAAAAAAATAACTCTGAAAATGTTCATACCTTTTCAAAGACATATCATGGAAATCAAGTAAATGATTCAACAGGGTGCTTCAGGCTTAAGCGGCTGGAAGAACTAATTACCTGTACATTTTATTTTCTTCACATAAACACAGAAATTAATAACTATACATTATCATACGTCTTCCTGAAATAATTCAAAGAATAGATGGTCTAAGAAACATTTCAAAAATATAACGACTTCCATTGGGAAAAGTATGTGTAGGTATACATATACATAAAGGAAAAGATACCTAAAGGTTCTGTCTGGAAATCTATATTCACTGTGCCTGCTATGGCATAAGCTACCACTAAGGGTGGAGAGGCAAGATAATTGGCACGAACACAATCACAAAGACGACCTTCAAAATTTTTGTTTCCAGATAAAATTCCACAGGTAACCAAATCACCCTGAAAAAAACACAAACACACAAACAAATAAATTCAATTCTAGAGATGGTACAAATCTGGATAATCATATATAAGCAATCTTAAAGTCTGAGGGCGAGATTAACCAAAAAACATATTACTAATTTTTAAATATAGAACTATGCATCTTGCAAATAAACTAAATCAATTCCTTGTATTATGAAGGAATTATTTCAAGGATCTACAAATGATTCATTGAATCATTTAAAGATTCACAGGTTACTATTGCCAAGAGGTGCAGAGTTTACAGAAATATAAACACATCAATATATATTTTCTATAATTTAGTAACAAAACATAGTTAAGAAAATCATTTAGATGTCTTGCCAATCCACACATTTTACCTGTTTTACTGCATTTAAAACTGCGTCTGATAAGGGTGCTGTATTTCCCACACAAATTGAACATCCATAGCCAACGATTTCAAATCTGCATTTCAAAAAAAAAGTGACTGAATAGCACATCACAACATTTATAGAGAAAGGACAAGTCTTATCTTGTATTTCTATCACTGTAATAAGATTACTTAAAAGACTATTCATGACACATGGATTAACCTTCATCAATATATTCACCTCAGAAGATTCTGAGCAATCAAGTCTAACTCTCAGGCATGCTATTTGAACCAGCTCACTGCAGCCTTAACCTCCTGGGCTCAAGCAATCCTGCTCCTTGGCCTCCTAAGTAGCTGGGGCCACAGGCGCTCGCCACCAGGCCCAGCTAATTTTTTTATTTTTTGTAAAATAAAAAATAAAAATGCTCAGGCTGGTCTCAAAGGTGAATGCAAACCTTTGAAGAGCCTTAATAGCACTTATCACTGTACAAGAGAATTCCCCCAAATACTACTTGCTAGGAATATAACATGACCTTTTAAAATAATTGATACTGTACTTCCATCCAAGAGTTTAAAATGTAAAGAGGACCTGGCTATAATAACCTGACCAAAGGTCCCAAAAGAGGCATTGATTGTAATTGGGCACTCTGATAGGAGTAATCTCTCAATTATCAACCAGTTAAACCCAAGAAGAGTCTCTGACAATAAATCCAAGATAATATAACCAAAAGATTACAGGCACAGTCCTCTAAATTACTTTCAGATGCTATTCTAAAAGCAAAAAAGTCTAAAATTTATCAGTTTTGCAATGGAATTGATGACTCATATGTTCCAAAATACACACCGAAAATATAACTAGGCTGGGTGTGGTGGCTCAGGCCTGTAATCCCAACACTTTCGGGGGCCAAGACGAGCCGATCACTTAAGGGAACAAGTTTGAGACGAGCCTGGCCAACACAGTGAAACTCTGTCTCTGCTAAAAACATAAAAATTAGCTGGGTGTGGTGGTGCACACCTGCGGTCCCAGCCACTCAGGAGGCTGAGGTAGGAAGACTGATTGAGCCTAGGAGGTCGAGGCTGCAATGAGCTGTGATTGCACCACTGCACTCCAGTGTGGGCAATAGAGCAAGACACTGTCTCAAAACCAAAAAATCCCCACACAACTAGCATCAATTGTTTTGGATTACATAAAAAACATAGGTTACTTTTTTTTTTTTCTTTTTGAGATGGAGTCTCGCTCTGTCGCCCAGGCTGGAGTGCAGCGGCACGATCTGGGTTCACTGCAACCTCCGCTTCCCAGGTTAAAGCAATTCTTCTGCCTCAGCCTCCTGAGTAGCTGGGACTATGGGTGTGCGTCACCACGCCTGGCTAATTTTGGTATTTTTTGTGGAGACGGGGTTTCACCATATTGGCCAGGCTGGTCTCAAACTCCTGGCCTCATGATTTGCCTGCCTCGGCCTCCCCAAGTGCTGGGATTACAGGCGTGAGCCACCGCGCCCAGCCCAAAAAACATAAGTTACTTTCTCCAAAGTTCAGGGACAATTTAAACTTATGTATTATAGACCCAATAACCTCATAAAACTAAAATTAAGACAATTTTCAGTTAATAAATGCAAACTATAAGATTTCTTTCTTTTTTGAACTGACCTACACAACTCACAGAAATTGTGCATACTTGGTATCGTTTCTTACACTGTAACTGTTATTTGGTTGTACTTGTTTGTCTTGTCTTCCCAACTAAGTATCTTGAAGCTAAGACCACATCTCCTACTTCTGTGTATCCAACCTGGTGCTTTGCTCATTTGATATGCCCAATAAGTGTTTCCTGAGTGATAAGGCATCAAAAATTGTATGGTAATGGCAAGGTAGCAAGTAAAACTAAAGCATATTTTTTCTATCTTCTCTTTGTATATGAAAGGCACAAACAAGCAGCTTCAGTACCTACTGAACACCAATATCAATATGAAGTGCGATAGCTGTTACTTACCCAAGCTTACTTAGATATGGTAATACTCCACTTGAACTGAGGTAATGTGTAACCATCCCACTGCCTGGAGATAAACTTGTTCTTATATAAGGTTTAACACGCAGACCAGCTTCAACAGCCTTTTTAGCCAAAAGACCTGCACAGCCAACAAACAATGATTTATTATGGCAATGTTTCTTTCCCTCTCTCACCCATATTAAAGTAAAAAGTGAGAAGTAATTTATTTAACAGATTAAAGTATGAATTCATAAACTTACTGTCATTATTTTGTCCACTTTATTCTACTGATTTGCTTCATTTACAACAAATTTAAAATTACAGCCTTTATGTTGAAAATTATTAAGATACAGGCTGACATCATTCACACAGAGTAAACAAAAGGTGCACATATATAAGTACATGTTAACAAAACCATTTTTTCTCTTTCTTCTTTTTTCTAAAGCAAACCATTTTAAAGTCATAATTACAATAAGAGCAATGTAACACATTATACATGGTTTTATACAACTAAGGAATTGTTCCAATGGGCATACAAATTAATTTCATTTACAATCCTTGCCAAGACAATGATCTTTTACTACTTTTATAACTTTTAATGAAATCTACCACACTGTTATGGTTAACTTCTAGATAATCAAGAAATACCTGCTAATTAACTATAGTTCTAAATTAACAAGAGAAGCAGATACAACCTAAAATTAATTGACAGGTAAGTTATAGTAAACAGTAAATTTACCTTCGGTGTAATAAAAACAACATAAATCAAACTCAGGCTCCTTAAGACCTAACTAAAATACTAGAAAGTCTCTCAATATCAAATGTAGACACTCATGCATCATCTAAGAAACAAAGTTACAATAACAGAAAAGCCAACAATAATTAAGGAAAAAGAAAAAGTATGGCCATAAACCACAACCCACCTGCAGCAAGCATGACAGATGGATTGCAATTATTGGTACAACTGATAACTGCAGCAATGACCACTGATCCATGAGACAGCTTATATTCACTTCCTTCATAATGAATGGAGACAATATCCTTTTGTTTTTCAGCTGCAATTTGGAAGCCTTTAAATCCAACCTATACAAATTTCCACAAAAATATAAACTAAATATTCTGGGTATGTACAGAATAAAAGACTGGCAGAAAACATAGCAGATACCGGACATTTGATGATTTAACATTAAAAATCCTTTTTGTGAGTGATGCTAAAGGCCCATAACATTCAGTAGTTGTAATTCAGCTGAAGCATAAATCTGCATGGGCACGACAGGAGTCTGGTGATGTTCACAAGCAAAACTTTTATCTACTAAGCGAGTCCAGCCTACCACCCAGAATCCAGATCTCATTTGGCTTTGTTGTTCTTAATCATCCCTGTTTATAGTAATTCTCAAGAGATGGCAGAAATTTTTTTCTGTTAAAATGACCCCGAAGATTTCCTCCAAAGGGATCCTATGTGTGTGAGTGTAGCATAGCTGAAACAAGATTGGCTATGAGTTGCTAATTATTGAAGCTAATTGACAGGTACATGGCAATTCAGTGGACTATTTTGTTTTTGTACAAGTTTAACACTTTCTGAACAAAAAGTCAAGAAATCATAAAAAGAAAGGCTCTGAAAGGAAAGCCAAGTACTAGAGATCTCAGAATAGAGAAAGTGACAAGACTAAAACTGTGATTCTCAGACAGAAAATACAAACCCTCAAAAGCCAGAGACCACTTGCTACTCGGTCACATTTACCAAATTTTATGACTGTAGGCCAGGTGCGGTGGCTCATGGCTATAATCCCAGCACTGTTGGGAGGCTGAGGTGGGCAGATCACTTGAGGTCAGGAGTTGAAGACCAGTCTGGCCAACATGGTGAAACCCTGTCTCTACTAAAAATACAAAAATTACCCAGGAATGATGGTAGACTCCTGTAATTCCAACTACTTTGGGGGCTGAGGCAGGAGAATCGCTTGAGCCCGGGAGGGGGGAGGTTGCAGTGAGCCGAGATTGTGCCACTGCACTCCAGCTTGGGCAACAAAGTGAGACTCTGTCTCAAAAAAAAAAAAAAAAGTTTCTGTGATGATGTAACTATTCAATTATCTATGCTGTTCATCAATACAAGACCCATATGTATTCAGCATTTAAAAATGAGACTACTGTGACTAAGAAACTCAATTTTAAATTGTATATAATTTTAATTTAAATAGACACAATCAATCTCTGATCCTCACAATGGAACTGGGAACAAGCTTACCTAATGACTGACTTGCACATTAGACAGAAGGAAAATAAGGGGGCTGCTGGTGTGTGCCATAATATATAAAACATAGCAGTGAATTGAGTTTATGGGTCACCTTGTTGGTTCTTTACTACTTAGCACAAAGCGGGTTGAAAAACACGGATAAGAATAAAGTAACCTACCTTTTCATTTAAGCAAGCCTGGAAATCGCTTTTCATATCTGTCACAGCAACTCTATCCTGAGGTCTTTTTGGACCACTAACAGATGGAACTATTGAATTCAGATTAATCTGGATCACCTAAGAAATGAGAAAGAGAAAGAACAAGGAATTAGAATTAATTCCTTACGACAGATTCCAATTGAAGCATTACTTTCTAAAGCAGAGTAAGTATATTCGTATTTATTTTAATGCAATTTATTTTAATAGTATAATACACCCTCAACCCCAAGAAATAAAGATTTTAAAACAAGCACATTTAAATGTACGAAACATGAAAATTTGCTAAAATCAAGACTAGTAGATCAGTATGCAATTAAACTACCACAACACCAATTGTACTGCATATACAAAATCTGGGGCCGGGCGCGGTGGCTCACACCTGTAATCCCAGCACTCTGGGAGGCCGAGGTGGGCAGGTCACGAGGTCAGGAGATCAAGACCATCATGGCTAACACAGTGAAACCTCGTCTCTACTAAAAAATTAGCCGGGCGTGGTGGTGGGCGCCTGTAGTCCCAGCTACTCGGGAGGCTGAGGCAGGGGAATGGCGTGAACCCAGGAGGCGGAGCTTGCAGTGAGCCAAGATCGCGCCACTGCACTCCAGCCTGGGTAACACAGCGAGACTCCGTCTCAAAAAAAAAAAAAACCTGGTTTCCCAAGTGTTTTTTCCCACAAAGATAAACACTGTCTTAACAGATGTCCAATGATAAAATAGATGCCTATGCCAGCTATCAACTTATTGCCTCTGAGCTCCAAATCTACCCTCCTGCCCGCTCTGTGATCACAGAGGTAAACGGTTAGTAAACATTTCTCCTTTGTCAGCACACATGATGTGAAGAATGTGAAGACTGGTCACTAGAGGGTGCTGAAGGGACACAGCAGAGAAAGCGTTCTTTTTCCTGTTCCAGAGGGTTTCACTGGCCAGCCTGCTGCAACTCAGGGTTCTATTCCTTGGTTAAGAAACGTATTTTTTGTTAAAAATCCCACTTCCAACTAGATTCCTATTTATTTCTTCTGGCATTTCTATCGTTTCCTTCATGCATTTTATGTGAATATAACCATCTTGAAACTTTTCATCATGGCTTTCAACATTATTTTATATCCCTGTTTATTCTGACTGATCCAACTACTTACACTGTATTTATTTATTATTATTATTATTTTTATTGTGAAAGGGTCTCACTCTGTTGCCCAGGCTGGAGCGCAGTGGCACAGTCAGGACTAAATGCAGCCTCAACCTCCTGGGCTCAAGTGATCCTCCCGCCTTAGCCCCACAAGTAGCTGGGACTACAGGCATGCGCCACCACGCCTGGCTAAGTGAATTTTAGCAGAGGTGAGGTCTCACTATGTTGCCCAGGCTGGTCCTGAGCTCAAGCAATCCTCCCGCCTCAGCCTCCCAAAGTGCTGGGATTACACGCAAGAATAACCACACCTGGCTTACTTATACTTTCATTTAATGGATTCAGGCGATCCTAGTCTTTGCCCATAAATATCCATTTAAGAAGTTTCTCTTGAAATCAACATCCTAATGATTTTAGTTTTATTTCTTTACATGGTCAGGTTTGTTTTTTGTTTTTTTCTTAAGAGACAGGGTCTTGGGCCGGGCGCGGCGGCTCATGTCTGTATCCCAGCAATTTGAGAGGCTGAGGCGGGTGGATCACTTGAGGTCAAGAGTTTGAGACCATCCTGGCCAACACGGTGAAACCCCATCTCTACTAAAAATACAAAAAATAGGCCGGGCGCGGTGGCTCAGGCCTGTAATCCCTGCACTTTGGGAGGCCGAGGCAGGCGGATCATGAGGTCAGGAGATCGAGACCATCCTGGCTAACACGGTGAAACCCCGTCTCTATTAAAAATACAAAAAAAAAAAAAAAATTAGCGAGGTGTGGTGGCGGGCACCTGTAGTCTCAGCTACCTGGGAGGCTGAGGCAGGAGAATGGCATGAACCTGGGAGGCAGAGCTTGGAGTGAGCCAAGATCGTGTCACTGCACTCCAGCCTGGTGACAGAGCGAGATTCTCTCAAAAAAAAAAGCCGGGCATGGTGGCGCATGTCTGTAATCCTAGCTACTCAGGAGGCTGAGGCAGGAGAATCACTTCAACCCAGGAAATGGAGGTTGCAGTGAGCCGTGATCACGCCACTGCACTCCAGCATGGGTGGGTCTTGCTATCGCTCAAGGCTGGAGTGCATTGACTCGATCATAGCTCACTGCAGCTTCAAACTCAGGGGCTCGGGCCATCCATCCCCTTTCTCTAGGGACAGGGCCTTGCTTATGATGCTAGTCCTGAACTTCTGGCCTTAAGTAATCCTCTTGCCTTGGCCTCCCAAAGGGTTGTAATTACAGGCATAAGCCACCACACCTGGTCTGCTGGGAAATTTTTTTTTTTTTTTGAGACAGAGTCTCGCTCTGTTGCCCAGGCTGGAATACAGTGGTGCCATCTCAGCTCATTGCAACCTCTGTCTCCCAGGTTCAAGCAATTCTCCTGCCTCAGCCTCCTGAGTAGCTGGGACTACAGGCGCATGCCACCATGCCCAGCTAATTTTTTGTATTTTTAGTAGAAATGGGGTTTCACCGTGTTACCCAGGATGGTCTGGACCTCCTGACCTCATGATTTGCCTGTTTCGGCCTCCCAAAGTGCGGGCCTCCCAAAGTGCTAGGATTACAGGCGTGAGCCACCACGCCCGGCCAGACATTTTTTTTTTTTTTTTTTTTAAGACAGTCTCATTCTGTTGCCCAGGCTGAAATGTAGTGGTGTCATCTCAGCTCACTGCAACCTCCGCCTTCTGGGTTCAAGCGATTCTCATGCCTCAGCCTCCTGAGTAGCTGGGATTACAGGCCCCCACCACCACACCTGGCTAATTTATTTTTTTGTATTTTTAGTAGAGATGGGGTTTCACCATGTTGGCTAGGCTGGTCGTGAACTCCTGACCTCAGGAGGTGATCTGCCTGCCTCAGCCTCCCAAAGTGCTGGGATTACAGGCGTGAGCCACCGCACCTGGCCAAGGGTTTTTAACAGGCATATTTATTTCATTTTATTCTACCACCAAAGTTTTCCCATTGTTCTTATTCTTTCCATTTATGGATTTTAAAAAATGTGAACAAGGAAAAAAAATGGACAAAGCACTAGATCTAATAGAGGTGAAAATGATTGGAAAATGATCAGAAGTAAAAAGATTTGCCCAAAGTAGCACACAAATTCAATTTCTATGGGTCCTATATGGATTCATTTATTCACCTAACACGTTTACTGAATATCTACTATGTGCCAGCAATTGTTCTAGGAGCTGGGGATACAATACCAAACCAAAGTTCCTGTCCTCATGGAGTTTAATGAACAGTTAACCAAAACTGTAAAACCATGTTGTTAGAAATCCTTGACACACTCCTAGAAAATGAATTTTATTAAAATTAAGGCTTCCCTGGAAGTGAATTCTGCCTATTTTGATATAAATTTCCAACAGATTTTTTTTTTTTTTTTTAGACACTGTCTCATTCTGTTGCCCAGGCTAGAGTGCAGTGGCATGACCACAGCTCACTGCAGCCTTGACCTCCTGGGCTCAAGCCATCGTCCCTACTCAGCCTCCTGAGGATGTGGAACCACGGGAGCATGCCACTACTCCTGGATAATTTCAGTATTTACTTAGATTGTAAAATATCTTTAAAACTAACAAGTAAGACTGCATAATAGTGTATACCTTTAATAGCGGAATTTTGCAAAATACACAAGTAAACCAGATGCAGATAACATCGAAACTGATTATTCTGAAGGGAGATATTACTCTTATCATAAAGTAGAAATAAATTAGAGCAAGAATTAAGAGTCACTACTATTATTTTAAACACTAAAAAATTAGACTTCATAGGCTGGGCTTGGTGGTTCACACCTGTAATCCCAGCAATTTGAGAGGCCAAGGCAGGAGGAATTGCTTGAGGCCAGGAGTTTAAGACCACCCTAAGCAACACGGCAAAATCCTCTCTCTACCAAAAAAAAAAAAAAAATCCAAAAACCACAACTAGACTTCATAAGATATTACAAAATTCACTATAATAAAACTCTATGTAAAATTAATGAATAAAACAAAAGCACTGGGCTACAATAACATTACTTAAATAATAATAATAATGATAGCTACCCCCTCAGCCAGGTCCAGTGGCTCATGCCTGTAATCCCAGCACTCTGGGAGGCCAAGACTAGAGAATCCCCTGAAACCAGAAGTATGAGACCAGCCTGGGCAGTAAAATAAAATGAGACCCTGCCCAGGGTCCAAAAAATAATAATATTAAAAAAATAGTAATATTAAAACAAAACAGGGGTTAAGCATGGTGGTGGCTCATGTCTGTAATCCCAGCAAGGTGGGAGCTTGAGCACAGAGGTTGAGGCTACAGTGAACCATGATTGTGCCACTGCACTCTAGTCTGGTGAAAGAGCCGGACTGGGTCTCAAAAAGCAAAACAAAAAGATTAGCTACCCCTTATTGAGCATTTACTATGTGCCTGGAACTATTCTATGAATTTGTTTTTAATATCTAAGAATCCTTAGAGGTAGATATTGTCATATCTAACAGATGAGAAAACTGAGGCAGAAAGGCTAAATAAATTGCCCAAGGTTATACAGCTAACACGTCTTAGAGCTGGGATTCAAACCCAGGTGGTCAGGTACTCTAGAATTTATTATTATTATTTTTTTCCTTTTTGACACAAGTCTCACTCTGTTACCTAGTCTAGAGTGCAGTGGCACAATCTCAGCTCACTGCAACTTTCTTTCGCCCCACAGGCTCAAGTGATCCTCCCACCTCAGCCTCCCAGGTACTTGGGACCACAGGCGCAAGCCATGCCCAGCTAATGTTTGTAGTTTTTTTGCAGTGACAGGGTTTTACCATATTGCCCAGGCTGGTCTCAAACTCTTGAACTCAAACAATCAACCCACCCCAACCTTTCAAAGCGCTGGGATTACACCACAATTTACACTCTTTGCTACGAGGTGGGTTATTCTGCATATACCTGGGAGTATTCAGGTTCTCCTGAAGAATTCTGGTCATTTCGAAACAATTTCACAGCTTTAAGGTATGTTTCCATTGATTCGAGTTTGGCTTTGCTAAAACCTAAAACGAAGATGAACAAAACAACAAAATGCAGTGAGAAATTTATTTAGTTATTATTTTTTTCAGACAGGGTTTCACTTTGTTGCCCAGGCTGGAGCGCAGTGCTGCAATCACAGCTCACTGCAACCTTGACCTCCCGAGCTCAAGCAATCCTCCCATGTCAGCCTCCCAAGTAGCACCCCACCGTGCCTGGTTAATTTTTTTTTTTTTTTTTTACAAATGTTTTGTACAGATGGGGTGGCGGGAGGGTCTTGTTTTTTTTGAATAGGTTGGTTTCGAACTCTCAGCCTCAAGAGATCCTCCTGCCTTGGCCTCCCAAAGGGCTGGAATTATGGGTATGAGCCACCACACCCCGCCAATAAATTTATTATTTTTAGAAACAGGGTCTCACTGTGTCACCTAGGCTGGAGTACAGTGGTGCCATCATAGCCCACTGCAGTTTTGAACTCCTGGGTTCAAGTGATTCTCCCGCCTTAGCCTCTCAAGTTGCTAGGACTATAAGTCTGTACTGCCACACCTGGCTAATTTTTAATTTTCTTGTACAGATGGGGGTCTTGCTATGTTGCCCAAGCTAGTCTTAAACTCCTGGACTCATGTGATCCTCCCGCCTCAGCCTCCCGAAGTGCTAGGATCATAGCTGTAAGCCACTGAGCCTGGCCTCAGTAAGGAATTTTGAAATCTTTGGGGGTAAGGATACTGAATTCCAGTGATGAACAAGAAACAAATACTATTTACATATTCATTTACATTTCTCTTTCTCCTAACCCTTGAGAATCTACCACGTGAGCAAGCCCAGACTACACGGAGAAACCACATGAGGGTGTTTTGCCTGATAGACTTACCTAAGTCCTCAGCTGACAGCTCATAATTTGCTGTTAGACATGCAAGCACAACAAGCCTTCAGGATTGCAGGCCCTTCCTTTCAAATCTTGCAGTTGAGGCTCAAGACATGAAACAGAGATGAGCTGTCCCCACTGTGCCCTGTCTGAATTACCGACCCCACTGAAACCATGAGCTAGTAATTACTGCTTGTGCAAGCCACTAAATTTTAGGATAATTTGTTACACAGGATCACTAAAACCTTAACTCAAGATTAATATGCAAGGAACGAGGCACTTCTAACCATTTCTACTTTGAATGTTCTACTAACTCAAATGCAGAAGTTTTGCACTTGGGGGGATCATTCCCTCCAGGATTCTATATAACCATTCATCAATTTTGCTGTCTGATTAACTAACATAATAATCTGCCTGCACACTGAAGAATACTAGAATATATCCTCCAAATAAATATCTATACTTAGAAATGAGTAACTCAGCAATGATTACCTCATTAAAGAGATTAAAAAAAGAGATCTTACTTTTTAAATAGCAGACTTATGAAATATCAACATATCTTGTTTTGTAGATACTTTCTGTTTTAATCTAAACAGCCAATGGAAGAGTGGCCAAAATTTCTAGTTAATCAGGTTACAAAAAGATTTAGAAACTGTGGTCCTATGTTGTTTTTTGCAAAATTTTGCGCTTCTTCTTCTTCTCTAGATAGAAGACTGGTCCCCAAACCCCTTTGTCTGATAGCTCCTCTACTCTTGGTTGTAGAAGGGGACTGCTGTGAATATGTTTAAGGCTGACTTCCATTAAATTGCAACCTATGACCCCTAAGTAGAGGTGGAGGTATCCATCATTATGGGGAAACAGTCAAGTCAGGATCAATGGTTTGAATAATTCCTTTAAATTGCTTTCAATGTGTCACAGGGAACTAGGGTTTGAGGACACAACACTCTTTAAAGACATCTGATGTTTGCTTGAAAGTTGTTGTTTCAACATAATGTAATTTTGTGAATAGTAAATAACATGGATAAGGTAGTAATTTATAAAATATTATCAAACACATTGGAAATGTAACATGTTTATTCTAGTGATCTTTTATCTTCTTACCTGTATGTTCTAAATGTTTTAATGTCACATTGTCAACAGGGAAAAAGCTGAGGATAGCACCATATTCCGGACACATGTTTGCTATTGTAGTTCGATCAACTATAGATAATTGTGAAACTCCACTTCCAAAAAACTCAACAAACTTTCCAGCCACTCCTACTTGCCTGAGGTGCTATATAAGGAATACACAGAAACACATACAAAATTGCAAAGATAAGATTAGCAACGATTGTCTGAAAACTATAAAATAAAATTTTTAACCAATACTAGTGATGGTGAAGGAATGAGATCCTTCATTGTCCTTATGAATCAACTCATTCTGGTTTTGGGGGTATTTTAAGATAAGAAGTAAAGAGAAGACTGGTCCAATGTCACTGTTAATCAGGGTAGAAAGGGGCCTGAAAGCTCAAGGTGGCTATAATTAACATTTTCATGTCTTTGAAATCAGGGTACCTCAACTCAATAGTGTGTCTGTTTAGGTGGCAGCCCTTTTTCTTTCTTTCTTTTAGAAACAGGGTCTCACTCTGTTGCCCAGGCTGGAGCGCAGTGGTGTGGTCACAGCTCACTGCAGCTTCCAACACCGTGGCTCTAGCAATCCTCCCACCTTAGCCTCCAGAGTAGCTGGAACTACAGGCATGTGCCACCGCACCCAGCTAATTTTTAACTTTTTTTTTTTTGTAGAGACAGGGTCTTACAATGTTGACCAGGTTGGTCTTGAACTTCTGGCCTCAAGTGATGCTCCTGCCTTGGCGTCCCACAGGTGTGAGCCACTGCACACAGCCCTTTATTCTTTCTTAGCAGTGCATAAAACAGTGGTGTTTGCTAACCACTGATGGCATCTTAGACTTAATGAAATACTAATAGACTGATGAAACTGTATATTTAAATAAAAAATTATATATTGGCTATAAACATTTTTCAAATTATAACTACTGGCCCAAATGTTTACAGCATCTTTAATCACAGGCAAATCCCACTTTGGTAGAATTTGTTAACATGTGGTTTCAAACTTAATTCCTTCTAAAATTATTTTTCTTGGTTATTATACTATCAAGTAACCCAACCAGTTATTTGTCTTTTCTAAATTGTAAAATGGTCTCAGATTGGTATAGGAAGAGTGACTAAGGAGGCGACTAAGAATGAAACTATCCTCGATCTATGAATAATATTAAGCCCTAACATTTTATAAGTGCCAGGGATCACTTAATCCAAACCCTTTTTTATAGATACAGAAACTCAAACCCTAAGTGTAAAGATGTTTCCTCATTTATGGTTTTTTTTTTTTTTTTTTTTTTTTTGAGACAGAGTCTCGCTCTGTCGCCCAGGCCGGACTGCGGACTGCAGTGGCGCAATCTCGGCTCACTGCAAGCTCCGCCTCCCGGGTTCACGCCATTCTCCTGCCTCAGCCTCCCGAGAAGCTGGGACTACAGGCGCCCGCCACCGCGCCCGGCTAATTTTTTGTATTTTTAGTAGAGACGGGGTTTCACCTTGTTAGCCAGGATGGTCTCGATCTCCTGACCTCATGATCCACCCGCCTCGGCCTCCCAAAGTGCTGGGATTACAGGCGTGAGCCACCGCGCCCGGCCTATGGTTTTATTTTTTAGGATGAAAGAAACACAGATTAGATATTACAAACCAAATGCTGCTCTCATCAAAAAAACAATACAGGATTATTCCTATAAGGATCACAAATGGAACAGGATCTCAAAAAAGAAGTAATAATATATTCAATAAATGTAAACATATATAATAGATTAATTTTTTAACATTAAACTAAAATGTCAAAAAACACACAGTAATATTGTCAGGAAAAAACAGCTAGAGAAGGCTAAAAAGCAGCGTTAGTTTTCAGGATGTCTAAAGTAAAGAATTGATTTCTGTAAAAACATAATGGGATACTCCTTTTCCTCTAGGAATAATCCTGCAATTCCCAATTTACTACTTGATCTTTTGGTATCATACGTTGAATCAATAATTTCTCTAAGATGCCAAATTCTTTTCTAATTAGGGAAGAAGGATCAATACCAAATGCTGAGAGGGAGGCATTATCATTTCCTTACACTGGAGTATCCGGAAAGCCTTCGTACCAATAATCTAACCAAAAATGCTGAGATTGGGACTCAAATTGGAATTATATGTGGAACATTTTCCAGGTACATTCATTTAACAAAATAGGATTTAATCATTAAAATAAAGTTAGCAAAGGCCAGACATTTAGGAAGAAGAGTTACAAATTATTGTTCACTAGGAAATCCGTGAGCCTGTGTATTAATATGCTTAACAAGCTCAGTGTATGTATTGAAGTTCTGAAGCCAGTATTTTAAAAATTCAGAGAGAAGATTTTTACATAATAATCCAGAGAAATGTTAAAACGGCAACAGAAAAATGATATATCACATTTCTACAGTCCATGTTTTTGAAAGCATTACTTAGTAGAGCAACAGTTTCTAATGGGCAAATAATTTAATTAAAGACGACACAATCAACTTTTGCTAAACATTTTTTTTAAATTCAAGTAAAAAAGAGAAAAAAAATAATGTAGTCAGCAAGTGTTTATTAAGGCAACAAGGCACTAATAAGGCATAATGGTTAAGACAATGGACTCAAGAATCTGACTGCCTGGAATCTTTGCTCTACCCCTTACTACTCAGGCCTTCGACCCTTTGGTAAGTCACTAAACCCTACTGTACCTTAGTTTTCTCAGAGTTACAATGAGAATAGTAATAGTATCCATCTCACAGGCTTGTTATAAGGACTAAATGAGCTAACATAAGTGAACACAACAAATTTCTTTGTATTTATTAGTACAAACTAAATGCTCTGTTTGTTGTTATTACTATGATAACTATGATGATGTGGCTAACGTCAAGAGACCTGAGGATGCAGTAATGAACCCAAATCCCTGCTCTCATAGAGCTCTTCAATTTTTATAAAAATAATGTTCAGTAAGTCATAGAGCTACCACAACTTTAACTTACCTTTGTAATACCAAGAACAACATCTATGGATGTAACAAAAGGGTTTGATGACCCAGTTAACTCACATCCAACCACCTCTGGTAAAGTAAGAGAAACTGGCAGACCAAGCATAACTGCTTCTGTTTCAATGCCTCCAACCCCTAACGTAATAAAGACAGGTATATTAGCACAGTATATTTAAAGATCATTTATCTCTGTAACATCTGAATCTCTAGGTGTTTCATGAGCTTATCTTACACAGTACTTTGCAGAGTTGCTATATTGCTATTAATGTGGACACTGAACCCAAGGCTTCCCAAAAGAAATGATTCCACTCGCACGGTCGAAAAACTATTATTTTACCTTTATATTCAAGGTAAAATATTAGTTTTAAGTATATTCAAGTTAAAACATTAGTTTAAGTATTCATTATGTTAGGCACTGCACTGTATTCAAGATACAGATATAAACAGAATCCAGTCCCTGCCAACCTCAACAAGTTCAGTCTAATGAAAAAGCACAAAAAAATCAACATTTATAACACCCTGTGAAAGAGTAAGCTTACAAAGTGAGGTACACTGAACTCAGCAAGGGAGTTAAGACTTTCAGAAGATAACTGAGGCCAGTCTTGGATGAGTTAATAGTAGCCACATTTCAACAAAGTCACGGTCGGCAGAAAGCATTCTTCCAGAAGAAATAGCCTATGCAAAGTCATGGCATATAAAAGAGCATAGCTAGCTGGGCTCAGTGGCTCACGCCTGTAATCCCAGCACTTTGGGAGGTCGAGGTGGGTGGATCACTTAAGGCTAGGAATTCAAAACCAGCCAGGCCAGCATAGCAAAACCGTATCTCTACTAAAAATACAAAAATTAGCTGGGCGTGGTGGCACGTGCCTGTAGTCCCAGCTACTTGGGAGGTTGAGGCACAAGAATTGCTTGAACCCAGGAGGTGGAGGCTGCAGTGAGCCAAGATTGTGCCACTGCACTCCAACCTGGGTGACAGAGCAAGATGCTGTCTCCAAAAAAAAAAGAAAAAGAAAAAAAAAAGAAAAGAGACAGCCCACGTAAGTAAAGAAATGACTAGTCTCTCTAAGATGGGTGTGGGTGAGTGGCTAAAGGGACATGCCTTGTATAAAATGGCAAGAAATCTGGACTTATAAAGAAGACCAGGAGAAGCCACAAAAGTACCTTACACAAAGAAGCAAACTTTGTAGACGTATCATCATCATCATTCAATTATTCAATTACTTCACAAATAGTAGTGCTGTGCTAGACACTGTGTAAATTTCTTCTCATAAATCCTCTTTTACAACACTGATCACAAACTCTCAATTAGGATTTTGTTGTTGCTGCTGTTATTACAGATGAAAAACACAGAGCCTCAAAGAGGCTATACAAACTCAATAATTTATGTTCTTTTACAATGTTCTTGACATCCTTACCCCAAAAGAAATGAAATATATTTAGTCATTTACTTACCCCACCCCAGAATCCCTAAACCATTCACCATCGTTATGTGTGAATCTGTGCCGACTACACTGTCTGGGAAGAGGAGGTCTTTTTCTTCAAAAACCACTCTTGACAAATATTCTAAGTTTATTTGATGAGCCATTCCAGTTCCAGGAGGGATCACTGCCACATTCTTAAAAACTCTTGAACTCCACTATATTTTGTTTAAATTTAAGAAATACAAATGTTAGTATATAAATTTGTGCTCACAATCAAGGTGTAATATTAACATTAAAAATATTTTAACTAATGTTCAATATGGTAAATACAAAGTTCATATCACATAGTTAAAAACAAATATACAGATACTGAACCTAAATGTATTTTTTATTAAGACAAAATTAATTTAGGTCAAATAAAAATGTTCAAAAAGTCCAGACAAATGGCAGTATTCAACTGCGTTCCAAAGATTCTCAGGAATGAGAAGGAAGAAAGGCTCAATGTACAAGGCCCTCCCTCCAAGCTCTCTCTCCTAAACTAGAGCCACTGTTTTCATCTTTCTCTACACAATAGGGTTTCCAATTAAGATTTCATTTGAGGAACAAAAGCGTTCTACTACTATAAAACCTTTAGAAACTACTAAAGTGGCTGGGCAGAGTGGCTCATGTCTGTGATCGCAGCACTTTGGGAGGCCAAGGCAGGCAGATGGCTTGAGGCCAAGAGCTCGAGACCAGCCTGGCCAACATGGCAAAACCCCGTCTCTACTAAAAATACAAAAATAGCCAGGCAGTGGTGCACATCTGTAATCCCAGCTACTCAGGAGGCTGAGGCACAAGAATCGCTTGAACCCAAGAGGCAGAGGTTGCAGTGAGCCAAGATCACACCACTGTACTCCTGTCTGGGCAATAGCAAGACTCTTCCTCAAAAATAAATAAATAAATAAATAAAATAATAAATACGGCAGGCACGGTGGCTCATGCCTGTAGTCCCAGCACTTTGGGGGGGGCCGAGGCAGGCAGATTGCCTGAGGCCAGGGGTTCAAGACCAGCCTGGCCAACATGGTGAAAACCTATCTCTACTAAAAATACAAAAATTAGCCAGGCGTGCTGGTGTGCGCCTGTAATCCCAGCTACTCGGGAGGCTGAGGCAGGAGAACTGCTTGAACCCAGGAGGTGGAGGCTGCAGTAAGCTGAGATCACGCCACTGGACTCCAGCCTGGGTAACAGGGCGAGATTCTGTCTTAAAAAAAAAAAAAAAAAAAAAAAGGAAAAGAAAAAGAAACAAAGATATAAAAATTGTACCTATCATTAGTTTATATATTACAATACAAAAATTTCCCTGAATCATTTATACCTTAAAAAACTGAAGCCTCTCTCGATTTCTGCCGAATTCTACTTCTTGATTTTTTAACACTGTTTCAGGTCTAAAAGGAAGAAGAGCTGGCATTAAACGTATGTATTACAAAAAAGACTTGCCTTGTTTCTTTCTAAGTCATCGTTCTTAGGCATATATATACACAAATATATTCTTAAAATCCTTGGAAGAACTATTTACTAGGTTTCTCAGAATTATTTTCTTTTTCAACAAAGTTCTGCTTTAAAATAACACACCGGAAAGCTACAAAAGTGAGTTGTATTTTACTGAGTGTAAGAAAGCCACATTACACCAATGTCCAAAACTGTACTCAAGTGATAATAAAAACACACTTTGTTGGGTTATCCGCTGCAAGAAAAGAGGAAAGTAGTAGCTTCAACGACAAGCATGTACTTTCCTCCCCACCTGGCTCTTGTGCCAATTAAACTAGGAGATGGGTGCTGATTATTTCTATGCAGCATTGACGAACAACATCTCAACATCATTTTACAGTTTAAAAAGAGCTTTTGGCAAAAATCTTTCATTCATCTCATACCAAAAGAAGGCTCTACTTTATGTATAAGTAGCAGTTCACTTTACATGGATTATAAATATAGTTTACATGAATTATTTAAACTAAGAGACAAAAATAATTGACCTCTAACCAGTAACATAGTATCATTTTTAAAAAATTATTTTTATCTAATAGTTATTTTTAAAAATTATTTCAAACAGCTTTAAGCTGCTTCTTTTACCTGCCAGCTGGTGACTGGGTGTTGACTAGAATATCAATATAACTTAAATTATACGTGTCCTCCAGGGACCAGATAATTAGTCCAGATAATTACAGTTGTTTAATTGTCAACCTTTTTTTTTTGAGACGGAGTTTCGCTCTTGTTGCCCAGGCTGGAGTGCAATGACATGATCTCGGCTCACTACAACCTCCGCCCTACCGGGTTCAAGCGATTCTCCTACCTCAGCCCCCTGAGTAGCTGGGATTACAGGTATGCACCACCACACCCGGCTAATTTTGTATTTTTAGTAGAGATGGGGTTTCTCCATGTTAGTCAGGCTGGTCTCAAACTCCCGATCTCAGGTGACTGATCCACCCGCCTCAGCCTCCCAAAGTGCTGGGATTACAGGTGTGAGCCACCACACTCGGACAACTTTTTTTTTTTTTAAACAAAGATTACTTTAATAATTCATAGTTGAGTCATCTTTTGAAGCCAAGCATATCTTAGTGAGATTTTTCTCAGGGCCTCAGGGAAAACAGCTTTCTGAGCCACTCCAATTATTTTACCTTTCAATAGCACTTATGGCTACAAAGTGCCATACAAACATTTATTGGCTCATAACCTGACTTCAAACTAGGGGGTAATTTGAAGTGCCAAAGGTTATGCTCTCATCTTTCTACTCAACTTCTTAAGTCAATAATTAATACTTCACTGACACATTAAAAGATACAAATGAGTAACTATTATCACATAGCCAGGAACTACAATATAATCTATCTTAATACTTTGTAATTCGGAGTCAAAATTATGGGGAAATGTTACAGCAGATTGGATTTTTAGAAATAAAAATATAGCACTAAGCACTTACGATGTGCCAGTTATAAAAAGAAACAAAAACTAAAGAAATCAATGATTTTGAATCAATAAATCTTCCTTTTCAGGAAATTAATTTCTGTATAAGAGGTGTTAATCTCAAAAGTCAACATGCTCCTAACAACCAGGACAACTAGGCAACAGGAACAAGAAAGTGACTTCATAAAACTTTCAAAATTTGATGGCAAAAGACTCAGAGATTATACTGAATCCTTAGAAAGGAAGAGCACACGAGGTCACTATAACCTGTGGCTTCATAAAAATATTAAGCCCAATATTTTAGAACTAGACAGAATTTGGAAGATCCAGTCAGGGACAAAGGAATTAACGTATTATTTGGTACTTAGGATAAATGAATGGACATTACTCTTAGCTACTCTAAATCTTAAATGTGTTAAACTTTTTAAAACCTAAAGTGCAAGTAATTTTTTACTAAATTAAAAAAAAAAAAAGCCAGGTGGAGTGCCACATGCCTGCAGTCCCAGCACTTTGCGAGGCCAAGGTGGGATGACTGCATGAGCCCAGTTCAAGACCAGCCTGGACAGCATAGTGCCCATCTCTACCCCAAAAAAAGGTAGATAAAATAAGTCAGGCCTGACAGT
Source organism: Homo sapiens (assembly GCF_000001405.40). Taxonomy (NCBI): domain Eukaryota; kingdom Metazoa; phylum Chordata; class Mammalia; order Primates; family Hominidae; genus Homo; species Homo sapiens. Next base: position 78,468,392 of record NC_000015.10, on the reverse strand, counting down.
GTGTGCCTGTAGTCCCAGCTACTCTGGAGGCTGAGGCAGGAGGATCATTTAAGCCTAGGAGTTGGAGGCTGCAGTGGGCTACAGATGGTGCCACGGCACCTCAGCCTGGGTGACAGAGAGACCCTCCATCTCAAAAAAAAAGACAGTTTACTAACAATGGGATAAATTGTTATATTTTACATGAATTATTTAAACTAAGACAAAAACAATTCACATAACTCTCTTAAAAATAAAAATATGGCTGGGCACAGTAGCTCATGCTTATAATCCCAGCACTTTGGGCAGCCAAGGTGGAAGCATCACTTGAGGCCAGGAGTTCGAGACCAGTCTGGGCAACACAGTGACACCCCCTGTATACAGAAAAAATCAGCCAGGCATGGTGGTGCATGCCTGAAGTTCCAGCTACTTGGGAAGCTGAGGTGGGAGGATCACCTGAGTCCAAGAGATCGAGACTGCAGTGAGCCATGCTTATGACACTGCACTTCAGCCCAGGCAATAGAGTGAGACTCTGTCTCAAAACAAAACAAAACAAAAAAAACCAACTTTTGAAGGTCAAGGCAGACAGATCGCTTGAGCCTAAGAGTTTGAGACCAGCATGGGCAACATAGTGAGACCTTGTCTCTAAAAATAAATAAATAAATTTTAAAAGTTTGGAAACTTTATAGTACATATTTTAAAAAGCTGTATGACTTTTTTTTTTTCTGAGACAGAGTCTTGCTCTGTCACCCAGGCTGGAGTGCAGTGGCGTGATCTCGGCTCACTGTGATCCCTGCCTCCTGGTACAAGCGATTCTCATGCCTCAGCCACCCAAGTATCTGGGATTACAGGTTCCTGCCACCATGCCTGGCTAATTTTGTATTTTTAGTAGAGATGGGGTTTCGCCATGTTTGCCAGGCTGGCCTCGAACTCCTGACCTCAGGTGATCTGCCTGCCCCGGCCTCCCAAAGTGCTGGAATTCCAGGCATGCGCCACCGCGCCTGGCCATAGAACTCTTTTTCTTATTTAAAAAAATTACACATTAGGAAATCTAGCCAAATCCTAGGAATAGAATTCTTTTCTAGGCATGTTTACTACTTTCCATGTTACCATATAGGAAATCACTTATTTAGAAGGACTTACTAGATTTGAAACATAAAAAACAAAAATTTTATCGTTAACATACGGCTCTTTTTTTTTTTTTTTTTGCGACAGTCTCACTCCGTCACACCCAGGCTGGAGTGCAGTGGCATGATCTTGGCTCACTGCAACCTCCCCTCCTGGGTTCAAGAGATTCTCCTGCCTCAGCCTCCTGACTAGCTGGGACCACAGGGGCGCGACACCACACCCGGGTAATTTTTTGTAGACACAGGGTTTCACCAGTGCTGCCCAGGCTGGTCTCAAACTCCTGAGCTCAAGTGATCCACCTGCTCTGGCCTCCCAAAGTGCTAGGATTACAGTCATGAGCCACTACGCCCAGCCAACATAGAGCTCTTAATGCAATAGGAAAAGATAAGAAACCCCCTAGTAGGAAAAAAATGTTAAAAATATATACAGGGAATTAACATAAGAAATATGAATGACTAACGAGTATATGAATGGTACAAATATACTAAAATAAAAATTTTAGTTTAAAATGAGATCCCATTTTTCTGCTTACAGTCGTCAAAAAGATGAATTCTATTTACAGATAAATCTTAAGAAAAGTTTGCTTTCTTAGTAATGGTAAGAGAGAATGGTACTTAGAGATCACCATTTTCACTAAATTTACTTCTTTTAGTATAACAGGAAATACATATAAAAATTCAATTCAGTACTTAAGTGTGAAGGTAACATAATAGTAATTGGGTGGGAAGAGAATAAATTTGATTTTCTTAACTGGAAAATAACCTGGTATTAATAAACTTTAAGAAAAACAATCTCATACTCAGGCACTGGTTGCAAATGAAAAGGACACAGGATGGGTGTATTCTCAATCTGCGAAGAAAATGTTCCTGAGTTTCGGCCTAGTTCTCCAGAATCACAAGATCCTCGGCAGGTAGTCTGGCCTCTGCAGGGAAGCTTCTTAGGCTGCACTTTAAGTGGAGAGAGCTTTCCTGCTTTCTGCAGGTCACCACCTCCAGGATTTGGTGCATTCTGTATTGCACTGTCATTCCAAAAAGAAAACAAAATAAAGCCATTTAAAAGGGACACAAATTTAGCTCTTAAAAAAAAACGCACATTAGCAACGCTATCTGGAAGTAACTGAATGATGTTTAAAGGCTAATGTATCATTTAACTCAGGTTTCAAAGGCAAATCTCAGATTATATATATATAAAAAAAGAAACAGGTCATTTAAATTTACAGAAATGAAAACAGAATTCTAAGCGTCCAGTAAAATCACTTTCAAATACTCTACTAATTTAAATAACTTTTAGCAAGTACTGAAATAGATTTTTTCCCCCTAACAACTTAAAAGAAATTTAGAGCTACAGTTTATCTCGAGGGCAAAACCTCTCTCATGGGCTATAATAAATTGCAGTCTTATTCTACTACTCCAGGGAACGTTTTTAAAAAGTTACTTTATGGCAACAGAAATATGTCTTCTCTAGTTTGGTCTTGGTCAAAGGGGCCTTATAAATACAAGAAACTTATTTCAGAGGAAGGAAAATAGAGCTTTAGTGAGTTCAATGTTTTTAATCACCAAATAATTAAAAACATTCATGACTCACATCTTTCGATTCTTTCTGAAAGACAAGTAGGTTAAAAAACAAAAAAGGAAACAAAGACTGAATACAGAGGTTCACTCCAAAAAGCAGGTCCTAGGCTTATTCATTTCTATCAAAAACGGCAGCAGAAATACAAGAACATGAAAAAAACCCCACCACTCCATAAACTTTTCACCAGTTTTAGCTTTTATATACTAGCCAATACTAAATTTAGCATACTTTTCTCTGCCATAAATTATCTCTATTCCTTTTCCTCTACATGACACATTTCCAGCCAATTAACTTGCATGGCTGTCTATAAATATCTGCATTGAAGTACCATTTACTGAAGTCAATTTGTAAAGAATGGTCAACTGTAAGATCTGTCGGACAAGCAGGATGGACTTTCTCAGGATCACCTCCAAGAGTTTTCACTGCCTCCCTCATAGCAGCAAAATCCACCATTGCTGGTATTCCACTAAAAAATAAAGAATGGTCAAATTATAGTCCAAATTGTTTTTTATACATGCTTAATAAATGATAAACTTTTTCATTTTCATATTTTAAAAAGTATCCCTGTCTAGTTTACATTCATTTTTCATAATGTACTTTATAAGTTAGGAGTATCCTGTTTAATAAGAATTAACATTAAACATTATCTGAGAACTGAAGTACTTGGGCAAATATGCCAAAAATAATAAGAGATAATTTTTGAGGCATAAGCGAACTTCAGGGAAAATGCCTGTGAAACTCTTGCCATGTATTTTTTTGATGCACCTTCCCCTTTCCCTAGTTCCAGCCCCTTCCCCCTAGTGCCTTCGTGTTGCCCCAAAGCTATCCACAGTAGCTTTTGCCATTTTACATTCATCCACCCATCTATCCAGCCAACTATACAACAAGCATTTATCAAATGCCTTCAGTGTGCTAGACACCAATGGTACAAGGCCAAATAAGACATAGTTCTGGCTCTCAAAAAAATTTTAGGGAAGATAATGATTAAAGAATAGTATCGTAAGTACTATAATAGCTGCATACAATAACAGCTTGAGCCCAGGAGGTCGATGCTGCAGTGAACTATGATCACATCACTACACTCCAGCCTAGGTGACAGAGTGTGACTGTATCTCAAAATAAGATCAAGTTTTCAACATGTTAAGTTTGAGAAACCTATTGGTTATGTGGAAATCATAAGCAGGTAGTTAAGAAAAGCAGTTTCTGAATAAATGGTGTAAGAAATATCATTTATTTCTTATGCGGCTATGTATCGTAAGTACCATAATAGCAGCATACATAGGGTACAAAGAGCTGTGGCACACAAACCAGATTTGAGTGGGTGGGTGAAGAGGATGTTCCAGCTAACCTCTACGCCTCTTTCAAAACTCAGCTCAAGGTTAACTCTTCCAATAAATAATCCTTGGACACCTAGATCAGGCAAAATCTTTCAGAGTATGGTAAAGGCTCTGGATTTTAAGTGTGATGGAAGCCAACTGGTATATGGAGGGATAATACGACTTAACATTTGTAACCAAGTCACTCCATCTACTGTGTAAAGAACAGACTATTGATTGCAAGTGTGACAGCAAGGATACCAGTTAAGAGACTATTGCAGTTATAGTCCAGGTTAAGAGAGAATGGGACTAGAACCACAATGACAGTGATAGAGATGGAAAGAAATAATTGGACACAAGATATATTTAAAAGGTAGCACTGACAGAGCTTGCTGATAGACTGGGTTAGAGGGTATTAAAGAAAGAGAAAAATCAAGGCTAACTCCTAGATTTGAAGCCTAAACAAATGGGAGTGTATGGTGCCATTTACTATAACAGAAAAGACTTAGAAAGAAATAGGTGAGTTGAGATAGACAATCAAAAACTCAAGTTTTGATGGCTGGGTACGGTGGCTCATGCCTATAATCCCAGAGCTTTGGGAGGCAGAGGCAGGAGGATCGCTTGAGCCCAGGAGGTTGAGGCTGCAGTGAACTATGACTGCATTACTGCACTCTCGCCTAGGTGACAGAGTGAGACTACCTCAAAATAAAATCAAGTTTTCAATATGTTAAGTTTGAGAAACCTATTGAGAGATCATAAGAAGGTAGTTAAACAAAAGCAGTTTTTGAATAAATGGTACAAAACAGTGCCTAATTTTTAATGAATTGCTTCAGTTTAGAAAGGGCAAAATTTTTAAGTTTATAAACTAACCTTAAAAAAACAAACAAAAACAAAACAAAACAAAAAAACACAGAGCCATCCATTAGGAAGTCTGATTTTTTATTTTATTTTTTATTTTTAGAGACAGGGTCTTGCATTGTCACCCAGGCTGGAGTGCAGTGGTGTGATCACAGCTCACTGCAGCCTCAACCTCCTGGGCTTAAGTAATCCTCCCACCTCAGCCTCCAGAGTAGCTGGGACTACAGGCATGCACCATTACATTCGGCTAATTAAAAAAATTTTTTTGTACAGACAGCGTCTCACTATGTTGCCCAGACTGACTGCAAACTCCCAGGCTCAAGTGATCTTCCTGCCTTGGCCTCCCAAAGTACTGGGATTAGAGGTATGAACAACCACACCTACCCAAGAGTCTGTATTTTAAAAAGGAAACACACTCTAAGAGTTCATTCACAAAAAATAAACCCATTACTCACGTAAAATCTTGAAGAAGAACACGGGCAGGGAAAAAGGGCACTTCAACATTGCTTTGTTTGGTTTTCCAGTCTAAAATGTTCATAACATCTTCCTTCTTCATTAAAAAGCCATCACAATTTCGTACAGCAGCTTCCAACAAGACCCGTATTGAGTAAGGCAGAACATCTGATTCAAGAAAATATTACTATTAATAAGCAAACAGTCATACCTATATATTATTTTTAAAATGCCATAGCAAAAAGTTAGACAAAGACAAAAATGCACTGTTTTCTCAATTTAAACAATTCATTTTTAGTCTGACAAACTAGAGTGTAACACCATTCGTGTTAACATCAGGTGTTTTGTAACTGACTTTCCTGTACATAACCTCAAAGCCTTGAAAAAAGCAGAGATAAAAACCTTCATACAAGAGCTGCATTAATTTAGGAATATCATACTGCAACTATGACAAATACTTCATATTCAAGGAATTCACAGAAAAACTAAAAAAAAGCACAGAATATCAGAATTCAATTCAATAATGCAGACATCCCCTGGTATGGCAAAAAGAAAATGATTAAACTGTATAAATGTCTGTAATAAATTTAAAATTTTCCATCAAAAATGATTAAAGTTTAAAAGTAAATTGGAATGCCTGAGTGAGTAAAATTCATTTCACGAAAACTTTGATTCACTCTTAATTACTTCAAGGACACAATTGAGAAAGTGATTTCAATATTTTAAAATTTTCAATCATATTAAATTCTCACACCAGATTGTGCCACACAAAAGTGTTTCCTTAGGATTTAAAGAGAAGACTGAATTAATATGGGGTTAGTTGAATAAATCACTGTAATCCACACAATGGATTACCATGCAGCTGTTTAAAGGAGTGAAGAGTTACATGCTGATAAACAGTGAGCTCCAGAATATATATCATTAAGAGAAAAAGCAGGGCAGAACAGTGTTTATAGTATGCTAACTTTCCTGTAAGAAAGAGAGTTTAAAAACATATCCATAATATATTATTTTAAAATAAACATAAGATCATCAAATGTGTATTATGAGAAATATAATTTTAAAAATATATTAGCATGCATATTTTAACAAAAAGAAACAACGAAAGGATAAACAAAAAAACTAAGCATATATCTCACACGGTATTTCCACTGTACTTCCTTATTGGGAGTACCTTTTTGGTACAAAAAGGTATCACAAAGAAAGAAAACTATATTCAGTCATTAGTGCTGCTATTCAGAGATTGTGACTGGTGTAACAAGCAGCAAGCAAAAAAGTACTTTTTGTTACTATGGTTTCAAGAGCACAGAAGTATAAAATCAGAGTAGCTAATGAGAGCTAAAGTAACACTAAGTATTTTTTTGTTATTTCACAGGAGCGTTTGCATTTCCTGCTCACTGGGTGAGGTGGAGGGGGGCGAGGAGGAGGAAGTATGCAGAGAGAAGACTTCTGTGCCTGTGAGTTACATTAGTTCAGATTGTCTAACCATTGTTCTATATATGTAATTTAGTTAATACTGTTGTGTGTAAAGGATAAACAACTCCTAAGGCTCAAAGTATGTTAAAAGTAGAGGCAGTAAAATAATCCGTTTTTAAACATCCTTTTTTTTAGGAAGGCCTGTCTTCTGGGAGTGGTATTTGTTAACCTACTTCTAAGAGCTAGATGCAGTAATGTACTTAGTCACTGAAATGATAGAAGAGGGAAAAGGGGTGAAGGGTAAGGCTCTTTACTAGTGTCTCCATATCCAGAGGACAGGTTTTAGATTTTAACCATAGGTCTCTATGTGCATTTTTGGTAACTCATCTGTTTACTGTGAACAAAGTTCAATCTTTATTTTGCAACATCTAAGCTTTATAGATGTCCTGAGGTGACAATGTATGATAAAAAGCAGAGATAGTGAGTTAGCCAATTTGTAAATATCTTGGTATAATTGATGGAAAAGACGCATCTTGAACATGGAACTGTTAAACCACCTAGGTAGGGTGTATCAGGACTCATTCAATAGGTTGGCAGCTGAACGGCAGAAGGTAGCTTTGGGGTTCTGAACTAATAAATGTTCATGATATGTGAAAAAGCATGATACATACTGTATGATCTCAATCACATAAAAATGGATGTTATGTATATACACACACAAGACCTAGAAGGGCATGTCAAACTGCTTATGATTGTGGATGACTCTGTTCCTCATTTCTTGTGTTTTTCAGTTTCCAATAGCGCACGTTAATTTTTTTTAAAATGAAGCTTATTTTTAAAATCTGGAAAAAAAAATCACAGTAGCCAAGTTAAGTCCTTACATTTCAATTATAAACATGGATACGAACTCATGATTTATTTTTCTCTTCCTAAAAATTAGGTATTTTCTAGCTCTGTCACTGAAAATGCCTAGAATAACAACCCAACAGTAACAAACCCTTAACAACTGTTTGTTGTTTCTAAAAACTATTTCCTAAACACACACAACAGAACAGTTTTTCAGAGAAATGACTGATTCTAATCTGGAGAAGGATTTGTACAAAATGAGCCTGGATATCTTGTGTCCGAAACCAAAGAAGTTATCAAAGACTAATGGGGACACTAACGGGTCAATCTGAGCATCAAAATGAGTAATAACTATAATTCACCAAAATACATCAAATATATAAGTAGCCCTTAGTTCATAATGACTCTTAAAAAACCTTTCATTGATCACCAATGAGAGTTGCTAGGGCATCAACTCATTACTCTGAAAACTGACAAATAAAGGGGGAAAATCAATAGTTAATATTATCTTTCCTCCTTTCAGGTAACCAAATAGACAAAAGTACTTTGTTATAGAAGAATTACAGCTAGTAAATGTGGAAGAAACGATGTAATCTGAAAGATCACCAATGTGCAACACCTAATGAAATAATGGATCTAGATAATGGTCACAAATGGGTGCTAAAATCATTAGGATTTATGTGGATGGCGCGCTTACAAGCTGGTAACACTCATACCCACTTAGCATCACCAAAAGTAAGATATTAGAGATATTATTTGCCTCCTGATGAAACAAAAAACTACATGTTCCAACTAGGAAGTGTTCTCGCAAAAATAAGAACACTTACTATCTTGCAAAAATAAACCTGAATCTAATTAAACCTCTAGCTCTAACTTCCAGTTAACTGAAAACATGGGGGTTAGTAGGAAAGTAAAATGAAACCCCAAAGAAGCTATCAGCCAAATCTAGAATGTGGGACATTCTACAGGATAAAGAACCTAGGTTTTTCAACATAAAAATGGCACGAAAAAAGAGGAGAGGAAGACTATTACAGATTACAAGAAACTTAAAAGACGTAACAACCAAATACTGTGTTGGCCCTATTTGGATACTGTTTCAACAAACCAAATGTAAAAATGTATTTTTGAGATAACCAGAAAAATCTGAATACGAACTCAGTTTTAGATTTTATTAAGTGGCCAGGCACGGTGGCTCACCGCCTGTAATCGCAAAATTTTGGGAGGCCGACGTGGGTGGATCACTCGAGGTCAAGAGTTACAGACCAGCCTGACCAACATGGCGAAACCCCGTCTCTACTAAAAATACAAAAATTAGCCTGGCATGGTGGCATGCACCTGTAATCCAAGCTATTCAGGAGGCTGAGGCTCAAGAATTGCTTGAACCCAGGAGGCAGATTCTACACCGAGCGGAGACCTTGCCACTGCACTCCAGCCTGGGCAACAGAGCGAGACTCTGTCTCAAAAAACAAAAAACAAAAAAACCAAAACAAACAAACAAAAAACCCAATTATATTAAGGGATTACTTAATTTTGTTAGGTATAACAATGGCACTGTGATTTTTTAAAAGTCCTTTTATATAACAGCTATGCATATGGAAGAATATTTACAGGTTAAAATATGGTAAAATATATGAAACAAAAGATTGGCAAAATGCTGATAAATGGCTGACAATTACATGGTGGGTTACAAAAGTATTCTCACGCTACTTTTTTTTCCCGTTAAGAATATACTTATTGGCCAGGTATGGTGGCACATACCTGTAATCCCCGCACTTTGGGAGGGGGGACTGCTTGAGTCCAGGAGATCAAGACTAGCCTGGGCAACATGGTGGAAACCCCATCTCTACTAAAAATACAAAAAACTAGCCAGGTATCCTGGTGTGAGAGTGTGGCTCCAGCTCCTTGGGAGGCTGAGATGGGAGAACCACCTGAGGCTGGGAAGTCAAGGCTGATCTTGCCACTGCACTCCAGCCCGGGAAATGGGAGTGAGACCCTGTCTCAAAAAACAACAACAAAACGAATATATTTATTGACTTTTCTAGTATGTTCCAGCACTAGGTGAACAAATGAGACGTGGTATCTGCTCTTATGAAGCTGGCGCCTACTAGGAGATTCAGACCATAAACAAGTAAACAAATAAATATTTAGAAACAGTGGCAGGTGCTATGAGGGAGGTGAGTAGGGTTCAGGACAGAAAATAACACCCTTAGATGGGGTGAGTGGTGAAGGCACCTCTGAGAAAGCATGATGACCAGCTGGGAACGGTGGCTCATGCTTGTAATCCTAGCACTTTGGGAGGTGAGGCTGGAGGATCATTTGAGGTGAGGAGTTTGAGACTAGCCTGGCCAACATAATGAGAGGCTTAATTTTTTTAGAGAAGTTGTAGGTTCACAGCAAAACTGAGAGGAAGGTATAGAGATTTCCCATATACTCCCTACTCCCACAAGTACGTAGCCTCCCACACTATCAACATTCCCCACCAGAGCTGTATATTTATTACAATTGATGAACCTGTATCAGCATATCACAATCACCCCAACCCCACAGTTTACATTAGGGTTCACTCTTAGTGTTGTGTATTTCCCTACTTTCATGTTTGAAATTTTTCACACACAAAGACCCATAAAGTTGTACGTAAAGTAGAAAAAGGATTACAGTTATCAGAAATACTAGATTCAAAGCCTGTATTTACTACAGGTATGGCCTTTGGAAAGTGACTAAGTTGATACATTTTCTCACTAAAATGGGACTGTCAGCTACCTAACAGAGATGTGAAGAATATCTTCCTTACCTCGTCTATCTAGTTGGTACATGTAAAGCTCTCAAATTACAATAAATAGTTGGCACTTAACCAATATTAGTTTCCATCCTTACTTCAATCAGAAACATAAAAATTCCCCAAACCAAGGGGAATTACAGGGGAAAAATTTTTTAATAGAACATTTGGAGATAATGAGAAGGAAAATATTATCACAGAAATTATATACAAGATTAACCTTTTATTTAGATAATTATTATGGAAAAACAATCTCAGGAATATTTTTTGTTTATAAAAGTTATAAACCCACTAGAAAAAAAGTGACAGGGTGAGGCAAAGCCAAAAAAATTTTGAAAAACAAAGTATTACTAGATGGATGACTGGTAATGGACTGAGCAGAACAGAGGAGAGACAGCTGAAACTTAAAATGTCTACATGGGGGAAAGGCAAGCAGAAACAAAGTTTAGGAAATCAGGATTGCCTGAGATTTCTTATGAGGAGTGTTAAAAGCTAGCAGACAATGGAAAAATGCCTTCAAAATTCCAAATGAAAATAATTTCCAACCAAGAAATTTACACACAGGAAAACTATCAATTAATCAAGCAAGGTCTCAAAAATGTATTTCTCAGGCATCCTTTCTTAGGAATCTAGTAGAGGACATGCTCTATAAAATCAGAGAGTAAACAAAAAACAGAAAACCACTAAATCTTGGAGAGTCTCCAAAACAAAGAGAGAGCAGACTCTTCTACAACAACGGCTGTGCAAGCTACAATGCAGTCAGTCCCAGATGGACCAGAAGATGAAGTCCAGATAGCATGTCATCAACAGAAGAAAAAAAAATAACCAATAGATTACATGATTATACCAGGAGGAGGAATTTAGTTCTTTTGGAGAGTTCAGAGATGATTTATTCATAAGGACATAGAGTACTAAGCAAACAAAAAAAGGCAATCCATTAATCCCAGGAAAAATACAAAGTTATATGAGAGATGAGATACAATCATCATTACTACAAGGATTGGCTAAGAACATTTATAGTCATAACATAAATGCTCAACATTGATTCCACCAAAAATTATGAGTTGCATAAATATACAGAAGAAGTGCCAAATTACCATTTTCACAGTATAAAACTACTAAAGTCTAAAATCGGAAAATCAAGAAAGAGTAGTATAAGAAGGGCAATTTAACAACATGGAGGAAATTACCTGAAGAAACAGTCAAGAGAATTGAAAATAGTATTCTCTGGGGAGTAGAAATTGGGGACAGGGCAAAAGGCTACTGTTTTAGTTATAATTTAACAAGTAGGGTATTAAAAAATTCTTATTTAAAAATTAAAAAGCAATTATCAAATAAGAGTGCTACGAGAAAACACTAATCACAAATGTATTTTTTTTTTTTTTTGAGATAAGGACTTGCTCTGTCACCCAAGCTAGAGTGCAGTGGCACGATCATGGCTCACTACACCCTTGACCTCCTGGGCTCGGGCAATCCTCCCACCTCAGCCTCCAGAGTAGCTGAGCTACAGGCGTATACCACTATGCCCAGCTGATTCTCGTAATTTTTTTTTGTAGCAATAGGGTTTCGCCATGTTGCCCAGGGAGTTCTCGAACTCCTGGGCTCAAGCAATCCTCCCACCTTGGCCTCCCAAAGTACTGGGATTACAGGCATAAGCCAGCCACCACACCTGGTCCCACAAATGTTAACTCAACATTTTGTCATGAAGAAGCACCAACTATCTCAAATTTGTCTAAATTTGTAAAAGTAATGACTAGAGACCTACTGCCAGGGAAGATGCAAATGAATAAAAATACCACTGTCTCTCAAAACAAAAACAAAATTTCTTATTTCTCCCTGTGGTAGCCAATCTCCAAGATGATACCAATAATACTTGCCTTCTGATAGTCATGCTCTCATATAATCTGTATTGAAATCAGTTCTGCTTGTCTGACTCTATTTAGAGTATGGCAGAGATGACAGTGTGAGCCTTCCAAAGCTAGGCTATAAAAGTCTTTTGGCTTCAACCTTCCTCTCTTAGATTACTCGGTGAAAAGCCAGCAGCCTATTATGAGACTATTGAGCAGCACTGAGGAGAGGCCCTTATGGAAAAGAACTGAAGCCTCTCCATCATCAGGGAGCGCCAGCCTGTCAGCCATGTGAGTGAGGCCTTGGGCCAGGACTATCGACTAAGCCACTGCAAATTCCTGACCTACAGAAACTGTGACTGTCATAAATCTTTACTGTTGCTTTTGGTTTGTTATGCAGTAATAGATAACAAATATCTTTTCTTCCTCAACTTTTCCAACAATATCATCTGCAGTTGTTTATTTAGGACTAAGGGGCAGATGCAGAGGTGCTTTATATAAATTATTCCATTTAACCCTTAAATTAAACCTACAGGTAGATATTCCAGTAGAAGAGTTACAACAATAGAGAGTAAATTAGCAGATGTGAAAAATGGACATATGCTCTGGTTTTTTTCTTTTTTTCTTTTTTTTTTCAATAGAGATGGGATTTTCCTATGTTGCCCAGGATGGTCTCCCAACTTCTGGCCTCGAGCAATCCTCCAGCCTTGGCCTTCCAAAGTGCTGGGATTAAAGGCAGGAGACACTATGTCCAGCCTTGGTTTGCTTTTTCAACAATATTAATTCTACGTCCCCACTTTCAAACAGGTATAAAGTTCAGGAAGGCCCATTTATTTCCTTTCTTCCTCCCTACTCTCCCCATCTCACCTCTACATACGCTCTTGTGCTCCAACTATACCATCTTGCAAGCTTCCTAAACTTCAGAACCTCTCTGATCCCCACTCTTACCACATCTGTTCTTCAATACTGTGGGGACTTTCTCCTTACTCGTTGGCACCAGCCTATCCACGCTTTCCTTACTTAGGCAGTTAGGGTCAATGTGGTTCAATCTCTCACTTCCCCAAACCCTACATTTATTTCCTCTTTGTTCTTTTACCCCATTTGCCCAAGAAAACACCAATCCTGTTCTTTTTTCACCCCGTCCCCGCAGCTGGTCCACTCCACATCACCTCCCTGCTTAAGAACTATTCTCTCTTTTTTAAAACTAACTTTACTGGCTGGGCACAGTGGCTCATGCCTGTAATCCCAGCACTTTGAGAGGCCAAGGTAAGAGGATCACTTGACCCTAGGAATTCGGACAACCTGGGCAACATAACAAGATCATCTCTACAAGAAAATAAAAAATTCATCAGGCACAGTGGTGTGCACCTGTGATCCTAACTACTAACGAGGCTGAAGCGGGAGGCTCCCTTGAGCCCAGGAGGTCAAGGCTGCAGTGAGCCGTGATCATGCCACTGCACTCCAGCCTGGGCGACAGAGTAAGACCCTGTCTCTAAATAAATAATAAAACAAGTCCTAAGTTTATTAAGGCATATTGTATATATCTTATAATTCATCCTTTCCAAGTGTATGATTTAGCGATTTTTGTAACGTAAGTTTACCAAGTTGTACAATCAACATCATAAATCAGTTTTAGAACATTTTCATCATCCCAACAGATCTCTCATGCCTATTTACTGTTAATCCCTCTCCCCCTCCTCTCTAACCCAAGAAACCACCAATCTACTCTATGCCTTTCCTGGGCATTTCATATGAATGAAATCATAAAATAAAGTTTCTTATGCCTGTATTTTTTTCACTAAGCCTGCTTTTTACAGTTCATCCACATTGTAGCAAGTATCTGTAGTCAATTTCTTTTTACTGCCAAATAGTATTCCATTGTATACCAAAGTTTTGCCTATTCATTCACCCACTGCAGGACATTTAAGTTGGTTTCAATTTTCGGCTATGAATAATGCTGCTAAGATCATTTGAAAATCTTTGTGTAATAAATGTTTTCATTTTTCTTGGATAGATACTTAGGAATGATATTGCTGGGCTACGTGGTAAATTTATGTTTAACTTTTTAACAAACTGCCAAATTGTTTCCCAAAGTGGCTGCACTATTTTACATTCCCACTAGCAGTGTATGAGGTTTCCCATTTCTCCATATCCTCCCCAACATTTGTCACTGTCTGTCTTTTATACAGTACCCATTCTAACAGGTATGAATGGTAATTTGTTGTGGTTTTAAGTTTTATGTTGAGGAGGAAGAATGAGGAAAAAATTCCTAAAACATCAACGCAGAGAAACTGGCACTAATGTAAACACATGATTATAACCTCAATCAGGTCCTCACTATTCGAAATCCTAATGTTTCTCTGATCTGCTTATTTTCCCACACTCCACATCAATTAATTCTTATCTTCATCCACTCTCCTTAAAATTTAATCTCTATTTATCTTCTAGAGGACCTAGCCCCGTTTCCTACCTCACTGATAAATAGAAACTAACAGTTCCTACCTCTCAACTTCCTCCTACTATACCCACAAGCCTTGCTGCCTCTGGATTCACCCTTTCACCAGTTAAGGGAGCTGCGGACTTCCTCCTACTAAATGATAACTTCTCTATAGGAGTTTTGCATCCTATTTCCATTAACCATTTTAGGACTCAAGAGTCATCAATCATTTCCTCTCTCCTTTTTTTGCAAACTGGTTTGCAATTCAACTGGTTTCTTCCCATCAACATTTAAACAGCTCCTAGCCCCAGTTGACAACAAAAGTACTGCTTCCTTCAAATTCTCTAAAAGTGCCCACTTTTCTACCTTCCACTCACCTTAGCCCTAATCAATATTATTTCTGTCCTTAAACACGAATGAAGCAGGTCTAGCTAGAATCCCAACAGCCTTGTAGCAATATTCAAAAGAGCTAATAATTACCTCCTTTTTGAAACACTCTTTCTACTGGATTCCACAGCACCATCCTCCAGTTTTCCTTCTAACATATTGTTGGAAGACAATTTTCCATGTCTCCCATCTCACATTTCTTCAAGACTTGTGAACAGAGGTAATGACTACCTTTGTTCCAGACTATTTTTTCAGATATGTCTATATAGTGAATAGTTTTCAAATACACGATAGCGTCTTGCTCTGGAGCAAAGAGCAGGCATGCTTACTACCCATTATAAAAGACTTGGGTTTCCTAAGCCACAGTTCCTTTTCTGTAAGTAACACAACACCTGTGTGTGCAGGTGTTACCTGGCCTTCTTCAACATTACCCTATAGAAACTAGAGCTTGGGAAACCAACATAAATACTGTTAATAAGGATAATGCTTTGCTGTGAGTAATAAACTGTCCATTGTCTCTGATCCAGGAGTTGGGTGCCTCCTGCCAACATACATGAAACTACGTCAGGCTAATTTGTTAACTTCCAAGGAAGGTAAAATTTTAGATCCTTTATAGTTCTTTTTCATTTTTTTAAAATTGAAATGGGGGTCTCACTATGTTGCCCAGGCTGGTCTCGAACTCCTGGGCTCAAGAGATCCTCCCGCCTCAGCCTCCCAAAGTGCTGAGATTACAGGTGTGGGTCACCATGCCAAGCCTCCTTTATAGTTCTTAACACTTCTAGGTAGGCCTATCTTCCTTGTTAACCTCTACTCCTTTATCTGATATCTAAATGTAGGAGTTCCTCAGAGTTCATATTGAGACTCACTTTTTTTCTTACTCTATACTGCTTCCTCCAGGGAGTACAACTGCTCCTATGGCTTCAATTATCACTACATCTACACTAATAATTCCAAAATATTTTCTGTAGTCCAAGTCTGTCTTCTAAGCTCCAAAACCACATGCCCGATTCAGGAGGTGAACATGTTTACTTTAATACTGGTATGTTCCCAACTTCACTAGTACCTAAACTTGAACTCAGTGATTTCCCCTCTGCCCCTTCCCCTTATCATCACCTCATCTTCCATTCCCTAGCACAGTAAATAGCACCACCATCCTTCCAGATGTTTATGCCAAAACATCGAGGCATTTTCCTCAATGCCTCTCTCCTACATCTTTTTGTCTTCTATCAATATCACCATTAAATCTAGTCCCAACCACCAGTACATCATCTCTCACTTAGGTTCCCTAGGTGGTCCCCCAACCCTATACTGTGATTTTCGAAATGTGGTCCTAAACTGCTGATGCCTTAGCAGGACTCAAAGCAGTGGCACCAAATTGTACTACAGGTTGAGTATCCCTAATCCAAAAATCCAAAATCCACCAGGTGTGGTGGCTCACTCCTGTAATCCTAGCACTTTGGGAGGTTGAGGCGAGTGGATCACCTAAGGTCAGGAGTTTGAGACCAGCCTGACCAACATGGTGAAACCCTGTTGGACGCAGTGGCTCACACCTGTAGTTCCAGCTACTAGGAAGGCTGAGGCAGGAGAATCGCTTGAACTAGAGGCAGAGGTTGCAGTGAGCCAAGATTGTGCCATTGCACTCCAGCCTGGGAGACTAGAGTGAAACTCCATCTTAAAAAAAGAAAAAAGAAAAAAATCCAGAGTGCTCCAATGAGCATTTCCTTTGAGCGTCAGTGCTCAAAAAGTTTCAGATTTCAGATTTTCAGATTAGGGATACTCAACCTGTAGTACTCGTATTGTTTACTGTCACACAAAATACCAGTTTCACTTAAAAATGTCCCTAAGAAGCAGAAAAACTGTTAATTTTATTAAATCTCAACTGCTGAGGTCAAGTCTTAATATTCTGTGTGACAAAAATGAAATATATTTATACAATATTTCTACTCGAAAACAAAGTACATCAGTTGCTTGCAGAAAAACTCTTGTATGATTGAGCTGCAAGCTAAAATTAAGCTTTTTTTTTTTTTAAAGAACAGTTTTTCACTTGAAGGAACTGACAAACTATGGTTATTCAAATGTGTACATTTGGCAAAAAGTTTCTCAAAAGTGAATGAAGGCTGAGCACGGTGGCTCACACCTGTAATCCCAGCACTTTGGGAGGCCGAGGTGGGTGGATCATCTGAGGTCAGGAGTTCGAGACCAGCCTGGCCAACATGGTGAAATCCCATCACTACTAAAAATACAAAAAATTAGCCAGGTGTGGTGGTGGGCGCCTGTAATCCCAGCTACTCGGGAGGTTGAGGCAGGAGAATCGCTTGAACCTAAGAGATGGAGGTTGCAGTGAGCCGAGATTGAGCCACTGCACTCCAGCCTGGGCAACAGAGCAAGATTTGAATGAAATAAGCTTCTACAGTCTGCTCATTACATTATTGGTCTTTGAGAAATAAGAGTTCATCAAGTTATGCAGAACTTCCAAAGGTGGACACCATTACATTGTATATTAAAATACACACACACACACACACACACACACACACACACACACACACACACACAAATTTGTTAATATCACCACAGCCCTCTCAACTTAGGAGCTGGAGTTCCTACATAGCTGTACACTCTGAAGGCATCCTGCCTGTGCCAGTACCTGGACTGAGGCACCCCCGTAAAGAAGGCCTGCTGCTCTGACAGCACGTGGACTACATCTGTAAGCTGCCTCGAGGGTCATATATTGAGCTGTCACTCCTTCTACAAGCCCCGACATGGCCCATGAGCTCTGAAGGGCTCTTGCCCCCTACCAGCATCTGTTTTCCCAACGCATGCCCACACCACTAGTTCCTGATCATCAGATCCCTGCCTGCACTCCAGAGGGTGGCCTACTGCCTACCCAGCAACTCCAGACCAGCTCCAACCTGGCCAAAACCAATATACTTCTCTGTTATCTGTGGGCCAACCCACACCTATTCCAGTGAGTTCTGAACCTCTTCCAAGTTTGTCCTTCCTTGGGTATTCTCCCTTAGCCCTACAGTATTATATACAATTATCCTGTATTACAATTACTCTTACCATAGTTAATAATTATGTATATTAAGCTTCCTCTGTTTAACCTATTATGTGGTTTCTATCTCCTGACTGGACCCAAATTGCTACAACATAGTACTGTACTTCACATATACTTTCCATGTATGTCCCCATTACTAAACCGTGTCTTTTCTTTAGCACAGATGCTATCTTAGCCATCTTTCATTTGCTAGAAATATACAAGTACTCAATAAATATTAGCTCAATAAATTAAATCATATTGTTTAGAGACTCATGCAACAAGTAAAAAAAATGCACTGGATTACGTCTGCCTCTTCTAATCAGGAATTTCTAGAATTCTATGAATCCATAAAGCTAACCCTTTAAGGACAGGTAATTAAAAACGCCATGGAGGAACTGGGATGATGGTAATTTAAACTGGTTTAGTATAGTAATTCGTGTCATCACACTTCTAAAATAAGCTGATAACAATAAATATCCTTTTGATCAGTTACTTAGTGGAAGATCCAATAGGTGGTTCGGCTCTGAAAAAAAAATGCTGAGGTCTGCTATTTGTATACGGGAAGCATCCGATGAAAGGCAAACCAAGGCTCCCAAGACTGCAGATTCTACTATTCAAGGCTAAATAGCTGCTGCAAAGATTAGAAAACACAGTGTATCTCTCAGTACAGAGGTCACAAACTCTGTTTCATGTCTGCTGGCTTGCAGACATGTTTTGCTTGTTCTGCAGAGTTTTAACATTTTAAATTTAACTGCCAACATTTAAAAAACTACAGGTCTTTCAATCAGAAAACTTTACAATACCAACCTTGTACTTCTGCTGGAACTTAGTAAGCACCTACCTCTCTATATAGGACATGTGCCTTCCTGTTTGCCACACAATTCCCAGCAGAACATTTCACTTGTTTACGTTGCCTCTCTGATCCCTATAAACATGAGCTTGCAACCCCTGCTGTAACAGGTTTTTACAAGCATAGGTTTTGGAATCAAGATTTTTGTTCATGCTTCTGTTCCACCACTTAGTAGGTAACGGTAATTAGTTGTGGGACCTTGGCCAAGTGTATAACAGAGCTTATAGAACTGGATACGGTAAATACATACTCAACAAATACTTAAAAAAATTTTTTTTATTACTGACATTACTAAACCGGGAAACAGAATGGTATTGGAAAGAAAAGGCGTTGGTCTTGAAATCAGAAGATATGAGTTTAAGACTAAGTTTCCTCACCTAGAAGATATGTTGTGACCTTAGGCAAATTACTCAGATTTTTAACCTTATCTGTATTATCTGTACACAACAGATTTAAAACTATCTTCCGTGCTTATCATGAAGCAGCACACTGAAGTAAAAGGGTTTTGATATTTGCAGAAATGGAAAATTCCAAGTTCAAGCAGTAGTGAAGAAATTACCCATAGGGAATATTAGTACTCTAGTAAGCAGGCTTTAGATAACTACATGTAACAGAGAAACCCATCAGCCTGAAGGAAGGGGGAAAGACTCTGAAGCCACAGGTTCTCTAGGCCTGCCAAAAGCCCTCAAAGAGATTCCATCTTTGGAGTCCAGACTGGGAAAGGGGGCTAGGACACCAGAGCAGAAACCAGCCAGCATAGCTACAGGGTAAAGCTAACCCTGCTGAAGGCTAGGGGCCTGGAGAAAAGATAAGGAAGCTGTTCTAGAAGGCCCTGTAATCCCATCAGGCCTGGCAACAGGACTAACCCATGCCTATGTCTGACTAGAGTCAAGTAAGTGTTTCTGTCTCTAACCAGAACCAGGCGGGATAGGGCTGATTTCCAATAAACAAAGTCTGACCTCCACAGAACAAGACCTTATTTCTTCAAATAAATAAATAAATTCTGACCTTTTTTTTCTCTCTTTTAAAATATATTGCCATTGGGCCCGGCGTGATGGCTCACGGCTGTAATCCCAGCACTTTGGGAAGCTGAGGCAGGGAGATCACATGAGGCCAGGAGCTCGAGACCAGCCTGGCCAACATGGTGAAACCGCATCTCTACTAAAAATATAGAAATCAGCCGGGCGTGGTGGCGTGCACCTGTAATCCCAGCTACTTGGGTGGCTGAGGCACGAGAATCACTTCAACTTAGGAGACAGAGGTCACAGTGAGCTGAGATCATGCCACTGCACTCCAGCTGGGATGACAGAGCAAGACTCTGTCTCAAATAAATAAATATATACATACATACATACATACATTGCCATTGAGAGAGTCTGAGGAAGCAGAAAACAAAACAGATTCCTGCATAAGATTTTGTTTTTTCACCTGTACTGGCACGTCCTCAGAATGCCTATACCACAGCCCTCTTTCTAAAAAGTTCCTTCTATACCAATTGCTGGTGGGCTCTGTGTAGCCTTGCCATCCTGGCATGAATAGCTGGGACCTGGAGCCAGCCTTCCAACAGACAACCAATTTACAGTCTGGCCAGTGGCACAGGGAGTTCGCCAAGCACAAATGTCATGTCCAATAGGCTGCCTCAGCCTCGTTCTGTGATACCTTGAACTTGACTTAGGGAGAAGGCAGAAAACAGATGGAAACAAAAAAGAACCAAGAGAAAAAGAAAAGCAGAATAATGGGCCGGGCATG
Source organism: Homo sapiens (assembly GCF_000001405.40). Lineage (NCBI taxonomy): Eukaryota > Metazoa > Chordata > Mammalia > Primates > Hominidae > Homo > Homo sapiens. The sequence continues at coordinate 78,447,738 of NC_000015.10, read as the reverse complement.
GTGGCTCACGCCTGTAATCCTAGCACACTGGGAGGCCAAGGCAGGAAGACTGCTTGAGGTCAGGAGTTCAGGAGACTCCCGTCTCTATAAAAGATAAAAAAAAAATCAGAGCGGGAGTGGTGGCTCACGCCTGTACTCCCAGCACTTTGGGAGGCCGAGGCAGGTGGATCATCTGAGGTCAGGAGTTTGAGACCAGCCTAGCCAACATGGTGAAATGCCATCTCTACTAAAAATACAAAAATCAGCCAGGTATGGTGGCACGCACCTGTAATCCCAGCTACTCAGGAGGCTGAGGCAGGAGAATTGCTTGAACCTGGTAGGCGGAGGTTGCAGTGAGCCGAGACGGTGCCACTGCATTCCAGCCTGGGTGACAGAGCAAGAGTCCGTCTCAAAAAAAAAAAAAAAATTAGCCAGGTGTAGTGGTGTCTTCTTGTAGTGGGAGGCTGAGATGGGAGGATTGCCTGAGTCCAGGAGGTTGAAGATGCAGTGAACTATGACTGCATCACTGTACCCCAGCTTGAGTAACAAAGAGAGATCCTGTCTCAAAAAAAAAAAAAAAGAAAGAAAGAAAAGAAAAAGAAAGGAAAGCAGAAATAGGGAAAATCAGCTAAGCCAGAATCATGGGTTCTATGCATGCCTACTGAAGGGAACAAAGAGTCTGATCTGACCACGCACTCAGATCCCCTCAATTTCCTTATTTCCTTCAAATCTTCACAATAAACCCCCCAATTTAATGTAGAAGAAAGTTTTTTTTCTTCTCTTCATTCACTGACAGAAATTGAGCCAACAAGAAAAATAATATCTACTATTGATGAAGGTGCAGAAACACATATTCTTCTCATTCACTGGTAAGCATGTAAACTGGCATTCTTTGCTAACACTATACAACAGATGTCCTTCATGGTGCCTGTCCAAACTGCTACAGTTCTCGGTGGCCTGTGGCCTCCTTGGCTACAGCAGCGACGCAAAAGCCAATCCCCTGGTAGGCTGATGACCAAAAGTCTTGTGAGAAAGGAGACACTGGGGCAATTAGATTCACCTCTCAGAAATGTGTAATCAGGACACAGAGAGACTGAACTGGAAAGGTGTTAAGAGCTAAGCTAGGGACTGAGGTTGCCATTTGAGGCCATGTACAAAGTGAGCAGGCAGAGGAGGCTTGTCTATAGTGAAGTGGAGGAAGCAGAAGAGTGGAACAGGGCAGAAATCTGAAGCTCCTAAGAGAAAATAATAAACAACTTCCTTAATTCTGGGCCACCACCATTTTCTTGAGAGACAGCCACATTTCATTGGCCTGGGGAGCGCTGTATCATTACAATAAATCCTTCTTCACTCGAGCTAGTGTCTGTTCCTTGGAACCAAAAGGGCCTAATCTAGAATAGAAATTGGCAATAAAAACAAAGTTGAAATGTGGAGGGTTGGTGAGCACATGGCTATACATGGACTAGTAGGATGATGTTAGGTAAAGGTAATCCTTGGAAAGTTATGTACTATGTGTACAAATTACAAGCAAACTGTTACATTGCTTACCCAACCCAGTCTTTTCAAGAGTCCACATAAAAGACAAGATGAACAGATTTGTGTCTCTACCAGCAAGATCACCAGACCGGCAATAGACTCCTGACAAGTGCAGTCAAAATAGGTTAAAACAACAGGTGAGCTGGATACAATGGATCACACCTGTAACCCCAGCACTTTGGGAGGCTGAGGCAGAAGGATCACTTGAAGCCAGGATTCAAGACCAGCCTAGGCAATGTAGGGAGACCCTGTCTCTACAAAACATTTAAAATTTAGCCAGGCATGATGGCATGTGCTTGTAGTCCCAACTACTTGGGAGACTGAGGAAAGAGGATCACTTGAGCCCGGGAGGTCCAGGCTGCAGTGAGCCATGATCGAACCACTACACTCCAGCCTGGGCAACAGAGCAAGACCCTGAGGGAAAAAACAAAACAAACAAAACAAAACAAGTAAAAGAGTCACCTAGAGGTACACTCTTAACCGGTTAGTAATCCAGTCATAACATACAAGAATGGTCAGCAGTGGCCATATTGGGCATTATACAAAAATGAGTAAGTGAAGTAGGCTGTAGAGATGGAAGACTGGATATTCAAAAAGAAACAGAAAATAAGGAAACCAGGCAGCCTTTAAGTGACAAACAGAACACTGCCTCTGGCTTAGAAATTCTGGTTCCCTGAAACTTGACTATGCTTTCTTCCTTTGTCTTTGGATGTCTGGAAACTGCAACCTATTTTTTACTTGAGTGAGTTTTTGTTCTTTTTAGTCCAAGGTAAAGACTGGAACCAGACCGGGTGCAGTGGTTCATGCCTGTAATCTCAACACTTTGGGAGGCCAAGGCAGGTGGATCACCTGAGGCCAGGAGTTCCGAGACCAGCCTGGCCAGCATGGCGAAACCCTGTCTCTACTAAAAATACAAAAATCAGCAGGGTGTGAAGGCATGGGCCTGTAATCCCAGCTACTCCAGAGGCTGAGGCAGAAGAATCACTTGAACCCAGGAGTTGGAGGACGCAATGAACTGAGACTGTGCCACTGCACTCCAGCCTGGGCAACACAGCAAGACTCTGTCTCAAAAAAAAAAAAAAAAAAATAAAGACTGGAACCAACAGTAAATAGTGAAAGTATAAAAATAAAAGCGTGTGATGGGGTGGAGGAAATAACATACTTTCAATCCAACAATTCTATATAATGATAAGTTTGCACAAAAATGTAAGTATTAGCACATACAAAGTTTATTTATAAATAGAGAAAAGTTACTATCAGCCTCAATATTCAAAGGTCTGTTAACTAAACCACAATGCATTCATACAGGCAATATTGTGCAGCTATTAGAAGCCACAGAGAAGTACAGGTATCCCTTTCTACCTGAACTCAAGCTCCCTGACTCAGAAACCAAGTAGATTCAGATAGCAAGGGATACCTGTATTCAATGACATGGAAAGATGTTCATGATATATTAAGTGAAAAAAAGGGTTACAAAACAACATATACTTTATTTTTATTAAAAGTAGCATATTTACATATATTTTTGTATACACATAAAAATGAGACTTTCTGTACCATCTGCAATGTTCTTGTCTTTTTGTGATTCTTCTAAATGATAAAAACTCTCCTAAAAAATTAAATACAGGATTTTCTTCCAAAGGCTGCAAGGTAGGATTTGGACACTAAGTCCCGGCTCTACTGGAGGACTAAGCAGTACTGTGGTTAAAAAGGCAAGCAGACAGGAAGGACAAAAGAAAGGGTGAATAAGATGACCTGAGATAAAGGGTGCCTGGGGGCTTTACACCACCAGAGGCCCTGTTGCCCAGTAACAGGTACTCTCTCAAAACTACCTTTCACTCCAGCCAGGCCAGTCTCTCCACCATCTTCCCCTTCATTCAACATAGTCATTCATGTTTCCATTATGCTGTTCATTCTAATTCTCTGATGTTAACTGTCCTCCATCATACATGGAGACACCACTGATTTCTCCACTCCTTAAAAATAGCAATAGTTTCAAATTCAGAGATCTACTTAAGAGAGTCACCCAAATCAGCTACTTGAGAGGGTGAGGTGGGAGGATCTCCTGAGCTCAGGAGTTCAAGGCTCCAGTGAGCTATCATCATGTCAGAGCACTCCAGCCAGGTTGACAGTAAAACTCCATCTTTATAATTTTTTTTTTTAAAGAGTTACTCAAAATCTACATTTTGAGACTACCTAGATTTTGACATGTTTCTAGTCAGCACATTGGGAGTGCCAGACAGCCAGCTCCAGAATATTAAAGAGATTCCCCACAACTGGCTGCGTGCAGTGGTTCACGCCTATAATCCCAGCACTTTGGGAGGCCAAGGCAGGAGGACTGCTTGAGGTCAGGAGTTTGAGACCAGCCTTGTTAATATGGCGAAACTCCATCTCTACTAAAAATAAAAAATCAGCCGGATGTGGTGGCACACACCTGTAGTCCCAGCTACTTGGGAGGCTGAGGCACGAGAATCGTTTGAACCCTGGAGATGGAGGTGGCAATGAACCAAGATCATGCCACTGCACTCCAGCCTAGGTAACAGAGCGAGCCTCTGTCTCAAAAAAACAAAACAAAATAAAACAAAAAACAAAAAAAACCCCACAAAAAATAAAAAAACAAAGGAGATTCCCCACAAGCAAAATCATACAAGATCAAAATGTAATCAATGTCTAAGATGTGCCCACTTCCATAGAGATACCCTGAGTATAAATTTGGGAAGCAAAAGGATAAAATGGCAGTAAAAAAGCAGAAATCAAATAATCTGTGTTGAACTCTATCTAAAGTCAGAATAAGAGAAGGCATCAGGTTGGTAACGCAGATAGATTAGGCTGGTTCACTCACCACCCACTCCCAACCACTTCTCCCTTTCCTTTCTCTATTGTAAAAGATGTAAAGGTAAAATACAGTACCCCATCTTATCTATGGTTTGGCTTTCTGTGGTTTCAGTTACCTGCAGAACAGCACAATAAGATACTTTGAAAGAGAAAGACCATATTCACATAACTTTTATTACAGTACATTGTTATAACTGTTCTATTTTATTATTAGTTATTATTAATCTCTACTGTGCCTCATTTATAAATTAAGTTTTATCATAGCTATGTATGTATAGAAAAAAATATATACCAAACAGTACATACACGGTTTGGTAGTACCCATAGTCTCCGGTGTCTACTGAGGGTCTTGGAACATATCCCCCATGAGTAAGAGAAGACCTTGATTATTCCATCTTTCAGCCTTCTTGAAGCTAAGAGTGGCCACTGATACTTTGGCCAAAGAGGCAAAAGCCCCTGGAGAGGGCTTTTATCATGGTTATAAAAACTGGTAATTCTGGAATTATGTTAAGTACACATGTACTCTGTACAGTTATGTACAAATTCCCATGACAGCTTATTTCCCAGGGAAAATTTAACTTGGACATAATGCCTGGAGGTGCAACCAAAAGAATAAAAACAGAACGGGAAGAAAGGACGAGCCTAGATCCTTGCGGAGATTGGTGCTGCACAGCCCCAGTCTGCCAATCTCCACACTTCGTTATGTTAGAAAAATAAACTCGTATTTCTTAAAGTCATTGGACAGCAAGTTTTCAGTTCTTTGCAGCTGCAGGCATCCCTGACATAGTCAGCATGGAGCTTAGAACAGTGTTTCTCAACTATCTTTACTCTGTAACATTTATGAGGGATAGAATCCATTCCCTTCATTAATCGTTACTCATTACAACAGTCATTCTCAACCTAGCAGGCATCAAAATGTGGAATGGAGGTGGAGAAGACTGGCTCTGTACCTTGGTGACTACCAAAGCAATGTCTTCTTGTAAGCATATGTCTAGGAGGCAATTCAATCTGATCCTTTCAAAAATGCAATAAGGATTTTTTGTTCTAAGGTTAAACAACCAAATACTTCCTACCTAACTTGTTCCTTTCTTTCAAAGTCAATTCTTCAAATTTTATTCCTTATTAGGAAATTACTTAAGTAATTATTACTTAATAACCTCTCATAATAAGCACTCTATTAAAAAAGCAGGAGGGGCTGGGCGCAGTGGCTCACTCCTGTAATCCCAGCACTTTGAGAGGCTGAGGTGGGTGGATCACTTGAGGTCAGGAGTTTGAGATCACCCTGACCAACATGGTAAAACCACCATCTCTACAACTAGCTGGGTGTGGTGATGCACGCCTATAGTACCAGCTACTTGGGAGGTTAAGGCACGAGAATCGCTTGAACTCAGGAGGCAGAGGCAGCAGTGAGCTGAGATCACACCATTGCACTCCAGCCTGGGTGACAGAGCAAGATCCTGTCTCAAAAAAATAAGTAAAATAAAATAAAATAAAATAAAATAAAAACCAGGGTACTGACCCCACATAAAAACCAACTTTCTGTTTTGAAAGTATTTATAGTCACAGGTATTCTATTATTACATTTATCATGGTTATAAAAACTGGTAATTCTGGAATTATGTTAAGTACACATGTACTCTGTACAGTTATGTACAAATTCCCATGACAACTTATTTCCCAGGGAAAATTTAACTTTCAGATTATCAATCATTCCCTTTCAATGCATTTTACAGTTGTTTTTGACAGTTTCCTACTGATTCCTTAAATTTGAGAAATTTAGGTCATCTTCCTTCAAGTAAGCACATTTCTACAGATTATACACAGAAAGTATTTATACTCAATTTTCAAAACATCTTATGTGCTCCTTTAATTTATTAAACTATGAAATTTGGGTTAAAAGACTTCCAAGCCAGTATCACTAGATTATTTTGGAGAAGTAAATGGGAAATAAAATGACTATTCTTGTAAACGATCAATCTAGCTGTTTCTTTTCAAAATTAATGCAAACTCACCATCAGTGAAGGGATAAAATTAATGTGAAAGACATACATTAAGAAAATGACCAACTTCCTTTAACAAACGTATCAACACAAATCACTGCAGCTAAACATGCAAGGTAAAGGATATTGCTCTCATTTTGGCAAACTGTTTATTTTTAAATGACAGCCTAATTCTAAAATGGGGATTCTTTAAGATACTCCAAAATAGCTGTATTTCACAATACACAAAAAATATTGCACATAGCAGTCAAGAATATTTAAATTCCTCAAAATCTACAGAAAAATCACAAGAACAATCGTCTTAATTAAATAATGCAAGAAAAAACAAGATTAAAGCTCCTTCCAAAACTGACTGCAACAGATGTGGCATTCAATTTATCTTTTCATGTCATTGTCATGGAAAAGTTCACAAAGAATAATGAGTCTTCTAAAGAGGTCTCTCTATTGGCCCAATTGAGAAAGTTACTCAACTGTTAGTAAAGTCAAAACTTCCATTCAATGCCCTATAGGTCGCCCACATTCACTCTTCTGAGACCACAGAGAAAGGTTTGACCCTGATAAGGTCAATGAGAATGTCTGCCAAAACTGCAGGTGTGTAGGTTGGGGCAAACCATGCCCAATACTTCAGAAAAATTCAAATCAATGGGTCCTGTTGGTGATTCCTATTCAACAGATGGCAAAAAGAATAGATGTGGGCACTGTTCATTTGACAAAGTAAAACAGGCCAGGCATAGTGGCTCAGGCCTGCAATCCCAATACTTTGTGAGGCTGAGGCAGATGCATCACTTAAGGTCAGGAGTCTGAGACTAGTCTGGGCAACACAGCAAGACCCCAACTCTACAAAAAATATAAAAATATGTTTTTATATAAATGTGTTGGCATACACCTGTAGGCCTTGTTACTTGGGAGGCAGAGGCAGGACTGCTTTAGCCCAGGAGTTCAAGGCTGTATGAGCTATGATCACAACACTGTGCTCTAGCCTGGGCAACAGAGCAAGACTCTGTCTCAAAAAAAAAAAGAAAAGAAAAGAGAAAATAAAATATACATTTAATTGGTGTAGAATTATCATCAGTCAGTCAGGTTCTTCTAAAAATCACATTAGGCCAGGCGCAGTAGCTTACATGTGTAATCCCAAAACTTGGGGAGGCAGAGGTGGGAGGATTATTTGGGCCCAGGGGTTCAAAACTAGCCTGGGTAACATAGCAAGACCCCTGTCTTCACAAAAACAAGAAAAAAAAAAGTTTGAAAACTGCATTATTGGTTTCTTTGAGGGGAAAAACTAGTGCTTAATTAACTTAGATTTTTAAATGAGAAGTTAAGGTGTGGGCCTACATCTTCCCTGAACAGAAGTTGTCCCAGGAGGAGTTTTTAAAATGGTATAGGTATGTGTAGGTGTACCTGTTACAATACGGTGGAAATACATTTAAAATTTCTTCAGCTCAGCTTGACAAATGCATTTTCATTATTAGAGACTAAACAAACCCAAGAAAATGTAAAGCAACATTACCATACTTGGTGCCAAGTTTAGATACATCGAAGAACTTCTTATGTGAACTGTCATTTAATGTTTCAATAAGGTACTCAAAGGCGTATCCTGAAAAAAAAATTGTATTTTCATTAAATGCAGCAACAAAATATTTTATTCAGCTGAAAATACCTGGAAACTAGCTTTATCCAATAGAATTTTCTGCAATGGTAAAAATATTCTATGTTTGAGCTGTCCAGTAAAGTAGCCATTAGCAACGTGTGGCTATTGAGCACCTGAAATGTGGCTATCGTGCCTGAGGAACTGAATTTTTAATTTATTTAATTTTGATTAATTTAAAGTCACACAGGGCTAGTATCCACCACACTGGAAAGCATAGTTCTAAACCATAATTTGTCAAGTAAAAACTAGTAAGATAATTCACTCCTGAAATGTGATAAGAATACCTGGAAAGGGACAATAAGAATGATTTAAATAATCCACGGGGACGTTTTGGAAAGACATGTCTTGAAAACTGCAGAGACAGGAATTTGTGAATTCCACAATTAACATTAGAGGGACTGATTAAAAAAAAAAACTAAAAGACGGATTTTTACAGAGCATTCAATAAACCAAAACAAAAAAACTTCTCAGTTAAGTCCTTACCAGGGCTTAGTACTGAAAATAAAAGTAACAGAATCTCTAGGAAATTAGCATATTCTACCCGAAAGAGACAAGTCTTCTGGTTTTGCACGAACTGAAGCTGAACTACTAAGTCAAAGATCCAGAGGTCTCATTTAAACGTGCCTCAGCTCCCAACATTCTAGGGGGCAGTGGCGGGGAGGCAGCCCTGAGGTTGAAAAGAACCTTCAGATCTTTTGTGCAGACTCATAGCGGTGGGTGGCCAGGACCCTCAACATTGTTAAGGCTTTCATCCAAAAGGAGAAAACATAAGCACAGCCCATTTTCAGAATGAATAGTATTTTTTTCTCTTTTTTTTTTTTTGTAGAGGGAGGTGGACGGGGGAGGAGACAGCGGTGCAATAAATGGTCGGAGAACTGACTGACCAATGTTCAACCTTGACTGCCCCTCATTCGGCTTCCAGAGGCACAGAGAGACTGAGGGGCCTTAGGCTGGACCGTGGAATCAACATCTAGCTGCGTGAGACCCGAACACGGAGACGCAGGCCCCCGCCTTCATCGCTCGCCAATGGGGGGCGGGCAGGAGAAGACGGTGGGCCTCTCCCTGCCCCTGGTGTTGCTGACGGGGGCCAGGAAGCCGCTGGCAGCAGGCAGCGGCCACCGGAGAGAGAGGGGTGCGGGTCAAGGCCAGCGGTGGGGTGGCCCGCCCTGCGGGTGTCGCGCAGGAGGGTGGGGATCGGGAGCCCCAGCTTCCGCGGCCTAGGCTCAAAGGGCGGCCCAGCAGGCAGGCCCCGAGGGGAGCACAACCCGAGCCCCGAGGGCCTGGGCGCCTGCCGAGCGACTCCAGGCGAGAAAAGCAAGGAATTCGGCGCCTAGGCAGCGCGCGTTTCCAACTGCCAGACCCAGCTCGGAGGCCCGAAACTGACCTGCTTTTGGGGCGTCCATCGCCGGAGACCATATTATCCCTCCGGGGAGGGGGCCAGCGGGGGAAGAAGGGGGAGGCCGGGCAGGGAAGACGGGGAGGAAGACAGGCGGACTGGCAAGGGAGGAAAGAAGGAAGCAGGCTCGCGCAAATATCGCGAGAGCAGCAGAGCCAGCCCCGGGTCTGCGCTCGCGGGATTTGTCGCCTAACTCCCGCGAGATCGTCGGACAGGAAAACAAAGAAAGGGAAGGGGCGGAGCTAACCAGAAAGCGATTTCTCGCGCCGTCGCCGCTGTTCTCGCGAGCGGGGGCGGAGCGCTGGGGAGGCTCCAGTGGGGGCGTTGGCGTGGCTAGTTTGGCCTTCGCAGCGATCCGTTACTTAGTTGCGGCCTTAAGTTTTCTATTGGGGTCATGAATTCGAGCGGTGTTTGCGTTCCCGCAAGGTGTCTGTTGGAGTCAGGGTCGGAATCGGAACTGCTAGGAGAAAGAGCTCAAGGAGAACCGCTTTCCCCTAACTATAAAGCCTTGCATTAACTTGTCAGACGTGGGCGGCCCACACGCGTGTTTTCAAGTGGGGGCGGCCATACTGATCGGGCGCGTGGGAGGCGCTCAACTGTTGAATGAATGAATTTTTTCTTACCCTCCGGTAGCTTCCGTGATTGCCGACTTCTTCCCAGTGGCAGTTAACACATGCTTAAGCCTCTCCATCCTTCCGCCTCAGCTCCTCCGGTCCCTGTGTTCTCCACCTACCCAGCATTATCTCCTGTCGCAGCAACTTACCAGAAAGAGTCGCTCATACTCGGCTCTCCCCCACCCACTTCTTATCCTCTTCCAGTCTGGCTTCCACTCCCAGAAATGCCTTTAGCCAAGGCCAGCTATAACTCCACTTTCTAATCTCACATATCTCAATCTTGACTGGTTCTCTCCCATTGTTGAAAAATACTCTTCCATCAGCTTCTGTGACTTCAGACTCTACTTTTGTTTCTTCTCCTAAGGGTGCTTGATCTCAGGCTCCTCTGCAGACCTCTTCCTCCGCCCAGCTTTTAAATGTACTGGGCACTTGATGGGCACAGTAGCTCATGCCTGTAATTCCAGCACTTTAGGAGGCCAAAGTGGGAGGATGGCTTGAGCTGAAAAGTTCAAGACCAAACACAGCAACGTAGTGAGACCCTATCTCTACAAAAAAAATTTAAAAATTAGCTGAGTGTGGTGGCATGCACCTGTAGTCTCAGCTACTCAGGAGGCTGAGGTGGGAGGATCACTTGGGCCCAGGAGATTGAGGCTGTGGTGAGCCATGATTGCACCACTGCACTCCAGCCTGAGCAACACAGCAAGACCCTGTCTCAAAAAAAAATATATTGGACATTAAATGTGTCCCAGGGCTCTGGCCTTGTACCTCCTCCCTCTGTCCATTTTCCCTGGCCCATCTCACACTTCCTTTGACTTCAGTTATTAGTTAATATGTTGATGCTTCCCAGTCTGCCTGTGACCTGAGCCTATCTCCTAAACCCGGAGGTGTATATCCTAGTACCCATGGGATGCCTCCACATCCCAAGGCACCTCAAACTAAAAATCTCCAAAACTGAACTCGTCATTTCCCTCCTTAAACCTACTATTCCTTTTGTATTGCCTGTATTAGCGAATGGCGCCACCATCCACCTGGTTGCCCAAGCCAGAAATCAACACATTATACCTGACTCCTTCATCCACTCCCTTTAATCATTGATCCAAGCCCTGTCAACCCAAACTCCAATATATTTCCTTTATTCACCTTGCTATATTTTGTAACATCTCCTTTACAATCCCAGCATGAAATTCATAGGTAATATAATCTACATACACGATAAATAATCTACTTAATGACCTAACTGTAATATAAAGGAGAAAAATAGGAAAGTAATTTATTAGAAAATAATATGTATTATAATACGTAGCTGCACAGGCATGTCTATATTAGATGACAAAATTGAGTAGTCAGATGCTTGTATCTATTTATAACGAATGAGTTTGGTTTTACAGGACATATAATATTCGACTGGGCCAGGCACAGTTGGTAGCTCAAGCTTGTAATCCCAGCACTTTGGGAAGCCAAAGCTGCAGGATCGCTTGATGCTAGGAGTTTGAGACTAGCCTGGGCAACATGGTGAGACCCTGTCTCTACAAAAACTTAAAGAGTTAGCCAGACATAGTGGTGCATGCCTGTAGTACCAGCTACCGTGAGACAGAGGCAGGAGGATCACTTGAGCCCAGAAATTCAAGATTACAGTGAGCTATGATTGTGCCACTGCACTCCAACCTGGGAGACAGAATGAAACCCTGTCTCAAAAAAAGATAAGGCCGGGGCGGTGGCTCACGCCTGTAATCCCAGCACTTCGGGAGGCTGAGGCGGGCGGATCACGAGGTCAGGAGATGGGAGATCATCCTGGCTAACACGGTGAAACCCCGTCTCTACTAAAAGTACAAAAAATTACCCGGGCGTGGTGGCAGGCGCCTGTAGCCCCAGCTACTCGGGAGGCTGAGGCAGGAGAATGGCGTGAACCCAGGAGGCGGAGCTTGCAGTGAGCCGAGATTTCACCACTGAACTCCAGCCTGGGCAACAATGCAAGACTTCGTCTCAAAAAAAAAAAGATAATATTCAGCTGAATATGGTCAACACTTTTTATGTCTGACATTGCAAAATAAGGATTCAATATATACATACATATCATGCATAAATATATATTATGAATGCATATATGGTAAATGCACATATGTATAAAATGTACATATATATCATGAATGGCCTCTAAAGACTAATGAAAATATGTTAGTGACTTAAATATTGGAAGTGTTGTCACTATTGTGATTTTCTGAAATGGTGAATAACTCTTGATAAAGTTCAAAACAAAAAAAAAAAACCTTTGCTTTTTTTATGCAATAGTTGTATTCCTAGAAAATTCCGTATATATTAAAACCATACACAAATTACTTTTGTTTTTACTTGTATATGGGGTTAAACTCTAGGCTCAGATAATTATAAACAAATTTGTTGTTACTGTTTTTATGTTTGTGTGTATGTTTAATGTACTTGAATATCTGACAGTATGGGTCTTGTTTGATTCTTTTTTTTTTTGAGACGGAGTCTTGCTCTGTAGCCCAGGCTGGAGTGCAGTGACATGATCTTGGCTCACTGCAACCTCCGCCCCTCGGGTCCCGGTTCAAGCAATTCTCCTGCCTCAGCCTCCTGAGTAGCTGGGAATACAGGCACGTGCCATCATGCCCAGCTAAGTTTTATATTTTTAGTAGAGACAGGGTTTTACCATGTTGGCCAGGCTGGTCTTGAACTCCTGACCTCGTGATCCGCCCATCTCAGCTTCCCAAAGTGCTGGGATTACAGGCGTGAGCCACCGGGCCTGGCCCTTGTTTGATTCTTTGTTGTGTAATTCTATAGTGTGGAATGCAGGCAATCTAACATTCATTGAATCCCAAAAGTGCCCCATGATGGTGACAAACAAAAACACCCATTTTCTCAGTGTCCCGCTTCCACTGAGAAGCACTAACTTAGAACAATCATGATATGCTCCCGTGTGGCTGGACTCATTACTTTTTTTTTTTTTTTAACAGTTTTATTTACTTTTTGAAAATTTTATTTATTTTAAGACAGAGGTCTGTTTATTTGGCCTGGACCGATCTCAAACTCCTGAGTTCAAGGGATTCTCCCACCTCAGCCTCCCAAGTAGCTGGGACTACAGGCATATGCCATCTCAGTCAGCTTTAACAGTTTTATTGAGATTTAGTTTAAATATCATAAAATTTACCTATTGTTAAACATTCTTATTTTGTGACAATTGTAGATTTACATGTAGTTGTACTAAGTAATAAAGATCCCGTATACTCTTCACCTAGTCTTTCTCCATGTAGCATAGTACAATATAAAAACGAGCAAATTGACATTCATACAATCATTCCACCTTACTCAGATTTAGGCAGTTCTACATGTACTCCTTTGTAGGGTGTGTGTGTGTGTGTGTGTGTGTGCGCGCACATGCACGTGTGTATTTAGTTCACGTGTGTGGCTTTGTGTGGCCATCACTACAGTCAAGATATGGAACATTTCCAAGGATCCTTCCTGTTGCCGTTTTATAACCGCAGCTGTTTTCCTCCTAGGCTGCCATTTCCTCATCCCCTACACCCTATTTTGAATGCTATGCAAATGGAAGCTTATGGTATGTTTTCACTATACATTTTTTTTCAAGTTACATTTCCAGTGAGATTTTAGCACCCTTTTAGATCAGTGTCTCGGGCAATGTCCAGGCTGGTTCACCTCTCCTTTTTTTTTTTTGAGAGAGAGTCTCACTGTGTTGCCCAGGTTGGAGTGCAGTGGGGTGATCTCGACTCACTGCAACCTCCATCTCCTGGGCTCAAGTAATTCTCCCACCTCAGCCCCTGAGTTCCTGGGACCACAGGCGCACGCCACCATGCCCAGCTAATTTTGGTATTTTTTGTAGAGACAGGGTTTTCCTATGTTCCTTAGGCTGGTCTCGACTTCTGTACTCAAGCTGTCTGCCCACCTTGGCCTCCCAAAGTGCTGGGATTACAGGTATGAGCCACTGCACCTGGCCCATCTCTACTTTTTAAATTAAACATTTTATTTCGAAAAACAAAATTCAAGAATACAGAAGAATTGCAAGATAATTATAATAAAACTTCATATATACCTTAATTAGGTTTATTTATTTACTGTTAACATTTTGCCACATTTGCCTTGTCTCTCTCTCCCTCTCTGCTATTTCAGAGATAAGATCCTCATTATTTCTTATTCTTTTTCTTTTTTTGAGACACAGTCTCACTGTGTTGCCTGGTCTGGAGTGCAGTAGGTATTCACAGCAAGATCATAGTGCACTGTAGCCTCCAACTCCTGGATTCAATCAATCCTCCTACCTCAGCCTCCCAAGTAGCTGGGGCTACAGATGTGTGCCACTGCACCTGGCTATTTCTTATTCTCATTTTTTTGGTACCATTTCAGAGTAAATTTTAGAGATTATGACCCTTCAGTCCTGAGTACTTTATCATGTATCTACTAAAAATGATCAAATTCAGGAAATGTAATTGATACAACACAATCAATTGTATCAATACAATTCATATCCAAATTTTATGAACTTGAATCATCAAATGTTATTAATAATCCATATTCAAACATTGACACAGTTTACAATCCATATTTAAATTTTGTCAATTGTCCCAATATTGTTCTTTCTAGAAACTCTTCTCCAATCCAAAATGCTATCCAGGATAAAGCATTGGATTTAGATGTCGTATCTGTTTAGTTTTCTCTAATTTGGAACAGTTCCTTAGCGTTTCATTTTCTCTTATGGTATTGACATTTTTAAAGAGTATTGGCCCATTGTATTGTGGAATGTCCTTTAATTTAGGCTAGCCTGACTGTTTCTTCATGATTACATTTAATTATGCATTTTTGGTAGGTATGCTACATAAGTCATGTTGTGTTCTTTTTGGTGCATCATATCAGGAGGCACCTGCCTTTACTTAGTTCCTCTTTTTTTTTTTTTTTTTTTTTTTTTTGGGAATGGAGCCATCACTTAACTTAAAATCAGAGCAGAGTTTTAAGCCCAGGTCCATGAGACTCTATTTTTTTTTCTTCTTTTGAGACAGGGTCTTGCTGTTACTGAGGCTAGAGTGCAGTGACACAATCACAGCTGACTGCAGCCTTGACTACCTGGGCTCAAGCGATCCCCCCATCTCAGCCCTGCAAGTAGCTGGGACTAGAGGCATGTGCCACCACACCTGACTAACTTTTAAATTTTTTGTAGAGACGGGGTCTCCCTATGCTGTCAAGACTGGTCTTGAACTCCTGGGCTCAAGTGATCCTCCCACCTCAGCCTCCCAAAATGCTGGGATTACAGGCATGAGCCACTGTGGCTGGCCTCCATGACACTCTAGAGCCCATATTTTCACCCACCCACACCTCTGTGGTTAGACATGGTCTCAGTTATTACAGGGGGTGAGTTGGAGGCTCCCATGGCCTTTCTAAATCTCAGTATGATCTCTTAGTAGCTAAGTCCTCAGTGATGCTCTGTTCTTTCAATCTATGTTTTAGTTCTACACAGAGAAAGTCTGTTTGGTTATTGATAGTTCCAAAATAAATGTCTTATCTTCAAGAATCAAAAGCATGATAAACAAGATCTCCTGCCATTCTGTGGCTGACCTTTGTAGCCACTGCTGAGCCTGATCGTGGGTAAGAGGAGAGCAGTTGGCTGCCAGCCCTTGGCATATGAAATTAAAGGGAACCATTGCTCATCCAAAGCAGGTAACTGTATGTTCTGCCTATCAAGTCAAGAGGAATGCAGATAAGAGTTTTTTCTCTTCACCAATGAGAGTAGACCACACATTAAAAGGTTTTGTTGTTGTTGTTGTTTTGTTTGTTTGTTTGTTTTTGAGATGGAGTCTTGCTCTGTTGCCCAGGCTGGAGTACAGTGGTGTGAACTCAGCTCACTTCCACCATCCACCTCCCGGGTTCAAGCAATTCTCCTGCCTCAGCCTCCCAAGTAGCTGGATTTGCAGGTGTGTGCCACCATGCCTGGCTAATTGTTTTATTGTTGTAGAGACAGGGTTTCACCATATTTGCTGGGTTGGTCTTGAACTCCTGACCACAAGTGATCCTCCCGCCTCAGACTCCCAATGTGCTGGGATTACAGGTGTGAGCCACCGCACCCAGCCCACATATTAAAAGTTTTTAGAAGCTCACCGAAATCCCTGTCTGTTGCCAGCAGGTGATTAAGAATGTTGATGCAGGCTTATAGAGCAGAACACTGTCCTTGGAACTGTGTCAAGATATGGAAATGGAAAAGACCCTTATTCCTTGGACCCTAATTCCGTTTTCTAAGGGAAAATGCAGAACTGCCATCAGTAAAATGACATGGAAACATAAATTTCAAATGTACTGTTGTTATGGTTTGAATTGTGCCCCCACAAAATTCATATGTTGAAGTCTTAATTCCTAATACCTGTGTATGTGACCTTATTTGGAAATAAAGTCATTGCCGATGTAATTAGTTAAGACGAAATCATACTGGAGTAAGGTTGGTCCTAATCCAATGACTGGTGTTCTCCTAAGAAGAGAAAACAGGCACATAGACACACAGGGGAAAGCCCATGTGAAGAAAGTCAGCACGCAGAGAGAAACGCTGTGGGATCATGAAGATGGAGATAGG
The DNA here is from genome assembly GCF_000001405.40 of Homo sapiens. Classification (NCBI taxonomy): domain Eukaryota; kingdom Metazoa; phylum Chordata; class Mammalia; order Primates; family Hominidae; genus Homo; species Homo sapiens. Next base: position 78,431,147 of record NC_000015.10, on the reverse strand, counting down.
GCTGACAGGTCTACAAGCCAGGAAGAGAGGCCTGAAGCAAATTTTTCCCACAACTCCTAGAAGGATTCAACCCTGCCACCACCTTCATTTCTGACTTCCAGCCTCCAGAACTGTTAGGCAATAAATTTCTGTTGTTTAAGTCTCCCAGTTTGAGTAGTTTGTGACGGCAGGCCTAGGAAGTGAATACAAATACCTTTTTGGAAGACCCAAGGTACAATGAAGACAGTGCAGCAGAGCAGTCAGGAGTCCTGGGTTTCAATCCCAGCCTTGCCCCAATTCTGCTGTGTGGCTATGCCGACCTGAATGAATCTATCAGGCTTCAGCTGCAGAATTCACTGGTTGAAGTAAACTTTTTAGGTACAAGAATGATTTTTATAGACTGTGATTTTATGTTTCCACTTTCAGATGTAAGTCCTTTCCTTTGCCTCTCTCATCAAAGAACACTATGATGTCCTATCAAATTAGAGCTCCTGATGTCTCTTGGTTTATCTCTTTTACTGGTGGCTTGGTTTGGGTTCCGATCACTCTCATCTGGACCATTGCTTTGGGAGGGAGATTGAGGGCATTTGATCATTTTTAAAAAGGTGATTTTATATGGGTCAGCCTAAGAGTCATTTCCTAAGTGGTGTCCCTGTTTCAGGCTTGCCTCCCCAACCCTCTCATCATTGCTCTAATCACGCTTTACAATCCCACCAGGATATTCTTCCTTTTTTTGTTTTTGTTTTTGTTTTTTTGAGATGGAGTCTCACTCTGTTGCCCAGGCTGGAGTGCAGTGGCACAATCTCACCTCACTGCAAACTCCGCCTTCTGGGTTCAAGCGATTCTCCTGCCTCAGCCTCCTAAGTAGCCGGGACTACAGACACATGCCACCACGCCTGGCTAATGTTTTCGTATTTTTAGTAGAGACGGAGTTTTGCCATGTTGGCTAGGCTGGTCTCCAACTCCTGGCCTCAAGGGATTCCCCCACCCCAGCCTCCCAAAGTGCTGGGATTACAGGCATGAGCCACCGCACCCAGTCCCATCAGGATATTCTTTCTGAAAGGCAAATTTGATCATGTTTGCTGAAAATCTTCAAAATCTCCCTGACCACCTTCAAGATGAAATCATAACTTTCCAGCCCAGCCTTTGAGACCTTTTGCGGCCTGATCCTCGCCTACTCTCCAGTCTTACCTCTTGTCCCATTCTTAACTAACATGGAACACAAACAGAACTAATACCACCTGGATTTCCCTGAAAATAAGCCTCATGCTCCTTCAAGCCTTTGCACATTCATCAGCCAACTTCTAGTTGTCAATCAGAAGCAGAAGCTCCTCTTTTTGAAGCTTTTTCTGCTCCTATGCACTCCCCTCCACCGCTACCCTGGGTTCCCTCTTTATTGCCCTCAAAGCCACCCATGCCTCCCTCTCACAGCACTTAGCTCACCATGCCGTAATTCTTTGTTTGTCTGTTCATTCACTAAACTGAACTCCCTGAACACAAGCACCAAGTGTTTACTCTCTCTCCCTGTCTCCTAGCACAGGCCCTGGCATATGGCCATTGCTCCAGAAAGTCTTGTTGTATAAATGAATTGATAAGTGAATGAATAAATGAATGAAAGAAACCTGATTCTGCATGTAAGAAGTTCCAAACCTGTGCAACAGACAAATGAGACATAAGTGATTTGAATTATGAAATGATTAATCTTTCAAAAATAATTTTCTACAGGAATTCTGTAAATAGCAAGCTATCCTACTGATTTTGAAAATATGACTTATATTTTAAAATCCCATCGATGGAAACCTGACTCTTGTAAAGTGGTGGCCTGGACACTTTGGTTTGGTTCAACCACCATTTGAGTATTATGTACTAATATCAGAACAGTGAGGAGGATGAGACCGGCCCTTGAGAAGCTTACAAATAGATAACATTAGTACAAGTGATAATAAAAGTAATAATAGTTAACACCTATTAAACCTTGTTAAGGCAGAGGGCAGTGGTTCACACCTTTGGGAGGTCGAGGCCGGCGGATCTCCTGAGCCCAGGAGTTGGAGATCAGCCCAGGCAACATGGTGAAACCCTGTCTCTACCAAATATACAAAAAAATTAGCTGGGTCTGGTGGTGCATGCCTGTGGTCCCAGCTACTCAGGAGGCTGAGTTGGGAGGATTGCTTGAGCCCAGGAAGTGGAGGTTGTAGTGAGCCAAGATTGCACCACTGCACTCCAACCTGGGTGACAGCGTGGACTCCATCTCAAAAAAGGAAAAAAAAAAAAACTTGAACTTGTTAAATACTTTACATACATTATCTCATGAGCACAGTGGCTCACCTGTAATCCCAGCACTTTGGGAGGCCAAGGCAGGGAGATCATCTGAGGTCAGGAGTTCAAGACCAGCCTGGTCAACATGGTGAAACCCTCTCTACAAAAAAATACAAAAATTAACTAGGTATGGTGGCACACACCTGTAGTCCCAGCTACTGGAGAGGCTGAGGTGGGACAATATCTTGAATGTGGGAGGCAGAGGTTGCAGTGAGCTGAGATCTCCGCACCACTGTACTCCAGCCTGGGTGACAGAGTGAGACCCGGTCCCAAAAAAAAAAAAAAATTCCTCAAAACACCCCTAGAAGGCATGGTATCGGGTTGTTTTCAGCTATAACTAAAAGAAACATTCAACTCAAACTGGCTTCAATATAATACAAGCCACACCTTGTACCAAATGAAGTTCTTGTATTTTCTCAGAAACGTTAGCCAGCTGCATGGGTAACAGAGCAGCTCCCTTACAGAATTAGAGAAAGGTGGAACTTGAGCAGCTTTGTGAATGTCTCACCTGCCAGTAAAGAGCAGTCCCATTGAACAACACACATGTATCTGATAGCTGATCTTAGCCAGGCCCTGTGGTAAGGGCTGGGGGCACAGGATATAAGGCTAGCTCCAGGATATAAGGGTTGTCCCTTAGTTTGAAGAATTGGGACAGTGAGAAACAGACAGTAGTAATGTGTCTGAGGAGTCAGAAAAGATGTTACTGAGAGGCAGTAGTAATTGAACTCAGATACTTGGTGGTCAAGATCTTTGTGGACATTTGATAGTCATTTCCTGTGTCTCCTGTTCAGATGACTCTGAACTTCCCCTGGGCAATTCAGCTCTTCCCCAATTCCCATCCATAGGTCCACCATGGATCCAGTATTCAGATCAGAAATTGGGGATGTAACCTAATTAGAAGCAACAACTCACAACAAGACTTGTTGGGGCTTCTGAGAAAGGGAGGCTTTCTTTTTTCCTCAACAAGTTGTGAGAGTGAGGTTCTGACATCTGGAACTGCGGCAGCCATTTTATCACCACAGGGGTGAGTTTGGAGGTGTGGCCTCCACTGTGTGGTACCTGAGAATAAAGCCATTCTCGGTGGAAGGCACAGATAAGAGAGAGAAATTCTGGATCCCGGGTGTCATTCTTTCGGATTCTGAATCAAGCCTTACCTGTTCTCTACAAGAACTTCCTTTGGAATTCTCTTCAGTTATGTGAGCCAATGAACTTCCTTTATGGTGTTAAAATGTATAGGAGGTCATTGGTTTCAATTGAGCTCCTGCACTAGGCCCAACAGACCAAACCATAATGGAGTCACTCACACTGAAGTTCCATGCCACCAAGCCTAAATTAAATTGTTTACCTGACCTTAGAAGAAATCAAGAAAGAGAAGTAGTCAAATCCCCAAACAGGCCAGCTTTAGCTGGTGTGATAAGGAAGTCCCTTCTGCTTCTACCTTACAAGGAAGGTAACTTTGAAACAACCAGTCTGCTTTTCGTTCTCCGTTTCTACCTTTCTTCAGCCCTTTTCTGCCCATAAAGCCAACCTCCTCTGCTCAGCTCATTGGAACACTCATTTTATTTTATAGTGTCAAAAGACAAAACAAATTAGGCTGAGCCGAGGCTTGAGCCAGGAGTTTGAGAGCAGCTTGGGCAACATCATGAGACCCCATGTTTATTTGTTTTAAAAAAGTATAAAGAAATATAAAAAATTTTTTTTAAGTAAAAAAATAAATAAAAAACAAATGTAGTTTTGTTTAAATATCTCTCCATATCAAAATATCAATGACATTCTTCACAGAAATAGAAAAAAAATCTTAAAATTCATATGGAATCACAAAAGATCCCAAATAGCCAAAGTTATCCTGAGCAAAGCTGGAGGCATCACACTACCAGACTTCAAGATATTATTACAGGCTGGGCACGGTGGCTCACGCCTGTAATCCCGGCACTTTGGAAGGCCGAGGTGGGTGGACCACCTGAGGTCAGGAGTTTGAGACCAACCTGGCCAACATGGTGAAACCCTGTTTCTACTAAAAATACAAAAACTAGCCAGGCGTGGTGGTGCGTGCCTGTAATCCCAGCTACTCGGGAGGCTGAGGTGGGAGAACCACTTGAATCCTGGAGGTGGAGCTTGCAAGTGAGCTGAGATAGCACCACTGCACTCCAGCCTGGGCGACAGAGCGAGACTCTGTCTTAAAAACAAACAAACAAACAAACAAACAAACAAACAAAGCAAAATATTACTACAAAGCTATAGTAACCCAAACAGCATGGTACTGGCATTAAAATAGATGCATAGACCAATACAACGAAATAGAGAAGCCAGATAGATGTAAACCCACAGGTTTATAGCCAAGTCATCTTTGACAAAGGCTACACATTTATAGCCAGCTGATTTTTCATAAAGGTGCCAAGAACATACATTGGGAAAAGAACATACATTGGGGAATATATTCAATAAACGATGCTGTGAAAACTGGATATCTATATGCAGAAGAACAAAACTAGACCCTCGTCTCTCATCTTATATGAAAATTAAATCAAAATTGAATAAAGACCTAAATGTAAGACCTGAACTATGAAACTACTAGAAGAAAACATTGGAGAAATGCTTCAGAACATTAGTCTGGGGAACGATTTTTTGGATAAGACCTCAAAAGCACAGGAAACCAAAGCAAAAATAGACAAGTGAGATTATATCAAGGCTTCCGTGCAGCAAAGGAAATGATCAACAGAGTGAAGGGACAACCTACAGAATGGGAGAAAATATTTGCAAACTATCCAACTAACAAGGAATTAATAACCAGATATATAAGAGGCTCAACTCAATAACAAAAAAGTAAATAATTCAATTAAAAAATGGGCAAATGGTTTGATAAACATTTCTCAAAAGAACAAGTATATGAAAAATGATCAATATCACTAATCATCTGGGAAATGCAAATCAAAACCATAATGAGATATCATCTCATTCAAGTGAAAATGACTCATCAAAAAGATAAAAAATAACTGGTGAGGATGTGGAGAAAGGGGGCCTCTTGTACACCGTTGGTGGGAATGTAAGTTAGTATAACCACAATAGAGAACAATATAGAGGTTCCTCAAAACTAAAAATAGAACTAACATATGACCCAGCAATCCCACTGCTGGGTATATATCCAAGAGAAAGGAAATCAGTATATCAATCAATGAGATTCTGCACTCTTATGTTTATTGCAGCACTGTTCACAATAGCCAAATTATGGCATCAATCTAAGTGTCCATCAACAGATGAATGGATAAAGATAATGTAGTATATATACACAATAGAGTATTATTCAGCCATAAAAGAATACAATCCTATCATTTGTAGCAACATGGATAAAACTGGAGGTCATTATATTGGGGGTCCCGAGTTTTTATTTTTCTTTCACAGAGCCATGCACAGAGATACAAATATCACATGTTCTCATGCACACGTGGGAGCCAAAAAAGCAGATCTTATGGAGTGAGAGAGAAGAATGACAGTTACCAGAGGCTGGGGGAGAGTTAGGGGGTTGAGGGGTGAATGAAGGGAGGTTGGTTAAGGGGTACAAAAATATAGTTAGAGAGAAGGTACAAGTTCTAGTGTTTGGTCTTGCTTTGTTGCCAAGGCTGGAATGCAGTGGCACTATCTCGGCTCACTGCAGTTTTAACTTCCCAGGCTCAAGCGATCCTCCCACCTGTGCCTCCCGAGTAGCTGGGACCACAGGCATGTGCTACCAAACCCCACTAATTTTTATTTTTTGTAAAGACAGGGTCTTTCTATGTTATCCAGGCTGGTCTCAGACTCCTGGCCTCAAGCAATCCTTCTGCCTCAGCCTCCCAAAGTGCTAAAATTAGAGGCGTGAGCCACCGAGCCCAGCCCAATTTGTGTTTTTGTTTGTTTTCCAAAACTTGCACCAAAGGAATTTAACTGATGTAGCTATTTACTAGCTGTGCAGTTTTGGGCAAGTTACTTAACATCTCTGAGCTGCAGTTTCCCCAGCTGTAAAGTGGGGACAATACTACTGACTACTTGGATTGTTGTGCCAATTAAATGTATGTGAGGGTTTGTATTTATTTCCAATGGTGGCTGTAACAAATTACCACAAACTTAGTGGCTTAAAACAGCACAATTTAATTATCTTACGGTTCTGGAGAAGTCTGAAATGGGTCTTATTGGGCTAAAATCAAGGTGTCAATAGAGCTGCACTCCTTTCCAGAGGCTCTAGAGGAGAATTCATTTTCTCGCCTTTTCTGGCTTCTGGAGGCTTCAGACATCCCTTGGCCCTGGCTCTCTTCCATCTTCAAAGCCAGCAATGGTGTCACTCAGACCTCTGCCTCGGTCTTCACATCTATCTCTGACTCTCTACCTCCTTCTTTCATTGATAATGAATCTCGTTATTACATTGGGGACATTGGATACTGAAGGATAATCTCCCAATCTCAAAGTCAGCTGATTAGCAAACATAATTCCATCCTAAGCCTTCATTTCCCCCTTTGCCATGTAACATCACCTATTCACAGGTTCCAGGGACTAGGGCATGGACATCTTTGGAGAGGTGGGGGAATTATTCTGCCTACCATAGTGGTCTATTCGGGTATGGACATGTATCTAGCACTCAGTGAATCATTCCCATAGACTTTTAAGCACAGATGAAGAACATTTAACCCCACTTGGAGGGAATTAAAAAAGGTTTCTAAGAAACATTAAGAGAAAATGATTTTTTTTTGAGCTGTGTCCATTTAAAAACAGTGTCCAAGGCAGGCGCAGTGGCTCATTCCTGTAATTCCAACACTCTGGGAAGCCAAGGAGGGCAGATCGCTTGAGCACAGGAATTCGAGACCAGCCTGGTCAACATGGGGAAACCCCATGCTGAAACTCTACAAAAAATAGAAATATTAGCCTGGTGTGGTGGTGCACACCTATGGTCCTAGCTAGTTGGGAGGCTGAGATGGGGGAATCACCTGTGCCCAGGGAGGTCTGGGCTGCAGTGAGCCATGATCATACCACTGCATTCCAGCCTGGGTGACAGAATGAGACCCTGTCTTAAATAAATAAATAATAGAATAAAATAAAAGCAGTCTGCCATTTATTGAATACCTCAGACAGTGTATTCAACAGTTTAGGCTGTTTGCATAAACTATTTGTAATCCTCATAATAACCTTGAAGATAAATATTATTAGCCCTGTTGTACAGAGAAGAAAACTGAGACGTGGAAAAATATAATCCCTCATTAGCACTCACTCATTAGTTGGTGGAACTAGGAAAAGTCGTTTTTGATAAGAGCAAAAGAAGAAAAAATGTCTAACGTTTAGGGCCCCTGCTAAGGGGAAGATGGGCCCAGGAGGGGCCTTGCACTGTGGTTTCCCAGATGGCCAGAGGACAGTGTCTAGGTGCTGGGAGGGATGTTTGGGGAGAGAGAGAAAAAAGGGTACAGGAATATAAAGGGAATTTGGGATGATGTGGAAGCCATGTCCCACTTAATTTACAGATTTCATAAACACTTTAAAATGTCACATGGCCAAGCGTGGTGGTTCACACCTGTAATAAATGTGAATAAAATAATAAAATTAAATGTCAGCACAAGAAGGGAAGATAAGAAACCATCTAGTTTAATAGCTTTATATATGAGCATGGGACTTGCTTAAATTCCCACAGTGAGTTATCCAGTGAAATAATGGCAGAGCAAGAATGGGAAACCAGATTGTGGGCCCCAGTCCCATATGTCTTCCACGCTCTTCTGCAGGCTGAACCAAATGGTTTGTGCCCAGAAAATAGGTGAAGTTCAGAAGTTACAGCTTGAGCTGCTGTTAGGCCTAGTGGCCTCCAGGGGGCAGCAGTAGGCATTGTCCCTTCCAGTGATGTAAAGAGAGACAATAAGCAGCGTCTGACCTTGACATCCGTAGTTAATAAAACACTGAGGGAACAATAAGGGATTGAAGTTCACACTGTATCCTGTAGCATGGCAATAAAAACGGATTTTTTTTTTAACATTTAAAACACCCAAATGGCCCTTTCAATCAAAGCCAAAGGGTCTTGCTCTGTCGCCCAGGCTGGAGTGCAGTGGTGCGATAGCTTAGTGCAGTCTCGACTTCCCATGCTCAAGCGATCCTCCCACGTCAGCCTCCCAAGTAGCAAGGACTACACGCCAGGTGTACGCCACCATGCCTGGCTAATTTTGTTGCCCAGGCTTGTCTCAAATCCTGGGCTCAAGCAAACCTCCCACCTCAGCCTCACAGAGTGCTGGGATTTCAGGGGCAAGCCACCATACCCAGCCTCAAAGCAGTTATTCTACTAGACTAGATGTCTATTCCAAATGAAGCTGTCCCTACTCAAAACATTGCAATCACTCTTCTTTTAGAGTGGCCTTCAGAGCTGAGACTGGACCAGAAGGGTCAGGCTTGAGGGTGAGCATCTGCTTTGGAGGCCATTCATCTAAAGCCTGTAAGACTAAAATCTGACTTTTTCAGGTGCCCTGGGCCTGTCTCCTACAAACTTCCACTCCTCCCCCACTGATAAAGAAATATTATCCTGGACTGGGCATGGTAGCTCACACTTGTAATTCCAGCACTTAGGAGGCTGAGGCAGGAGGATCGCTTGAGGCCGGGAGTTGGAGATCAGCCTGGTCAACAGAGTGAGATCCCGTCTCTACAAAAAATAAAGAAATTAGCCAGGTGTGGTTGTACATACCTGTAGTCCTTTCCTTGCTATTTGGGAGGCTGAGGTGGGAGGATCACTTGAGCCCGGGAGTTGAAGGCTGTAATGTGTTATGACTGTACCACTGCACTTCAGCCTGGGTGACAGAGCAAGACCCTATCTCTAAAAAGCACACACACACACACACACACACACATATATACACACACACACACACACACACACACACACACACAATCCATCCTGGTTCAGGCCACTATCATCTCTGCTCTGGATGATGACAGCAGCCTCCTAACTAGTCTCAGCACAACAGCCAGAGGATGCTGTTAAAGTGGAAGCCAGCTCATGTCATTCTTTGCTCAGAACTCCACACTGGCTCCCATCTTAGTCAGTGTAAAATTCAAAGTCCTCACGATGGCCTCCAGGGTCCTGATCTGACTCCTCCTCTTTGGCCTCATCTCCTACATCCTTTGCTCACTCTGCATTAGTCTCATTCCTTGCTCTTTGCTGTTCCTTTAACACCAAGCACAATCTCTTCTTTAGGCCTCTGCATTTTCAGGTGCCTTCTCCTAGATAGCCACATAGATTGCTCCTTCACTTTCACTGGGTCTCTGCTCCAATTTGCCCAGCTCGGTGAGGTCTTCCTGAACACCCAACATATATGGCAAACCCCAGCACCCCTTATACTCATTCTTTTCATTCCTCTCCGTAGCACTTATTGATACAGAATGGCTGAGCGCCCAGCTAAACTCCACCCTTAAGCCTGGAGCCATGGCCCTAAGTGAAAACAGCTGACCCCCTTTTTTTCCATGAAAATGTTGCTTGTTTGGTCTGCCCTGCTCCTCTCCCGTGCCCATAAAAAGACTTCAGCTGGCAAAGCAACACAAGCGGCTGACCGGTGGGGATGCAGGCTGCTGGGAGTTGGGGATACAAGAGGCTGAGCAGTGAGCAGAGAAGCAGCAACTGAGCGTTGGAGACTATGGATAGATGCAGCTAACTTCAGACAGTGCGGCTTCAGGGAAAGATCACCTTCTTCCCACACAATCCCCTTTCCAGCTCCCATGTTGCTGAGAGCCATCACCCAATAAAATCCTCTGCATACACTACCCTTGAACCCGTTCTTGTGACCTGATTCTTTCTGGATGCTGGACAAGAACCTGGGTGCTGAGAGGGCAGGGGCTTGGACACTGCTGCAGGGATGCACAGAGCCTGCTCTCACCAGAGAGAAGTGACTGGCCGGTTCCAGCATTCGTTCCCTCCGGTTCCTGTACTCGCTTGCACGCTCCCTCTCATGAGGAGTGGCCAGCGGTGGGCTGAGTGAAACAAGCCACTCCAGTTCCTGCCCACGAAGGGGGTCAAGGTCAAGGGAACCATCCCATCTCATTATCATGGTCTAATATGCTGCACATTTAACTCATTTGTTTGTTGTCTATTTCCTACTAGAACATAGGTTCCATGAGGCAGGGACTTGGTTGTTTTGTTCACTGCTGTATCCCCAGCCCCTAGAATTGGCACATGGTAGGTGTTCAATAAATATTTATGGGAGAAAAAGCATGAATCAAGTGATCCTGCAGGCAAGCTCAAAGAGAGACGCAACTTGTCTCTCTGAACCTGGAGTGGGAAACATCAGAGGCAAAGATACCTCTATTGATTCTGGTCATATTCACCTCTGTGACTTCCGTTAAGTGAGCGCTTAAATTTTCAAGTTAAAAAGGTTTTTCCCCATTGAGGGTGTATCTATGGTGTTGGCAGGAGGGATGGTGGAAAATTGCTCAAGCAGCAGCAAAAAGCAGAAGCCAGACAAGCTGAGGCTCCTCCAGTCCATGCGGTGGAGAGACCTAGGGAAGGTTTCTCATTCCTGGGTCAAATGTCACATAACCTAGTGCTTTTTCTCTCTTAGTTTTAAAACTGCCTTTGGAAAATTATGACAGTAAGAGAAATCTGACATAGTTGACTCCATCTTGCTTCTGACTTCCAAGCTGTTCTTGGTCATTCCTGGGTATAAGTCAAGTTAACCTTGGGAAGAATTCATAGTTTAACTTGAAAGCAAAGATGATAATAGTCCCTTCCTAAAACTAACTCCCTCCTCGCTCAGGGACTGACAACAGCCTATGTCAGACTAATGAAAAGCCATAAGAGGCTAGGTGCAGTGGCTCACATCTGTAATCCCATCACTTTGGAAGGGGGGGAGGTGGGCAGATTACTTGGGGTCAGGAGTTCAAGACTAGCCTGGCCAACATGGTGAAACCCCATCTGTACTGAAAATACAAAAATTAGCTGGGCATGGTGGCACATGCCTGTAATCCCAGCTACTCAAGTAGGTTGAGGCAGGAGAATCGCTTGAACTAGGTAGTTGGAGGTTGCAGTGAGCCGAGATTGTGCCACTGTACTACAGCCTGAGCAAAAGAGCAAGATTCTGTCTCAAAAAATAATAATAATAATAATAAATTTTTTAAAAAAGCCATTAGAATATGGGAGGGGCTTGAACTCTGCTAGAATGTAGGGATAACTTCTATAATCCCTAAAACATGAGCAGTAATGCTCAGGGGTCACGTGGCCAGAGGTCACAAGACTTGTGACTTTCCTAATTGCTCCTATAGATAACATCACTATTGTAGAACCTAAGATTAGATTTTTTTGAGATGTTTTCCAGACTGACCCTACCTGGACTCGTGACTCATGACTCAACTGGTCCTGTGGCCCCACCCAGAGGCGGGCTCTGTGCATGAGGACTGCTTTCCACACCCTTGTAATTTCATCCCCAACTAATCAGCAGTACCCATTCCCTAGCCCCCTGCCCACTAAATTGTCCATTAAAACCCTAGGCCTCTGAGCCTTCAGGGAGACTGGTTTGAGTGATAACTCTAGTTCTCCTGTCTGGGTCAGCCTCGTGTCAGTTAACTTGCTCTACTCCAATGCCACAGTTCCAGTGAATTGATTTTGTCTGTGCAGCAGGCAGGAAGAACTCATCTGGTGATTGCAGTTTTAGGACCCAGAATACCTTTGTGTGTTCTTAAAACAAGAAGCTTTGTCCCTGGAAATGTAATGACTTGATCCTGACATTCAGAGAGAAGGGAGATTAACATAATGTTCATGGAAGGAATTGAAGTTTGGTTCCATAGCTCAGAGCATGCCACATCCCTCTCCTATGTTCTCCCTTTCCATGCCCTCGCCATCACCTCATGTGGGGCTGGATTTCCCTGGCCTCCTGACTCTATCTGTAACAGCCAGCTGAGCTTCCTGAGGCACCAAATTGATGACAGCCACTTTCCTGTTCAAAACCCCCAGTCTGTGCACAAAAGATCAAAGTCTAAACTCTAGCTCGGCTGGGCGCGGTGGCTCATGCCTGGAATCCCAGCACTTTGGGAGGCCAAGGGGGTGCTGATCACTCGAGGTGAGGAGTTCGAGACCAGCCTGGCCAACATGATAAAACCCCATCTCTACTAAAAATGCAAAATTTAACCTGGTGTGGTTGCGGGCGCCTATAATCCCAGCTACTCGGGAGGCTGAGGCACAAGAATCGCTTGAACCCAGGTGGCGGAGGTTGCAGTGAGCTGAGATGGTGCCACTGCACTCCAGCCTGGGTGACAGCAGGAGACTCAGTCTCTAAATAAATAAATAAATAAATAAATAAATAAATAAACTCTCCAGCTTGATATTTGAGCCCTCTCACCTTCCTGGATCTTCTGCGTCATCTCACTGAGTCATCTGCTTTCCAGGGGAAGCAGGCCCTGAGCTTCCCCACATCAGCCTCTGTTTCTGCTGTTCCACCCTCACCCCCCGTTCATCTCCCATGAATGCCACCCCCTTCCTCTCCAGCTAGGCAAACCCACCCATCCATCACCCTGCACCCTTTTTTTCCCTGAAATCTTCCCAATCTTTCACACCTCAATGTCACTGCTTCTCTCTCAACATGGGTGACATCATTATTGCAGCCTTCCTGACAGCTCTTCCGGCAGACCCATGGAAGGGCTCTTTCAAACCAGGCACTGCTGAGCAAAAGGGAGGCCGGGTTGGAAGGATTTGGCAGGGCTACTGAGGACCCTTCAGCACCACTGCCTCCCACTAGGCCCATCTCTTGAGGCCCTCCCCCAGCCTCTTGGCCTTTGAACTTTCAGAGCCCTGCCCTACACATTCTGCCTGCTCTTTGTCACCCCATTCCCCGAGCTCAATCTTTCATAATGTAAGCATCTATCTCCCAGCACCGGGTATATCTGTAGTATTGAACTTTTTTTTTTTTTGAGGCAGGGTCTCGCTCTGTCACTCAGGCTGCAGTGCAATAGTGTGATCTCAGCTCACTGCAGCCTCTGCCTCCTGAGTTCAAGCAATTCTCCCACCTCAGCTTCCTGAGTAGATGGGACTACAGTCATGTGCTACCACTCCCAGCTAATTTTTGTATTTTTAGTAGAGACGGGGTTTTGTCATGTTGCCCAGGCTGGTTTTGAACTCCTGATCTCAAGTGATCTGCCTGCCTCAGCCTCCCCAAGTGCTGGGATTGAGGCATGAGCCACTGCACCCAGCTGCGTTGAACATTTTCTATTTTTCATACAATTCAGCCCAAAACATAAGCCCACTACTGTATCTGGTACTCAGCTGAAGAAGCTGCTGTCTATCTATGCTGGAGGAAGAGCTGGCTGTATTGATCTTATTCAAAGATATTTTTGTCATGCAATAATGCAATATATAGAAAACCTAGAGGATTTTCAAGGTCATTTTGACTAAATAGGATTTTTACTTTAAATGCTGACTTTAGAACCTATGCCTGTATAAGATGTGGCTCTGCTATGCAGAGTTTGTGAGATTATTAGGAAGTATGACTCCATTTGGAAAAATAGCTGCTCTGAATAGGTAGAGACCTTTGCAAACTGTCTCTGAATCCTAGGATGTCTTCTCCTGTAGGGCATGAGCCTTGGGAGGAAGCTGGGAGCTGATTCAACTGATGCGACAGTGTTCTGACCCCTTTTTGTCAAATGAAGCAAGTGAGGCCTGAAGGAAATAATGTATACAGTGGTCCATTTCCAAGAAAATGTGCCTTAAATCAGCTTAGGTTAGCAAACTACATAAGAAACAGGATATACTAGGCCCCTGCTTGGATAGCCGATGCCTGCTTGTTGTGCGCAGCCCCCTCACCACCCCCTGCCGCCTTAGTTGCCCTCACCCGAACCAAAGAAGTTTAGTCTAAAATGAAAGTTTATTAGTCTGCAAAATAGCTTGCTTTGTCTGTTCTTATCAGCCTGCCCAGCTACGTAGGTCGTAAGTCAAACACTTAAAGAGCCCCTGAGCTAACTAGGATTGCGATGCATTGTGGGCTGCAGCAAAATGCAGCAAGACAACCCTAAAGAAAACACCTAAAGCCCCTATCCAACAACCAATAGACGACGTCCAGGAAGATTGTGACCCCACAGTACTCAAGCCTATGAGGAACAGGGGAAGGGACCTGCTCACTAGGGTATAAATTGCTTGTTAAAACTGTGCTGGGTGTGTCTGCCCATCAGACACCCAATCTTGCAAGACTATCATTAAAAGTCTCACTTTTGCTGATCTCCAGGTCTCCGAGTTCATTCTTTGGGTTTGGACAGGTAAGTTTGTTTCTCACAAGGCCCAGAGAAAGGAAGCGACTTATCGGAAAGTCTGAAGGAGAAGACAGCAGGTGAGACCCAGCTTGGCAAATTGTCACAATCAGGACACCACCATGATCAGATACCACGACTGCTGCTGCTAGCTGAAGAGTCACTCTGTGCCTGCCACCATCTATACTAGTTAATGCCTCATGCTCTGCTTCTTAATACACATAAAGCGTGTGACTGGACACTGGAATTCTCAAGGGCCACTGAAAAATCAGCAGACCCAGCAGAAGTATGGCCTCCTCCTCACCTTCCGTGCAAGCCCATCTGATATGCTGAGCCCAAATCACACCACAAATCCTGCTACAGGGGAGTCTGGGAAATACAGATCTGAGCTTTCCAGCTTCCTCAGTGGAGGAAGGAACACAAGGAGAATGAAATTGATGCTGAGCACCAATTCATCATTATAAACTTGTTTCTGTTAAACAATTAGCTGCAGTAGATTCAGATTCAAGTGTCTACAAATCAAAACCCCTGTCCCACACAGGTTCTGTCTCTGGTGAGAGTGTCCCTTCTCACTTCCTCCAGGAGATGCCTGTTCCATTGTGTGACAGACTGTCTATGAAGATGTTTTCTTTTATGTTGAGCTGAAACCTGTGCTCATCTGGTTCTCACCTGTCCCAACTTTGCTTTCTGGGACCAAACAGAATGCATCGACTCCTGTTTCCTTTTAACTGCCCTTTGGCGATCCGAAGATGGTGATAGTAATGTTCCCCATACTGTTCAGCAGCGCTGAAAACACTGGTTTCCAAATGAAAAAGCACTGAGGCAAGCCAGGCACCAGTGTAAAGGTGAAGAGAGTTGTGGCATTAAAGAGATGACAAGGGCAACCATTCATTGTCTTCCACTGAGGGGAGAATATATTCACCTTGTCTTAACAAAGGTAAAAACCACAGCCAATCCACAACTCCCAGGCTACTAAGAGGCTGTAGAAACCAATTAATTCAAAATGCATTATATACCATGCGCTAAATTGGTCACCAGAGGGAGTCTAGGTATAACAGGATCTTTGGCTAGAACCATCATTATGACAGTTTGTATTTGGAGAGCTTTTTCCTTCTCTCATCCAAAGGAGTCCCAGCACCTTGCCACCACCACCTGTCTCATTAATGAACACACTATCTCAAGTGAGCGAGGCAGGTGGCCAGTCTCATTATCTCACTTTTTAAAGAAGGGCACCTAGAGGTCAAGTGACTTTTGTTTCACAGCACGCTAATTAAAACCTTCTGTAGCTGTTATTCGCAAGTTCATGGGCTCCTTAAAAGCTTTGTCAGTGATTTCAAAAGCCTATTTCACTTACTGACTGCTTTAACACTCCCATTAAGAAGTGAAGTGAAAAACAAACCAAAAAAGAGCAGTTTTGTTTTCATTCTGGTTATGTATGAATATGTCAAAGGATTTGGTTAAAAAAATTAACTGCCTACTGAGGCAGGATTTATTCATTCACAATCTTGCTGGTTTCTCACTTTGAGTAAATATTATGGACTATACAAAGACCAAGACCTTGGCCCCAAGCAATTACATTTATGGACTATAATTAAATGTTATGAACTATAAAAAATCAGGACCTTGGCCCCAAGAAATTACAGGTGGGAAGGCTATAGGGGTGGGCTAGAGGAGGATAAAGCCATTTTTGGCTGGGGTGATATGGAAATGCTTCGTAAAGAGATGGCAAAGGATGGGGGAAAAAACAAAGAAAGCAGTGGGCATTCATTCCCTACTGTGGGGCATCCTGGGCACCTGGCCAAGGCGTGCTGGATGCCCAGTTCTTGTCCTGCCTCCTGCTCTGCTCCCCAGGCTCTCACAGATTCTGGTGCATCCCACCATCTTTCCAGCAAATTCCATTTTGGCTTAAGCCAGCCTGAGTCTCTGGGCGGTACCAATGAGTGAACAAAGTCCTGGAGGAGGAGAAGACCAGGACTTTCAGTGGATTGGACAGAGTAGATTTGCAATGGTAAGGTGTGAACTGCCAAATCTTCTTCCAGATGGTTCCAAGTACCAAACTCACATTTTAAAAGTGTGCTGCCATCATATAAAATGTGACCATTGGAGGAAGCTGGGTAGAGGGTACATAGGATCTCTCTGTATTTGTTTGGCAACTTTCTGTGAGTATAATTACAGCAGGTCCTCAGGTAATGTCATTTTGTTCATTGTTGCTCCATTTTGTTTCATTATAATGTTGATGAGAAAAAAATGGATTCCTGGCTGGGGTCACTGTCTATAGGGAGTTTGCACATTCTTCTATATCTGCCCGGGTTTTTTCTCTACTTTCTCTGGCTTCCTCCCACATCCCAAATATGTGCACATGAGGTGAATTGGCATGTCTACATTGTCTCAGGACGAGTGTGTGTGTGTGTGCGTTTGTGCGTGCACACACCCTGCGATGAGATGGTGTCCTGTCCAGGGTGGGTTCCTACCTTGCACCCTGAGGGGCCAGGATAGACTCTGGCTGCCTGTCACCCTGAACTGGAATAAGCAGGTTGGAAAATTAATGCATGAATAAATTAAAATTATTTTAAAATAAAAATTTGGCTGGGTGCGGTGGGTCATGCCTGTAATCCCAGCACTTTGGGAGGCTGAGGCGGGTGGGTCACGAGATCAGGAATTCAAGACCAGCCTGGCCAACGTATTGAAACCCCGTCTCTACTAAAAATACAAAAATTAGCTAGGCACGGTGGCGGACATCTGTAATTCCAGCTACTTGGGAGGCTGAGGCAGGAGAATTGCTTGAACCTGGGAGGTGGAGGTTGCAGTGAGCCAAGATTGAGCCACTGCACTCCAGCCTGGGTGACAGAGCAAGACTCTGTCTTGGGAAACAAATAATAGTAAATAAATAAATAAATAAATAAATAATAAAAATTCATGAAGTGTATGATAATCATCCAGAAGTTCAGCAGTATACACTGCAGTACAAAAGTGCTCAGCAAGCTCTCTGGATCTGAGATTGTTTTGGAACTCCAACTCCATGGTGGTAGGAGGTGCTCCTTACAATGTTGACTTTGCAAACATTTGTTCCTTGATTTTATTTTTTAACATTTTTTATTTATTTATTTTTATTTATTTATTTTGAGACAGAGTCTCTCTCTGTTGCCCAGGCTGGAGGGCAGTGGCATCATCTCAGCTCACCGCAGCCTCTGCCTCCTGGGTTCAAGCAATTCTCATGCCTGAGCCTCCCAAGTAGCTGGGATTACAGGCATGAGCCACCACACCCAGCTAATTTTTGTATTTTTAGTAGAAACGGGGTCTTGCCATGTTGGCCAGGTTGGTCTTAAACTCTTGACCCCAGGTGATCCACCCACCTCGGCCTCCCAAAGTGCTGGGATTACAGGGGTAAACCACAGCGCCTGGCCTTTTCCTTGATTTAACCCATCACTATGACGGCTGTCACACACTGATTCGCCAAAAATGGGGTAATTGCCTACTTTTTTTTATTACTCTTTGTTAAATGCATGTATAGCTCACATTTATTTTGATGTTTAATATTATAAGTGTTTTGGGTCTTTATTTAGAAGTTTGGTGATATTTTAATGACCAGAAATGTGCCATAAGAACTTAACTCTTATTTCTATCAATTAGCCTGTAGTGGCTGGGCTTGGTGGCTCACACCTGTAATCCTAGCACTTGGGGAGGCTGAGGCAGGCAGATTGCTTGAGACCAGCCTGGGCAACATGGTGAAACCCTGTCTCTAAAAAAAAAACAAAAATTAGCTTATAGTAAAATTGGTTTTCTTATACATCATTTCACTAAAGTCATGGGTTACAAAAACCTATTGACAACATTAAGTGAGAACTCACTGTATTTTTAAAAAGGTTTTTTGGGGTTGAGGGAAGGCTGAGGCAGGAGGATCACCTGAGCCCAAGAGTTCAAGTACAAACTGGGCAACATGGTGAGACCCCCCCCCCCACTCTACTAAAAATAAAAACTTAGCCAGGCATGGTGGTGCCTGGAGACCCAGCTACTTGAGAGGCTGATGTGGGATGACAGAACAGGTGAGGATGTGAGAAATTGCCTCCTGGATCCACTACTGCCTGAAGTTTACTCTTACAAACTGCTGGGATGTGATGTGTGGGTGTGTTGGCCCCAACTAAAAAGGCCAGGGGAGAGGTGAAGGGACAAAGATGGTGTCTTCGTCCTTTTGAACTGTCATAACAAAATACTATAAATGAGTAGTTTAAACAACAGATTAACAAACGTATTTCTTTTCCTTTCTTTCTCTCTATTTTTTTTTTTTTTTTGAGACAGGATCTTGCTCTGTTGCCCAGGCTGGAATGCAGTGATGTGATCTCAGCTCACAGCAACCTCTGCCTCCCTGGCCCAAGCAAACCTCCCACCTCAGCCTCCTGATTAGCTAGGACCACAGGCCCAAGCCACCACATCTGGCTAATTTGTGTGTGTGTGTCTTTAATAGAGATGGAGTCTCACTATGATGCCCGGGCTGGTCTTGAACTCCTGAACTCAAGCATTCTCCCTACCTCAGCCTCCCGAAGTGCTGGGATTACAGGCATGAGCCACCTTGCCTGGCCAGAAATGTATTTCTCTCCGCTCTGGAGATTGGGAAGCCCAACATGAAGGCGTTGGCATATTCAGTGTCTAGTGAGAGCTCATCCTCTGGTTCATGGATGGCGACTTCTCACTGTGTCCTCACATGAATGACAGGGACAAGGCAACTCTCTGGGGCCTCTTTATAAGGGCACAAGTCCCACTTATAATCCTTCTATATCACCACATTAGTGATTAGGTTTCAACATCAGAATTTTGGAGCAATAAAACATTAGCATAGCAGATGGGAAGAACAATAATCAGATGAATGGATAAATGGCTGCTCACCGGTCATGCATGAGACACTGAGCCAGGGGCCACGTGTGGATTTCATTTAATCCTCACATCAACCCTTCCTGGCAGGGAATATCATCTGCCTCTACAGATGGAGAAAAGAAGCAAAGTGACTTGTCTTAGCTAGTAGGTAGCAGAGGTATGATGAATGTACAGGTCTGTTGGCTAAAAGCCAGTACCGCGGCCACCAGGCACTGCTCCACCCCAACCTGCACCTCCAGCCCCTCCTCAACTCTAGGGGCACAGACTATTTCCCCTCAAGGTACTAAAAAGTCTTCACATTACCTCATTATACCCTATCCTGTTTCGTTTTGTTTTTTCATCTGTAGCTGTTTGATTTACAAAACAAAAGCAGGAAGCCACTCAAATATCCATAAACAGATGAATGAATATACAATGACATTTTACAGCAGAGTGTATTTATCAGCAATGTAAAAAGAATGAACAATTCATATGTCTACACTGATAATATCAAAATAAGCATGATGACAGAGCACCCAGGGATTATAAGAGGAAACACTTTATTACATCAGTCCAAAAATTCCAGAAAGTGGAAATTACTCTATTGTACAGCAAAGTAAATCAGTGGTTATCTGGAAGGCAGAGAGAAAGACTTTATAAAAGGCTCCAGGTAAATGTAAAGGTGATAGATAAGTTCATTATTGTGACTCTGATGATGGTTTCATGGGATTACATGAAACACAAGACTTATACTACAGCTTAAATATGTGAAGTTTATTGGATGTCATTTATACCTTTTATTTTATTTTGTTTTTGAGATGGAGTCTCACTCTGTCGCCCCAGCTGGAGTGCAGTGGCACAGTCTCCGCTCACTGCAACCTCTGCCTCCCAGACTCAAGTGATCCTTCCCATCTCAGCCTCCCGAGTAGCTGGGACTACAGGCACATGCCACCAAGACTGGCTAATCCTATCCTGTTTTAAGTGAAATTGCCCCTGCCCCATGCTCCTGGCCACAGCTGATTGAATTTGGTGTGGTCGCCGCACCTGAGGGCCAGCAGTCCACAGCTGTCTACCACTGGTGCAATACCGCGGTGCTGGACCCACTGGCATGTATGTTACTAATTTTGATGAATCTTGCCAAATTGCTTTCCACAGAGCTTGCACCACTGGATACCTCCGCTTCCCTATGCCCTTTGATAACCATCTGTTATCAGGATTATTTTTCTTTTTTTTTTGAGATGAGGTCTTACTCTGTCACCCAGGCTGGAGTGGGATCATAGCTCACTGTAGCCTCGACCACCTGGGCTCAGGTAATCCTCCTGCCTTAGCCTCCCAAGTAGCTGGGAAAACAGGCACACACCACCGTGGCTGGCAGATTTTTTTTTTTTTTTTTTTGAGACAGAGTCTCGCTGGAGTCAGGATGGAGTGCAGTGGCGCGATCTCGGCTCACTGCAAGCTCCGCCTCTCGGGTTCACGCCGTTCTCCCGCCTCAGCCTCCCGAGTAGCTGGAACTACAGGCACCCGCCACCACACCCGGCTAATTTTTTGTATTTTTAGTAGAGACGGGCTTTCACCGTGTTAGCCATGATGGTCTCCATCTCCTGACCTCGTGATCCACCTGCCTCGACCTCCCAAAGTGCTGGGATTACAGGTGTAAGCCACTGTGCCCGGCTGCTAATTTATTATTATTTTTTTTTTTTTGTAGAGAAGGGGGTCTTACTATGTTACCCAGACTAGTCTCGAACTCCTGGCCTCAAGTGATCCTCCTGCCTTGGCCTCCCAAAGTGCTGGGATTACAGGTGTGAGCCACTGGCCAGGATTTTTTTTTTTTTTTTGAGACGGAGTCTCGCTCTGTCACCCAGGCTGGAGTGCAGTGGCGCGATTTTGGCTCACTGCAAGCTCCGCCTCCTGGGTTCACACCATTCTCCTGCCTCGGCCTCCCGAGTAGCTGGGACTACAGGTGCCTGCCACTATGCCCGGCTAATTTTTTGTATTTTTAGTAGAGACGGGATTTCACCGTGTTAGCCAGGATTGTCTCGATCTCCTGACCTCGTGATCTGCCCACCTCGGCCTCCCAAAGTGCTGGGATTACAGGCATGAGCCACCGCGCCTGGCCAGGATTTTATTTTTTTAAGAGGGTCTTGCTATGCTGCCCAGGCTGGCCTCAAACTCCTGGGCTCCAGCAATCCTCCCACCTCAGCCTCTCAAGTAGTTGGAACTACAGGCATGAGCCACGATGCCTGGCTTGTTATCAGGACTGTTGATCTTTACAATTCTCAGGGTAATGTTTTAAAAATCAGCTTTATCAAGGTATAATTTCATATGATACCCAGGTAGTTTTGATTTGCATTTCCCCCTTTAAGAAATGAGGCTCCACCTCGTTTCATAAGCTTAAATGATGAGAAGATTTCACGGTCCCTCAAGGAGAAATACTGTCCTGCTTGGTATCTTACCTTTGCACAAATTCCCAGTTTGTGCCAGGCAGTAACACACCCTGTTTATCTTAAATTCCCAGGTACAGTCGTTTGGGTCTTCACTGGTTTTAATCCTAAGGCTGTATGAGCTTCATGTACATTATCCTGTCTGTTGCCCATAACACTTCTATGAGATGATGATGATGATTTCCATTCTAAGAATGAGGAAGCAGAGGAGACACAAGTAAGCCAGAGGCAATGCTGGGTTTAGACCCTGGTTGGCTTGAGGCCACAGCCCATAATCTTCTCACTCTCTCACTCCAACTTGAATTGGAATCAGACCACCAAGACGCCCACCACAGCTTGGCCATTAGTTGCTGTGAGACAGTGAGAAAATCCCTTCCCCTTTCTGGTCTCTGTGCAATGAGTGGATGGAGTTGCTGACTTCCATGAGCTGGATGGGAGAACAGGGCAGGAAATGATCCAGGACTGTGAAGCTGTCAGTCTCCTCCTTGTTCATCAGAGTGAGTAAGTAGCAAAGCAAAGGAAAAGCAAAACTCCCACTCCCCAAAATGCAGGCAGCATCCATTCAGTCCTGAATTCCGGGGAAAGGCGAGAGATGGGGACAGGTCCATATTTCAAGCGTTTATCCAACATATGCAGGGCAGGCCAGCCTCCTCAAGAGGCTTTCTTTGTCCCAGGAACAAATTACAAAGGCAGGTGGAAGTAGTTATCCTCGTTGAAAGAAACAGGCACAGGAACTTGCTCAGAGGCCCTGAAAGATGATGAGAATGAAAACCAGATTTCACAGGGTTAAGGGAGCAAGTAAAGGAGAGCTCCCATTTAGTTTTAGAAACACAAGACACACATTTTAAAGAAGGGGAAATGAGGCATAGACAATCACATGACTTACGCAAGGTCACACAAGTTTTAACATGTGAACACAGGTCTGTTGATTCCCAACGTGATGTTCACCATCTCCTCATCCCCCTGCCGATCAGCCAAGCTTTACCCACCTACCCATGTGCAGGGAGACTTGAGAAGGCCTACACTGCTGGAGAGGAGCAGTAGGATTTAAGTCTTGATGACGCTAATAGGATACATCTGCTGGGCTTCCTAATTTAATTGGACTGTTATTACTTGCACACTGATGATGCTGTTGAATACTTTGCCTTTGGATGTTTGGTTAAAATGACTCTGTGTTTTGCCCCACCATTTGCCGGAATCTGTAGGGACAGAACTATACTCTCTAAAGAACTGTACTCTCTACAGAACTATACTCTCTAATTGTTCTTTGGAACAATTCCAAAGGTGTGGTTCATCCTGGGAACACATGGGAATTTTTACCCACAGTTTATAAAACGTCTCCATCCTTTCAAGCCCCTCTCGGCTGTCCTAGTACATGAACTATATTTCCCCAGGGAAGCTCAGAGAAGCTCACCTCTCTCAAAGGTGCCACTCCATATTGACCACAGTTCTGGCTGCATTCTGTCATTGGGGTGGGTGGATGAGCTGTGCTGGGTCGAGCCTGGTGGTGCTGAGAAATGAGGAAGGCAGTGCTGAGGAAAGGCCAGTCCATACATTGCTGACTATTGTCCCAGCTGTCTTTTGTCATTACTATCCATGCCCTAGATTGCCAGGGCCTGGAAAAAGGATACAGCTTTGACTCTAGTTCTCAACCAGGATGAAAAGGCTGAGCACCAAGGCTTTGAAGTTCAAATAAACTGGGTTTGAGTCCCAGCTCCGCTTACCAGCTGTTGACTTTGGGCAAGTTACTCTACTTCTCTGAGTCGCAGTTTGTTCATTATCAAAGTATGAATGAACAATAACAGCACATACACTATAGGGCTGTTGAGAGGATGAAATGAGATAATGTGTGCCAACTGATTAGGACTCTGTAAAACATAGCAAGGTACCATTGTTTTACATACCATTAAAAAAAAGAAACATTCTCAATTAAACTATTGCACAAGCCTTTCTTATCTAAAACAGATAGATACTATCTTTCTTCAAATAAGAAAGATATCTATGAAAAAGCTCTGACTTTACAAGTTGATATTTAATAATGTCACTTTTATACATATATAAAAGGGAAAATGTAAGCAGAATAAATTCACTTCAGAAGGGTGCAACTCTTTTGAATCAATTTAAATTAAAATTTTTTTTTTCTTTTTCTGTACTTAAATGGATGCAAACTGAATCACTTTTTGATTTAGCATCACTGGTGATCATATTTGCCACATAGTATTGTTATGGACACTTTTCTGGCCAGAGAGCCGTGGCCGATGGTGCCTTTGCCCAAGTTTTGCTTGGGCTGCTGGGCTCGTTCCACCCACTCAGGTTGGTTGCTGGCAGGTTGCACTCAGCTCACACTACTGGCCTGGATCTCACACCTCCAAGAGAGACTGGAGTCAGGCGTGGAGTGGTCAGGGGTACGTGAGCAAGCTGAGCGAGTGTGGGGTCTGGCCACCACGCAGTCAGACACACTGGTTGCCATGAGACAGACAGCTCCAGTTGCTGGCATGGGTGCCAGCTCTCTGTGAAGCTGCAGCTGGACCAGGTGCACTGCAAGCAAGCATCTTCCCCAGCTGGCACCAGGGAATGTGGCAGCACCCGGAAGTTTGGAGATGCCAGGAACCACAGGGCCTCAAGGAGGGAGTCACAGCCCTGGCTGACGGACCAGGTCTGGACTCCCTGAAGGGCCACAGCTCTTTGCCCACAACGTGGCAAGCAAGGGGTATGTTTCAGGCCTGTTTGTGTTACAGCAGCTCTTTTAGCCTCACCATTGTGTGGGTCTCGAGTTCTTGTCCTGCAGTCCTAAGTTCTTGTCCTGCAACCAAGAAGAATGATGTAGTCAGACAAGTGGAGGGTGAGCAAGATGAGGGGGAGTTTTATTGAGCAAGAGAACAACTCAGAGAAGAACCTGCACTGTAGCCAGGGTGTCCGGAGGAGTGTTCGGCCCCTAGCAGAGAGGGTAGCTCCTCTCTCCAGCTGGTAGTCCAGTCATCCCTGTGTCCTCAGCTCTGCTCTGCTCCGGCTGAGCCCACGGCTTTTATGGGCCTCAGAGGGAAGGAAGTGAGCACCAATTGGTCCGTGGGCAGACACAGGCGGGCCAGAAAAGACACAAGTCTCCACTCTGGTCCATAGGATTGGCAGCCCAGTCCCCAGCCTTCAGACCTTCCTTGGCCTGAAAGTGGAGCCTCACCAGGGACCTGCCCCCCTCCACCCAGGAGCCCATCTGCCTGCTGTGCTGACCAAGGCACCCAGGCTGCTTGTACCAATGGGCACCTGCAGGCCAGCACCAAGCCACCCTCAGCCCCTCACTCCCCGACCCCTCATTGTCCAAAGTCCAGAGGGGAAAAAGGCAGCAGGGCGCAAGCATGTGCACACCCTGCCTGGGCTCAGTCCCAACCCCACTCTGGGGTTGGAGCAGGTGCCAGCAGTGGGGAGAGACCAGGCAGTGGAAAGAGGCACTTCCGAGCCTGCAAGGGCAGTGCAGGGCCTTCCCAGGCCCCCAAGAGCACACGGAAGTCTGGGTCCACAAACCCAACTTGGGCGGCTGCAGCTGCACCCAGGAGGGCTGGGCTGCTGCCTGTTGCCCGCTCCTCCTGGCTCTGTGGAGCATGCAGCCCCGGCGGTATCCCCTCACAGCCTGAGGGAGGGGCTCCACGTCCTCTCTGGGCCCCGGGTGAGCATCCAGGGCAGAGGTTACATCACCACAAGCTCCCCGATGTTCCCCGGGTGCTCAGGGGCGGCCGGGCCGTCAGGAGTGTCAGGCTCAGCGGTCACCCTGACCCCAGGGTGGCAGCGCCGCTCCCACTTCCAGCCCCGGCGGGGCTGTGGTGGCAAAACGGGGCCCCAGCTCTGTGCTCCCTCCCCAGTTCCTGCATTCCTTGTACAAGTGCAGCGCCACCCCGGGCCCAGCTCCGCGTCCAGGCTCTCTCTGCCAGACGGCGCTGCTCCCCCACCAGCTGGTGACTCGACCTGGCCCCATCACCCACCAGGGCAGCAGGCTGCAGTGGTGGTGGGGGTTGGTGGGGGTGGCTGTCTGCCTCCTCCCCATACCCTCCCTGCAGTGGCTGGCATGATGGCAGTGGCTGCTCCTGACGACCCGCCACCGCCATCGGTATCATCTTCCAAGCCATCAACAGTGTGAGTGATGCACCATTTCTTACAAGGGATCTTTCCTACTGTCCCCAGGATTTCCTCACAAATCACCCAGCCTCCCCAAGGTTTATATATGTGTGACAGCTATATCTGATGGTCACATGCTAACCATGGTTGTAAGATGCATCCTGCGTTCACAGATGTCAAAATGTGAAAGTGTCAAAGTGTGCGTTATTTATTTATTTATTTATTTATTTATTTATTTATTTATTTATTTTTGAGACCAAGTCTTGTTCTGTTGCCCAGGCTGGAATGCAGTGGCACGATCTCTGCCCACCGCAACCTCTGCCTCCCAGGTTCAAGCGATTCTCCTGCCTCAGCCACTCGTGTAGCTGGGATTACAGGTGCGTACTGCCATGCCCAACTAATTTTTGTATTTTTAGTAGAGGTGGGGTTTCACCATATTGGCAAGGCTGGTCTCGAACTCCTGACCTCAAGTGATCCTTCCGCCTCAGCCTCCCAAAGTGCTGGGATTACAGGCGTGAGCCACCATGCCCAGCCCAAAGTGTGTGTTTTAGAATAATAAAACATGATACTACTGATGTGTTACAATCGGTGATGAAATGTAGTGAGACATTGGTAACTAACAATAATTAAAGCTTTTTTTTTTTTTTTTTTGAGATAGAGTATTGCTCTGTCACCCAGTCACTGCAACCTCTGCCTCCTGGGTTCATGTGATTCTCGTGCCTCAGCCTCCCGAGCAGCTGGGATTATAGGCACGCACTACCACACCCAGCTAATTTTTGTATTTTTGATAGAGATAGGATTTTGCCATGTTGGCCAGGCTGGTCTTAAACTCCTGACCTCAAGTGATCTGCCCACCTTGGCCTCCCAAAGTGTTGGGTTTACAGGCATGAGTCATCATGCCCAGCCTAATTAAAGCTGTAAAGTTTGTAAATTGCTTACTTCAAAAATTAGAGTATTCATTTCTACTGTTCTTCACAGCCAAGTTGCTACTACTGTTATCACTATTACATTTACATAACATTCTCTAAGTGCCATTCACGGACATAAATGCTTTACATAAATTAGTAACACATTTAATTCTCACAACAGTTGTATTAGGTAAACATAATTATTATACTCACTTTACAGATGAGGAAGCTGAAGCAGAGAGGTGAAGTAACTTGCCTGTTTGTTTCCAGAGTCTTGTTCTTAACTACTGCAGCAGGATTTCTCAATCTCAGCACTACTGACATTTTGGGCCAGATGAATGAATCTCTGTTGAAGGGGCTGTTCTGTGCATCGTAGGGTGTTTAGCAGCTTCCCTGACCCGTATCCACTAGATGCCCGTAGCACCTGTTACCCAGGAGTAGCAACCAAAAATATCTCTAGACACTGCCAAATGTCCCCTGTGGGGAGAAATCACTCCAGTTGAGAACCACTGCATTATACCTGGCCCCTCTGGGCAGCCACCGGGGAAGCCAGATCCCAGGCCTTGATGCAGAGTGTTTCATTCAAGTCTAGAAATTATGAGAAGAACCCAAGACTCTGGTCATGTGGCTGGTCAGCCTCTGGTGGAGCCATGTAGACCTGCAGAGAGCTAGCTGCTGTGGTAGTGGCTGAGGCAGAGCCAGCGGCCAAGGGTTCAGGAGATAAGTGAGGCCAAGAGAGTCTGGGAGATGCATCAGCCGTGTCTGACATGACAACAACCTCACAGAGAAAGTATTAAATAAGTCTCCTTTGTCCTTCAGACCCATCCCACTCCTTTTTTTTTTTTTTTTTTTTTTTTGCTTTGAGACAGGGTCTCACTCTCTCGCCCAGGCTGGAGTGCAATGGCGTGGTCTCAGCTCATGGCAACCTCCACTTCCTGGGCTCAAGCAATCCTCCTACCTCAGCCCCACTCCTCTTTGTTCCCTTCTCAGGGACAATCACTATCATGAATGTAGTACATATCCTTTTATATGTACATGATATATAATATAGTACATGAAAGTGTGTTTCATGCTTTCACCTTTATACGTTTATATTCATCAATGATAAATACATAGAACTGATTTTTGTTTGAAAACATATAAATACATTTTTTTTTTTGAGACAGAGTCTCATTCTGTCGCCCAGGCTGGAGTGCAGTGGCACAATCTCAGCTTACCGTAACCTCTGCCTCCCGGGTTTAAGCAATTCTCCTGCCTCAGCCTCCCACGTAGCTGGAATTACAGGCGCCCACCACCATGCCCAGCTAATTTTTGTATTTTTAGTAGAAATGAGGTTTCACCATGTTGGCCGGGCTGGTCTCGAACTCCTGACCTCAGGTGATCCACCCATCTCGGCCTCCCAAAGTGCTGGGATTATAGGCGTGAGCGACTGCGCCCAGCCATAAATAAAATTTTAATTTTGCATGATACAATTCTGTTTTCACTCAACAGTATATTTTGAGATCTATCCATAATAACACATACAGCTTTAATTCATTCCTTTTAATTGCTGTGAAATATTCCATTGTATAATTATGCCATATTTTACCTTGCCATTCTCTTATTGGCAGACATCTGAGTTGTTTCCAGTTTTGCATACCTACCAACATCTGCAGTGAACATCCTTGGATGTGTTTGCTTGTGCGCACACTGAACTTCTCTTGGGTATATGGAATTGCAGGCTTATAGAGAATGTAATTGAAATTAAATGTTCCATTTTGTGAGATGCTGCCAAGTTGTTCTCTACTGGGTCTATATCCGTTTACACTCCCACCAACAAGGCATAAAAGTTAGCCTTTTCTACACTCTTACCAACACTTGATATTGCCATTTTAAGAAATTTGTGTGAATCCAAATGAGTCTATTCTTACTGGGGGTGGGTCAAGCATGTGAACAAACATCGTCCATCATGTGCGTCTCAGAGGGGAAAAGGCTGAGCGTCGCTCGGTCTGTGAGAACAGTCATGTTTGACCACAAACATATCGAGATTTAAAAGTTGATGAATTGCTTAACAACCCCTCATAGTAAGTCACTTTAGCCAGTGAAACAAAAACTGCTCTTAAAACAAAGCAGTCATCAAATTAACTGCTGTGATGAAAGGACTTCCCAGTGGATTTCATCAATGTGGTCTGAAGTTTGCACAGCAGGTCCCCGTAGATGTTCCTCAGTGGTGCAATAACATTGAATCTGGAGGTCTGCCCTCCCGTCCATGAGGCTCTGCATGTGGGCAGGTGTGAAATGAGAGCCTTGCCCCTATCCCGATGCATGATCAAGTATTGGTAGGGTAGATCGTGGTGGTCTGCATCTCTGCCCATCATGGAAGAAGCTGGGGTTGACCTAGCAAGACTGCTTCAGGAGGTGAGCTCTGCCGGTTTTAGTCCTTTTCTGTACTGGGACCACCTCTTGACCCAGGTCTTTTGGGCCCTTCTGGCTCACCTGCTGGCTCCCAGTCATGCACCTCCTCCCCTCCAAGTCACAGTCTTTAGGGTGTTACAAAAACACAGCAGTAAGCCCAGGAATCAGACCTGGGTCCCACTTGTAACCCATTGCTCAGTGGGCTGGCAACTGCATCTGTACAGTGGGGACAATCCCTTCCCCTGGGATCTGCAGGGGTTAGTGTGAGGAACAGCACACAGCAGGAAGGTCTTTGGAAACTACCAAATGTCAGGCCAGGCGCGGTGGCTCACGCCTGTAATCCCAGCACTTTGGGAGGCTGAGGCGGGCGGATCACCTGAGGTCGGGAGTTCGAGACCAGCCTGACCAACATGGAGAAACCCTGTCTCTACTAAAAATACAAAATTATCTGGGCATGGTGGTGCTTGCCTGTAATCCCAGCTACTCGGGAGGCTAAGGCAGGAGAATCACTTGAACCTGGGAGGCGGAGGTTGCGGTGAGCTGAGATCACATCATTGCACTCCAGCCTGGGCAACAAGAGCTAAATTCTGTCTCAAAAAAAAAAAAAAAAAAAAAAAAAGAAGGAAACTATCAAGTGTCGTAGGTAACAGGTTAGTTGGGAGGAAAGGCGGTTTAGTGGAGGGAGCTCCAGTTTGGCTCTTCAGTAGCCTAGTCTTCACCACTTAACCACCTAAGTAACTTCAGGAAGTCTCCTCCTCTCTCTGGCCTCAGTTTCCCCATCTATGAAATTAGAGCATTGGACTAGATTAGCACTCCCCAAGCCAATGTCACAGAACTCCCAAGCTATTTCATAGAAAAGGGGTTCCGTTGTCTACTCAGTCTGAGTTCTTACCGAATGCGGTAACTACCATGAGCTCACATTGAAACGCAGCATTTAAAAGCTCTGAAACATCTTGCAGAAAAGGTGTCTCCCTAACATCTTTGGCTTTGGAACCCTTTTGCTATTGGGTGAATTATACCATTTTAACATCTCTGAAATCAGGGCTGTGTCTCACAATGGCTGTATCTTAGAATCTTTCAAATATGGTTTTTTTTTTTTTTTTTTTTTGAGATGGAGTCTCACTCTGTCACCCAGGCTGGAGTGCAGTGGCGGGATCTTGGCTCACTGCAACCTCCACCTCCTGGGTTCAAGTGATTCTCCTGCCTCAGCCTTCTGAGTAGCTGGGACTACAGGCACATGCCACCATACCTGGCTAATTTTTGTATTTTTAGTAAAGATGGGGTTTCTCCATGTTGGCCAGGCTGGTCTCAAACTCCTGACCTCAGGTGATCTGCCTGCCTCAGCCTCCCAAGGTGCTAGGATTACAGGCATGAGCCACCACGCCCAGCCTCAAATATGGTTTAGTAATAGCTATCAATCTGGAGTGTCAACTAAATGCAGGCACTAAGTGTTTAATAAATTAGTATTTATTTAGTTTTTTATTCAGTATTTCCAGTAATCCTGAAAATTAGGGACTGTTATTATCCCCACATTGCAAATGAGAAAACTGAGTTGCAGGGAGGTTAAGAAACTCACCCAGGATCACATGGCTAATAAACAGAAGAGCTGGGACTTATATCCTGAGGCCGAACTCTTTTTTAAAAATTATTATTATTATTATTTGTACAGATGGGGTCTCGCTGTGTTGTGGGTCTTGAACTCCTGGCCTCCAGTGATCCTCCTGCTTCAGCCTCCCAAAGTGCTTGAGATTATAGGCATGAGCCACTGCGTGCAGACAAGACTCTGATCTCTCAGGCCCATTTGGAATCCTGTCTGTGATTCAGTGACCATGAATGACATACGGCATGGTTCTCAAAGGCCTTGAAAGTACCATGTTCCTTTAGAAAGAGCAGAACTTTTCTAGCACTGGCATCAGAAAACAAGACAGTGGGCCCCTGAATGCACCCAGGCTAGCATGTGGAGCAGCAGGGGAGTGGCAGTGGGAGGCAGGCAGGCAGGCATGCATGGAAGCAGAGGGACCTGGATCTGGCCTTCCAGCAAGGGGTTTTATGAAGTGGCTTTGCTGGGCAAAAGGGAGATCAAATGACTGACCCACCTAGCAATAAGGATTGCACCCTAGACCTGGATCCTGCTCTGAACTTTGCAAAGCCTTTCCCACTCTTGACAGTGCTCAAGGCACACCTGTGAGGTAAGCAGGTAGATTCACTGCTCTCACCCACCTAGGTGAGGATGCAGAGGCCCAGGGGAAGTAAAACCCAGAAATGCCTCTTTGCAGCTGTTTCTCACTGGGGTCTACACAGGCAGTCTGTTCTCCCAACTCTGCAACATGCAGGAAAAAAGCATGCAGAAAAAAAGACATTGCTTCACCTTGGGATACAGATTTCTAGGCCAACCCGTTTCTGATGATGGCAATTACAAAGGCCATCCCTTCCACTTCCTCGTGTCCCTCAACAGCCTGGTGGCCCCGCTGGGTTCCTAACATCCTGCTTCCCAGAGAAGAGCTGAAACTCATTCCTGTTGAAGTATCTCTGTCTGGTATCGGCTGTGTTCCTCATGCAAGACGGATTTGCGTCTTGCGAGGGAAGGAAGCTCTTATAACCAGGCACGTTTCTCAAACTGTAATGTGCATACCAACTCTGGGGGATTGTGTTTAAAATGCTGAGTCTGATTTTGCAAGTCTGGGCAGGGCCTGAGATTCTTGCATCACAAGCTCCCAAATAACTCTACGACTGCTGGTCTAAGGACCACACTATGAGGAACAAAGACAATGGTTTGGTGGAGAGTCTGGGGTTGGGATGTCTGAGCTCTGCTTCAATGCCTTCTTTCAGACGAGATTGGGCGCATTCAGGGTGGTATGGCCATAGACTTCAATGCCTTCTTTCTATCTAGCTGACTTCGGAAAGCTACTGACCAACTTCTACTCTCAATTTTCATCTGTAGAATGAGAAATGTTTTTAGTAATTAAGAAATACCCAAATATTAGTAAATACTGAAAATAGTAGTACCTTCCTAGTAGAACTGTTGAGAGGATTAAATGAAAAAAGTACATACAAGGTACTTAGCTCAGAGCCCGGCGCTTGGTAAACCCTCGCTAAATATTAATTAGCAGCTATTATTAGGGGGAAAGGAAAAGCTAGTCTGGTAGAATCACAAGCACCAGGAAGCCATCAGGGAGGTGGGGAAAAAGGGCGGTTCTTTCTGGAGTCAGGAAGGTAAAGCCATTCTTATCCGGCCTTGGAGCCTTGGAGGCAAGGTCCCCTCCTGTCAGTCGTCAATGTTGCCCACTGGTTTCCCTGGAAAGAATGAGAATCCTGGGTCATTCTGGGCAGCGGTGACAGGTCCAGCCTCCTATCTCTGCAGCTTTGTCTTCTCAGGAGCGTCACTTGCTTACAGCCACCCTCGGCTGCTTCTTCTTAAATCATCTCCACATCACAATCACAGAGGGTTGGGAGCCCGCCTGCATCTCAGGGGCTCCAGCTGTCTCCCATGGAATACGAATAGCACTGTCGGGCTGTTGGTCTTGTTGCCTTTGCAATCTGCTTTCTGCACAATGTCTAGGTTGAGCACATTTGCAGGCTCAGTGAAGCCATTATTTTTCTTGGTGACATTTTCTGGCAGCAGTCTAAATTCGTGAAGAGCTGAGGACAGCCTTTGCCTATGCCTGGAACTGGGTGGCCTACTTCCCCATTGCCATCTGTGTCTATTTGTCCCTGGACTTAGACACAGACTCATTCACACCCAGACCAAAGAATCCCAGGTCAGTGGAGCTCAGGTGTAGCTCTTGTCAAATTAAAAGGTACGTGGGATGCCCCAGGGATCCTGTTAAACTGCAGACTCAGTAGGTCTGGGGCCAGGCCTGAGAGTCTGCATTTGTAACAAACTCTCAGCGCCATTTCATCTGATGGTGCTGGTCCATGGACCAACCACACTGAGTAGCCTAGTGGTTCTCAAGCTTCATCCTGCATCAGAATGACCCTCAGGTCTTATTAAAACACAGATTGCTGGGCCTTTCCCAGTCTGATTTTGAAGGCCTAGGGTAGATTCCAATATTTTGCATTTCTAAGAAGTTCTCAGGTGATACTAATGCCGCTACTCTAGGGACTACACTTTGAGAACAATTGTTTTAGTTTCCCGACCTTTCCATTACCTTTATTATTATTCCTTGAGTTCTGTGACTTTCTTCGAGTTCTCTAGTCCTGACCACTTGCCACAGTTCAGTCCTGCTGAGTACCTCCAGTCTGTCATATCTATAACTGACAATGCCCCAACTTGGCCAATGACACCTTTGTGTTCCTTTTGGCCTCTGTCTTGAACCTGTTGCCCTGGCTTGCTTCACACTCTGCAAACTTGCCAGCCTCATTTTCTCACCCACAGCTTCTCCGGGTCCTTTCAGCCTGAGCCCTAACATGGTATCTCCAGCCTTGGTCTTTGTATCACTGCTCTGCCAACCCCAGACTTCCTGCCCTGGCTGGCCTGGGTGAGGGGTTCACTCCTGCCCTAGGCACCCCCCTCTTTTTCTGGCTCCTCTAGGGGCACCAGGCAGCTGTCAGGGCCCTGGCATGCAAGGCTGTGCCCAAGGGAAGCGGACATCATGGAGCTAATTAAACCAACGTGGACCCAAGTGCCTGGAATTCAGGAGGCTGTCCTCTCCCACCCACCCCAACAGAGCCCCGCAGACGCTGGAGTGAGTTAGTTTGACCTTCTGGATTGATGCAGTTAATGAGATGGTTGTGTAATGCTTTGTTTAACAGAACTGGTTTCTGGGCCCGGCCCAAAGCTAGGCTGGACTCTGGCTGGCTTCCATGCCCCAGCCCTGCTTGCTCCCTTGAGGCTCCCTCTGGCCAGTGCCCTCTAGGGGCCGGGGCTGATATGTTTATTGCTAACTACTCCGAACTCGTCTGCCTCCTCTGAGGAACCCGGGGACAATTCCTCTGACCTTTCCCTGCAAGCTCCATCTCTGTGAAACTTGGTCTCACAAGCTAGCCTTTCTTGCTTGGAGAATCTGTGTTTGAAGTCAGAGCAGAAAAAAACAGGCTTTTCAGGGCCCTGCTTGTGGCAAGTAAGTGACAGCTCGAGGGCCTGGTAGCCATACCTCTGTGACTAATAATCTTTGGCCTCAAAGATGCAATTTCCTTTCTCTTCCTTGCTATAGCTCCCAAAGTTCTTTCTCACCTATATGACAGCTCTTGCTTCAACTATTCTAGGTCGTCCTCCCGGAGTCTAGCACACGGGAAGGCCAAAGGCTTGGTATCAGACTGGCCTGGGTTTGAATCACAACTCCATCACTTTCTAGCTGTGTGACCCTGGGCAAGTGATTTAACCTCTCTGAGCCACAGTTGCCTCATCTGTAAAATAAGGAACACAGTCCCCATCACCTCACTCCTAGGGACAGTCCAGGGAGAAAGTGAGAGGATGTGGTGAAGCACCCAGCACAGTGTCCAGTACGCAGGGGTCTTACTGGTTACCCCCATCCAACCCCAGCACCCTCCAAGGGGCTGGGCTTCACACGGCTCAGCTCTTCAGACAATAAATGAGTGATTTGGGCCGGGCACAGTAGTTCACACCTGTAATTCCAGCAGTTTGAGGGGCCAAGGCAGGTGGATCACTTGAGGTCGGGAGTTCGAGACCAGGCTGGCCAACATGACGAAACCCCATCTCCACTAAAAATGCAAAAATTAGCCAGGTGTGGTGGTGCATGCCTGCAGTCCCAGCTACTCAGGAGGCTGAAGCAGGAGAACTGCTTGAACCTGGGAGGCAGAGGTTGCATTGAGCTGAGATCCCGCCACTGTGCTCTAGCCTGGGCAACAGGGTGAGACTCTGTCTCAAAAAAAAAGAAAAAGAAAAGAAAGAAAGAAATGAGTGGATGGGATTCTAGGCTGGTTTGGTTCCTTCCTGGCTCTAACTTGAGTGAGAATAGCAGAGTGGACTAACAGATGGTACCAGGGAGAGGACCTGAAACCTAGGCCTGGTTGAGCACCCCTCCCAGCCTGTGTGATCCCAGGGAACCCACCTTCCCTCTCTCTGCCTTGGTGGTGTCATCTGTAAATGAGACCACTCAGTTGTAAAACCCAAGTTCTTTCCAGCTCCACGATTTGAAAATAGCTACTAATAAAATCAATAAACATGTCCAATTTTTGACAATTTTTGTCAGTGAAAAAAAAATTGAATAAACACATGCTGGCTGGTGGCTGGGACTTGTGTGACCATGTGGGGTTGCTAGGGTAGGTTCTGGACCCTCCTCAATCCCTGCTCTTGGTGAATGCTGAAAACAAGGACATAGTTCCTCCAACCCTAGGCCACGCTTCCGTGATCCCGTCTCCATCGCGGAATTCCTAAGCCCTTGACTTCTAAACCGTGCTGTTATGGTGTCTGTGTTTTTCCTCTTTCTCATCCAAGAGCTGCTTCCTGGTGAGTCGGACATGTTGAGCCACATGTGGTAGAGCAGTGAAAGGTTCCAAAACCTGTAGGTGGTCCCTCCCCAGTGGGCTTGTAATCGCTTCCCGGATTCCAAAGCCTCATTATGTGAAATCCAAGCTGGAAGCCCCATCCAGGGTTTGCCTCTCCCATCTCAGCTGTCAGCGGGTGCTTGAATTGTTTAGAACTGTTTGGAGGGAGGTGGGAGGACTGAGGCTCAAGAAGGTCTGTTTGCATACTGCCCCTCCCATCTTCCCCTTGTTAATGTTGGCCCTGGTGGAGTCTCCTTTAGAGCCGCGGTCTCATCCTCTGGTGTCCCTGCTGTGGGTCTGCCAGCCTCACTTGGGCTCAGAGGCGGAGCATTTGTCCTGGACCTAACCCTCTCACTGGGGTGGGGGCTGTGGGGCAAAAGGCGGGGCTCTCAGGGAACAACTATTTTCCTACTTGTTCGCGTTATCAGAATTAAACTTGAAATGAATCTAGACATCTTGTTGTACCATTCCTTCCTTAATGCCTTCCATAAAGAGGGACTGAACACCTCCTACAACCCAGAACAGGTACTATGGGAAGCTTCAAAGAAGTATCACATACTAACCCTGCCCTTTAGGAATGAATAATGTAGAGACAGGTAGGAGGTAGTCAGCTCTTCATTTATTAATGTAGAGACAGGTAGGAGGTAGTCATCTCTCCATTTATTCTTTTTTTTTTTTTTTTTTTTTTTTGAGACAGAACCTCACTCTGTCACCCAGGCTGGAGTGCAGTGATGCAATCTTGGCTCACTGCAACCTCCACCTTTCGAGTTCAAGCAATTCTTGTGTCTCAGCCTCCCGAGGAGCTGGGACTTCAGGCGTGCACCACTATGCCCAGCTAATTTCTGTATTTTCAGTGGAGATGAGGTTTCATCATGTTGGCCAGGCTGGCTCGAACTTCTGACCTCAAGTGATCAGCCTACTTTGGTCTCCCAAAGTACTGGGATTACAGGCGTGAGCCACCAGGCCCAGCCTCCATTTATTCTTTTATGTATTGGGTCAATAATCTGTCATTGAGCCCTGCTTTGTCTCTTAGCTCTCAGGTATAAATGGATGTTTTTTGAGGGAAGAGGGAGGACTGAGGCTGAAGAGATTCTGATTATATATGTCCACTCCCTTCTTGGGGCTAGTGCAAACAGGGGATATTGAGTTGGGAAAATGTAGCCCTTAACCTGGGGTTGCACCAAGCCTAGCACACAAACAACTAGATATGAGGCAGACTCTTTTAAGTGCCTTTATAAGGCAGAAAAAGTGAACTGGGAGTGTGTAGGAGGCAAAGATCACTCCCAACTGGGGAACCCAAGGCGGCTTCCTGGAGTAGCTGTGCCTGTAAGAATGAGGATAGAATCCCTTCAACTAGAGATGGAAAGGAGAGAATTGCAGGTACTTATAGATAACGGCAATGTGTAAGAAAACCCATGGAAGGGCTGGAAAAAGCAAGATGTGCTCAGGGAACAAGTTCGTTAGAAATTAAGCAGGAGAGATTATCCTCCTCTACTGAATAGCTGTATGGTCTTGGCCAAGTCACTTAAACTCTCTGGGCTTTACTGCTTTGTGTATACAATGGGGAAAAGGCAGACAGCTCCTGTGAAGTCCCTTTTCTTCCTTCCTTCCTTCCTTCTTTCCTTCCTCAATGAACAAGACTAAGTCCCCGCCCTCATGGAATTGGGAGGAAGAAAATAACAAATAGGACAGGCCGGGCACAGCAGCTCATGCCTGTAATCCTAGCACATTGGGAGGCCAAGGTGGGATGATCACTGAGATGAGGAATTTGAGACCAGCCTTGACAACATAGTGAGGCCTTGTCTCTACAAAAAATACAAAAATTAGCCAGGTGTGGTGGCGCACATCTGTAGTCCTAGCTACTTGGGAAGCTGAGGCAGGAGGATTGCTTGAGCCCGGGAGGTTGAGGATGCAGTGAGCTGTCATTACACCACTGCATTCTAGCCTGGGTGACAGAGCAAGACCCTGTATGAAAACAAAAGCAATAACCAGATAATAAATAGGACAGAAGGTGCTAAATGCCTTGGAGAAAAATAATGGAAGTGGAGAATGGGTAGCAGTAGGATAGCAATTTAAGCAGGATGTCAGGGCCAGGCTTGGTGATTCACACCTGTAATCATAGGACTTTGGGAGGCTAAGGTGGGAGGATTGCTTGAGCTCAGGAGTTCAAGGCCAGCCTGGGCAACATAGTGAGACCCTCATCTCTATAAAACAATAGAAATTGAAACAAGATGTCAGGAAGTTCTCACTGATAGGATGACAATTGATCAACAACCTGAAGGAGATGAAAGAGGCAGCCACGTGGATATATGGGGAAGAGCTGTCTTCTGGATAGAAGAGACAGGGAGTGCAAAAGCCCTGGGGTTGTTGCAAGCTTGGTGTGTTCAAGGCCCAGCAAAGTGGAAAGCATGGCTGGGATAAAGAAGAGTAGATCTGCTGGGTGTGGCAGCGCACGCCTGTAATCCCAGCACTTAGGGAGGCCAAGGCGGGTGGATCACCTGAGGTCAGGAGTTCGAGACCAGCAGACTAATGGTGAAACCCACCTCTACTAAACACATAAATTAGCCAGGCATGGTGGCGGGTGCCTGTAATCCCAGCTACTTGAGAGGCAGAGGCAGAAGAATCGCTTGACTGAGATCGCATCACTGCACTTCAGCCTAGGCAACAAGAGCAAAATTCTGTCTCAAAAAAAAAAAAAAAGTAGATCTCCATGGAAACTGGCTCCAGAAGGATGTATAAAACTGGTCCTCTTTTTGCCAGGGTAAGTTTCATTGTGTAATCAGAAATAGCTTGATTGGGCTGGTTAGCAGGAAGCACTTTCAATGCTAGCATTAGCAGCTGGCCGAGTGCCTGGGGTGCCTGGTGCACCTGGGGGCAGTGATTGGCTGGGCCTGTTGTCTGAGAGCCTACTTCCTGATGCACCGACTGCAGGGATTCTCCAGGAGCTCCTGCCTCGGACTCAGTTTGCAGCTCTCTTTGGAGTATAGCAGGGTATAGCACAGTGTCACCCATGCTGCAGCAGCAGGCCTCCGGCACTAATGCTGCTACTCCTCTCACTGGGCACTAGCCCTATGCTGATCCTCAGTAAGGTGACAGGACAGTGTGGGGAGAGAGCATTTGATAATTTAACAGAGCCCTGCTTCCCAATCCCTAATATTTCCTTTTGCCCCTGGCCTGGGAAGTTATTCCTTCCCTCATTCAACCAGCCAAAGGATCCCTCGCTTGTTACTCAAGGGAAGCAAAGACTCATCAGAGCTCCGAGAACAAAGTAATTTTGGCTTTGGAGTCACCAAGGCTCAGGGATATCTATGGGGCTGAGAGATGAGGATGAATGAGGATGGGGCTCTCAGGTCCCAGGCAAGAAACAAGATTATGATTGGGAGGTAGGAGAGGAGGCAGAGGAAGATAAAGGCTGCAAATGGTGGGGTCCCTTTGGAAGGACACTGTGGATGCCGGGGCCCTTCCAGGTCAAGTGCACAAGCAGAAGGGGTCACTGTGGGCTGTCCAGGCTGACTGGTGTCCTAGAGGGCATTCCCCAAGCTCTGGGTCCTGCTTGATGCTGGCTCCGTCTTATGGTCCTGTATGCTCAAGAATGGGCTGGATGTGGACCCTGTGTCCTGGGAACCCAGAGGCCAGACCACTGGGCTTCGGGGAGGATAACAATGTCAAACCCCCATATTAAGAGAAGCAAATATTTATTACATGTAGCATTCATTCCACAGCACTACACTTGTAGTACCTCAGTTAGTCCTCACAACAACCCATTACAGGAGGCACTATTTTTCTCCCCATTTTACAGATGAGAAAATTGAAGCCATTAGGAGGATAAATGACTTACCTAAGGTCCCAGGGCCAGCAAGAAGCATGGCTGGGATTTGAACCCAGACAGCCTGGTTCCAGAATCTATTCTCTTAACAGGTTCCTAACATCCACCCCCAACCCCCTTAAACTCTCCATAAATCTTCCCAGAGTTTACATGCAATCCCAGGTAAAAGTGAAGCGGAATCCCAAATTGACTACGATTACATTTCTACCACCTTCTGGAATGGGGCTCACCAGTGACATTTAGTTTACTTACAGGTTAATGAAGAGTGTGTGGACTAAGATTTATTTCCATTATGATAGCCATCCAGAACTTGAGTACCACTCCTGCTATTGCTGCTGCTCCTCCCGCAGTCACCACCATTAGGTCACCTTCCATGGAGCAGGTCAGGAAATTGAGCCACCGCACCTAGGGTAAGAACAAAGGCACACCCACTACCGTGAATATGGCTTCCCCTTTCCTGCTCAGGGGTTTCTGGTTCTTGGGCTGAGCCATTCTAAGTGGGTGAGGTTGAGGCACTTCTCACTGACTCCAGCAGAAGGCTTCCTGGGATTGACTGGAGGCATCCATCACCCCATTCATTCAGCCTATTACGCCCGCGGCTCTACCCTCATCTGGAAAGAATGAAGGCAGAAAAGCCCTATGGTCTCCTAATGCAAACCATTTGTGGAGTCAGAAGGTAAATGGATGTGATTCACATGAACATTCCAGCTTCTCTTTCAAGAGCCAGTGGTCAGTGTGGAGAGGGCAGGGCATTTTTGCAGAAAAGGGACATTTCTGGTCAGACTAGACTCATTCTCCCATAACATCCCTGGACCTCTTTGGGAAGCTGGGTCTGATCCCCTTTTGGTTCCCTCCAGATGAACTATGTGTTTGTGTGCAAGAGGTCAGTGTTTTAGAAATTCCAACTGGACAACTTTGGCACTATCTTAATTTCTTACAGGTCACGGCCCAAGATACAATAATAGATTCAACATACCAAAGAATACTGAAAGGACACTTCACAGTTATCATCCCATTTCAGCAGAATGTAAACTCCCTGAGGTCAGAGGTGTTTATAATTGGTTTGTTCTCCACAATCTAGGACAATGCTAGGCCCCTATGAACAGTTTTATCTCAACTTCCTTTCCAGTCTCTCTTTTCTCTATATGTCTCCTGACTGCCTGCCATCCTGCCACACCCATCCTCTTTCTGTCCCTTGTATACTGCCAAGCACTCTCGTGCCACAGGACCTTTGCACATGCTGTGCCCAGTTAACCCCCATCACTTCTGAGCTCTCAGCTCAATTATCACATGCACAGGGAAGTCAGCCTCCCAGACTAGGTCAGTTCCCCCATTACAGATTCATGTTACATTTTGTAACCCTCTTTGATGCATCTGTGACAGTTATTTTATACTTTTTCATATGAATCTTTGATTAGTATCTGTCTCCCTCTCCACATAGTCAACCTCATGAGGACAGGAACTGTGTCACAATCTCCCCCACTGCCTTGCCCAGGGCCCAGCACCTAGTAAGTATGAAATGGTTACATCAGCATTTGTTGAGCACCTGGTACTGTGTACCAAATGCTGAACAACTCTGAAAAATAGATATTAGCCTTCTTTTACAGATAAGTAAACTGAGGCCTAGAGAAGAAAGGAGACGTGCTCAAAGTCACACAGTGGCAAGGGCCAGAGGCAGACTGATTCCAGTTCTTCTGACTCACACCCCAGGATCCTTTCCATCTGTGTTGCCA
This sequence comes from Homo sapiens, assembly GCF_000001405.40. Lineage (NCBI taxonomy): Eukaryota > Metazoa > Chordata > Mammalia > Primates > Hominidae > Homo > Homo sapiens. The sequence goes on along the minus strand of NC_000015.10, from coordinate 78,389,932 downwards.
CCTACATGTCTACTAATTGGTTGAAGGATTAACCTGGTTATTTGGGACAGACAGCATCAGCCTTGCGTATAAATTTACAGACAGAAGAGTTATTTCAATATGAATTAGCAGAGCCCTTGCCCAAGAAAGGAGGCTGCCTGGGTTCAGCTCCAGGCCAGCCCCTCACAGTTTAGCTGGGGGCAAAAAGTTCTCCACCCAGACAGTGAGCTGTGCTGGTCCTCTGGTGCCTTCCAGCCCTGCTGGGCCATGAACTCTGAGGGTGGTGAGGCAGGCATTTCCCGGGCCCCCCAGTAGTGTGCCTCTTGGTTATGCGATTTCTAGAGCAGGCCACATGCACACCAACTGCACTTTGGGAAATCGCCCCAGGTCCCGGTTCACAGAATTGCCAGGAAAATGACAGCTCTGAGTCCACATGAAAGGCATTCTTGGAAAATGTCTCTCCGCCCTCCCTCCTTCCCCAGCTGGAGAACTTTTTGCCGTGAATTGTTGCAGCAACTGCTGGGATCAGTTTGAGAGGAGGGAGCTGGGTCTCATTTCTTTATTGCTCCAATGTGTGCAGAATCAACTCAATTCTCCGGTAATTTCCCTTCTCTCCATCTCCCCATGTAATGAAGATGCCCACAGAAGTGGAAACAGCAGACAAAGGGCTTTGGGTTCCCTGGACTCTCCTGCAAAGCTCCCCAGCCACATTCCAGACCCTCTAACTAAAGTACAGAGGGAAGGGGGAAGGGACTGTGGGGTCTGGGTTGTAAACGTCCCCCCTGCACCAAGTTACCAGGAAGTGGACAAAGAAGCAGCAAAGGGGCAGTTCCTCCATGTCGTCTGCACATCCCAGAAGTGATGGCCGCGGTCATTACTGACAAAGATGTACCCATGTTGGTGGGTCTGGACAGGAGGAAGTGGAAAACGTCAAAGTAAGGCTGCGGACTTTCATCGGGACGTGAAGCTACATCGTACTTAAGCATCTGCTCTCAAGTGGAGTTTTTTTGTTTTTGTTTTCTGAGACGAAGTTTCGCTCTTGTTGCCCAGGCTGGAGTGCAATGGCGTGATCCTGGCTCAACACAACCTCCGCCTCCCGGGTTCAAGCGATTCTTTTGCCTCAGCCTCCCGAGTAGCTGGGATTACAGGCATGTGCCACCACGCCTGGCTAATTTTGTATTTTTAGTAGAGACGGGGTTTCTCCATGTTGGTCAGGCTGGTCTCAAACTCCTGACCTCAGGTGATCCACCCGCCTCTTCCTCCCAAAGTGCTGGGATTACAGGTGTGAGCCAACGTGCCCGGCCTATTGCTTTTTTTTTTTTTTTTTTTAATAGACACAGGGTCTTGCTATGTTGCCCTGGCTGGTCTTCTCAGCCTCTCAAAGTCCTGGGATTATAGGCATGAGCCACCACGACCAGCTTCAAGTGGAGTTTTGTTCGCACTTAGCCCCTCCAGGGGAGCAGGGACGAGAGTACCTTGTCACACTTCGGGGATTATATTTCCAACAGCTCCAATTCTGTACAGCAGCGCTGTCCTATATACTTTTTTTTTTTTTTTTTTTTTGAGAGAGAGAATCTCGCTCTGTCACCCAGGCTGGAGTGCAGTGGCACTACCACAGCTCACTGCAACCTCTGCCTCCTGGGTTCAAGCGAGCATGTCTGGCTAATTTTTGTATTTTTAGTAGAGACGGGGTTTCACCATGTTGGCCAGCTGGTCTCAAGCTCATGACCTCAAGTGATCCACCCCCCTCAGCCTCCTAAAACTCTGGGATTACAGATGTGAGCCACTGCGCCCAGCCTCCTGTATATCTTTCTGCATGGGATGGGAATGTTCTATCTCTGAGCCATCAATAGAATAGCCACCAGCCACATGTGGCAATTGAGTACTTGAAATATGGCTAGTGCAACCGAGGAACTGCATCTTTACATTTAGTTTAATTTGAATTAAGTTAAATAGCCACATGCGGTTGATGGCATCTTATTGAATGCTGCAGTCCTAGAGTCTGGCTACTCAAAGGGTGGTCTGATGACCAGCAGCACCACCTGAGAGTTCATTAGACCTAAGCTCCACCCCAGGACTATTGAATCAGACTCATGTTAACAAGATCCCCAGGTGCTCCATGTGCACATTAACATTTGAGAAGAGTTTCTCTGGAGCACAGCCAAGAACAAAGGAGCAGCAAGTAAAAAATAACAAGAAGAAGAAGAAAAAAAAAGTCTGGTGGATTGGAGAACAGCTATCACAAATTCTCTGTACCTTTCTCATATAATTCCCTCCACACTCATTTAGGGTATACTAATGCTTACTTTGGACACAATTGCAACATCTTTGGCTACAGTGTGTTATTTTCCAGCCTGCAATAGATTAGAAGCAGCAGTATAGAAGCAGCTAGAGGCACAATTAGAGCATCTTTACCACCACTGCAAAGTGCTACATGAATGTAAAAATGCTGATTGCCCGTGCCATTTTGGAAGGCAAGGTCTGGAGCATCTCTCCAAGACCATATTAGAATTTCTTTACTAGCATTCTGCAAGCCAGGGCAGCGTTCCAGAATTTCATTTTTAAGTACATGTTAGTGTCTGGCACAGATAATAAAACACACGCTGCATGCCGATGAAATTTAATGTTCAAGCTAAATAATAAAATGTTTTATTTATGGGCAAATTTTACATCTCCCCATAGGGAGATAAGTTAGTGCGCAAGCCCTTCCCACTTCTCCTAGGTCTGATGCGAAGCCAGCTTGTCTCCCCTTGATACCCCAGGGGAAAGACAGGGGGTGGCGGGGTGGGGGTAAGGTAAGGAATACAGGGAGAGAAGGCTCTATACTTATTAGCCTGGGTACAATGTAGCTGAATGACAATTTTACAGGGTTTTCGGTGTAAAGACAGTGGAGGTAGAAGTTAAATAGGACTACCTTTCTGACCTCGGCCGAGTCTCAGTTGTTAAGTTAGGCAGGATTGATGGAGAGGGCTGTGTTTGAGAACTTAAAAAAAAAAAACTCTAAAGAGACCACAGATGATTATGATTATGCTAGGAAGAATTCCCAGCCCTTACAGACCTTATCCTTATCAGCTTGCTCTTTCATTTCAGGAGTCAATCAGCAAATGTTGATTAAGCTCTTACCATGTGCCATGCATTGATCCTAGGTACTGGGGATAAAGAGTATGAAGCAAATCAGAGGCCTTGTTCTCAAGGAGCTTGCATTCCAAGCACAGGTTATGGGGCATAAACATGAGATTTCATGAGAAGGAGGCAGCCCCTGAAGGTCTAGAGGAAGGGCGTTCCAAAGAGAAGGACCACTAAGGGGCCGACAGCATGTGTCACCACATTCCAGGAAAGTGGGGGAGTGGAGTGAGACAGGGTGGGGGTCTGGAGGAGGGGGTAGACCATGCAGGGCCATGGTAAGGTGGTAGAATAAGCTGTGTCTCAAGCAGAGGAGTGATATTGTCAAAGCTCACCCTGGCTGAACTGTGGCAGTTTGGGGAAGAAGCTGTTGTATTCCATTTGACAGACAATGGTGGCTTGACTGGGGGCAGTTGTGGAGGTGTAAGAAGAGGCTAGATTTAGGATATATCCTGCAAAGGGAGCTGATGAGTCCTTCTGATGAATTGGATGCTCGTGCAAGGGTTGAGCTCAGTTGTCTGAGCAAGTGGGTGAATGGTGGCATCATTTGGAGGAGAAAACTAGTATGTCTTTCTTTTTTTTTTTTCTTTTTGAGACAGAGTCTCGCTCTGTCACCCAGGCTGGAGTGCAGTGGCACAATCTCAGCTCACTGCAATCTCTGCCTTCTGCGTTCAAGTGATTCTCGTGCCTCAGCCTCCCGAGTAGCTGAGATTACAGATTAATTACAGATTACAGAGTGTACCATCAGCCAGGCTAATTTTTGTATTTTTAGTAGAGACGGGGTTTCACCACGTTGGCCAAGCTGGTCTTGAACTCCTGACCTCAGGCTATTCACCCACCTCGGCCTCCCAAAGTGCTGGGATTACAGGTGTGAGCCACTGCGACTGGCTGAAAAAGCTAGTATTTCTTTAGGTTTGAGATGCCATTAACTATCCATGAGGAATAATATTTAGGAAGTTGGATGTGAGTTTAGAGACGGATTGGAGATTTATTTAAATGTGAGGGTCGTCAGCACATAGAAAGTGTTGAAGCTACAGGACTGAGAACAGAGAACAGTTAGGAATGGATAAGAGAGAAGACTGAGCCCTGGGCATGCTACCCTTTAGAGAACTGATGGAGGAGGAGAAGCCAGCAGATGAGACTAGGAAAAACGGCTGGAGACGAAGGAGAAGCTGGTGGAATTAGTCACCATGTCAAATGCTGCTGGGAATTTGAGTAAGATGAAGACAGAGAAGTGATCTGTAGCTCTGGGCTGGTAGAGGTCACTTGTGACTCTGAGAAGGGCCTTTTTAGAGTCAGCATGGATAGAAGAGCCCCATTAGAGTGGACAGAGGCGTTTACTTATATACCAAGGACACCAAGAAATGAGTAACATCAGTTGGCTCTGGGGAGGGAAACCAGGTGGCTGGGACCAGGAGTGGAGATAAGCTTACTTTTCATCATGTGCTTCTTTTGTACTATGTTACAAGCACCTATTCAAAATGCCACAATGGGGTGAGGAAAGAATGGGCAGTAAAACAGAAGAGTGGGGACACCAAATATAGACAACTCCTTGGAGATGTGCCGGGAAAAGGAAAAGAGAAATGGGTTAATGTGGGGCCACGCTAAGGTTTCCTAAGAGGATGTTTAGGCACGGATGAGAGTGGTCCTGCAGAGAAAGGGAGATGGACAGTGTGGGAAGAGAGGCGATAACTGCAGAAGCGAGATCCTTAAAGAGGCCCAGGTGGGGCTGACCTGAGATGGAAGTCAGGACAGACATTTCATCTCATGTGGCAGGAAGGAAGGTGGGGCTGTAGGTTTAAATACAGTGCGATGGTGGAATAGGCAGGGGAGATGCTGAGGTCATCAGTTAAGGGTGTCTGTGTTGGGGCAGGGAGAAGGTATTGAAGTTTCAAGAAAAGAGAATGGAGGCCTGGCCTGGCCACTACCCACTCTCCTGGCGCAGCCACAGTCTCGGCTGCTGCAGGATGCCTGGGGTCTGGGCGATCCATGGACAGCAGTGAGGGCTACATTGACAGATTACGGCAAAGAGCAGAGCAGTTAGCTGGAGGATAGGGAGTCCGTCTACCTTTCCTCCTTCACAGACAGGTGTCTCTCAGCTACCACTGCATAGCTCCAGTCCTGCTCACGTTCTCTCACCAGCAGTACATCTGTGCTGTAAGGATGTTCAGGGGATGAGTGAAGAGGAGTCTGAAAGTGTCATTAACTGGCTTGATTGCACCTTGATCCAACTCTGCTAACAACTAGTCTCCCCAAGTACAAATGGACTCTCATCATACCACATTCTCCTTCAGTAGTGCTTCACTTGACGAGGTTGTGCTAAGTGTTATCAGAAAATCCACCCTGGCCAGGTGCAATACCTCACGCCTGTAATCCCAGCACTTTGGAAAGCCGAGGTAGGAGGATTGCTCAAGCCTAGGAGTTTGAGAGCAGCCTGGGCAATGGGGTGAGATCCTTGCCTCTACAAAAAAATTTTTTTAAAAAATTAGCTGGCCACTGATCTGTTCTGTCTCTACAGATTTGGCTGAGCTTCATTCTACTGATCTTTCCAACAACTTTATTTTAGTTGTCCCTCATGGTGGCAGCCCTTCTTGGGCTCCCTCAGGTTTGCACCATGCTCTGAGCATCCATGACAATCCTTGGCTCCTCAATACCCTAAAGCCAACAACAGTCCAATACCAATATCATATTGTCTCCACTCCATCATCACCAACCCAATGCCAATATCCAAGGCCAACACCTCAAATTCACCCAGCCCCTTGTCCCATCATCAATATCTCTCCCTAAAGCTATCTGGTGTGTTGCTACCAGCTGCTCTTCTGAATTCCTGGTAGTCCCAGCTCTGTCCATTCCTGTATTCTCATGCTACCCTACTCCCTGGTGGCCCCTCACCACCAAGAAGCATCTAAGGAGCCAAAGGACCACAGCTGAAGATCCTCTCAGCCAAAGAAGAATCAAGGCAGGCCTCCAAATGCAGAGGAACCCAACTAGCCAACTAGAAGGGAAGTATTTCCACCTTTTTCTTCCCAGAGACGCTCCACCCCCAACTATCGCACTTCAAGTTTATGACCCTAAACCTCAACTAGGCACTCAACACTGCCAAACGAACCTCAAACTGCTTTAGGAAATCTTACCATTCCCTAGAGTGATCATTTCATACATTGTTTCTTCTTCTCTGATTTGAAATTTTAAGTCAGTTTATTAAGTTCAACAATGAAAGCTATCAGAAGAATATTCCCAGCTTGGCATGGTGGCTCATGCCTGTAATAACAGCATTTTGGGAGGCTGAGGTCAGAGGATTGTTTGAGACCAGGAGTTTGAGACCAGCCATAGAGAGACCTTGTCTCTATAAGGAATTTTAGATATTAACCAGAAGTGGTGGTGCACACTTGTAGTCCCAGCTACTTGGAAGGCTCACATGAGCCCGGGAAGTTGAGGCTGCAATGAACTATGATCACACCACTGCACTCCAGCCTGGGTGACAGAGCGAGACCCTGTCTCAAAAAAAAAAAAAAAATTCTCCTTATAATTATTTCTTCTTGGAGAAAAGGAAAGGAAAATCAAAACCCTCTGAGCATAGCCAGGATGCTGTGGCAGTTGAGCTTCTCTGCAGATGGGGACAGTCCTCTGGTCAGTGGAGTCTCTCTCTGGGTCAGCAGGTTTGGAGTCTGGATCATCCTCCTCAATCCCCCGGCTCCAGGTCATCCATTTCCTGGAACAAAGACTCAATTACCTGCACATTGTTTCCAGCATCCTCCAAGAACTGGATATCAGATGTGTCAAGATTTGGATCTGTTTCAAGTAGCTGTTTCCCACTTAATTTATTTTTTCCTGCTTGTTCCTCTTCCATCCATTTCTTTTTAATTTCCAAGCCTTCTGCAGCAAACTCAGCCTTCCAGTTTAAGACATTCTCAATTATAACAGGAATACCATAGAATAATTGCTTTTCAGCTTATTTGGATTTTTTGTTTCTTTTTTTTTCTTCTCTTCTAGTTTTTTTATCTGATCTATTTCATTTAATTTTTCTTGCACAACTGTCACTAAAGATAATCACCATACCAAGATTTTCTTCAGCCTGTAATGCTAAGATTTTTTAAATGTCTGAGACATTATCTTCTAGATTTTCTGAGAATACTTCATAAAGGCAAGCTTTATCTGGGTATTTCTCCTTGTCTGTAAACTTGAGGGTAGTCTGGACAGTTTCATCATTTTCTCCAGCCTCAGATGTCACAGTAATGGTGAAGCTGGCTGGATTTTCTCTTTTTTTCTTTACTTTTTTTTTTTTGAGACAAAATCTCACTCTGTTGCCCAGGCTGGAGTGTAGTGGCAAAATCACAGCTTACTGCAGCCTCTACCTCCTGGGTTCAAGCCATCCTGCCACCTCAGCCTCCTGAGTAGCTAGCTGATTCTACAGGTGCCCCGGTTTGGGCAGGCGGCAGCAGTGGCACCTGGGGAGCTCCCACCAGCTCCACGGAGTGTGCAGCCCCAGCCAAGCCTCCCTGCTGCAGCCCGCATGATGGCAGCCGCTGCCCTCAACAGCACTATACCCAGCACATAGTAGGCCTTCAGCTGAGTGTAACCTGGGTGTGGTGGCTCACTCCTGTAGTCCCAGCACTTTGGGAGTCCAGGGTGGGAGGGTCGCTTGAGCCCAGGAGTTTGACACTAGCCTGGGCAACAAAGCGAGACCTCATCTCTAAAGATAAAATAAAAATTAAAAAAAAAAAAAAATAGGATGGCTGAATAGGAACAGCTCCAGTCTACAGCTCCCAGTGTGAGCGACGCAGAAGACGGGTGATTTCTGCATTTCCAACTGAGGTACTGGGTTCATCTCACTAGGGCTTGTCGGACAGTGGGTGCAGGACAGTGTGTGCAGGACAGTGGATGCAGCGCACCGATCGTGAGCCGAAGCAGGGCAGGGCATCGCCTCACCCGGGAAGTGCAAGGGATCGGGGAATTCCCTTTCCTAGCCAAGGGAAGCTGTGACAGACGGTACCTGGAAAATCAGGACACTCCCACCCTAATACTGCACTTTTCCAACAGTCTTAGCAAACGGCACACCAGGAGATCATATCCCGTGCTTGGCTCAGAGGGTCCCACGCCCATGGAACCTCGCTCACTGCTAGCACAGCAGTCTGAGATCGAAATGCAAGGCGGCAGTGAGGCTGGGGGAGGGGCGTCCACCATTGCTGAGGCTTGAGTAGGTAAACAAAGTGGCCAGGAAGCTCGAACTGGTTGGAGCCCACCACAGCTCAAAGAGGCCTGCCTGCCTCTGTAGACTCCACCTCTTGGGGCACGGCATAGCTGAACAAAAGGCAGCAGAAACTACTGCAGACTTAAACGTCCCTGTCTGACAACTTTGAAGAGAGTAGTGATTCTCCCAGCATGCAGTTTGAGATCTGAAAACGGACAGACTGCCTCCCCAAGTGGGTCCCTGACCCCCGAGTAGCCTAACTGGGAGACACCTCCCAGTAGGGCCCGACTGACACCTCATACAGCTGGGAGCCCCTCTGAGACGAGGCTTCCAGAGGAAGGATCAGGCAGCAACATTTGCCGTTCTGCAATATTTGCTGTTCTGCAGCCTCCGCTGGTGATACCCAGCAAACAGGGTCTGGAGTGGACCTCCAGCAAACTCCAACAGACCTGCAGCTGAGGGTCCTGTCTGTTAGAAGGAAAACTAACAAACAGAAAGGACATCCACACCAAAACCCCATCTGTACGTCACCACCATCAAAGACCAAAGGTAGATAAAACCACAAAGATGGGGAGAAACCAGAGCAGAAAAGCTGAAAATTCTAAAAATCAGAGTGCCTCTTCTCCTCCAAAGGAACACAGCTCCTTGCCAGCAACAGAACAAAGCTGGATGGAGAATGATTTCGATGGGTAGAGAGAAAAAGACTTCAGATGATCGGTAATAACAAACTTCTCCGAGCTAAAGGAGGATGTTCGAACCCATCGCAAAGAAGCTAAAAACCTTGAAAAAAGATTAGATGAATGGCTAACTAGAGTGAACAGCATAGAGAAGACTTTAAATGACCTGATGGAGCTGAAAACCATGGCATGAGAACTACATGACGCATGCACAAACTTCAGTAGCCGATTTGATCAAGTGGAAGAAAGGGTATCAGTGATTGAAGATCAAATGAATGAAATGAAGTGAGAAGAGAAGTTTAGAGAAAAAAGAGTAAAAAGAAATGAACAAAGCCTCCAAGAAATATGGGACTATGTGAAAAAACCAAATCTACATCTGATTGGTGTACCTGAAAGTGAAGGGGAGAATGGAACCAAGTTGGAAAACATTCTTCAGGATATTATCCAGGAGAACTTCCCCAACCTAGCAAGGCAGGCCACCATTCAAATTCAGGAAATACAGAGAATGCCACAAAGATAAGAGCAACTCCAACACACATAATTGTCAGATTCACCAGAGTTGAAATGAAGGAAAAAATGTTAAGGGCAGCCAGAGAGAAAGGTCAGGTTACCCACAAAGGGAAGCCCGTCAGACTAACAGCAGATATCTTGGCAGAAACTCTACAAGCCAGAAGAGAGTGGGAGCCAATATTCAACATTCTTAAAGAAAAGAATTTTCAACCCAGAATTTCATATCCAGCCAAACTAAGCTTCATAAGTGGAGAAATAAAATCCTTTACAGACAAACAAATGCTGAGAGATTTTGTCACCAGCAGGCCTGCCTTACAAGAGCTCCTGAAGGAAGCACTAAACATGGAAAGGAATAACTGGTACCAGCCACTGTAAAAACATGCCAAATTGTAAAGACCATCGATGCTAGGAAGAAACTGCATCAACTAATGAGCAAAATAACCAGCTAACATCATAATGACAGGATGAAATTCACACATAACAATATTAACCTTAAATGTAAATGGGCTAAATGCTCCAATTAAAAGACACAGACTGGCAAATTGGATAAACAGTCAAGACCCATCAGTGTGCTGTATTCAGGAGACCCATCTCACACGCAGGGACACACATAGGCTCAAAATAAAGGGATGGAGGAAGATCTACCAAGCAAATGGAAAACAAAACAAAACAAAAAGCAGGGGTTGCAATCCTAGTCTCTGATAAAACAGACTTTAAACCAACAAAGATCAAAAGAGACAAAGAAGGCCATTACATAATGGTAAAGGGATCAATTCAACAAGAAGAGCTAACTATCCTAAATATATATGCACCCAATACAGGAGCACCCAGATTCATAAAGCAAGCCCTTAGAGACCTACAAAGAGACTTAGACTCCCACACAATAATAATGGGAGACTTTAACACCCCACTGTCAACATTAGACAGATCAACAAGAGAGAAAGTTAACAAGGATATCCAGGAATTGAACTCAGCTCTGCACCAAGTGGACCTAATAGACATCTACAGAACTCTCCACCCCAAATCAACAGAATATACTTTCTTCTCAGCACTACATCGCACTTATTCCAAATTGACCACATAATTGGAAGTAAAGCACTCCTCAGCAAATATAAAAAAACAGAAATTATAACAAACAGTCTCTCAGACCACAGTGCAATCAAACTAGAGCTCAGGATTAAGAAACTCACTCAAAACTGCTCAACTACATGGAAACTGAACAACCTGCTCCTGAATGACTACTGGGTACATAACAAAATGAAGGCAGAAATAAAGATGTTCTTTGAAACCAATGAGAACAAAGACACAACATACCAGAATCTCTGGGACACATTTAAAGCAGTGTGTAGAGGGAAATTTATAGCACTAAATGCCCACAAGAGAAAGCAGGAAAGATCTAAAATTGACACCCTAACATCACAATTAATAGAACTAGAGAAGCAAGAGCAAACACATTCAAAAGCTAGCAGAAGGCAAGAAATATCTAAGATCAGAGCAGAACTGAAGGAGATAGAGACAAAAAACCCTTCAAACAATCAATGGATCCAGGAGCTGGTTTTTTGAAAAGATCAACAAAATTGATAGACTGCTAGCAAGACTAATAAAAAAGAAGAGCGAAGAATCAAATAGATGTAATAAAAAATGATAAAGGGGATATCACCATTGATCCCACAGAAATCAGAGAATACTATAAACACCTCGACACAAATAAACTAGAAAATCTAGAAGTAATGGATAAATTCCTGGACACATACACCCTCCCAAGACTAAACCAGGAAGAAGTTGAATCCCTAAATAGACCAATAACAGGCTCTGAAATTGAGGCAATAATTAAGAGCCTACCAACCAAAAAAAGTCCAGGACCAGACGGATTCACAGCTGAATTCTACCAGAGGTATAACGAGGAGCTGGTACCATTCCTTCTGAAACTATTCCAATCAATAGAAAAAGAGGGAATCCTCTCTAACTCATTTTATGAAGCCAGCATCATCCTGATACCAAAGCCTGGAAGAGACACAACAAAAAAAGAGAATTTTAGACCAATATCCCTAATGAACATCGATGCAAAAATCCTCAATAAAATACTGGCAAACCGAATCCAGCAGCACATCAAAAAGCTTATCCACCACAATCAAGTTAGCTTCATCCCTGGGATGCAAGGCTGGTTCAACATACACAAATCAATGAAAGTAATCCAGCATATAAACAGAACCAAAGACAAAAACTACATGATTATCTCAATAGATGCAGAAAAGGCCTTTGACAAAATTCAACAGCCCTTCATGCTAAAAACTCTCAAAAAACTAGGTATTGATGGGACATATCTCAAAATAATAAGAGCTATTTATGACAAACCCACAGCCAATATCATACTGAATGGGCACAAACTGGAAGCATTCCCTTTGAAAACTGGCACAAGACAGGGATGCCCTCTCTCACCACTCCTATTCAACATAGCGTTGGAAGTTCTGGCCAGGGCAATCAAGCAGGAGAAAGAAATAAAGGGTATTCAATTAGGAAAAGAGGAAGTCAAATTGTCCCTACTTGCAGATGACATGACTGTATATCTAGAAAACCCCATCATCTCAGCCCAAAATCTCCTGAAGCTGATAAGCAACTTCAGCAAAGTCTCAGGATACAAAATCAATGTGTAAAAATCACAAGCATTCCTATACACCAATAACAGACAAACAGAGAGCCAAGTCATGAGTGAACTCCTATTCACAATTGCTTTAAAGAGAATAAAATACCTAGGAATCCAACTTACAAAGGATGTGAAGGACCTCTTCAAGGAGAACTACAAAGCACTGCTCAACGAAATAAAAGAGGACACAAACAAATGGAAGAACATTCCATGCTCATGGATAGGAAGAATCAATATCATGAAAATGGCCATACTGCCCAAGGTAATTTATAGATTCAATGCCATCCCCATCAAGCCACCAATGACTTTCTTCACAGAATTGGAAAAAACTACTTTAAAGTTCATATGGAACCAAAAAAGAGTCTGCATTGCCAAGACAATCCTAAGCCAAAAGAACAAAGCTGGAGGCATCACGCTACCTGACTTCAAACTATACTACAAGGCTACAGTAACCAAAGCAGCATGGTACTGCTACCAAAACAGAGATATAGATCAATGGAACAGAACAGAGCCCTCAGAAATAATACCACACATCTACAACCATCTGATCTTTGACAAACCTGACAAAAACAAGCAATGGGGAAAGGATTCCCTATTTAATAAATGGTGCTGGGAAAACTGGCTAGCCATATGGAGAAAGCTGAAACTGGATCCTTTCCTTACACCTTATACAAAAATTAATTCAAGATGGATTAAAGACTTAAATGTTAGACCTAAAATCATAAAAACCCTAGAAGAAAACCTAGGCAATACCATTCAGGACATAGACATGGGCAAGGACTTCATGACTAAAACACCAAAAGCAATGGCAACAAAAGCCAAAATTGACAAATGGGATCTAGTTAAACTAAAGAGCTTCTTTACAGCAAAAGAAACTACCATCGGAGTGAACAGACAACCTACAGAATGGGAGAAAATTTTTACAATCTACCCATCTGACAAAGTGCTAATATCCAGAATCCACAAAGAACTTAAACAAATTTACAAGAAAAAACCAAAGAACCCCATCAAAAAGTGGGCAAAGGATATGAACAGACACTTCTCAAAAGAAGACATTTATGCAGCCAACAGACACATGAAAAAATGCTCATCACCACTGGCCATCAGAGAAATGCAAATCAAAACCACAATGAGATACCATCTCACACCAGTTAGAATGGCGATCATTAAAAAGTCAGGAAACAACAGGTGCTGGAGAAGATGTGCAGAAATAGGAACATTTTTACACTGTTGGTGGGACTGTAAACTAGTTCAACCATTGTGGAAGACAGTGTGGCGATTCCTCAAGGATCTAGAACTAGAAATACCATTTGACCCAGTCATTCCATTACTGGGTATATACCCAAAGGATTATAAATCATGCTGCTATAAAGACACATGCACACGTATGTTTACTGCGGCACTATTCACAATAGCAAAGACTTGGAACCAACCCAAATGTCCATCAATGATGACTGGATTAAGAAAATGTGGCACATATACATCATGGAATACGATGCAGCCATAAAAAAGGATGAGTTCTTGTCCTTTGTAGGGACATGGATGAAGCTGGAAACCATTATTCTGAGCAAACTATCGCAAGGAGAGAAAACCAAACACCGCATGTTCTCACTCATAGGTGGGAATTGAACAATGAGAACACATGGACACAGGGTGGGGAACATCACACACTGGGGCCTGTCGTGGGGTGGGGGGAGGCGGAGGGATAGCATTAGGAGATATACCTAATGTAAATGATGAGTTAATGGGTGCAGCAAACCAACATGGCACATGTATACATGGGCAACAAACCTGCACGTTGTGCACATGTACCCTAGAACTTAAAGTATAATAAAAATTAAAAAATGAGTGTATTGAATGAATAAACAATATCTTTGCCAACAAGGAGTGATGCCAAAAAGCTGGACACAATTTTTTGCAATGAGCATATATTACTCTTACAATCAGAAGAAAACATTATTATTATTATTATTTTTTATGGAGTCTTGCTCTGTTGCCCAGGCTTGAGGGCAGTGGCAGGATCTTGGCTCAATTCAGCTTCTGCCTCCTGGGTTCAAGCGATCCTCCCACCTCATCCTCTTGAGTAGCTGGAATTACAGGTGAGTGCCACCACTCCCAGCTCTTGAGTAGCTGGAATTACAGGTGAGCGCCACCATCCCCAGCTAATTTTTGTATTTTTAGTAGAGATGGGGTTTCACCATGTTGGCCAGGCTGGTCTCAAACTCCTGACCTCAAGAGATCAGCCCGCCTTGGCCTCCCAAAGTGCTGCGATTACAGGCATGAGCCACTGCACCCAGCCAAGAAAACAGATTTTTAAAGTGGTGGTGGCCCTTGGAGTTCTGCCTCAGTCCTCTGTTTTCTCATTCAAATGGCCTCCCTGCACTCAGTCCTTTATGCCTGTGTTCCCTTCTCACCTGGCCGCTGTCAACTCCCACAAAACTCATCTCCCCTGCTCCTCTTCAGGCCCAGGTAGCCAGGTGCCTGCAGGGCCTCTCCTCCTGAGATCCCCTGTTGCAAACATATGCGTCATCTCCAGGCCTCTGCCCCGCCCTGCTCCACTTCCTCTTCCCTACCTCAGCGACCAACCCCACCAACCTCCCTGTGCTCTAGCCAGCATCCTGGAGGCCTCTTAGACTCCCCTGGCCCATATCCAACCCACAACCAAGCCCTGGCCTTCCACCTCACATGATCCCTCCTCCCATCCCGGCTGCCACCACTGATCCCCGTGGTCCTCTGGTTTCTCCTGTGTGGGCACCAGCTGCCCTGCCTCTATTCCTGCCTCAGCCAACCCATCCTCCACACTTCAGCCAGAGTGACCGTCCTCCAGAGTAAATAGGGTCACCTGACACCCTTTCTTAAATATCTCTATCCTCATAGTCTGCAGGATAAAGTCCAAATTCCACAGCATGGGCCATTCAGGGTTTTCTGCCTGCCTCTCTATTTACCAGTCTCCAGCTCCTCCCGTGCAGGGAACACCTCCAGGCCCTGTGTCTGCTGTTACGTCTGCCTGGAACACCCTCTCCCTCTTATACTGGAAAACCACCCATTACAGGGCTCTGTTCTGTGAAGTCTTTCCTGACCCATCCAAATGGAGGTGTGGTTCTCTCCTCCACATTCCCATACAACTCTGTACCCCCCTCACCACCGGACTGTGTGCCCTCAAGGGCAGGGCCCTGTGCAGCCTCAGCACCTGGTGCTGGCCTGGCACCGAGTTGAGTGCTCATTCCCTGAGAACCCGCATAAGGTGCCCACACCAGGCCTTCTCAGTGGCTCTGAAAATGAGAGCATAGTGGGACCTGGGAGGTAGCCTTGGCCCTCGTGGGTAAAGATGGTGTCCTCCTTGTTCTTGGCTGTGTCCGCCTTGTTCTTGGCTGTGTCCCATTGCCCAGCACAAGGGCTGACAATAGTAGGGGCTCAGTAAACCCTCAGCATGCAGACATGAATAAAATGAATCCGGGGGCTGAAAAAGCCCACAGATCTTCAGCCTAGCCCACATCACCCACCTATGTCTCAATATTTCACAAAGGAGGAAGTTGAAGTCCCCCCAAGGGCAGGGACTTGCCCAAGGTGAAACACTGGATTCCTTCCCTGACAAAAGACCAAAACCCAGGTGTCCTTCTTCCCAAGATTTCTTCCTCTCCAAAATCTACCAAGGCAAAAAAGATTCCAAAGAGCAGGTGGGGCTTATTGCTGACACCCCCAGCCCCATGCCTGAGCACATACTGTGGGCCAGGCTTAGTGTTGGTGTTCTCAGGCATTACTGCATGTGCTCCTGTGTCAACATGAGGAGGGAGGTACTATTATTATTTCTGTTTTACATCTGAGAAATTGGAGGCTCATGCTGCTGAAGTTACATGGCAAGAAAGTGCAGAGGCCGGGCATGGTGGCTCACATCTGTAATTCCAACATTTTGGGAGACTGAGGTGGGAAGATCGCTTGAGCCCAGGAGTTTCAGACTAGCCTGGGCAACATAGTGGGATCCCATCTCTATATATACACACACACACATATATATATATATGTATATATTATTACATATAGAGAGAGATCCCATCTCTAAAATATATATATATATATATATATTTTATTTAGAGATCCCATCTCTAAAATATATATATATATTTTTTTTATTTAGAGATCCCATCTCTAAAATATATATATATATATATATATAGAGAGAGAGAGAGAGAGAGAGAGAGGCAGGTGTGATGGCATCTGCCTATAGTCCCAGCTATAGGAGGCTGAGGCAGGAGGATTGCTTGAGCCCAGGAGTGTGCACCACTGCACTCCAGCCTGGGTGAGAGAGCAAGACCCTTTCTCCAAAAAATAAAAAATAAAATAAAGTGCTGGAGACAAAATTTGAATTCTGGGCCGGGCATGGTGGCTCATGCCTGTAATCCCAGCACTTTGGGACCCCGAGGTGGGGGGATCACTTGAGGTCAGGAGTTCGAGACCAGCCTGGCCAATATGGTGAAACCCCGTCTCCACTAAAAATACAAACATTAGCTGGATGTGGTGGTGCATGCCTGTAATCCCAGCTACTCGGGTGGCTGAGGCAGGAGAATTGCTTGAACCTGGGAGGCAGAGGGTGCAGTGAGCCGAGATCGCACCACTGCCCTCCAGCCTGGGCAACATACCAAGATTCTGTCTCAAAAAAAGAAAAAATTGAACTCTGACCTGACTCCAAGATTGGCATTCTCAGATCCCATGCTCCGCCCCTGGATGGCTTGGCTAGGAGTGTCTGAGGGGCGGGGCTGGCAAAGCAGTGCCTCCTATATGAGGGAGAGGGAGAAGACCTGATAGGGTGATGGCCTCTCTGGGACCTGGTCCAGCACTTGGAAGCCTGAGAGGAAGGGGGTCTCTCTTCCCAAACACCCTATGGCAACATGCCACAGGCCCTTCTCCACCCCTGCCTCTGCTGGTCTCAAAACTTGCAGTGCATTTCAAAGGGGATAAACCTGAAGGGCTTCTATTCAGGTGAGAGAAAGGCAGGATCCAAATGAAAGTCAGGTTGCACCCAGAGATGTTCAAAGCTCTTGTCATGGGGCATGGGGACTCTTCCCTCCATGCCCTGTAGGCCCATCCAGTCCCTTCTCCACAAGCTAAACATGCCCATCTGTGTCCCCAAACCAGCAAGAGTTGTTGGTTTTCAACTGGATAAAGTCCAGATCCCTTAGCTTGGCATTCAAGCTACTCTGGGATCCCATTTTTGACTATTTGTCCTACCTCATTCTCTCACTAAGCAAGCTCTTTGCATCATCAAGTTAGGCTGCTCACCATTCCTCTAAACATGTTTGCTGCTTTCCTGCCTCTAAGGCTTTGCCCATGCCTTCCCCCCTAGAGTGCTTTTCATTCCCATGTTCTCCTATTGAAATCTTACCATACTGGACATGCACAGTGGCTCACGCCTGTAATCCCAGCACTTTGGGGGGCTGAGGTGGGCAGATGACTTGAGGTCAGGAGTTTGAGACCAGCCTGGCCAACATGGCGAAACTGTCTCTACTAAAAATACAAAAATTAGCTGTGTTTGGTGGCACGCACCTGTAATCCCAACTACTCAGGAGGCTGAATCAGAAGAATTGCTTGAACCCAGGAGGTGGAGGTTGTAGTGAACTGAGATCGCGCCACTGCACTCCAGCCTGGGCAACAGAGTGAGAGGCTGTCTCAAAAAAACAAAACAAAAAAAAACAACAAAAAAAAAGGAAAGAAATATTACCATTCTTTTAAGCCCAGGTCCACTGGCACCTTCCCCTTTTCCCCTTCCATAGATTTTTTTTTTTTCTCTCTTAAATCCCAGGGCACTTCACTTTGTACAGACCTGCTGGCTCATGTGTGGATTATCTGTGTCTGTGCCCTTCTCCTAGATACCACAAGTGAGGGCAGCAGCAGTGTCCTATTCATCACCATAGCCCCCCGAGGGCCCTGTGCTCAGTAGGTGCTCTAGGAATGTCTATCAGACTAATAAAGGCATGAATGGACTCCTAAAATCAGTGGGAAGCATTTCTGATCCAAGGGAACCTGCATTTTAACAGGGACCACCACTTGCCCTAACGCAGAGAAATTATCCAAAACTAGGAAATAAAGCAAAAGGAGTATTATGTGCCCTTTAAAAGTCTCCTTAGAGTATGTCTGACTTACTATTTACTGTTGATTAGTGGCCAGACTTTGTAAAAACTGATGTTAACTGTAGAAAATTGATGTTGCAATTAATTTCTATATACTTCAAAAAAATAACCCTGAAGGTTGTGATTTGGTTGTCCTGCAGGACATTAACCAGTTTTGTATGTTACTTAGCTATCTTAAGTAACCAGCATTCTTACTTGCCATCTTAAGTAGCCAGCATTCTTTTTTCACTGACCTTACTTCAATTTCTAATATCTTCCTTTGAACCAGCTTTGCCATTCTGCTGGGTTCCCTCATTCATGAGTTAAAAAAATCTTTCACTTGTGTTCACTATATGTTTGTGTAAGAGTTATGTCTTTTAAATTTTTGAAAATTATGCTTTGACACAACTTTGGGCACATTAAAATCATCTGTGAAGCACTTAAAAGATATAGAATACCAGCAATTTGGGAGGCCAAAGCAGGCAGATCACTTGAGCCCAGGAGTTCGAGATCAGCGTGGGCAACATGGAAAAACCTGTCTCTACAGAAAATAAAAATAAAAAAATTAGCCAGGCATGGTGGCACACACCTGTGGTCCCAGGTACTCAGGAGGCCAAAGCAGGAGGATTGCTTGAGCCTGGGAGGTTAAGGCCGCAGTGAGCCACGATCATGCCACTGCACTACAGCCTGGGTGACAGAAGAAGACCCTTTCTCAAAAACAAAAACGAAGAAAGATACAGAAACCCAGGTTCTACCTCTGGGATTTTGACCCAGAAACTTCTGGATGGGACTTTGCTGCCTGTATTTTTAGTACTCTCAGAGAATTCTAATTAATAATCAGAGCTGAGAACCTCTCTACTGAAGGGCAACAGCCTTTACTAGGCTTTTTTGTTACCACAAACAAGCACTCGTTAAATGTTTGCCATTATTGCCTGGCACAGTGCATGCACCTCTAATCCTAGTTACCTGGGAGGCTGCAGCGGGATGATTACTTGAGCCAGGAGTTCAAGTCTGTGGTACAATATGATTGTGTTTGAGAATAGCCACTGCACTCTAGCCCGGGCAACATGGTGATACTCCATCTCAAAAAAAAAAAAAAAAAAAAAGCCTTTGTTATTGTTAGCTCTGGTGATGGAACTTCAGACACAGGGATGAAGATTTGGTGTACTGGTACTCTGGGTGTTCCTGAAATCATACCAGCTTCACATTGGGCCTTTTGGATCATGAGAGGCCATGGTATACAATACCAGGTGTATCATTGTATTAGTTTCCTTGGCTGCTGTAACAAATGGCCATATACTTAGTAGCTTGCAACACGGATGTATTATCTTACAGTTCTGGAGTTCAGAAGTCTGAAATAAGCCTTACCAGGCTAAAATCAGGGTGTGGATAAAGCTGTTTTTTTCTGTAGGATCCAAGGGAGAGTCTGTTCCTTGCCTCTTCCAGCTCCCGGTGGCTGCCAGTGTTCTTTGGCTCACGGCTACATCACTCCAGTCTCTGCTTCCGTGGTCACATGGCCTTCTCCAACCACCCACTTTGATCTCCTCCCTCTCCTTCTTATAAGGACCCTGTGATCACATTGGGCTCACCCAGATAAACCAAGATAATCTCTTCATCTCAAGATCCTTAATCTAATCGCAGCTTCAAAGTCCCTTTTGCCACCTAAGGTAACAGTCACACTTTCCGGGGATTAACGGGTGGACATTTGGGGAGGCATTATTCAGCCTACCAGAGTTATCCTTCTCTGCAGCCTCAAGATCCAAGGCATCACCCACTGCTGAGAGCTGACCACTCCCCCACCACCCTATATCACCTGGAGCCATGGAGGACCCACTGTGTTCTCAGTGTAGGGGATCAGATAGAGCAAGTGGAGGTTTTGCAAACCTCCAAAACTAGGGGTCCTATACTGAAAACAGTAATAAAGTTGGAATTCCAGGAGACAAGAGGAAGAATTTAGAGGCAGCTGCCTGTGGGTGGTCCGTAAAGCCAACATGAATGTCTGCCTGTCACACAATCAGGTCACCGCCACCTCTCTTCAGTAGCAGCCTGCCTTCTAGGCTGCAGCTTTATTTACGGTTGTATTAAGTTATTAAAATGAAAAAAAGCCCCACCTATCTACTGTTTATTTTCCTAGATAATAGAAACTAGTTAAGATTGCTGCATTATGTCTCCATTAAGTAATTATGATCTAAGAGCTCCACAAAAGCCCGTCAGAGAACAGGCAGAAAGTTCATTTTCCTCCCTGCATCTGAATGTGGCCTGGGTTTGCAAGGGCAAACAGGGACACTATGTGCAGTGGAAAAAGGCCTGCCTTCCACAGCCCCGTGCCAGGGTGAATGGCTTGGCAAGTGGGGTAGGAGCTGGGATATCTGGCAAGTGGAGTAGGAAAGCCAGACTCCCTTGAACAGTGAACAACCTGCGCATCTGAACACAGCAGCCCTCTTTTCCCATCTGCATCCACATCCTCCCCTCTATATGTGAACTCATTTCACCAGATCTTAGGGTTTACAAACTCTCAAAGCATCCCCAATATGACCTCAACAACCCCATGAGGCTGGCCAACTTGGTATCACTGTCCCATTTTAGAGATGAGAAAACTGAAGTTAAAGACATGAATGATTTGCCATCACCTGGCTAGTGGGTGATGCAGTTGGATGCAGAAGTGTCCCTTTCTTGACATCACTCAGTGCAAGGTGGGCCTGGGGTGGGGAATGGGGCATGCATTTTAGTGGGCAAGGCTTTCATCTGGGCTGTCAGCAGCCCAGACTTCAGGAAGATCCTCTTTAAGAAAGCTACCCACTTCCCATACCTCTGCCTGCCCTCCTCAGGGTTCTCACGTTCTTCTAATCCTGCCTCTGAGACACTCAGCAGATGCCACGCCCCCTCAGCACGACTGCTTCTGCTTCCACAGTGCAGGCTGTGGGGCAGATGATCCACATTTACTTATTCAAAGAAGTGAGGGAGTTAACGTACTTTGAATGGATTTTATCCCTAATTGAACAGGCGTGTAACCTTGCTGTGGGTCCTGACTGAGGGATGTCACACCAGGACACAAGCCTTCTGGCTTTTCATGAAGCATCAGGATCAAAGGCAGAGAAAGCTCAACCCACACTGACAGGAGGAAGAGACAACCTCCTTGGAGGACCTGGAAAACAATTTGGCACCTTGTTTTGGTGTAACTGAAAAGGTGCTCTAACTGGGAGCCTAGGGTTGGCCAAGGCAGGCACGTGGGTTCTGCTGCGCAGCTCAGCAATGACCTAGGCTCAGCGTTCCCTGCCTTTTCCCACCGAAGGGCCCCAGACATCTCACCCATCCTTTGTTGGAAAATCTTCTACTCCCTTGCTGGCAAGAGATAAAGCCCACCTGGAGATTTACGATGAAAACACTCACCAGACCAAGGAACCCACTGGAGAGGGCATGCAGTGGAGTAGGGGGTCACAGATGGAATTCAGAAGGTCTGTGGACTGGGATGAGTCATAATAAAAAAGGACATCTCTATTTTCCCTACCCTCTAACTGAAGATCAGCATTTCCTTCCATTATGAATGCAGACAACAAATCCCAGCAGTTTTAGCAGCACTTGGCATTCTGTCCCACAGAATTCACTGATATTTTCACACCACATCACAATGGCTACAGGTGTCTTGAGATATGGTTTACGCTCTTCACTACTTCAAAATTATAGTACTTATTAGACACACTGCCCTGCTGGATTTTTTTTTTTTTTTTTGAGATGGACTCACTCTGTCACCCAAGCTGGAGTGCAGTGGCGTGACCTCAGCTCGCTGCAACCTCTGCCTCCCGGGTTCAAGCGATTCTCCTGCCTCAGCCTCCTGAGTAACTGGGATTACAGGCATGTGCCACCAGGTCCGGCTAATTTTTTGTATTTTTAGTAGAGATGGAGTTTCACCATGTTGGCCAGGCTGGTCTCAAACTCCTGACCTCAAGTGATGTGCCTGTCTCAGATTCCCAAAGTGCTGGGATTACAGGCATGAGCCACTGTGCCTGGCCCACTGCTGGATCTTAATTGATGGGTTAATAAAAAAATATATTTCTATTTCCAATTAAAAAATATTTTGATAACCAAATCTCAATATAATTGGTTGCCTTTGTAATTCTGTTTTTGTTTTTTGTTTTTTGTTTTTGAGAAAGGGTCTCATTCTGTCACCCAGGCTGGAGTGCAGTGGTACAATCTTGGTTCACTGGAGCCTTGACCTCCCAGGCCCAGGTGATCCTCCCACCTCAGCCTCCCAAGTAGCTAGGACCATGGTTATGTGCTACCATGCCCAGCTAATTTTTAAATTATTTTTTAGAGACTGGGTCTCACTATGTTGCCCAGGCTGGTCTGGAACTCCTGTGCTTAACGATCCTCCTGCCTCAGCCTCCCAAGTTGTTGGGACTATAGGTGTGAGCCACCATGCCCAGCCTCAGTATGTGTTTTTAAAAATGCATTTAAAAACATTATTCTGAGCAGGGGTCCATGGCACCAAGAAAGTAAAAATGTGAAGAACTCATGCGTACAAAGTAACTTTACAGAAGGCGGGAGGCTAGAGGTTACATCACTTAGGAGGAGAATGTCTGGTTGAAAATACACTTTCAGCTGGGCACAGTGGCTCATGCCTGTAATCCCAGCATTTTGGGAGGCCGAGGAAGGCAGATCACCTGAGGTCAGGAGTTCGAGACCAGCCTGGCCAACATGGTGGAATCCCGTCTCTACTAAAAATACAGAAATTAGCCAGGTGTGGTGGCAGGTGCCTGTAATTCCAACTACTTGGTAGGCTGAGGCAGGAGAATTGCTGGAACCCAGGAGGCAGAGGTTGCAGTGAGCCGAGATCATGCCACTGCACTTCAAAAAAAAAAAAAAAAAAAAAAAAAGAAGAAAGAAAGAAAGAAAAGAAAAGAAAAATAAAAGAAAATACACTTTTTAGGTAGGGCACGGTGGCCCATGCCTGTAATCCCAGCACTTTGGGAGGCTGAGATGGGAAGATTATTTGAGCCCAGGAATATGGGACCAGCCTGGGCAACATAGAGAGACACGCCTCTACCCCCATCTCTACAATTTCTTTTTTCTTTAAATTAGCAGGGCGTGGTGGTACATGCCAATAGTCCCAGCTACTCAGGAGGCTGAGGTGGGAGGATCTCTTGATACCAGGAGTTTGAGGTGAGCTATGACCACGCCACTGCACTCCAGTCTGAGTAAGAGTGAGAACCTGTCTCAAAAACAAAAAAGAAAAACATTTTTTAAAATTACAGATTCTAGGGCCCTGTCACAGGCCAGGCTCTCTGGGAAGCAGACCCCGAGATGGAGTTTAGAGTTCAGAGTTCCGAGGGTTTGTCAGTGTTGTGAGGATCTACACTTGTGGAAGGGCGGGATGGAAAGCAGGATTGGACAGTCTCAAGAGTGGCCTCAGCTGACCCTACGGGGAGCTCTGAAGATGGGATGCTCCTTCAGAGTTGCTCTAAGTTGGGGTGAGGGGGCCAGGCCTTTATGCCCCATGTTCATCAGTCGTTAGATGCAGTTACCTCAGGGAAGGGATCTGACTTTGGGCAAGGCCGCTGTCTCCAGCTGAGGCGCCTCTCAAAGAGGACTGCCAGCTAGCTGAGGGCTTCCTGCCAGCAGCACGCCCAGTAGCTGGGGAGGAAGTCATTCATTCCTACGGGAGGGTCTGGGTGGTGGCTCACAGAGTCCACTGAAGGCTTCTACTGCAGAATTATTGTAGCTAAATTCCTGAATGCGGTCCAGAGTCTGTCATTTTTAAAGTTCTGTCAATGATTCGGATGGTCTGCCTGGTTTGGAAGCCCTCAATTTCAGGTAGTCAGAGCTCGAGAGGGCTCTGAGATCATGGAGTCTGAGGGACTTGGTTCGAGGCTATTCAGCCGGTCAGTGGCAGAGCCAGGAGGGTGCTGACCTGACCTTGGCCATGGCCTCGCTCCACTTTTAAATTTCATTCAACAGATATTTATTGAGAATCTCCCACCACCACGTGAGGCACTGGGGATGCACTAGTGAGCAAAAGAACACAGTCCCTGCCCTCGTGATACTCACAGTCCTGCGCCCCAAAATTCTCTCAGCTGGGCCTGCATCCACTCAAACACTGCTCATGGGACTGTGAGTTGGCAATCTCTATCAACGCCATAAATGTATCTACTCAGCATTTCCACTCCTAGGTATTTATCCTACAGCTAAACCTCCATGTGAGTGAAGTGACGTACGTACAAGAATATTCACATATTCACCAGAAATTCTTTATAATAGCAAAAACCTGGAAATACCCTAGAGGTTGATCAATGGGGTTCTGGTTGAATAAACCATATCCTGGGTAAACACTAAAAATAAAAGAGGTACCTTTCTATACACTGATATGAAAAAAAAAAACCCCAAAAAAAAACAAAAACAAAACTCCCAAGGCATATCGGTGAGCAAAAAAAGGAAGATACAGATAATACCAATTGTAACATGCCACCATTTGGGTGAAAAAAAAGGAAAGATACATGTGAATTTGTTAAGATTTTCAGTGAACCAAGAGCTTTAACAAAGAGGGAAACACTCAGTCCAAATAGAAAAACAGAAACCACTCAAGGTTTTTCACACAGAGATCATTCATAATCAATTCATAATTCAGGAAATTGGTTCAGTAAGTGATACAAGAGCTGAGAAACCAAATACACCTATCAGCTGACCCAAGACCTTGGGAAATAATAGCCTGTAAGGGCTTAGCCTCCCGGAATACAGAGAAGAGAAGGAAGAGGCTGAGGAGTGAATTGCAGGTGACCATAATAGTGTCCAGGATAATATGTTTAATAAATGCATAGAGTACGTCCCAGAGGCCACATAAGAAATAGTCATGGTGCTTGTCTCTAGGAGTTGGAGACTGGGAAGGAGATCTAGATTATATAGGGTGCCCTTTGGCATGAGTGTATGTTGCCTATTTGAAACAAGACACTTGCCTGACATTCATATTTAGTATATTGGTAAAGGCAACGCCATTATATTTTTTCACTGGAAAACATCCTCCTGGAAACGAAATGCCAGCAAAATCTCCCCACACATTTCCTGTAATTATACCCCCGAAGACAGCATACCAATTTTTTCTGTGCATGCTTTTCACAAGTGTCCTCTTCAAATCCTCCTTGGATGAAGCGCAGCTCTGAGAGAAGGCAGAGGCCACTGGAGTGGGGAGGATGTTTTCCTCTCATCAGCAGCTGGCTTGCTGTGTGATCTCACACCACATCTGTGGCCACTTAGGAAGCTGCCGGCTGGAAGGCCTCAGCTGGCATCCCGGAGCCGTGGTGCCTGCCAGCGTGTGTCTGAAAGGGCTGCTGCTTCACCCTCCGGGGAACAGCACACACTGGGTGCCACTGGCCAAAGCCTACAAGGGAGGAAGATGCGGGCTCCTGGGCTCTGCCCTGGACTGACAAGTTCTGTAACTCCATATAGAAGATGGATGGTGGAAGAAGTAGAAAGGCCAGCTCTTGTCGTTGACAATCAACCCTGGTAAACTGTAGGAGGCACGGGAAGTATAACTAACTTGCCCAAGGTCACGCTGCCCTACAATGACAGAGGTGGGATTCAGCCCAGATCTGGGTGAGATCATGAGCCCAGCCCTCTCACTGTGCAGACAGGGATACCCGGCCACTGAGGGTCACAGAGGCACCAGCCCGAGGGGCTCTGACCTTCCATGTCATCTCCCTTGTCCCTTAGGGGGTCTCAAATCAGACTGCCCCAACTCTACTACAACTCTCAGAGCCTCAGTCTTCTCTGCTATCAAGTGGGACTTTACTACATATTTAAAATATTGTTATGAGGTTTAAATTTGTCAATGACTATAAAGCATTTAGCACATAGTGGGCTCAACAAATGCGAGTCCATTTCTTCCTTTTGTTTCAGTATCTTAATTCCTGCTCCTCGTACTGAAACCTCGCAGGGTTACTAGAGGCTCAGACAAGAACACTGACCTCTCTACAAAAGCCTCGGGCTGTACCGGAGTCCCACTGTTGGGCCTGGGAGCTGGGCTGTGCATCTGTGGATCCTTCTGCCCTGAAATCCAGATCCATGTTTGCTTGGCATGCCGTCTTCCCTCCTAACTCAAGGCAGAGAATTCAAGTTGGGTTAACTTTCCCTGCTATTAACATTTCCACAAATGCTTTCCCAGCTATTTTCATCAATTCTGAACAATTTTCTTAAGAAGAAAGGGAAACGCCCTCTCAGCTTCAGCCTCCTGCTCCTCTGGGTTCTCTGGCAGATGAACTTCTGTTTGCTCATCTGGGACTCCGCTCAGCTCCCTGATTCCTCTCCCCGCAGAACAAGGTGGTCTCAGTAAGTAGCCAGATCCACTACCCAGTGGTGCAGGTTGCACCTCTCTTTCTGAGTCTCCCAGGCAAGTGTTCCGGGCCTGTCTCCTGGCCCCAGAGCTCTTCTCTCTGCCTGGTGGAGGCCATTTGGTCCTCGTGTGGGCTCAGTCCCTCTCCAGTCTCTGGGCTGATGCTGTCCATGGTTGATACTGATGGGAGGAGCCTGCAGCTGTCATTTACCTCAGTGACTTCATTCAGGTCAGCCTTGCTGTGGGCTTCTGTGTGACCTCCAGCCTAGAGGAGCCCCTCTGTCTCGTGAGAAACAGCCTCTGGCCCCGTTTCCCCAGGGCTTCATAGTCTATTGGGGCGATAGGCATGTCGTGAGATGATCACAGCCCAGTGTAGCCAGGGCTCTGCAGGAGCAATGCAGGAGGAACTCAGGGAAGAAACAAATAAAGGAAGAAGCACTGAAGTTTTCCCAGATGAGTCAAAGACAGTGTTCTAGTTATCTCCTGCTCCAAAACATAGTGGCATAAAACGACCATCTATGCTTCCAGATTCCATGGCTCAGGAATTTGGATAGGACACTGCAGGGTGTGTCTTCCCTGCTCCGTGAGGCCTGGGCCTCAGCTGGGGTGACTCTAATGGCTAGAGGTGACTTGAAGAGTTGGGCTGGGTTGGCTGGGCTGGCTGAAGAGTGGGCTCAGCTGGGACTGTCGACCAAAGTGCCTACTTGTGGCCTCTCCAGCCTGGTGGTCTCAGGACAGTTGGACTTTTTACATGGTATCGGGGGTTCAAGTGTGAGTGTTCCCAACGAACAAGGCAGAAGTTGCATGGCCTTTTATGACTCAGCCTAAGATGACACATAGCATCACCTCCAACATACTCTATTGGGCATAGCAGTCATAAGACCAACCAGATTCAAGCGACAGGGACACAGAATTCATCTCTTGAGACCAAAATCTTGCAGCCATGTTTTAAAACTGCCACAGAAGTTTCTGCAGAAGAGGTAACCCTTGAGCTGAATTTTGAAGGCAGAGTAGAAGTTTTCTGGATAGACAACATGGTGAGGGTGTCCTAGGCTGAGGGATCAGGATATGCAAAGGCCCAGGGGCACAAGAGTGGACTGACTGCATGACATGTCATAAGTCCCACAAGACTTCCCAGGAGCTCAGCACACAGACCCTTCCTGCCAACTCAGACAGCCATTGCTGGCTGGTCCTTCCCCGAGTGCTAAGAGCCTGCTGTGCCCCAGGGCCCGTCAGCCGAAGGCTCACCCAGATCACAGGTTGAGTGGCAAGTCCACATCCCAGTGGCCTGGCCTCACCTGGCTCCTGAGGCTGTGGTGAGCACGCAGGGAGATGCCACCTGGGAACAGCTTTGAATGAAGTTCAGTCAGACTCCATGCCTGTGTTCTCATCTCCAGCTCTTGACTTAGAAACCCGAGGCCCAGCCAAAGCTTTCTTGGTTTGGTTTTTCAAGGTACTCTGTGTCCATTGGCTTGAATCCTAGCAATTCTTTCCATAATGCTTAGTCCTTTTGAGGGAAGCATAAAAACTCAGACTAGATTAAGCAAAAAAGGGAATTTATTCATTCTTGTGAATGGAATATTCCAGGAGCAAATCCTGGAGTTTAAACATCAGA
This sequence comes from Homo sapiens, assembly GCF_000001405.40. Lineage (NCBI taxonomy): Eukaryota > Metazoa > Chordata > Mammalia > Primates > Hominidae > Homo > Homo sapiens. The sequence continues at coordinate 78,361,769 of NC_000015.10, read as the reverse complement.
ATTCTCTTTGTTTCTCATCTGCTCATTTTTGTGTGTTGGCTTCGTTTTCAGGCAGAGTCTCCCGCAAAGTACCAGTGATGACCCCACAGTTCTAGGCTTACCTGATCCCCGTAGCCAGCAAACCCAGACGAAAGAGAGCACCTTCTGCCTAAATGCTCCGGCTGCGGTCCCAGAGAGGGCTCTGATTGGCTTAGCTTGGATCACATGCCTGTCTCAGAACTGATCACCATGGCCATGAAGCTGCAGTGCTGTAATTGGCTATGACTGAATCAAGGGCTGACCCCTGTTAGGCTTATGGATTAGCCCCACAGTAACCACATAGAATCACTTCCTTTCTAGAAATAGGGGCTCTGTAACCTGAAGAGGAAGGGAAAATGTAAAAGGCAGATGAAATTTAGTGGCCACAGCCCCAGGGCCACTAGTATAGTTGCACAATTTGTGCACTGCATAAAGCAAGGATAGAGTACCCTCCTTGTCTGCCCAGAAAAGGTCTCCTTTTCTAATTCACACAAAAGCAGCCCCATGGATGCATGCCCAGCTTTGCAAGGCCTACCCCACTTTCCTTTTCCCTGTGCTCCAGCACTGCCTGGAATACTCCACCCGCTTCCTCCAAGTCCTAGTTCCAGTGCCTACTGCCCCGTGCATTGGCCAGGATGAATCTCAAGTTCCCCATGTGCCCACAGAATTACAACTTCTGCTTTGGTCATGGTTGTCCAGCTGTGGTTCTTTGTCTATCTCCCTGTCTGGCCTCAGACAGGTTCCACAGGGACAGGGGGTGTATCAAAGCCAGGGAGTGTATCCGAGCCCTCCCAGGCCAGGTGGAGGAGATGCACAGGTAGGATCTGCTTGGTGGGTGGGAAGGAAACAGCATTGTTCTCATTGCTGCCCCAGACCCTCTCCCGGCTGTTCCCTGCACATCCTCAATGAGAGGCTATTGGCCTGATCTATGCACCCCCTGTGTCACTTCTACTAGCTGCTAGAGACAAAGCTGAAAGGAAGGGGTCTTGAAAGATGCACCCGCAGGGCCACCATCCAAGGCTGGGCTCCAGACATCAAGAGCCCTTCTTCAGGAGGCCTCAGGGGAAGAGAAGGTGGCTGGGCTCCATCTGGCTTCACTGAGGCTGCCAGGCAATTGCTCTAGGGCTCAGCTCTAGCTCCTGATGAAAACCAGATCTGGGAGCTTGGAGCCTTTGGTGAAACTGGATACCTGTCAACGTAGGCAAAGGAAATACACTGTGGGAGAGAGGCTGGCTGGCAGCCGGCAGTGCTAGGCTGGGCAGTAAGGTTGGGCTTTCCTTCTGAAAGGCCCCGAGGAGCCCTTGCCATGTGGGGTGATGACAGCCCTAAGAAACAGGAGCCCCATGGAGACGGGAAAAGCACACCCACTTCTCCGTCACTTTCCTCCCTCTTCCCTTCTCTTTCTCTGTTTCATTTATTCAGATAGAAGACCTGGATTCAATCCCAGTACTAATTTTTATTCACTTTGGGTGAATTATTTAACCTCTCTGAGCCTCAGTTTGATCATCTGTAAAGTGGGAGTGAAAACAGTAGCTACCTAGTTGGCTTACTGTAGGATGAAAGGTGAAAATGCAAAGTGCTTAGCACAGGGCCTGGAACATAGTAAGCCCTTATTAAATGTCAGTGATCATTATGCTTTCTCCCTCCCTCCTTTTCTATGAAAAAGTTATTTCATAGAAATAACTTTTCTATGAAATAACTTTTTTTTATTAAGCCATAAACATAATACTTGATGACCATAGTAAGGAAAATATTTTGTGTCCCTAATGGCTGATGGGATGGCAAGAGCATTGGCCCTGGAGTCAGACATCCTGAGGTTGTAATCCCAGCTCTGCCATTTACAAACTGGATAATTTACTCAAAGCACTTAACTTCTTTGAACTTCAGTGTCCCCGTCTGTAAAATGGGGACAGTCCTGATACCTGCCCTGCTTAGACCCCCGGGTTGCTATGCATCACATATAGGATACATTTGCAAAGGGGCACCAGAAACCATGCAGAGACATACACCTTGGTAATTATTATTTATGCTTCTAATGTTGTGCTTTCCTTCTTGCTGTCTCCTTTTCTCCTGTTTGGTTCTTCTTTCCCTTTTTCCAGTCATGAGTCAAATAAACTTTGTGGAGTCATAGAGTGTTAAAGCTGGAAAAGACCTCTGTGACCATTGGTTCAGTGATTCTATCAGAAATCACCTGGGGAATGCAAAGAAATTAAGATTCCTGGGCTCCAACCCAGACAAAGAGAATCAGAATCTCTTTTTAAGTGAAAACTTGTTTTAATTTACAAAAGTCGTACATGCTCATTATAAATGAATCCCAACCATACAGAAATAATGAGAGTAAAACGGTCTCTCAGAGGTAACCACTCTTAGTGGTTTGGTGTGTGTCCTCTAGGGTTTTGGCTTTTTTTTTCTTTCCCCTGGAAAGAGCTAAGCATATAGCTTTTATTTTTCCCATTAAACTAGATCCCCACTCACTTAAAAAAACAAAAAACCGAATATAGCTTAGACATCTTTCCACATCAGTACACATATGTCTACCTCACTCTGTTCTACAGCTGCAGAGAATTCCATTGTGTAGCTTGTTGTGGATGACTTAACCCTTTCCCTGTTGGTGGATATTTGGGCTGTCCCTGGTGATTCACATGCAGCCCTCCCAGCCACTGCCCATGTTTAGCAACCTCTGCTTTCTACAGATGGGCAAATGGAGGCCCAGGGAAGGTACAAGAAAGAGCAGGTAGCTTCACGGAGCAAATTAGTGGCAGAGCCAGGACTTACAACCCTGGTTTCCTGGCATGCTCTCTGCATTGAACTATACTACCACATTCAGCAAAAACAAACATAACAGCAACAATTTTTTTGAATGGCGATAAAAGGAACTCAATAACATTTTTCTGAACCTATTCCTAATAGTAGGAAAGAGAAAAAAAATCCTCAATTTTATTTCATGTATTCTGAGGATTGGATGTTTTCCCAAACTTTCTCAGGGTTTTCACTTCTCATTATGTTCTTTGTAAGAGTTCATAACTCAATAATTTTTTCCTACACATTGTTTCTGAAGCCAATTTTTTTTTTTATGTTAGTATCTCCAAATCCCACTTCCCTGGAGCATGGCTATTCTGAGAGACCTTGGTCAAATTCCACTTTACGAACCCAGCTCCCCCTTCACTCACCATAATTGATGAGTTTTCCTGGCTTGTGAAAACAAACGGAATTATAAAATTGTGACTGTCATCTATTTTTTTTATTAAGTAAATTCCTCGAAGTCCTGCAGGTAATTTTCCCAGAAAGATGAATTACCCACTTGTAACAAATATAACATGTTTGCAGAATCCTTGTGAGAATTTGCTCTTTGCCCAGAAATTATGCTTAATCTTCCTACTACAGAATGGAATGTTAATCCTGCCTCCAATAAGCTAATGGAGATTTGATTGGAAGTGACCACTGCCCATCAAGTCCCGTTCTCTTTGAAGCAGTTGTCCTCACAGCCTGGTGCTGAGTTACAGACAAATATTTCCAAGTCTACTGCCCCGACCTCCATCCCCTGCCACAAATGGATTGGTCAAAATCCACTCCGATTTCTGAGTAAAAAGGAAGAGATGTCATCCTCAGATAGCTGAACACAGTGCTGGCAACATCTGAATACTGTTTAGCATTGTCTTGGGCAGAAGATAATGGGAACAAAGGAGTACAGAGTAACTTTTTTTTGTTGTTGCGTTTTTGAGTTGCGGTCTTATGGCATCACCCAGGCTGGAGTGCAGTGGCGCAGTCACAGCTCACTGCAGCCTCTACTTCCCAGGCTCTAGCAATCCTCTTACCTCAGTCTCCCAAGTAGCTGGGACCACAGGTACATGCCACCACATCCAGCTAATTTTTAAAATTATTTGTAGAGATGAGGTCTTGCTATGTTGCCCAGGCTGGTCTCGAACTCATGGGCTCAAGCAATCCACCCACCTCGGCCTCCCAAAGTGCTGGGATTATACGTGTGAGCCACAGAACCCGCCCCAGAGTAAGTTTTTTGTCTGTGACCTGCCTCTTGGGAACTAAAACTCTGGCTTCTCTCTTAGAATCAAAAGTAGGCCCATCTCTTGGCCCCCAGATTGTGGTTTCTAAATGCCATTGTCTCCTAAAACAACTAGGCTCCTCGGAAAAATGGCTGATTCCAGGTCTGGAACAGGAAATGAGCTAGAGTATCTTATTAGAATAAATAGCAAAGAAGTTATCAGAGATACTAGGGTCCTACCAAGACTCAAGAGCCAATATAAAGAAGCTCCCAGTGGCCAAAGATGGGTCACTTTCAGCATCAATGAGGATAATAACTACGTTGAATTGAAACATATCAAATATGTTTTAAATTACAAAAGTCATACATGTGCATTATAAGTGAATGTCAACAATACAGAAATAATGAGAGTAAAACGGTCTCTCAGATGTAACCACTCTTAATGGTTTGGTGTGTGTCCTCTAGGGTTCTGGTTTTTTTTTTTCTTTTCCCTGAAAAGAGCTAAGCATATAGCTTTTATTTTCCCATTAAACATATCAAATGTGTTTCAATCCATAAATTAATAATGATATTAAAAAAGGAAAACAATGGCTGGGGCACAGTGTCTCATGCCTGTAATCCCAGCACTTTGGGAGGCTGAGGCAGGAGGATCGCTTGAGCCCAGGAGTTCGAGATGAGCCTAGGCAACATAGCAAGACCCCTATTTCTAAAAAACAGTAAATTTGTTTTAAATTAGCCAGGCATGGTGGTGTGTGCCTGTAGTCCCAAGCTACTCAGGAGGCTGAGGTGGGAGGACTGCATGAGCCCAGGAGGTCAAGGCTACAGTGAGCCATGATCATACCACTACAATCCAGCCTGGGCAACAGAATGAGACCTTGTCTTAAAAAAGAAGAAAATAGAAAACAGAAAAATGCATTGGTCACTTTTGAAGGATGCCAGGAAAACCAATTCATTGCTCTAAAAACTGGTAAATACAGGGAAAGAATCAAGTATTTATTCTGTCTTTCCTATGCATACTGTACCTCAGGATAACCACATAGTAGATGAGAGCAAGTATTTCTTTTTTTTTTTCTGAGATGAAGCCTCGCTCTGTTGCTGAAGCTGGAGTGCAGTGGTGCGATCTCGGCTCGCTGCAACCTCCGCCTCCCGGGTTCAAGCAATTCTCTGCCTCAGCCTCCCAAGTAGCTGGGATTACAGGCACCCGCCACCACACCCAGCTAATTTTTTGTATTTTTAGTAGAGACAGAGTTTCTCCATGTTGGCCAGGCTGGTCTTGAACTCACCGATCAAGTATCTTTTTATGGAAGTATTCCAGCTCATAAACGAAGGAGGTAGAATTAGAATATCCCCATGTTTCAACCTCTAATGAGAACTATAAATGTAGCCAGTGATCACCAATGGCTGTTAACGTCATAGAAAGAGACAACCAGGGCCAGACACGGCAGCTCATGCCTGTAATCCCAGCACTTTGGGAGGCCGAGCGGACAGATCACAAGGTCAAGAGATCAAGACCATCCTGGCCAACATGATGAAACCCCGTCTCTACTAAAAATACAAAAAAATAGCTGGGTGTGGTGGCACGTGCCTGTAGTTCCAGCTACTCGGGAGGCTGAGGCAGGAGAATCGCTTGAACCCAGGAGCCGGAGGTTGCAGTGAGTCAAGATCATGCCACTGCATTCCAGCCTGGCGGCAGAGTGAGACTCTGTCTCAAAAAAAAAAAAAAAAGAAAAGAAAAAGAAAGAACGAAAGAGACAACCAGGTGATTTCAGTCTTCCTAAGGGAGCAGAGCATATCACCTATGAAGTATTCTTGCCAAAACATCACCCTTGAGTCTGGCTGAGCTTCTAGAGCTACCAATCTACAGAAAAATACAGAAGACAAAGAACATGTTAAGTAACACCGCAGAAATACAATCATCAAAATCTAGACTGTGTGAAGCTCTGCAGGACAAACAACGAGTTTCTCCACAAAATACAATACAAAAAATAAAATGAGGCAGAGGAAAATTTATAGATTCAAAGAGATTTATAGTTATTTCAATCTTGATTTGAGCAAGGAGGTAAAAAAGACAATCAGGAAAATCTGAACACTGGTAGGATCTTTGATGATATTAGGATTTGTTAATTTTAAGGTGTGATAACATTTTTATTGTAATTTTAAGGGAATTATTAACATTTAGAGATATAGGTAGATTTTTTTATTTTTTATTTTATTATTATTATTGTTGTTTTAGACAGAGTTTCCCCCTGTTGCCCAGGCTGGGGTGCAGTGGTGCCATCTCGGCTCACTGTAACTTTCGCCTCCTGTGCTCACGCCATCCTCCCACCTCAGCCTCTGGAGCAGCTGGGACTACACGCATGCGCCACCACGCCTGGCTGATTTTTGTTTTTGTTTTTTTTTTCTTAGAGATGGAGTTTCACCATGTTGCCCAGGCTGGTCTCGAACTCCTGGGCTCAAGTGATCTGCCCATCTCAGCCTCCCAAAGTGCTGAGATTACAGCCACGGGCCACCACACTGGCCATCCTCTTGATCTTGACAAGCACCTGAAATGATGGTCTTGGCCAAGTCATTTCCTGTTTCTGAGTTCCATCTCCTAGCAGTTGGAATTGCTTAAAACGGGAGAGAGGCTCTGATGGGTTGGTTTAAGCACAACTGCCCACCCAGTGTAAGGGTTTGTAATTTCAAATCTACTCTGAGATGTGTTTATTTGACCCTTTGGGGACTTTGTGAAGATTAATTTTTCACCCAGTGACATCCCACATTTATTTTATAGGACACTTTGCTGGACATTCGGGAGGGCAGATATAGATGTAAGTGATGTTTTTGACAAGATCTGGGGACTTTCTGACACTAATGGATAGTTACAGTAAAGTGCTGGAAGGAGGGAAGATCCCTGGAGGGTGCTCCCAGAGGAGGGGGTGCCTCTGAAAGGAGTGGATGGGGTTGGGTTGGAGTGTGAAGGCTGCATTTGTAGACTTGCTGCCCCATATTATTTTCACTGATAATATCCTTGCTGTGTACTATGAAACTCTGGCTCTTATGGCGATGAGAAGAGACTGAAGAGGGGATTGAGAGAGATGTTACAATAGGAATGGGGTCTTACCATCCATAAAATATGTTAACTTCATTGTTTCTTTTGAGCAAGATGGCACATTGTCTAGTTCCATGGCACTGGTAGTCATTATCAAGACAGATGACTAGAAATCTGCCAGTTAGTCAAATCTACAAGCCTCTGTCCTTCTTTAGGTTACCTCGGTGTATCATTTAGAAATACTTTTCAGTGCAAGTACAGAAACCACTGAATAACTGGCTTAAACAAACAGGGGCTACCTGCCCTCCTCCTCTCCCTTCTGCTCCTTTTTTTTTTTAAAATTATTTTATTTCAGTAGTTTTGGGGTAACAGGTAGTTTTTGGTTACATGGATAAGTTTTTTGTTTTGTTTTGTTTTTTGAGACAGAGTCTCACTCTGTTGCCCAGGCTGGAATGCAGCGCCACCATCTCAGCTCACTGCAACCTTCGCCTCCCAGGGTTCAAGCGATTCTCCTGCCTCAGCCTCCCGAGTAACTGGGATTTCAGGTGCACACAACGATGCCTAAGTTTTGTATGTTTTGTAGAGATGGGGTTTCACCATGTTGGCCAGGCTGATCTCAAACTCTTGACCTCAAGTGATCTGCCGCCTCGGCCTCCCAAAGTGCTGGGAATACAGGCATGAGCCACTGCACCCGGCCTATGGATAAGTACTTTAGTGGTAATTTCTGAGATTTTGGTGCACCTGTCACCTGAGCAGTGTACTTTTGGGCCAGGCACAGTGGTTCACACCTGTGATCTCAGCACTTTGGGAAGCCAAGGCAGGAGGAGGTCAGGAGTTTAAGACCAGCCTGGGCAACATAGTGAGACCCAGTCTCTACAAAAAATACAAAAATTAGCCAAGCATGGTGGCACACACCTGTGGTCCTTGCTACTTGGGAGGCTGAGGCAGGAGGATTGCTTGAACCCAGGAGTTCAAGGCTGCAGTGAGCCATGATCACACCATGATTACTCCACTGCACTCCAGCCTGGGTTACAGGGCAAGACCCTGTCTCAAAAAACAAAAACTAAAAATAAAACAAAAACAAAAATACCCTCCCACTTCTGGGGATAGGGACAGGCAGAGAAGGTGCCCTAATGGAGGGTGCTCGCCTTGAACATGTAAAAGATCAGAGAGGTCCAGAGGAGTGGGTTCAGGGTTTGGACCCATGTGGCTGGAGGGCAAGGTTTAGGTGGGAATCTATAAAGCTCCCAGCACTTAACATAAGTTACCCAAGTTCTTCTAGCCAGCTTGGTGGATGGTGTTAACCACAGTTCACACCTACCCAGTCTGTTTTCCCCTATTCCTCTTCATCTGCTTCCCAGGCTCTATTTCTCGCTTGGGGTCGGGGGGGTAAGGGGGGGAAATCACGTGACTCACGAAGACCAATCATTGTACTATATTCCTCCCTAATTGTGATTGGTCCAGGGTTTATCATGTGACTCAAACCAGCTGCATAAGGAAATCAAGATGGAGTGAGACACAGATAGAAACAGGGACTTTAGGGGCCTGCAGGTTCAGATTTTTGGCCCCAAAGCTCAGTTCTTGCAGCTCCTCCTTCAGAGGGCTTCCTCCTGAGAGCTTCCCCAACATTCCTTACAACCAAAAAAGTCAATACATTTCTTTTTTTTCTTGAGATGGAGTCTAGCTCTGTCACTTAGGGCTGGATATGAAGTGCAGTGGCCTGATCCTGGCTCACTGTAACCTCCGCCTCCCAGGTTCAAGTGATTCTCCTGCCTCAGCCTCCCGAGTAGCTGGGACTACAGGCATACCACACCAGGCTAATTTTTTGTATTTTTGGTAGAGGTGGGGTTTCACCATGTTGGCCAGGCTGATCTCCCAACTCTTGGACTTAAGTGATCTGCCCGCCTATGCCTCCCAAAGACCTGGGATTACAGGCGTCAGCCACTGGGCCTGGCCCAATACATTTCTTTAAAAAAAAAATCGCTACTTTTCTTTCTTTCTTTTTAGTTTCTTTTTTGTTCTTACAAGGTCTTACTGCATCACCCAGGCTGGAGCGCAGTGGTGTGATCATAGCTCACTGCAGCCTCTCCCTAGGCTCAAGTGATTCTCCTGCCTCAGCCTCCCAAGTAGCCAGGACTGTAGATGCCTGGCTAATTTTTGCTTTTGTTTGATACGGAGTCTCACTCACTGCAACCTCCACCTCCTGGGTTCAAACGATTCTCCTGCCTGAGCCTCCCGAGTAGCTGGGGTTACAGGCATGCACCACCACGCCTGGCTAATTTTTGTATTTTTTATAGAGACGGGATTCCACCATGCCGGCCAGGCTAGTCTTACACTCCTGACATCAAGTGATCTGCGCACCTCAGCCTCCCAAAGTGCTGGGATTACAGGTGTGAGCCACCGCATCTGCCCAAATTTTTGTATTTTTTGTAGAGATTGGGGGGGTCTCACTATGTTTCCCATCTCAAACTCCTGGCTTCAAGCAATTGTCCTACCTTGGTCTCCCAAAGTGCTGGGATTATAGGAGTGGGTCGCCACACCCGGCCAGTTTTACTGAGATATAATTCACATAGCCTACAATTCACCCATTGAAAGTATACAATTCCATGGCTTTTATTGTATTCATAGGGTTGTGCAACCATTACCACGTCGATCTTAAAACATTCTCATCACCCTAAAAATAAACTGTGCATCCAATCATTCCCCATTTCCCCTCAAAACCCCCAGCCTTAGACAACCACCAGTCTACTTTCTGTCTCTATGAATTTACCTATTCTAGAGATTGCATATAAATCAAATAATACAACAGGCAGTCCTTTGTGGCTGGCTTCTTTCACTTGACATAATGTTTCCACGGTTCATCCATGTTGTAACAGAGTACATTTCTTTTTGCTGGGACTGGTTGTGGTTGGGTTTCTAGCACTTGCAAACTAAAAGTGTGGTCAGGATTTGACGCTAGATCTGACAGGCACCAAAGCCCTTGTTCTTTCTGTTTTACCTGGCGAGGCCAAATCATGGAGGGCTTTGAATGCCAGGCCAAAGGGTTTGACTTTCCTGCTATAGGCTGTGGGGACTACTGAGCAGGGGAGTGACAAGTTTACAGCAGTGTTTTAGTGAGAGTATCCTGATGACAGTGTAGGTTTCAACCTATGTGTGTGTATATATTACATATCATATGCAATGTGTATACACACAAATGTCTTAGGGCTGATGATTATAGCAGCAGTTCTCAAACTGGGTTCCACGGAACACTGCGGTCTCATTGGAGGTGTTCCATGAGGTAATGAGAAATACTGTGCCTTTTATCTGGAAAATGCAGAAGGAACAAGATTCAAGAGAACCAGGATGCAGCCGGAGTTCTGAGTCTAAGTGAACTACTGGCACTTGCTGTGACTTCATCTAGTCATCCAGATACCCCCACCCATGCCTGTTGGCTGTCAGGCAGGATGAGAGTTACAGCTGGTAGCCTCCTTTACTCTGCTCTGTTCCTCAACCTTTGTGAAAGCTGATCTGAAGAAAACTCGTGAGGGAAAGAAAGGCCTTCATCCTCCCTTCAATCGGACAAGGTCTTTTATATAGAACCATCGTGGAATGGCAGGGCAGTGCTTTTATGGAGCAAATCTAGATATGGAGAAGGCAATGAAGCAGTGGGAACTGGGAAAGGGTGCAGACCGAGATGTCTGAGGCCTCACCCAATCCATCCACAGTGGCAATGAGTACCCAATACCTACGGGCAGAGTCCAGATATCCCAGCTTCATCCATCCAGCATGACTACTTGCCTTGCCCTGTGTGGCCAGCTCAGGACACTTTCTTTCTTTCTTTTTTTTTTTTGAGATGGAGTTCCACTCTTGTTGCCCAGGCTGGAGTGCAAGGGCGCGATCTTGGCTCACTGAAACCTCTACCTCCTGAGTTCAAGTGATTCTCCTGCCTCAGCCTCCTGAGTAGCTGGGATTACAGGCGCCCGCCACCACATCCTGTTAATTTTTGTACTTTTAGTAGAGGTGGGATTTCGCTATGTTGGCCAGGCTGGTCTCGAACTCCTGACCTCAGGTGACCCACCCACCTTGGCCTCCCAAAGTGCTGGGATTATAGGTGTGAGCCACCATGCCCGGTCATGTCCCCACAGTTTCTAATTGAATTAGAAATTAAATTAGCACATTCACACTCAGATGGGCCTTCCAGTTGCATTTCTCTCCACTGCATACTAATCCATGTCCTCCCTATCCTTAGAGGCCCTGGGCCAGCCCCTTCCTCTAAGAAGCTGTGGGGCAACTCCTCCGGCACGCCACTCTCTGCCACAAGGAACTCTGTGTTTTGTAGGGTACTGAGAGTGGACTTGGCTGTTTCTGGTGAGCAGTGCAGCCCCAGAGAGGAGAAGCAAGCATAGAGGAGGGAATGGCATGGTGCTTGCATTCACTGGCCCCAGAGGCAGTGGGTTAGAGCTAGAAGTTGAAGAAGCTGTTTTCATAAGGGACTCTGAGAGGTTCTGGACACAATCCAAGGTGCCTCAGGGACCTGAGGACAAAGGATAGCCCAGTGTCAGGTTTTCTCCTGACTCTGACCCAGAATCCAGCCCCATTCTGATGCATCGGGGCCTGGTGGCTTTGGGACCGTGGGAAGCAGTCTGTTGGCAGAGCCACTGGCACTTTCATGGGGGGGCATCACAGCAGAGGCAGTGCATAGAGCCCCAACAAGCAGGCTCAGGATGTGAGATGTGTTCTATTCTGCAATAGATTTGTCCCCTGTGAGTTCCACATGTAGGTAGGTAGAGTTTGAGTGGAGGGCTGAGGTCCTCCATAAGCAAATGTAGATTTGTGTAGGTTTTCATCCTGTGTGTGTTTTCATCCTTTCGGCCTAGGGTTCTGGGCTGGGGGAGGGGGGAAGGGTGACGCCTCAGGTAAACTGTGTCCCCATTCACACTCAGGTGATAGCACCTGGGCCTTGGGTGTCTGCCCTGCCAGAGTGTAAGCTCTTTGAGGGTCTCCTGGCCTCACTCTTGCCCATACACTGTTGGATGGCCCACTCTGACCCAGCTTTGCTGAGAATCTGCATGCTTGGTGTTGGGAACAGGCCTCCCAAAATCTGGCCATAAACTGGCCCCAAAACTGGCCATAAACAAAATCTCTGCAGCACTGTGACATGTTCATGATGGCCATAATGCCCATGCTGTAAGGTTGTGGGTTTATGGGAATAAGGCAAGGAACACGTGGCCCGCCCAGGGCGGAAAATCGCTTAAAGGCATTCTTAAGCCACAAACAATAGGGTGAGCGATCTGTGCCTTAAGGACATGCTCCTGCTGCAGTTAACTAGCCCAATCTATTCCTTTAATTCGGCCCATCCCTTCGTTTCCCATAAGGGATACTTTTAGTTAATTTAATATCTATAGAAACAATGCTAATGACTGGCTTGCTATTAATAGATATGTGGGTAAATCTCTGTTCGGGGTTCTCAGCTCTGAAGGCTGTGAGACCCCTGATTTCCCACTTCACACCTCTATATTTCTGTGTATGTGTCTTAATTCCTCTAGCACTGCTGGGTGAGGGTCTCCCCAACCAAGCTGGTCTTGGCACTTAGGATGGCAAGGACAGAAGCCAGGCAGGCAATGTAAATGAAGCTGGGGCCAGGATGGGGTCTAAGGGGAAGCAGAGGGTATGAGTTCCATTTAAAAAGCGGGAAGCTTCCTGGCCAGTTGTTACCCTGTGGGAATGTAGGTCTGGGGATGCCAGATTTTCCCAGTTTTTCATTTAAGGAAATAGAGATTCAGATTATGTGAAATCTACTGATTTTCAAGTTTAAAAGTCAGCAACTGTGTGGGTTGTTGTCCATGCGCATGTTCAGATCCATTCTCCCCCTGGCCACATCCTGGGAGGGTGACCCTTGTAAACAGCACCCTCTTCCCTGCCCTCTCCATTCCTATTGGATTTGGCCAATGGACAAAATAGGTAGAGACTGAAAGGTGGGAGATTAGGATGTTTATCCCCCTTGTTCCAAGCCAAGTCTCCCCTGACCCCATAAACACTGGGGCCATGGTTTTGGCAGTGGCTCCTCTCCTAGGTTATAGCTCTCATGGTCTGGTGACCCCTCTTTCCCTTCTATCTTCAGGCCTGGGGGTGAATCCCTCCACTGCTTGTCTTTGGGTGCCTCCCCATCCTTTGCTGGCTCTATTCATCCTGCCAGTATAAACAGTCCCTTCATTATGAGCTCTTCCCTGTTAACCCCTTTTAAATGTGCCGTTTCCTGCTGGGAACTACTGATACCAAGTAATTCAATTGAACAGCCACACTGGGAGGTGCAATCACACCTGGATCTGCAGTCTGGATCCAGCCAGTCTGCGGGAGCCCAGCTTGCAACTGCTGACGTATGCTCAAAGCCCCACACCGAGGCCAGCAGGCCAAAGCTGAGAGTACCGCACAGACCAACACAGTGCTAAGGACAGTAGGTACACAATAACTCCCACGTTGAAACTGAAGAGGCAAACCAAAAAAGGGAAAAGGTTGAGACACGTCTAACCAGTTTAATGACTTCGAAACCGTGCAAATGCCAAACTATGGAGCACTAGGGATACAAGAGGCACCAAGGCCTGGGGGGTGGGGGTGGGGGACACTACAACATTGTCATGGGGAAAACGGGATCACCTAATATTGGTAGGGGAAAAGGGCGGTCCACTGGCAGCTCAGAACTATGACATATTCCTCAGGGGAGCCTGCATCCCTTCCTGAAAGTAGGAGCAAGCCAGCTGCCTTCACTCTCGGACATAAATTCTGGTGCAGACCACGTCATCGGCGCCAAACGTCTGCAGAGAAGAAGAAAAGGAAAACCAATCAGTGCAGATGCCTGTGCAAAAATGTTTAAAGCATATCACTAATAAGGCCACTTATTGCCCTGTTAAAAACTCTTTGTAACAGACATTCAATTTCCTGTGTGTGTGCTCAGGCTAAGCATTAAGGGATATTTTTTCCCCCTTAAGCGCTATTGGTAAAGAGGTAACCAGAGTATAGAATTATGTTATATACCATTTTCCTTTGCTTATGGAACCTGTAAAATGCTGACATAAGAAATGCCAGGAGTTTTGGTTTTAAAATTAAACTGAAAGGGAAAGAATGTCACAATGGACATTTCTGAAGTGGCTCTGTCTCTTTTCAAATGACTTCAAGATAGAAAGAAGCTCAGGCAGCTGGGGTCATGAGGCCCAGCACTCACCAGCCAGTTCTGTTCCTTGCTTTGGAGAAGGAATAGAACTGCTTTCCAGGAAGCAGTCATCTAACCTGGGAGACAGGCTGAGATGCTGTATATGTAATACTCAAGTCACCTGCAAGCTAGAAAATTGGTCTCAGCTGCAAAAGCACAGCATTGGCATCCAAACCTAGCCCCTGCAGCTCACAGCTGGCTAAGCTTGGGGGCAAATGTTTTCCTCTCGTGGCCTGTTTGGGAAAGGGGCAGGCAGGGGCTGGTGTTGAGGAGAGGGGTGGAGTTGACAAGATGATCATCGCAAAGGCTCTTCCAGCTAAAATTCTATGGCTCTTAGTTTGTTTGCTGTAGGGAGGACACGAATCATTGCACAGATGGAGGAGGACATTTTTCTGCTGGCCCCTGAAATGATATTGCCCACAAGTAAACTGTCTCAACTTTCCCCCAAAACTAGCAATTACTCACAGGCCTGCTCTCCTGGACCTCTCACAGGCAGTTAGAACAGGGAAAGCAATATGTATGTTAAAAAAAAAAAAAACAAAAACAAAAACCAAGAAACAGAAATTCCCCAGTCTGTAAACCTGATGTGAGTATGTTTGTTTGCAAATGTACATTTATGTGCCAGAAGGTCCTTATCTTTCAGATTCTTAAAGTGGCCTGAAATTACAGAGATGTTAAAACCACTAAACGAGGCATTTAGCTATCCTAGGATCTTTATATTCTTACCCTGCCATCTTAGTTGGTCACGAGATGCTCTCAGAGAACATATGCTAAAACATTATCCTGACACGTGTGCTTCAGGGAAATAGTTCAAGTCCTTAGTGACTGAGGAAGCAGATGCCCATCACTAGCTTCTTTTCTTTTTGAGACGGCCTTACTCTGTCACCCAGGCTGGAGTGCAATGGTGTGATGTCAGCTCACTGCAACCTCTGCCTCCCAGGTTCAAGTGATTCTCCTGCCTCAGCCTCCCAAGTAGCTGGGATTACAGGCATACACCACCATGCCCAGCTAATTTTTGGGTATTTTTAGTAGAGATGGGGTTTTACCTTGTTGGCCAGGCTGGTCTCGAACTCCTGACTTCAAGTGATCCACCTGCCTCAGCCTCCCAAAGTGTTGGGATTACAAGCGTGAGCCACTGCACCCAGCCACTAGCTTTTCATGCTAGGGATCTCCTGACCAGACTGGCAGTTATACCCACTCCTGGACACCTTTGTCCTAGCCTCTTCTCTATTGGGAAGAAATGCAGGTGATTCTGCATGCTAGGGGGTGTGGGGCTTGACTTTCCCACCGTAAGTCTACCTCGCAGATGTCTGGACGCCTCAGAACCATGTTAATTTTCCATAATTCTTTGAGTTCTACAGCCATGGATTGTCAAATGGCTGCCAGCATTTGGGTATTGAACGCTGTACCCTGGAGAAACTATTCTCACTAGCTGACAGCTCTCCCCAGCTAACAAATAGCTTCATGACATGAGAAGAAATCGCCGCATTTCCAACCACATTTGAAGCGCCCTTCTCAGCCTGCAAACTATGCTTAGAGGTTCCCGACAGAAACTCTCTGTAGAATATTCCAGAGTGGTTTGTGGGAGTATACTCAGTTTTCAAAGGAAGGCAACTTATAGCCTGGGGGCAATTTACTGTTGGCGCTGGGAGAGCTTATTTCAACTTAACTAGAATAATTGCCTCTTGTTATATAGAGACTGCATCTCTCTGCGTTTTAGATTTATTAATGATAATAACCCTTGAAACAAAAGCCCACATTTCAGATCCAAAATGCCAAGAGTTAATACTCCCTTTCCCTTTGAGTCTTGTATATATGTTTGCTGTGCCAGGGAAGAATGCAGGGATAGAACTGAAGTTGGGAGGAGGGAGGATTTGAAAGTGATGGGGTCCATCTAGCAGAATTTGGCCTGTGACTCCAGCTGCTCGTATACTACAGAGGTTAATAAAATCACTCTTTCTCAGAGCAAACCGATCCTACTGAACCCTCAGCTACATTCTAAAACTCTAAAATCATCTCCCTCTGCTGTCTCTGGTACCAGTAAACCATATACGCCTTTTCTCCTAAATTTCCATGTCTCAGCCTCAAATTGCTCCCCCAAGCCCAGCAAGTATCCTTTCCCTGGAAACAATATTAACCAGGTTGCAAATTAAGCCAGTCCTTTCTCTGTGAAAGGAGAAAGCATGTTAAATCATACCAGGGAAGGACAAGAGGAGAGAGAGAAAGATCAAGCAGTCTCATTTCAAGTAATAGCTCAATTTAGGGTCTTCTTGCAGAATAAACATGTAATTTCAAGGCTGAGAGGGACCTCAGGGATCAGACTTCAGCTTAACCCCTCATTGTATAGCAAGGGGAAGAGCTTGGGAAGGGAAGGCCTATGCTCAGGTCACACTGCAAGTCCTTTCCTAGCACCCTTCAGCAGGCAGTCTCCTATTCACAACATTTCAAGGTGACATTCACTAAGATGGAGCAGAGATTAACAAAATACCTAATGGAGAACAAAGGATATAATTTCCTGGTTACCCAAAACAGCTTTCCCTTTTCTGGTCTGGAAGAAAAGGGTGGTTGCAAAACCCTTAATTAGTTTTTTTGTTTTTTTTTTTGTTTTTAATTTTGAGACAGGGTCTCAGCTCTGTTGCCCAGGCTAGAGTGCAGTGGCATGATCACAGTTCACTGCAGCCTCAAACTCCTGGGCTCAAGTGATCCTCCCACTTCAGCCTCCGAGTAGCTGAGACTACAAGCATGTGCCACCACACTCAGCTAATTTTTTTTTTTTTTTTTTGTAGAGATAGGGGTCTCACTATGTTGCCCAGGCTGTTCTCAAACTCCTGGGCTCAGCCTCCCAAAGTGCTGGGATTACAGGTGTGAGCCACCAATCCCAGCCCAGTTTTGTAACACAAAGGGAGAGCGAGGGGGATTGTTCTGCCCTCAGCCTTCCTTTGTTCTCTACCTAAAAAAAGGGGAGGAAGTGTGTGCTTAAATTATAGAGGTTTCTAATTTGGCCTCACTAGGTAAGTTTTGTTTGGCTAGGAGCAGGTGTTTAAAATGTTTTCGTCTGAATACTTTTTTTTTTTTAGAGACAGAGTCTCTGTCGCCCAGGCTGGAGTGCAGTGGTGCCATCTCAGCTCACTGCAACCTCCGCCTCCTGGGTTCAAGTGAATCTCCTGCCTCAGCTTCCCGAGTAGCTGGGATTACAGGCATATGCCACCACGCCCGGCTAATTTTGTATTTTTAGTAGAGACGGGGTTTCTCCATATTGATCAGGCTGGTCTCAAACTTGCAACCTCAGGTGATCCACCCGCTTTGGCCCCCCAGAATGCTGGGATCTGAATACTTTTAAGGAAAAGCCTATCTTTTTTAGTTCTACAGGGGCTCATCTCTCCACACTGTGTTATACTCAGACACTTCCCAAATTAGCATTCATTGCCTGGCTCCCAAAGGCCATTGGAGTTTGCAAATCACAGCTAAAAATGTTCTCTAAGGTTCTGAGTGCTGATGTGATAAAAATTACTGAAACCTTTTCCAGCCAGCAAAAGGGGGAATGAGAATGAAAAAAAATCCCTTCTGCCATGTGAGCGTGGGGACCTCATAGAGCCTAAGCATTCCAAGCCTGATGAGAGGGGAGCTTGGCTTAAAGCATGTCACCGCCACTGGGATGTATTAGTGTGGATAGTGGCAGGCACTCCAGCCTGTCTCCAGCCCCTATTCCATCCTCTGAGCCACTCCTCTTTCCTGCCAACCATTTAACAATGATTTCCTCTGACCTGAACTGTCATCTCGGGTTTTCTGCTCTAATTTTAATCCAGGGCAAATGGTGTCTTTCTCTGAACGGCCGAGTGAGGAGGACATATTTGTGGGGCCCATCTGGGGCCCCCTCTGGGGGAACTTCAGGATTATTTCAGGGTCAAGGGTTCCCTACCAGGATAAGTTCATCGTTGGCCAGCTCACGGGTCCAGTAGGTTTTGGGGCCGTCCCCTTCAAGAAGAGTTTGCGTGCAGTGGATCTTGTTCTCATTCTCCCAAGTGGCTAAACTCTGCAGGCGGGAAAACCATTAGTGACATTAATTAGAGTCTCAGCAGCGGGAGCAGGGACAACAATGAGCATTGAAAAATAATTGCTCTGCAGAGAATCAACACATGGTCCCTGTCAGCAGGCCACAGATTCTTCTCCGCTGAGCCTTATAAAGTCCAAATTCAGAGTGCTGGTCACAGATTTTATGGGGTATAAATACACCTTGTATAACACACACACACACTCACAAGCACACACAAACAATCTCTTACTGAAGCAGCGAGGCCTTAGGCATGCTTTACATCTCTAGGAATAAAATTTAGAGCATGAAATGATTCATTTATATAAAAATTAGCTAACCCTTCAAACAATTTGGATTTTATTTATTTTTATTCATTTTTTTTTTGAGATGGAGTCTCGCTCTGTTGCCCAGGCTGGAGTGCAGTGGCACAATCTTGGCTCCTTACAACCTCCACCTCCCAGGTTCAAGCAATTCTCCTGTCTCAGCCTCCTGAGTAGCTGGGATGACAGGTGCCTGCCACCACGCCCAGCTAATTTTTTTGGTATATTTAGTACAGATGGGGTTTCACCAGGCTGGTCTCGAACTCCTGACCTCAGGTGAACATAATTTGGATTTTAAAAGCAAGAACCTTCACATCAGAACCACAAGATTTGACAACAGTTAAGACACCAAGTTTGTAACCACATCTGTCATCAGCCTATCAGGAGCACGATTCCCTGCATGGATTTTGGGATAGGAACGTCCTTTCTGTTCACTCCTCATCAGATTTAGTGCACCCCTGCACTGATAAACCTCGGTGTCTTTGGCTCTGAGGGTTAAAATGCTGCCACTTTCCCGGTTACATCCCTTTAGAAAAAATTTAAAAAGCAAATCAATCTGAAGGCTCTTCATGCTTTTGGAGGTGGGAGGCAAAAGGAGGGATTTCCTGAAGTTTTTCCCCAGTGTCTGCACAAAGCTAAGTGTGGTACAGCTGGGCTGGGGGGTGGGCCAGAGCTGAATGTGCACATAATCAGTTTTTAACTAACACATGGGACACATTCATTAGGCAAGGTGTGGGGGGATGGGGGGTGCATAAAGCCCCACTCTCCCGGCTGTTGTGTGAACCTTTAATTTTTTTTTTTTAAATCAGAATTACCCTTCCTGGCAGTAGCCAACATTGGATGTCCCCAGACTGAGCCCTGCCTATTGCCAAGCCTCCTCTCTTAGACTCCCAGCCCTTCACTCTATGCTGTCCTGCTCTTTGTTTCTGCAGTGCAGTTTAGGCTTCAGATCCCACCCCCTCCAAGCGTGGAGATCATTTCCAGGCTATGACAATTCTGGAGCCAAAGATTGCCTCCTAGATCAGCCTGCTTCTGGGGGGCTTTGTTTCTTTGTCCTTCCAAGCCCGGTGCTCAGAGAGTCCCATTCCGAGATCAGACCAGGCACTGCTCAGGAAAGGTGAAAGAAACAATTTCCCACTCTCTGGAATGTTACGACTTTTTTCTTTAAAAAAAAAAAATTGGAGAAGGGGAGGGAGACATTCTGTCACTTTTTAAATAAGTGGTAGCACCGGTGATTATTTTTCCATCTGGTTAACCAAATGCAATTTTTGCCCATGCAAAAAACGAATGTACAACCCCTTGCTTCAATCCACCGGTTCATCCCTGGGCCGATGCATGGAGAAATAAAAAAAAACTCTTGCCCTTGAGGACTAAGAGAGGGCAACTAGTCCATTTTCCCAGCCAGAACCTGCCTTGCTTTTGGAAAGACTCCGCCGTTCCTTTAAGGAACCAGGCCGAAGGCGGGAAGGGAGAGGTGACGGGGCCATCGGGACTGCTAAAACTGTATCCAGAGCGTACCCAGGCGGCCCAGGGACCCGGGCGGGCGCGGGGGATACGGCGGGAAAGGAATGCAAGAGCTGCGGCTTCACCTGCGACAGAGAACCTGGCGGCTCCTGCAACCTCCTCCTCCTCCTGCGCCGCCTGCGCTTGGCGCTGCAAACCGCTGCAAAAGCCACTGCTGGGAACGCGGCGCAACCCAGAGCCCGCTCTTTAAGCGCGGCTGTTAGCACCCCGGGAGGCAGCGTAGGGATGGGGTTGAGATGGAATGAAGGTAATACTTTGTCTTGAGCCAGGGGCAACTAGGATGCACAAACCCCCTCTGCAAACAGCCAGTGTACACACCCTGCAAGGAAGGCGCGCCACAGGCTGCAAAGGGAGACACAGGTTCCTCCAGCAGCAGTGGGCCATGGGCACCGAGCGGGGACACGGGGACGCTGTAGTGGCTCTGGGGCCTCACCCTGCACTTGCGTCCGTCCACGGTCTCCTCCTCAAAGCCTTCTCCGACCTTGAAGTTGATCTCAGTGGTGCGCACCGTGGTGGATGTCTTGATGTAGAACTGATCCCCGTCCTGGCGGATCTCCACGTGCGGCTTGGACGCAGCCGCTACGGCCACTTTCCTCAGCATGGCGTTCACACCTGCGCAGGGTGCACCACAGGCTTGGGTCACGGGGCCTCGCCGCCAGTCTCGGGACCGGTCGGGCACTGGTCATACCCTAACTTTAGAAAGGGGCCTTAAAATTGATCCACTCGTTTCCCTGCCCTCGCCCTTGTTTTCGAGATGAGAGACTGAGGCACAGAGAGGGTAAGTGACTTTCCTCGAGTTGCACAGTGAATTCGTGGCAGAGCCTGGTCCCAAATTTGAGTCTCCAAATTTAAGTCCCTGATCCTCCTTGCTCTCCAGTAATCTCTCCTCGCTATGATCTAGCACGAGATAAAGTCCGCACCATCGAGGAGGGCGCCAAACATTCAGCAAACGTTCGCTGAACGCGTGGGTTCCGGGATCTCTACCAGCTTCTCCGAGACCCGGTGCGCCTGGGAGACAAGGCGATCTATTGCCCCGGGGACTCCCTCCTGCCTGGGCTCCCCAACTTCCACCCCCTCCAGGACCGGGGCACTTCCGGGACCAGGGCACCTCCGGGCCGCATCTCCCCGTCGGGGCGCGCCCTCTGCACCAGCTTACCCAGTGCCTTGAGCAGCTCGTCGAAATTCTCGCTGCTGCGCATCTTCCAGGTGCCGGCGAAGTTGGGCATGGTGGCGGTGGCGGCGGCGGCAGGTACGGACAGCGGCGGCGCAGCGGGCACACTCTGAGCTCGCAAGGCGGAGACTGGCGCTTTGCGCCCAGCGCTGCGCGCCTTGAGTCACTAGGAGAGCGCCCCCAACCCCGCCGGGCTTCTGGCCCCGCCCCGCCGGCCCTGCCCCCGCTCCCCCGCAGCCCCTACTCGGTATGCGCTCAACTCCCAGCCCAGTTGTGCCTCAGCCTCCAGAGGTGCGGGCACCCGCTCTCCAACTGGGGAGCCTCCACCTCCCTCAGGACACCCACATCCCGCTTTAAAATGGGTGGTGGGAGAGGGTTAGCTGAAACAAGATGGGCTTGGAGGGGATAACTGTTGAAGCTGGGCGGTGTGGACTTGGGTTATGATTCTACTTTTCTCTCTACTTTTGAATATGTTTGAAAATATCCATAACATAAACTTAAAGTGGATAGCGAGCGGGGCCATCAGGGGATGGGACCCACTCTTTTTTCACCTCCGGTCGTACCTACTGGGTGTGCCCAGATGGTGTCCCTTCCCTCCCAGTCCGGGATCCTATTCTGAAACCCTCTCCCCGCATCCCCACGCCCCCCACAGGACCCATGGGGAGTGAGTGGCAGGAAACCGCAACCCCCATCAACACCAGCTTGGGCACTGAGGCGCGAATCCACGAGCTGCGGGTCCTCCGCGTTCCGAGTGCAGGAGGGGGCCAGACCTTTGTCAGGGCTCAGGACAAACTGTGGGTCGAGAGGCATGGACTGAATCAGCTCCAGAATCTGGGCTAGGTGCGGCCTGTTTTGCAAAAGCGTGAGGCTTTGCACTCTTCGGGCAGGCTGTGAGGGCCAAGGGGAGGAAGTCTTCTCCCTTTGCTCCCAAATAACCTAAACATCACGACCTAAAGTCCCCTCGGTGTTTCCACTAAGGGAGTACAAACACTTCACTATTACCCTTGTAGCTCTTCTCTGTACATTTTCCTTCCAGCTTTTTCCCACTATTTTACCATCTGCACACCTCAGCCAAACTGTACAATTCAGGATTCTAGAACGTGCCATGCATTTTATTATCTCTAAGTTTTTGCCCATGCCATGGCTTCTTCCTTGAATGCCCCTTTCCTCATCGGGTTAATCAAATCTTGCCCATTCACGAAAGCCCATCTTTATGCTCTCTCTTTTGTGAAATTCAGTTTCCTAATAAACTGTGATTATTTTTCTCTGAATTGACAGGATTCTTGTCCGGTCCTGCTCTTGTTCAAGTCTTCGCTCTGCTATAAACTGAACTCCTGGAGGGCAGTGATCGTTTATCCACTTGTCCTCCCTTCCTAAGGCTTAGCCAGGTGGGGCTCGATAACTGTGCATTGATTTGAGGAGGATGTGAGTGGTGGCCTGGGGTGAAGATTCCCCCAGGACCTTGGGGAATCTGTGCTGAGTGCCTACTGAACAGGGCCCTGGAAACTTCTGGAGGTGGCTGGGGCTGGGTTGCTGCCAGGAGGCTCCGAGGATCTGTCTAAGAAAGCAGCTGAGGACAGGAGAGGGGAGTGGGGCCATCACCAGCTGGAAAGGGGCATGGGCAGGGCCGGCATTCTGGACGTGCCGTCTGTGCAGTCACACAGGGCCATGCACTTAGAAGGGCCTGATAGTTAGATTGGAAAATGGAAAAGCAGGAATGCTCTGCTATTGCCAGCTTGAACGTCAGAATACTTTTTGTTTGTTTGTTTGTTTTGAGACAGAGTCTCGCTCTGTTGCCCGAGCTGGAGTGCAGTGGCGCAATCTTGGCTCACTGCAACCTCTGCCTCCTGGGTTTAAATGATTCTCCTGGCTCAGCCTCCCAAGTAGCTGGGACTACAGGTGTGTGCTACTATGCCCAGCTAATTTTTTGTATTTTTAGTAGAGACAGGGTTTCACTGTGTTAGCCAGGATAGTCTCGATCTCCTGACCTCGTGATCCGCCCTCCTCGGCCTCCCAAAGTGCTGGGATTACAGGCATGAGCCACCGTGCCTGGCCCCATAATACTTTTTGAACAAGGAGTCCTGAATTTTTATTTTGCACTGGGATCTGCAAATTAAGTAGCAGGTCCTGGATGTGGGAGGCAAGGGATGGAGCTGCCATAGAATCAAACCCACTTCACAGAGGGTTGAGTGCCTCTCCAGTGAAGGGGCAAAACAGGAGTGCCATCCAGCTAATGCAGGCCTCTGCCCCCATCCAACACTCTTCCCTAAGAAGGCTTCAGCCATCTAAAGGGCAGGGCTGGGGAGGGACTGGGGCAGGAGGCTGGAGGAGGGCAGCAATGTTGGAGCAGCATCCTAGTTTACAGCCCAGAGAGACCTTGTGAGGATAGTCAGAGGGCCGTGGATGAGGCACAAAGGTGACAGAGAGCTCTTGCAGCAAAGGCATTGGATGGACAAAGAGGGAAGAGGGAAAGAAGAAGGTGAGGGAGGGAGTCAGAGAGAGAATGGGGCAAGAGGGGCCAGATGAAGGTGTCCACTCCAAAAGTTGGCCATACTGGGACAGGACAGTGGTGTCGTTCTGCAGGCACAAAACAAGGGCGGGAGCAGGGTCCAGGAGTGAGGAGGGCACAGCCAGTTCAGCCATAGAGTGGAAG
This sequence comes from Homo sapiens, assembly GCF_000001405.40. Lineage (NCBI taxonomy): Eukaryota > Metazoa > Chordata > Mammalia > Primates > Hominidae > Homo > Homo sapiens. The sequence goes on along the minus strand of NC_000015.10, from coordinate 78,337,830 downwards.
ATGATCCCAGAGTCCTTGTGAGCCCACTCTCCTTGTTTTTAAGACAGGGTCTGGCTCTGTCGCCAGTGCTGGAGTGCCCTGGTGCCATCTTGGGTCACTGTAACCTTGCCTCCCGGGCTCAAGCAATCCTCCTGCCTCAGCCTCCCAAGTAGCTGGGATTACAGGCATGCACCACCGTGCCTGGCTAATTTTTGTATTTTTAGTAGAGACAGGGGTTTGCCATGTTGCCCAGGATGGTCTCGAACTCCTGAGCTCAACCAGTTTGTCCACCTCAGCCTCCCAAAGTGCTAGGATTACAGGCATGAGCACCCAGCCTGCTGTCCTTGTTAATGGAAGTTTAGAGGTGACCAGAGCAGACAGGAGGGGCCAGGACTTCTCAGAAGACCCAAATCTCATCAGGTGGCACATGGAAATGGGAGGGCAGGCTGCTATCACCTTCCTGGCTACTGGGGAAACCCCAGAGTCAAGAGGGCCACAAAAACACCACCACCATGGCTGGGCACGGTGGCTCACACCTGTAATCCCAGCACTTAGGGAGGCTGAGGCAGGCGAATCACCTGAGGTCAGGAGTTCGAGATCAGCCTGGCCAACATGGTGAAAACCCATCTCTACTAAAAATACAAAATTAGTCGAACATGGTGGTGCGCCCCTGTAGTCCCAGCTACTCAGGAAGCTGAGTGAGGAGGATCACTTGAACCCAGGAGTCCCAGGTTGTAGTGAGCAGAGATCGCACCACTGCACTCCAGCCTGGGCAACAGAGTGAGATTCCGTCTCAAAAAGAAACAAACAAACCAACAAATAAACAAACAAAGAAAGCCACCACCATCGTGGTGTTTCTGTGGATCCAGAGCAGGCCCCCTGCTGGGCAGAGACCCGGCTCTTGGCCCGGGTCTTCAAACAGATGGGCAGAACCACCTGAAATGCTCTGACCTCCCTGTCTTCTCTCCTTCTCTTCTTTTACCCTTCCATTCGCTAACCTTTGCTGACCATCTCTGTGAGCCAGGAACTGGGTGCACCTCTGAGGATAGTGACCACTCAAGATCCAGGTCCTGTCTTGAAGGTTCACTGTTTACACAGGAGGAAATAACCTAGAAACTCTGTGATCACCACACGGGCTAATAGTGCCTGAGGGGCAGGTACTGAGCCCAGCCTGGGTTGAACCTTAGGAGTGGATCCAGAGGGGCTGTGAGAGTGAGGGAGTACAGTCAGAAGAACAACACGTGCAGGGACAGGGTTATGTGTTTGGGAACCACATATCTTTTGGCCTGGCTGGAGTGCATACCTTGAAGGGAGCAAGGTAGGAGGTAAGACAAGAGATGAGCTGAAGGCACTCTCCTAAGGACAAAGGGTCATGAATGCAGCGTTCCCAGGTGGCCACATAGAAGGATTTAAGCAGAGATGAGCCATGGTCCTACTGCATATTTGGAAAGTTGCCACCACCACAGCGTGGAGAATGAATGAGAGGAGACAAGTATATTACCAGGGATGCAGGGAGGAGGATTTTGCCCTGAACTAGGCAACCAGCGGTGATGTCGGCAGTGGGTTAGACCACAGTGGTTCCCTAAGGCTAGTCTGTGATTTGAGTCAGGCATTACAGCAGCCTGGGGAGCTTTCTAGAAATTCAGATTCCTTGGCCCCAGCCCAGGAGATTTGGATCCTGTAAGTCGTGGATAGGGCCCAGGAAACTGTGTTCGGCAAGTTTTCCAAGTGATTCTCCTTGCACAGCCAGATTGACTTTACAATATGTCATGACTGGTAGGGGTGAGGGAAGTGGGAGCAAGAGGCCAGAATGACTCCTAGATTCCTGGGTGGTGTGCTTGGTGGTCTCATTTGCTGCTATAGGTAAGACATGGATGGCAGATGAGTTTTATCTGGGAAGCGCTGGGTTTGAGTTGTCTGAGTATCCAGGATCCAGTGGGAAGTGTGGTTTTGGAGTTCGAGAGAGAGGTCTTAGCTGAAGACAGGGATGGGGGTCACCTGTTTCCAGCAAGCAGTTGAAGACATGAGTGTGGATGAGATGCGCAGAGACAGGACACAGAAAGAGAAGAGCAAAAGGCAAAGGGTAGAGCTTGGAGAATCTCAGCGTTTAGGGGTCAGATGGAGCAGGTGAGTGCTGAAGGAAGCAGGAGGGGAGAAGGAAGAAAACCAGAGGGTGATGTCCTCCCAGTCAAGGAGCCCAGCATTTTTTAAAAGGAGGGATTGGCTGGGTGCAGTGGCTCATGCATGTAATCCCAGCAGTTTGGAAGGCCGAGGTGGGTCGATCACCTGAGTTCAGGAGTTCAAGACCAGCCTGGCCAACATGGTGCAACCCCATCTCTACTAAAAATACAAAAATAGCCAGGTGTGGTGGCAGGCACCTGTAATCCCAGCTACTTGGGAGGCTGAGGGAGGAGAATCACTTAAGCCTAGTGGGTGGAGGTTGCAGTGAGCCAAGATTGCACAACTGCACTCCAGCCTGGATGACAGAATGAGACTCCATCTAAAAAAAAAAAAAGGAGGGATGGACCAACAGTAACAACTGCTCCAAAGAGGTTCATGGAGGCAAGGGCCACCACGTGTCCTCTGGATGAGCAGCAGGACGGTCTTCGTGACTGCAGTCAGAGCAGTTTTAGGAGGTGGTGGGGTCTGAAGGCAGGATCAACAGGTTGAGTTTGGAAAGGAAAGCGTGAAATTGGAATCAGAAAATGTAGACAACTCTTTTGAAAAGCATGACTGTAGGGGAGGGGAGAGATGAATTGAAAGTTATGAGAGGAGGTAGCACCAAAGGACTATTCAGAGTTTTGTTGTTTGCATTTCAGATGGGAGGGATTTGAACATATGTACAAGGTGAAGGCAGAGACTAAAGAAAAGACAGAAGGTGCAGGAGAAATAGAAGATGGACACAAGTGGTAGAGATGGGAGAGGAGGAGACCCAGAGTGCAAGTGGAGGTGTCTGCCTTCCAGGTAAAGGAACCAGAAGTTAAGGTGTTCCCGTCTGTGTCCTTACCTTTCTCTGTTAGGTAAGAGAGGGGTCTTCTGCAAAGAAGGAGGGAAAAGTTGCAAGATGGGGCTCTTGGAGAAAGCTTGGAAGAGCCCCTTCTAAAAATAGGAAAGGTGACTCAGGGTGCACAGAAATGATGCTCCCACCTGCCTCACCAGGAACGGCTCCAGGAAGGTTGGAGAGCAGGACAGGGGCTGGCTCCAGATTTCACAGTGGAATGTGCTTTTCTCCAGCAGATCTGGGACTCCAACATATAGGTGATGGAATAGTGGGCATGTGAACTGAAGCAGAGACAGAGAAGAGCAGAGCAACTGAGAGTGATGACGGAAGGGGTTGAGGTGTAGGACAGGAGTTCTGGGCAGAAGAGGGATGGAAGTTGAGCCATGACAGGGCTTGCTAGGCAGGGAGAAAATGGAGGAACTCAAAGGCCTGGAAGTCCTGTGAGGGCGAACGATTGGTGCGCTGGGGCAGGAAGGTGGGCATGGTCAGAGATTAAGATACTGCAATTTAGGAAAACGATAAAGCCGTCTTTAAGATGTGAGTGTACATTATTAGTCTTGAAGAGGGCCATTGGTGTGCACCATTTCCTAAACATATTGAGTCTTAAATCTGGAGAATCTTGTAGGACTGGTGTTTCATAGAACCCACTTCAATCAACTCCGATAAAAGATAATGGGAGCTGCCAGGCACAGTGGCTCATGCCTGTAATCCCAACACTGGGAGGACAGGGTGGGCAGATCACCTGAGGCCAGGGGTTTGAGACCAGCCTGGCCAACATGGCGAAACCCCATTTATACTAAAAACACAAAAATTAGCCAGGTGTGGTGGTGCATGCCTGTAGTCTCAGCTACTCGGGAGGTTGAGGCAGGAGAATCGCTTGAACTCAGGAGGCACAGTTTCTGGTGAGCTGAGATTGCACCACTGCACTCCAGCCTGCATAATAGAGTGAGACTCTGTCTCAAAAAAAAAAAAAAAAAAAAACCAGAAAAAAAGGTAATGGGAGCCATGGAAGGTTTTTAAGGAGAAAATGCCTTGGTCAGATTGCATCTTAGACAGATCTTGCTGGTGGCCTGCATGGAGGATGGATTGAAGGAGAGTGAGAGCTGTTACATGGAAAGGAATGAGGAGTCTACTGCAGTGGTCCAGGCAAGAAATATAGTAGGTTAAAGCTTGAGGAGGTACAAGATCTGAGAAATATTTAGAAAGTAAAATATTTATTTCTAGAAATATTTAAAGTAGGACAAGTAGGACAGATTAGAGGTTGGAAGTGAAGGATAAGGAGAGATAGGTGCTGAGTTTCTAGCTTGGATTTGACATGGAAAGTGAGACCAACCCAGATGGTGGTAGACAATTTTGTAAGGAGGATGCTGACTGCCAGCTTGGATATAATAGCTTTGAGGCTCATGGGGACAAACAGATGGAAGCGTTCAGAGCATGAACTTCAGTGAAGCAACAGGAGGGAGTGTTCTGGAAGGCCTCGAGGATGAGGGAGTCAGTTTGCCACAGTATAGGAACCCTAGAGAAAGAACCCATGGAATGAAGGTATAGGGTAATGTGAATCACCATGACATTTGAATTTGGAAATACCTGGGCTTCAGAGTAGAGCACTGATAGCAGAGTGGGAGGACTGGGGACAAGAGCGTGGAGTGCCAAATGGAATTCTGTGGTACATGGTCTGGGAGCTTGGCAGTGCCTGCCTGGACAGCTAAGGACAGGGATCAGACTTTGGGCCCTTACTGCTCAGCCCAAGGAGACTTGACTGGCACTGGCCAGTAGGCAAAGGTGACTTATTGGCTGAACACAGCTGCACAACTGTCAGTTAATTCCATGACTGTGGGATTCTAGCACATTGCAGGGTGTTTTGTGTGTATGGTGCATGCTCAGGCACACATGTGCTTACATTCAGGATCCCCTTATTGTTTTGGCTGGAAAAGCTGATCTTTGAATCTCTGGAACTTGAGGCCAGGGGTTTGAGACCAACCTGGCCAACATGGCGAAACCCAGTCTCTACTAAAAATACAAAATTTAGCCAGGTGTGGTGGCGGGTGCCTATAGTCCCAGCTACTCCGGAGGCTGAGGCAGGAGAATGGCGTGAACCTGCGAGGCAGAGCTTGCAGTGAACCCACGAGGCAGAGCTTGCAGTGAACCCACGAGGCGGAGCTTGCAGTGAGCTGAGATCGCTCCACTGTACTCCAGCCTGGGTGACAGAGCGAGACTCTGTCTCAAAAAAAAAAATACAAAAATTAGTTGGGTGTGGTGGCTTAAGCCTGTAGTCCCAGCTAGTCGGGAGGCACGAGAATCGTTTGAACTCAGGAGGCAGAAAAGACTTTTTTTTTTTTTGAGATGGACTTTCACTCTTGTCACCCAGGCTGGAGTGCAATGGTGCGATCTCAGCTCACTGTAACCTCTGCCTCCAGGGTTCAAGCGATTCTCCTGCCTCAGCCTCCCAAGTAGCTGGGACTACAGGCGCGTGCCACCACACCCAGCTAATTTTGTATTTTTAGTAGAGACAGGGTTTCACCATTTGGCCAGGCTGGTCTCAAACTCCTGACCTCAGGTGATCCACCCGCCTCGGCCTCCCAAAGTGCTGGGATTACAGGTGTGAGCCACTGCACCTGGCAAGACTTCTTGGAATGAAGATCTGTGAGTAGATGCACTTACTCACCCACTCACCATGTTTGGAGGGAATGCTATGTGTCAGGCATGGGGTTTAGAGGAGAAAGGACATGGCCCAAGAATGGGAACTCACAGGCCGGTAGGGAAGAGAGATGCACCAAGATAAAGTCTGGGACAATGTGGTAGTTGCCACGAAGGGGGAAAGTGGAAGCATTTGGGGAACTCAGGAGAGGGCATCTAACCCTGGCAAGTTTGGACTTCCCAGAGAATATGACATTAAGCCTAAGCAGGGCCCTGAAGGATGAACAAGAATTTAACAGGCAGACAAAGGGGAAAGGGCATTCTGAGCAGAGGAAACAGCGGGGGCTCAGAAGGGAAGCTGAGCAGGGCTCTGAGGCCTCTTGCAGCTCCAGTGAGGGACAGTCTGTAAGGAGCCTTCTGGAGAAGGGACTTCCTTGGCAATCAGGTAACCTCACCTTGGAATCCAGGGACCTCAGTCTGGACCACTCCTTCCTCTCCCCCAGCACCCACCCAAAAGGGTCTTCTCAGCTGGCTGCAGTTGCCTATGGTGTGTGGCCAGTTCCTGGTATTTCCTCTCCTGATGTGGATTGCTCAGGCCTGGGCCCTCTCTCCAAGACCCCTTTGTTCTCTGGCTGGCAGCCTAGAGTCTGGCTCCCGCCTTTGCAGACCCCATGTTGCCAGCCCCTCCCAGGCCACTGACCTGCATCCCTGCCTGGGACATTTCTGCTGAGTGTAGCTACTTTTGCCTAGAGGCACGCCAGAGCCTCAGCCCCCAGGGGCCCGCTGGCCCGGGGCCCCACGCCCTTAGGCAGCCTGAATTCATGCTGGAAGAATGGGGGTCAGAGTTCAGTCCCCGAAAGCTGGGGGCTCTGAAGAGGGTCCCAGTGGGGGTCTTCAGGGCAGCTGTTTGTAGTGGGGGCTGGGGCCACCATGCCCAGGACAATCTGGGAGTCAGCAAAACAGGACAAAGCATAGCAGGGCTCCTGGGGAAGAATGGCATTTGGGCTGCACACTTGCCCTGCTTGGTAGGTTTCTTTTTTTTTTTTTTTTTTTTTTTTTTTGAGTCAGAGTCTCGGTCTGTCACCCAGGCTGGAGTGCAGTGGCGTGATCTCGGCTCACTGCAAGCTCCGCCTCCTGGGTTCATGCCATTCTCCTGCCTCAGCCTCCCGAGTAGCTGGATCTACAGGTGCCCGCCACCGCGCCTGGCTAATTTTTTGTATTTTTAGTAGAGATGGGGTTTCACCATGTTAGCCAGGATGGTCTCGATCCCCTGACCTCGTGATCCGCCCGCCTTGGCCTCCCAAAGTGCAGGGATTACAGGCGTGAGCCAGGTGGGTTTCTTTTAGGTTAATGGAGTGGAAGGAGCACTGGACTGGGAGTCAGAGGGAGACAGCACCAGGATTGAAGGAGTCCTGTGGATCATGGAGTCTCTTAGTAGAATAAAAACAAATAGCTAGCATTTATCGAGCTTTCACTATGTGCCAGGCACTGTGGCAAGTGCTCCATGAGTATTCATTCATTTATTCCTTACCACTGTCCTGTGAAGTGGGTACTCATTTCTAGATGAGGAGACTGAAGCACAAGGCGTGAGGTACCATGCCAAGCTCACTCAGCTAATGGGAGTCAGAGCTGGGAGGTGGGCCCAGGTAGGCTGGCCCCAGATTTATGCTGTTCGTTTATTGTACAGAAGGGGACCTGGAGGCCCAGAGAAGGGGTGCCTGGGCTTACCAGGGCCTGGGACGTCTGACCACCTGAAGGCTAATGAGAACAACTCTGCTTAAAAGCAGGGCCAGGAGAAAGGCTTGTGGCAGATCTATTGCTCTGTCCACCTGGGCTGTAGTCCTGGATTGCCACTGAGTGGCTGTACAACTTGGAGCAGGTCACAACTACTGTGAACCTCGGTTTCTTCCTGTGTATTAATAAAATGGAAGTGAAAATACCAACCATGCCTGCTTCAAAAGGTAAAATGAATTAATAGATGTGAAAACAAAAGACCAAACAGCTGTTTTTTAGAATCTAGGCTCAACTCAGTCCTGGCCTGCCCACCTACCCTTAAATGGGAACTCTGGCTTCTCCTTTAAGTGACTGTTACACTCATTCATCAAACATTTATTGAGCACTTACTACGTTCCAGGCCCTGTAATCAAATAACTCTATGGGTTTTGTTATTATATCCATTTTATAGACTTAGAAAATGAGGGTCAGAGGTGAACTGACCTACCCAAGGTCACAGAGAAGTAATAGTCAGAGCCAGGATTTGAATCCATGATTGTCTCAGTTGAGAGTCTGAGCCTCCTAGAAGCTGATAAGTGAGGCTGGTTCGAACGTCCACAGTGCCACATCATCACCCTGTGGCAGGCACAACGATGAAGGAGTAATCTGAGATGCTTAAGAGCAGGAAGGAAGGAATGACTATGCCAGGGGCAGTCCAGGAAGGGGTGGCCTTCCACCCAGAGAAGGGGTGGCCCTTGAGCTAAAGCTCAAAGATTTAGAGTTTGCCAGGCAAGTGCTTTAGAGCTAAAGCTCAAAGATTTAGAGTTTGCCAGGCAAGTGCTTCGGACAGAGGAAACAGCAAGAGCATAGACCTGGCAGTGGGAAAGGCAGGGAAGTGCAAGAGATGGAGGGAGCCTGGATCCTAGGGTGCAGTGGGGCAAGCGGGGAGCTGGGAACTGACCTGTAAGGGCAGCAAGGAGGAAGCCAGGGAGACTGCCACACCTGCCAGAGGGTGCTGCAGCCTGTCACAGGGCATTACTGCTGCAAGGCAGGAAAGGTGAGCAGCCCAGGTGCAGACGTTGAGTGCAAAAGAGTTTTGTGAGGTCCACAGTGTTTCTCTAAAACGATACACCCCACCAATGTCAAAAATCAGATTTCGTGTCAATCCAGATTTCTGGCTTCTCTTGAAAAACAAATGATCTGCTAACTTGGGGCTGACCTCCTATATCACAATCTGTTATGAATTGGATGGTTTCCCCCTGCAAATTCACATGTTGGACTCCTAATCCCCAGTACCTCAGACTGGGACCTTATTTGAGATAGGGTCTCTATAGAGGTAATCAAATCAAAATGAGGTCGTCAGGGTAGATAGACTCTAATCCAATATGATTGCTGTCCTTATAAGGGGAAATCTGGTCCCAGAGACACTTGGAAGAAAGATGATGTGAAAAGAGGCAGGGAGAACACGGCCATCTGCAAGCCAAGGAGAGAGGCCTGGAACAAGAGCCTTCCCTCACAGCCCTCAGAAGGAATCAATCCTGCTGACACCTTGACTTTGAACTTCTGGCCTCCAGAACTGTGAGACAATAATTTTCTATTGTTTAAGCCGCCCAGGTTGTGGTGATTTGATAGCAAACCAATATGCAATCCCTGGCAAGCCAGGAGGAAATGCCAATTGAGGGTGCCCTCCTCTAGGCTTCTTCCCTACCCCTCCTCCAAGTTCCCCTTGCCCCTGCCCCATTTACCACCCTTGCCTGTGCCCTGCTTCCCCCTTGGGCCATGGAGGTAGAGCCTCTGCCATTTCACTCTGCCTGTCTGTCCTACTGTGAGGGGCTCTGTGACTAGCCCCAGCATAACCTGGTTCACTCCAGCTGCAGGAGGAACAGAAGAACCCATGTGAGCCTGGTTGGGAGCTGGCAGCTGGCCCTTCATCTTGTTGGGGAGGTTTGAACCTGGGAGTACCAGTCAGTCCTTGGGAGGGAGTAAGCTCTGTGGAGGGTCTGAGCTGGAACAGACTTCCTGATTGTCTGGGCCCTATGGTCTGTGGACCAGCAGCATCAGAATCACCTGGGAGCTTGTTAAAATGCAGAACCCCAGGCCCCAAGCTGACTTGCTGAATCAGAATCTGCATTCTAACAAGGTCCCCAGGTGATTCATACTACATTCAAGTTTGAGATGCACTGGATCTTAAACGTCGCTGCACACTGGAAGCACCTGGGGATTCTAGTGATGCTAATGCCTGGGTACCTTCAGAGACGATGATGTGATTATTCTAGGGTGGAGCTTGGACATCACAGTTCGAAAAGCTTCCCAGGTGATTGTAATGCACAACCACATTTGGGGACTGCTGGTCTACTGTGGGTATTTACACCAACTCCCCTTCCCACCAGAAAACCTTTATAGCAAATAGCAAAACTAGAGCTATGGGTCCAGAAAGAACTGCCCACATCCACCCCCCACCACCCAAATAACTCAGGCTGTCTGGGGAAGGGCCTGTACAGATGACCCTGACCAGTGAAAACCATGGTCAGAGCCCTGTGTGGATGATTAAGAATGCTTCTAGTCCTTAGTAGTATTTAAGTTCTTAAGTGTTCTGTAGGTTCTGGGAGGTACTTGAAATTGTACCCAATGCCCAAAGATGTTAAGTGACTTACCCAAGGTCCCATGGTTCTTCTTGGCAGAGCTGGGACTTGTGAGTGGGTGTTTGAGTCCCACTTTGGAGCACTTTGTTGATCAAAGTCAGTGGTATAGTCTGTCCCTTGGAGCATGTGTCCTCATGTGTCATTAAAAGAGTCATGGCTTGAAAGCCCTGGGCTGACTTTGAGTCCCTATTGTGAAATTCAGGATGTACCCAATTCGGATGAACTTTAGAAAAGGCAGACAGGCTGCAGCTGACTCTGAGACCCAGATGGTTCTAATGAAGGCTGAAGGGAAACTATTCCTTCTTGGGAACCAGGAAGGGACTGGCAGAGGAAACAGAGGTAGGACCCTGCTCCCAGATGTAATAACCCTCCCCCTGTGCTGGGGTCATTAGTCACTGATGATTAGCTGGTGCTTTTAGGGCTCAAATGTTGGACTTGAGGTTGAAGTTGCTTTCTATTTACTTCCATCTTTTTCACTAAGTAGTTGAGAGAGTATAGAGTAAGGGGATGTAAGGGAGAGGATGCCCCTGGAGTCCCGGGGACTAAGGTTTGGGACCAGCTCCACATTAACTAGTTGTGTGACCTTGGACCAGACACTCAACTTCTCTGAGCCTTGGTTCCACATCTATGACTTGGGGGAATTTTTTTTTTTTTTTTTTTTTTTTTTGAGTCAAAGTCTCGGTCTGTTGCCCAGGCTGGAGTGCAGTGGCGCAATCTCAGCTCACTACAAGCTCTGCCTCCCGGGTTCACACCATTCTCCTGCCTCAGCCTCCCGAGTAGCTGGGACTACAGGTGCCCGCCACCATGCCCGGCTAATTTTTTGTATTTTTAGTAGAGACAGGTTTCACCATGTTAGCCAGGATGGTCTCGATCTCCTGACCTCGTAATCTTGCCCGCCTCAGCTCCTAAAGTGCTGGGATTACAGGCATGAGCCACCGCGCCCAGGCAAAAAAAAATTTTTTTGAGACAGGGTCTCACTCTGTTGCCCAGGCTGGAGTGCAGTGGTGCAATCTCAGCTCACTTACAACCCCCATCTCCTGGATTCAAGCGATTCTCCCACCTCAGCCTCCCGAGTAGCTGGGACTCCAGGCGCACACCACCATGCCTGGCTAATTTTTGTATTTTTAGTAGAAACAGGGTTTCACCATGTTGGCCAGGCTGGTCTTGAACCCCTAACGTCAAGTGATCCTCTCGCCTTGGCCTCCCAAAGTGCTGAAATTACAGGTGTTACCCACCATGCCTGGCCTGAATTGGAGGAAATATTAACACCTACTGGCCTACTACAAACCTGGAAGGATAACATGAAATAATGTATGTTGAAGTATACTGTTAAGGGCCATGCCTAGGTTGGACAGATGTTCTTGCTTTGTGTACTGTGGAGGGTGATGCCTATGTTATACCGTCCATGCATGCACACGCAACTGCATACTATCTACCTGAATGCAAATGTGTCCACGTACTCACAGGTCCACAGTTCCTAATTCGAATCCTTTGGGGCCAGATGTGTTTCAGAATTCTGGGTTTGCAGATTTTCTTTTCTTTGTTTTTGTTTTTTGTTTGTTTTGTTTTGTTTTGTTTTTTGAGACAGAGTTTAGCTCTGTCACCCAGGCTGAAGTGCGGTGGCACCATCTAAGCTCACTGCAAATTGCGCCTCTTGGGTTCAAGTGATCCTCCCACCTCAGCCTCCCAAGTAGCTAGGACCATAGGTGCACACCACCATGCCTGGCTAACTTTTGCATTTTTGGCAGAGACAGGGTTTTGCTATGTTGGCCGGGCTGGTCTTGAACTCCTGACCTCAAGTGATTCACCTGCCTAAGCCTCCCAAAGTGCTGGGATTACAGGCATGAGCCACTGCACCCAGCCTGGTTTGCAGATTTTCAAAACTAATGTGATACTCCATAATTAAACACCTTACTATTATCTCAGAAAAACATGTGAATCTTCATGTGAAATTGTATAATAAAGAAATGGCCTCATGTCAGTTCTGCTCTGGTTTTGCCCCCAATAGGAAGAAATGTTTTGTTTTCAGAATGTTCAGAATTTCAGAAAAGGGGTTGTAGACCTATGTCTTAATAGCTCCGGCGCCTTGAGCATAATGTCCTGTGTGCCTGGCATCATGCCTGGTGCTTCCCACATTTTACTCACTCAGCCCCCTCCATGGCCCTGTGAAATGGAAGGTGTTTTCAGCTTCATGGGAGTGAGTTGTTCAGGACATTCCCCTGCAGACATGGCTGTGAATAGTGACATTAACCAGCAGAGTCAAGCTGGAGAATGTGCCCTTGCTAGCAGACATCCCAGCCATGGGACCCCTGCCAGTGTACCCTGTGCCCTTGCCATAGTCTGCTCACTCCCATTCCTCCACTTTAACATCTTGTTTAGATCTTTAACATCTAAACAAGACCATATCCCGTGAGCCCACTGATTCAAAAGGCTGCTTTTACCCTTTCTAAAATTGGTTTGCCTTTTGTTTGTTTTAGTGGTTTGAATTTTGGCGTTTTTTTGCTCTGTGGATGTGTGTGGCAGCCTTTGTGTGTCTGTGTCTGGGCTTGTGTGTGTGTGTGTGTGTGTGAGAGCTTGGGCTCTGGGATGGAATGCAGTGGGTGTGTCTGCCTGCCTTGTGTCTATGCCTCTGTTCTGTGTGTTCCTCGGTGTGTCTCTCCAGGTGTCTAAGGCCTTGGATACATGAAGAGTGTGCCCCCGCCTGGGCTGTGAGTGATGAAGAGGGTTATCCTGGCCTATGATGGTGACCGCATTTGTGCTGATAACATTGTGTGCGCAGACCCCTGGGTGTTGGTGCTATCTGTGTGGCTGTGTGTCTCTGAGTTAGGGTGACCAACTGTCCCAGTTTGCCTGGGACTGAGAAGTGTTCCCAGGACATGGGACTTTTCAGTGGTAAAATGAGAAACTGGGAAAGTTGGTCCCCATCTTCCCAGGGTAGTCACGCTCTGTGGTTCTCTTTGTGTGCACCTCTTCTGTGTGTTCTCGCATATGTCTGCACACTGTGGGTGTGTGTTCTGCATGCATTTCCTCAGAGTGTGTGTCGTGTATCAGCTTTGCACATTGGTCATGTGCCTCTCCTGCGTGTCTCTCTGTAGCCAGCTCCTTGCACATGTGTCCTCTATGTTGTGTCCATGTATGCCTATGTGCATCAGTCTCCATGTGTTTGTCTCTGCATGCTCTGGAATGATCCGAATGTCTCTGTGTATGTCTGTGAATCTCTCTGCCTGTGAGCTTGTATCTAAGGGCACATGTGTTCTCTGGAACAGACACTGGGCCTCTCTGCGTGGCCATGTCTGGTTCGTTCCGCTGTGGTCAAGCTGGCCCTTCCCATGGCTCAGCCGCCCTCTCCTCTCCATCCCAGTGCCCAAGGATGCTTCTTTCTGAATCCAGCCCCTCTCTACCCTCACTCCCAGCCCCAGCCAGAACCATTGCAAAAGAGGAGTTCATTCTCCATGTAGTTAGTGCAATGTGGTTGGAAACTCCCGCCTGCCCCTGCTGCTGTATCTCAGTGCTCTGCCTTGCAGGCACACCTGGCTCCTCCCTACTTCCCAGCTCTTCCCTCTCAGCACTCTCCATCTTCCATACATTCTTTCTCAGTCTGTCTGCCTTTCCCAGTATCCCTTTCTCTCCCCAGCACCCCTCACTTTTCGCTAATTCTTGAAGACTCCCGTCAGCATCACCTGCTCTGGGAAGCCTTCCCCTCTCGCCCCTTGGCAGAGTGAGCATTTCTGCCTCTGCCCTCCTACAGCCCCAGTGGCTTATCTCCACAGTGGGGTTGCGGGGTGGGGGGGGTCATCTCTAGGCCAGGACTCTCCATTTATTGAGCCCCCTCCAGAAGGTGCCAAGCACGGGGCTGCATTGTCATTTAATCTTTACAACCATCCAGTGAGATACTTGTCCTCATGGCTGCTTTTCGGATGAGGGAACTAAAGCTCAGAGAGGTTGAGGCACTGGCCCAAGGCCACACAGCTAGGAGGTAGTGCAGCTGGTTCCAAAGTCCAGACTCCTGGCACCAGGCTACCTCATGACACCCTTTTGTGGGGGTCTGCCTGGTGTGGGGCTCTGCCTGGTGTGGACCTCTGCCTGTCCCCACTGTCCTGTGAGCGTTTTCATGCTGAGAGCAGGTTTGATTTGTCTCCGTGTGCCCAGCCCTCAGCGTGGGCCCGGGTACCTAGCAGGCACTCCATAAAGGTTTACTGAATAAACGCCTGCTCTCGAAAATGACAACCTCAGCTTTCATTAGTGTGATTTATACATGTGCTGGGATCTTCTGGGCTGCAAGGCTGGGGAACGGGTGGCTATAATTTATCAGAAAACGTGGCAATTGTTCCAGCTTCTCTTTCAGTGCAAAAGGAGGAAGTAAATTGATGGCCAACAGCCCTGCAACGGGAAGGGCCTTCGATGGTGGATACCCCGATTCTTGCTAACAGAGCAGGCACATGACTGGGAGGCCCTCCAACCGTCCCCCACGTGGGCTCTCCTATCCACCTGCTGCCTGGAGGTGGCCACAGGGGGGTCAGCTGCCTCTCATCGATCATCCTGCTCAGGATGCCAAATGGTGCCTTTGAAAGTCCATAAAGAAAGAGACACTCATTCATCCCTGATCAATCACCTCTTGCTGCCCTTTGTGCGGCACGTGCAGGACACAGCACAATGCCAGCTCGTCACGGGTGCTCAATCACCATTTCGGGATTAATGGTTTTTCAGATGGGAGTCACGCCCACCTCCTTCCCCCTCATCCCCAGGCCAGGCATCTCCAGGACAATGCTGCAGTGGCTGGAGAAGCCCCCAGCTCCCTGAGGCCCTCCTTAATCGAGATTGACGGATGTGGGGCGTGTGGTCCATAGAAGCCCCGGGCTTCTGCAGGAGCCAGAGACAACTCCTCCTGGGGATGGATGGGCAGGACAGCTGCCTCAGCCTTCCCAGATGTCCAGGGGAACCCATTCTCTCTCCCGATCAATGTGGCAGCTGGGTGAGCCCCAAGAGCCCCACCTGAGGGGCCCCAAGCCTCAGGCCTCCACCAGGCCGGGTTGTCAGGCCAAATGGCCTCAGCTCAGGAAGGCCTTTGAGCTTGAGAGCTGGGGGCAGGGGCTTGCTTCTCCCTCTGCCCCCCAGTGACAAGCTCCGTGCCCCCCTTTTCCTCCTGAGGCTGTCCCAGACTGGGCTGTGAGTGATGAAGAGGGTTATCTTGGCCTATGATGGTGATTGCATTTGTGCTGATAACTTGAAAATTCATCATCATAATAAGGCCTGCCGGGCCGCTGAATGAGACGGATGGCCTCCCCACATTCCGGCAGCACCGAGCTTCCTGCTGAGCTGCGATCATGTCGTCATCTTCATGGCTCCCCGAGGCCTGCAGGATGTGAATATTTAATTAGCGTCCCTTTCCTGCTCTCTGGGGTGTTTGTAAATATGATTCATGGGCTGTATTGTTACCTCAGCTGAGCAGTCCCTGCCCCCCTCTGCGTGACAGCATCTCGGGCAGAGACAGCCGCCTGGCAGCTTAACCCCCCAAGTCCCACCCAGTGTGCACATCCAGGATTGCTGTTGGGCCCGGACACGGATCACTTCCCTTCTACAGCACCCAGGGTGGAGAATCAAACCACGTTTTCACCTTGCGTTTGGACTGCAGGCCCAGCAGTTACCTAACAGGCCTTTGAGGAAGGCCCCCCAAGACAAGAGGCCTGATTCAGGTCAGTTGTTCACAGGGAGCAGGGAATGACCCCAAGGGAAGGCACGACTTCACCCCACCCTCACTTAGATCAAATACACACAAGCAAACCAATCACTGAGCACCTTCCCACCAGCGCAAACCAGGGACCCACCTTGGCTCTGAGGGAAAGGCCTGGGGCCAGGGAGCAGGACCTGGGGTCTTGGTCTGGTCGCTGCTGCCAGCATGCTTCCTGACCTTGAGTAGGTCATCAGGCTTCAATTTTAACATCTACACACAGGCCCGGTAACACCTATTCTTTTAGGCTCACAGGGTGATGGGGGTGCTGGGGAAGCCACAGAGTTCTATGCACATTTAAGAAATGGAGCTACTCAGGAGGCTGAGGTGGGAGGATTGCCTGAGCCTGGGGATGTCAGGGCTGCAGTGAGCTGTGATTGTGCCCCTGCACTACAGCCTGGGCGACAGGATGCCATCTCACAAAACAACAAAAAATAAATAAAGAAAGAAAAAAGAAAAAAGAAATGGAACTCAGAGCTGGGAGGGCTTACATCTCTCATATACAGATGGAGAAACTGAGGCCCCAAGAGGAAAAGGAACTTGCCTAGAAGTACAGTCAGAGCAGGGGCAGACTGTAGGGCTGCTGACTCCCAGCTGGGGGATTTTTCTGCAACAGAGTTTAGAAACAAAACTATTTTATTCTTCCAGCTGTGTTCCTGCATTTGCTTGGTAGTTATTACTATAGGGAATGAAGGCAGGGCACTTCTCCCTAAGACAGAGTGCAGGCCGGGAATGTAGTGGGTTCCCCGCGTGGTGCTGCAGCTGTTGGAGGTCGTGTGGTGGGGAACAAAGGCAGTGGGGCTGTCTGGGCACACCCTCGGTCTCAGGGATCTACCGTGGAGGACTGTCGCAAGCTGCCTCTGCACCTCCCTCAGCGCCCCAGCAGGGCTGATCTTGTGGGGCACCCGCACGACGCACACAAACGGCCCTGAGACCACTGCAGGAGCTGGGCCTTCACTGTCCTCACGGGACCCACACCTCTTCGCCCCATCAGCTGCTGCGGCTCTCCAGGGCCATCTCCACAGTCCTCTCCACCCCTGCTCCCGGTCTTCCGGTCTACAGTCTTTTCTGCCTAAAACCCTTCTGCAGTGGCCCCAGCTTCAGAAATGAGTCCTCTCCCTGGCCTCAAAGGCCTTTGTGATTTGGGTCCCTCCATCCCACTTTGTCTCATTCCCTCCCTCCCACCCCTCATCCCTATTTGCCCCCCGAAACCACAGGCCCTTGTATACTTCTTTTGCTTTGCACTGCCCTCCCCTCTGTCTGCCTGGCAAAAATTCCCTCTCACAATTCAAAACCCAGCTCATGTCCCCAACTCTGGAAACATCCCTGATGCTCCAGACCCTCGCCTCTGCCCCCGCCCCCACCCCCTGACATACCATCCTCGGAGTGCTCAGCCTCAGGATTTCTAAACCTGTCTTCCTCCAGTCTGAGAGCAGCACTGAGTCGGAGACCAAGTCCTGCTCCTCTCTGTGCCCAGGGCCTAGCCCAGGGCATGGCACAGAGTGGGCATCAGTGATGTCAATGAATGAGAGGGTTTTCCAGGCAGGTTCTCTGTATGCACAGTCTCAGGTTCACAAGCTTGTTGTCCACACAGCAGCTGGTCTAGGAGCCATACTCTTCCCTCCCTCCCCAGGCCTTTGTCTGCTCTACTCATCCAGGCCAGGAGCCAGGGACCCTGGCAGATGGAGTGGAAGGAATGGGGAGGAGAAGGGCGCGGTGGTGGCTGGAGGCGCCATGCATGTGGAGCCTGGTCCCCCTCCATGCAGCTTCTCGGAGTCAGGTGGGAGGCCCTGGGATCTGAACAGCTTAGCAGGTTCCTTATCCATCCTCTTCCACTGGGGATGGGGCGGGACCCTTTGTCTGAGGCCTTTGATCAGACTCTGTGTCCTACCTTCCCCCAGGTGGAGAAAAGCAAAAATAAGATCCTGGGAAGCAGCTGGCTTTGCCAGGTGTTGAGGGTAGAGTTCCTGCCTTCACCCAAACAGGAGGCTCTTCTGGTCCCAGGTGACCTCATACCCAGCCCGAGGCCTTTGCCTACCTCCTGTCCCTTCCCCATCTCGAAACGCTGCGATTATTGATTCTGCCTTTGGCCTTTTCCTGATGAAGCCTCTGCTCCTGCCTGGCATGGGGGCCTCAGGGATGCAGAGAGTGGGTCTTCTAAGGGCAGTGGGGGCTCCCCTGCCACAGTCATTTTGGGGGGGCACAAATGAAGAACAGCAGTGGTTGGGCTGCCTGTCGTCAGGGATGGCTGGCCCAGCGGTCATTACAGCCATTCGCCCCCAGCCCATGAAGCGGGTCAGAATCCCTAACTCATTAACGACTGGCCCATCCATCTTGTCTGTCTGCACTGACACAGCCGTCGCCCCTGACAGCAGACACTGCCCTCCTGGAGGCATTACCCTCTGTGTGGGGATGAGGGGTGGGCTTGGCCGATGGGAGAAGGAAGCGTCTGTTTGGGAAATGTCCTTATTGTTTCAACCACTTTGAAGCCACAACGTGTGCATGTGTGAAGGGGAAGTCTGTTGGTGGAATTGTGTGAACAGACCGGGGTTTGATGTGGGCTGCATCACTGCCCTGCCATGTAGCTTTGGGCAAGTCCCTTCCCCTCTCGTGGATCCTCAGCAACCCCCTCTATACAACGGAGAGACCGATCTGTCTCTTGGTCCATTAGAATACAATGGATGGGGACTGCCAGCACTGCCCACTTTCAAGACACCAGGACTCTTAACCTGAAAATGGCCGCCTCCCTGATGCACACACACTGGGCTCACTTTCAAAAGCAGGCCAGTCTAGCCTGACCTGACAGGTTCACGTCCTAGGCTACAAGTCCCCACGTATGATTTGTGAAGGGCCTTTGGAAGCCAAACTAGGCATTGCCAACTTTCTGGACAGGGACAGAAGAGATCAGTCATTAGGGGGCTGTTTCCTATTGCCCAGTTGCCTGTGGTCTGCCTGGATGGGGTTTTGCTTGCTCTTGGGTAGATGTGGCTGTGGACTGTTGAGCTGTTTGTTGAGTTGATCTGTCCTGGACCTCTTCTCCTCTACCCCACAGCAGTGCTCACCACAGGCCTTCTAATGGTCAAATCCACTCCCAAGTAGCAAGTCATG
The DNA here is from genome assembly GCF_000001405.40 of Homo sapiens. NCBI lineage: Eukaryota > Metazoa > Chordata > Mammalia > Primates > Hominidae > Homo > Homo sapiens. Next base: position 78,319,022 of record NC_000015.10, on the reverse strand, counting down.
TGGATGCAGAGGAGTTTCTCAGCTCAGTGTCTGGAGAGAGAGTCACAGGTTCCTAGGCTGGACTGGACCTGGGCACCTAGGGGAGACACTCCCCATTATGCATGCACTCTGCCTGCACCCCCAGGGATCCCCCAGGCAGCCCAAGCCACTGAAGGCCGGGGTCTCAGTCTGTGAGGAAGCCCCTCCTCAACTGCCTTCTCCTGCTCAACTCTGCCTTTCGGGGGCCTCTGGCCTGGACCCAGGGTTCCAATACAGAAATGAGAGAGAAACTATGAATGGCCCATGCCTCCCCCTCCCCAAGGTTCCTGCCTCTGGGGCCTCCAGCCTTTCCTGATGGGACACATTTGAGTCCCATCCTCATGCTAGTCTCCCTTCGGGGAATGTTCATGTTAACCAATATCCCTCTTTTTAAAGACATGCATATATTTTAAAAATTAAAATATTGTATAGAAAAATGGAACAAAGAAATCCACTGTTTGCAGCTTTGCATTTCCTTTCAATTTCCTCCTCCACATCTGTTAAGGGGTGATCACACAGCATACAATTATAAACCGTGTTATTTTGTCTTGGTTTTATAGCCCAAGCCATTTCCAGTCTGATATCTGATATTCATTTTTTTAATGTTTGAAAATAATGCAATGGAATGAGTCAATATCATCAAGTTTTCCATTCACCCCCAAAATACTCTATAAAATTCAAGGCCAAGCAACATGCTAACAAGATTTTTCATATTTGACAGATTGGCTCTAAAATTTATATGAATGAATAAATATACAAGGATAACCAAGAGAGTTATGAAAAGGAAGAATAAAGAGGAGGAAATTTTTCCACCAGATATAAAAATTATCCTAAAGCTTTAGTGTTTTAAAACCATGGAAATTGGCACAAGAGTAAAAAAACAGATTGATAGAATAGAATTAAGAGTCCAGGGACATATCACCTGTGCATATATAGAAATGCAGGACATAAAAAAGGGGCACTTCAAATGTAAATCCTTGTGTATAATATTCAAACGTTCCAGAATTAATTAAATACCTAAGTCTCCTCCTCCCCTTTCCAGCCAGCTTCAGGTCTTCGGTGTGAACAATCCCATCACATGGATGTACACTAATTTACTCAACACAGTCCCTTTCTATTGGACATTTAGGATTTGCCCACTTTTTTTTTTTAACAATATGAGGGGCACTGCAATGAGCATCTGTGTCTCTGAAGCAGTTTTTCTTTGTTTTTGGATTCTTTCCTTAAAGAGCTGTTCTAGGAGTGGAATTGCTGAAGCACAGGGTAGGGTATGCCCACATTGCTTTCCCAAAGAGCTACTGTGGGGTCAGGGAGAAGAGGTCCAGGGTGCATAGTTATTTCATTTCATTCATTCATTCATTTCATTCATTCATTCATTCATTCATTTCATTCATTCATTCATTCATTCATTTCATTCATTCATTTCATTCATTCATTCATTCACTGAGCTCCCGTGCTGGGCTGGGTGTCAGGACTGGGGATCCAGGTCAGGCCCAGAACATATGATTCACCGAAGGAGAGGCATGGAAACAGGGATCTTCAAAATCAGGAGAGTGAAGTCACCTGGCATGGCAGTGCTCGGAGCAGCACGCTGTGAGTGTCCAGAAGAGGGCTCCCCAGGGTGCTGACATTTAGACTGGGCTGCCTTCTGGAGATGGGTGTGAGAAGAAGCAGAGGCAGATCACAGAGGGCCTCAGATGCCAGGCTGAGAAGTTGGGACTGTGCCCTGTGGCCATGGGGAGCCACAAAAGGTTGATGAGCTGCGGAGTGATGTGTTCACCTGCGTTGTAGGAGGCTCACGGGGGCAACCTCGGCACAGCTCCTGCCATTGCTGGCCCTGCACTTCACAGCTCTGTTGTGCTGCCAGCCCTGCCTGACCCTCTGAAGCAACAAAGCCTCCTATACCCAGAGGCCTCCCGGTTATCCTTGTATATTTATTCATCCATATAAACTTTAGAGCCAATCTGTCAACCCCTAAAAGTCCAGGAATGAGCAAAAGTCCCGTTTCGCCCTTCTCTTGCCCTCAGGAAACTGTACCTTGTCTCAGAGTCATTGAGGGTGTGTTTAGTTGGATCTGCACCAAATAGGGCGGTGGTGGCTATGGAATTTTATCACATCGGTTCTTGTCCTGCCCCCGCTGCTGATTCCTGAAACGACCTTAGGTGAGTGAGTCCTTGCTTTTTCAGGCCTGAGGTTCCCCACGGTAGAGTGAGGAGTTTGAATCAGCTCATCTGAGAGCGCTGCCAGCCTGTATTTACACAATGCAAATGGAGCCCCAGCCCCTAAGACCAAGCATCAGCTTTTATAGGGGAAACACCGGGCTCCGTCAAGCAGAAACCCCGCCTGACTCCCGGGGCTTTCTGGGACTCCTTCCTGACCGCCTGCCTCCTCTCAGCTGTCTCTGGTTAAGCCTGTTAGATCTGGTTCTGTCTGAAGAGATGCGCACAGGCTGCTTTCCACCCAACACCCATCCCAAGGCCTGTTCCAGGCCCCTTTTGTCCCCCAGGCAGCAGAGGCCTAGCGACAGGCCTCATTCATCTTCCCACTGAGTCCAGAGACAAAGGGCTTAATGTGTGTGCAGATGGGCCTGCCCCTCCATCATCCCTCACAACCAGTGTCCGATAATGTGCCTCCAATGAGTCTCCCGTGGCCACCCTCTGACCAGGGGGTGGCTGGGCAATGACACATGCAAACACAGGGACTGGATGACAAAGCAAGCCTTGAGGGGGCATGGCGGGGGGCAGGGCATGATCACAGCCCCACGGAGAATCCCATAAGTCATTTCTGATGGGGATACATTAGGCCTCTCAAAGAGCACTTGCCCCTGAACACTGAGCTGCCAAATTAATTGACAAGGGACCTTTACAGGCAGCTCCTAGAGAGCAGGAACCCCTGTCCCCAGAGGCCCGGCCCAAGAAGCTGTCGTTTTCTGAGAGGAAAGAATTGTGCCCTGTCTGGCCAGAGCTCAGTACCCTTCTGGGCTGAGTGAGACCCTGGCCACTGCAGAGGGTCGCATGTATGTGTGATCAAGGAAATTGGGTCCCAGAGAGAGCAGTGATGTGCTGTAAGCACACAGCACATAGGTGGTGGAGGTAAGGCTGGAACCTAGGTCTCCTGACTACTCTGCCAAGCCCTTTCCCTCCCTCTTGTGGCCAAGCCCCTGAGTGCTGCAGAGGGCTCTGACTGCCTAGTCGTAGGTCCTCCCCACCCTCGTGGCAGGGCTTCTAGGGGTCAGGGGGAGAGTCCTCAGCCCCTGTTCTCCCACAGAGCCTGAGCCTGGCCCTGGTGAAAACACTGATGACCCCCCTCCTTTTTTATTTTTTTAGAAACAGGATCTTGCCTTGTCACCCAGGCTGGAGAGCAGTGGCAAAATCATGGCTCACAGCAGCCTCAAACTCCTGCCTCAGCCTCCCAAATAGCTGGGACCACAGGTGCATACCACCATGCCTGGCTAATTTTCTTATTTTTTATAGAGACAGGGTCTTGCTATGTTGCCCAGGCTGGTGTTGAACTCCTGACCTCAAGCAATCCTTCTGCCTCAGTCTCCCAAAGTTCTGGGATTACAGACATGAGCCACTGAGCCAGCCTAAAGCCCCCTTTAAAATGCAGACACAGAGCAGGAAGAGTGGCAGAAAGGATGGAAGGAGTGCCAGCAGCCAGGAAGCCATAGCTGGCCACTCACGGAAAGCCAGAGCACAGTACTAGAGACACAGAAGGCTGTGGATGGGAGTGGGCATCTGGGGACTAGGCTCACATCCCCACTCTGCCCTGGCCCTCTTGGGGATCTTAGGTCAGCCATGTCCTTCCCTGAGACCTTACCTTTCAGCAGAATGAAAGACTCAAAACAGGAAGCAATGATCCTATCACTATTCGCTCCCGTTTATCAAGCACTCTCTGTAAGCCAAGCACTGCGCTAAGTGCTGCTGAGTCCTTGTCTTATTAATCTTCGTAACAGACCCAAGAAGAAATTGTCTTCATTTTACAGGTGAGGCTGGGCACGTGGCTCACACCTGTAACCCTAGCACTTTGGAAAGTCAAGGTGGGAGGATCGCTTTAGGCCAGAAGTCCAAGACCAGCCTGGGCAACACAGTGAGACCCTGTCTCTACAAAATAAATAAAAACTAAAATTTTTAAAAATACAGATAAGAAAACAGAGTTTCAATAGCTAAAGTTACTTTTCTTACAAGTGGCTGAGCCCAGGTTAGAACCCAACCTCGGGGCATGCTCCTGGCTTAGGGACAAGGATAAGAGGGGACCAGAGAACAGACAGAGAATTCCAGAGGCCCAGGTTCAGCCAGGAAGCGCAGGTCAAAGTGGGTCCCGAGTGGGGAGGCCCATTAGCCACCAGGCCCCTTGGCCCCTGGAGAGAGGCACAGCGCAGAGGGAAACAGCCCACCTCCCCGCAGGTCTTGCTGAAGACCCTCCATTCCCCTTCTGAATCTCTACCTCCAGCCCCTCCCACAACTGGGTCCCTTTGGCTCCTCCTGTAGGAGTAGCCTCACCCAGGTGGCCTTAATCTGGTGGTCATGGAAATTTCAACAGCCCTGGGCCCGGAGCCCAGCCTGCTCTGCCCTGCTCCCCAGAGCCCCTTTCTAGTTACATGTCCTGGAGCTAGGTCATGGGGCTGGGTCACCTCCCTTCAGCATCTAGAGACCCCGCTAGTCTGTCACCCGAGTGCATCTAATCCTGAGGCTCCCCCTCCTTCCTCTCAGAGTGGCTTTGTCCATCTCCACTCCAGGACCCGACAGGAGGAGCATAGAAAGAGCCCGTGAAGAACCCCGGACTGAGATGGCTGAGGGCTGGGGCCTCGGAGAAGGATTCCCAGGGCATTGGATGGCCACCTGGATTTGGAGATTCACAAAGGAGGGACATTGTTTGATGGGAGAGGAGGCAGATCATAAGGAGTGTGAGCATTGAGGCCAGAGAGGAGGGCCTCACGCCAGCCCACAGCCCTGAAAAGCCCATAGGATGCTGCCTGGATCTTAGAGTTGTGCACAGCAGAAGCCCCCAAGATCTGGTTGCTGAGAGTGGGGAGGTACAGGGCGGAGATCCTGTTGTGGGTTGGGTAGATATCGGAGGGTGAAGGAGTCCAGCATTGGAGCTGTCCTGGTTCGAAGATTCCTTCAGTCTTCTGCAGTCCTCCCGACCACAGCTCAGCAACAGGAGCAGGCTGGTGTTGAGGGGCGGCTGGGGCACCACACTGTGCTGCTGGGGCCCACTCTGCCTGCCCTGCATTTGGCTGTCCAGCTGTGGCTTGTACATCCCCTGGGACTGGAGGCTTATACCTCCAAGGCAGCCCCTACTCCTGTGGCATGGTTCAACCTGTGAGAAAGACCCTTCTTCCTATGAGTCCAGGTGCTTCTCTGTGGCCTGTCCCTAGAGCCTGGCCCCGTTCGAGGTCAGAGACTATATGCATTCCCTCGGACCAGCATAGCCTGACTGAGGTCTGCCCAGCAGGCCCAGCACCCACCCCGCCTCTGCCTCCCCGGTCTCTGCAGGCCAAGGATGCTGCTATTTTTTAGCCATTCCGTGGAGTATGACCTCCTCATCCCCCCGAAACACTGCCTCTCCTCTAGGACCTCAGCTCGGCAGGATCCCTGTCCTCCTGACTGAGTGCTCAGAGCGGATATTCTGCAGTCTAGGGGCCTCTATTACTTGGTTTCCCGTTCCCCACTGATTTGGCAGGAGCCTGGAATTGAAGTCCGTGGAGGATCTGGGTCAGTTTCTTTACATCTAGAGCTTTGCTCAGAGAATAACTCAGTTCTTCAGGCACAAGACACCCCCAATAGCAGTTACCCCCTACACCAATGTGATGAGTTCCCACAGACACCCCAGCCCACCCAGCACAGGCCCCTCACTGACCTCCCAGCCTCCAACAGGTCCCCTGGTTCCTGGCCTTCTCCCGACGGCTGCAAAAGGCTCTTTGGAGTGTCCCTATTCCACACCCCTTCTCACCCCTCAAGAAATCATCTCTGAAGGCAAGGGAATGAGAACTTTATTTGCACACCAAAAAAAAAAAATTGGCCGAATTTATCAAAACAGTGGATTATTTGCAATCATGGGTGCTTGGAAACTGTCTTAGCCTGGATTCCCCCTAAAGCAGAGCCTGAGACAAAGACCCCAAGCAGGGAGCTGTCTTAGGAATTCAATCCCAGAGAGCAGGAGTGAGGGGCAGGGGCGGAACAAAGGAAGAAGCAAAAGCCAGATCAAGGATGCACTGCTGAGTTGGCCACCAGCGCTGAAGGGCCTGTGTCAAGCATCTCAGAACTGTCCCTCAGGGGCCAAAGGGGGAAATATTTACTCATCAGCTTCAATCTCCCATTGGTCAAGGCTGTCCCACAGGCAACAATTCTTCTGGGTGAATGTGGAGTGATTCCCAGGGCAGGAAGATAGAGGTGGAGACTGGGGGAGGGGAGGTGCTGTCAGCTCACGCTTGGGCAGAGCTGGTTGAAACTTGTGCAGAACGGACCCCAGGGTAGTGGCTGTACTAAGAGAGAAGAGGCTGAGAAGATGTGACGTGATGCACATAAGCTGTCCTATGCAGTAGTCAGCTTCATCGCGTGTGACACAGGCAGCTCACAGCTAATGTGACAAGTCAGTGGGAAGGACACCATGGTCAAGAACAGCTGAAGTGGATCAGAAGGTCAAAACTGGAAGGAGGCTGGGCGTGGTGTCTCACGCCTGTAATCCCAGCACTTTGGGAGGCCGAGGCGGGAGGCTCACTTGAGGTCAGGTGTTTGAGACAAGCCCGGGCAACACAGGGAGACCCTATCTCTACAAAAATAAAAATAAAATAAATTAGCCAGGCATGGTGGTGCACACCTGTAGTCTCAGCTACTCAGGAGGCTGAGGTGGGAGGGTCGCTTGAGCCCTGGAGTTTGAGCTGCAGTGACAGTGATCACGCCACTGCACTCCAGCCTGGGTGACAGAGCAAGACTCTGTCTCAAAACAAAAACTGAAGGAGTCCCAGAGCCAATGGACTCACGGGACAGACAGCTAGGGAAACTGAGGTCCAGAGAGGGTTCAGGCAGAGGCAGGCTAGAGAGTCTCCCTTTCAGAGCCAGAGATGGTTCCTGAGGCCATCTGGGTGACTTGCCAGCTTCATGCCTGGCACACACTTAATGATCAAAACTAGGAATGATATCAACAGTGACAATAACAGTAATGGCTCCTGATGTGAGGTTCCGTGTTCTGGCTGCTAAGCCCCTCGGCCTCCAGGGGCACTTTGGGCGTAACTGCACAGCAAGGTCTCCACATGCTTTCATTCTTCTGCTATTAATTTTAGTGCAATGGCAGTCAAGGAGTAAAAGCAGTGCTTTCACCTGGATATGCCAGCTCTGGCACCAGGATGCACTGGAGACTCACATCTAATGGGGGGCCTGGACCTCAGCTCTCTCTCTGAGTTAAGGGCAGTGTGTGGAAGGAGCTTTGTGGTGAGGCTGTTCTAAAGCTACCTTTGGCTTCTTGAATTCCCTTTGTCCTTCAGAAGTGCATTCGATACAGGAGTCCTGGGACTTTCCCAAGCTTACCAGCTTGGGGCCAGCACCTGTTCACCCTGGCAAGAGATCCTGGGCTTAACCTGTGGCAGGAAGGGATTTCCAGGTTCTTTTGGAAACCTCACGGCGGTGAGTTCTCTTCCTAGAGCTCCTTTTGCCCCCTTGCCTCCCAAGTGCAGGCCCCTCTGGGTCAGCACTTCCCTGCAGTCCTGCCTTTCCCACCTGGCTCTCAATCCTTTGACCTCCCCCCAACCCCACCACCAACTTTGTAAATAAAAATCCCTATATTTTCAGCTCTTTCACGGTCCCTTATTCCAACCTTGCTGTCACCACAGCTGGCTCTCTGTAGAGGACAGCGGTTCCTGGCAGCCTCTGGAGGGGACACTGCAGGTGTGCACACCTGGATTGAGACTGACACCCCCAGCAACATAACAGAACCACTCAAGGGGATGCTGGAGCTGGTACATACCAGCTTACCAGAGCAGATTGTACATATTGGTCAGCAACTTCCTGTCCGTGGCGTGAAATAGCCCATGGGGCATGGTGGCAGGTGCCTGTAATCCCAGCTACTCGGGAGGCAGGAGAATCACTTGAACCCAGGAGGCAGAGGTTGCAGTGAGTCAAGATAGCTCCACTGCACTCCAGCCTGGGCCTGGGCAACAGAGTGAGACTCCATTTCAAAAATAAAAGAAATAGCCCATGGGAGCTGTATTTACACTATGGAAATCAGCAAATGCTATAAGCCAGGTTTAGGGTTTTTCTCTGAAGAGCCTGTTGTTAAACACCTACCAGCACACCATGAACCCCTGATTCTCCTCCTTCTGCCCCTTTGAGACTCTCACCATCCAGGCAGACCCCTGGCTATGTTTGAATGTGTCCCCCAAAGTTCGTGTGTTGGAAACTTAATCCCCAAAGTGACAGTGTTAGAGGTGGAACTTTTAAGAGCTGATTAGGCCGTGAGGATGCCACCCTCATGAATGGATTCATGCTGTTATAGTGGGAGTGGGTTCCTTATAAAAGGACAAGTTCAGCCCCTCTTGCACTCTCTCTCTCTCTCTCTGTCTCTGTCTCTCCTCGCCTTCCCCCATCACCCTGTCTCTCCCTCTCCCTTCCTTGCCCTTCTGCCTTCTGCCATGGAATGACACAGTAAGAAGGGCCTTATAAGACACCAGTAACTTGATCTTGGACTTCCCAGCCTTCAGAACTGTGAGAAAAGAAATTTCTTTTCTTTCTAAATTACCCAGTCTTGGCCAGGCACGGTGGCTCAGGCCTGTAATCCCAGCACTTTGGGAAGCCAAGGTGGGCGGATCATCTGAGGTCAGGAGTTCAAGACCAGCCTGGCCAACATGGTGAAACCCCATCTCTACTAAAAATACAAAAATTAGCTGGGTATGATGGCCCACACCTGTAATTCCAGCTACTGGGGAAGCTGAGGCAGGAGAATCGCTTGAACCCGGGAGGCGGAGGTTGCGGTGAGCTGAGATCATACCACTGCACTCCAGCCTAGGAGAGAGAATAATAATAAATAATGATAATAATAAATTACCCAGTCTCAGGTATTCTGTTATAGCAGCACAAAACAGACTAAGACCCCACCTCCTTTTCCTTCGTCATCATGCTCACCTACCAATCTCTTCTATCTCATTCATTGCAGACAGTGGCACTAGCTCACAGCTTCCATACCCAATTCCTGCCACCCTTCAGAGGCTTACAGCCTCCTCCTGGCAGGCCCACCACCCTGGCCTCCTTGGCTCACCCTCCTACACTCTCAAGTGCCTTGGCAGCCATCTTTTTTGGCCTGACTTTGCTGCCTCCTATGTGAATAGGTAAATGCCAACGATGTCCAGAAAGTGATGGCATGATCCCCAACTACAGCAGAATTTCATACACAGCTGGGCTTCACGGTCCCTGTCCCCTCTCCACACATAGGACCTGATTCCCTTCGGTTGCACTTTGGGTCCCCGAGAGGTATGACTCAGTCCCCCAGTGTGGGGTGAGTCTACTCCTGGTTCCTGCCCAGTTTTGAAGGATGTGGGCACAGCGGAGGGACTCAGGCCCTGGATTGGCCCATCCGGTCTCTGGGCCATGCCCACAGCCTGCTCAGAGCAGAGAGTCAGGCTGCATGAGGACTCAAGGGGTCTGAGTTCTGCTCCCTACTCCACCACAGCTTTACCAGGTGCTCTGGATTAACCACGTGCTCTCCCTGTGCCAACTTTTCTATAAAATGGGGATACATAATTCCTACACCTCTTATGTAGGGAGAATCAGAGGAGCTAGGGCTTTTCCGCTGGAAAGTCGATCTTGGTTGAAGATGGCTTAGAGTCCTGGTGAGAAAGAGTCATTGTGAGCTCCTTGAGGGCAGGGATTTCATCTAACTCCTTTGAGTATCCCCAGCCTGGCCCCAAAAAGGTCCAGTTGGTGGATCCTGGCAGAATAGCCAAGTACTGAAGGTGACCACCAACCGCTGGTCAGCAGCTGGTGAAGCGAATTGAAACCCCACCCTGAACAGTTGCTGGGTGCAAAGAACTTAGTCCCCCAGGCCATGCTCGCAGGATGCAGCCCCTCAGTCAGGTATGTGCAGAGGATGGGAGGCCTCAGCTGCTTCTGGGCAGGATGCTCTCTCCCTGGCTTCTTCCTTCTGCTGTAACTCCCTTGGGGATCTCACTTCCAGAATCTACAACTGTGGTCTGGGAACCACACTTTTGAAAACCACTAGGGATTGAGACCATGGTGTTAACAATTTTGTTTTCAAGATGAGGAAGTTGAGGTCTAAGATGCCTTTACGAGGGGTCCCATAATGATTCAAGAGCAGGAATTCACTGCCTCCGGAGTCTGGAGGAGCCCAGGAGGGCAGGTACTTGCTACTCCATCAGCGGCGCCAGCCAAGTGGGCATGCGTAGGCAGTGACTGCCATCCTCTGGCCAGCCGTGGTAAAGCCCCTGGCTAGTGGCTCCACTGTGGTGGTCTGTGTTCCCGACTGGGGACTGTCAAGGACCCTGATTGCAGGGTAGGAAGCCAGTTCCAAGAGGTTCCCTGATTCAGTATCCATGGACCAGCTGAAGAAAGGAGTGATGTGTCCTTGTGGGTTTGGATTTGAATCCAGACTCCCGCCTCTGGCCCCATAATTGTCCTGCCCTCACCCTCTCCATACCCCTTTCTTTCCTGTGAGCTCCTGTTTCCCCGCTTTCCCTCCCTAATACTGTGGAATTATGAACAAAAAAATCAGCTACACCCAATTCAGCATGGGTTTCCATCCTTACTCTGCCTTGCTGGCTGAATGACCCTGCAGAAGCCACTTCGCCTTTCTCAGGGTCAGTTTCCTTCTCTGTGTGAAACAGGGTGACTCCCTCCTCCGTAGCACTAGCGAGAGTTATTTCTCAGGGCGTGGCCCAGTCCATACATCCACCATCACAGCTCTCCCAGTGTTTGAAACCAAAATTAAAATTTGAAGACATTAGTGTCTCCAAAGTGGAATGTGTATACCCCAGACAGTGAGCAAGACCGTCTGGAGTATAGGAAGAAAATATTAGATCTTCTGATATTTATTTTTATCTTGTCCCTCTTCTATTTTTATATTTGTTTTATAATGTACATAAATATTATAGTAGTATAAATACATATATATTTATAAATAATGTACACACAGGAGAATGCATGGTGATAATTTTTTGTTTTTAATTAATTAATTTATTTTTTTCGTGAGAGAGGGTCTTGCTCTGTCACCCAGGCTGGAGTGCAGTGGCACCATCTCAGCTCACTGCAGCCTCTGCCTCCGGGCTTAATAGATCCTCCTACCTTAGCCTGCTGAGTGGCTGGGACCACAGGCATGTGCCACCACACCTAGCTAACCTTTTTTACATTTTTGCAGGGAGGGGTTTCATCATGTTGCCCAGGCTAGTCTCAGACTTATGAGCTCAAGTGATCCACCTGCTTCGGCCTCCCAAAGTGCTGGCATTACAGGCATGAGCCACCGTGCCCAGCCAGTAATAAATTTTTAATAATAGGTACATGTGGTCACTGCTTTAGAAAAGAGGAGGCATAACTTTCTAGAAGTTTCCTTGTGAGGAAATGCTCAGAGTGGCTGATTGCTGGGTGAAGTCTGGAAGTTGCCCTGGCTATAAACTTCAGAGATGTAAATACCCTTAGCCATCTGGCAAGCTAGTGAGGAAAAGAGACCTGGGGGCTTTCAGGGCCTTCCCTAACAGTGGGCTGTATGTTTGAGACGTCCCAGAATGGCAATTGTAAGAGTAATCCTAGCTGGCATTTATTGAGTGTTTTCCTTGTGCCAGGCACTGTTCTAAGCATTTTACATATTTTAACTCTATTAATCCTCATATCAGCCCTAAAAGGAAAGTTCTAGTATTATCCCCATTTTAGTGATATCCCAGTGGGGTTACATAATTTACCAGAGCCTTGGGTGGAGCAGCCAAGATTGAGCCCAGGCATTGTGCTCTAGAGGCCAAGTTGTTTAACCCCTTTGTGCCAAAACTGGAAACAAAAAGCGCCTGGGGCCTATCTGGTGGGGCATGGAGGAGAGAAGGAGGTGCTGCTTGATGAAAGCGGGGAAGCTTGTGGGGCAGAGTGAGGGTGGCATCTGTAGAAGGAGAGGGGCACCACATGAGACACTGTGGCCCGCAGGAGGGGAGGGAAGAGGGGGACTAGGAAGAAGGAGAGTCGGGTGTCAGCTGTGGGGTCCAGAGAGGAAACCTGGGATAAACATCAGAAAGGGCAGGTGGGGTCCCTGACATCAGACTCTGCCAGCTGGGGTTCTGAGGAGAGCCTTGAGAGCTCTACACAGGGCAGATGTGGCCCATGGACCTCCCTCTCCTTCTCCCTGTGCTGAGCAGAGAGCAGGACTTTTGCCTGCACCCCTCTCCAGACCTGCTGATTCATGTCTTTCCCGGGAAGTCAAGTAAGCCTTCCCGGAACTGGGGCGGAGGCAGCTCTTCCTCCCAAGGAGGTAGTGAGCTCCCTGTCCTTGGAGGTATTCAAACAGAGGCTGGATGATCCCATGGTGGGGTTGTATAGAGGGAGAGAGGTATGAGATAGATCTGTGAGGTTCTTCTTCATTCAGAAATGCTTGGACCTGTGACTGAGTGGAGAGGAGAAGTATAGGGGTAAGTCCTGGGACACTGTGGCCTAGTATCATTCTTCCTGCTTGAGCCTCTCTGTGGGTCTGCTCTATGCAGGGCTAGTTGGAAAGGCAGTGAATGACTCAGGGAACAATTATGTCCCTGTGGGGCTGCAGCCTTAGAGGGGGCCTCCCAACCTTGGCCTCTTTATGAATTGTAGAGCTTTTCAGGGCAGCCCTTACATCTTGGAGCTACTTCATCATTAGCCTGGATGTTTACCTATCTTATTCTAAAATCTTTTCATTTCCTCCTGACCTGGAAGACCAGAACTCTAATTACAGATGTTTAAATGTCACATACAATGGCAAGTCTCTCCAGATTTGCTTTACAATGGGCATTCCGTGGATCTGTGAACTTTGATAGGAAAATAATTATATCTTTATTTCCCTTAAACTGTAACTGGAATTTAATATCTTCTTTAATTATAAATGTATGCAATAAATCTAGGAGTATTAGTAGTACCTGTGACTTTGTCACCAATACAAATCACAAATATTTTCGTATCACATTGCAGCTGTTGCAAGTAATTCTAAATATTGTTTATGCTCACTGCTACTTTAAAATTACAGAACAGGCTGGGAGCCATGGCTCATGCCTGTAATCCCAGTACTTTGGGAGGCTGAAGTGGGCAGATCACCTGAGCCCAGGAGTTTGAGACTAGCCTGGGCAACATGGCAAAACCTCTTCTCTACCAAAAAAAAAAAAATTACAAAAATTAGCCGGGCATGGTGGCACATGCCTGTAGTCCCAGCTACTTGGGAGGCTGAAGCGGGAGGATCGCTTAAGCCTGGAAGATTGAGGCTGCAGTGAGCAGTGATTGCGCCACTGCACTCCAGCCTGGGTGACAGAGCGAGACCCTGTCTCAAAAATAAAATAACAGAAGATATTAGACATGCTGCATTAATAAAGCACATATACTACTGTTTCACAAATATTTTGATAACTACTTTGATATAATTGGTTTCCTTTGTAATCCTATGTGGCTTGTTCTTATGTACTTGAAAACATTATTCTGCCCCACCTGGCTGTTCTGTGATCTCATGACCTTTGAGTGGGAACTCAGACTCAGGAGGGCTGCTGCCAGCACTGGCCCAAATGACTTCGGTGGTTTTTACAGCACGCTGGAGAGAATCTGAGAGGATTCCCTGGCAGGAATTTGAGGATTATCTGGGTGATGCATCAGTGATTACAATTTTGTTTTTACCAGTTTTGCTAAGCAGCAGCAATAGCAGAGGTGATTAAGAAAAATGAAAGAAAAAAATGCAAAAAGAGAACAGGCAGAGACGGTGGTAGCTGCTTTCTTGATGTTGATACTGAGGGCCAAGCTTTCCACCACCCCCTTGTAGTTGCAGAAAGCCTCAGATGTAATGGTAGTGTTACGGGATCTTTGGACGGGTGTGGGAGGTATTGATTTTCTTCCTGGGAGCGCCTTTGCCTGAGTTCTTGTCCTGTGTCCAGGAATAATGAGGTACTCGAAGAACTTACTGAGTGTTAAGCAGCTCAGAGAAGACCCGCAGTGGGTAGCTCCTCTGAGCAAGTCATCCCATGGAGTGTTCAGCTCTCAGCAGACAGGAGGCCTGGAGAGGGTAGCTCCCCCTCTGCCCACTGGTTATCCTGCCACCTGCTGCTCTCAGCAGAAAGAAGACCCAACCCTGGAGAGGGGAGCTGCTCTCAGCAAAAAGAAGACCTCACCCTGTAGAGGGGGGCTGCTCTCAGCAGAGAGAAGACCCAACCCTGGAGAGGGGGACTGCTCTAGGGGATCCTGGCGGGGGGTGCTCCTGGAGAAGGAGGCTGTTCTGGGGGATCCTCTCCTCAGGTCATTTGGAAGTCTCTACAGGAGGAGGGGGGCCTCCTCTCCGCAGGTCCTTTGAAAGGCTCTGCAGGTCTCTGCAGCTCTGGCAGAGAGGGTAGCTCCTTTCTACAGCTACTCTTCCCGCTGTCTCTCCATCCTCTCCTGCAGTTTGGCTGAGCCCAGGGCTTTTATGGACCTCAGAAGGGAGGAAGTGTGTGCTGACTGGCCCATGGGCGGCCATGGGTGAGCCTGGAGGAGGCACCACAAGCTCCCACTCAGGTCTGTGGGACTGGCAGCCTGGTCCCCAGTCTTCAGTCCCTCCCTGACCTGAAGGTGGGGCCTTACTGGAGACCTACCCCCTTCTGCCCAGGAATCGATCTGCCTCCTACTGTCATTCATGGCCCCTGGGGCTTGGCCCCAAGCCCTGCTCCATGATCAGAGCAGGGGCGGCAGCAGAGAGAGGCCAGGCAGCAGGAACAGACACCCCCTAGCGACGGGGTGCGGTGGGGTCCTTTCTGGGGTCCACGAGGGTGCAGGCTGCAGAGACCCTCTGGGTCCTGCACCTAGGAGGGCAGATCTTGCCTGCTCCCAGCCCCCTCCAAGAGCACCGGGAGGCTCGGATCCACAGCCGCTGTTTGGGCAGTTGTAGCCCCGCCCAGGAGGGTGGCGACCCTGCCTGCTCCGTAAAGCAGGAGGCCTGGATCTGCAACTGCTGTTTGGGCGGCTGCAGCAGCACCTGGGGAGCTCTCCCCAACTCAGAAGGGGGAGGCATCCACCAGCATGCAGCCCCAGCTGTGCCTCCCTGCCGCAGCCCGGTGATGGCAGCAGCTACTGCAACAATAGTGTAAACAGTGGCCGGGCGCGGTGGCTCACGCCTGTAATCCCAGCACTTCGGGAGGCCAAGGCAGGTGGATCACGAGGTCAGGAGATCGAGACCATCCTGGCTAACACAGTGAAACCCCGTCTCTACTAAAAAAAACACAAAAGAAAATTAGCCGGGCGTGGTCGCGGGGGCCTGCAGTCCCAGCTACTCAGGAGGCTGAGGCAGGAGAATGGCGTGAACCCAGGAGGCGGAGCTTGCAGTGTGCCGGGATCGCGTCACTGCACTCCAGCCTGGGCGACAGAGCGAGACTCTGTCTCAAAAAAAAAAAAAAAAAAAGGGTAAACATTTTGAACTGTATGCATTATTATATCAAGGAGTAGCATATCTTGCATGAATGCTCTCTTTTGTGTCTAGGTATTCTAAACACTCTTAATGTGAAAATGAAGTGCATGTAGCAAAAACCTTTTATTATAAGAAACTTTACAACACTTGTGAAAAAAATTAAATTTGGTTTGTGCACAGTGTAACCTTTCTCCAGATATTGTCCAAAATTACACACGCACAAACCGTTCACCCTAATTAGGCGTTGGCCTCAACCTAAACATCTGGGACTGTTATCTATTAAACTGCTGCCAGAATCTTACATCCAGTTACCTCCACTTTCTAGAACATATTCTCTAATAATGCCATAGAAACCAATTTCTACTCCATACTGATGTTTTTTTGCAACAGCAATTAAAATTTTTTCTTCCAAAAAACCCCATTGTTCTGGGACAGGATTCATTGGTTTCATCAGATGCCTGAGACGTCCACAGTGTAAAAAAGGCCAATTATTCTAGCTTTATAGTCCCAATGCTAAGGTCATGCCAATGATCCCATATGTCTGGCCCTCTGGGGGAATGTGGTGAAAGTAGGTACTTAATACATCCTTTTTGAATGAATGGTTTGGAGTTCTTGTCATAATTATAGAATTATAAAGCTGGAAAGTCTTTAGAAAGTCTTTATTACAATGATTTTCAAAGTGTTTGGCCATGACTCATAGCAAGAAATGGATTTTCACTTGTGACCCAGTAACCGCATGGGTGAAACAGTTTTTATAAAACATGATGTAACTTTACTATGTATGATGCACTCTTATATCTTCTATTCTACTTCTTTCTTAATGTATTCCATTTCTCTTTTTTGAGATGATTAATTGAATTTTTATCCAAAACAACTGGCTTCAATTGAAAATTATTAGTAGCAGATTTGGGAGCAAGTAAACAGAAATGGAAAGCCTTAGTATTTGGCTTAATTATTCTAAAAGCACACTGATCACATTTATGCTTTTTTAATTTTAAATTTTAATTAAATTTTAAGTTAAAAGGCATAAATGTGATCAGTGTGCTTTTAGAATAATTTGAAGGTGGGGTATTTAAAGTTAATGTGTAGAAAAGAAAAAAAACCTTACATAACCCCAGATCACACAAATTAAAATTCACTTAGTCATACAGTTGTGAGCACTTTTGACAGCCAAAATTTCACCCTTCTTAAAGTAGGAGTCTTTCAAAAATACTTCTTCATATTCAAAAGCTAAAAGTTAGAGTGAAGATGGCCCAATTATCTCGGTGTGGGAGAGGTTACATAATAATCTATTTCCAAAACCCACAAAAACCCGTAAATGTCACCAACAAAAACAAAGCAGCAGATTGGCCAAAACTAAGGCAACTGGTTATACAGGAAGGCAGCAGGTCACTCATTTAACTGCTAAAAGCCATTGCTTTGTAGTACTAATGTTAATTCCTTTCCACACTTCAGGAACCCACATCCCAGCCATTGCAGGGTCAGTTTCTGTGTATTTAGCTCTGTGGAATGTGCCCGAACACCAGTCAGCACTTAAGTCAATCTAAGTTTGAAAATCAGCTCACTGGCTTCATGATATAATTTGTACATTCTTCCTTAGCTTCAGGGGCACATGCCTGACCCTGGTCCAATAGATCCAGAATGGTTACAAGGATATCTTGACTTATAAGAGATGCCACATAAGAATTTTGACAATTCAGTCTTGAAGTCTGCTCACTTTGACCCAAACTTTTTAAGCCAGTGACATGCAGAGGGTCCACTGGGGCTGGATGAAATTTCTATGGACAGAGATGTCACAGAGCTGGGAAGGAGAGAAATAGCTCTCCAGTCAATGTGACTGAGAAAAATTAGTCATATCACTCTGAAACATGTGAACTTGAGGGTTAAGGATGCTGGCATGCAGGGAAGTCATGTGTGCAGCAGAAGAGCTGCAGGATGTCTTCTCTTTTGTGTTAATGTGAGATTACTGAGGACAAGAGAATAGGTCCTGGGAGATGTGGGTGTATTTGCCAATTTCTCACCACACATAGCCTCCTCAAAAAGCCCCCAAAGATGGCCAGGTGCAGTGGCTCATGCCTGTAATCCCAGCAACTTGGGAGGCAGAGGTGGGTGGAGCACCTGAGGTCAGGAGTTTGAGACCAGCCTGGCCAACATGGTGAAACCCCGTCTCTACTAAAAAAAAAAATACAAAAAAAAATTAGCCGGGTGTGGTGGTGGGTGCCTGTAGTCCCAGCTACTGGGGAGGCTGAGGCAGGAGAATCACTTGAACCCAGGAGGCAGAAGTTGTAGTGAGCCGAGATTGCGCCACTGCACTCCAGCCTGGGTGACACAGCAAGACTCAGTCTCAAAAGAAAAAAAAGCCCCCAAAGATGAACTTCACCTAGTTGTAAGTGGTCTAATAGTCCTCCGTCTCTCTCTCTATATATATATTTGAACTTCAAAACTAGTTTTTTCGAAAAATATTTTTTAGAGCCAGGGTCTCACTCTGTCACCCAGGCTACAGTGCAGTGGCCCAATCATAGCTCACTGCAGCCTCAAACTCCTGGGCTCAAGTGATCCTCACTTCTGCCTCCTGAGCAGCTGGGTCTACACGTGCACACCACTGCGTCTGTAACTTTAAAATTTTTTGTAGAGATTGGGTCTCGCCATGTTGCCCATACTGGTCTTGAAATCACGGCCAGAAGCAATCCTCCCCCCTTGGCCTCCCAAAGTGCTGGGATTACAGGAGTGAGCCACCACATCTGAGCCACAGGGCGGCCTCCATAATGGGGCATGAGCCTCTTCCCATCTTTTTTTGTTGTTGTTATTCGAGACAGTCTCACTCTGTTGCCCAGGCTGGAGTGCAGTGGTGTGATCTGTGCTCACTGCAACTTCTGCCTCCAGGGTTCAAGCGATTCTCCTGCCTCAGCCTCCCAAGTAGCTGGGATTACGGGCACATGCCACCACACCCGGCTAATTTTGTTTTTGTTTCTGTTTTTTTTTTTTTTACTTGAGACGGGGTTTCACCATATTGGCCAGGTTGATTTCAAAACTCCTAACCTCAAGTGATCCACCCACTCCGACTCCCAAAATGCTGGGATTACAGGCATGAGCCACCACACCCAGCCCCATCTCTTTTTTTTTTTTTGAGACGGGGTCTAGTTCTGTTCCCCAGGCTGGAGTGCAGTGGCGTCATCACGGCTCAATGTAGCCTCAACCTCCAGGGCTTAAGCGATCCTCCTGCCTCAGCCTCCCAAGTAACTGGAACTACAGGCATGTGCTAATTGTTTTTATTTTTAGTAGACACGAGGTCTCTCGCTATGTTGCCCAGGCTGGTCTGGAAACCCAGAGCTCAAGCAAGCCTCTCACCTCGGCTCCCAAAGTCCTGGGATTACAGACGTGAGCTACTCTGCCTGGCCCTCAAAAAAAAAAAAAAAAAAAGTCAGTTGACAACCTATTAAACTGATATCTGTCACGTTAATGGGTCATGACTAGCAGTTTGAAAGACAAAGCTCGATTTCACTGAATTTATTTCAGCAACAGAAGTTATTAGCTTTAGTCCAATCTCAAAAGTACAAAATGAAATTGCAACACAAACCTCTAAACCTGCAGTTGCCGGAAGCTAAACGTCTGCGCTTCCGGAAGCAAATTTCCAACTACCACTCCTCTGGAAGCAGGACCTGGCTTCCTCCCTCCTCTCTCCGCCCACCCTCGTCGGCGTCTGCCCCGCGCCCGCCATAGCGACGGCAACGGGCGCTGCGGAGTGCTCCGAGCCGTGAGGGCGGGGCCGGCGCGATGCCCCGCCCCTTCGATAGCTCATCTTTGCGCGTCGCAGTCGCGCGGAGCCCGGCTTCCGACGTGCAGCCTGGCAGTGCAGTGGTGAGTTGGAGCGCAGGGCCGTTGGGGATTGGGGTCATTAGGGCCGTTGACAGTCCAGGCCAGAGGGCGAGTGAGCGAGGTTGGGCCCGAGGCTGCCTGTAAGCAGGTCCGTTCAGGGATGCTCCAGGCCCTGGGGCCTGAGGGTGGCTTCCATGGCTCCATTTGCCCTGGCTGTTCCTCGGTGTACGGGGCCTGAGGGGAGTGGGGGAGGCCCGTGGGTGGCCTCCTTTTGCGTCCTGAGAATGTTCTGGGCAGTATCGAGATTAGGGCTGGTTTCTCTGCGGAGGAGATCATTTATCCGTAGCTGGGAGGGCTGTATTAACCGAAGTTTTCCAGTAGTGGGCCACGCTGTCTTAGGTAGCGTGCTGGACAGATACAGACATCACTGGACGGGTACAGACAGAGGCTGGGTTCGCTTTACGCCAAGTACCGTGCAATACTGTGGGCTGTTGACTTGCCTGAGTAGTTTCATAGAGGCATCTGTAGTGTTCCTTGGAAACACTGAGTCAGTGATGAATTCTGCCTAGGAAATTTAGGGAAAAGTTTCCCAAAGAGAGAAGATGGCAAGAGAGGGCTAAGGTCTAAAGTCTCTTAGCTCTGACCTTCATAAGACCCTGAAGTAAGAGGTAGTGTATCTTGGTAGCCTATACTATAGCTTGTATCCACCTTTTAGTGTCCCTTGGGGAAGCTTCCTTAACCGCTTCTAAGCCTCCCTTTTCTTACTAGAAAAGTGGAACTGATAATAAAAAAATAGTAGTTCCCCCCTTATCTGCGGGGTGTACGTTCCAGTGGATGTCTGAAATCTTGGATAGTGAAGGACCCTGACTGACTTACCGTGGTTTGACTTACAATTTTTCAACTTTACATAGGTTTATTGGGAAGTAACCCCATTGTAAGTTGAGGAGCATCTATACTGTGTTTTTTCTCATACAGATTACACATACATACCTGTGATTACTTAGTTTAATTCGTAAATTAGGCACAATAAGAGAATAACAACAATAATAATAAAATAGAATTATAACAGTGTAATAAAATGTATGTGAATGTGGTCTCTCTCAAAATATCTTACTGCACTCTACTCACCTATTTTTGGACTACGGTTGACCTCTGGAACTGTGGAAATCAAAACCTCAGCTAAAGAACTACTGTACCTAGTAAGCGGGGTTATGAGGTTTCAGTGAGCTAAATCTTTGTGTATTACTTAAAATAGGACCGGATTCATTGTACATCCTCAAATGTGCACTCATTGATAGAATCACACCCTTGTCTTTTGGAGCCCGGGTTTTTGGAAGCTGGCTTACCGCAAGCCTTCCTCCTTTTTTTGTTTCTATCCATTGCCAAATGTGAGGCCCAGAATGACAGGGAAGAGGACAAGCCTGTGCTTCAGCAGGCAGAAGGCTGTGCTGAAGCAGAGGTTGAATACCATTCCCATTAGCCAAACTGGCTTGAGCACTTTCCTGTCTTTCCTACCCTGGGCAGAAAGAACCCTGTTCATGGGTCACAAATGAATAAAACACTACCAACCTGTCTGTAATCCCAGCACTTTGGAAGGCCAAGACAAGAGGATCGTTTGAGGCCAGGAGTTTGATACCAGCCTGGGCAACATAATGAGAACTTGTCTTTACAAAACCAAAACAAAACACTACCAATTTGAGATCTTCATAGGCAAGGATTAGTTATAAATTGTTTGTTTGTTTGATTTCCTGTTATTGGAAAACCTTCGGCAGCTTTTTAGGCTGGCAGATTTAAAGAAAGTAACCTGAACCTGGATGCCTTAACTGTGTGGTCCCTTAAACTGCCAATGGGTAGAATTGCGAGGGCCGTGAACTTGGCTGAGAGGAAAAATTGCATCTTTATGTTTCCTAACCTCCAACTGAAATTTAGCATTTTCTTCCACTGTGAATGTAGGCAACAAATCACATTATTAGCAGTGTGACTTTGTTATGAATATAAATTATAGATATTTTCATATCATGATATTGTGTAAGCTCATTGCAACTTCGAAATTATGGTAGTTATTAAATTTGCTTCTAGATCACATATATAATGTGTCAGTAAAGAAGCACATATGTTTTTGTATTTTGATAAAATTTTAGCATACAGTCTATCCTCATTATTTGTGGATTCTGTATTTATGAATTCACCTACTTACTAAAATTTGTCTGTAGCCCTCAAATTAATACTTACAATGCTTTTGTGGTCTTTGGAAGACATGACATTTTTTCACGTGAAAAATTTTAGTTGCCTGATGCACATGTTCTCAACTGAAGTCAAACAAGGTGACACTGCCTTCTTGTCAACTCTCATATTGTAAGCAAATGTCATTTTTGCAGTCTTTGGTGCTACATTTTTCTCATCTTTGTGCTTTTTGTCGGTGATTCCACTGTTTGAGATAGCCCCCAAGCATAGTGCTGAGGTGCTTCTAAATGCAAGAAGATTGTGATTTGTCTTATGGAGAAAATATGTGTGTTAGATAAGCTTTGTTTAGGCATGAGTTCAGTATTAATGAATTACTAATGTATATTCAGTAAGTGCCTTTAAACATAAACACACATAAAACATGATTATGTATTGATTGGTTGACAAGAATGTGCCCAGAGGCTTTCAGGAACCTGTTTCCCCAAGGAACAGTGGTTCTGTGTTGGATAATTTAGTGTCTGTAGCGACTTCATAGAACATAATTGTTGTGAATAATGAGAACCTACTGTAATTGGTTTCATTTCTAAACCTGTGTATTTTCTGTAAAGACATCCTGAGCCTGAGTCTGGTGGCTCATACCTGTAATCCCAGCACTTTGGGAGGCCAAGACAGGAGGATTGCTTGAGCCCAGGAGTTCAAGACCAGCCTAGGCAACATAGGGAGACCCCATCTCTACAAAAAATTAAAATATCCAGACATGTTGGCACGCACCTGTAGTCCCAGCCACTCGGGCTGAGGTGGGAGCAAGACTTGGCCTGGGAGGTTGAAGCTGCATTGACCATGATTGTGCCACTGCACTCCAGTCTGGGTGATGGAGCAAGACCCTATCTCGAAAAAAAAAAGTCCGCCAAAGGGGGTCTTTGGCACACACAAAGAAATAAGAACCATTAGCCCTTAATGTAGCCTGAGAAATTAGATCTATCCTTTTTTTTTTATTTTTTATTTTTATTTTTTAAGATGGAGTCTCGCTCTGTCACCCAGGCTGGAGTTCAGTGGCACAATTTCAGCTCACTGCAACCTCCGCTGCCTAGGTTCAAGTGATTCTCCTGCCTCAGCCTCCTGAGTAGCTGGGATTACAGGTGTGCGCCACTACACCCAGCTAATTTTTGTATTTTTATTAGAGACGTGGTTTCACCATGTCAGCCAGGATGTTCTCAATCTCTTGACACGTGTCTCCCTCCAGCTTCTGCCCTTATTTACCTGCCTGTTGGCTCTTAAAGGCATTTTTGGTTGAGACTTTTGCATGTAAAATAAGAACTTTGCCATCTTTGGATTCCCCCATGTTTGTTTGTTTGTTTTTAATAAATAATATTTAATATTAAAAGGAGCTGTGGTTTTTTTCTCTCTAAAGAGCAGGAAAGGACAGAGACTGGTCGCTCTCTGCAGTCACACTTGAGGTGAAGAAACCATGGGATAGAATTAGCTGTTAGTTGAGTCCCTAGGTTCAGAGGAAGAAAGAAGACCATACCACCTGGTAGGGAGTGCGAAGGAGGTTCCAGGGACTGATCCATAGAAGGGTGTCAGAACAACTTCATAATAAAGAGTTGCCTTATTTTCTTGGTCAAGGGGAACTTCCTGTGTGCCTTCTATCCTGATGACACCCCCTCACTGAAATCCTGGTGTTGTTTCCACAGAGCTGTCTGGCCTTTTGTCCTTGATCCTTGGTTAAGGAAATGACCAACCAGGTAAGACCTGTGTTGAAGGGAAAAACATCAATTGGTCTCTTTGCCAAGTTCAAGTCCAGTAGGTTTTCTGGATGTGTAGTCAAGAAACTAGCATCTCATTCTTGCCTGGCTCCTAAAGAGCTGGGTGACCCTGGGTACCTAGTCACCACAGTGTTAGGTGGGACTAGTGAAATGCAAATACTGAGAGGAGGATTGGTTCATCCAAGTCTTTACCACAATTTAGTGAGTAATAGAAGAAGCTTAAAAGATGTTGTACAAAAAAAAAAAAAAAAAGATCAGAATAGGAGATAGAACAGGAGAAACATATCTTTGTAATAAGATTAGGGACAAAGTTAATAGACGGTTAGGCAGGCTGTGTGTTCTTATTGCAGCTGCAAAATTTAAGCTACAAACTGGACTTTGAGCTTCCTTGGTGATCAGAACAGAAAAAGAAAACATAATTTATTGGTCTCTTGTTGAGTGAGTTTGGGTAGTAGGAAGGAGGGGAGAATGTCAGTTTCTTTAAGAATTTTTTTCTGATATGACTGTACAAATCTTGCATGAATGGGAATCAAGGAGCTTGCGGGATGGCCAGGTTGACAGCAGAGGAAGTAACTAACACTGTGGTGACTCTGTCTACTCGGGGAGGAGTGCTTTCTGGAGGCAATGTGAGACATCTGAAATCTGACCATGGGTTTAATGTGGCTTCTGTTCTTTTTTAGTACGGTATTCTCTTCAAACAAGAGCAAGGTAAGTAGCCTGCCTGTTTAAGCAATTCATCTGTGAAAAAAACTGTGTTGTCCCTGGTTTAAGACTTTTGTCATGCTGACCAGACATGCAGTTTTCAAGTATACTCACTTTGCAGAAGAATTGGCAGCTGAAAACAAATACTCTTAAAAAACAGACAACAACAACAACAACAACAAAAACCTGAACAACCAGCTAAAAAAAAAAAGCAGTCATCATGATAGGTTGGGGAATTCTAGGCTGAGGAAAATTTTTCCACCTGAGGAAGACATGATGGAGCTTCCCAGCTGCTGAGGTGGAAGAAGGAAATGCTTTGAGGCTCAAAACTCTGTTAATGCCGGCTCATCTGGGGAGGTGAACGTGAGCCTTTTTCTGAACTCAGAACTTGCTTTGGCCCTTAATGAAAGTGAAGCCTATAATAGTGAAATGAGTTTCTCTTGAGGCCACCGAGTGCATGGGGAGGGCTGGGAGCTGTGCAGCAGTGGCAGTGGCAGGGATGGGAGAGCAGGTGGCAGGTCAGAGTGGGCTGGGATTGTAACTGACCAGTGGTACAGAGCTTTGTACCCAAAAAGGAGCCATGTTTGTGCATGGGCTACTCACCCATCTCATTTCTTCACTATAGCCTCGATGAGTTTGAGAAGGCCTAAGGAATTTGTGGAATGCCTAATAAAAGCTCTTGCTCTCTAAGTAGGTGACATGGAGGTAGTTTGACGTTTAAGCCAAAAGCATCATTCAGGTTAGCTAGTGTAAGTAACTAGTAGGCTAATTGGGCATGCCAGTCAACTACCTTATATGTAGCTATTGTCATCCAGGTGGCAAGTTAGCAGGCTTGAGTTAGGTGAGGTTTGAAATGGAAGCCACAACGCTGTCTGTGGTGCACAGCTGTTTTAAGTTTAATGCCTTTATATTCATATTTTGGGAAGGTATCGCTGGAGAATTGTTGCCAGGCAGGGGTAAAGCCTCCATGTGCACTTGTCACGTTTTTACATCCACACTGGGTCTGCACATACAACAGCATGGCCTACCAAATATGCAGCTTACAGACTTAGACTTAAGGTAGACTTTAATTAATAGAGATTGGATTTGAATCCTAGCACCTCTCATTCCTTGTCTATAAAATGAGGATATTAATAGTACCCACTTCATAGGATTGTTGTAATGTAATAATTGGCCCATTAACCATAATAAAGATACTTGTGGGGAAAGGCAACTTAATATATGGAGGCTATAGTAGGTATTTTCTTTTAGATCTATACTGTTTAGAATTGAACTGCCTGCTTGTTTCGAAAGATCTTTTCGGAGTATCTGTTACCGGGTTTAGGCCTTTTCTTGGTAGGAGGGGGTCTTCCCCACTGGTTTTACTTGTTTTTAGCCAAGTGATAGCCATTGTAGACTCCTATATACCAGATAGCATGCTAAAAGAAAGGACACTGGATTTAGAGTCCGAAGTACTACCTTGTCGCCTGGTAAACATGAGATTTAGGGCAAGTAGCTTCTTCAGAACCTCCAATTTTCATATGTGGCCCCAAAATTTCAATAAAAGCTGTATAGGAAAGCACTTTGTAAAATAGTAAAGCAAATACAAATAAATGTTACCTCACAATTGTTGAACAGTATCTCGGCTTCATTAAGTCGTATGCAAGAAGACTTTATAAATGAAGCACTTTCCATTCTAGCCCATGATGATGCCATTTGGTCAGTTGCTTGGGGGACAAACAAGAAGGAAAACTCTGAGACAGTGGTCACAGGCTCCCTAGATGACCTGGTGAAGGTCTGGAAATGGTGAGTGCCTCTCCCCTAACATACAGCCTTGGAAAATTGGGGGCTGAGGTTTTGCTTCTGAACTCTCCAGTTGCAGTCCGGGAAATACTTTTTTCTAGGCAAGAAAGCAATAGCAATATGGTGGTATAAAACAGCAGCTTATTTTTCCCACTTGTTTTCCTGTTACTCTGTATTAAAGCCCTAAAGTTAAAAAAAAAAAATCTTAAAGTCCTACATTTAAAACCTGGCAGCATTTGGTGTTCTGTAGCTCATTAACTCTTCTCTGATTCTGTATTTCATAGACCATTGGTATTGCATAGTCACAGGGACCCAGAATTTCAGATGCCAGGTAAAGTGTGTTCTTTGTGAAGAAATCCATTTCTCTGTCCCCTGTTGAAGGCGTGATGAGAGGCTGGACCTACAGTGGAGTCTGGAGGGACATCAGCTGGGAGTGGTGTCTGTGGACATCAGCCACACCCTGCCCATTGCTGCATCCAGCTCTCTTGATGCTCATATTCGTCTTTGGGACTTGGAAAATGGCAAACAGATAAAGTCCATAGATGCAGGACCTGGTAAGAGTTTTACTTGTAGGGGAGATAATAGAGGTTCATGATTTCTTTTCCAAAATCTTTAGGGATAGAATGTGTTTTACAGCTCAGAATTTTTTGGATTTGAGAGGGGTGATAATGTGTGCATGAACTGTATTTCACATAATACCCTCAGTGGGGCTGGAAACAGCACTGTAATGAAAGACTAATACCTCTGCAAGTAAACATGAATGTTTACACTAAGGGAGATAAATAAAGGCTATAAATAGCCTTATGTCAATTCAGGTTAGATTTTGCTGCCAAATGAATTTTGGTAGTAAACCTGTAGAAAAAGCTTGTAGTTTCCAGAGCTTTTTGGATTTCAAAACTGCTGGTTTGGCGTTGACCTGTATTTTGCATTTTCCAGAGGTTCTTTATTTGCCATATTCTGAACTGATTCATTCACTGCCTTACGGAAACCTAGAATGTAAAGCATGGGGTCCTTATAGATCTGTATCATGGTCATCTCTACTAATTTTGATTAAAGGGTGTGATTCTTGGTATGTGATACATATGAAACTTTTAAGAAACATCAATTTTTTTTGTTTTAAGTACTGTAGAACAGCATAATCTTGTCCATCAGCCTCAGTAAACATCATCTGAGATGACAGAAATTAATGATGTCATAGGCTGACTAATGTGGAGCAGCAGAGGACATTTCAGGATTCTTTTGAACTTCACATTTACTTATAAATGGCTGCACAACATTCCCCAGCAGAACCTGCTCTGCCAGAATGGGTGGTAACTGCTAGAGGGTGCAGATAGCCTGGCATTTCTCTGGCACACCCCTTTTTGGGTTGATGATAGAAGAGCTGCTTAGGTGTTCCATGAACACAGTTCCCTTGATTGGTGCCCTGGATGGATTCGCCTCCCGCCAGTTATGCTCAGTAGCCACTCTAGGCTGTTCCTGTATTGGAAAGAATGATGGTCCCAGAGTTTTTAAAGAGGCTGGGTTGTCTGGAAACTGAGTGCATTTTCCCTCAGAAGCAATATTTCTTGTCTGTAATTCTTACCACTGGAGCTCTTTTAAGAATATGCCTGCCCAGTCCATATTTTGGATCCACTGAATCATAGTGTTCAGAGTACGTGGGGTGGGATATGTATTTGGAAAAAGCTACCCAGACGCACCCTGACTCCCCTGATGGTTGTCTTTACATGTACCCTTACCCTGCTTACATTACTTACAGAGGACTTGGGTCCCCAAACTATCCTGCAAAGTCTATTAAGACTCCAATATATAAGCATGGTCTTAAGAAAAGAGGAAGAGACAGAACTGTTTCTACCTTTTCATCTTGGGCGCCTAAGCTTTCCCTGGGCTCATAATGCTGGTGTTATTCCATGCTGGTTGTAGCCCTGGGCACAAGGCAGCTGAAGAAATCAGTGCTGGATTGGTTCCAAGTAAAAGGATGGCGTATGTATCTAGCTCACTTTCTCTGATAAACAGTACCTTTTACTGGATATTCTCCAAGTGTGGCAAAGTTTTAAAGGTTACTGTTATGAAAGAAAAAGAAGAGGCCAGGTGTGGTGGCTCACACCTGTAATCCCAACACTTTGTGGGGCTGAGGCGGGTGGATTACTTGAGGTCAGGAATTCAAGATCAGCCTGACCAATATGGTGAAACCCTGTCTCTACTAAAAAATACAAAAAATTAGCTGGACATGGTTGTGTGCACCTGTAGTCCCAGCTACTCAGGAAGCTGAGGCAAGAGAATAGCTTGAACTCGAGATTATGCCACCGTACTCCAGCCTAGGTGACAGAGCAAGACTCAATCTCAAAAAAAAAAAGGAAGAATGGGGTCTGAGAGTTGGATTTATTTTCTTTTTGGATAGGACTCTGCATAAAACTAGACCAGGCCATTAAACAGCCAACAGTTATTTGGTCCAGTAACAAAAGCAAGCATTGCTATTGACAGCTAAAGAGCAGCTAAATTCATCTGAAGGTAAAACTCCTTGGATGAATTTGGGTCTAATGAATGTAGGGAAAATAGACACTTAGTTTCTACCTATCTTGAAAATATGCATGGAGAATCTGAACCACCACACAGGAAGAGAAAAAGAGAAGAGAGACAATCCCCAGTCGTGGAGAAGTAAGGAAGTAGGAGGAAGCGAAGACCATGAGTGTACCAGTCTTTGTGTGGACATATGTTTTCATTAGGAGTAGAATTGCTGAGTATCATGGTAAGTGTTTGTTTTCACTTAAGAAACTGTCAAACTGGTTTTCAAAGTGGCTGTGCCGTTTTACATTCCCACCAGTGTATGAAGGCTCTGGTTTCTCCACATCCTTGCTAACACTTGATATTGTCCTATTTTAATTAAAAATTTAAGAAACCCTTAAACTAAATTTAAACTTGATAAAGAATTAGCATCTTTACAACATAATTTTCTGAATCAGGACACTGCTACTCCGATTTAAAAAGATGTATCCTTTGGTAAAACTTTAGTTTTTAAAATTAAGGCCAAGTCTTTTCACACTGTATTTTTGTCCTTCTTTTTTCTGTTCAGTGGATGCCTGGACTTTGGCCTTTTCTCCTGATTCCCAGTATCTGGCCACAGGAACTCATGTCGGGAAAGTGAACATTTTTGGTGTGGAAAGTGGGAAAAAGGAATATTCTTTGGACACGAGAGGAAAATTCATTCTTAGTATTGCATATGTAAGGAAACATTGCTCTCTGTTCTCCTTCTGATTCTTTCAGTTTACCCTTCCAGCCTGTTGCAGTCCTTGCCACAGATTCTGTCTTGGTCTGGTCAGGCAGCTGCTGTCTCACTGGTGTGGTTTGCCAAGTAGCCAGTTAGACCTGTAGATAGCAGGAGGTTTGCTTGTGTTTGGTAGGGACAGCTTAACAACACGGAGTCTGAAAGTGCTAATTTCTCCATATGTTCTCTGAACAGAGTCCTGATGGGAAATACCTAGCCAGTGGAGCCATAGATGGAATCATCAATATTTTTGATATTGCAACTGGAAAACTTCTGCATACCCTGGAAGGTATATATCATCATCTTATTTTGACAAACTGGGTTATCAAATCACAAAGGAAGAATTATTCTTTCATTGAAATGCCATTAAATGGCAAATGGGCATTAGATTTACAAAATATCAATCTCAATTGGAAAACTGAAATGCCTCCAGGTTTTAGTCTTGTCACTATAGTTTTTTTTGTTTTTTTGTTTTTTTGTTTGTTTGTTTGTTTTCTTTTAGAGACAGGGTCTCGCTCCCAGGCTGGAGTGCAGTGGTGTGATCATAGCTCACTGTAACCTTGAACTCCTGGGCTCAAGGGATCGTCCCACCTCAGCCTCCTGGGTAGCTGGGACTACAGGTGCACACCACGATGTCTGGCTAGTTTTTAAAATTTTTGAGGAGATGGGGTCTTGCTGTTTCCCAGACTGGTCTCTAACTCCTGGCTTCAAGATTTCTTCCTGCTTTGGCCTCCCAAAGTGCTGGGATTACAGACATGAGCCACCATACCTGGCCTGTCACTATAGATTTAACCTAGACATACTAGTTCTTGTAACAGTGTTAAGTGCTTGTTTGGGTGAACAGACTTACTTTTTATTTATTATATCGTAATCTATCACATTATGTATGTGTGTGTTAATATATATTTGCTATATGAATGTCTCATTTCTGTTATTTTGGATTCTGATGAACTTTGTGATTGGAAACAACTTTTTGTTGATAATTTGAAGGTGGATGAAAGTATTGTGCCCACTGTCCACACCGGTGGCCTCTGGAAAGGAGGACTGGGTAGCTAAAGAACAGGGGTAGGTTGGAGGGAGACTTTATTATGCGTACTGTTGTGCTGTTTTGAATTCTAATCAAGTGAATTTATTACGTCCTCACATTGCTATAGTTTATCCTTTATACTATAATAAAGGATTTGATAGGGAAATAATACCTTAATTTGTTCAACCTTACAAATCAGGAGCAATGTATATATCCTTGTGTGGCCATATTTGTAGTAGAAAAGTTATTTAAAGCAATGTATGCTGAGGGCAGGGAAGGGAACTAAGGAGAAATGGCTCTGGGAGGAGATACTGGGGTTATGTGGATGTTTTGAGAACATTAAGAGGAAAGGCCCAATCAGAACTCTTGCTTTTCTGCCTGAAGCACCTGAGCATTTCAACTCAGTGGCTCATAATCATTAAAAGGGGCATTGTCAGTGGGAAGCTGAGTGAGGAGGCAGTGGTTCACCAGATTAACAAGGGCCTTTATGAATTTCAGGCCATGCCATGCCCATTCGCTCCTTGACCTTTTCCCCGGACTCCCAGCTCCTTGTCACTGCTTCAGATGATGGCTACATCAAGATCTATGATGTGTAAGTTACCTTAAAGGCATCTCCCTTACTACTGATGCCCATCTTGTCCCTTTATTGTTACAAGGAGCCCTAGGGAGGAGCCCTAGTAAAGACCTGTGCTCAAGTCACATCAGACACCTTGACTCCCCAGGCGGTCCTCCCCCGTTCAGCGCCCATTTTTAGTGTGTGTCCTCAAGGGCTGCTTGGAGGAGGATGTGCATGGGTTCCCTGGTAGGATCAGATACTTGCTACTTTTTCTCAGGCAGCCTGATTTTTGTGAGCTTACTGATTTCAAATTCTTTGGGATAGGTAAGTAATATACAGATGAGGAAATGGAGCCATGGGCTGTAGCTGGCCCCTGGGGACAGGAAGAAATTAGAGCATCCATTTTCAAGGGTAGGGCTGTTCTAGCAGACATGCCTCTGCCCTAGTTAGGGAGCAGTCAGTTTATAAGCCGCCCTGCTACAGGCCTAGATGGGAGCGTTTTTGGTTTTGGCCCTTGACTGCGAGTATAGAAGCAAGTTAATCATCCTCTTTCATTCACAGCCGTCATTGTAAATCTGTGCGGACCCCTATGTCTTCTTCTTTTCCCCCATCATTTTTAGTCCTGACTCCTATTCCCCACTGAGGTATCCCCTGTAATGTGTTGGATCTGTGTTCTTGATACTATGACTCGGTGCTATGGTCAGCTCTCACTGCCAGGCATGCCTCTGGCTCATTGCTCCCGAACATGGCATTCTAATCCACTGCATGTACATATCACACTCCAACCTTAGCCATGGGTGCCAAGACCTCCTCCACCTGCATGTACTGCAACCCTGACCATCCATGTGTGTCCTTTCAGGGGCCTGTGATAGTTGCTTGGGAGTTTAAACCTCACAGTAGAAACACTGCTCCTTCTAGCCCACTTCTGGTTAAAATGCAGTTTTTTCTGGCAAAAGGTTATCAGCTAGACATAGAATTCTAACTGCAGTTTTTAACTGTAACTGAGTGAGGGTGCTGTAGCCCAGAGGGGAAGATGTCTCTATAGAGTTATACTTGCCTGTTAGTGGCAGAGGCAGTATAAATGCAGCAGTTCCTTACATTTGTGACTTTATGATTTCTATTGCCACTGTTTTATTGATCCTCCCAGCAACCAATGAGGTAGCAGCACAGATTAGTGTCCCCATTTTGCACATGAGAAACCCAAGCTGAGGTGGTTGATTTGCCCAAGGAGGTGGTACTGAATGAAGACCCAAGAATGTTTTTTTCACCCAATATTGATGCATTATTATTAATTAAAGTCTGTAGTTTACATTAGGGTTTACTCTTTGTGTTGTACATTCTATGAGTTTTGACAAAATTATGTGTAGCCACCCCTAACTACAGTGTCACGCAGAATAGTTTCACTGCCCTAAAAATCCCCTGCTCTACCAAATCATCCCTTCCTCCTGCCTTGAGCCCCTATCAACTACTGATCTTTTTACTAAGGCCCAGGACTTTTTACCCTCCCATGGTCCCACTGTATCCCACCTGCCCCCTAGCCCCTAACTGAGGTCTGCTCCACTCTGCTGAGGTCTGTGTTTAGGGGTAAAATTGCTGACCTCAGTTAGGTCTTATGGTGGTTCTCCTGCCAGAGGTGGTTGGGTTTCATTTTTATTAAAAAAGTGAAAATAGCTGTTGTAATTAGACCTGTCTTGTTCTTGATTAGGTTTAAACTGGTCTCTCCAAGCTGCATCTGTCATAATGAATACATCTTGACACTTTCCTTGGACTGGGAGCACTGGCCCCATACGGAAAGGCTGCTGGTGCAGGCAGGAGTCTGAACCTGCCCTTCTCCTCAGATGGCTTCCTTGCCCCGTTGGTTCTCAATTTCCTCATCTGAGGGGTTGGCTTGCGAAGCCTCTGTAGTGTGGTTCTTTGTTCATTTTGAGCTTCAGCTCTTTGCTTGTGAAGGATTTTATTCTTGGCTTTTGGTGGTGTCAACACATTATGGGTTAATGCTACTATTAAAATTTGTCTCTAATGCATGAAGCTACTTCATTGAAAGAGGAATTTTTGATATAGTATTCATGGTCATTATAAGGATAGCAGATTTGGTCCAGCTTATTGGCAGAGTTAATAATATACTTTCCACTTCAGTGATTATACTGTAGAAATTAACATCTCAATTTTGTTTGAAACTTTCCCATTTCAGACAACATGCCAATTTGGCTGGCACGCTGAGCGGCCATGCCTCCTGGGTGCTGAACGTTGCATTCTGTCCTGATGACACTCACTTTGTTTCCAGGTACTTAATGATTCTTAGCAGTTTCTAAAATGCTGGGGAGATGAGAGCAGTCTTCTTGTATAGATTGCCTTAACATTTAAAGATGTTTGACCCTTTTTTATTCAGTTAGCCTTTCTTTTCTGCAGTTCTTAAAATTTTTATTTAGTGATGTTAGTTGACCTTAGCTGGAACAAAAGTCAACAAGTAATCCTTTTAAACAGTAAAACTCTTAGTTTTTTCATTATAAATTGAGGCTTCTACCAAAGTGACTCTAAGGTAGACTTGTGTTCCAATGGTAACTTAAAATATGTAAATGTTTGTAAAATGTTGTTTATAGATCCCAGTGTTGGTCAGGCCTGGGATGGCCAAGACAGTTGGAAAGCAGGAGATGGACAACTTGAAGGCATTGCACAGTGCTTTAGAGGCCTCCTGCGAGCCTTGGTTTTGAAGCTTTAACAGGCCTCCCTCCCATCTGGAAATAGGTAGCTGTGTCTGAGACTCCTGGAGAACAATTAATATGAGGGCCAGGCAGATCACAATTTCAGGAAAATGGCTACCCTGTGAGGAGAGAAAGCCACCCAATGATGCTGATACCTGGCCATTTCCTGTACCGAGGCATGGGGTTGGGGGGTCTGAAGTTAGAAGAATGTAAGTCATCAAAGGATTTTTGGTCGAAGTCCTTCCAACTTCAAACCGATACTAATGTTCACTTTTTAAAATAGTTCGTCTGACAAAAGTGTAAAAGTTTGGGATGTTGGAACGAGGACTTGTGTTCACACCTTCTTTGATCACCAGGATCAGGTATGGCATTATTATTTCATCTTTAGATAGTCGGGGTTGTTTGACCATTGTACCAAAGAGATTTTCTTTTCCTGACCTTGTTGCTTGAGCTGTGGATACCAGTAGATGCCTGGGCCTGAGCTGCTCTATCTGCTCAGTCATCCATGTAGCCAGAGTTCCTGTGCAGAGTCTGGGGTGCAGAGGCTGGGATGTGCTGTCAGCCTAGCAACTCACGAGGCATATCCCCACATAGGCTGGAAAACATGGTGTTAGCCCCACAGCCTTTAAATGCCGTCTTTGGAAATTGCTGCAGCTGGTGTCTGGGGCCCTCTCCTGGGGGCTGCTGCGCCATGGCAGGCTCACCAAGGACCTTCCTCTTCAGGAGATTCCATTGCTTAAACACAATCATCGCTTGTCATTTTTGGGACTGTCCAAAGAAGAGATGTGATTTTTTTTTTTTTAATATAGTAGAAGCTGGAAATTCATACAAGTTTTTTGGCTTTAGTGTTATTGATAACTTTTCAGTCTTTAAAAGGAAACTGTTCTCACAAGCAACTTTATCTTTGCCAAGGTGAATATGTGAAATAGCAAAGGTGTTCTAGTGCAATACTGCTGAGTCTTTCATGTGTGCTCGTATCCCCTGGGAACCTGGTGAAAATGCAGATGCTGCTTCACTAGGTCTGGCAGAGGGCCTGGGATTCTGCATTTCTAACAGGCTTCCAGGTGAGGCCAAGGCTGCTGGTCCTAACCACACTGTAAGGTCTTGGGGAACTGAGCATAAAAAATAAAATGTCCATGGCAATATAATATTGGCTTTTAATATATTTTAAATATTTTTAGATGGTCCTATAGATTTCTCCTCTTTGAAATGGAACTTAAAGTTAACTAACATTGTTCATGCTTATTTTTCAACTTAAATTGTCCCAACAAAATTGAGGGGGTTCTATCTTGATATTCCACTTCTGGATTTAAGCATCTTACTCAGGGAGTAAGTCCTGGCTAGCTGTGTTTCCTTGTATGTATGGATCATTGCGGTGCTGTGTCAGAGGCTGGAGTGAAAGGCCATCATGCAGCCCAATCCCAACACTAAAATCAGAGTAGGGTGACAGGCTTACCACCCAGAATCACCTCCTAATAATCAGGAAGTTATTTATGATTAGAGAAACTCCAACCACATCAATTCTGTCTGGGAAGGAGGTGTGAATCAGTTAATTTAACACATAGCAAATAAAAATCTATGGTCCACAATATCATGTTGTCTAGCTCCTGGGGACAGGCAGGCTCCATAGGCCACTAATAACAGAGTGAGAATTACTGACTGTGGGGGGCGGACACAAGGGGTCAGCTGAGGAGCGCAGTTTGTGACTTTCCCTATAGGCAGTGACCTCGGGGTAGTTGTGGGGCTCTTTCTTCCTGGAAGCATAAATGTTGGTCTCTTATGGCTTCCGTCTTCCTGGCATTAGGTTACACTTCAGGATTCTGACTCTTTGAAAGGGTTGTAGATAGTCTTGATTAGTACTGTATTTAAAAATGATTTTTTTTTTTTTTTTTGGAGTATGGGAAGGGGCAGGAATTCTAATTAAATAGCAATAATGGAAGGTGCTCGGTTAAAGCCTCCATTCTCACTGATTTAGAAAGTACAAGAACATCCTCATCTCAGTTTTGGTAGATTCAGAATAACGAGAAAATAAGGATGTTCATTTCATAAATATTATAAAGAATAAAGGCATTTGTAGAACTATCTTTTTTTAAATTTACAGGTCTGGGGAGTAAAATACAATGGAAATGGTTCAAAAATTGTGTCTGTTGGAGATGACCAGGAAATTCACATCTATGATTGTCCAATTTAAACATCAAAGTCTCCAGGCTTATGCTGCAAAGAGAATGTACGGATTGATCATGACATTCCTTACCTTCTTAGGCTTGTTTAAAAGAAATATAGCATTTATTGTAGCAAAGACTTAAATTTTGTAGATACAATATGAATCTTTTCATGTTTTATTGGAAATGCTGTTCATACTTTAACATAAAGCTTTCTTAATGCAAACACTGGTGTCCTTGAACATGCTTCTTTTTTCAGTTACCCTATTACCAGTGAAACAGTGAGAGGGATTGGCATTAAGAGCAAATCTCTGCCTTAGCCATCAAGAGATCCAGGTATTTCTTTAACTTTCCAGCTTAGAAATACAGGCTGACTCTTCCAGGGAGTTGACTTATGCAGTGAGATACAGCAGCGAGCTCCCCGGAGCTGTGATAAAGAAGCTAATCTATTTTAGAATGGAGTCCTGAAGGAAAGAGTATATTTGACTGCATAGGAACATTATGTACTCCTGTCTATCTGGGCATCCTTCCACTTGATGTATTAAAGATGTCCCCTGCCAAGCCCTCCTTCCCCTTATTAATTTCAGAGAGGTCTCTAACTCGCTAGGTGGGTATCGGAAGGCAGGCTGCTATTCTTGCTGCCTTAACAATGCCTAGGCTGAAGCCTGTGCCTCATGCTGTAGAACTGTAGCCCTGCCTTAGTTATTTCAGAGTATCTGTACCTCAGAGTTTCCTCTTCATCAGCCCCCTTGAGACTCATGTTAATGAGAAAGATGTAAGTAGCTGAACACTTGGAAGCGTGTTTTTTATTGATCATTACTTCATATGCTTATGAGTCAGGTCATGTGCTTTTCCTCAAACCACTCACTGCCCTCAGAATAAAGCTCACACTCTTTATCATAGCCCCCCACTTCTCCCTCCTGCTTGCCTTGCTCACCCTCCTGTAACCACATCATCCTTGCCATTCCTCTGCCTGGAATGTTTTCCCTCCAGACCTTCGGACATCTGCTCCCCAGCTGCATCCAGGATTCTGCCCAGATGCCAGCTCCTGGTAGAGGCCTTCTTCCCATTCCCTTCTACTCATTCCCATTCCTCTTGTTCTTCATAGCAGTTACCACTTTTTGTTTGCATTCACCCCCACCCCCAAAATAAAGCTCCATGAGGGTGGAAACTTCATTCCATTATGTCAACCAATGAGAGGCAAGCTGGCAGGCACCTAACACTGTTTATGTGAGCTCTCAAAAAAAGGAAAAAGCAAAGCCACTTATCTCTCATACCAGCTCAATTTTAATTTTAAAGTGACAAATGTACAGGTGGAATAAAATTTTAAGCGACACCCTCCAAATTCCTTTTATATGACAAGAAGGAGCTGAATGTAATTTTACACCATTACCAACTAAACAGTAGTTCTTTAGCAATAATTAGGAAGTCACAGCACAAAAACGACACCCCAGAGTTGTGGTCCATTTATAAATAGATTTTCACCTAGGCTTCGTTGGAAGAAGTGATTTTATATCTATCCTCACCAATGGTCAAAGTGGGCACAGGTGGGCTGTTTCTATACTTTGAGCAAATTATGCCTCACTAGCTGGCAATGTTTTGCGGGAACCTGGTCCGTGCAGCTGGTTCACCTTACCTGCATGGTCTGATCTGCACTTTGACCCTCCTAAGGAAGATCCCTGGTCTGAGTGAAACTCTCAGGTGCCATGTAACCAAATAAGGGTAGGGTAGATCTGACAGGTGGCCTCTGCTTTAACCCAGCAGCTTACAAGTTTTTTGTGACTTGGGGAAAAGAAATAAGCAGTAATGGCTAAAGACTGAGGTAACCCTAAGTTCGAATTGTAGTCTACCTGTCATGAATAAAATAATGACTAATATCCCTCCAAACAAGCTATAATTTACAGTAGTAGTCCATACAAACTGTAATCCACAGTGGAACTCAGCGAAGTTCTTACCAAAACATCACTTGAGCAGGAAACCCTTTGTAATATGGCTGTGCAATGAGAGGAACGATCCTTTGGAAGGGAGCTCAATCTGGGAGAATGAGGTGGAAAACACTGGGGAGTTCTATGCCTTTGCAGACCCTCAAGTCACCCCGGATTACTGGTCAGAGAAGCTGGCTGTGCCATGGGCCAAACCAGCAGCATTCTCCCTTGGCTTCTGTTGC
The DNA here is from genome assembly GCF_000001405.40 of Homo sapiens. NCBI lineage: Eukaryota > Metazoa > Chordata > Mammalia > Primates > Hominidae > Homo > Homo sapiens. The sequence continues at coordinate 78,281,293 of NC_000015.10, read as the reverse complement.
TGCACTGAGGCTGCCGGGGACACAGAAGGATTTAGTTTTCTTTACAAGTAAGCACTTTGGTGGGAAAGCATTGCAAAAGTTGTCAACAGAAAATCATTAAAACCCTGAAGAACAAGGTGTGAGGGTCACAGGCAAACAGTTATCAGCATATGATTCAAACACTGGTTTGTCCTCACCACAGAGCTTGGAAGGTTCAGAAAACTTCCAAGAGAGATGATCAGACACTCACGTTCCATCCACTGAAGGGCACAGAACAGTAGGAACTAAGTTGGCCCTGTTAAGCAGGCACATGCAGCCATGTCCGATCCACGGATGTGCTTTTATTCTTTAAGAGGATCATCTAGAATCCTCAGAAATGTTATCTTAGCAGCCCTGAGATCATGCCCTCAATAACTCTGCCAAGGGAAGAGGGGAGAAACCACAGACCTAGAGATGAGTCAGGATGCCCACTTTGTGCCTTGGGGTTTGCTAGGGGGGCTAAGCTGCTAACTGGGCTGTGCCTTATTGGTGACACTGAATTATGGCAAAGCCACTAGAAGCACAAAGTATTGGTGCAATCACTGACATCTCAAAAGTATATCCTGAAAATAGAAATGAACAGATTCCATATGCAGACTAGAGGTGATTTATACTTAAAACATTTAAATATAAATTAAGCTATAACTTAAGTTACAACCAAAAGAAAAGCCAAAAAGACACTCAGCAATTAAGAATGCTGAACACATACACAGGACATCCCAAACACAAGGCCATTAAAGCGATGTCATTTTCATTGTGCCAACTTTACATTCATCATGTGCTAGTCCGGTGGGGCCACGCTGCCCCGCACCACGTCATGCCGTCTGGCACTGCACTCCAGCCTGGGGCCCGTCTTCGTCCTCCTCGTAGGCCTCCCTGTGCTGACGCCAGTTCTGCTCATTGGGACAAAACTCCTTCAGCTCCACCTGATCCATGTCATCTGTAATCCTCACTTTCTGTCGAGGAGGGAGTAAAGCTTCCAGCTGAGGAAGCTTTTCCAGAGAAAGCCAGTGTTTTTCAGGAAAGATTACCTGTAAAGGGTGAGGTGGGAAAGAAAGGTGGCTGTTTTTTCCCCTTCCAATTAAGGCATTTAATAATATGTCCATGACAATGAAACATAGTGAACTTACTAAAAACTGTATGATCAGAATCCCTTTTTCCAGGGGTGCTTTGTAGATGGGCATTCCTTCATCGCGCACGCATCTCAGGTCCCCGTGCTTTATCACCTCACCTGCCAGAGAAAGGGTCAATTAGGAAGGAGGAAGGCAGAGGGGCCTGCAGAGGTCGTTCTCCCTCATGGGAGAGCCTGCGGCAGGCCCTAGTGCCCCGTGGCAGTGGGCAAAGGAAACGTGGCATCTGACTGGAAAGCTGGCCCCAATCCCAGGTATCCTTGTCAGGTACTGCCTGGGGAAGGGGCTCAGGCTGAGACTCTGGCCTGTGCTCTGGGCTCCAGCAGTGTGTCAAGAGGGCAGCATGGTGCAGCTGCCATCACAGGTAGGTTTAAAACAAGTGAACTAGAAGTCATGACACCCAAGTCTGCCTAAAATGGGGCCAACACCTGTCACCCTGCCTCTTTGTGGGGTGACAGGTATCCCTACCACGAGGGGGACAGGAGTGCTCCCCACAGACAGGAAGAAGCCTCAATAGAGTCCAACCAGTCCCCTGCCTGGCATAAAAACTGGCTCTTGGCCACCTGCAGGTGACACCCAGGTTCCTTGGTAGGGAGCTCACTAGGTGGCTTGGCCACTGGCAGACTCCTTCATGGTCACAATGCACTTCCATACATGCTGCTGAGCTGGAGTCACCCTCCCGGCTGGCACCCGCTGGGTCTTACAGCTACGTGACTTTGGAAGGCATCAGAGGAGTTCAGACCCCAAGAACTCTAAGGCGTTCTCCCAAGTCAGAAACTTCCCTCTAAGCATGGAAAAGGAAAGGGACAAAAGGGTTTCTGATAAAGCATGCTCTTCAGCTCAGCGATGAAAATGGACAAAGACAGAAAGAAATGTTCGGAAAAAATGGGGGAGACGGTGGAGGGGAATGGAAACACTAATTTCTTCAGCAGTCCACTTCCATACGGGACTATGTAGAAAGTGAGCTGTCTCTTCAAGAGGAAATCTTTAAAGAGGAGGTTTTAAAAATAAAGTAAGCCAATGACTATCCTTGAGATTCATTCGCAGGCAGGGCTGTGGTTCAGACATGGCCTTCAGAGCCTACTGACTGTGCAGGACAGCAACCCCTTAGCTAAACTGCTCCAGGCTGCTGGCTTTTTGTGTTCCTGTTTATTCTTTTTTTTTGAAATACAGTCATGGCCAGGCACGGTGGCTCACGCCTGTAATCCCAGCACTTTGGGAGGCCGAGGCGGGCGGATCACGAGGTCAGGAGTTCGAGACCAGGTTGATCAACATAGTGAAACCCCGTCTCTACTAAAAAAAAAAAAAAAAAAAAAAAATAGAAAAACTAGCCAGGAATGGTGGTGTGTGCCTGTAATCCCAGCTACTTGGGAGGCTGAGGCAGGAGAATGGCGTGAACCCGGGAAGCAGAGTGTACAGTGAGCCAAGATCACGCCATTGCACTCCAGCCTGGGCGACAGAGCGAGACTCCGTCTCAAAAAAAAAAGAAATACAGTCATGCACAGCATAGTGACCTTTCAGTCAACAACATTTATGAAGATGGTTGCAAAGATTACACCAAACTTTTACTGCACCTTTCCTATGTTCAGATACTCACATACTCAGCATCGTACTACAACTGCCCACAGTATTCAGTACAGCAACCTGCTGTGCAGGTTTTAGCCCAGGAGCAACAGGCTATGCCACACAGCCTAGGGTGTAGCAGGCTATGCTATCTAGGTCTGTGTGAGTACATTCTATGGTGTTCACACCACAACGACATCGCCAAACAATGCATCTCTCAGAACATATCCCCTTCGTTAAGTTACATATGACTGGTTTTTCTGTCTCCCCATTCCTATCAGGTGTCGCTTCTTGCTGCTCTCAAGCCCTACTCCCCATGCTTCTGCTTCTAGCTTGCTGGGAGCTGGGAAACTGACCAAGCATGGAAAACTACAGGTAAGAGAAGAAGACCACGAGTTAGGCTCTCCCGGCAGGTAAATACCTGCCTGCAGGCAGGGCCATCACACCCTTGTGTGGCTCCAAAATCACTTTTTTAATTAATCCAATCCTCAGCAATGCTCATAACAGGCTAAAAGGCTCTGGGGAAGAAGGCATTTCAACAGCAGAAAAGAGGAAGAAGAGGGAGAAGAGAAAATGGAGAAACAAGAAATAAGCCAACACAAAAGAGGGGTGAAGAAAAGAGAGGGTGCAAAAGAGAACAAAGTAAAAACAAAAACAAAACAAAAAGGACAAACAAATCCCCAAAGAACTCTCCAACGGCAGGTTTCCTGGATGCTCCACCCTTCCTTATAATAAAGAAGGAAATGGATTTCTTGGGATTTGCCACTTCCTTCCCTCTGGGGCTCTTTCTCCACCACCCTCACTCCATTTGGCTCCCGGCTCCCTAGGCTGGGGTCAGCTGAGACAGCAAGGAACGCTGGCTCTTGGTGGGGCCCAGGACCTCAAATAGTCCACCCCTGGACAGGACAGGCTTTCCCAAAGAAGTTACACACAGATGCTTCCCAGCCCCGGCTCAGGAGGGCTAGGATCTGGGCTGTGACCACGTAAGGGCATCTTGGACACAATGCCAGGGTGTTGAGCTCACAACCAGTGGTCTGGAGCTTCGTGTAAACTGTGATCCTCAAACTCCTCCTTGAGGGAGGAAATGGGTGCCTTGGGAGGTCTATGGAAGCCTAAGGGAAGGTGTTTTATTTTAAATTTTCATGCAAATTTTGCATTATACTGCAGTGCTTCCCCCAATCCTGGATTAAGTATATGTATAAAAACACACACAAGTCTGGGCAACATGGCGAAACCCCGTCTCTACAAAAAGTACAAACATTAGATGGGCGTGGTGGCATGTGGCTGTCCCAGCTACTCGGGAGGCTGAGGTGGAGGTTACAGCGAGCTGAGATCACGCCACTGCACTCCAGCCTGGGCGACAGAGCAAGACCCCTGTCTCAAAAAATAAATGAACAAATTTTAAAAATAAATAAAAACAGACACAGATCAAATGACAAACCAAATGGGGTAAAATGTTAACATCAGACAAATCATATATGGATGGGCCTCGGACTATTTTTATATTTACAACTTCTTGTAAGCTTGAAATTGTTTCCAAATAAGTTTATTTTAAAACTCCACAAACCGATCAAGGCTTGGATATATAATTCTGCTTCCTACTATCCCCAGGAAAGGAGGAACCTGAAAGAATCCAAGAGAGGAAAGAGAAAAAGAGCACAAGGCTGGGAAGAGAAAAGCAGACAAGGAGGGGAAGGGGGAGAGGGAC